>NC_000018.10:10000-1260000 GCF_000001405.40 Homo sapiens
CCCTAACCCTAACCCTAACCCTTACCCCTAACCCTAACCCTAACCCTAACCCTAACCCTAACCCTAACCCTAACCCTACCCTAACCCTAACCCTACCCTAACCCTAACCCTAACCCTAACCCTAACCCTAACCCTAACCCTAACCCTTAACCCTAACCCTTAACCCTAACCCTAACCCTAACCCTAACCCTAACCCTAACCCTAACCCCAACCCCAACCCCAACCCTAACCCCTAACCCCTACCCTAACCCTAACCCTAACCCTAACCCTAACCCTAACCCTAACCCTACCCTAACCCTACCCTACCCTAACCCTAACCCTAACCCTAACCCTTAACCCTAACCCTAACCCTAACCCTACCCCAACCCCAACCCCAACCCCAACCCCAACCCCAACCCCAACCCCAACCCTACCCTAACCCTAACCCTAACCCTAAACCCCAACCCTAACCCCTAACCCCTACCCTAACCCTAACCCTAACCCTAACCCTAACCCTAACCCTAACCCTACCCTAACCCTACCCTACCCTAACCCTAACCCTAACCCTAACCCTTAACCCTAACCCTAACCCTAACCCTACCCCAACCCTACCCCTACCCCTACCCCTAACCCTAACCCTAACCCTCACCCTTCTAACTGGACTCTGACCCTGATTGTTGAGGGCTGCAAAGAGGAAGAATTTTATTTACCGTCGCTGTGGCCCCGAGTTGTCCCAAAGCGAGGTAATGCCCGCAAGGTCTGTGCTGATCAGGACGCAGCTCTGCCTTCGGGGTGCCCCTGGACTGCCCGCCCGCCCGGGTCTGTGCTGAGGAGAACGCTGCTCCGCCTCCGCGGTACTCCGGACATCTGTGCAGAGAAGAACGCAGCTGCGCCCTCGCCATGCTCTGCGAGTCTCTGCTGATGAGAACACAGCTTCACTTTCGCAAAGGCGCAGCGCCGGCGCAGGCGCGGAGGGGCGCGCAGCGCCGGCGCAGGCGCGGAGGGGCGCGCAGCGCCGGCGCAGGCGCGGAGGGGCGCGCAGCGCCGGCGCAGGCGCGGAGGGGCGCGCAGCGCCGGCGCAGGCGCGGAGGGGCGCGCAGCGCCGGCGCAGGCGCAGGCGCGGAGGGGCGCGCAGCGCCGGCGCAGGCGCAGGCGCGGAGGGGCGCGCCCGAACCCGAACCCTAATGCCGTCATAAGAGCCCTAGGGAGACCTTAGGGAACAAGCATTAAACTGACACTCGATTCTGTAGCCGGCTCTGCCAAGAGACATGGCGTTGCGGTGATATGAGGGCAGGGGTCATGGAAGAAAGCCTTCTGGTTTTAGACCCACAGGAAGATCTGTGACGCGCTCTTGGGTAGAGCACACGTTGCTGGGCGTGCGCTTGAAAAGAGCCTAAGAAGAGGGGGCGTCTGGAAGGAACCGCAACGCCAAGGGAGGGTGTCCAGCCTTCCCGCTTCAACACCTGGACACATTCTGGAAAGTTTCCTAAGAAAGCCAGAAAAATAATTTAAAAAAAAATCCAGAGGCCAGACGGGCTAATGGGGCTTTACTGCGACTATCTGGCTTAATCCTCCAAACAACCTTGCCATACCAGCCCATCAGTCCTCTGAGACAGGTGAAGAACCTGAGGTCGCAGGAGGACACCCAGAAGGTCCAGAGAGAGCCTCCTAGGCCCCCCACCTCCCCCCGTGGCAGCTCCAACCCCAGCTTTTTCACTAGTAAGGCAGTCGGGCCCCTGGGCCACGCCCACTCCCCCAAGCGGGGAAGGAGCTTCGCGCTGCCGCTTGGCTGGGGACTGGGCACCGCCCTCCCGCGGCTCCTGAGCCGGCTGCCACCAGGGGTGCGCGCCAGCGGTGTCCGGGAGCCTAGCGGCGCGTGTGCAGCGGCCAGTGCACCTGCTCTGGCCCTCGCCGCGGTCTCTGCCAGGACCCCGACGCCCAGCCTGACCCTGCCATTCAGCGGGGCTGCGGCTCCACGGCCTGCGACAGCAGCCCCACCTGGCATTCAGCGCGCTCCCGGGGGCAGAGGTCGCGGTGTCCTCACGCTGTGGTGCCGGCCTACAACCCCCACGCCGGGCTCGGGCCCGGCGGAGGAGGGCGATGCTCCCCGGGTAGGACAAACCGGTCACCTGGGCTGCGAGGGCGGCTTAGGGGCAGAAGCGGCGGTCCAGGGCCGCCTGGCGCAGCAGCCTGTCCCAGCCGCGGTCCCTGCAGTCCCTCCCTGGCGGCTGCGCAGCCGTCCCACGACAGGGGCCATAAACTCTCCAGAGCGGAAAGCCGCACCCTGGTGGCCCGGCCCCGCGCCCAGACCTGGCGGCCGCTGGCACCTGACCCGCTGCATGGGTCTCCAGGGAGCTCGCTGCCCACCCGGCGCTGCAGGCTCGGCTCCCTCGTACACTCTCTGGTAGGTGCTAGGGACGACCCTATGGGCCAGCTTGCCATGCCCAGTCCCCAGGCCGCACCCACCCTGGCTCCCTGGGCTAGGGGACTGGCTCCTCCTGTGAGTCGTGGGTCTGGGAGGCAGGGGCGTTAGGGGAGAGTGAGGGACCGAGGGCAGCCCCTGCTGTGTGCACAGCGAGGTCGTGCACAGGCGTCTGTTGCAGAGCGTGCAGCTTCAGATGAGACTGGATTGCAGGTGGAGATGACTGTGGGTGCGCACACCTGGAGGTGAAGGGGAGGCAGCCTGTCTACCTGACCCATGAAATACAGGAGACTGTACCCCAGAAGCAGCGGGTTCACTGCTCCATTGATTAAGCAAGTCTGGGACACACATGTAGCTAAGCTGTGAGTTCTGTACCAGCGATCCCAACACCCACGCCCTCAGAAAGACACTGGTGTGGGGCCTGGGTGCTTGTCAGGCCTGAAAGTGGAGAGCACGGGCCAGAGACACTGAGTAGGGGGAACCCACCCTAGGGCTCTGAGGGACGACGATGTGGGGAGCTGGTGACAGAGCCTGAGCTGGCCCAATGTTGCACGGTGGGGACAGATTCGAGGTACAGTGGGGACTGGTGACCTCAGTTCCCAGTGTCCCAGCCTGGCCTCCCAGTCCACCCAGCAATTAGTGGGTGCTGCCCTGCAAAGACTCTGGGGGTGCCTCAGCCCTCCTCATCACACGTGACTGGTGACTTCTGTGTCCACCCGCACAATAAGAGGGATCTTCTCTCACTTTCAGGCAAGCCCAAGAAAGTCAGGGGCCTATGTGAGCCAAAGAGGAGAGAAGGTGATGCCTCAGCCCAGTGTTTCTGCCCCACCTCGCTTGTGGCCTTCGGAACTTGATTTGCACCGCAGGAAAATGGGCAATGAAAACCCCTCCCTAACTGGCTTCTCAGTCCACTCTGACCAGCCCACTGCACAGCGCCCACCCTGCAGCTCCAGGTACAGAGGCTGGGATGGCTCTGGGCTGACCTAAGGGCCTTCTGATGGCTCCAACCCTCGGGATGCCTCATGCTCACCCTTTGGCACCCACCTGACAGCTCAGCATCTCTGCTCTCTGCCATCCTCAATGCCTGCTCTAGACAAGCCCAAGTCCCCCAGGAGTGGCAGAGGGAACTGAGCTGAAAACTAAGTCTCGGCTCACTGAACCCCAAGTGGGCTGTCCAGCCTCGCCCTTCAGTTCACAACCCCAGGCAGGTTCCCTCCAGGGATGTGATCCCAGGGGCCACAGCAGCACATTCTGGCCTAACCTATCCACTATTTAAACAGTTACTGAAAAGGCCAGGATGGCCGTGGGCCCTGACATTAATCCCCTTTCTCTGTGAGGGGGCTGGGTTGGGTATGCCATCCTGATGTCTTTGTGGAAAGAGCTGGCAGGTGAAGCAAGTCTCAGGGGCCAGCCATGGGACAAGGAACCTAGGACTGGCCTCTGCTGGAACCCTCTGAGGCCCCTGCGGACAGGAGGATCCAATGGAGGTCTAGCCACCCCTCCCAGGTTGGTGCTCACAGCCCCTCCCTGGCCCACTCCCTGCACACCTGCACCTGCTGGTCTCTGGGAGAGGAGCATCCATCCATCTTGTGCGCATAGCTTTCGGCTCCATTTTCATGAGGATGGTCTCCTTGGCAGAAATGCCCATTAGGGGATCCTGAGCCTGTGCTAGCTCTTCTCTAAGTGCCAAAGCCAGTGAGAGGGACTTCAAAACTCAAGACTTATTAACATTATTTTCTGCATTTTGTGCTTTCAGGGTTGTTTTTTCCTTAAAATGTGTAAAAACAAACATTGAGATTTCTATCTTTTATATAATTTGGATTCTGTTATCACACGGACTTTTCCTGAAATTTATTTTTATGTATGTATATCAAACATTGAATTTCTGTTTTCTTCTTTACTGGAATTGTTAACTGTTTTATAGGCCAAATCTTTTAAAAAAAACACATCTCTCTAATTTCTCTAAACATTTCTAATTACATATATATTTACTATACCTAATACACTACTTTGGAATTCCTTGAGGCCTAAATGCATCGGGGTGCTCTGGTTTTGTTGTTGTTATTTCTGAATGACATTTACTTTGGTGCTCTTTATTTTGCGTATTTAAAACTATTAGATCGTGTGATTATATTTGACAGGTCTTAATTGACGCGCTGTTCAGCCCTTTGAGTTCGGTTGAGTTTTGGGTTGGAGAATTTTCTTCCACAAGGGATTGTCTTGGATTTTTCTGTTTCTCCCTCAATATCCACCTGGAAAACATTTCAATTAATTTATATTTACTTAAATATTTCTGTGCAAAAACTGTGTACAAAAGCCCCAAAGCATAATTTGTGCAGTTGAGCGCATGTTCTGTTGTTCAGCATTTATGGTGGTTGGTAGTGGAAAAGATTTTTAGAATATGTGGATTTTCGGGATATTCCCAGAAGCCCAGATAGCGACACTTTACCTTTGGAGGAATTACTTCTCAGAATATTGCACACAATCAATCGCCTTTGGAAGGAGCATATATCCCCAGCAAAAGCTCTGGTTTTTTGAAGTCTGTATTGTGTGTTACTTCCAGGAGAATATGCAATGATGACAATGTTATTAGATGATTCAAATATGAAATGCTGTTATGCCAAACAATGAATCTTTGTGTTATACATTATGCCTAACTATAAATCTTTGTGTTATACATTTTAATGTCATTGGAGAGTACTCCTGTCTTCTTGGCATTATTGATAATTAGATTCTAATTGCTAATAAGTCAGAAAAATTAGGAACACCAAATTTCAGTTGTCTCAAAAGCACTCCTCTTATTAAATTTGGATGTTTACCTTTATCACTTCAAAAGAAATATTGTTAGAAAGGTGTTTAATGTTTTGCAGATGGATAGATTACTGTTATTAGTTCTCATTTCATTGTTAATTTTTAAAACCATAAGGTTGGAAGTATCAATATGCCTTTCAATATACCTTAGTGGAATTTATTAAATTTTCATGGATGTCCTTTAGGGGGTTCAGGAAGTTATTTCTATTGCTAGATTTCTGGAAGATTTATCAGGAATGAGTGTCAGACATTGTCAGACGTCCATTGAAATCATCATGGTCTTTTCCTTTATTCTATTAATATGATGTATTACACTGATTGATTTTTAAATTTGTATTGGTAGGATAATTCCACTTGGTTATATTGTCTAACTTTTTTCTAATTTTCTTTCATTTTTATTACAGATGAGGCCTCACTCTGTCACCCAGGTTGGGGTGGAGTGGCACAGTCACAGCTCACTATAACCTCAAGCTCCTGGGCTCAAGTGATCCTGCCACCTCAGCCTCCTAAGTAGCTGGAACTACAGATGTGCACTGCCATGCCAGGCTTGTCTAACATTTTTATGTGTTGCTTCATCCAGTTTGCTAGAGTTTTTGGAGATTTCTGTCTTCATTCATGAGGGATAATAGTCTGCACTTTTATTTTCTTGTGATACTTTTGTCTGATTTGTTATCTGGGTAATACTGGCCTTGAAAATGAATTGATGTTTTCCTGCTTCTCTGCTTTGCAAGTGTTTGTGAAGGATTGGTTATTCATTAAGTGTTTAATAGAATTCACTAGTGAAGCTATGTGAGCCAGGGCTAGACTGATGAAGAGTTTTCATTAGTCTAATCTGTTTACTTGCTGTATAAGTACGCATATATTCTCTTTCTTCTTGATTTAATTTTACACTTTGTGTATAGCAGGGAATCTGTGTCTAATTTGTAGTATTTCATGCTTCTAGGTTTTCATGGCAGTTGAGATGTAAGAATAACAATAATGTTGGGAGAAGGAAGTTGTGGACAATCCATGAATATCCCAACATCTGTTGTAGGAAGGTTAAGATTACTTTTTTTTTTTTTGCTGTACTGAACTGAATACTCTTATTTATAATGTCAGACAAATGTAATGTTGTATATAAATAGAACTAGGAAAATGTGCCATTTGTCTTAGTATTTAATCAAGATGGAAGTCTGGGCCTACCTCCTCTCTTTTATTAATATGTAGACAGGACACCAACACAAATTAGAATTAAGACAAACAAAATGTTAGCAAATGAAGAATGGTATCAATTGGTTAAAATGTGATGAAATAGAGTGGTGAATATTTACATAGAATCCATGATGTGTTAGGTGCTATTTCAAGCTATTTGCACATATAGTTTTAATACCAATGACGTTAAAATGTATAACACAAAGATTCATATAAATAAAAATTACAACATTGTAAATAATATTAGGTGACACTAAAACTGTCATAGAAATACACATTTATATAAAACATAAAGTAACATGAAGTATTAAATTTTAGAAACTTTGATTACTAATCAGATGAACAACTGATTAGCCTTTTTATCCAGTAAAAAAGGCATACATATTATTTTCAAATTCCAGAGACAAATATTTTAAATATTGAAGTTGAAGACCTAAAAATGTGTCACTGACCTCATGGAAGTAGATATTCACTAGGTGATATTTTCTAGGCTCTCTGAAATTATATCAGAAAAATGTGAATTAGAATATAACCCATAAATAATATCTGGCCACATACAAAGTAATTGAAGATCAATTTAAATGGCTATTGGATTAAGAAATAGGGACTGAGGTAAATTTGCAGTGTCAGGGAGGATCTAAGGAGGAAGCATTGACACTGGAGCCCAAGGACCTGGGATCACAGAACAGATTCTACCAGTGCTAACTTACTGCTCCACAGAAAACATCAATTCTGCTCATGCGCAGGTACAATTCATCAAGAAAGGAATTACAACTTCAGAAATGTGTTCAAAATATATCCATACTTTGACATATTAATGAAGTAATCACATTCTACACATAACTACTCCATATGGAATACTGGGGAGGAGGTGTTCCAAATAAAGAGACTGAGGATTTCTCATGAGAACTCAGTGTCTGCTAGAAAATATCTAAGTAAAATATTTTACTTATGTGGAAAGTGTGGATGTTTGTGCATCAAAAGTTTCAAGAATCCCTAAAATTTACAATGGAGATGAGGAGAAAATATCAGAATTTCCCAGCACCAGAAATAAGGCAAGAAAAAATTCAGAGGGGTTGTAAATGTGAAAAGCCAATGGCTGGTCACACAGCAACATTGATAACCTTGTGCCTGGACAACTAGAATAAATACATAAACATACACATTGAAAATATTTCCAATATTAGATCTCCCTCATGTGAGAACTAAATTATAAAGATTGAAGCATAGAAGAAAATAAGCTACCAGAATAAATTTGATTACACATAAATTTCTGATATTGAAACTGTCACAAATGTTTAAGTTGGTAGTGGAAGACAAAGGACATATAATCTTGGGAGTCCTAAGGCCCTGCCCACTGCCAGTCCCTCCACACTACTACAGCTGATGCTTTCTGGAAATCACCACCTCCTGGCAGGAGCCCAACCAGCACAAATATAGAGCATTAAACCACCAAAGCTAAGGAGGCTCACAGAGTCTATTGCACCCTTCACCACCTCCACTGGAACAGGCGCTGGTATCCATGGCTCAGAGACCCAAAGATGGTTCACATCACAGGGCTCTATGCAGACAACCCCCAGTACCAGCCCAAAGCCACGTAGACCTGCTGGGTGGCTAGACCCAGAAGAGAGACAACAATCAATGCACTTTGGCTTACAGGAAGCCATGCCCATAGGAAAAAGGGGAGAGTACTACGTCAAGGGAACACCCCGTGGGATGAAAGAGTCTGAACAACAGTCTTCAGCCCTAGACCTTTCCTCTGACAGAGTCTACCAAAATGAGAAGGAACCAGAAAACCAACCCTGGTAATCTGACAAAACAAGAATCTTCAACACCCCCCAAAAAATCACACCAGTTCATCACCAATGGATCCAAACAAAGAAGAAATCACTGATTCATCTAAAAAAAAATTCAGGTTAGTTATTAAGCTAATCAGGGAGGGGCCAGAGAAAGATGAAGCCCAATGCAAGAAAATCCAAAAAATGATACAATACGTGAAGGGAGAATTATTCAAGGAAATAGATAGCTTAAATAAAAAAATAAAAAATCAGGAAACTTTGGACGTACTTTTAGAAATGTGAAATGCTCTGGAAAGTCTCAGCAATAGAATTGAACAAGTAGAAGAAAGAAATTCAGAATTCGAAGACAAGGTCTTTGATTTAACCCAATCCAATAAAGACAAAGAAAAAAGAATAAGAAAATATGAGCAAAGTCTCCAAGGAGTCTGGCATTCTGTTAAATGATGAAACCTAACACTAATTGGTGTACCTGAGGAAGAAGTGAATTCTAAAAGCCAGGAAAACATATTTGGGAGAATAATCTAGGAAAACTTCCATGGCCTTGTGAGAGACCTAGACATCCAAATACAAGAACCACAAATAACACCTGGGAAATTCATCACAAAAAGATCTTAGCCTAGGCACATTGTCATTAGGTTATCCAAAGTTAAGACAAAGGAAAGAATCTTAAGAGCTGTGAGACAGAAGCACTAGGTAACCTATAAAGGAAAACCTGTCAAATTAACAGCAGATTTCACAGCAGGAACCTTACAAGCTAGATGGGATTGGGGCCCTTTCTTCAGCCTCCTCAAACAAAACAATTATCAGCCAAGAATTTTGTATCCAGCAAAACTAAACATCATATATGAAGGAAAGATACAGTCATTTTCAGACAAACAAATGCTGACAGAATTTGCCATTACCAAGCCAGGACTCTAAGAACTGCTAAAAGGAGCTCTAAATCATGAAACAAATCCTGGAAACACATCAAAACAGAACTTCATTAACGCATAAATCACAGAGGACCTATAAAACAAAAATACAAGTTAAAAAACAAAAACAAAGTACAGAGGCAACAAAGAGCATGATGAAAGCAATGGTACCTCACTTTTTAATACTAATGTTGGTTGTAAATGGCTTAAATGCTCCACTTACAAGATACAGAACCACAGAATGGATAACAACTCACCAACTAACTATCTGCTGCCTTCAGGAGACTCACCTAACACATAACGACTTACATAAACTTAAGGAAAGTGGTAGAAAAAGGCATTTCATGCAAATGGACACCAAAAGCAAGCAGCAGTAACTATTCTCATATGAGACAAAACAAACTTTAAAGCAACAGTAGCTAAAAGAGACAAAGAGAGACAGTATATCATCTGTCACCTGACAGTCTCATCCAACAGAAAAATATGACAATCCTAAACATATGTGAACCTAACACTGGAGCTCCCAAATTTATAAAACAATTACTAGTAGACATAAGAAATAAGATAGACAGCAACACAATAATAGTGGGGGACTTCAATACTCCACTGACAGCACTAGACAGGTCATCAAGACAGAAAGTCAACAAAGAAACAATGGATTTAAACTATACTTTGGAACAAATGGACTTAACAGATATATATAGAACATTTCATCCAACAACCACAGAATACACATTCTATTCAACAGCACATGGAATTTTCTCCAAGATAGACCATATGATAGGCCATAAAATGAGTCTCAATAAATTTAAGAAAATTGAAATTGTATCACGCACTCTCTCACATCACAATGGAATAAAACTGAAAATCAACTCCAAAAGGAATCTTCGAAACCATGCAAATACATGGAAATTAAATAACCTGCTCCTGAATGAGCATTGGGTGAAAAACGAAATCAAGATGGAAATGTAAAAAATTTCTTCGAACTGGATGACACAACCTATCAAGACCTCTGGGATACAGCAAAGGCAGTGCTAAGAGGAAAGTTTATAGCACTAAACACCTACGTCGAAAAGTCTGAAAGAGCACAGACAATCTAAGTTCACATCTCAGGGAACTAGAGAAGGAGGAACAAGCCAAACCCAATCCCAGCAAACAAAGGAAATAACCAAGATCAGAGCAGAACTAAATGAAATTGACACAACAACAACAACAACAAAAATACAAAACATAAATAAAACAAAAATTTGGTTATTTGAAAAGATAAAATTGATAAACCATTAGCAAGATTAACCAAGAAAAGGAGAGAAAATCCAAATAACCTCACTAAGAAATGAAACAGGGGATATTACAACTGACACCACTGAAATATTAAAGATTATTCAAGGGTACTATGAACACCTTTTAGCACATAAACTAGAAAACCTAGAAGAGTTGGATAAATTCCTGGAAAAATACAACCCTCCTAGCTTAAATCAGGAAGAATTAGATACCCCAAGCAGACCAATAAAGCAAGCAGCAAGATTGATAGGGTAATTTAAAAATTACCAACAAAAAAAGCCAAGGACCAGACGGATTCACAGCAGAATTCTACCAGACATTCAAAGAAGAAATGATACCAATCCTTTCACACTATTCCACAAGACAGAGAAAGAAGAAACCCTTCCAATTCATTCTATGAAGCCAGCATCAGCCTAATACCAAAACCATGAAAGGACATAACCAGAAAAGAAAACTACAGACCAATATCCTTAATGAACGCAGATGCCAAAATCCTTAACAAAATACTATCTAACTGAATCCAACAACATATCAAAAAGATAATCCACCAAGATCAAGTGGGTTTCATACCAGTGATACAGGAATGGTTTAACATATGCAAGTCAATAAATGTGATACACCAAATAAACAGAATTTAAAAAAAACTCACATGATTATATCAACAGATGCAGAAAAAGCATTCAACAAAATCTAGCATTGCTTTATGATTAAAGCTCTCAGCAAAATAGGCATACAAGGGACATACCTTAATGTAATAAAAGCCATCTATGACAAACCCACAGCCAACATAATACTGAATGGGGAAAAGGTGAAAGCATTCCCTTTGAGAATTGGAACAAGACGAGGAGACTACTCTCACCACTCCTCTTCAACATAGTACTGGAAGTCCTAGCCAGAGCAATCATACAAAGGAAGGAAATAGAGGAAATCCAAATCGGTAAAGAGGAAGTCAAACTGTCACTGCTTGCTGACAATATGATCTTTCACCTTGAAAACCCTACAGACTCCTCTAGAAAGCTCCTAGAACTGATAAAAGAATTCAGCAAAGTTTCCAGATACAAGATAAATGTACACAAATCAGTAACTCTTCTATACATCAACAGCTACCAAGCAGAGAATCACATCAAGAACTCAACCCCTTTTACAATAGCTGCAAAAAAAAAAAAAAACTTAGGAATATACCTAGCAAAGGAATCAAAAGACCTCTACAATGAAAATTACAAAACACTGCTGAAAGAAATCATAGATGGAGCCAAGCATGGTGGCGCATGCCTATAATCCCAGCTACTCGGGAAGCTGAGGCAGGAGAATCGCTTGAACCCAGGAGGCAGAAGTTGTAGTGAGCCGAGATCACACCATTGCACTCCCACCTCAGCGACAAGAGCGAAACTCCCTCTGAAAAAAAAAAAAAAAAAAAAAAAAAAACAAGAAAGAAAAGAAATCATAGATGACACAAACAAATGGAAACGCACCCCCATGCTCATGGATGGGTAGAACCAATATTGTGAAAATTACCATTCTGTTAAAGGCAATCTACAAATTCAATGCAATCCCCATCTGAACACCACCATCATTCTTCACAGAATTACAAAAACGATTCTAACATTAATATGGAACCAAAAGAGAGCCATGTAGCCAAACCAAGGCTAAGCAAAAAGAACAAACCTGGAGGCATCACACTACTTGATTTCAAACTGTACAATAAGGCCACAGTTACCAAAACAGCATGGTACTGGTTTAAAAATAGGCATATACACCAATGGAACAGAAGAGAGAACCCAGAAATTAACCCAAATACTTACAGCCAACTGATCTTCAACAAAGTAAACAAAAACATAAAGTGGGGAAAGGACACCCTTTTCAACACATGATGTTGGGATAATTGGTGAGCCACATGTAGGGGAATAAAATTGGATTCTCATCTCTCACCTTATATAAAAATCGACTCAAGATGGATTAAGAACTTAAACCTAATACCTGAGCTATAAAAATTCTAGAAAATAACACTGGATAAACCCTTCTAGACATTGGCATAGGCAAGGATTTCATGATGAAGAACCCAAATGCAAATGCAATAAAAACAAAGATAAATAGTTGGGACTTAATTAAACTAAAGAGCTTTTGCATGGCAAAGGGAACAGTCAGCAGAGTAAACAGACAACCCACAGAGTGGGAGAAAATCTTCATAATCTATACATCTGACAGAGGACTAATATCCAGAATCCACAACAAACTCAAACAAATCAGTATGAAAGAAAAAAACAACCCCATCAAAAAATGGGCTAAGGACATGAATGGACAGTTCTCAAAAGAAGATATGCAAATGGCCAACAAACATAAATAAAAATGCTTAATATCACTAATGATCAGGGAAATGCAAATCAAAACCACAATGCAATACCACCTTACCTCCTGCAACCCAAAAATAAAAAAACAGTAGATGTTGCCGTGGATGCAGTAAACAGGGAACACTTCTACACTGCTGGAGGGAATGTAAACTAGTATGCCACTATCAAAAATAATGTGGAGATTCCTTAAATAACTAAAAGTAGAACCACCATTTGATCCAGCAATCCCACTACTAGGTATCTACCCAGAGGAAAATAAATCATTATTCAAAAAAGATACTTGCACACGCAAGTTTATAGCAGTACAATTCACAATTGCAAAATCGTGTAACCAACCCAAGTGCCCATCAGTCAACAAGTGGATAAAGAAACTGTGAGATAGATATATATAGATAGATATATAGATATATATATAGATAGATAGATAGATATAGATAAATATATATAGATATCTATAGATATATAGATATAGATATATATAATGGAATACTATGTAGCCATAGAAAGGAATGAATTAACAGCATTTCCTGTGACCTGGACGAGATTGGAGACTATTGTTCTAAGTGATGTAACCCAGGAATGGAAAACTCAACATTGTATGTTCTCACTGATATGTAGGAGCTAAGCTATGAGGACACAAAGGCATAAGAATGATGCAACGGACTTTGGGGACTTGGGAGGAAGAGTGGGAGGGAGGCGAGCAATAAAAGACTACGAATATGGTGCAGTCTATACGGCTTGGGTAATGGGTGCACCATAATCTCACAAATCACCGCTAAGGAACTTACTTATGTAACCAAATACCATCTGTACCCCGATAACTTATGAAAAAATTAAATAAAAATAATAAATGAAAAATAAAGTATAACACACCAAGAAAGTGAAGAGATAACCCACAGAATGGGAAAAAATGATTGCAAACTATCCATCTGACAAAGGATTAATAACTGCAATATGTAAGAAGCTCAAACAACTCTACAAGAAAAAATCTAATAACCTGGTCAAAAATGGCCAAAAAGATTTGAAGATATATTTCTCAAAAGAAGACATACACATGGCAAACAGGCATATGAAAAGGTGCTCAAAATCATTGATAGAGAAATGCAAATCGAAACTGAAGTGTGACATCATCTCACTGGAGTTAAAATGGCTTATATGCAAAATACAGGAAATAACAAATGCTAGCGAGAATTTGGAGAAAAGGGAACCCTCATTTACTGTTGGTGGGAATGTAAATTAGTACAACCACTATAAACAACAGTTTGGAGGTTCCTCAAGAAACTAAAAATTAAGCTACCACATTATCCAACAATCCTACTGTTGGGTATATACCCAAAAGAAAGGAAATCAGTATGTTGAGATATCTGTACTCCTGTGTTTGTTGCAGCACTATTTACAATAGCTAAGATTTGGAAGCAACCTGAGTGTCCATCAAGAATGGATTAAAAAATGTGGTACATACACACCATGGAGTACTATTCAGCCCTAAAAAAGAATGAGAACCAGTCATCTGCAAGGCCATGGATGGAACTGGAAATCATTGTGTTAAGCAAAATAGCCAGCCACAGAAAGACAAACATCATATGTTCTCACTTATTTGTGGGATCTCAAAATCAACCCACTTGAACTCATGAACATAGAGAGAAGGATGATTACCAAAGGCTGGGAAGGATAGTGGGGAGCTAGGGTGAGGTGGGCATTGCTCATGGGTACAAAAAATAATTAGAATGAATGAGAGTCACTATTTGATAGCACAATAGGGTGACAATGGTCAATAATAACATAATTGTACATTTTAAAATAACTTAAAGTGTAATTAGATTGTTCACAACTCGAAAAATAAATGCTTGAGAGGATGGATGTCCCATTCTTTGTGATGTGATTATTTAATTTTGTATGTCTGTATCAAAACATCTCATTTATGTTATAAATATATACACCTATGTACCCACAAAAATTAAAAATTAAAAAATTATAAGACAGTTGACTCAATTTGAATTTTGGGTAATGTTATTATTTGTATAAATATCTTCCAATACTTGCTTAAACACATTACACATAAATATGCAAATATTGCTTAGCTATACTAAAATGTTATTCATTGCTCATCCCAATTTTAAACTTTACTGTGTTCCTTATATTTTCTTTCAGTAAATCTGACACATTCATTTTAAAAGTATCATAGGATTTACAATAACATAGTACAGATGTGAGGAAAAAAGAATAAAATAAAAATCCTTAGAGGTCATATGGGTTGGTAAGAGTATAAAAGAAAACTGAGTCCCATATGATACATTAAAAACATAAATCAGGATGTACATCTCAGCTCTCACCAGGAGACGTGGCAACCAGAATGTCCTTGGGCTGAGGGTGAAGTCCCTGACCACTCTCAGAGACAGACAATGCAAATCAAGTTCATTCTAACTGTGCTTGATTAACCTTCAAAATTGTGTAAGTCCCTAAGCATATATATAATCATGAGTAGTTGTGGGGAAAATAACACCATTAAATGTACCAAAACAAAAGACCGATCACAAACACTGCCGATGTTTAGATCAGATGTGTGAAGCAAAGAAAGAGAGTATAATAAAAAATAATTTAAAGAAAATAGAGCTTGATAAATCTGTTTCTTCATCTTCATAATAATGTCAAATTTGTTGAGATTTTTTTTAAATGGCACGATTTGTCTACAGATCTTTGTACTCTGGCTTAAATTAAATGTATATACAACTTATATAATAAAATACTGGGCTGTTTTATTATTATATTGACAATTTCTTAGTCACCACTACTTTGATCATATTCTATAAATGGCACTGTGAGACCTATCACTGGTTATCAACAACATAAAGTGTTTATGACAATTTCATGTGACAGATGAAGGAAGTTTGGTTAGTGCAGTGGCAATAGTTGGCAACCGAGAAACTGAGCTCACAATTTTAGAAAAGTATTATTCTTTCTAACTAGATATTTCCATGAAAAGAACCTTGTGAAATGCAGAAATGCCAAAAGAATAATTATAAGATAATAACCAAATAACTAAAATACATCTCAATTTCTCTGACAATCTAACTTAATGCAGGGTACAGCCAGAATCATGATGTTTACAAACATAGACATTTACGATCTCGAGACATTTAATTATTAGCTGGTTGAGGAAAACAGTAGTAGAACTGTTATTGCAGAGATAAAAGACAGAAAACAGTGGAAGGGCTTGATCACAAGTCATATGTTCCAGTTTTGGAAACCTCTAAAAATCCTGCCTGGTGATAGGTTTTTCTTATCTCATTATTGAAGAATATATGAGCAGGCAGGGCACGGTGGCTCAAACCTGTAATCCCAGCACTTTGGGAGGCCAGTGTTGGAGGATCACTTGAGGCCAGGAGCTCAAGACTAGCCTGGGCAACATAGGAAGACCCTGTCTCTACAATTTTTTTAAACTAGCCGACTGTGGCGGCATATGCCTGTAGTCCCAGCCACTAGGGAGGATGAGGTGGGAGAATGGCTTGACCTTAGGTGTTTGAATCTGGAGTGATCTGTGATTGTGCCACTGCACTCCAGCAAGAATGACAGAGCTAGATCCTGCGTACAAATATACACATATTGTATATATTGTCAATGACCAGTCACAGGTCTTACAATGCTGTTTATACAACATGGTAAAAATAATGTTGACAAAGAAATTATCACAATAATAATAATAAAAGCCCTGTGTGTTATTATTTAACTTGTTCATAAATTTAATGTAAATGAGGTAGAGTAATAAAGATCTGTAGACAAATCATGTCATTTATTTTTTTTAATCTCAACATAATATAACTTTTTTTTTTTTTTTTAAACAGAGTCTCACTCTGTCACCCAGGCTGGAATGCTGTGGCTAGATCTCGGCTCACTGCAACCTCCACCACCCTGGTTCAAGCGATTCCTCTGCCTCAGCCTCCCAAGTAACGGGGATTACAGGTTCCTGCCACCGTGCCTGGCTAATTTCTGTATTTTTAGTAGAGAGGGGGTTTCACCATCTTGACTAGGCTGGTCTTAAACTCCTGACCTCGTGATCCACCGGCTCGGCCTCCCAAAGTGCTGGGATTACAGAAGTGAGCCACCGCGCCCAGCCAACGTTTCTTTTTTAAAGTGTGCAAGCTCTTTGACCATCATGTCTCTGTGCATCACTGCAATAAGATAACCAGAGCAACTGTTTCCACCGTGGAGTTGGGAGGAGATAAAGACACATCCTTTGTGCTTTGGGCGCTCTTATCAGGATCAGGGAGGCCCCTGCCCTCTGATTTTCTCTCTCTTAAATGTACAAAGTACAGAGATTTTTATCATGAATAATTTTAAGAGAAATTAAAAATTCTATATTGTTCAAGGACATGCAGGTTTTCTATTGATCATGTTTCCTCTTGATATTATTAGGCCCTGGCCAGCCGCAAATGAACAATCTCTATCATCAACATTGTGTTCCTTTGCGTTTTAACCTTTCCTGATTCCATTCTCTCTACCTTTTATTTTGAAGAAGCATAGACACCAGAAAACCCTATCCCTACCAAATGCCAAAAAAAAAAACCCTAAAATTGTAAATATTAACATTTACAAGTCACATTTGGGAATATATAATTTAATTAGAAAATTACAATTTTAAACTTTCAGAGGAAGTGGTAGTAATATAAAACAGAGGACATTTTTATAATAAGGAACTCTTATATTTTGCAAATTATTATTCTCTCATCACCAAATAGTGCTACCTAAAGTAATATACAACCAATTTAATAAGTTTAGTTTTAAAAAACACAAAATTACAAAACAATTAATACAATATTTGAAATTATGATGCATATTGCCAGCCTCCCTTCAGGTAAAATTCTATTAACTCTACAAAAATTTTCTAAATGGCAGATGTTACATTTCCAGAAAGCTTTGTGGTAACCAAAAAAGAATTGATTTATTAGCAATTTTTATATCACACTGAGACAAAATATTATTTGTGATAAATATTGTTATGTATTTAAAACATCTCATGTATTAAGAAATCATACTTTAGATGGGGCCAAGCTGGCCTATTAGAAGCAGCTGTGGCCTGCGGCTCTCACGGAGAGCAGTAAAAACTGCGAGTGAATTCTGCACCTTCAGTTGAGGTATCCAGGTTCTTGCATTGGGACTGACTAGGCAGACAGCTCGACCCACAGAGAGCGAGGAAAACAAGTGGGGCGATGGCCCACCCAGGTGTGGCACGGAGCTAGGGGCGCCCCCACTCGCAGCCAAGGGAGGCGGTGAGGGATTGTGCGACTCTGCCCGGGAAACCGTGCTTCTCCCACGGATCTTTGCAACCTGCAGATCAGGAGGTCCCCTGGTGAGCTCAGCCATGGCCTTGGGTCTGAAGCACAGAGCTGTGTGGAGTCTGGGCGGAATGCTCGCTGGCTCACTGGGGCATGCGTGAAAGCCCAGGAGTTTTGCATCCTCTGCCCCGAGAATTCCAGCAAAGCGGAAGATACATCCGTGCATTCCCCTAGGAAGGGGGCTGAATCCAGGGAGCCAAGTGACATCATTCTGAGGCCCCACTCCCACAGCACCTCACAAGTCCCATTGGCTTGGAATTCCAGCTGGCCAGCAGCAGCAGGCTGGAGACAGCCGGAGATGGACCGGGTTCCCGGGGTAGGGCAGCCACTCTATCTGTGGTTTGAGTTGGCCGCTCTAGCCTGCTGGCACCAGGGACCAGGAGGAGTCCCCCATAACACAGCACAGCTGCTGTGACTGACCGTGGCCGGGCTGCTTCTTTAAGTGAGACCGAAATCCATCCCTCCTCACCGGACAGGGCCTCCCCATCGGAATTTTAGCAACTCCAGCCAGAGTTCTATGGACAGAACTCTGATTTCTCCCTGGGATGAAGTCCCCAGGGAGAGGGGTAGCTGCTGTCTCCCCAGTTCAGCCGACTGAGCCTTTCCAGCCTGCTGGCTCTGGAGACTCCTGGGAGTCACCACAGCACACCTGCTCTGCCGAAGGGCAGCCAGACTGCTTCTTTAAGCAGTCCCTGATCCTGTTTCTCCTGACTGGGCAAGACCTCCCAACAGGGGTCTCCAGACACCTCCTACAGGAGCGTTCCAGCTGGCATCAAGTCGGTACCTCCTTGGACTGGTGCTCCCAGAGGAAGGAACAGGCCGCCATCTTTGCTGTTTCGCAGCCTTCACTGGTGATACCTCCAGGTGCAGGAGAGACTGAGGTGATGAGGGTCCAGAGTGGACCCCCAGAAAACCACAGCAGACCTAGGGAAGAGTGGTCTGACAGTTAAAAACAAACAGAAAGCAACAACATCAACAAAAAAGACCCCACAAAAACCCCATTCAAAGGTCAGCAATGTCAAAAATCAAAGGTAGATAAGCCCACAAAGATGACAAAACATAACACAAAAACGCTGAAAACTCAAAAAGGCAGAATGCCTCTTCTCCTCTAAATGACAACAACACCTCCCCAGCAAGGGCACAGAACGGACCCCAGGCTGAGATGGCTGAATTGACAAAAGTAGGCTTTAGGAGGTGGGTAATAACAAACCACACTGAGCTAAAGGAGCACATTCTAACTTAATGCAAGGAAGCTAAAAATCATAAAAGAAATTACAGAAGGTGATAACCAGAATATTCAGTTTAGAGAGGAACATAACTGACCTGATGGAGGTGAGAAACACAACACGAGAACTTCGCAATGCAACCACAAGTATCACTAGCAGAAAAGGCCAAGTGGAGGAAAGAATCTCAGAGCTTCAAAACCATCTGTCTAAGACAGGAAGAGAAGAATAGAGAAAAAAGAACAGAGAACAATAGAGAAAAAAGACCAAAAAAGAATGAATAAAACCTTCAAGAAATATGGGATTATGTAAAAAGACTGAACTTAAGACTGATAAGGGTACCTTGACCCACCACGATCAAGATGGCTTCATCCTTGGGATACAAGGTTGGTTCAACACAGGCAAATCTATAAATGTAATTCCTCACATAAACAGAACTAAACATAAAAACAACAGGATTATCTCAACAGATGCAGAAAAGGCCTTCAATAAAAGTCAACATCCCTTCATGTCAAAAACTCTCAATAAACTAGCTATTGAAGGATCACACCTCAAAATAATAAGAGCCACATATGACAAACCCACAGCCAATATCATACTGAATGAGCAAAACCTGGAAGCGTTCCCCTTGAGAACTGGCACAAGACAAGGATGGCCTCTCTCACCACTCCTATTCAACGTAGTACTGGAATTTCTGGCCAGGGCAGTCAGGCAGGAGAAAGAAATAAAGGCATTTAAATAGGAAGAGAGGAAGTCAAATTATCTTTGTTTGCAGATGACATGATCCTGTATCTAGAAAACCCCATCATCTCAGCCCAAAAGCTTCTTAAGCTGATGAACCACATCAACAGAATCTCAGGATACAAAATCAATGTGCAAAAATCACTAGTATTCCTATACACCAACAACAGGCAAGTAGCCAAATCATGAATGAACTTCATTCACAATTACTACAAAGAGAATAAAATACATAGGAATACAGCTAACAAGCGAAGTGAAAAACCACTTCAAGGAGGACTACAAACCACTGCCCAGAGAAATCAGATAGGACACAAACAAATGGAGAAGCATTCCATGCTCATGGATACGGAAGAATTAATTCATGAAAATGTCCATAGTGCTCAAAGTAATTTATAAAAGAATTCAATGCTATTCCCATTAAACTACCAATGACATTCTTCACAGAATTAGAAGAAACTATTTTACAATTCTCATGAACCAAAAAAGAGCCCAAATAGCCAAGACAATTCTAAGCAAAAAGAACAAAGCTGGAGGCATCACACTACCCAACTTCGAACTATACTATAAGGCTACAGTAAACAAAACAGCATGGTACTGTACAAAAACAGACACATAGACCAATGAAACAGAATACAGAACTCTGAAATAAGCCCATACACATACAACCATCTGATCTTTGACAAACCTGACAAACACAAGCAATGGGGAAAGGATTCCTTATTTAATAAATCATGTTGGGAAAACTGGCTAGCCATATGCAGAAAACTGAAACTGGACATCTTCCTTATACCTTATACAAAAAAATAACTCAAGATGGAATAAAGACTTAAACGTAAGACCTAAAACCATAAAAACGCTGGAAGAAAACCTAGGCAATACCATTCAGGACATAGGCATCGGCAAAGACTTTATGACTAAAACACCAAAAGCAATGGAAACAAAAGCCAAAATTGACAAATGGGATCTAATTAAACTAAAGAGCATCTGCACAGCAAAATAAACTCATCAGAGTGAACAGACAACCAAAAGATTGGGAGAAAATTTTTGCAATCTGTCTGACGAAGGGCTAATATCAAGAATCTACAAAGAACTTAAACAAATTTACAAGAAAAAAAACAACCCCATCAAAAAGTGGGCAAAGGAAATGAACAGACACTTCTCAAAAGAAGACATTTATGCAGCCAACAAACATATGAAAAAAAGCTCATCATCACTGGTCATTAGATAAATGCAAATCAAAACCACAGTGAGATACCATCTCACACCAGTTAGAATGGTGATTATTAAAAAGTCAGGAAACAACAGATGCTGATGAGGCTGTGGAGAAATAGGAATGCTTTTACACTGTTGGTAGGAGTGTAAATTAGTTCAGTCATTATGGAAGACAGTGTGACAATTCCTCAAGGTTCAGCAATCCCATTACGGGGTATATACCCAAAGCATTATAAATTATTATACTATACAGACACATGCACTGTATGTTTATTTCAGCACTGTTCACAATAGCAAAGACTTGGAACCAACCCAAATTCCCATCAATGATAAAGTGGATAAAGAAAATGTGGCACATATACACCATGGAATACTACACATTTATGTCCTTTCCAGGGACATGGATGAAGCTGGAAACCATCATTCTCAGCAAACTAACACAAGAAAAGAAAACCAGGCCAGGAGCAGTGGCTCATGCCTGTAGTCTCAGAACTTTGGGAGGCAAAGGTGGGCAGATCACCTGAGGTGAGGAGTTTGGGACCAGCCTGACCAACATGGAGAAACCCCATCTCTACTAAAAATACACACAATTAGCCAGGCATTTTGGCACATGCCTGTAATCCTAGCTACTTGGGAGGCTGAGGCAGGAGAGTCACTTGAACCCGGGAGGCAGAGGTTGCGGTAACCCAAGATCATGCCATTGCACTCCAACCTGGTCAACAAGAGTGAAATTTTGTCTCAAAAAAAAAAAGAAAGAAAAAGAAAAAGAAGAAAAGAAAACCAAACACTGCATGTTCTCACTCATAAGTGGGAGTTGAACAATGAGAACACATGGACACAGGGAGGGGAACATCACACACTGGGGCCTGTCAAAGGGTGGGAGGCTGGGGGAGGAACAGCATTAGGAGAAATACCTAATGTAGATGACAGGTTGATGGGTGCTGCAAACCACCATGGCACGTGTATACCTATGGAACAAACCTGCATGCTCTGCCCATGTATCCCAGAACTTAAAGTACAACAAAGAAAACTTTACATAAATGCATAAAGTCTAGAACAGCTAATATATTATAATGAAATATCAACTATAATCCCAGCTCAAACAGAACACCATGAAATTATGAAGGGCTTTCCACAAATCTCTAAATTTATGTCTTCATAAGATTACATTTCTATTTCTTCTTGAATAATTTCCTTATTTGAGCTATGATTTAGTGATAGTAAGACGGTAATTATAAGGAGAAACTTCTCCCAACACTCCATTGAGAAAATTCTGCCTCATTTCACCACACACCAGAGTCTTAAGCAGTCACTTCTAATGTAGCTGAACAATAGATCCTCACCCACCTGAGTCTATGAATTGAATCAACATATGTGAGATAAGGCCCCCAAGGAGTGGTAGTAAGCTGGGAATGCCATCAGCTCATCTTCCTTCAGGCCTATATTTGTCATTGTCACTTGTAGAAGCAGGACAGCCCTGGCGTTGGGGTTGTTAGAAACAGAGAGTATCAAAGGGAAAACTGAAGTTCCCTAATTTTTGGAAAACAGCAGATTGGAGACAGATGGGCTCCAGCGTTTTCCATGTGTGAGGTCATTATCCCAGGTAGCCTTGCTCAGGACCTCAGGACCACATTTCTTGTCAGCAAAACAGAAGTCAAATGATATTTCTACCTTCCAAGAGAATAGAACATAATGTCAGATTTTCTCATGGATTCCCACAAGTTCAAGAAACTTTCATGGCCTTATTTAACTGCTTAAGCATTTCAACTAAAAAATTGTCTTTCAAATACACAGGAATCTATTTGGAATAATTTTAACCAGAAAAAGTTGGAATTCTAAAGTAAAAAATGCATAAGGCAATCAAAATTTTTTACAGCTTTTAATTTAGATGTCAATGGGGAAAAAAACATTCTCTGAAATTTGCTTTTATACCATTAAAGACTTATTTTTTACTACCAGCAATACAGGGCAACTCATTCAGGTTGAATCTTGAAGGTAAACTTTAACTTAATTTTAAGTTTTGGCTAATTTTTAAGCATTTATCAATCACCTACCATGATTTCATCTCAGAAACCAAAATCTCAATTTCATTTAGGCCTTTGAAATATTAAAACAGAAGGTTAAATGCTTCAAAAAAATATTCATGTAGAGGCTTATATATGTGGACCAGGAATCTCCCTGTATTACAAAGCTTATGAGAACATAACAAATGTTGATACACACATTTAATTCTAAAATAAAAACTTACAACAAATAAAACTGTAACAAATCAAGAAAATTTTGTAGGTTTCACATTTTATGTCTGAAAATATAGGTATAAACACTCAAGGAAGGATAAAAGAAATCACAAGAGAAAATAGAAAATATCTAGAGACAAATTAAAAATATGAAATACTGAAAGAGATACATCAAAAACAATACCATAAGGGAAAAATTTATAGCTATAAATGATAAAAAATAAGATACCGAATAAACAACTTTACTCCTAAGGAACTAGAAACAGAGGGAAAAAGAGGGACTACTAAAAGAGGGACAACTAAAAGCTAGCAAAATTTTAAAAATGATAAAGACAGCAGTGGAAATAAGTGAAATAGAGAAGAGAAAAACAATATGAAAAATCAACAAAACCAAGTTTGTTCTCTGAAAAAGATCAAAACTGACAAAATTTTATCTAGATTGACTAAGGAAAAAAAGGGAATACTCAAATTACTAAACTCAAAAATAAAATGGGTACATTACTAACAAATTTTTGGAGTAAAAAAAGGATGTATGAGAGTACCATAAGGAACTATACACTAAAAAATTGAATAACCTAAATAAAATGAACAAATTCCTAGAAACAAAAAACCTACTAAGACTGAATCAGAAAAGTTGAATAAACCTATTCAGCAAGGAGATTCACCAAGAAGATGACATCAGTAATCAAAAACCCAGCAACAAAGAAAAGCCTGGACAAGATGGCTTCACTGTTGAAATCTACCCAACGTTTAAAGCAGAATTAACACCAGTTTTTCTCAAACTTTTTCAAAACGTTGAAGAGGAGGTAACATTTTCTAACATATTCTATGCGGACAGTATTACCCCGACACCAAGTCAGACAAAGGCACCATAAGAAAACTACAAACAAACATCCCTTACAAATGCTGATGCAAAAATCCTCAACAAAATACCAGCAATTCAAATTTAGCAGTACATTAAAAGGATTATACACTATGAATGAGTATAATTGACTCCTGAAATAAAAGTATGTTCCAACACATGAAAATCAGCATATCACATTAACATAAAGAAGGAAAAAACCCTCATGTGATCATCTTAATCAAAGAAGAAAAAGAATTTGTCAAAATTTAACCCACATTCATGATAAAATATACTTAATAAGCTATAAAAAGGAATAAAACACCTTAACATAAGGTTATATTAAAAAAATACACAGCTAACATTATAATGAAAGACTGAAAGCTTTTACCCTAAGAGCAAAATCAAGGATGCCTGCTTTTACTACTTCTATTTAATATAGTACTGAAGGTTCTAGTTAGTTAAAACAATAAGGCAAGTAAAACAATAAAACATATTCCAATTTTTAAAAAAGTAAAATTTTCTGTTCGCAGATGACATAACCTTGTATATTAAAAATCTTTTAGTTTCTGTGAGATAAACTATCAGATGCAATAAATAACATTCAGCAAAACTGCAGGATACAAAATCAACACACAAAAATCGGTCGTATTTCTACAATAACAAACCATCTGAAGAAGAAATCAAGACAACAGTATCATTTATGATAGCATCAAAAGAATAAAATACTTAGAAACCAATTTAACCAAGGAAATGAGAAACCTGTACAGCAAAAGTATAAACATTGCAGGAAAGTATTAAAGATAACACAAATAAATGAAAAGACATCATGTGTTTATGGACTGGAAGACAAAACCTCATCAAGATTCCATTGTTATCAATAGTCATCTACAGATTCAATAAAATCACTATAAAGATTCCAATATTTGCAAAAATACAAAAACCTATTCTAAAATTCAGATGAAATCTCAAAAAACCCCAAGTAGCCAAATCAATCTTAAAAACTAACAAAATTAGAGGACTAACACCTCCTGGTTTCAAACTTACTGCAATGCTTCAGTACCCAAAACAATGCTGTACCACCATAGAGACAGACATAAAGACCAATGCAATAGAAATAAAGAACCAAAAAACACAGTCATGATTTTTAACAAGGGAGTCAAAACTATGGGGAAAGGACAGTATATTTTTAAACGGTGTTAAGAATGAATATTTACATGGAAAACAATACAGTTGGAGCCTTATTTTACACCATATAAAAAACTTAATTTAAAATGGACTAAACATCTAATTGTAAGAGCTAAAACTATAAAACCCTTAGAAGAAACATAGGAAAAATGTTTCATAACATAGAATCTGGCAATAATTTCTTGGATATGACAGTGAAAGCACAGACAACAACAACACCAAAAATACATAAAAAGAACTTCATCAAAGTGACAAGCTGTTATGTATCTGAAGATACAATCAATAGATTGAAAATGGAATAGGAACAGCTCTGGTCTACAGCTCCCAGCGTGAGCGATGCAGAAGACGGGTGATTTCTGCTTTTCCATCTGAGGTACTGGGTTCATCTCACTAGGGAGTGCCAGACAGTGGGCGCAGGTCAGTGGGTGCACGAACCGTGCACAAGCCGAAGCAGGGTGAGGCATTGCCTCACTCGGGAAGCGCAAGGGGTCAGGGAGTTCCCTTTCCTAGTCAAAGAAAGGGGTGACAGACAGCACCTAGAAAATCGGGTCACTCCCACCCGAATACTGTGCTTTTCTGACGGGCTTAAAAAAACGGCGCACCATGAGATTATATCCCACACCTGGCTGGGAGGGTCGTACGCCCATGGAGTCTCGCTGATCGCTAGCACAACCGTCTGAGATCAAACTGCAAGGTGGCAGCGAGGCTGGGGGAGGGGTGCCCGCCATTGCCCAGGCTTGCTTAGGTAAACAAAGCAGCCAGGAAGCTCGAACTGGGTGGAGCCCACCACAGCTCAAGGAGGCCTGCCTGCCTCTGTAGGCTCCACCTCTGGGGGCAGAGCACAGACAAACAAAAAGCAGTAACCTCTGCAGACTTAAATGTCCCTGTCTGACAGCTTTGAAGAGAGCCGTGGTTCTCCCAGTACACAGCTGGAGATCTGAGAATGGGCAGACTGCCTCCTCAAGTGGGTGCCTGACTCCTGACCCCTGAGCAGCCTAACTGGGAGGCACCCCCCAGCAGGGGCACACTGACACCTCACACGGCAGGGTACTCCAACAGACCTGCAGCTGAGGGTCCTGTCTGTTAGAAGGAAAACTAACAAACAGAAAGGACATCCACACCAAAAACCCATCTGTACATCACCGTCATCAAAGACCAAAAGTAGATAAAACCACAAAGACGGGGAAAAAACAGAACAGAAAAACTGGAAACTCTAAAAAGCAGAGCGCCTCTCCTCCTCCAAAGGAATGCAGTTCCTCACCAGCAATGGAACAAAGCTGGATGGAGAATGACTTTGATGAACTGAGAGAAGAAGGCTTCAGACGATCAAATTACTCTGAGCTACGGGAGGACATTCAAACCAAAGGCAAAGAAGTTGAAAACTTTGAAAAAAATTTAGAAGAATGTATAACTAGAATAACCAATACAGAGAAGTGCTTAAAGGAGCTGATGGAGCTGAAAACCAAGGCTCGAGAACTACGTGAAGAATGCAGAAGGCTCAGGAGCCGATGCGATCAACTGGAAGAAAGGGTATCAGCGATGCAAGATGAAATGAATGAAATGAAGCGAGAAGGGAAGTTTAGAGAAAAAAGAATAAAAAGAAATGAGCAAAGCCTCCAAGAAATATGGGACTATGTGAAAAGAACAAATCTACGTCTGATTGGTGTACCTGAAAGTGACAGGGAGAATGGAACCAAGTTGGAAAACACTCTGCAGGATATTATCCAGGAGAACTTCCCCAATCTAGCAAGGCAGGCCAACATTCAGATTCAGGAAATACAGAGAACACCACAAAGATACTCCTCGAGAAGAGCAACTCCAAGACACATAATTGTCAGATTCACCAAAGTTGAAATGAAGGAAAAAATGTTAAAGGCAGCCAGAGAGAAAGGTCGGGTTACCCTCAAAGGGGAGCCCATCAGACTAACAGCTGATCTCTCAACAGAAACCCTACAAGCCAGAAGAGAGTGGGGGCCAATATTCAACATTCTTAAAGAAAAGAATTTTCAACCCAGAATTTCATATCCAGCCAAACTAAGCTTCATCAGTGAGGGAGAAATAAAATATTTTACAGACAAGCAAATGCTGAGAGATTTTGTCACCACCAGGCCTGCCCTAAAACAGCTCCTGAAGGAAGCAGTAAACATGGAAAGGAACAACCGGTACCAGCCACTGCAAAATCATGCCAAAATGTAAAGACCATCGAGACTAGGAAGAAACTGCATCAACTAACGAGCAAAATAACCAGCTAACATCATCATGACAGGATCAAATTCACACATAACAATATTAACTTTAAATGTAAATGGACTAAATGCTCCAATTAAAAGACACAGACTGGCAAATTGGATAAAGAGTCAAGACCCATCAGTGTGCTGTATTCAGGAAACCCATCTCACGTGCAGAGACACACATAGACTCAAAATAAAAGGATGGAGGAAGATCTATCAAGCAAATGGAAAACAAAAAAAGTAGGGGTTGCAATCCTAGTCTCTGATAAAACAGACTTTAAACCAATAAAGATCAAAAGAGACAAAGAAGGCCATTACATAATGGTAAAGGGATCAATTCAACAAGAAGAGCTAACTATCCTAAATATATATGCACCCAATACAGGAGCACCCAGATTCATAAAGCAACTCCTGAGTGACCTACAAAGAGACTTAGACTCCCACACATTAATAATGGGAGACTTTAACACCCCACTGTCAACATTAGACAGCTCAACAAGACAGAAAGTCAACAAGGATACCCAGGAATTGAACTCAGCTCTGCACCAAGCAGACCTAATAGACATCTACAGAACTCTCCACCCCAAATCAACAGAATATACATTTTTTTTCAGCACCACACCACACCTATTCCAAAATTGACCACATACTTGGAAGTAAAGCTCTCCTCAGCAAATGTAAAAGAACAGAAATTATAACAAACTATCTCTCAGACCACAGTGCAATCAAACTAGAACTCAGGATTAACAATCTCACTCAAAACCACTCAACTACATGGAAACTGAACAACCTGCTCCTGAATGACTACTGGGTACATAACAAAATGAAGCCAGAAATAAAGATGTTCTTTGAAACCAAGGAGAACAAAGACACAACATACCAGAATCTCTGGGACGCATTCAAAGCAGTGTGTAGAGGGAAATTTACAGCACTAAATGCCCACAAGAGAAAGCAGGAAAGATCCAAAATTGACACCCTAACATCACAATTAAAAGAACTAGAAAAGCAAGAGCAAACACATTCAAAAGCTAGCAGAAGGCAAGAAATAACTAAAATCAGAGCAGAACTGAAGGAAAGAGAGACACAAAAAACCCTTCAAAAAATTAATGAATCCAGGAGCTGGTTTTTTGAAAGGATCAACAAAATAGATAGACCACTAGCAAGAATAATAAAGAAAAAAAGAGAGAAGAATCAAATAGATGCAATAAAAAAATAATAAAGGGGATATCACCACCGATCCCACAGAAATACAAACTACCATCAGAGAATAATACAAACACCTCTACGCAAATAAACTAGAAAATCTAGAAGAAATGGATAAATTCCTCAACACATACACTCTCCCAAGACTAAACCAGGAAGAAGTTGAATCTCTGAATAGACCAATAACAGGATCTGAAATTGTGGCAATAATCAATAGCTTACCAACCAAAAAGAGTCCAGGACCAGATGGATTCACAGCCGAATTCTACCAGAGGTGCAAGGAGGAACTGGTACCATTCCTTCTGAAACTATTCCAATCAATAGAAAAAGAGGGAATCCTCCCTAACTCATTTTATGAGGCCAGCATGATTCTGATACCAAAGCCTGGCAGAGACACAACCAAAAAAGAGAATTTTAGACCAATATCCTTGATGAACATTGGTGCAAAAATCCTCAATAAAATACTTGCAAAAAAAATCCAGCAGCACATCAAAAAGCTTATCCACCATGATCAAGTGGGCTTCATTCCTGGGATGCAAGGCTGGTTCAATATATACAAATCAATAAATGCGATCCAGCATATAAACAGAGACAAAGACAAAAACCACATGATTATCTCAATAGATGCAGAAAAGGCCTTTGACAAAATTCAACAACCCTTCATGCTAAAAACTCTCAATAAATTAGGTATTGATGGGATGTATCTCAAAATAATAAGAGCTATTTATGACAAACCCACAGCCAATATCATACTGAATGGGCAAAAACTGGAAGCATTCCCTTTGAAGACTGGCACAAGACAGGGATGCCCTCTCTCACCACTCCTATTCAACATAGTGTTGGAAGTTCTCGCCAGGGCAATTAGGCAGAAGAAGGAAATAAAGGGTATTCAATTAGGAAAAGAGGAAGTCAAATTGTCCCTGTTTGCAGATGACACGATTGTATATCTAGCAAACCCCATTGTCTCAGCCCAAAATTTCCTTAAGCTGATAAGCAACTTCAGCAAAGTCTCAGGATACAAAATCAATGTACAAAAATCACAAGCATTCCTATACACCAACAACAGACAAACAGAGAGCCAAATCATGAGTGAACTCCCATTCACAATTGCTTCAAAGAGAATAAAATACCTAGGAATCCAACTTACAAGGGATGTGAAGGACCTCTTCAAGGAGAACTACAAACCACTGCTCAATGAAATAAAAGAGGATACAAACAAATGGAAGAACATTCCATGCTCTTGGGTAGGAAGAATCAATATCGTGAAAATGGCCATACTGCCCAAGGTAATTTACAGATTCAATGCCATCCCCATCAAGCTACCAATGACTTTCTTCACAGAATTGGAAAAAACTACTTTAAAGTTCATATGGAACCAAAAAAGAGCCCGCATTGCCAAGGCAATCATAAGCCAAAAGAACAAAGCTGGAGGCATCACACTACCTGACTTCAAACTATACTACAAGGCTACAGTAACCAAAACAGCATGGTACTGGTACCAAAACAGAGATATAGATCAATGGAACAAAACAGAGCCCTCAGAAATAATGCCGCATATCTACAACTATCTGATCTTTGACAAACCTGAGAAAAACAAGCAATGGGGAAAGGATTCCCTATTTAATAAATGATGCTGGCAAAACTGGCTAGCCATATGTAGAAAGCTGAAACTGGATTCCTTCCTTACACCTTATACAAAAATCAATTCAAGATGGATTAAAGACTTAAACGTTAGACCTAAAACCATAAAAACCCTAGAAGAAAACCTAGGCAATACCATTCAGGACATAGGCATGGGCAAGGACTTCATGTCTAAAACACCAAAAGCAATGGCAACAAAAGCCAAAATTGACAAATGGGATCTAATTAAACTAAACAGCTTCTGTACAGCAAAAGAAACTACCATCAGAGTGAACAGGCAACCTACAAAATGGGAGAAAATTTTTGCAACCTACTCATCTGACAAAGGGCTAATATCCAGAATCTACAATGAACTCAAACCAATTTACAAGAAAAAAACAAACAACCCCATCAAAAAGTGGGCAAAGGACACAAACAGACACTTCTCAAAAGAAGACATTTATGCAGCCAAAAAACACATGAAAAAATGCTCATCATCACTGGCCATCAGAGAAATGCAAATCAAAACCACAATGAGATACCATCTCACACCAGTTAGAATGGCAATCATTAAAAAGTCAGGAAACAACAGGTGCTGGAGAGGATGTGGAGAAATAGGAACACTTTTACACTGTTGGTGGGACTGTCAACTAGTTCAACCATTGTGGAAGTCAGTGTGGCGATTCCTCAGGGATCTAGAACTAGAAATACCATTTGACCCAGCCATCCCATTACTGGGTATATACCCAAAGGACTGTAAATCATGCTGCTATAAAGACACATGCACACGTATGTTTATTGCGGCACTATTCACAATAGCAAAGACTTGGAACCAACGCAAATGTCCAACAATGATAAACTGGATTAAGAAAATGTGGCACATATACACCATGGAATACTATGCAGCCATAAAAAATGATGAGTTCATGTCCTTTGTAGGGACATGGATGAAACTGGAAATCATCATTCTCAGTAAACTATCGCAAGAACAAAAAACCAAACACCGCATATTCTCACTCATAGGTGGGAATTGAACAATGAGATCACATGGACACAGGAAGGGGAACATCACACTCTGGGGACTGTTGTGGGGTGGGGGGAGGGGGGAGGGATAGCATTGGGAGATATACCTAATGCTAGATGACCAGTTAGTGGGTGCAGTGCACCAGCGTGGCACATGTATACATATGTAAATAACCTGCACAATGTGCACATGTACCCTAAAACTTAAAGTATAATAATAAAAGAAAAAATATATATATAACATAAAAAATAATAAATAAATAAATAAATTTTTAAAAATTAAAAAAATAGATTAAAAATAAATTCATGAAGGGAAAGAAAATATTCACACATTATGTATTTGGTAAGTAATTAATATCCGGGCTATATAAAGACCTCAGCAACAACAACAAAACAATCAAATTTAAACATGAGCAAAGGTTTTAAAATACACATTTCTCTAAAGAAGATATGCAAATGACCAGTAAGCACAGGATAAGGTGCTCAGCATCACTAATCATGAGAAAAAAGTAAATCCAAACCACAATGCAATACCAACTGACACATGTAAGCATAGCTGCCATCAAAAAAACCCCACCAGCAAAGCAAAACAACAAAGCCCCAGAGAACAGCAAATGCTGGATGTGGAGAAGTCAGGACTCCTGCACACTGCTGGTGGGAAAGTAAGATGGCACAGCCACTGTGGAAAACAGTAATCACCATATGATCCAGTAATCCCACATCTGGGTATATACCCCAAAAAACTGAAAGTGGGAATTTGTACACCCATGTTTATAGCAGCATTCACAAGAGCCAAAGGGTAGAAAAAGCCCAAATCTCCATCTACAGATGAATGGATAAGCAAATATGATTGATACACACAATATTATTCAGCCTTAAAAAGAAAAGAAATTCTAATACATGCTACAACATAAACCTTGAAAACATTAAAACAAAAAAATGCAAATACTCCATGCTTTCCACTTTTATAGTGTACCTAGAGCAGTTAAATTCATAGACACAGAAAGTAGGATGTGGTTTCCAGGGGATGGGGGGAAGGGAAAGGGGAGCTATTGTTCCGTGGATACAGAGTTTCACTTTGGGATGATAACACAGGTTTGGAATGGATACTGGTGATAGTTGCACAACAATGTATTTCTACTTAATGTACTTAAATTTTCTCTTATACATATTTCACCACAGAAAAAAAATTAGCAAATATTTAAAAATCTACATGTTTCTTTGAACTGTTTCTTTACGTCCCTTGTCCATTTTTCAATTTGGCTGTTGGTCTTTTAATAATTTAGGATAGCTATATAGCTATATATATACATATATATTACACAAATTAGCTTTTTGTCTGTCATGTATGTTGCAGATCTGTTTCCCCAGTCTGTTGACTTTTGACTTTGATGCATTTTTCTTGCCTATAAAGTTTTAATTTTTATGGAGTCAAATGCATCAGTCTTCTATTCAAAGACTTATTTATGGGTTTGGTGTTTCAGTTTAGGATGAAAAAGAAGTTGTAGATATGGATAAAGGAGATGGTTGTACAACACATTATATTGGACCACTCAACTGTACGTTTAAACATGGTTAAAATGGTAAGTTTTATGTTGTATATATTTTACCACCAAAAAAGGGCCAGGCTTAGATATTTATATGTTAGGGGTTTGGAGTACCTCTAACATTTATTCCCCTACAGGGCTCTAATTTATAAAACTCCCACACAAGAAAAGTAGATACTGACTTCACAAATCTCCTTACAAGTCCCACAGCAAGGGCTGTCTGGGAAAGCAGAGGTGGAAAAAGTCACATAAACTTGAGATCAGTGTGAGACCTCCCATCCCCCACTCTGGAATCAGATGGAGGAAGGCAGGCATGCAGGCTGAGCTGGAGAGATGAGCTGGGGTGGGCAGAACTGTCTTCCCATGAGCCTAGACCTTAAGTGCTCCCACATGATCTCAGGCATGTATCAAACCAAGAAAGCGGCTAGGAGGGCAACACATCTACCTGTATACAGGGAGCTATGAAATACGTGAGCTGCGCAAGTGATGCACAAGGAAACGGAAGCAGTATGACCTTTACACAGTGACCTGGCTCAAATAATTTCAGGCTGTCATTAACCAGGCGAGCTCCACTTTCTCTCTGAGGTAGGTAAAATTGAGGGGGTAAAGTGGGAGTTGGGGAAAATGGAAAAGAAAGCCTGGTAGTATTTCTTCTAACTCTGTCATAAATAAAAAGTAAAACATAGATGCCATTTCTCAGGGCCCAAATGTTAGGTGAAAAAATGTTTGTCATCTCAGTCATGTGATGTGGACTTCAGCAGAGCAGTACACACATGGTCATTTATCCTTTCCCTCTGCATGTTGTGTGCTTTTTCAGTTTATAATGTACCTGATCCACTTGTCTCATCACACTAGCTGCAAACAAGGCCACTGAATGTCACAGCAGGTGGCCGGCATGTCTGTGAAGGGCAGAAACTGGGGCAGCCAAACAGCTGGCAGAGGCCAGCTAGGAAGTACCTGATGCCCACTCCATAGAGGACTCCACACTTAAAAGACAAGATCAGCAAGTGTCAGGCTGCCTCACTAGTTATCCCCCCAAATAAAAAAATAAAAGTAACCCCTCCAGGGAACGTGTATGTGTACACACAAAAGTACATGCACACAGCTATATGCAAATGGGAAAGGCTTGGAAGGAACCAAATCCACCTCTGAACACCAGTTACTTGTGGGGAAGGGGCAGGTGAAGCCAACTGTCAGCATTACTCACCTTTTCAACTGATGAGCTTACATCAATTTTGGCAATTTCTCATAAAAAGGCAATTTTCACTCCTTGGGTGATCACCCAGGTCCTGCAGAACTGAGCCACCAACAACCACCTGCACCACTTCCCATGAGGCCAAATAATGGCTTCCCTCAAAGCTCAGCCCTCCCACCCACCTCCCAGTCCTCTCCCATGCAGGGGGCTGCCGGCCTCCTGGGGTACAGGGGTCCAGGCCAAACCCAATCCACGCATGGTTGGTGAAACCAGCACGTATCCAAGGGCCTTTCCCCCACCTGGGCCATGTGCCCACTGCATAGATAGGCCTGTGCTTGCTCCCCTAGGACAGAGACTCCCTTTTCTTCCATTGGAATGAGGAGTGGGGAGATTTAATGGTGTCCTGTACAGGTTGGGTGTTAATCTGATGTGGTGCTCTTGGAGAAGCTTGCTTGAGTTCGGCGCTTTCTCAGCACGTGGTGTGTGCTGCCCCTTCAAGCTGCAGGAGTCCCAGAAAGTAAGTGCTGCTGCAACCCCCATTTACTGGTGAACAGAGGTCAGGTGATCTGCAGCCAACCAAGCAGCTGCTAAGTGGCCAACAGGCTGGATCTGCATCTAACTTGCAGAGGCCCTGCCTGGATGCTGGGGCTGTCCTGAGACTCCCTCCTCCTCCTCCTCTTCCCTCCACAGCTCTCCTGGCTTCTATCCAAAGCTGTGTTCCAGGTGGGGAACACCTATGGATGCACCAGGGTGCAACTACTCAGAGTCCAGTGTGCAGAAGGGCCCCTGCTCTATGCTGTTTCCGTATCCAAGCCCAAGCTCTTCTAGAGCTTCAGCAAATCCAAGCCTCCCTGAATTCCCTGCAAGACCAAACTGAGCCCTACAACCCCCACCACTCTGGTTAGCTGCCAGTCCCAGCCCCTGTTCCCTCCTGGGCCCCTGTCTGTACAGTTCTGAAGTCCTACAAGAATGTTGAGATCCTAAGCCGACTCTCACCCAAAGAGGTAAACAACCAGGGGCCTCCAGGTTGAGAGAATATACCCAGACAGGTTCTGCTGCCTGTAGGCTTGATGTCTTTCCCCTACAACACGCCTTGCTTGCCAGGCTGGAAGAGGGGCTCCAGAAACTTGGGAAACCTGGGCCTGTAGCTGGCATGTGGAAAAGAGGCCTGGAAAAGCACCATTCCTGTCCATGAAGCCCCCAGATGGAACCAGGTAATTGGGAAATACATGGGCACCAAGCCTGAACCCCCCTCAGACCCAGGTGGGAACTGCAGTGGTGACTTGCCCCCTCTGCCAGTCTGGCTGTACCACTACAGGAGGGAGGAACATCTAGCCCCACGCGTGAGTGGAGACACCAGGTGTGGGCAGGTTCCAGTGGTTGCTGCAGCTGAACCTTCCTAACCAGGTCCATGCGAGACCATCTCAGATGGGTGTGCACCTGGGTTGGGCAAGGACACCCCTCAGACAGTGAGAGCCACTGAGGAGGGCTGTCACAGAGGCCCCTTTTCCTGCTCTTAGAACAGGTTGGGCGAGTATGGGGGAGTGTGGGGGAGTATGGGGGAGTATGGGGGACCTCTCCCACCTCCCAGCTGCTTCCAGGAGCCACTTCTTTCGAGATGAGACTCTCCTGCCTGCCTGTTCCCATTTGGCTGCAATAGACCATTGACAACATTCAGAGAACAAGAAGGGGCCTCACCTGTTTTCCCTGACACGTAGGAGGCAGATGGGCATTCCCAGGGGACCTGGGGTAGAGCCTGTTCATCTGCCCACCCCCAGGCTATGCTGGCTTCATCTTATCTGTGCGATAGGGCTGGGGGTGGGGGTGGGAATTACCAGGAGACCATCACACAGGCCGTGGACAAGTTCTACAAGAGCCAGGGAGAAGAACACTGTCCGTGCATGCGTCCCAGCACCCAGCTCACACATCTCTCATTTGACAGCTTCCCCAAAGCAGGCTTTGCAGTCCAGGCTCCCCAAGAAGCCAGGGGAGGAGACTCTGCCAGGCTGAAGGGTCTGTCCCCAAAGGTGCCACCCTCACCAGGCTCATCCTGACAATCTTGGATTATTTTTGCCCTGAAGTTTTGGAGTGGGGGACAGGGAGAGAGCAGACAGTACTCATTAGCCACCTTTCCAGAGAGCATCAGCCCTCCAGACTGGGGCAGGTCAGACCTCCACTCAGGCATTTTTCTCACTGGTTGCCAGTTGGGGGAAGCAGTATTTGTGAGCACCTGCCTGTCTCCCCAGGTCCTGTTCAGAAACCCCATCTGTGCCTTTGGAGGGACTGCCCTGCGCACACAGGCCCAGCAACCACCATCTACGGCCCCCAGGACCTAATCCCCTTCTACTTGGGATTCAGTGCATGTTAGCAGACACTGGGCTTGATTCCTGCCTAGTCCCTGCCAGATATCCCATGCCCACCTCATTAAGAGAATGAGGCCACACAAACACACCCAGGCCATCGTGATGATGGAGTGCCTGGGGTCCCACTTGCCCACCCTTCATTGCTGGTTCAGAGCCAGCTCTGACCACATTCCTACCCTGAGATGGGACTCTGGGGACATTGTCCACCAGGGTCACTGACCCCTTTTAACGTTCCAGAAACATGGCCAGCTGGTCCCCTAGAAGTTTGGTATATGGGATAAGCCAAGGCTTGCCTTCAGCAACAGGTTTTCCACCACATCACTGCCCAAGGCCCAGGGCATCACCAAGTTCATGTGAAGCCTGCCTGCCATGTCCACAGCCCATACCGACCCCTCCTGGAGCCACTGGAATGCTTGTTCCTGGGCATGTGATGAACCCAGACAGCTTCCGCCTTGCAGGACAACTATGCGCATCTGGCAGCAGTAGCCAGAGGGCCCATAGAAAGAAGATGGAGGCAAAACCAGATGCTGTGAGAATACTTTATTAGTCAAAACCGCATACTATAAAAATGCTTTAAAACGCAGCAGGAGATGTGAAGACACAAATTAACAAGCGTATAGTGACACATGGCTGTCAGAACACAGTAAAGAATCCACACTGCTTCCCCCCTTTACCTAGAAAAGGAGAGTTCTAGGCCACCTCCTCCTCGGCATACTCCTCATCCTCCTCCTCCTCGGCCGTGGCATCCTGATATTGCTGATATTCAGACACCAGGTCGTTCATGTTGCTCTCGGCCTCGGTGAATTCCATCTCATCCATGCCCTCGCCCGTGTACCAGTGGAGGAAGGCCTTGCGCCTGAACATTGCTGTAAACTGCTCTGAGACACATGTGAAGAGTTCCTGGATGGCCGCATTATTCCCAATGAAGGTGGCTGACATTTTTAGCCCCCGGGGTGGGATGTCACAGACGGCTGTTTTTACGTTGTCGGGGAACCAGTCAGCAAAGTAGCTGCTGTTCTTATCTTGAATGTTGAACATTTGTTCATCCACCTCCCTCATGGGCATGCGACCCCTGAAAATGGCAGCCACCGTTAGGTAGCAGCCGTGACGGGGGTCACAGGCAGCCATCATGTTCTTAGCATCAAACATCTGCTGGGTGAGCTCAGCCACAGTCAAGGCCCGGTACTGCTGGCTGCCCCGGCTGGTCAGTGGGGCAAAGCCGGGCATGAAGAAATGCAGCCGGGGAAACGGGACCATGTTCACGGCCAGCTTCCGCAGGTCAGCATTCAGCTGGCCTGGGAAGCGCAGGCATGTGGTGACCCCACTCATGGTAGCAGACACCAGGTGGTTCAGGTCACCATAGGTGGGTGTGGGCAGTTTTAGGGTCCTGGAACATATGTCATATAGCGCTTCGTTATCTATGCAGAAGGTCTCATCCGCGTTTTCTATGAGCTGGTGGACTGAGAGGGTGGCGTTGTAGGGCTCCACCACGGTGTCCGACACCTTGGGCGAGGGCAGGATGCTGAATGTGTTTATGATCCTGTCTGGGTACTCCTCCCGGATCTTACTAATGAGAAGGGTACCCATCCCAGACCCAGTCCCCCCACCCAGGGAGTGGGTCAGCTGGAAACCCTGCAGGCAGTCACAGCTCTCAGCCTCCTTTCTGACAACGTCCATCACTGACTCCGTCAGCTCCGCGCCTTCTGTGTAGCGTCCCTTGGCCCAGTTGTTTCCGGCCCCACACTGACCTGTAAGACAGCACAGCCGGTCACTCGACGGCCAGGTATACGGTCATCAGTGGTCACCACCATAATGCAGAAAGGGCCAAGTGTCACATGTGAGGTGAAAGCACCATTCGCCCTGCAGGTGGAGCAAATGAAACTCCCTCCTCCAGAGTTACAGGACAGCAGCTTCCCCTGTTAGAAATTAAGACAGGAGTCAAACCTGAGACGGGTTCACAGACCTCGCTGCAGGTGGCTCCTGCCCATTCTCAGGAAAGGCAGTAGCCACGGCCCCAGCTCAGCTCCCGGCAGGGACATCAGTAGCTCCTCACCTTGAGGAGACACCGGGGCCTTCCTCCCGAAGCCCATTTAGGAGGCAGATGAAGCGACTCGACTCGGCGGATAGGAGGGTGTTCAGGGGCCCTGGCGCCACAGTTCCCACAGGATGACCTTGGGCACTCCTGGATTTTGAGCTGCCCTGGCTAAGGAGCCGCACCCCAGTCCTCGCCCGCAGCTCACCGGAAATGAAGTTGTCTGGCCTGAAGACCTGCCCGAAGGGCCCCGAGTGCACAGAGTCCATGGTGCCCGGCTCCAGATCCACGAGCACAGCGCGGGGCACGTACCTGCCACCTGCGTGGGGCGGGAGGGCATGAGCGAGGGGAGGGCCGCGTTCCCAGGAGGGCGGTGGGAGAAGGACGGGGGTCGCACCGCTGGCCTCGTGGTGGTGCACGTTGATGCGCTCCAGCTGCAGGTGGCTGTCCCCGTGGTAGGTGCCAGCGGAGTCGATGGCATGTTCATCAGAGATCACCTCCCAGAACTGCAAGAGACGGGAGGGGCCAGACAGGCCGGGGCTGAGTCACGGAGGCGCCCCAGCCGCTCTCCCACCCCCACCCGCACCCCCATCCCTAGGCCGCCCTGTCCCTGGGGTCCACCCCAGCCGCCTCGCCAGCCACCCGGTTCCACCGTCCCCGGCAGGGAGCCCAGGGGCCGCAATGCAGGGGCACCGCTCCCGCCACTGCCAACATCTTCCCCAGCCACCCGGCAGGCCCGGGCTGGGCCCTCAGAGCCCTGGCTGCCAACCTTGGCGCCGATCTGGTTCCCGCACTGCCCGGTCTGCGTGAGCACGATTTCCCTCATGGCCAAGGCAGGATTAGGGCGGCAGCAGAAGCGCGAGAAGGAGGAGCAGACGCGCAGCGACCCAGCCCGCCCTCCGCTAACGCTTAAATAGCCCCGCGTCCACCTCCCTCAGCCTCCGATTGGGCTCCCAGAATAAGCAACAGCTTTACTTCCACACAGGTGCACCCACCTGTGAATCCCTTGGCGTTGAACGTCTGTTGGAGAACTCAGGTGTCCTTGCTATGGTCCCTTCCACGTTGGGGAAAGCTGCTCAGCTGGAGAACTTCTTCCCACGTCTTTAGTAAGACTAGATCCCTAGCTGAGCTGAAACTGAATTTTCCTCCCATGTGGGAGGGGAAGACGCTTGTTTCCATATGCACGGAGTGCCTTTGCACCTGTCCTAGATTGATATTTTTGTAATGGAGATTCATTTCATCTATTAGGAGATCTGTGGTTAGGAAAGGCCTTCCATATGTTAACTCAACAGGACTTAATTATACGTTTTACTTTGGAGCAGTTCAAACCCGCAGTAAGCTATGGGTGTTGGAGATAGTCAGGCGTCTGATTTAGCTGGAGTCTTCTGTAGAGTAGGATTAGCCCTTTCACCTTTCCAGAGGACTGCGGTCTCCACACAGAGTGAAGGTAATATTGGATTCTTAAAGCTGAGGATAGGTGTTGGGTTACGCCTGCTGTGAAAGATGGGCCATTGTCACTTTGCAGGCTTTTAGATTACCGAAACTGAGGAGTTATTTCTTCTGGTAAACATTTTTCAGATGGGGTGGGGAATGCCTCGATCTAACCAGTGAAGGTATCAGTAAGCATTAGCAAATATTTGAATCTCCTGCAGAAAGGTATCGGAGTACATTAGAGTTGCCAGTTCTCACCTGGATAGGTTCCTCAATTTTGGACAGGTTTAACTGGAGAAGGAGAAAATTGCTGGCCGTTTGGGTCATGTCAGGCACAGAGCTCACAGGGCTGAGTCACCTGTTTTAGTGTCTTGAAAAGATTTACCCCTATAAACAAATGAGACATTAACAGAAACAAAGAATCCCTTCTAGGGTGAAAAGAATCATGAAAGTGCTGAGTTATACTCCTGTGATTGGTACTTGGCATTAGTAATTTATTACCATCATTCAGCCTGAGGGGCCCTGGACTGAAATGCAATCCCTGGCCCATTTTTGTTCTTCTTCAGGGTATTCCGGCCCAGTTCTATGTATGCTGACCAGCACGCCCACAAGCTTCATTGGCCCTTTCAGTGCAGGGGCCTTGGCTGTGGCATCTACAAGGGCATTTCCTTTTACATGGTCAGTCTCTCTTTTGATGTCCTCTGCAATTAATTATAGTCACTTTTTGGCAGCAAAGCAGCATTCTAACAAGCTCAAAATCTGAATGATGTATGGAAAAGCCCTTTGGGGTCAGGAGTCCCCACCCATTCCAAATTGCAGCATAAGCATGAAGCACTAAAAAATCATACTTGGAATCAGTGTAAATGTTAACTTTTAAATCCTTTCCAACTGCAGGGGCCTAGTAAGTTCAATTAACTCAGCTTTTTGAGCTGAGGTCGAGGCCAGCAAGGCTTGTGCCTTGATTATCTTGTGCTAATAATAGCATATCTAGCCCTCCTGTTTTCCTGATGCATAAAACAACTTGCATCTGTTAACCACTCTGCCTTGGGATGGTCAAGGGGCTCATCTCTCTTAAGTCTGGCCTGCTAGAATCAATTTGTTTCATAACCTGTGACATGCTTTGGCTGTGTCCCCAGTCAAATCTTATCTTGAATTATAGCTCCTATAATTCCTATATATCGTGGGAGGGGCCCAGTGGGAGGTAATTGAATCAGGGGATGGGTCTTTCCCATGCTGCTCTCGTGACAGTGAATAAGCCTCATGAGATCTGATGGTTTATTTATTAATTTATTTTTGAGACAGAGTCTTGCTCTGTTGCTCAGGCTGGAGTGCATTATCATGATCTTGGCTCACTGCAACCTCTGATTCCCGGGTTCAAGCGATTCTCCTGTCTCAGCCTCCCGAGTAGCTGGGATTACAGGCACCCACCACCATGCCTGTCTAATTTTTGTACTTTTAGTATAGACGGAGTTTCACCATGTTGGCCAGGCTGGCCTCGATTTCCTCACCTCAGGTCATCCACTGCCTTGGACTCCCAAAGTGCTGGGATTACAGCTGATGGTTTTATAAAGGGGAGTTTCCCTACACAAGCTCTTTTGCCTGCTGCCATGTAAGAGATGTGACTTTGTTCCTCACCTGCCTTCTGCCATGAGTGTGAGGCCTCTCCGACCATGTGCAACTGTGAGTCAATTAAACCTCTTTTTTTATAAATTACCCAGCCTCAGATATGTCTTTATTAGCAGCATGAGAGCAGACTAATACAACCTGTATGCCAGAAAGGCTGGGAGCACCTGTGGACTCTGACAGGCAAGTAGATGGGTTTATGGTTTGCCAGGCTTTAAGGGTTATGTCTGGAGGGTCGGTCTAGCAATAAGGCCTCACACTTTCATAAATATTCTCCTATTATCCACTGCTGCCCTTTAGCTTCTAGGACCACCTTCCCTTGGTGTGGGGTCAAAAACCTGTAGGTGCTGTTCTAATGTTAGTTTATTAGCTTTGCCAACTAGAAAAGTGGTAGCAGCAATAGCTCTAAGACATCAAGGCTAAAAGTCAGAGGATTGCTGAGGAAAGTAAAAGCTAAACTGTTTGGGGCCTCTTTCCTGGGGCAGCCTCCAGGCTACTGCAAAACGGAGGCGGTGGGCAGAAAGGCAACAATATGCAGAGCACTCAGGTGAGGGACAAAGAGCACAAGGTGGACAGTCCAAAAAGAGAAAGTGGCAAACATCTTGTTTAGCCAAATCCATTCTTCTCAATATTCCCCAGGGCCTCTAACCCTGTGGGCTTGGCCTCTAATCTGAGTATGACACCCCCAGGTCTCTAACTTTGGGCTGAGTCTCTCACCCTAATATTATACCCTAGGGCCTCTCACTTAAGTAATAGTGGGTAATCATTCTTGCCAACCTGAATGGCTTCGCAACTCTAAAAGACAGCCCACTTGCCAGCTGATTGATTCTATGTGGATTGTTTTCCTTGGAGTGGGGGTCTTGTCTTGGTGTCCCTTCATGGCATTGCTGAAAGATGTTGCTGGAAAAGAGGGTCCTGATACAGACCACAAAGTAGGATTCTTAGATCTTGTGCAGGAAAAAATTTGAGGTGAGTCAGAGAGCAAAGTGAACGAAGCAAGTTTATTAGAAATGACTCCATTACAGAGTTGGACATCCTCAGAAAACAAGAGCAGGAATGCATTGTCTTTTGTTAGTGTCTCTACTCTAACTATAAAGAGAAAGAGTTATAATTAAACTTGGAAGGTGCAGATGTACTCATTGAAGTCGGGGCTATTCGTTTTAACAATGACAATTAACCCGTTGACCTAAGCTAGCTCATTAATATTATCTTTAAGAAAAAATGCTGCACTCCTAGGACATTTATACATTTTTCAGGCTTGGTGGAAGATGTCTTGTATGGCCATAAATATTCTGCAGTTGTAATTTGTGGCCAGTAAAAAAATGTGGCTATTTTCAGACTATAGGTATTAACCTTCTAGATGCCTTGTGAGTACCTAGCTACTCATATTAAGATAGAGAATTCTAGTCATGTTTATTAAACTAGAAGCTTGATAACCATGAGTTCCTCTAACACAGCAAGTCTACTCCTCAAGGAGAAAATGTATTTCTCAGGAATTTTGTGCATTTTATTTGATGGCATTTGGTATGTTTACCATAATGGCAGAAAAGAGTGAAATTAGTCCTCAAAGATTTCTCAAGATTGGATATAAAGTAACAAATGATTATAGTTAATATGCAAGTTGACACAGTTGATATGCAAAAGAAATTTTGTCTGGAACACAATGAGATTTTTATTTATTAATTATTATCATTATCGTTTTGAGACAGAGTCTTGCTCTATTGCCCAGGCTGGAGTGTGGGGCACCATCTTGGTTCACTGAAACCTCTGCCTCCCGGGTTCAAGTGATTCTCCTGCCTCAGCCTCCCAAGTAGCTGGGATTACAGGCATGAATCACCACACCCAGCTAATTTTTGTATCTTTAGTAGAAATGGGGTTTCATTCTGTTGGCCAGGCTGGTCTCAAACCCCTGACAACAAGTGATCTGCCCACCTTGGCCTCCCAAATTGTTGGGATTACAAGCATGAGCTACTGCTCCCAGCCACAATGAGGCTTTTAAATAATTCTGATTTCCTGCTGCTGAGCAGGGAGCCGAGCAAATTCAACAGTTCATGGGCCTAAAGTAGGAGAAGACTGAGGACAAACTCTAGAACACATGTGATTAAATTAATTACAATGGAAACCAAATCAAATTTAATAAGGCCATACCTCTTAGTTTCAAGATGTTTCCCCTCATTTTGAAATGTGGTGTTATTCAGTGGAAAAGAAAAATAGTGTTTATCTCCAGAGTAAAGAACAGGGTTCCCTGCAGGGACTGACTGACTGAGAGCTATGGCTCAGGATTAAAAATTCTCTTTTTTCCACTTACAAACTAAAAATTAATTTCTAAGCCCCTATTGACTAAATGGACCCCTCTTCTTGGATAAGGACATTCCAAAGTTAACCTGAAAAGCTACTTCAAGCCATGGGTCACACCTGCCTCATTAGACTCTCCTCCCTTTGGTTTTAATTGTAATTTTTAATTAATTTTTATGGGTACATAGTTAGTGTATATATTTATGGGGGTACATGACATACTTTGATACAGGCATGTAACGAGTAATACATAATAAAAAACAGGGTATCCGTCCCCTCAAGCATTTATAGCTTGTGTTATAAACAATCCAATTATACTATTTTAGTTTTTATAAAATGTATAATTAAATTTTTTTTACCATAATCACCCTGTTGTGCTATCAAATACTGTCTTATTCATTCTTTCTAACAATTTTTTGTACCCATTTCACATCCCCACTAACCCCGTTCCCCCACTGCCCTTCCCAGCCTCTGGTAACCACCCTTATACTCTCTATGACATCAATTATTTCAAATTTTAGCACCCACAAATAAGTGAGGACATGTGACATTTTTCTTTCTGTGCCTGACTTATTTCACTTAACATAAAGACTTTCAGTTCCATTTCTGTTACTGCAAATGACAGACTCTCATTCTTTCTTATAGCTGAATAGTACTTCATTGTGTATATGTACCACATTTTCTCTATCCAGTCATCTGTTGATGGACATTTAGGTTTCTTCCAAATCTTGGCTATTAGCAACATTTGTTTTTGACTGACTTCTGGATAAAAGCCACCTTAACTGAGGTGAAATGATATCTCATTTTGGGTTTGATTTGCATTTCTATGATGATCAGTAATGTGGAGCACCTTTTCACTTGCCTATTTGCCATTTGTATGTCTTCTTTTCATAAATGTCCATTTAAATTTTTGTCCACTCTTTAATTGATTATATTTTTTTCTATAGAATGTTTTGAACTCAATATATTGTAGTGTATTAGTCTGTTTCTGCACTGCTATAAAAAAACTGAGACTGGGTTATTTATCTATTTATGTATTGAGATGAAGTCTTGCTCTGTCGCCCAGGCTGGAGTGCACTGGTATGATCTCGGTTCACTGCAACCTCCACCTCCTGGGTTCAAGCAATTCTCTGCCTCAGCCTCTTGAGTAGCCGGGATTACAGGCACCTGACACCATGCCCAGCTAAGTTTTGTATTTTTAGTGGAGACGGGGTTTCACCATCTTGGCCAGGCTGGTCTTGAACTCCTGACCTCGTGATCCACCCGCCACAGCCTCCCAGAGTGCTGGGATTACAGGCATGTGCCACTGTGCCTGGCGAGACTGGGTAATTTATAAAGGAAATAGGTTTAACTGAGTCACAGTTCCACATGGCTGGGGAGGCCTCAGGAAACTTACAATCATGGCAGAGGGGAAGCAGGCACCTCTTCCATGATGGCAGGCGAGACAGCATGTATGTGAAGCAAAGGGGGAAGAGCCCCTTATAAAACCATCAGATCTCATGAGAACTCACTCATTATCAGAAGAACAGCCTGGGGGAAACCAACCCCATGATCCAATCACCTTCTACCAAGTCTCTCCCTCAATACCTGGGGATTACAATTCAATATGAGATTTGGGTGGGGACACAAAGCCTAACCATATCATGTAGCTATTAATTGCTTTTCAGATGGGTAATTTACAAATATTTTCTTCCATTCTGTGGGTTTTCTCTTCACTTTATTGTTTCCTTCACTTTAAAAAAGCTTTCTGACTTGCTGTAATTCCATTTGTCCATGTTTGCTTTGGTTGTCTGTGCTTATGGGGCATTATTTAAGAAATTTTTGCCCAAACCAATGCCCTAAAGAGTTTCCCCAGTGTTTTCTTGTAAAATTTTGATAGTTTGAGGTGTTAGGTTTAAGTCCTTAATTCATTTTAATTTGATTTTTGTATTTTGCAAGAAATAGTGTTGTAGTTTCATTCTTCTGCCTATGGCTTGCCAGTTTTCCCAGCCCTATTTATTACAGAAACTGTCTTGTTTTTTGTTGTATGTTATTGACACTTTTGTTGAAAATTAGTTTAGTTGTATGAGTTTGTTTCTAAGTTCTCTATTTCATTCCATTTGTCTTTATGTCTTTTTATTCTAGTGTCATGCTGTTTTAATTACTATAGCTTGATAGTACAATTTAAAACCATGTAATGGGATTCCTCCAGTTTTGGTTTATATACTCAGAATAGCTTTGACTATTATGGTGTTTTGTGGTTCCATATTTCAGATTTTTTTTCTATTTCTGTGAGGAATGTCATTGTTATTTTGATAGAGATGGCATGAAATGTATAGATTGCTTTGGATTGTATGGACATTTTTTAAAATACTGATTCTTCCAATATGTGAACATAGAAATAACTTTCCATTTTTTTGTCTTCTCTTTCATTTCTTTTATCGGTGTTTTACATTTTTAATTGTTGAGAACTTTTATTTCTTTGGTAAATTCCCACACATTTTGTTTTATTTGTGGCTATTGCAAATAGGGTTACTTTTTTGAATTCTTTTGCAGTTTGTTGACTGTTGGCATATAGAAATCCTACTGATTTGTATATGTTAATTTTGTATTCTGCAAATTTACTCAAGTTATTACTTCTAATAGTTTTTTGATGGAAATATTACACCATTCTCACATTGCTGTAAAAACAATTGGTGACTGGTTAATTTATAAAGGAAATAGGTTTAATTGGCTCATGGTTCTACAGGCTGTACAGAAAGCATAGCACTGGCTTCTGCTTCTGGTCAAGCCTCTGACAACTGACAATCAAGGTGAAAAATAAATCTGGTGCTTGCACATCACATGGTAAGTGTGAGGGCAGGGGGGAAGTGCTACACACTTGTAGATAACCAGCTCTCATGAAAACTTACTATTGTGAGAATGGCACCAAAGGAAATGATGCCAAACTGTTCATGGAAATCCTGCCCTCATGATTCAATCATCTCCCGACTAGGCCCACTTCCAACATTGAGGATTACATTTTAATATAAGATTTTGGTGGGAACACACACCTAAACTATATCATTTTGCCCCTGGCCATTCCAAATCTCACATCCTTCTCACATTTCAAAATACAATCATGACATCCCAATAATCCCCAAAGTCTTCACTCATTTCAGCCTTAACTCAAAAGTCAAAAGTCTCATCTAAGACAAAGCTAGTTTATTCTTCCTATAAGCTTGTAAAATAAAAAACAAATTAAGTGCTTCCAAGATACAAATGGGGCATAGGCATTGGGTAAATACTCCTATTCTAAAAGGAATAAATCAGCTAAAAAAAAGAGGCCACAGGACCCATACAAGTCTGAAGCCCAGAAGGGGAGTTATTGAATTTTAAGGCTCCAAAATAATTATTTTTGACTCTACGTCCCATTTCCAGGGCACACTAATGCCTTGGGACGTTTAGACCTTGTGGCTTTGCATGGTTCAGCCCCCACAGCTGCTCTCATGGGCTGGTATTGCGTGCCACTGGCTGGTTTTGTGTGCTTCTGGCTTTTGCAGGTGCAAAGTGCAAGCTGTAGCTAGATCTACCATTCTGGGATCTGTAGGACAGTGATCCTCTCCTCACAGATCTACTAGGCCATGCCCCAGTGGGGAACCCACATGGGGATTGTAACCCTACATTTCTTCACTGCATTGTTTTAGTAGAGGTTCTCCATGAGGGCTCCACCCCTGCAGCATGCTTCTGCCTGCACACCCTAGCTTTTTTATACATTATTTGAAGTAAAGGTGGAGGCTCCCAAGTCTCAACTCTTGCATTTTGTACACTCACAGGCCTAACACCATATGAAAGCTACCAAGGCTTATGGCTTGCACCCTCTGAAGCAGTGACTGGAGTTGTAACTGGGCCAATTTGTGCTACACCTGGAGCTGGAGCAGTGGCCAGGATGCAGGGAGCCATGTTCTAAGGCTACCCAAGGCAGCAGTTCCTGGGCCTGATCCCAGAAACTATTCTCTTCTTTTAGGCCTCAGGGTCTGTGATGGGGGGCTGCCTTTTAGATTTCTAAAATGCCTTCAATTCCTCTTCCCCATTGTCTTGGCTATCAACACTTGCTTTTTTTTTTTTTTAAGTTATACAAATATCTCTAACAAGTGATTGCTCCACAGGCTGCTCGAGTTCCTCTCTTGTAAAAGCTTTTTATTTTTCTGCCACATGACTAGGCTGCAAAGTTTTTAAGCTTTTACGCTATGCTTCCCTTGCAAGTAAAAATAGATTACAACTTACTTTTTTTTGCTCCAACATGTGAGCATAGGTTGTTAGAAGCAGCCAGGCCACATCTTCAATGCTTTAGTGCTTAGATATTTTTTCAACAGAAACCCTAAATCATCACTTTCAAATTCAAACTTTTATATAACCCTAGGGCATAACAGAAATTCAGCCAACCACTTTGCTAAGACAACATGAATGACCTTTGCTTCGATCCTAATAAGTTTCTAATTTTCATCTGAGACCTCCTCAGCTCAGCCTTCACCGTCCAGATCACTATCAGCATTTTCGTCAAAGCCATTCAAAGTTAAGAAAATCTCAACTTTCCCTCATTTTTCTGTCTTCTTCTGAATCCTACAAACTCTTCCAACCTCTGCCTGTTTACCCAATTACAAAGCTGATTCCACATTTTCAGGTATTCATATAACAATTTTCCACTCCTTTGTGCCAATTTTCTGTATTAAGCTTTTTTCCCATCACTATAAATACCTGAGACTGGGTAATTTATTTTTTAAAAAGGAGGTTTAAGTGGCTCATGATTCTACAGGCTGTAGAGAAGACACAGCACTGGTATGCACTTCTGGGAAGGCCTCTGGAAGTTTACAGTCATGGCAAAAGTTGAAGCAGAATCTTGCACATCATAGGGCAAAAAGCAGGAGCAAAAAAACAGAGGGGCAAGTTGTTACACACTTTTAAATAACCAGGTCTTATGGGAACTCACTCACTATCATGAAGATAGTACCAAGTGGGATGGTGCTAAGCCATTTATGAGTAATCCACCCCAATGGTTAAATCACCTTTCACCTGGCCCACCTCCAACATTGGGAATTACATTTGGGAGGGGACACACATTAAAACCCTATCAGAGGAGTCTTTACGTTTTTCCAAATATAAGATTATATCACTGGCAAAAACAATAATTTGACTTCTTTTCCAATTGGGATGCCTTTTATTGCTTTCTCTTGTCTGATTGCTCCAGATAGGAATTTCAGAATTATGTTGAATTACAGCGGTAAAAGTGGATATTCTTGTCATCTTCCAGATTTTAGAGGAAAGGCTTTTAGTTTTTCCCCACTTAGTATGATACTAGCTGGGGGTCTGTCATATATGACTTTTATTATGTTGAGATATGTTCATTCCATACCAGTTTTCAAAGGGTTTATTATTAAAGAATATTTAATTTTATCAAATAATTTTTTAGCATAATGGAAATGATTATATGGATTTTGTCCTTCATTCTTTTTTTTTTTTTTTGAGATGACGTCTTCCTCTGTCACCCAGGCTGGAGTGCAATGGCATGATCTCAGCTCACTGCAACCTCTGCCTCCCGGGTTCAAGTGATTCTCCTGCCTCAGCCTTCCAAGTAACTGGGATTACAGGTGCCCACCACTCCACCTGGCTAATTTTTGTATTTTTAGTAGAGATGGGGTTTTGCCATGTTGGCCAGGCTGGTTTTGAACTCCTGAACTCAGGAGATCCACCTATCTCGGCTTCCAAAAGTGCTGGGATTACAGGCGTGAGCCACTGCACCTGGCCCCTTCATTCTATTTATATGATATATCACATTGACTGATTTGCGTGTTGAACCATCCTTGTATCTCTGGGATAAATTCCACTTGGTCATTATGAATTACCTATTTATGTATTGTTTAATTGAGTTTGCTAGGTTTTTTGCAAATTTTTGCATCAATATTCTCAAATATGGGCCCGTAGTTTGCTTTTTAAATGTGTCTTTGTCTTGTTTTGATATCAGTGTAATACTAGCCTCAAAGAATGAGTTTGGAAATGTTCTTTCCTTCTCTATTTTTCAGTCTGGTCCTACAGACATTTTTTTATTATGGCTTTAATTTTGTTACTCGTTATTGGTCTGTTCAGGTTTTGGATTTTTTCCTAGTTCACTCTTGGTAAGTTGAGTGTGTCTAAGAATTAATTTCCTCTAGGTTTTCTAATTTGTTGGCATACAATTACTTATAGTAGCCACTAATGATCCTTTGATTTTCTGAAACTTGTAATGTCTCCTTTTTCACCTTTGATTTTATTAATTTGTATCTTCTCTGTTTTTTAGCTAGCTGTCTAAATATTTGTTAATTGTTTTACTTTTCAAAAAACCAACTTTTTGTTTCATTGATCTTTTGCACTGTTTTCTTCATTCTATTTCTGCTCTAATTTTTATTATTTCTTTTCTTCTAATTTTGAGTTTTGTTTGGCCTTTTTATTCTAGTGAATTAAGATGTATTGTTAGGTTATTTATTTGCAGCTTTTCTGATTTTTATATAGGCACTTACAGTTATAAATTTTCCTTTTATAATAGTACCTCTTTTACCATATTCCACAGGTTTTGCTATGCTATGTTTCTATTATTGTTTGTTTCAAGAAATTTTTCCATTTTCTTTTTAACATTTTTATTGACCTACTGATCATTAAAGAGCATACTGTTTAATGTCCAAGTGTTTGTATAGTTTCTGAAATTCATTTTTTAATTGATTTCTAGTTTGTTCCATTGTGGTCAGAGAAAATGCTTGATATTACTTCAATTTTTTTAATGTTTTTAGACTTGTTACATAATATATGGTCTATCCTTGAAAATAACCCATGTGCAGAGAAGAACAATGTGTATTCTGCAGCTGTTGAATGAAATTTTCTGTAAATATCTATTAGGTTCATTTGTTATACAGTGCAGATTAAGTCTGATGTTTCTTTGTTGATTTTCTGTCTGGAAGGTCTATCCAATGACTAAAGTAGGGTGTTGAAGTGTCCAGCCATTATTGTATTGATATCTCTTTCTTTAGCTCTTATAGTATTTGCTTCATTTATCTAGGTGCTTTAGTGTTGAGTGCATATATATTTCTTATTATATCCTCTTGAAGAATTGATCTCTTTATTATTATATAATGACCTTCTTAATATCTTCCTACAGTCTTTTGTTGAAATCTATTTTTGTATGGTATAAGTAAAGCTATTTCTGCTCTTTTTTGGTTTCTATCGGCATGGAATAACTTTTTCCATCATTTTATTTTCAGTCTAAATGTATCTTTACAGGTAGAGTATTTTTTTTGTAGGTCACAGATTATTGTCTTGCTTCTCTATCCATTCATCCACTATTTGTCTTTTGATTGGAGTATTTAGTTCATGTACATTCAATGTTATTATTGATAAGCACTTACTCCTGCCATTTTGTTACTTGTTTTCTGATTGATTTTTGTCCTCTCATTGTTCTTTTCTTTCTTCCTGTCTTCCTTTTAGTGAAGGTGATTTATATTTTAATATTATCTAATTTATTGCTTTTTACTTTTTGTACATCTGTGGTACGCTTTTTGATTTAAAATTACCATGAGGCTTGAATATAATATAACACATCATTTTAGACTGTGGACAATTTAACATTGATTGCATAAACAAAGAAACAAGCAAAGCAACTAATAAAAACTCTACACTTTAACTCCATTGCCATTCTTTTAAACTTTTTGTTGTTTCTCTTCCTTCCCTATTTTACTGTCTATGTCTTGGAAATATGTTGTAGTTATTTTTTATTGGCTTATTGTTTACTCTTTCTATTTGAGATTTTTGCACACCATAATTACCATGTTATAATATTCTGTGTTTTTCCATGTGCTATTACTACTGAGTTCTGTACCTTCAGATGACTTCTTATTGCTTACTCACTTTTTTCTTTCAGGCTCAGAACTCCCTTTTGCATTTCTTGTAGGACAGGTCTGGTGTTAATGAAATACCTCAGTTTTTGTTTGTCGGAAAAAGTTCTTATTTCTCTGTCAAGTTTAAAGGACTTTTTGCCAGATACATTATTCTAAAGTAAAGTCTTTTTTTTTCCTTCAGCTTTTTTAATATGTCATGCCACTCTTTCAGCCTGTAAATTTTCTCCTGAAAAGTCTGCTGTCAGATGTATTGGAGTTCCATTGAATGTTATTTGTGTCTCTTCTCTTGCTGCTTTTAGAATCATATCTTTATCCTTAACCTTTGGGTGTTCAGTTAAGTGCCTTGAGGTGGTCTTCTTTGGGTTAAATCTGCTTGATGTTCTGTAACTTTCTTGTACTTGAATGTTGATATCAAATGTTGGGGAATTGTTTTTAATATTATTTCTTTAAATAAATGTTTAATTTTTTTTTTTTTTTTGACAGAGTCTCGCTCTGTAGCCCAGGCTGGAGTGCAATGGCGTGATCTCGGCTCACTGGAAGCTCCGCCTCTTGGGTTCACGCCATTCTCCTGCCTCAGCCTCCCAAGGAGCTAGGACTACAGGCACCCACCACCACGCCCAGTTAATTTCTTTTTGTATTTTTAGTAGAAATGGTGTTTCACTGTGTTAGCCAGGATGGCCTTGATCTCTTGACCTTGTGATCCACCCGCCTCAGCCTCCCAAAGTGCTGGGATTACAGGCGTGAGCCACTGCACTGGGCCAATAAATGTTTAGCTCTTATCTCTTTTTCTACCACCTCTTTAAGGCCAATAACTCTTAGATTCCTATTTTGAGGCTATTTTTTAGATTCTGTAGGCATGCTTTATTTTTCATTCTTTTTTGTCTCCTCTGACTTTTTCTTTTCAAATAGTCTGACTTCAAGTTCACTAAATCTATCTTCTCCTTGATCAATTTTTTTAAGTAACTCTGATGCATTCTTCAGTATGATAATTGGATTTTAACTTCAGAATTTCTGCTTTATTCTTTTTATTTCAATCTCGTTAAATTTATCTGATAGAATTTTGAATTCCTTCTCTGCATTATATTGAATTTCTTTGAATTACCTCAACCAGCTATTTAGGATTTCCTGCATGAAAGGTCACATATCTCTATTTTTCCAGGATTTGCCCCTGGTGCCTTATTTAGCTTGTTTGGTGAGGTCATGTTTTCCTGGATGGCCTTGATACTTGTAGATGTTCATCCATATCTGGGCATTGAAGAGTTCAGTCTTTATTGTAGTCTTCACAGTCTGGGCTTCTTTGTGCCCATTATTTTTGGGAACATTTTCCAGGTGTTCAAAGAGACTTAGGTCCCAAGCCCAAAAGCACAGTAGCAAACATGTAGAGGTACTGCTGTGGTGGCCTTGGATTAACATTAAGAAAAATTCTCTTGATTTATCAAGTAGAGATTCTAGTTCTCTTCCCTTTCTTTCTCTGAAACCAGCAGTCTCTCTTTCTGTGCTAAGCCATGTGGAGCTGGAGTTGGGGTAATATAAGCATCCCTGAGGCCATCACCACTGAGACTGCGCTGGTTCACACTTGAAGTAGGCATAGAACTTGGTCTCACCCAAGGCCCACTGTAACGACAACTTGGCTACCATATAACTTTATTAAAAGCCCTAGCCCTAGCCCTAACCCTAACCCCAAACCCTAACCCTAGCCCTAGCCTTAGCCCTAACCCTAACCCTAACCCCTAACCCTAACCCTAACCCTAACACTAACCCTAACCCCTAACCCTAACTCTAACCCTAACCCTAGCCCTAACCCTAACCCTAGCCCTAGCCTTAGCCCTAACCGTTACGCTAACCCTAACCCCTAACCCTAACCCTAACCCCAACCCTTAACTCTTAACCATGACCCCTAACCACTGACCCCAACCCTAGCCCTAACCCTAACCCTACCCCTAACCCCAAACCCTAACCCTAGTCCTAGCCTTAGCCTTAACCCTTACCCTAACCCTAACCCCTAACCCTAACCCCAACCCTTAACTCTTAACCATGACCCCTAACCACTGACCCCAACCCTAACCCTTAACCCTAACCCTTAACCCTAAAACCCTAACCCCAACCCCAACACTAACCCCTAACCCTAACCCTCACCCTCACCCTAACCCTTAACCCTAACACTAACCATCTAACCCTTCTCCATAACTTAAACCTAACCATTACCCCAACCCTAAATCAAACTCTAAGCAAACCCTAACACACTAGGCACACAAGAACAGGTGTGCATATTCATTCTGTCATACTTATGTTTGCACTTCCTCTCACACATACACATCAACACACTCACATATGCATACCCCTACACATACTGAAATGTCATCTGATTTGTGACCCAAAGAACTCTCAACTAAGAAATAAATGAAAAGTTGCTTACACTGACTAATACTAAAGGAAGTGCTAATTAAAAGAATATTAAAATATCTTTGCCTGCCTGTGTGCAGGCTGGGCATGGTGGCTCCTGCCTATAATCGCAGCACTTTGGGAGGCAGAAGTGAGCGATCACTTGAGGCCAGAAGCTTGAGACCAGCCTGGTCAACATGGGGAAACCCCCATCTCCACTTAAAAAAAAAAAAATAGTTGGGCATGTTGGCACGTGCCTGTGTTCCCAGCTACTTGGAAGGCTGAGGCCTAAAAATCATTTGAACCCGGGAGTCGGAGGTTGCTATAAGCCAAGACTGCGCCACTGCACTCCACCCTGGGCAACAGAGCGAGAACCTGTCTCAAGAAAAGGACTGATATTTACTGTTGGCAAAGGCTACAGGCGCTCTCTTGTTAACCCTAAACCCTGACTTTGACCCAGACCTCATCAAACTCTTCCCCGCAATTCCTCAGGTATGTTTTCTTTCTGCTAATTTTTTCCCCTAAACTTCTAATACTTAATATGCTAAATAGTAAACCAACCCATACCCAATCCCATCCCCAATTTAATACTAAACCACACTAGTACTTCACATCACAAGAACAGAAAGGTACAGATCAATGTCTAGTATAATTATTCAATTAATAATGTTCAAGAGGCCAGGTGCGGTGGCTCACACCTGAAATCCCAGCACTTTGGGAGGCCAAGGCAGACAGATTACCTGAGGTCAGGAGTTTGAGACCCGTCTTGCCAACATGGTGAAACCCTGTCTCTACTAAAAATACAAAAATTAGCCAGGTGTGGTGGCAGGAGCCTGTAATCCTAGCTACTCAGGTGGCTGAGGCAGGAGAATAGCTTGAACCTGGGAGCCAGAGGTTGCAGTGAGCTGAGATCATGCCATTGCACTCCAGCATGGGTGACAAGAGTGAGACTCTGTCTCAAAAAAATTTAAAAAAAAAATGCTCAAGAAAATAATTGTAATTTCATACTAGCACGTATTTTGAGGATTACACAACATGATCACTACATCCTTTTCTCAGAAAATCAAGCTGGTTTGGCATACTAAAGCCATCACTGCAAATAAACATCAAATAAACAGAATAAAGAAGGAACCCACATACTAATTTCAATAGATGCAGGAAGTACTTTAAACAAAGTCAACACCATTTCATCATAAAAACACCCAACAAACCAGGGATAGGAATTTTCTAAACACCACAATCGGACTTCAGCACCATCTCCATTGTCAGGGCCCAGTGCTTTACTCCTAAGATCAGGACCAAGGCACCAATGCTCATTTTCATCATTGTATTCAACACTGTATGGGAAGTTCCATCCACAACAAATAGGAGAGAAAAGGAAGTAAAGAGAACTTATATGTGTTTGGAAGCAGTAAAAACGGCTACTCACAGATCACAGGAGCTATCTTATGTGCAGAAATATCATGACAAACCCCCAAAACGTTATTAAAACTAGTAAACTACAACACAAAATTACAACACAAAATGTCGATACACAGTAATCTGCTATATTTCCAGACACTAGCAACAAACAACATGAGAATGTAATTATGAAAACCATTCCAGACGGGGGGTGGTGGCTTACACCTGTAATACCAGCACTTTGAGATGCTGAGGTGGGAAGATCTTTTGAACCCAGGAGTTTCAGGCCAGTCCGGCCAACACAGGAAAACTCTCTCTCTACAAATAACTTAAAAATTAGCTAGGTGTGATGGTGCATATCTGTAGTCCTAGTTACTCAGGTGACAGAGGAGAGAGGATTAATTGAGCCCAGGAGGTTTAGGCTGCAATAAGCCACGTTCGCACCACTGCACTCCAACCTGACCAACAGGGCAAAACCATGCCTTGAAAAAGAAAGAAAAAGAAATTACATTTTAAAAAATCAACAGGCTGGACATGGTAGCTGACACCTGTAATCCCAATGCTTTGGGAGGACAAGAGAGGAGGATCACTTGAGAACAGGAGTTTGAGGCCAGCTTGGGCAGGACAGCAAGACCCTACCTGTACAAAAAATCAAAAAATTAGCCAGATGTGGTGGTGCACACCTGTAGTCCCAGCTACTTGGAGGCTGAGGCGGGAGGATCACTTGAGCCCCGGAGATAGAGGCTGAAGTGAGCCATGATTGTGCCACAGCACTCCAGCCTGGGAGACAAGAGTGAGACCCTGTCTCAAAAAAATAAAAATAAAGCAATTGCTCATAGAAATATGGGTTTATTTCTGAACTCAAAATTCAGTTCTATTGATTTATTCAAATGATTGTACCAGAATCATGTTGATTTTATTACTGTTGCTTTGTAGTAAGATTTGAAATTGGGAAATGTGAGCCTGAGTTGTTGTTGTTGTTGTTTTGACACTATTTTGGCTATTCTGCATCCCTTGAAATTTCATATAAATGACAGGATCAGCCTGTTGATTTCTGCCAAAAGGACGTGGGGATTGTAACAGGATCCACAAAGAATCTGTAGGTGGCTTTGTGTAGTACTGCCACCTTAAGAATTATTAAGTCTTCTAGTTCATGAATATGAGGCATCTTTAAATTTATGTAAGCTTTCGTGAATTTACTTCAGCAATGTTTTGAAATTTTCCATGTACAAGTTATTTTCTTGTTTTTTTTGTTTTTTTTTTTTTTCCAGAAACGGAGTCTCACTCTGTCACCCAGGGTGGAGTGCAGTGGCAAGATCTCGGCTCACTGCAACCTCTGCCTCCCGGGTTCAAGCAATTCTCCTGCCTCAGCCTCCCAAGTAGCTAGGATTACATGCACATGCCACCATGCCCAGCTAATGTTTTGTATTTTTAGTACAGACGGGGTTTCACCGTGTTAGCCAGGATGGTATCGATCTCCTGATCTCATGGATCCACCCGCCTTGGCCTCCCAAAGTGCTGGGATTACAGGCGTGAGCCACCATGCCCAGCCTCATGTACAAGTCTTGTACCTTGGTTAAATTTATTCCAAAGAATATTATTACTGTTGATTGTTTTTTGAGAGAGTCTCACACTGTCACCCAGGCTGGAATGCAGTGCCACAATCCTAGCTCTTCAGCATCAATCTCCTGGGCTCAAAAGATCCTCCCACCTCAGTCTCTAGAGTAACTGGAACTACATATGTGTGCAAGCACAACCAGTTAACTTTTTAATATTTTTGTAGGGACGGTGTCTGGCTATGGTGCCCAGCTTTCATTCTAAAATTTTAAAAAATTCTAAAATTTTAGCCATGAATCAGGCATAATTACTGTGATGGTTAATTTTAGGTGTCAACTTTACTAGATTAAGGGATACACAGAGAGCTGTTAAAGCACTATGTGTGGGTATGTCTGTGAAGGTGTTTTCAGAAGAGGTATCATACTGGTATAACATATCACGGCATATCGTAATACTGATATGACACCCACAAGACTGCTGTGACACCCAGAAGACTGATGTGAAGCCCACGAGATTCATGACACTCCTAAGACTCATATGACACCCATAATACTGATACGACACCTGTAAGGCTGATATGACACTCGTAAGACTGATGGGACACCTGCAATACTGATATGATGCACACAATACAGATATGACACCCGAAATACTGATATGACACCCACAATACTGCTATGACACCCCTAAGACTCACGTGACACCCTCAATACTGATATTGCAGCCGCAATACTGATACAGCATCCAGACTCTTACCGGGGTGCTTGGTACACAGCTTACACTGACCTGAATTTGGACTGGGTTTGGCCTCTATAGTGAAGTTTGATGTCGTCTCTGCTTTATTGCCATGGTATTACTGTGGTTGTTTGTAATTTATTTTACAGTAATTTCATACTTCTAGGAATCTTGCAATAGCAGTGTAAAGTGTAACTTATCCCTTCTCCTAGATTCCTCAGCAGTTACAGCAACTCCACACAAAACACTCCAGTGTATTTTACCAAAGCAAAGACAGCCTCCCAGCTAACCACCACGTAACTCCCAAATCAGGAAATGCAAGGTCTCTACCTGACAATCCAATCCACAGACCCATTTCACTTCACTGCCTGCCCCAACTGGGAGAAAGGGTCTCTTTCCATTTGGATTGGGTTTTCCTTTTTCTGGAATGTTCCTGAGCTGTCCCTCAGTTTCACAACGTTGGCAGATAACTCCCAGCTGGGTCTGCCCCGTGTTTCCTCCTGAGCAGATGCAGACCCTGCGTTCCCAGGGAAAACACCTCAGCCCAATGCTTGCTCTCCTCAGTGCAACCCACCAGAAAGCACAATCCACCCGCCCACAGCTGGTGATCTCAACTGTAAAATGGCAAAATTCTCATTTTCAAACCCAAGGTTCACAATGTCACTCTCTGATTCAACTTTTACAATGGATTCCCACTGGCCTTAGAACAAGGACCACAGGACTGACCATGACCTCCACACACTGTGTGCTCCTTCCTGCATGCTGCCCTTTCCAAGGCATTCAACCCCAGTGGCCTGCAGTCTCGTATGCTCTCTCTTACGGGACACAGCAGCCTCCTGGGTGTCTCGAGTATTTAATGCATGTTCCCTCAAGCCATTCACCCAATGTCCACCCTTAGCAAATTGTCTAAGACATTGTCCAGCAAAATCCTTAAAGTCACTGCAGGTGTGGTATCTAACAGTAGTAAAGTTAATAATGTGGTTTTTCTAAGAACAAAACATAATTATTTCTTGGATAATCTGCAAGAATCACCCGCAATTTGTAGATCAAGGAAATAATAGTTTAATGGAACCAAAGTCCATGTATGAGATAATTAGGAAAGAAAAACAAAATCTCAGTGTTGAACAAAAGGCAAATGGCACAACTAATTACTGAAATTTAATAAGAACACACTGGGCCGGGCATGGTGGCTCATGCCTGTAATCCCAGCACTTTGCGGGGGTCTGAGGCCAGCCTGGGCAAGATGGCAAAACCTCATCTCTACAAAAAAAAACAAAAATTAGCTGAGCACGGTTGTATATACCTGTAGTCCCAGCTACTCGGGAGGCTGAAGCGGGAGGATGGCTTGAGCCCGGGAGGATGCAGTGAGCCGAGATGGTGCCAGAGGACTCCAGCCTGGGCAATCGGGCCAGACCTTAGAAACACTCTCCTCCTGACTCTTCAGGGAGCCAGACAGAGAATTCTCTCTCTTCTGCTGCCTCCTAAATAAAAGCTTAAAAACACCTAAATAAAAGCTTTGTCTGGGAAACTTGCTCATCCTCATGTCAATTTCTATTACTGGAGAGTCAAGAAACTCTGGTCAGTAACAAATACCACTGACAGCTCGTTCCTGCAAAAGGTGTTGCATTAAGCAGGAATTATTTTAAAATAATTAAAGCTTGTCATTGGGTCATAAGAAATTGTTTAATATAACAATTCCCTCAATTGAAAACAAGATAAACTAAGAAGTATATTTTTAAAATATTATTGATGGAAACAAATAGCAGAAACACATAGGATTAAGAATTCTGTTGAAAACTAAAAGGAGATAAATTAGAAGTCAAATAAGAGAAGCTTATTGGCCAGGCACAGTGGCTCATGCCTGTAATCACAGTACTTTGGGAGGCCGAGGCGGGCGGATCAGCTGAGGTCAGGAGTTTGAGAACGGCATGGCCAACATGGCGAAACCCAGGCTCTACTAAAAATACAATAATCAGCTGGGCATGGTGGTGCAGGCCTGTAATCCCAGCTACTCAAGAGGCTGAGGACGAATTGCTTGAACACAGGAGGTGGAGGCTGCAGTCAGCCGAGATCTCCACTGCGCCACTGCACTCCAGCTTGGGAGACAGAGCAAAACCCTGTCTCAAAAAAATAAAAAATAAAAGAAAGGAGAAACTTATTGAATCAAACTGGAAACTGAGAGAAAATGGGTGATTTCCTAGTAAAAATACACATTAACAAAATGGACTCTAAAATAAGGAAAATTTAAATATACTGATTACCATAGAAAAGCTTGGAGTGACCCTTAGAGATCCCCATTAAAAAAGGACCCCAGGGACAGGGCATGGTGGCTCATGCCTGTAATCCCAACACTTTGGGAGGACAAGGCGGGCAGATCACTTGAGGTAAGGAGTTTGAGACCAGCCTTGCCAACATGGTGAAACCCCACCTCTACTAAAAACACACAAAAAATTACCCAGGCATCATGGCGCACACTTGTAGTCCCAGCTACTTCGGGGCTGAGGAAGGAGAATCGCTTGAGTCCAGGAAGGGGAGGTTGCAGTGAGCGGAGATCGCGCCACTACACCCTAGCCTGAGCAACAGAGTGAGACTGCATCTCAAAAAAGAAAAAGAAAAAAGAAAAATACTGCAGGGCCGGGCGCAGTAGTTCACACCTGTAATCCCCAGCACTTTGGGGAGGCTGAGGTGGGGGGATCACCTGAGGTCTGGAGTTCAAGACAAGCCTGACCAATATGGTGAAACCCCATCTCTACTAAAAATACAAAATTAGCCACATGCCTGTAATCCCAGCTACTTGGGAGGCTGAGGCAGGAGAATCGTTTGAACCCAGGAGTCAGAGGTTGCAGTGAGCCGAGATCTCACCATTGCACTCCAGCCTCGGAAAAAAGAGTGAAAATCTGTCTCAAAAAAAAAAAGTGGGGGAGATCTTCGGCTGGGTGCAGTGGCTCATGCCTGTAATCCCAGCACTTTGGGAGGCTGACGTGTAAGAATCACTTGAGCCCAGGAGTTCAAGACAAACCTGAGCGACGTAAAGATCCTGCTTAAATTAGCAGTGCATGGTGGCTGGTGCCTATAGTCCAAGCTACTTGGGAGGCTGAGGCAGGAGTATTGCTGGAGCCCGGGAGGTTGAGGCTGCAGTGAGCCACGATCACACCACTGCACTCCAGCCTGGGTGACAGAGCAAGACCTTCTCTCTTAAAAAAAAAAAAATCAATCAATAAAGATGTAAAGGCTGGGTACAGTGGCTCACACCTATAATCCCAATAATTTGGGAGGCAAAGGCAGGTGGATCACTTGAGGTCAGGAGTTAGAGATCAGCCTGACCAACATGGTGAAATCCCATCTCTACTAAAAATACAAAATTAGCCAGGCATTCTGGTGCACACCTGTATTCCCAGCTACTCAGGAGGCTGAGGTAGGAGAGCTTCTTGAACCCAGGAGGCAGAGGTTGCAGCGAGCGAAGATTGGGACATTGCACTTTAGCCTGGGCAACAGGAGCTAAAATCCGTATCAAAAACAAACAAAAAAAAATTTAAAAAAAAAAAAAAAAAAAAAAAAAAGCAGCCTGGCATGGTGGTTCAGGCCTGCCTGCAATCCCAGCACTTTGGAAGGCCAAGGCGGGTGGATCACTTGAGGTCGGGAGTTCGAGACCAGCCTGGCCAACATGGTGAAACCCCACCTCTATTAAAAATACAAAATTAGCCCGGTGTGGTGATGCAAGCCTTTAATCCCAGCTACTCAGGAGGCTGATGCAGGAGAAGTGCCTGAACCCGGGAGGCGGAGGTTGCAGTGAGCTGAGATCGCGCCACTGCAGTCCAGCCTGGGCAACAAAGTAAGACTCCATGTCAAAAAAAGAAAAGAGGCTGGGCTCAGTGGCTCACGCGTGTAATCCCAACACTTTGGGAGGCCAAGGCGGGTGGATCACGAGGTCAGAAGTGCAAGACCAGCCTGGCCAAATTGGTGAAACCCCATCTCTACTAAAAATACAAAAAAATTAGCTGGGCGTTGTGGCAGGCGCCTGTAATCCCAGCTCTTGGGGAGGCTGAGACAGAGCATTGCTTCAACCTGGGAGGTGGAGGTTACAGCAAGCTGAGATCACGCCACTGCACTCCAGCCTGGGAGACAGAGCGAGACTCCATCTCAAAAAAAAAAAAAAAAAAAAAAGGAAAAAAAGATAAGAAAAGACACCACAGGGCCATACGGGTTTACAGCTCAGTATTAAGTAACCTTAACGAAATCTGATTTTATTTAAAATGGTCAAGGCCAAGGAAAAAAAAAGATTAGTGACTTTCTTCAATTAATTTTATGGTATCATGTCAAAGCTTGATATAGTTAATACATTTCAACTAACTTAGGATGAGAATGTTTATAAAACAGACGTCATTTTATGTACCATTACAAATACACTGTAAATTAAACAGACTTTCTCGACAAAAGAAAAACTGTTGTTGACGAGTTCACTTCCATTAGACGCACACAATGGTTTTTTTGGTTTTGTTTTCATTTGTTTGTGTTTTTTGAGACAAGGTCTCGCTCTGTTGCCCAGGGCTTGAGTGCAGTGGCATGACCATGATAATGTGCCTACTTTTCCATTTTCCTGTGTTGTTTCCACTATGTTAACAAATGAGCCTGAAAACACGGAGCACTGACCAGGCGACGTGGCTCACGCCTGTAATCCCAGCACTTTGGGAGGCCGAGGTGGGTGGATCACCTGATGAGGTTGGGAGTTCGAGACCAGCCTGACCAACATGGAGAAACCCCGTCTCTACTAAAAATACAAAATTAGCCGGGCGTGGTGGTGCATGCCTGTAATCCCAGCTACTCGAGAGGCTGAGGCAGGAGAATCGCTTGAACCCAGGAGGCGGAGGTTGCAGTGAGCCGAGATCGCGCCATTGCACTCCAACCTGGGAAACGAGCGAAAGTCCGTCTCGAAAGAAACAAAACAAAACAAAAAATGAGCACTGATCCGGGGGTGCCTGTTTCCTCGACCTCAGGCTGTGGCGCCTGCCAGTCCCCAACATCCCCACCGCCCGACGGCGTCTCCGCGTTCCTCCCCCTCTCCCGGTACCAGGGTCTCTCCCCGTACCAGGGTCTCTCCCCAGAAACAAACTCGCATTCGTAACCGGCATCTTGGCCTTGCGCTAGGGGTGACTCGCCCAAGCCTCCATGAAGGGACGCTTGCACAAAGTGAAGCCCAGGTACAAAGAGCCCGACGGGAAACGCGGCCGCGCTCGCTCCGCTGCACTCGCAGCGCGGGCAGGAAGCCTTTTCCTCACCTTCGCCTCGGTGGCCCCAGGTGTCCCGGAGCTGCAGCAGCGTCTCCCTGTCCTCACAGCGGACGCGGCCCCAGGTGTCCCCAGGTGTCCCAAGCCCCGGCCCCTCCTGGGTGGGTCCTGAGGAGAGGAAGCTCCGTCCTCACAGTGGACCCCCCGTCCTCACAGTGGACCCCCCAGGACGCCGCCGTGCGGTTCGGACACGGTTCGCGCGCGCCGCCCTCCGGGTTTGGCAGGGCCGGGCGCCCCCTCGCGGCAGCTCTGGGGAATCTCTGAAAATCAGCGCCTTGATTTTTTCCAGGCCGTGATTTTGGAAATTTCAACTGAACTGGAGACCACCATCCCGTGCCTTGACCGGAACGCATGGAGATAGCAATCAAAGAAGATGGCCAGTTCACGCCTGTAATCCCAGCACTTTGGGAGGCTGAGTCGCGGATCACTTGAGGTCAGGAAATCGAGACCATTCTGGCCAACATGGTAAAACCCCATCTCTACTAAAAATACAAAAATTATCTGGGCGTGTTGGCACACGCCTGCAGTCCCAGCTACTCTGGAGGCTGAGGCAGGAGAATCCCTTGAACCCAGGAGGCGGAGGTTGCAGTGAGCCGAGATCGCGCCACTGCACTCCAGCCTGGCGACAGAGCGAGACTCAATATCAAAAAAAAAAAAAGAAAAAGAAAAAAATAAATAAAAAGAAAGAAGGAAAGAAGAAGGAAGAAAGGAAGGGGAAGGGGAAGGGAGAAGGAAGTTAAGAAGAGACTCCAGGCTAGGTGCAGTGGCTCACGCCTGTAATCCCAGTACTGCGGAAGACTGAGGTGTAAGGATCACTTGAGCCCAGGAGTTCAAGACAAATCTGAGCAACGTAAAGATCCTGTTGTCTGTGCCAACATTTTGTTCTGTTTTGTTTTTGAGACGGAGTTTCACTCTTATTGCCCAGGCTGGAGTGCAATGGCGCGATCTTGGCTCACTGCAACCTCCACCTCCAGGGTTCAAACAATTCTCTTGCCTCAGCCTCCCGAGTAGCTGGGATTACAGGCGCGCACCACCATGCATGGCTAATTTTTGTATTTTTAGTAGAGACCGGGTTTTGCCATGTTGACCAAGCTGGTCTCAAACTCCTGACCTCAGGTGATCCCCCCACCAAGGCCTCCCAAAGTCATTCACGCCTGGGATTACAGGCGTGAACCACCGCGCCCGGCCAATTTTTTTTTTTTTTTAATTAGCTGTGCATGGTGGCTGGTGCCTATACTCCTAAGTACTTGGGAGGCTGAGGCCGGAGGATTGCTGGAGCCCAGGAGACCGAGGCTGCAGTGAGCTGTGATCACACCACTGCACTCCAGCCTGGGTGATAGAGCAAGACCTTCTCTCTTAAAACAAAACAAAACAAACTGAAAAAAGGCTGGGTGTGGTGGCTCACGCGTGTAACCCCAGCACTTTGGGAGGCAGAGATGGGTGGATCACCTGAGGTCAGGAGTTCGAGACCAGCCTGGCCCACATGAGGAAACCCCATCCCTACTAAAAATACAAAAATTAGCCAGATGTGGTGGTGGGCGCCTGTAATCCTAGCTACTCAGGAGGCTGAGGCAGGAGAATTGCTTAAACCCGGGAGGCGGAGGTTGCAGTGAGCCAAGATCGCACCACCGCACTCCAGCCTGGGCGACAGAGCAAGGCTCTGTCTCAAAAAAAAAAAAAAAAGAAAGAAAAAGAAAAAAGAAAAAAAGATAGCCAGTAGACAAAACTCTATTTATTTTCTTTCTTTTCTTTTTACTCTTAAAAAGGGTCTCGCTCTGTCGCCCAGAATGGAGTGCAGTGCCCTGAGCATGATAATGTGCTACTTTTCCATTTTCCTGTGTTGTTTCCACTACGTTAACAAATAAGCCTTAAAACACCAAGCACTGGCCAGGCGAGATGGCTCACGCCTGTAATCCCAGCACTTTGGGAGGCTAAGGCGGGTGCATTGCCTGAGGTCAGGAGTTCGAGACCAGCCTGGCAAACATAGTGAAACCCGTCTCTACTAAAAATAGAAAAAATTAGCTGGGCGAGATGGCGGATCCCTGTAATTCCAGCTACTCTGGAGGCTGAGGCAGGAGAATCGCTTGAACCCGGGAGGCGGAGGTTGCAGTGAGCCGAGAACGCGCCATTGCACTCCAGCCTGGGAAACCAAAGCGAAACTGTCTCAAAAAAAAAAAAAAAACACGAGCACTGATCAGGGGGCGTCTGTTACCTCGGCCTCAGGCTGTGGCCCCTGCCAGTCCCCAACCTCCAGACCGCCCGACGGCACAACGGCGTCTCCACGTTCCTCCGCTTCTCCCGGGACCAGGGTCTCTCCCCAGAAACAAAATCGCATCCGTAACCGGCATCTTGTCCTGTGCTGGGGGTGAGCCGCCCAAGCCTCCATGAAGGGACGCTCGTACAAAGTGAAGTCCGGGTACAAATGGCCAGACGGGAAACGCGCCGCGCTCGCTCCGCGGCACTCACAGCGGGGGCAGAAAGCCTTTTTCTCACTTTCTCCTCGGCGGCCCCAGGTGTCCCGGAGCGTCTCCCTGTCCTCACAGCGGACGTGGCCCCAGGTGTCCCGAAGCCCCGGCCCCTCCGGGGTGGGTGCTGAGGAGAGGAAGCTCCGTCCTCACAGTGGAAGCCCCACGACGCCGCCGTGCGGTTCGGACACCGTTCGCGCGCGCGGCCCTCCGGGTTTGGCAGGGCCGGGCGCCCCCTCGCGGCAGCTCTGGAGAATCTCTCAAAATCAGCGTCTGGATTTTTCCAGGCCGATATTTTGGAAATTTCGACTGAAATGGAGCCCGCCATCCCCAGCCTTGACGGGAACTCATTGAGATAGTAATCAAAGAAGATGGCCAGTTCACGCCTGTAATCCCAGCACTTTGAGAGGCTGAGGCGGGGGGATCACTTGAGGTCAGGCGTTCGAGACCAGCCTGGCCAACGTGGTGAACCCTCGTCTCTACTAAAAATACAAAAATTAGCAGGCATGATGGCGCGTGCCTGTAATCCCAGCTACTCTGGAGGCTGAGGCAGGAGAATCGCTTGAACCCGGGAGGCGGAAGTTGCAGTGAGCTGAGATTGTGCCACTGCACTCCAGCCTGGGCAACAGAGCGAGACTCCTTCTCAAAAAAAAAAAAAAAGAAAGAAAGAAAAAAAGAAGATGGCCAGTAGACAAAACTAAATTGATTTTCTTTCTTTTCTTTTTAAGAGACAGGGTCTCGTTCTGTTACCCAGGCTTGAGGACAGTGGCATAATCACAGCTCCTGGGTTCAGCTTCCAGCTCCCGGCTTCAAGAGATTGTCCAACCTCAGCCTCCCAAAGCACTGAGATTACAGGTGTGAACCACCGTGCCCAGCCCCACCTGATTTTCTTTTATTTATTTATTTTAATTATTTTATTTTATTTTTTATTGGGGGGGTGGGTCTCATTATATTGCCCAGGCTGGTCTAGAACTCCCAAGCTCAAGTGATCCTCCCAACTCAGCCTCCCAAAGTGCTAGGATTACATGCGTGAGCCACCATGCACTGCCTGACCTTCTTTCTATCAGCAATAATGTATAGGAATAATTTGAACTTGAAATAAAAAAAAACCATTTACAATAGCACCCCCAAAATTGAATTTATTAAGTATAAATGTAACACAATACATCTAAATATGCATTCAGAAAACCTTGGATCATGGTTGGGAAGAATAAAAAATATATAAATAAATGCAGATACTCCTTGTTTAGGAGCAGTACACTCATTACTGTTAGCTTTACCACAAAGCTAAAGTAATGAAGAGAGTGATATTGGTGAAGGAATGGACAAATAGATGAACGGAATAGAATACAGAACCCAAAAGACCCAAATAAATATAGTCAACTGCTTTTGTCAAAGGGGCAAAAATATTCAATGGGGAAAGAAAAATCTGTTCCACAGATGGTGACAGAACAATCAGAAACCATAGGGAAAAAAATGAACGTAGATACAAACTTCATAGCTCACCCCTAAAAAATCACTCAAGATAGTCTGTAGACTTAAATTTTCAAATATAAAATTGTAAAAGTTATAGAAGAAAATCCATATGACTTTGGATTGGTGATGAGTCTTTAGATACAATATCAAAAGCCAGTTCATAAAATAAAAAAAGATAATGTGGACTTTATTAAAATTTAAAATGACTATTCTATGAAATATCCCGTTAAGAGAATCAAAAAACAAGCCACAGACTGAGAGAAAATATTTAAAAAACAAACTTGAAAAAGACTTGTGTGCAAAATATACAAACAAATTCTAATAACAAAAAGAAAAACAACCCAATTAAAAGATAGACACCTCATCAAAAAAGATATACAGATGACATGCCCAGGTGCAGTGGCTCATGTCTGTAATCTCAGCACTTTGGGAAGAGGAGGCTGGCAATCACTTGAGGCCAGGAATTTGAGACCAGCCTGGCCAACATGGCAAAATCCTGTATCTACTAAAAATACAAAAATTAGCTGGGAGTGGTGGCTCACACCTGTAATCCCAGCTACTTGGGAAGTGGAGGCAGGAGAATCACTTGAACCGGGGAGGCAGAGGTTGCAGAAAGTTGAGATCATGCCACTGCACTTCAGCCTGGGCGACAGACCAAGACACCATCTTAAAAAAAAAAAAAAATGGAGTTTTGCTGTCACAAGCCAAGAAACTAACAGAAGCTGAAGACAGGCCCAAAACGGATACTTCCCTAGTGCCTTCAGAGGGAGCATGGCCCTGCTGAGACAGAGTAGAAATAGGACTCGGCCCACCCCCACTAACGTGTTGTTCCATACATGCCCGCTGACCACCAGACCTTGCCGCACCACCCTCCAGGTGCTATACTCGCTGGCCAGACCTTGCCAACTGTATGAAATAAACTAAGATAAGCAGCATCTGGCCGTAAGTCTTACTCAAGGGAGTTGACTCTATCACCCACTTGTGCACGAGGCCAGGAGAATGACTGATCCTTACCCCTGGCCTCATTATAATACTAAAGTCCCCACCCAGGTATAGGCTTATCTGCTATTTTCTGATCATGCAACGTATGTGTTAGCACGATTCTTTACTGCATCTGAGCACCCTTCACTCCACCCTGTAGGTGTAACGACACTCACCTAACTCATAAAGTATGCATGTCACCCTCCTTAAGACACCACAATGCACTCCCCTTGGTGAGCCAGCCAAGAATCCTTCCTCCTGGCCAACCTTTAGGGCATAAGACTTAATACGTCTCTCTTCTGCTCAACCTTTAGGGGCATAAGACTTAATAAAGCCTTGTCTGGGAAACTTGCTTGGCCTTGTATCAACTTCTGTTTCATGGGAGCCTAAGAACATGTAGTCAGGAATGCTGCCAACATCTTTATTTCCAACTTCTGGACTTCAGAACTGAGACAAATCTCTGTGGTTCTAAGCTACCCATTTTGTGGCACTTTGTTACGGCAGCCCTAGGAAACAAACGCAGGCACGTTCTGCTCCATCTGCCGCTCTCTCCAGACCACAGCTCTTCCTCAAACCCACCCCATGAGAGGCTGAGGACAGAAGCAGGACCCTTCACAGGCCACCATCACTGCTGGATGGTCATTTCCAGCACTGACTGGGAGCTCCAGCCTCATCTCTCAGTTTCTAGGAGCAAGTGGGAGGATGAGGACAAGGAGGAATGAGGGCTCTGGCCTCCCAGGAACTGTCCCTGAACCTCCACCCTGCTGTCCATGAAGCTGCCCCTGAGCCTCCACCCTGACCTCAGCCCAGTGCTGTCCCTGAGCCTCCACCCTGCTGTCCCCAGAGCTGCCCCTGAACCTCCACCCTGACCTCAGCCCAGAGCTGTCCCTGAGCCTCCACTACTGCTGTCCCCAGAGCTGCCCCTGAGTCTCCACCCTTACCTTAGCCCAGAGCTGTCCCTGAACCTCCAGCCTGCTGTCCCCGGAGCTGCCCCTGAGCCTCCACCCTTACCTTAGCCCAGAGCTGTCCCTGAACCTCCACCCTGCTGTCCCCGGAGCTGCCCCTGAGCCTCCACCCTTACCTTAGCCCAGAGCTGTCCCTGAACCTCCACCCTGCTGTCCCCGGAGCTGCCCCTGAGCCTCCACCCTTACCTTAGCCCAGAGCTGTCCCTGAACCTCCACCCTGCTGTCCCCGGAGCTGCCCCTGAGCCTCCACCCTGCTGTCCCCAGAGCTGCCCCTGAGGCTCCACCCTGCTGTCCCCGGAGCTGCCCCTGAGGCTCCACCCTGCTGTCCCCGGAGCTGCCCCTGAGGCTCCACCCTGCTGTCCCTGGAGTTGCCCCTGAGCCTCCACCCTGCTGTCCCCGAAACTGTCATTGAGCATCCACCGGGCTGTCCCTAGAGCCCAGAAAGCCTAGGGCTGGCCAAACCTCACCCCTCACTCCTCCTCTGGCCCCTCTTCCCAGCCATCAGCACTTTGGAACAGCCATGAAGCCCCTTTTAATCTCTAGAAAGGTGCCTCAGGAAGGCACAGAGAGGTCACACCAGGTGGTCATGGTGCCTTACCTGTGTACACTGGGCCCAGGCTGGCCCTTTAAGGGGATGATGGTGGAACAGCTGAGACCACACCCCTCTTCTCAGAGAGGCCAGGGATAAAGAAAAGGGACAGCGGAAGGAAGAACCTGTGGGCAGGATGCTGAGGGTAGAGGCTGCTCCCCACAGGCACTGAGCGGAGGGATCCTTTCTCCCTGAAGCTGCCCCTGAGCCTCCATCCAGACAGGACCTCCAACCACTGCTAGGGGCCCATTCTCAGGAGGTTCAGTCCCAGACAAGGGCTCCGGAGACTTAAGTCCACTTTCCCAAAATGGACATGATTCATCTGGCAAGTCAGGGACCCAGGACATCCAGGACCAAGCCTTGCTAAGGACGGAAGGGAGTAACATGCCCTGGTGGACGTGGGGGCCAAGTCCTCCTGTGGCAGATAGGCAAGGGGCTGTGCCCTCCACTCCGTACACCCTGCTGGCAGCACATGCTCTGAGCTCAGGTCCCAGTGCCTTCCTGCTCCTCCTCCAGGCCCACAGATTTCTAAGGACCCGCTGGGCCACAGGTGAACAGTGCAGTGGCCTCCTGGACGCAGGGCTCCAAGGCTCCTCATCGGGTGCCAGCACAGTCCTGGCTCAGCAGCACACCAGCCCTGTGGGCCCCCATCCGAGTCTGGAACAGAGTGCAGGAGGAGGGAAGGGCTCAGGTAGCATGTTCAGAACTCATCCTGGGAGCAGCTGCCTCCTTTCTGGCAAGCCCAGCCTCCCTCCTCCTCCAGGAAGCCCTCCTGAGGTCCACACCCAGAGGCCAAGCAGCGCCTGTGTCTTGGACATTCTGTCTTTCCTCCATGTGCCAGCCCAGCCTCATCACGGGACCCTGAGTCCCTTCAGGCTCCTCAGCACTCCCCCAGCACAGGACCTGGTGCTCACGGCAGCCTGAACCAAGGTACAGATGGTGATATCTGCCCAGGACAGAGCCAACTCCTGACAGCATGTGCCTCAGGGCCTTTCAGCAGCTGCAGAGACTGGGCATTCCCAACACACACACACACACACACACACACACACACACACACACAGAGACACACACACACACAGACACATACACACACAGACACACACATAAACACACACACAGACATACACAAACACACACAGACACACACACGAACACACACAGACACAAACACACACAGACACACACATAAACACACACACAGACATACACAAACACACACAGACACACACACACAAACACACACAGACACACACACAGATACACAGACACACACATACACACACAAACACACACAGACACACACAGACACACAGACATACACACAAACACAAACACACAGACACACACATAAACACAGACACACAGACATACACACACACAAACACACAGACACACACAAACACACACACATAAACACACACAGACACACACAGACATACACACAGACACACACACAAACACATACACACACACAAGTCGCTGTCAGGACTGGTGACTTTCAAAGCACTGGGCTAAGGCGAGCAGACCTGGATCCTTCTGTGGGGCCACAGGCGGCCCCTGCCTCCAAAAGGAAGCTGTTCCCTTGGTGAGACCAGGAACCTCCATCCCATGCACAACACACAACACACCCTCCATCACTGCACTGCTCCCTAAACACACAACACACCCTCCGTCACTGCACTGCTCCCTGGAGACAAACCTACGGCACCAGATCCCCACCCGCAGGTCTAAATAACCCCTGGCAGGTGCCCTGATTCTCTAGGGAAGGGCTGGTGCCTGCAACAGGATGACAGTCCAGGGGACAGTCATGATCTGTGCCCTGCTCAGCCTTGTACTCGGCTGCCCAGGCTCGTGACAGTCACACCTACCACCTTGGGGAAAGGGGGAGACTCTGTGAAGAGCCAAGTGCCTGGTTTATGGTTCAAATTGAACATTTGGACAAAAATCTTGAAAACTAGGCTCCTCATTGAGAGAAAAAAGGATTTTTCTGCATAGTAAGTTGGAGCCGCGGTGTGGAAGGGACATCCTTGCTGCACAGGGCCCAGGGATGCCCTAGGGCACAGGGAGGGAAGATCCTGGAGAAGAGGGGTCAGCTTGGCCCAGACCCCAGGGAGGGGCCCTCACTGCTTCTTGTCCTTTGCCCAAAGTGAGGAGTCTGAGGGGAAAAACCAGAGACCATTCAATGGAGCCCTCCCTCTCCCCCTCCTCCCACCCAGGGGGCATGAACCGCCAGCCCTGCAGGGAGGGGAGGGGCTGATGCAACCCCCAAGTTGCTCACTGGTTCCTGGGCTGTGGGGGCCCAACAGGGCCACAGACGGGGAATTGCAGAGCCCACTCCACAGCTGTGGTGCCAGCATGCGATCTGTGGGGACCAGGGGACCAGGGGACCAGGCAGAGCAGGAGCCCAGAGGCAGTGAGAGCCCCAAGGGCAGCACACACACCACAGACCCTTCCCCATGGCCACAGGGCAGACACCTTTGCAGAAGGAGGAGGTGAGGCACATGGTGGGTGCAGACAGCCGCAAACCAGAGGGGACAGAGATAAGTCATGAGAAATTTACGTTTTTCCGTCAACAGTGGAACTGGAGACATGAGAACAAAAAGAAATCAGTAACGGAGAATAAAGCTAGTTTTTCCCCACTGGAGACACAGCGTATAAATTGAAATACACTGAATATACAGAAACGGCTCCAAGCACTGACAAGTTTCCCATACTGGCCGCCAACCCTCATGAAAGCCAACATCTCTGGCAGGCCAGAGCTCTGGGCAACACCTGCCCCCGACGCCCTGCCGTGGTCTCTGCACACACCTGGAAGTTCCCATTGTGCACACCGTAGAGGGGCTAGGAGAACACCGCTAGAGAGGGCACATTCTAGTAGAAGGTTCTCTTCACCCTGAGGCCAGGAGAGGCCAGTCAGAGGCCTATGGGGACCCAGGTGGCCTGAGGTCACTGCAGAGGCTGAGCTTCCTTCCATCAGCAGGAGGTCCGCCCACCTCATCCCTGCCACTGCCTCTCTCCCATCTCATCACATCCCAACCCACTCTCAGGGCAGGACCTAACTGGGCCTCCTTGCCTAACAGCCGCATAGAACTGACTTATACTGAGGCACGCGTCCTTTACAGCATGAGCTACGATGGTGGGTTCAGAACAGGGAGTTGTCAGCTAGATCCTCAGCCCGCAGAGGGAGCCACACCTCCAGGAACTCTATCTTTGCCATCAGCACGTCTGTGGCTCCCACCCCACCCAGTGTCTCCCTGAGCACCTGACTTGCTGCCAAGGATCCAGTGACCCTCCCACAAGGATGTCACCTGGGGCTCCAACCCAACAGGTGCAAATAGACCTCGCCAACCTCCCCGCAAGGCTGTGCCCCATTTCCCCACCTCAGGGGTCACCACTCATATCTCATCCAGCCACACGTCCCCTCTATTTCTCCCCCTAAGACCCTGCAATTCCCTCCACCTTGCTCTATCTCCACTTCTTTCACTGGCTCACGCCAAATCATCTCCCTGTGGGCACCCCACTGGCCCCCACTGGCCCCCAGCAGGTCCCCCATGTCCCCTTTTCCCAGCAATCCATTCCTCAAAACATAAACTAGGTCGTATTACACAGTTTCACACTTTCCTTTGCTCCAAGGAGAAGCCAAGCACCCTCCCGCTTAGCCCCACCCAACACCCCTCTCCCCACACCCTCTTCCTCACATCCTCGGCCTGACATGGCCCCTGCACTCCCTCTTGTAACCTGACATGTGGTGCATGAGGCGTGATGGTTTATTTAAGGAGGGTCCTTGTCCATCTTGTTCTCTAAGGCATCGGCCAGGGTGAGAAGAGGGTCCTGTGTACACCAGATGCCCCAACTGACCTTTCATATAACGTGTGAACAAATGAACAAACCAAGCTCCTCCAGAGGCAGGAGACTAGGACCTCCGGCTCTTGATCTCGGTGACTCTGGGTCTGGTCGGGACCAAGCTGCCCTTATCTTCAGCCTCTGCCTCAGACCCCCCTTCCCTGCTCTCCCCTGGCAAGTTGAGAACCCTCTTCTGGACCAGGGTGGAGACTCGAAAAGCCCACCCCGTCCAGGACCAGGCAGTGGAGAGGGGAGGGGAGGAACCAGACAAGGGCGGCCCTTGACGGCCCACCCACCACACACTCACACATGCACACAGTCACACATCTGCACACATACACTAACATGCACACTCTTGCCCGCTCACACATGTACACACACGCACACATCAGCCACCTACCTGGGCGACAGCTTGAACAGGAGGTAGGTCGGGCCAGTCAGCAGGAGAAAGATGGACACAGCAACAAAGGTGTTGCCTGGCCACCCCCAGGGTGGGATCAGAGGGTCCGTGGGCAGGAAGGGCCCAGGGCTGTGAGCAGCGTCAGTGCCAGGAGGCTCCCCACAAACCTACCTGGCAAAAGTGCGCCCTTTAGTGCCCTGGGCCAAAGTGGAAGGTTTGTGATGAGCCTTGGAGGTTTGTGTCATCTGCTGAAGGACCTTGTGATGGGCCTTGGAGGTTTGTGTCACCTGCTGAAGGACCTTGTGTGAACCACACTCCTGGGCCTCACTCTTCCCATCTGCCACACAGTGGGTCATAAGGTCCCTGGGCCATCTCAGCACTGCAGTGCGCAAGGGTCAGTCCAGCCCCCATTAAGGACACTGAGGTCATGTCCAGCCTCCAGGCAGGAGCCCAGCCCTGGTGTGCAGCCCTGCCACCCTCACTCCTAACAGCAGCCACTAACTACAGGTTCCCAGGAAGCCCCAGAGTTGGCAGGTGTTTGTTTCCTCCCTGCAGACCTCAAAGCTTCAGAGGAAGGGGGTCAACTGGGACATGGCTGACTCAGGGAGGGGCTTCCAGGAGGCTGAAAGGGAGTGGGGGACACCCAGCCCAGACTCTGGAAGTGCGGCAGCCATAGCAGCGCCCACCTTGTCTCTGGGGAGCCTGGAAGCACACGGGCTGGCTCCCCTCGCTCCTCCTGTGCCCCGTCATCCCCCAGCATGGCCGTCTGGACACGCAGCCTGGCCTCAAGGATAAAGCCAGGGTCCAGCTCAAAGGCTTCAAGTATGAGCCAGGTCACCCCGACAATGTGATCCCTGTGCTGGGCCCGCTGTGGGGGTGGCGACAGTTGGCAGGTGCTGAAGGTGGGGCTGGGTCCCTCAGCCCTTGAGAATACACACACGCACACGCTCACATAACACACACATGAACGCACCTGTGCTCACACAGGCACACTCGCCATGTTCACGTGCACACACACACAGAGAAGGCACACTCACACACAGATACAGCTGCGTTTGCCCACAAATACACATATGCACACACAGGCAAACATGTCTACAGGCACACTTTCACACTCATCACACCTGCATGCACACTCATATACACGAGTGTGTGCACAGAAGCACACTCACCACACTCACATACACGTACACAGAGGCATGCCCATGTGCACACTCACACATACAAACACAAGGCGCAGACACACTCATATGTACACTTACAAACACAAACATGGGCACACTTGTAAGTGCACACATAAACACATGCACACTTACCACACTTATGTGCACACACAGAGACACAGGCACACTCACCCTACTCACATACACACACATGAAGCACACACATGTAAATGTTAGCATGTGTGCACACACACACCTGGCTCCAGTTCCTCCCCTCCTCATCACTCCAAGTTGACCTCGCCTTATTTAGAGTGGGGAGTCTGCCCTGGACTGCTGCTCCCAGGAGTGAGGCCCCCAGGAGAAAAGCCAGCCAAAGTGTTACCTCCCAGGCCTCTTCCTGCCTCTTGAAGTCCAGCTCATAGCTGAGAAGTGTGGTCATTGACTCCAAGGCAGGACTGAGGCTCCAGGTCAGGATGCAGTGGCGAGCTGACGTGCTCTGCAAGTCAGAGTGGGTCCAGCTTCACAGGAACAGAGAGAATCCATGTAAGGCTGAAGCCCCATGGGTCTGGGTGTGTCAGTCAGCACACCCAAGACTGGGGATCTGAAAGATTCCCAAGGGGCATGGTCAAGACCCTCTCAGACCAGACACCTCACTGGGAGACTGGTCCAGAAAAGCCCCAGATGGGACAGGACAGCAGTGACTTCCTTTGGCCCCTGCAGTAACCACGTGGACCCTCCCTTCCCAGGGGCCAAGCCTGCCCCCAGCCCTGGATCTTACTTGGCAGGGACTGAGAACACTTACTGGGCCACAGGGGTCACAGGCTGCAGGGCCTTTCTCCCAGCCCCCAGGCAGCCAGGATGTTCTTGCCAAGGGGCCCTGCCCCAGGCCTATAGCTGCTGTTCACCGTGTCTCCAGGGCAGGTACTACAGGTCCACCAGGCTGACCTGATCCCTCCCGGACATGCAGTGGTAGAAAGTGATGATGAAATTGTCAGATGGCAGGAGTGCTGCCTTGGGCGGCAACACTACAGTGCACTCACTGCCCTGCCAGATGCACTTCTGTGTGCCACCAGCAGCCTGGTTGCTGAAAAGGGCATGTGTCAGCACCACGGGGCTGCTACACTATCCTGGTGCAGCTGCTGCAATCCTCACCCTCATCCCTATCCAGGTGGGCATGGCCCTCCACCCTCACCTGATGAAGGGGAGCCCGGGGCTGGAGCCCTGACCCAGCTCTGGGGCAGACCAGTGGCAATCAATCCTGAGAATGTTGTTGGTGAGGCAGGTGGAGGTTCCAGCCCTTGGCCCTGGAGACAGTGACGGCTGGGAGCCCACAGTGAGTGCTTCAGAAGAGAGCTGAGTTGGGGGATTGGGGGGGATCCGGCAGCTGACATCCTAGCAGGGCAGTCACCAGTGAATGACCCCAGAATCTGTCCAGGGAAGCACTGGGAGGCCTGGGAAGTGATGGGCTCTGACCCATGGTACATGGGCAAGTCAGAACCAGAGAGGTGTCAAGAGGGTGAAGGAAGGGTGGGTCCAGGGACCGGAGGTAGGGAGGTAAAGGAAGGGAGACTAGAGACAGAGGTCCAGGCTGACCCCTAGAGGACATGCCCCAGCACAATTTGGGCCAAAACTTTCCCTAGGGGATCGACATTGGACAACCCAGTCCCCCAAACATACCCTAGTTCTCCACCCACCTCATACAGACACTAGTGCCCAGCCCTCACCTCGTCCATCCCCTGAGACAGAGACTCCCGAGCAGACACAGGTGCAGACGCAGGTGCAGGCCAGAAGCCAGGTGCCCATGTCTCGTCTCAGGGCCTCACTCTCCAAGGTCCAGCCTGCAAGGGGCTGGGCTGAGGGCCTGTGCGAGCCATCCCTCTCTGGAGGGGTGCTCCCCATGAATTGCTCCCTAGCAGAGTGCTCAGTGGATCTCCATCTGCACTCACGCGGTGTCCTGTGAAAGATGCTGGGCACCACTGCCCAGGGTTTACTGATAAGGAACTGAAGCTCAGAAAGGCTGCTTGACCCTGCCAAAGACTCATGATTGCAGGCTGTAAGATGCACCCTCAAACTTAGATCCTGGACTCTGACTCAGCTAGATCTCCACGTCTGCCAAGAAGGCTCCTCTCTGGGACAGGCATCCTCTGCCAGCCCATCCCCTGTCCCTGGGCCCAGGCCCCATCCTGCAGGGGTGTCGGGATTGGGGGAACCACTCACTACCAACAACCACCACAGGTGCATTTTCTACTTTAATTCTCACAACAGCTCTGTAAGGGAGAAGCACTGTCCCTGTTCACAGGCAAGGAGCTGAGTCCCAAGAAGGGAAGGAGGAGAAATCACTTGCCCAGGGTCACATAGACAACCTCTATGCATTTATTTATTAATTTATTTATTTATTTATTTTTGAGACGGAGTCTCCCTCTGTCGCTCAGGCTGGAGTGCAGTGGCGTGATCTCGGCTCACTGCAACCTCCAACTCCTGGGTTCGAGCGATTCTCCTGCCTCAGCCTCCCAAGTAGCTGGGATTACAGGTGCCCGCTGCCACACCCAGCTAATTTTTTTGTATTTTTAGTAGAGGCAGTTTCACCGTGTTGGCCAGGCTGGTCTCGAACTCCTGACCTCAAGTGATCCACCCACCTCGGCCTTCCAAAGTGCTGGGATTACAGGCATGAGCCACGGTGCCTGGCCTCTATGCATTCTCTCTCCCTTTTGTGTTCTTACATAAAGACCCATCCCAGGATCTGCCCCAGGAAGGTGGACAAGGGTGGCAGCAGAGTATCCATGCAACAGATGGCACTTCCTGAATTCTATCTGTTGCACCCCTGTTCGAAGGTACCTCCAAAGGAGAGCACCACCAGAAGGACGAAGACCCCCCCCTGCTGGAGTGTGAGGCCTGGGTCCCAGGATCTCTGGGGGAGCCAGAGGTTGGCTGGAGATGAGGCGCTGAGTGTCAGGAAGTTCTTGGGTGTGGGAAGGCTACTGATGCCCCATCACCCCATTTGCAGCTCCAGACGGTACACCCATAGCCCGTAGGCAGGAAGCAGGGCCAGCCTGGTTACCAAAGGCTGATTAGTGATAAGGAGAAGAAAAAAAACAGACATACGTGCTGGCTACAGGGTGCACACTCTTAAGGAACCCGCACACCCTCAACGGGCATCAGGCACTACTCTAACCCCACTCTGCCCCACTCCCGGTAGCGTATCCAGGTACCCATAGGACAGTCCCCTGTTAAGACTGATGATCAGTAATCCTCACCCTTTCTAGAATGGAGCGTGCAGCCTGGAACCACCAGCCGCAGCATGAAACACCGTGGCAAGTTCTCTGCAGCAGTGTCTGTCCCTTTGTGCAACAGTTACTGGAAAGGTAGGAATGGGAAGACAGTCAGCCTGCTCTTAGGATATCTGAGGGCAGAGTTGGAGTGACCACAAGGACCTGGGGAAGCACGGGCACAACAGCCACAGCTGAGAGCTGACCCAGGCCCCAGAATGGACAACCGCTGCCCCAGCACTGGAGAAACACCCACATCTATGTAGAATCAGGCCAGGCCAGCCACAAGCTAACCCAGGAGCAGATGGCTTGAGAGCAGGGAGTGGGGTGGCTTCAAGCTCAGCAGGCCTCGTTTCAAGACAGGGAGACGGGATGGTAGGGCAGGACCCACATGTGACATCTGAGAGCTACAAAGGAGGAGGCCAGGACACCCCCTGGGGGAGCACTGGAAAGTTGGGTACAGCAACAAGGCAATATGGCCATCTGAGGGGAAGGGCTCTGCTTTTCCTCCGCACTGAAAACTCACAGCTGTACCTGGTAAGCTGAGCAGGGCAGGGTTACCACCCTCCTACAGATGAAGAAACTGAGGCTCAGAGACCTGGGACCTGCCCAATATCTGGCTCCTGACACCTCTTCTTAGCACATTCCCACCAGCTTCTACACAAGCCTGTGAACTTCCCGAGGGGAGTGCCTGCGAGGCACCCTCAGCACATGCCCCAGCAGAAGGCACACAGTGCTTTACAAATGGGGTGGAGCTGCAGGCGGAGCTGCCTTCCCCCATCCTTGACCACAGGGCCAGGCAGCCAGGGCAGGTGCACACACACCCCCACCCACATGCTCCCTGCTCCTGGATGTCACTAGGGAGGCCTCACCGCAGCTCAGACAACACCCGGTCACAGGACGGTTGTGAGAGCAGGAGGGGAAACCAGTGTCTGCCACCTGGGACAGAGCTGCCCCTGACATCCCTAGACCTGCTGGGGAGCCTGGCTGACATCACTGCCTGGTACAGCTTCTGCCACATTGGGTCTGTGGACATAGCCTTCAGCCCATGGTCACTCTGGCCCCTTCTCAGAGCCGCACCTATTCCATGGCCTCAGCATCAAGGCCTGGCCCAGAAGGCACTGGGCCTCACGGCCTGCCTGCCCTGGTTCCCTGGGCCACTGCGAAGCTGTGGGCTGCTCTGCAGCTGGACCCCTGCCTCAGACCACAGGCTCTGCCACACCCACGGGAGGGTCTTCAGACAAGCTCAGCCCTTCCCCCTCCATTAGCCGGGCATGGTGGCCCACGCCTGTAGTCCCAGCTACTTGGGAGGCTGAGGTGGGAGGATCACCTGAGCCCGGCAGGTTTAGGTTGTGGTGAGCCGTTATCGCACCAGTGTACTCCAACCTGAGTGACAGTGAGACCCTGTCTCCAAAAAGAAAACCAACAACTGCAGCAAGAATATTACCAAAGTTGAGAAAACTAATGCAGCAAAACAGGAATCTACTAATATGTGTTAAAACTGGCAGTGGTAAAAGCATGTGTGGATCAGGAACAAGCTTAGGTGGACAAATGTATGAAGATTGTGAAATCATAAAGTGCTTAAAGTGTACGGTTTTTCACTGCATCATCATTATTATTATTATTTTTGAGACGGAGTCTCACTCTATCACCCAGGCTGGAGTCCAGTGGCAAGGTTTTGGCTCACTGCAACCTCCACCTCCCGGATTCAAGCGATTCTCCTGCCTCAGTCTCCCAAGTAATGAAGGGGGCCTGCCCCTCCATACCTGTCGGTATTTCTTGCAAGATGGAGACAAGAGACTGAGAAAAGGAAATAAGACACAAAGACAAAGTATAGAGGAAGAAAAGTGGGCCCAGGGGACCGGCGCTCAGCAAGTGAGGACCTGCACCGGTGCTGGTCTCTGAGTTCCTCAGTATTTATTGATCACTATCTCTACTATCTCGGCAAGGGGGATGTGGCAGGACTATAGGGTAATGGTGGGCAGAGGGTCAGCAGGAAAACGTGAGCAAAGGAATCTGTGTCATAAATAAGTTTAAGGAAAGGTGCTGTGCCTGGATGTGCACGTAGGCCAGGTTTATGTTTGACTTTACACAAACCTCTCGGTGCACTAAAGAGCAGTATTGCCGCCAGCATGTCTCACCTCCAGCCACAGGGCGGTTTTCTCCTATCTCAGTAAATAGAATGTACAGTCGGGTTTTACACCGAGACATTCCATTCCCAGGGACGAGCAGGAGACAGATGCCTTCCTCTTATCTCAACTGCAAAGAGGCCTCCCTCTTTCACTAATCCTCCTCAGCACAGACCCTTTATGGGTGTCGGGCTGGGGGACGGTAAGGTCTTTCCCTTCCCACGAGGCCATATCTCAGGCCGTCTCAGTGGGGGGAAACCTGGACAATACGCAGGCTTTCTTGGGCAGAGGTCCCTGCGGCTTTCCGCAGTGCACTGTGTCCCTGGTTAATGGAGAATGGCAATGACTTTTACCAAGCATACTGCCTGCAAACACATTGTTAACAAAGCACATCCTGCACGGCCCTAAATCCCCTAAACCTTGAGTCAATACAGCACATGTTTCTGTGGACACAGGGATGGGGCTAAGGTTACAGATTACCAGCATCTCAAAGCAGAAGAATTTTTCTTAGTACAGATCAAAATGGAGTTTCTTATGTCTTCCTTTTTCTACATAGACAGAGTAACAGTCTGATCTCTCTTCCTTTCCCCCACAGAGTAGCTGGGATTACAAGCATGCACCACTATGCCCAGCTAATTTTTGTATTTTTAGTAGAGATGAGGTTTTCCCATGTTGGCCAGGCTAGTCTCGAACCTCTGACCTTAGGTGATCCACCCACCTTAGCCTCCCAAAGTGCTAGGATTACAGGTGTGAGCCACCACGCCTGCTTCTCTGTATTATTCATCAGCAAGAACTCTGTGGGAAATATCTGAATCCATTGTCAGTGGTGAATCTATTGACTCTTTCAGTGGTGTCAATGGTATACTTCATTTGCTCTCCTGCACGTAACCAGCATTCACAGATGCACATTTGCAATTGATTTCAATGACAGGGAACATTAACTTTGAACCCCAATTAAGCAAAATGGCATCCACTCTTCTCAGTAATAGACCCACATTACAAAAATTAAACTCAATTATTATTACATTTTGAATTTTGCCTATAATCACATTCTGAGGTTAAATTCAAAAAAATTAAAGAAGAAGTATAAAATTTTTTAAAAATTGCCTATAAAAAACATATGGAAGTTGCCAGTCTGGGCAACATGCCAAAACCCTGTCTCTACCAAAAAAAAAAAAAAAAATTAGCTGGGCATGGGGCGCACCTATAGTCCCAGCCACTAGGGAGTCTGAGATGGAAGGATCACTTGAGCCCAGGAGGTCCAGGCTGCAGTAAGCTGACATCATGCCACTACATTCCAGCCTGGGCAACAGAGTGAGACCCTGTCTCAAAGAAAATTAAAAAGTAAGTAATTATACTATTCACCCTCTGACCCTTAAGAAAACAGTTTGTAAACCCCTCAAACAGGTTATTATTATATCCACTTTATAGATGAGGAAATGAAGGCAGAGGTTCTGCAACTTGACCAGGGTTTCACAGCTAAGGCGCAGTCAGGGACACTGGCTTCAGAGTACATGATGTGTACCGTGGATCCATGCTGCCTTCCAACAACAAAACTGAACAGAAGAACTGTCACCTGAGGAAGTAAAACTAACAGCATAAGCAGAAGACGTTACAGATAATGCCCACGTGATAAAATCACATTTGGGAAACCAGAACAAACTATTCTGAACTAGAGCCAATTAGAGACAATAAGCTCAGGAACTGGTTAACATGTTCAAACAATATGAAAACAATCATATTAAATGTAAAGATTGGCCGGGGGCAGAGGCTCACACCTATAATCCCAGCATTTTGGGAGGCCAAGGTGGACGTATCACCTGAGGTCAGGAGTTTGAGACCAGCCTGACCAACAGGGAGAAACCCCATCTCTACTAGAAATACAAAATCAGTCAGGTGTGGTGGCGCATGCCTGTAATCCCAGCTACTCAGGAGGCTGAGGCAGGAGAATCGCTTGAACCTGGGAGGCAGAGGTTGCAGTGAGCCAAGATCATGCCACTGCACTCCAGCCTGGGCAACAGAGCAAAGCCCTGTCTCAAAAAAAAAAAAAAAAAAAAAAGATGTGGAGTGGGGAGTGGTGGCAGCTACTTAGAGGCCAAGGCGGTAGGATCACTTGAGCCCAGGTGTTTGAGGCCATCCTGGGCAACATAAACAAGACCCCATCTCTTTCAGAGAGAGAGAGAGAGATTGATTTAGAAAGCAATTAAGACTGGGGCCTTGACCAAGAATCAATTATCAATAACCTAGACTCAGCTAGTCTGAGGTTTCCTTTCTCTTCTGAGAGTTGAATGATTAACACAGAAAGTATAAAGTATAAAAACATAGTGCCGGGCGCTGTGGCTCATGCCTGTAATCCCAGCACTTTGGGAGGCCAAGGCAGGTGGATTATCTAAAGTCAGGTGATTCGAGACCAGCGTGGCTAACATGGTGAAACCCTGTTTCTACTAAAAAGACAAAAAATTAGCTGGGCATGGTGGCAGGCACCTGTAGTCCCAGCTGCTTGGGAGGCTGAGGCAAGAGAATCACTTGAACCCAGGAGGCAGAGGTTGCAGTGAGCCGAGATCATGCCACTGCACTCCAACCTGGGCGGCAGAGCGAGACTGTGTCTCAAAAAAAAAAAAAAGAATAGAATCTTATACGTTTAATGCAACCCTAGGAAGCAATCAGGGAAGGTTCAAAAAATGAATAAGGGAATAAGAGTAGGAGTAAAGAAATAAATTGAAATACCAGTGATGAGGATTTTCATAGCCTGTTCAAATCTACGTATGTAGTCAATTTTGGGATCACTGTGATTTGGGGTTTGCTTTCTACCTAATAAGCTATTTAAAACACTGAGAAGGCAATATTAGAACTTTCATTTTAATGAAATATTCAGAATTTTGATTAAAATAAATACTAAATTAAGTTTACAAGCAACAGTTAAATATTTAGAGACATTTAATGTACTCAGTTTTGCGAACAGTACAAACATTTAAGAGCGTTGATTGAGGCTGAATGCGGTGGCTCACGCCTGTAATCCCAGCACTTTGGGAGGCTGAGACGGGTGGATCACGAGGTCAGATTGAGACCATCTTGGCTAACACAGTGAAACGCTGTCTCTACTAAAAATACAAAAAAATTAGCCGGAAGTGGTGGCGGGCGCCTGTAGTCACAGCTACTCGGGAGGCTGAGGCAGGAGAATGGCGTGAACCCATGAGGTGGAGCTTGCAGTGAGCAGAGATCGCACCACTGCGCTCCAGCCTGGGCAACAGAGTGAGACTCTGTCTCAAAATTAAAACAAATAGTGTTGATTGGGAGTAAGGGAATGTCAACTGCCAATAAATGTAGAAGATGAAAGAACAGGACTTTAAACAGCACATACTTAGTTATGGGTCTCCGTCTCCTACCCATACAGAAAAACTCCCTGACATTCATGACTTCATCCACTCTGACTAGCAGATAGGCCACATTTCCTGACACCCTGGCGCTTCACCTCAAAAGGTTTGTCTTTCCACCACACCAGCAAAGACCCTCAGGACACATGATTCACGCTGCCAGCTAAGCATCTACCCCAAGGGACAAGGTAAGCACACACTGAAGCAGCTGGGCCATCCTAGTCCTAATCCCTACAGCGGTGTCCACCCTGAGAATTGCAGCACTTGTAGAAGGTGATCATCAGCTCGTCTGCAGAGCAAGTCTGAAGCTGCATGAAGTAAGCACGAGGATGTTTGCATTTGAGACATGGCTCTAGCAATCAGAAAAATAAAGAAGTGACCCACATTAAAAAAAAATATTGCTCATGACTGTTAAAAGTAGGTATTACTATCTTTTCTTTTTTTTTTTGAGACGGAATCTCCCATTGTTGCCTGGGCTGGAGAGCAGTGGCGCACTCTCAGCTCACTGCAACCACCACCTCCCAGGTTCAAGCAATTCTCCTAACCCAAACCCTAGCCCTAACACTACACAAACCCAAACCTGAACCCTAACCCTAAACCCTAACACTAACCCCTAAAGCTAACCCTAACCCTAACCCCTAAAACTAACCCTAACCCTAAACCCTAACCCCTAAAACTAACCTTAACCCTAACCCCAACCCTAACCCTAACCCTAACTTCTTAATCAACCGTATTGACTAATGAAGTAAACATGAGTAGGCCAGTCGAGGTGGCTTACATCTCTAATCTCAGCACTTTGGGAAACTGAGGCAGGCAGATCACCTGAGCTCAGGAGCTCGAGACCAGCTGGCTAACATGGTGAAACCCGGTCTCTACTAAAAATACAAACATTAGCCGGGCGTGGTGGCAGGCGCCTGTAATCCCAACTACTCAGTAGGCTGAGGCAGGATAATCACTTGAACCCGGGAGGTGGAGGTGGCAGTGAGCTGAGATCACACCACTGCACTCCAGCCTGGGCGACAGAGCCAGACTCCATCTCAAAAAAAATAAAAAATAAAAAGCAAACATGAGTGTTTAAACCTGAAATTTTTTGCAACTGGTATATGTGTGATATACACACACATACACACACACAGGGCTGGAGAATATAGTAAGATAATATTCTGTCCAGTAAACTCTTATGAAATTTCAATGATCAATTGTGCCCTCTGCCTTTCATTCTGTGTTGAGCTTTTATTTTTCTTTACTGATTATCCCAAATATGGACTCTGCTTTTATGTATCTATTTCCTTGATTTATAAATTAAGGGTGATTCTCACATATGATCTACCAAACATTTTTTTTTTGGTCTAAAAAAATCACGTCAGAACATTTGTGTTGTTAGACATCATAACCGCTGTGACTTGAAGGATCTAGGTAGACAGAATCTTAAGAGTATTTGATAAGAGGGTGTTGGATGTGCATAGAGTTCCCAAGACCCCCGAGAGCCTGCTGTGTCCCTGCAGGTGGAGGCCGCAACGCAGGCAGCTGGGCTGGGCTGGGCGGGTGGGCAGCAGGTGGGAGCGCTCAGGGACTGGGGGCCAGGTCAGTTGTGCAACCCCTGTTCTGAGGCCAGTGGGAAACCATCGTTAAAGTTAAATAAGAAGAGTGATGGGATGAGACTTGTTTGTAAAGGAGAGTTTTGTCACAATCACCCTGAGGTCTCTGTGGGGTGTGGGTGGGTCTGTGCTCCTCCGGGGAACTCGCTGTGCGGAGCACTGCCGGAGGCTGCGAGTTCCCACCTGGAGTGCGGCGTCTGCATCTGCCCAGGGGGAACCGCTGTGCAGACCCAGGCTGGGGGCAGCTCTGCTCTTCAACTCTGCGAAGGCTCCAGAAAAGGAAAACTGGACCCAGATGGAAAGAGACATTTTCCACCCAGCCGGGGTGGCTGCGAAGTGAAACGGGCCTGCGGACACGACCCTCAGGTAGAAACGTGGCCTCCTGCGCTGGGGTCACCTGGCGCTTACCTGGGAGGGGTCCCTGTTTTGGGTGAAAAACACTGGGGTGTTTTCTGTGAGATGCAGATCTGGCTCAGCAACAACCGCTGAGGAATCTGAGAGAAAAGAGAAAGAAAACTCCACACTACCGTTGCAAGTTTCCTGAAAGTATGGAATTATTGGGAAGTAAGCTACTTTTTAAAACAACTGTGTCAATTCCACGCCCGTGAAGCAGATACGACAACAAGCTCCACTGTGGAGGCCAAGCCCGAGGCAGCTCCAGCTCAGCAGCAGCTGTGAGCAGCTGGAGGCTACGTTAGTTTTGATTATGTCAGTGTTGATTATTGTGAGCGGGGACTGCGGGGCCGTGTGGGGAGCACGGGGTTTCATATTAACATTTTTGTATTGAGGCAGCGCATTAGCATTACAGGTGTTTGTTACCTGAGCACTGCGAGTGTCACATTCGTATTTCGGGAGGCATATCTGCATTAGGAACGCTCCATTTGTGTTCCAAGGCCGCGGTGTAGACCTCGCACTGCGCCCGCCTCGCCTTGGGTGGGGAGAACCTCAGTGCTCAGGATTCGGAGGGGCTTTTGGTTTCCAGTTTCCCACACCGACCCCGCTTACTGGTCTCTAACCCTCAGTAGTCAGGGCTGCAAACAGGAAGGATTTTACTCACCATGGCCTCGAGTTGTCCCAAAGCGAGGCGGTGCCCCCCGGGTCTGTGCCGAGGAGGACGCGGGCTTCACCCTCGCTTCGGCCCGGTGTGGACGCCCTGCTGGCGGCCGGGGGCACTGCAGGGCCCTCTTGCTCACGGTGTCATGGCCTTGCGCCCCCTGCTGGCGGCCTGGGCACTGCAGGGCCCTCTTGCTCACGGTGTCATGGCCTTGCGCCCCCTGCTGGCGGCCTGGGCACTGCAGGGCCCTCTTGCTCACGGTGTCATGGCCTTGCGCCCCCTGCTGGCGGCCGGGGGCACTGCAGGGCCCTCTTGCTCACGGTGTCATGGCCTTGCGCCCCCTGCTGGCGGCCTGGGCACTGCAGGGCCCTCTTGCTCACGGTGTCATGGCCTTGCGCCCCCTGCTGGCGGCCAGGGCACTGCAGGGCCCTCTTGCTCACGGTGTCATGGCCTTGCGCCCCCTGCTGGCGGCCGGGGGCACTGCAGGGCCCTCTTGCTCACGGTGTCATGGCCTTGCGCCCCCTGCTGGCGGCCAGGGCACTGCAGGGCCCTCTTGCTCACGGTGTCATGGCCTTGCGCCCCCTGCTGGCGGCCGGGGGCACTGCAGGGCCCTCTTGCTCACGGTGTCATGGCCTTGCGCCCCCTGCTGGCGGCCGGGGGCACTGCAGGGCCCTCTTGCTCACGGTGTCATGGCCTTGCGCCCCCTGCTGGCGGCCGGGGGCACTTCAGGGCCCTCTTGTTCACGGTGTCATGGCCTTGCGCCCCCTGCTGGCGGCCGGGGGCACTGCAGGGCCCTCTTGCTCACGGTGTCATGGCCTTGCGCCCCCTGCTGGCGGCCAGGGCACTGCAGGGCCCTCTTGCTCCCAGTGTAGTGGCGGCACGCACCCTGCTGGCGGCTGGAGACACTGCAGGGCCCTCTTGCTGCCACAGCCACCTGGCATTGAACAGCGACAGTGTGGCCAGCACTGTGCTAAGCTCATCTCGGTCATTCTCTCACCACATCCTCCAACGAGCCCGTGAGGCCCAGAGAGGTTAGGCGAGTTGCCAGTGGTCACACAGCCGATAGCGGCCAGGCTGGAACTTGGACTCAGGCTCCCAAGTCTCACCCACCAGCATGTGCTGCCTCTGAAGAGTTTGGGATTCCCCTTCAGGGCAACTGGGAGCCACGAGGGATTTTTAAGGGGGGTGGGTAGCACGGTCTCAGTGCCCTAAATCCCCAAGTCACGTTCGTGGAGAACCCGCTGCGTCCACCTGGGAGACGTGGCTGGTCTGTTTTCAGGGTCTGACCCTGCTGGCCTCTTCCTACACCACTTAAAGTTGGAGTGCAGGTTGTTCAGCACTATCAATTCTGCAAATTCAAACTGAAATGGAGCTAATACTGGGGAGACCTGATGTCCCAGTTCTTGTCTAACTTGAAAGAAAGATTCTCACCAAGAGGCAGTACAAAGATGGCAGATAACTTCATTGAAAAGAAATATAGTGTAAAGAGCTTATTGTAGAAAAAATAAGTATGCCTCAAGGGAGAAGTGGGGCTGATCTGCAGGAACACAGCCCCAGGGTCCTGAGCAGGGAGTTTTATGTTGGACTTCTTCACATTCCTCAAGTCTCCACCTCTTTTCTTTGTCTGGTTTTCCTGCTCCTTCCTTAGATCCCTGACTTGCCCCGCCTAGGCTTGTGGGACCCCCTCACTGTTGGCTGACACATATGTGCAGTGATCAGTGTGATTCCACTGCTGGGGCTGGGCTCCTTCCTGCCACTCCAGGAAGGTCCTACAGTGGTCATGTCTGTACCTACTGTGCCTGCCTATCTCTTTCGAATGTCCTTCTCTGCCCTAATCTGTACTTATGGTGCCAGGTTTCTCTTAAGAATGTCCCCTTTGTCCTTATCAGCATGTAGCTAGCAATATCCTAACATTTTAACAGCAGAGTGAATGATTATTGGGGCATCTTAAGAGGAGCTCTGTGCCCCAAACTCACACAGCCTCCCAGAACCTCCTCTACCCAACCCCAACCCTAACCCACCACTGTAATCTTAACCAATCCTAACCCTGATCCCCAGGGAAGTTGAATCTGCCTCCTCCTGCCAAGTGCCTCCCTTGATCCTCACCACACTCTCAAAACCTGATCCCTAACCCTAACCCGAACCCTAACCCGAACCCTAACCCTAAGCTCAAATTTAGTTGAGCTTCTATGGAATTATGTCTATGTAGCTAGGCATGAAGTTGATGATTTTTAAAAAATCTATGCCTTATTTGTGTAATAAAATACACAATAAATAATTAATGCTCATAGGAAAACATGTTAGACCTTGTGAAGGGAAAATAAATCTTGGGGACCCAAAATCGCTAAGCTAAAGGGAAAAGTCAAGCTGGGAACTGCTTAGGGCAAATCTGCCTCCCATTCTATCCAAAGTCACACATCTGCTCACGGAGATAAATGCATAGCTGATTGCCTCATTTGGAGAGGGTAATCAGCAAAGCAAAAGAATGAAACCATTTGTCTCTTACCTACCTATGATCTGGAAGCCCCCTATCTGGCCTTCTCACCTTTCTGGACTGAACTAATGTACACCTTACATATATTGATTGATGTCTCATGTCTCCCTAAAGTGTATAAAGTGTATAAAACCAAGCTGTGCCTCGACCACCTTGGGCCCATGTTGTCAGGACCTCCTGAGGAGGCATCACGGGGGCTCCACTGCAAACTTGGCAAAATAAACTTTCTAAAAAATCTGAGAGCTGTCTCAGATTTTCAGGGCTCATACATGTAATGTAGTATGTCAATGTTTATAAAACAGACATTATTCTGTCTACTATTACAACTATGCTGCAATTAACCTTAGACTTTCCCAACAAAATAAAAAATGATGAGGTACAAACAATATATTTAAACTTAAATAATGGTGCAAGTTTTAATATGCCTACTTTTCAATTTTTCAATACTATTTTTACTACTTTAACACTGTAAGAAAAATGAGCAATTAAAACATGAATAAAAGTGTTTACAGGGGGTGCACGTGTTTCCTCCAGCCTCTGCCCATCCCCAGCTTTCATCCCAACTGTCCTGATGGTGGCTCTAAGCATTTCCCCTGTCTCTATACCAAGATCTCTTCCCAGAAACAAGCCCAAATCTTACCATATGTTATGGCACGCTATGGTGATGAGCTGCGATGAGCAGCCGAAGCCTCAAGGAAGGGATGCTTTTGTAAAACAAGACTTGTAGAATAAAACGTGTGAAAGTAAAGCCCATGGCAGAGTTCCCTCCTCAGCACACGGGGAGCAGACAGGAAGCTTTTGCCTCACCTTCCTCAATGGCCTGCAGCCACGTCTCCCAGGTCAGTCTTAAGGACAACGAAACTCTGGTCTTCACTGTGGACACGCCACACTACCAGGTGCTCCAAAGCCATGGTGACCCATCCTCGGGTGGGTCCTGACGAGAACAAAGCTCTGGTTCTAATTCTAACCCTAACCCTGTCCCAAGACTTTGACCCTGAACCTAAACCCTGATCCCTACCCTGGTCCCTAATTCTGACCCTTACTTTGACCCTGACTTTGATCTCGACCCTGACCATGACCCCACCTCTAACCATACTTCTGGCCCTGACTCTGACCCAGATCCTAATCCTATCCCTAACCCTATTATTATCTTTACAATCTATGTCTAATCTTACTGTCTAGTGCTAAATAGCTGTACCCAAAAGCACTTTTAAATCCTTTAACTTCTTTTCCTTGAATTCTCTAAGGACATCTTAAAGGAGATGTCATTATGTATTTTGCATTCCCTCTGAGTGGTATGGCTTCACATATGAAGTTCTAATACTTTGCAAGACATAAAATGTTTGGAGGGTAACAGCACTGGGTTGTTAGGGATGTATGTTGGCATTCATGATAGTCATTGGTGCTGTTCTCCAAATATTTTCAGTCCATTTTTTTATGAATGCATTCTGACTGTTCCATCCCACCTACTTAAATTTTTCCATGGCCACATGACTTTTCTATTTTTATTTTTATTTTATTTTTTGCTAATGGAGGTGAGAAGAAATAACATGTGACTTTTTCAGGAGAAATCTCCAAGAAACAGAGTTCTACTCTGCATGCTTTTTTCTCTTTTCTATAGCAATGGGGATCTTATTGATGATCCCTCCTTCCATCTGGATTCCTGTGTTAGGATGACACAGCACAGAGATATCTCTCACCTGACCCGTGATGAGATGTAAATAAATGAGGAAGAAGATTTTTGAGCCACTGAAATTTGGAGGTTGTTTGTCACCACAGTTTAACCTAGCCCCCATTGACTGATGCATGGCTGAAGAATGAGTCTCAACTGGATCTGGACAAGATATGTGAAGAGCACGCCAGGCTGAGTAAAATTCAAGTGTTGTCTCAAAGATAACAGTGAGCACAATATGTTATTGGGGTGTGTGTGGGATAAATAAGGTATATCAGGTGAGAATAATAAGAAACTCAACTTTAAAAGACGGTGCTGATTTGGACTGTGGAGAGATTCAAATGTCCTGCTTAGCATTTGAGATTGTGATGGATGAACAAACTAATTAAGAGCCCAAATTGAAAGTTTGGGATAAATATCTGAGTGTGTCTAATATCCCAATTTTTCATCCTAGAATGGGCAGAGTCCTTGACCCCATTCTAGGGAGACGTCCAAAAGAAAAAAGACCTGCATTTCTTCAGCAACCCACACTGAGAGACTTTCCTGTACTTTTGACCTGTGGCTAACACTCCTCACCTTTCATTCTGTCATCAGTGTTTTGGGGAAGCACCTTTATCTCTCTGATTTACAGGCTATTAAGTGGCCCTTACAATTCCCTCCAGAGATGGAAAAGACATGATGATGGTGTCTGAGCTCACAGCAGCAAGCAGGCACGTGTGCTCAGAAGCCACATGGCTCATCTGCTAGGAGCTTGCTAAATACGATGTTCTACAACATTGCCTAACACAAGGGGAGACGCTCCTGACTCACAGTGTTTAATTGCTCATCTACTTCATTTTCTGCCCTCTTGGGCTTATAAAATGAAAAGAACCCTGGGGTGATACAGTGAATCAAAGGGGTGCCAGCCGCATCACAGCAAAATAGATTCCTAAAAAATCCCTGGCCTAAGATGACAGCCTTGGCTGGATACGTTTGAATGTGCTCATAGTGGATATGGTAGAATGAAGGTGGTTGAAATGTTCATATTAAAGAACTTCCACCCAGATTGCAAAAAAAGAGAGAGGAATGGAGATGGCAGCACGAGTCCCTACATAAAAGCAGATGTTTTGAGATCAGTTATATTTCTTCTGACAAAAATTGAAGACAGAAACGAAAGTTTAGCCTGAGACTACAATTAATTGGGCAATAAGCCAGAGGCACATATGGCATAGACAGATTTAAACATTTCTCCCTTATATTAATACAAATACTAAAATTACAAATACTTTGATTCCAAATAAAACAAATATTTAAAAAATTTAATGAATAAATACTGGGGTCTACAGTAGTATTTGAAGGAGATCTCACAAACAGGTTTGGTTTTTGAAGGTTAGAACTAGTGGTCTGGAGAATTCATTTCATTCCGAGACAGAAAGAGAGGAATTTCTTGGGTTCCTTCAGGAATGCGTCTAGTTTTGCCTCATCTTTGTTTGAACTATAGATACAGCAGAAGAAAACGTGAGGATTTCACAGATTTAAGGTGCAAAAAGTCACTGGGTTCTCTAAGAAGTCTGGGATTCTTCTGCTGGAAAAATAAGTTTGTTGAGAAAAAATGAGTTGGAGGAGGCTGTTATTGAAGTGAAGCAGAATTGTTTTTACTAATCTGCTTATTACCCACTCTGTAATGTGGAAACAAATTATTCACTCACAAGGTCCTCTTACTGTTCCCAGAATGCAGTGGAAAGAGAACAGATTAGTTTTCCTCCCTCAGAACACAACCCCTAGAAACATCCTACCTCAGATGAGATATTGCCTAATTATTTTCAAAAGACAGTGAAAAATCTTGGAAGTAAATGTTTGCTGCAAAATAAATACATGCTAGAAACAGAAGCATCTGGGACACAGCTATATTAGAGCTACCTGTGTTCCCCTGTCACTGAGATTAAAACAAAAATGTCCAATACAATCATTCACAGCATGGGAAAGGGGAAGTTGAAGGATGGAAAGGCCAGGCATAAAAGGATTTCAGAATTTGCGTCCATAAGGAAGTGGATTTGTGCATTGTCTGTTACTGCGTGCAAGGTGAAGTTTGGAGAATGAAAACGTGCAGTAACAAGGGCTCCTTTGTCCATCTCACCTCTCCAGATACCACGTTTCAGACATGTTGCATTTCACTTGAAAGGTTGATATAATTCTTTTAAAAGAACACTTGCGGTGTTTGAAGCGACAAAGGCTGCTGTGACAAAAAAGCAGTGAAAGGGAATTTTTTTTAAAAAAAGCAAACAACAACAACAAAAACCCCACAGAAAAGCAAACAACAAACAAACAAAAAACAGAGGAAGAAGTCAAACACCCTGGGCTATGACTACTTCAAGGAAGGGGCTACAAGAGGCAGTTGGAAATTCCATTTGCTTTGCAACTGTGGGTTTTCCAGCCTGCTTCCTTTCTAAAGTATATTACTCTGCTTTTGGTTCATGAAATTATCAGTTTCTGTTTTCTGGAACAGCTATGTACTTTCTTTATCTATCATCTATCTATCTACCTTCCTATCATCTATCTATCTGTTTACTATCTGTCTTTTCTACCTTTTGCTATCAAAAGCTTGGGTCAAGCAGTATAGAATTCCAGTGTATGTTCACTCTACCATTTAAAACAAGAACTCTTGTAGGAATTCTCCATCACATCATAAACCTGAGCTTTCTAAAACAAGGTGTGGCAAACTACCATACATGGACTATGTCTGACACAGTCTGCGTTTGTAAGTAAAGTTGTAATGGGACACAGCCACATACATATGTTATATAACGTCTCTGGCTACTTTCATGGTATAATGGAAGAGCTGAGTCATTGAGAGAGAGACCATATGGCTTGGAAAATTTAAAATATTTAACATTTAGCCCTTTGCAGAAAATATTTGCTGACTCTTGTTTTAAAAGATCTCTGTGGCCAGGCGCGGTGGCTCATGCCTGTAATCCCAGCACTTTGGGAGGCCGAGGCTAGCAGATCATGAGGCCAGGAGATCGAGACCATCCTGGCTAACCCAGTGAAACCCCGTCTCTACTAAAAATACAAAAAAATTAGCCGGGTGTGGTGGCGGGCGACTGTAGTCCCAACTACTCCAGAGGCCGAGGCAGGAGAATGGTGTGAACCTGGGAGGAGGAGCTTGCAGTGAGCCGGGATCATGCCACTGCATTCCAGCCCGGGCAACAGAGCAAGACTCCATCTCAAAAAAAAAAAAAAAAAAAAAGGATCTCTGTTTAGAATGCTACCTATTGCCTTCTGGATAGAATCACAACTCTTTACCACAATCAACACAGCTTCAGCCCTGCTTCTATATCCAGCCTCATCTATTTCTGCTCCTCCTCCTTATTTTCCTCCTGGACATGCTGATGGATTGTCAGCTTCCCAGATGTGTGAGAGTCTCTCCTGCCTTCCTAACATTCTCATGCTCTCCCTCTGCCTCTCAAGAACTTCCTGCCCCATCTCTCATGACAAATCCCTTCTTCATTCTTTAAGATGAAGCCCCTTTGCTCCTTCCTTAAGGATGTCTGTCTGGCTTCATTTTGGGGGACGTGCTCCTTCTGCATCTCCCAGAGCCAGCCTGTGTGTGTCAGCTACAACATTTCTTTGCATCTCTGTGTCATATATCACCAAATCTGCCTAAGCTTGAGTGAGTCACTACATGACAATTTCAGACTCCAGAAGCAATGTCCCCACTAACCACGAGGCTTAGACATTTGTCCAGTATGCTCGGGGTTGTGGGGTGGTAGCAGTAACCAGCTGGTGAGCATCATTTCTTACATCAGAATCAAATCTGTAGATCTCTGCGATTCATAAGTATTTGGAGTTTAAAATTAGCATAAAGATTTTCCTTAAAATAAGAACAAATGGCTTGAGTAGGCTTTTGGAACGTAGGATGTTTCCATTGGTTCATTTCTGTGTTCAGTATTCCCACATGAATCTAAACACTACTCTGCTCTTAGTAGCTGTGTGACCCTGGGAAAGTCACTCAATCTCCCTCAGCTAAATTTTGTTGTGTGTGTAATGAGAAGAGAGTTGTGATTTGTATTTAGTGAATAATAACAAACAAAAAGCATTTAGCTTTCTGGAACCTGGTATGTAGTAGAACCTCATGTAAATACTAGCTCTGTTGATAAAACTAGACCAAAAGAAGGTTTCAAGGTCAACAACAGTATGAGGCAGTGAAGAACATAGAGGAGAAGCTGCTTCTGCAGCCTGTAGCTCCTGGGGACCCGTTTTGTCCATGATTTAGCAGGAACACACTACCTTTCCATGAGGAGAAACTGTCCACAGAAACCAAGGCCATTCTTTGAAGACAAACATGTCTTAATAGCCTTTACATTAAGTAATAGTGTAATATAAATAATAATTATTAGTAATAATGTGAAATTATTTACACTACCCTAACCCTAAACCTAACCCCAATCCTAACCCTAACCCTAACCCTAAACCTAACCCTAACCCTAACCCTAATCCTAACCCCAATCCTAACCCTAACCCAACCCTAAACCTAACCCTAACCCTAACCCTAAACCTAACCCCAATCCTAACCCTAACCCTAACCCTAAACCCTAACCCTAACCGTAACCCATAACCCTAACCCTAAACCTAACCCAGCCCTAACACCTAACCCTAACCCCTAACCCTAACCCGTAACCCTAACCCTAACTCTTAACCTGAACCCGAACCCGAATCCAAACTTGAACCTGAACCCTAAGCCTTACCCTAAGCCTAAGCCTAACCCCTAACCCTAACCCTAACCCTAAACCTAATGCTCACCCTAACCCTAACCCTCACCCTCACCCTGACCCTCACCCTCACCCTGACCCTCACCCTGACCCTCACCCTGACCCTCACCCTAACCCTAACCCTCACCCTCGCCATTGTGACATATTGCAGGAAACAAAATCCAGGTGATGTAACTCTTGTCTAGCCTCTGCCTACAGGAGGCATTGTGACATATCTCTACACTGATCACACAGGTGATGGAACTCTTGTCTAGGCTCTGCCTATGGGGGCACTGTGATAGATCTCTGCACTGATCACCCAAGTGATGTAATACTTGTCTACACTCTGCCTACGGCAGCTTTGACATATGTCTGCACTGATGACCCAGATGATGTAACTCTTGTCTAGTCTTTTCCTATGTGGGTTTTGTGACTTGTCTCTGCACTGATCGCCCAGATGATGTAACTTTTGTCTAGGCTCTGCTTACTTGGAGGATTGTGACATATCTCTGCAAAGATCACCCAGATGATGTAACTCTCCTCTAGGCTCTGCCTACTGGGGGCATTGTTACATATCTCTGCACTGATCACCCAGGTGATGTAACTCTTGTGTTGGATCTGCCTATGGGGGCATTGCAACATATTTCTGCACTGATCACCCAGGTGATGTAACTCTTGTCTAGGCTCTGTCTACTGGGGGCATTGTGACATATTTCTGCACTGATCACCCAGGTGATAGGACTCTTGTCTAGGCTCTGCCTACTGGAGCATTGTGACATATCTCTGCCCTTATCACCCAGGTGATGTAACTCTTGTCTAGGCTCCGCCCACAGGGGGCATAGTGACATATCACCGTACTGATCATCCAGGTAATATAATTCTTGTCTAGGCTCTGCCTACAGGGGGCATTGTGAAATATCTCTGCACTGATCATCTAGGTGATGTAACTCTTGTCTACACTCTGCCTGCAGGGACATTGTGAGATATCTCTGCACTGATCAACCAGGTGATGTAACTCTTGTCTAGGCTCTGCTTACGGGGGTATTGTGACATAGCTCTGCACTGATCACCTAAGTGATGTAACACTTGTGTAGGCTCTGCCTACATGGGCATTGTGACACATCTCTGAACTGATCAACCAAGTGATGTAACTCTTGTCTAGGCTCTGCCTATGGGGGCTTTGTGACATATCTCTGCACTGATCACCCTGGTGATGGGACTTTTGTCTACGCTCTGCCTATGGGGGCATTGTGACATATCTCTACACTGATCACCCAGGTGATGTAACTCTTGTGTTGGATCTGCCTATGGGGGCATTGTGACATATTTCTGCACTGATCACCCAGGGGATGGGACTGTTGTCTAGGCTCTGTGTATGGGGGCTTTGTGACATATCTCTGCACTGATCACTCAGGTGATGTAACGCTTGACTAGGCTCTGCCTACTGGGGCATAGTGACATATCACTGCATTGATCACTCAGGTGATGTAACTATTGTCTAGGCTCTGCTTAAAGGGGCCTTGTCACATATCTCTGCACTGATCACCCAGGTGATGGAACACTTGTCTAGGCTCTGCCTACATGGGCATTGTGACACATCTCTGAACTGATCAACAAAGTGATGTAACTCTTGTCTAGGCTCTGCCTACAGGGGCTTTGTGACATATCTCTGCACTGATCACCCAGGTGATGGGACTTTTGTCTAGGCTCTGTCTACGGGGGCATTGTGACATATCTCTACACTGATCACCCAGGTGATGTAACTCTTGTGTTGGATCTGCCTATGGGGGCATTGAGACATATTTCTGCACTGATCACCCAGGTGATGTAACACTTGTGTTGGATCTGCCTATAGGGGCATTGTGACATATTTCTGCACTGATCACCCAGGTGATGGGACTCTTGTCTAGGCTCTGTGTATGGGGGCTTTCTGACATATCTCTGCACTGATCACCCAGGTGATGTAACGCTTGACTAGGCTCTGCCTACGGGGCACAGTGACATATCACTGCATTGATCACCGAGGTGATGTAACTCTTGTCCAGGCTCTGCCTATAGGGGGCCTTGTGACGTATCTCTGCACTGATCATCTAGGTGATGTAACTCTTGCTTACGCTCTGCCTGCAGGGGCATTGAGAAATATCTCTTTACTGATCAACCAGATGATGTAACTCTTGTCTAGGCTCTGCCTACAGGGGGCATTGTGGCATAACTCTGCACTGATCACCCAGGTGAAGGGACTCTTCTCTAGGTTCTGCCTACTGGGGGCATTGTCACATATTTCTGCAGTGATCACCCAGGTGACTGACTCTTGTCTTGGATTTGCCTATGGGGGCAATGTGACATACCTCTGCACTGATCACCCAGGTGATGTAACTCTGGTCTAAGCTCTGCCTAAAGGGGCATTGTGACAGATCTCTGCACTGATCACTCAGGTGATGTAACTATTGTCTAGGCTCTGCTTAAAGGGGCCTTGTCACATATGTCTGCACTGATCACCCAGGTGATGTAACTCTTGTCTAGGCTCTGCTTACAGGGGGTATTGTGACATATCTCTGCACTGATCACCTAAGTGATGTAATACTTGTGTAGGCTCTGCCTACAGGGGCATTTTGACATATCTCTGCACTGTTAACCGAGGTGATGTAACTCTTGTCTAGGCTGTGCCCACAGGGGGATTGAGACATATCTCTGCACTGATCCCGAGGTGATCCAACTCTTGCCTGGTCTCTGCCTACTGGGGACATTGTGACATATCTCTGCACTGATCTCCCAGGTGCTGTAACTTTTGTCTAGGCTCTGGCTACACAGCATTGTGACATATGACTGCACTGATCACCCAGGTGATATAACTCTTGTCTAGGCTCTGCCTACAGGGGGCTTGTGACATATCTCTGCACTGATCACCCAGGTGATATAACTCTTCTCTAGGATCTGCCTACAGGGTGCTTTGTGACATATCCCTGCAATGATCACCCAGGTGATGTACCACTTGTCAAGGCTCTGCCTACAGGGGCATTGCGATGTATCTCTGCACTGATCACCTAGGTCATGTAACTCTTGTCTAGGCTCTGCCTACAGTGGCATTGTGACATATCTCTGCACTGATCACCCAAGTAATGGGACTCTTGTCTAGGATCTGCCTAAAGGGACTTTGTGACATAACTCTGCACTAATCATCCAGGTGATGGGGCTTTTGTCTAGGCTCTGCCTAAGGGGGCATTGTGACGTATTTCTGCACTGATCACCCAGGAGACGGACTCTTGTCTTGGATCTGCCTATGGGGGCATTGTGACATATATCTGCACTGATCACCCAGGTGATGTAACTGTTGTATAAGCTCTGCCTACAGGGGAATTGTGAGAGATCTCGCCACTGATCACCCAAGTGATGTAACTATTGTCTAGGCTTTGGCCTACAGGGGGCTTTGTGACATACCTTTGCTCTGATCACCCAGGTGATGTAACTCATCTAAGCTCTGCCTACAGGAGCTTTGTGACATATCTCTGCACTGATCACTTAGGTGATGTAACACTTTTATAAGCACTGCCTACAGGGAATTTCGACAAATCTCTGCACTGATCACCTAGGTGATGTAACTCTTGTCTACCCTCTGCCTACAGGGGGCGTTGTGAAATATCTCTGCACTGATCACCCAGGTGATGCAACTCTTGACTAGGATCTGCCTACAGGAGGTATTGTGAAATATCTCTGCACTGATCAACTAGGTGATGTAACTCTTGTCTAAGCTCTGCCTGCAGGGGCGTTTTCACATATCCCTGAACTGATGACAAAGGTGATGTAACTCTTGCCTAGGCTTTGCCTACAGGGGACATTGTGACATATCTCTGCACTGATCACCCAGGTGATGCAACTCTTCTCTGTGCTCTGCCTACAGGGTACATTGTGACATATCTCTGCACAGATCACCCAGGTAATGTAACTCTTTTCTAGTCTCTGCCTACAGAGGGCGTTGTGACATCACTCTGCACGGATCACCTGGGTTATGTAACTCTTGTCTAGGCTCTGCCTACAGGGGCATTGTGACGTATCTCTGCACTGATCACAGAGGTGATGTAACTCTTGTTTAGGCTCTGCCTACTGGAGACATTGTGACATATCTCCGCACTGATCACCCAGGTGATGTCACTTTTGTCAAGGATATGGCTACAGGGACATTGTGACATATCTCTGCACTGATCACCCAGGTGATGTAACCCTTGTCTAGGCTCTGCCAAAAGGGGGCATTGTGACATAACTCTGCACTGATCACCCAGGTGATGGGACTCTTGTCTAGGCTCTGCCTACAGGGGCATTGTGACATATCTCTGCAGTGATCACGCAGGTGATGTAACTCTTGTCTATATCTGTCTACTGGTGGCATTGTGGCATATTTCTGCACTGATCACCCAGGTGATGGACTCTTGTCTTGGATCTGCCTATGGGGGCATAGTGACATATCTCTGCACTGATCACTCATGTGATGTAACGCTTGTCTAAGCTGCGCCTAAAGGCGAATTGTGACAGATATCTCCACTGATCACCCAGGTGATGTAACTCTTGTCTAGGCCCCACCTACAGGGGGTATTGTGACGTATCTCTGCAGTGATCACCCAGGTGATGTAACACTCATCTAGGCTCTGCCTACAGGGGCGTTTTGACATAGCTCTGCACAGATCATCTAGGTTATGTAACTTTTGTCCACTCTCTGCCTACAGGGGGCATTGTGAAATATCTCTGCACTGATCACCCAGGTGATGGGACTCTTCTCTATACTCTGCCTAGAGGGGGATTTGTGACATATCTCTGCACTGATCACCCAGGTGATGGAAGTCTTGTCTAGGCTCTGTCTATGGGGGCATTGTGTCAAATATCTGCACTGATCACCCAGGTGATGTAACTCTTGTCTAGGCTCTGTCTACAGGGATTTTTGTGACATATCACTGCACTGATCACCTAGGTGATGTAAACCTTGTATGGGCTTTGCCTACAGAAGGCTTTGTGACATATCTATGCACTGATCTCTGAGGTGATTCAACTCTTGTCTAGGCACTGCCTACAGGGCACATTGGTACATATCTCTGCACTGATCACCCAGGTGATGGACCCTTGTCTTAGATCTGCCTACATGGACATTGTGACACATCTCTGAACTGATCAACCAAGTGATGAAACTCTTGTCTAGGCTCTGCCTACAGGGGCTTTGTGACACATCTCTGCACTGATCACCCTGGGGAGGGAACTCTTGTCTACGCTCTGCCTACAGGGGCTTTGTGACACATCTCTGCACTGATCACCCTGGGGAGGGAACTCTTGTCTACGCTCTGCCTACAGGAGGCTTTATGACTAATACTTACACTGATAACCTAGGTGATGTAACACTTGTCTAGGCTCTGCCTACACGGGAATTCTCACATATCTCTGCACTGATAACCTAGGTGATGTAACACTTGTCTAGGCTCTGCCTACAAGGGAATTCTCACATATCTCTGCACTGATCCCCCAGGTGATGTAACTCCTGTCTAGGTTCAGCCTACAGGAGCGTTTTGACATATCTCTGCACTGATCACCCAGGTGATGTAACACTTGTCCAAGCTCTGCCTACAGGGGCATTGTGACAGATCTCTCCAATGCTCACTCAGGAGATGTAAAAATTGTCTGGGCTTTGCTTACAGGGGGCTTTGTGATATATATTTCCACTGATCAAACAGGTGATGTAACCCTTGTCAAGGTTCTGCTTAAAGCGGCTTTGTGAGATATCTCTGCACTGATCAGCCCAGGGAGGGAACACTTGTCTACACTCTGCCTACAGGAGGCTTTATGACTTATCCCTGCACTGATCACTAGGTGATGTAACAATTGTCTAGGCTCTGTCTACACGGGAATTTTCACATACCTCTACACTGATCACCTAAGTGATGTAACCCTTGTCTAGGTTCAGCCTACTAGGGAGATCTGACACACATCTGCACTGATCACCGAGGTGATGTAAATCATTTCCAGGCTTTTTCTACAGGGGACATTGTGACATATCTCTGCACTGATCACCCAAATGGTGCAAATCTTCTCTAGGATCCACAGGGAGGGGGCATTGTGACATATCTCTGAACTGATCATCCAGGAGATGCAACTCTACTCCAGGCTTTGCCTAGACAGCGTCGGAAGGTGGGGGGAGAGACTCAGCCAGAATTTCACGGACAAACAAGGGCACAGAGAGGCCAGCGAGCTCCCTTGCACGTCAGCCGGGGTGCGCACTGCGCGCAGGTCTAGCCAGGAGGCCGGCAAAGACAGCCAGAGGTGTGCCTTCGACCGCCAGGCGCTCCGTGCTGGCAGCCGGGAGGCCGCAGGGGCCCGGGCGGGCGGGCGACGGTGGCGCGCAGGCGCAGAGGAGGCGAGCCGCCGGAGGGTGTCAGGCCTGGACGCTGCGCGGGCCCGGCGTTTCGCGGGACGGGGGTCTCCACCCAGCGCAGGGGACGACGCGTTCTCCGGGGGTGGGGGGTGGGGGTGGGGAGGGGCCCAGGGGACGACGCGTTTTCCGGGGGCGGGGGGTGGGGGTGGGGAGGGGGCGGTCAGGCGGCGGGGTGGGGCGGTGGAGAGGCGGGAGAGCTCTGTCCCGGCTGCTCCCACAGCCCAGGCGGCTGCCCGCAAACCCGCGCGTGCGCAGTAGGCGGCCCACCTGCTGGTACCTGGGCCGGCTCTGGGATCCCCGGGATGCCCAGGAAAGAATGGCAGTTCTCCGCTGTGTGGAGTCTCTCACCGGGCCTAGACCTAGAAGGCAGGAATCCCAGGCCGGTCAGCCCGGTGGAGGGGGCGGGGCGGAGACACGCCCCTCCGTAGCCAGCCAGGTGTTCCCCGCGAAAGAGAGGCCACCGCCCTGCCCCGAACCACCCGACCCCGTCCCAACCCCGCGTCCTAAAGCTCCTCCAGCAGAGCCCGGTATTCTTCCTCGCTGAGGGGTGCTTCCAGCGAGGCGGCCTCTTCCGAGGCCTCCAGCTCCCCCGGGGCCTCCGTTTCTGGGAAAGGGTTAGACACAGAGTAAGTTGCCTTTGATTGAATTTTAAAGGGGTTGAGAGCTAACTTTTGATAATTATTTTTAGACTTAAAATTTATTTTATATTTTGTGTTACTTCAGCACTGTTACCTACTTTTCTGTTTTTCTTAAGCATAAATGTTGACATTATATTAAATCTTCAGCAAAATGTGAGAAGGAAAAATGTATATACTTATTTCATGTATTTGGAAGACAACTTTTTTAGTTCAAGTGTTTAGTAGTTTGAGTTCAGAGAGCATTTCAAAAAGTATAGTCAGCTGTGTATCAGTGGGTTCCATATCCACAACTGTGGATAGAAAATATTTGAAAGAGGGCCGGGTGCGGTGACTCACACCTGTAACCCCAGCACTTTGGGAGGTCGAAGCAGGTGGATCACCTGAGGTCAGGAATTCAAGACCAGCCTGGCCAACATGGTGAAACCCCGTCTCTACTAAAAATCCAAAAATTAGCTGGGCGTGGTGGCAGGCGCCTGTAGTCCCAGCTACTCAGAAGGCTGAGGCAGGAGAATCACTTGAACCTGGGAGGCAGAGGTTGCAGTGAGCCGAGATTGCGCCACTGCACTCCGGCCTGGGCCACAAGAGCGAAACTCTGTCTCAAAAAAAAAAAAAATATATATATATATATATAAAATATTATATATATATATTTTATAACTATTAATAGAAATTTCTTTAAAAAATACAGTATAACAACTGTTTACATCGCATTTATACTGTATTATGTCTTATGAGTAATACAGACATGATTTTAAAGCATACAGGAGGATGTGCCTAGGTTATATGCAAATACCACACCATTTTATATAAGAGCCTTGAGCATACTTGGACTTTGATATTTTTGGAGTTCCTGGAATCAATTCCCTGTGGATATAAAAGAACAACTGTGTAGGATTCTTTGGTCATTATTAAGGGGAAATATAAATATATCTGTTCTTTTGTAATGATAGGTCAAAGAGGCCTATAATATGGTATTTTTTCTTATATTCATTCTAAAATCTTTTCTTAAGTATTGCTGCTTATATTATCATAGATTATGTAGTATGTATAAAGATGAGTAAATTCCATCATTAAGGACCTTACCGACTAGTAGGAGAAAAGGCAGAACATATTCAACAAAATATATATTCAAAGTCAAGTCTGGTAACTGCTTTTTAAAAGAAATATATATATAAAATAAAGTATTATCATCCCTTTGAAATTAAGTATTTGTGGAGCTGGTTATAGTTAGAATGTAAAAAGAATTAAGCAAGTTCTAGAGAATACTCTTACTTTATTTTCTATTTTTTTAATAAACAGCTTTAGTTGTCAAAATTTAAATTATCAGCTTAAGTGAAATAATACATAAACACTAGTATGAAAGATACTATCTTTCAACTAAGTTAAATACTTTTTAGATTGATGAGAGATTTCTTTCCTCTCTTTATTAAGGTATAATTTCCCACAATAAAGTTCATAGATCTTAAGTGTTCTCTTCAGTAACTTTTTACAGTTGTAAACACTCATATAATCACTCAAGACAAGATTTTAAAAAATCGTATTTCTTTAGAAAACTCACTTGTGGCTGGGCACAGTGGTTATGCCTCTAATCCCAGCACTTTGGGAGACCAAGGTGGGCGGTTGGCCTGAGTTCAATTTGAGACCAGCCTGGGCAACATAGCGAGACCCTGTCTCTGAAAAAAGAATTTTTTTTTTTTTTAAATTTATGAAGAGAGCTCACTTGGGCCAGTTGTGGTGGCTCACACCTGTAATCCCAGCACTTTGGAAGGCTGAGGTGGGAGGATCACGAGGTCAGGAGTTCATTCGAGACCAGTCTGGCCAACATGGTGAAACCCTGTCTCTACTAAAAATACAAAAAATTAGCTGGGCGTGGTGGCAGGTGCCTGTAATCCCAGCTACTCGGGAGGCTGAGGCAGGAGAATCGCTTGAACCCAGGAGGCTGAGGTTGCGGTGAGCCAAGATTGCACCACTGCACTGCAGCCCGGGTGACAGAGCGAGACTCCATCTCAAAAAAAAAAAAAAAAAGAAAAAGGAAAGCTCACTTGTACCTCTTCCCATGATCTGATTTCTATTGCCAAGATTAGTTTTGCCTGTTCTAGAACTTTATATAAATGGAATTAAACAGTAATGTACACTTTTGTGCCTAGCATCTTTCACTCAGCCTGCACCTGTGGTGGTGTATGTATTGATTGTTCTTTGTATTGCTGAATAGTATAACATTGCATGAATTTGTTTATCCATTTTTGTGTTGATTGACATTTGGGTTGCTTCCAATTTGGGGCTATCGTAAATAAGGCTTATGAGCATTCCTTTTTTTAACTTATGTTTTCATTTCTCATGGGTAAATACCCAGGATTGGAATCCTGGGTTATAAAGTAGATCTGTGTTTAACTTTTTAAAAATCTACCAAACAATTCTCAAAAATTATTATGTCACACTATTTTATATTCACCAACAGTATGAGTTTCAGTTGCTCCACATCCTCACCAACATTTGGTGATATCAACCTTTGATTTTAGCTTTTCTAGTGGATGTTAAATGCTATTTCATTGTTATTTTAATTTGCATTCTCCTCATAACTAATAATACCAAGAATCTTTCATGTCGTTATTAGCCATTGTATATCTTTTCTTTTTTCAAGTCTTTTGCCCATTTTTAAATTGGGTTGCTTATGTTTTTAAGATTGGTTTTTAAGAGTTCTAGATATATTCTGAATAAGAATCCTATGTTAGAAATATGTAATGCAAATATTTCCCAATCTGTTGCTTACCTGTTGATTTTGTTAATGGTGTCTTTTAATGAGGATCAGTGTACCAATTTTTAAAATGTTTTCTGCCTTTTGTGGTCTGTGTTTGGTAAGAGGTAGTTGTTTAGGTCAGGTTGGCTTTTTTCCCCCCACATAGGTATCTGGTTGTTCCAACAGTATTTGTTTTTATATGTTGACCTTGAATCATTTAATCTTGCTTTGCACTTAACAGTTTTATAGGGTTGTGGGGTTTTGGGATCAGTTCCACAGAGCTTTTCTACACACAGTCAGCCCTCTGTATCCATGGGTTCTGCATCTGTATATTCATCCAACCATGGATTGAAAATGTAGTTAGGCCTATTGTGGTTGTGTCTGTACTTAATATGTACAGATTTGTTTTCTTGTCATTATTCTCTAAACAATATAATATAATAACAATTTCCATAGCATTTACATTGTATTAGATATTATCTAGAGACAATTTTAAATATACAGGAAGGTGTACTTAGGTTATATACAAATACTACACCATTTCTTATCTTTTCTTTTTTTCCTGTCTCTTCCCTCCTTCCCTCTCATTCTCTCTCTTTCTCTTTCACTCTCTCTCTTCAAAATCCTCCGGGGTCCTGGGACCAATCTGCCACAGATACCACGAGACAACTGCATACAATCATGTCATCGCCAAATAAAGAGTTTTACTCCTTTCTTTCCGATCTGTATGCCTTTCTCACGTGTATAGATTTGTATGCCCACCACCACACTCAAAATACAGAACAATTCCATCACAAGCATCCCTGTGCTACTCCTTTTGTAGTCAAAAGGCAGCTTCCTTCCTCCACCTCTCCCTAATCCATAGCAACATTAATCTGTTCTCCATCTCCATAATTTTGTCTCTTCAAGAGTGTTATATGAATGGAATCAAATAATGTGTAATCTTTTCTGATCAGCTTTTTTTCCCATTCAGTATAATTCCCTTAAGATCAATCCAAGTATAATTTGTTTTTTTCTTGTTGAGTAGTATTCCATAGTATAGATGTATCACAGTTTGCTTACCCATTTATTTGGGTTGTTTCTAGGTTTTGGTTATTATGAATAAAGCTCCTATGAACATCTATGTGCAGGTTTTTTTAAATAGATATAAAATGTTATATGAATTTTTGTTTCTTGAAATTAAAGGCCCAACAGTGCAATTTGCTGGGTTATATGGTAAGCATATGTTTAGTTTTCTAAGAAATTGCCATATTCTTTTTCCAGAGTGGCTCTGTAATTTTATGTTTCCATCAGCAGTATATGAGTGATTTACTTTCTCTGCATTCTCACAAGCATTTGATGTTACTACTGTTTTTATTTTTTTAACTCTGATAGATGTGTAGTGACACTCATTGTGGTTTTAATTTGCATTTCTCTAATGACTGATGATGTTGAATATCTTTTTGTGTGCTTATTTATCACCCATATGTCCTCTTTAGTGAAATGTCTTTTACAATAAATGAGTTTTTGTAAATGGCCTATATTTATTTTCATTTTAGTAAACTGTTTCACGTTAGACCTGTAACCCAAGGAGATGTGTATAGAGCTGAAACTGAAGAAATTCCTAAAATATTCCAGGTAAAAATCTGAAGTTATAATTTTAAAGAATCTAAGTCCTAAGCGTTTTTGTGAAGTAAATGTAAAATATACCAATGCTTAAGATTTTTAAAATCTTTTCCTTTCACCATTCCTGAATGTAGATACTATATGCAAATGAAGGTGAATGTAGAAAAGATGTAGAGATGGAACCAGTACAAGAAGCTGAAAAAACTAATTTCCAAAATCACAAAGGCCATGAGTTTATTCCTACACTCTACCACTTTCCTGCCAATTGTGATGCCTGTGCCAAACCTCTCTGGCATGTTTTTAAGCCACCCCCTGCCCTAGAGTGTCAAAGACGCCATGTTAAGTGCCACAGAGATCACTTAGATAAGAAAGAGGACTTAATTTGTCCATGTAAAGGTAAGGCATGGTAATTATTGTTACAACTTATAACAAATTTAGTTTTAAGTCTCAATGAACTAACTTATGTGTAGTGATTTCTATACCAAGTTGAAAAGAGATTATAAAAAGTATTATTTTGACACTGGTGGGGCAATATGCAGCTATTTACAGATTTAGCTTTTAAAAATGTTTTTATTTATTTTTATTGATTGATTGATTGAGATGGATTCTCACTCTGTCTCGCCCAGGCTGGAGTGCAGTGGCGTGATCTCAGCTCACTGCAGCCTCTGCCTCCCAGGTTCAAGTGATTCTCCTATCTCAGCCTCCTGAGTAGCTGGGACTATAGGCGTGTGCCACCACACCCGGCTAATTTTGTATTTTTAGTAGAGATGGAGTTTCACCATGTTGTCCAGGCTGGTTTCGAACTCCTGACATCAGGTGATCCACCCACCTCGGCCTCCCAAAGTGCTGGGATTACAGGTGTGAGCCATTGCACGCCCGGCCAACAGTGTTTTTAAAGAGAATCACCCCCTTGTAAACAAACAAAAACAAACAAACATGCTGCTAAGAAATTATTCCAAGTTGGAGAGAAGAGCAACAGGTGAGTTCCACTCTATTCCTCCCTTGAGTTTTTCCTCTTCTTTTTGTCTGGCATTCACTGCCTGGATCAGCATGCATGCTGTATCACAGAATATCTTCTAGTTTTACAGAGGTAGCTTGAGGGAAAGAATACAGACCATAGCTATTTTCAGATAAGAAGCTTATGTTCTTTAAATACATTTATTTGTTTTACATTTTTTTATATTTCTGATTTTACTTTATTAGTTTGACTAATTTTTTTTTTAATTTCAGCCTTATTTAACTTAAGGAGAATGAGATATTGTTCATGCTTAATTAAGCATATTAAAACTTTTAAAACCTTAAGAACTTGAAAAACTATGCATTTGATAGGTTGGATTTTAAAAAACTATATGGCTTTAATTATGCTTTTTTTTTCCTCCTTAACATAGTAAGTTATGATGTAACATCAGCAAGAGATATGCTGCTGTTAGCATGTTCTCAGGATGAACAAAAAAAATGGGTAACTCATTTAGTAAAGAAAATCCCTAAGAATCCACCATCTGGTTTTGTTCGTGCTTCCCCTTGAACGCTTTCTACAAGATCCACTGCAAATCAGTCTTTCCGGAAAGTGGTCAAAAATACATCTGGAAAAACTAGGTAAGGATTTGAAATGCTAACGTTTTTAACAATGTGAAAATGATTGGATAACAGCTATTAAAATCAGAAATCTAATTGTGCTTTTCACCACAGAGGGCATCATTTTTAGGTATTTGTATGTGAATTGCAGTGACTTTATAAATTAGTTTAACTTATTCTTGTTAGAGTTTAATAATAATAATACATGCAATATTATATTTATTTAGTTCTGTGTCTAATTTTATTGTCATAAGTTGCTGTACATGGCATAGTTTTAGCCCTTAATGCTTTAACCAACTTGTTAATTTTTTTAATGCAGAAATTCATATAAAACTTTTCATCATCTTTTCTGTTTTTTAACTGTGTTGGCATAGTTTTTCTACAAAAACCAAAATTGTTTTTCCCTTTTTTGTTAACTTCCCATACTATCCCAACATACAAAATTATTTGGTATTATCAGTGACTATGTTTTTTTAATTATTATACTTTAAGTTCTGGGATACATGTGCAGAACATGCAGGTTTGTTACATGGGTATACACGTGCCATGGTGGTTTGCTGCACCCATCAACCCATCATCTACATTAGGTATTTCTCCTAATGCTATCCCTCCCCTAGCCCCCCACCCCCCGACAGGCCCTGGTGTGTGACGTTCCCCTCCCTGTGTCCATGTTTTCTCATTGTTCAACTCCCACTTACGAGTGAGAACCTGTGGTGTTTGGTTTTCTATTCCTGTGTTAGTTTGCTGAGAATGATGGTTTCCAGCTTCATCCATGTCCCTTCAAAGGATGTGAACTCATGACCCCCTTTTTTTTTTGTTTTTTGTTTTTTGAGACAGAGTCTCACTCTGTCACCCCGGCTGGAGTGCAGTGGTGGCGCTATCTCAGCTCACTGCAACCTCCACCTCCCAAGTTCAAGCAATTCTCCAGCCTCAGCCTCCCAAGTAGCGGGGATTACAGACGCATGCCACGCCTGGCTAATTTTTGTATTTTTAGTAGAGAGAGGGTTTCATCATGTTGGCCAGGCTGGTCTCAAACTCCTGACCTCAAATGATCTGCCTGCCCCAGCCTCCCAAAGTGCTGGGATTACAGGCGTGAGCCACCATGCCTGGCTGTTTAACTATTTTTGATGGACTTTTTTCCAAAAATATGTTTTATGCCATGATAAACAATTATAAGGCATAACCATTCATTCATTCATTCATTCATTCATTCATTCATTTTGAGACAGAGTCTCGCTCTGTCACCCAGGCCAGAGTGCAGTGGCGCAATCTCAGCTCACTGCAACCTCTGCCTCCCAGGTTCAAGCTATTCTCCCACCTCAGCCTCCTGAGTAGCTGGGACTACAGGCGCCTGCCACCACACCCAGCTAATTTTTGTATTTTTAGTAGAGATGGAGTTTCAACGTGTTGGCCAGGCTGGTCTTGAACTCCTGACCTCAGGTGATGCACCTTCCTGGGCCTCCCAAAGTGCTGCGATTACAGGCGTGAGCCACCGCACCAGGCAGTTAACTCTTTCTTGGACAGAAATTATGAAATCTCATCTCATTAAGTTCTCATTTTACACATTAGTAAATAAGGCTCAGAGAAATTAAGCAGTTTGCTCAATCACACAGCCAATGGATTGGAAACCATTTCTGTCCAATTCTAAAGCCTATGTTGTCCAATTCCAAAGCCTCTATTCTACCACATACCACCTTCCCTAGAGTGTACTCCCTAGATTAATAGGGCCACTCGAATGAGAAGCTGAGACCTAACACTGATCTGCCTCGCTGCCAGTGTCACCCACATCTTCCAAGCAGGCTGAAAGCCATCCTGAATTCATCCCTTTTGTTCATGCCCTATTGTCAGTAACCAGGCCTAATTCTTTGAAATGACTTATATCCTTTCCTTTCTCAGCCACCATACTATGCCAGGTATTATCACCTTACTGCTAACTTAATTCTGTAGAATGCTATGTCAGCCTTCTCCTGAGCATAGGTTGTAAACTGGCTCTAAAATGATTTGAAATGGGATTATAGCTGAGTAAGAAAATGTGTAGAAACAAAGAGGAGAGAATACTAAGTATATTTTTCCTATTCCTTGTTTTCCAAATTTTGTGTAATTGTTAATTATTGTATGTAAAGATAATGTATATTTACCTTTCCTCCTAATGTTTGTTTCTCGTATTTTTAAACTGAGTGCATTTCTTAAATTAGTTTTTCCCCCCTCCCTCAACAGTTAACCATGTGACCGAGTGCCTTGTGGAATCGTGTGGGATGCTACCTGATAAACCAGGCTTCTTTAACCATGCAGAGCAGACAGGCTGTTTCTTTGACACAAATATCACAGGCTTCAGGGTTAAGATTGCTGTTTTTCTGTCCTTGCTTTGGCACAACACACTGAGGGTTTTTTTTATCGCGGGTTTGCCTACAGGTAGATTAGATTAATTATTACTATGTAATGCAAGTACAGTTGGGGGAAAGCTTAGGTAGATATATTTTTTTTAAAAGGTGCTGCCTTTTTGGATTTATAAGAAAATGGCTGTCAGTCGTGATAGAACAGAGTTTTCCTCATATGAGTAAGAGGAAGGGACTTTCACTTTCAAGTGGAACGGCCATCACTATCAAGATCAGCTCATGGAAGGAGTAAAGAAAATATCTCAAAATGAGACAAACTGAAGTTTTGTTTTTTTTTTAATGACTTAAGTTTTTGTGCTCTTGCAAGACTATACAAAACTATTTTAAGAAAGCAGTGATATCACTTGAACTTCAGTGCCCTCACTGTAGAATTTAAAAGCCTTACTGTTGATTGCCCATGGTGGACTTGATGGAGAAATTAAATATCTTTCATTATGCTTTACAAAATACTGTATATGTTTCAGCAAGTTTGGGGAATGGGAGAGGACGAAAAAAAGTTACATTTAATCTATGCATTTTTGCCAAGCCATATTGAGTTATTTTACTACTAGAGACATTAGGAAACTAACTGTACAAAAGAACCAAGTTTAAAAGCATTTTGTGGGGTACATCATTTCTATAATTGTATAATGTATTTCTTTGTGGTTTTAAATGATAAAGACATTAAGTTAACAAACATATAAGAAATGTATGCACTGTTTGAAATGTAAATTATTCTTAGAACACTTTCAATGGGGGTTGCATTGTCCTTTTAGTGCCTTAATTTGAGATAATTATTTTACTGCCATGAGTAAGTATAGAAATTTCAAAAAATGTATTTTCAAAAAATTATGTGTGTCCGTGAGTTTTTCATTGATAATTGGTTTAATTTAAAATATTTAGAGGTTTGTTGGACTTTCATAAATTGAGTACAATCTTTGCATCAAACTACCTGCTACAATAATGACTTTATAAAACTGCAAAAAATGTAGAAGGTTGCACCAATATAAAAAGGAAATATGGCAATACATCCATGATGTTTTCCAGTTAACATAGGAATTACCAGATAAATACTGTTAAACTCTTGTCCGGTAACAAGAGTTGATTCATATGGACAGTATGATTTATTGTTTCTTTTTTTAACCAAATACCTCCTCAGTAATTTATAATGGCTTTGCAGTAATGTCTATCAGATAAGAAGCACTGGAAAACCGATCGTCTCTAGGATGATATGCATGTTTCAAGTGGTATTGAAAGCCGCACTGATGAATATGTAATAATAAACATATCTGTTATTAATATAGTAATGACTGTGCTCATTTAATGAGAAATAAAAGTAATTTATGGATGGATATCTTTAATTTTGACTGCAATGTGTTTTCTCATGGCTGAAATGAATGGAAAACATACTTCAAATTAGTCTCTGATTGTATATAAATGTTTGTGAAATTCCATGGTTAGATTAAAGTATATTTTTAAAAGATAAAACGTGGTCTTGGGCTCTAAAACAAGAGTGGGAATAGTTCACATGAAAAGCTGGCTAAAGTGTGTTGGAAAACAATTCTCCATGGGTCTCTTGCATTTCTGCACATCAGGGAAGCAGAGGCTCTGACAATCTTTCTTTTGACTATCTTTTCCAAGGATATTTATGTAGTAAACAGCCTTGGAAGATAGAGTGTCTCCCTTGTGAGGATGTCGGGTTCTTTTACTGTCCAGTATAATAAAGATAACGTCTCCCACCTATGATGCAAACCCACTGTGTGCTCAGCACCCACCTGGGCCACTCTGCCCACATGGGGCTTGGAGGGCAAAGGGAACTGATGGAACATGAAACTTATGCTGCTTTTGCTGTGCTGTGAATGAAGTCATCTGACTCTGACCCAGGGGTCTCATCTCTTTTGTCAGGATCCATGAAACTGTGACTGGCAGCATGCAAACAGGATAAAATCTCAGCACAGTTCCTGACGGTGTCCTTACTACCTTCTCAGACTCATCACCATTACCTAATATTTTAAGGTCCAGTTGCAGAGAACAGAGTTAATTCTAATTAGTTTAAGCAAGAGAAGACTTTCCAAATGACATACTAATCTGAACTTAGAATTGTTGAGAACTGAGCTTTGAGGAAGCACTCCCAATGCCACATTACAGAACTGGGTCAACCAGGAGAGCTGCTTCCTCTTCTAAGTTCAGGAAACCACTCACTCCCAAGTATACCAATATTGAGAGGGTCCAGATAGTGCCATAATCAGGAATCCACACTACCACTGCTGGTTCTCTGCAACACTTGTCAGGCTTGCTACAATCTACCTCCAGTTAGATGTTTTGTACCATTCCTCTTGCCACTTAAGAACCTCATGTCTGCACACTGCCTCAGAAAAGGCACTTCCATGACCCTGCTTGCTGGCATTTAGCACAGCCTGCATCTCACATCTGCCTTCTCTAGGTGCATCTACGTGGCCAAAATTAAATCACATCCAGACCCCTAGCTGCAAGAAAGTCTGAGAAATATAGCCTCTAGCTTTCTCTCTAATTTGTTACAGGAGGACACACTAGGAGTGTGGAATGAAGGTTCAGCATTGAGTTAGCCCATGCACCCACACCTGTAAGCTTCTCTGAGATCAGGAACTCCAGCTTTGGGCAACAAAGAAAACATAGCCACTGTCATTATTCACAGGTTCACTCATGACCTGTCATTTGGGGTTTCAGCTTAAATTAACCCGTTCACCCTTCATTTAAAGTAAAAAAAATAAGTAAAAGAACTTAAATGACAAACTCATAGTTACTTGAGTTTGTAATTCATAGTTAACTTTCACAGTTCTATAATCAATCTGGAATTCATTTGTGAGGTAGAGATCAAGCAGTATTTCTCCCATATGGATATTCAGTTGATACTGCAGTATTCATTGAAAAGACTTCTTTCCTGCATCGTAATTCAGGTGAACAATCCATTGGTGTTATTTCTCTGTCCTTGCCAATATCACACTTTTAATTACTGTAGCTTTATAATAAGATTTTATATCTGTAGTAGAAGTCCAACTTTGTAATCCCTCCCAATTGGCTTGGCTATTCTTGGCCTTTTGCATTTCCATATAATTTTTTTTTTTTTTGAAACGAAGTTTCGCTCTTGTTGCCCAGGCTGGAGTGCAGTGGCGCGATCTCGGCTCACTGCAACCTCCGCCTCCCAGGTTCAAGTGATCCTCCTGCCTCAGACTCCCGAGTAGCTGGGATTACAGGTGCCCACCACCATGCCCAGCTAATTTTTGTATTTTTAGTAGAGACAGGGTTTCACCATGTTGGCCAGCCTGGTCTTGAACTCCTGACCTCAGGTGATCCACACCCACCTTGGCCTCCCAAAGTGCTGGGATTACAGGCATGAGCCACCGCGCCTGGCTGCATTCCCATATAAATTTAAAAACAATCTACTGAAAGATGTATACGACCTCCACCAAGAAAATTGTAAGACATTTGGAGAAGTTGAAAAAGACATGAATAAACGGAAATGGTTTTTTTAAATAAACAAATGATTTTTAAAGTTGATCATTAGGTTAATAAATAGTCATATAATGACAATCTGATGAGATTATGTTGCCCAGGGTGGACTCTAACTCCTAGCCTCAAGCAGTTTTACTCTCTCATTACAGGTGTAGGCCACCGTGCCTGGCCTGACACTTGGAAATCTTAATCACAATTATTCTTTGTTTTTATAATGTTTACTGTTCAAATCAATTTCTGGTTGGATAGTATGTATATATAAAGCCATGCTCAATGGCCTAGATATATTTACTGCCAAATCTTTTATGCTTTTAGTGTTTTTTTCTGGACAAGATCTATGCTTATTGCAATAAATTAAATGCAAAGAATATTCTAGTAGAAAGTCAGTCTGCACTTCCTAAACCCCACCCCACCCCACCAATTCCTTCATAACTGTTATTAACAGTTAGCTGTGTTTTCTAATGGATTATCTCCAAAGTATATGTAACTCAGATTTTTGTGAGGTAGGAAAAGAATAACATTAATTCCACTTCACATATTGAAAGTCTAACATACAAAGAGATTAAATATCTCCTTTCTTTTGCCGAATGTTAATGAATTGTCTTATGAGAATTAAGATATGATACTTGCTCCCAAGCTATACTGTTTCCCATAAAGTATTTGAGATGTTGGAGATTCAAGGGAAAAATATAAATGCTTAGAAATAAAGTGTATAATTCAAAGACTGTGAATAAAGTGACACTTGTAGGTTGATCCTATAAATTGGTTTCTTGTACCATGTAGGATGGTTTGGCTATTAAATTGAATTAAGTGGTTCATTTGCCTGGATAACTGTGAGTGTAGAATCTAACTTTCACTTAGACTAGTTATTTAAGAGAGTCTACAACCGGCCGGGCGCGGTGGCTCACGCCTGTAATCCCAGCACTTTGGGAGGCCAAGGTGGGCAGATCACCAGGTCAGGAGATTGAGACCAGCCTGGCTAACACGGTGAAACCCCATGTTTACTAAAAATACAAAAACGAAATTAGCCGGGCGTGGTGGCGGGCGCCTGTAGTCCCAACTACTCGGGAGGCTGAGGCAGGAGAATGGCGTGAACCCACAAGGCGGAGCTTGCAGTGAGCCGAGATCACACCACTGCACTCCATCCTGGGCGACAGAGAGAAACTCCATCTAAATAAATAAATAAATAAATAAAGTCTACAACCAAATAATGTGGCAGAAATATAATATGGGCCCAGCTGGGTAAAAGGAAATATTTTGGATCTTCCTTCTACTTAGGCCGAATGGATGTTTCTGGTTTGTTTTGTTTTGTTTTGAAATGGAGTCTTGCTCTTGTTGCCAGGCTGGAGTGCAGTGGTATGATCTCGGCTCATTACAAACTCCACCTCCCGGGTTCAAGCAGTTCTCCTGCCTCAGCCTCCCGAGTAGCTGGGATTACAGGCGCCTGCCACTATGCCCAGCTAATTTCTGTATTTTTAGTAGAGACGGGGTTTCGCCATGTTGGCCAGGCTGGTCTCGAACTCCTGACCTTGTGATCCACCCACCTCAGCCTCCCAAAGTGCTGAGATTATAGGCGTGAGCCACCATGCCCAGCCTGAATGGATGTTTCTTAGATTTACTCACTCTTGGCCAAGGTTTCATTAGTTCTGGTTGATGTAAGTTCTGTGCTGTGTGCAACACATTTGCTAACTCTGCTCAGGCCTAATTCTCATTCAAAATATGTCAATTAATCACAAGAGGGGCCATCTAAGAGTAGGCATAAAGGAGGTCAAAACTAGAAAAGAAAAAAAAATGTTTCCACTACGTTATTACCTCAAGATCTTGAAATTAAGATGTTTCAAGGTTAAAACGTAACTTTCACCTTTACAAAAAGTATCCTATTCTCAACTTTACAAGGTATTACCAACTATAGGTATTAACATCCCTACTTTATGATAGGACAATTTTATATGTTTAGGCCAGGCACAGTGGCTCATGCCTGTTATCTCAGCACTTTGGGAGGCCAAGGCCAGTGGTCACTTAGGTAGCTCAAGACCAGCCGTGGGCAACATAGCAAAACCCTGTTTCTACCAAAATACAAAAAAGTAGCAAGGTGTGGTGGCATGCATCTGTGGTCTCAGCTACTTGGGAGGCTGAGGTGGGAGGATTGCTGGAGCCCAGGAAGTTGAGGCTGCAGTGAGCCGTGATTGTGCCACTGCACTCCAGCCCGGGTGACAGACTCTGTCTCAATAAATAAATAAATAAAATACATAATATTCTGTTCTAGGGCACACAGCTATAAACCTCAATTTGCTAGATGGAATGTGAAGGTAAACTAACTTACAGCTGAAAAAAAAACAGTCATGAATTTGAATCCTGACTTACTGGGCTTTAGTATATTTCATATATCATAATCTGTTATTTAGAGGGGAAAACTTTGATTTCACTGTCATGGTATGGAAATAAGTCTTGGTTTTTTAAACTTTATAGTATGAACTCATCACTCACTTATAGTAGGCAGAAATATAGCTGTAAATGAACATTTTATCAAATGCAAAATAACAAATATAATAATAGGTGTCATTTTTTACTGGACTGAAAGCCTCTAGCAGGCTACACTTCATAAAGGAAACATTAAATGAATTATGAGCTTTATGAACACTATAGATTATTTTTCCTTTATGGTAATGTCATTTAACAGGAACTTTATTACTAAAATTCATCTCTAGGCATTGTTCAGTTGGATATATGTTGTATGTTGTCATTTCATAATATTCAGAAACTAACATTAGCTATTATAGAAATTTTTCTTATTTTTCCTTTTTACACTATATATACATTACATCCTGTGTCAACTACAGCTCACTTCTATGGTTCTGACTATTCAACAAGAATTCCTAGGTCTTTCCTGTGTACCATATTGTTATTCTAATTATCCATATAATTATACTGCATTAAACACTGCTATCTGTGAATAGGCTCATTTATTTTACTAAGTTCAAGATAATACTGATATTTTTTAATTCTGCAAAAAATATAAAATGCATTTTTATACCTACTACCCAGAATGAGCAAATATTGTCTTTATATTTCCTTTAAATTGCTTTTTTTAAAGAAATAAAAATTACAGATTTAATCAAAGACTTCTGTGTACCTCCGTTCCCAGTTCTATTCTCTTTCCTTCCCCCTCAAAAGCCATAAATAACTGCTGTTAATTTGATGTGTATTCTCCTCATTCGCATTCTGTCCCTTTGCTAAAACCCTTGTATCTATATAAAGCTGTTTTATATGGCTTCTACATTTATATAAATGGCATTACACTTTTCACATGTAATACTCTATAACTTGGCTTTTTTTGTTTTTGTTTGTTTTTGTTTTTTTGTTTTTGTTTAAGATAAGGTCTTGCTCTGTCGCCCAGGCTGGAGTGCAATGGTGTGATCACAGCTCACTGCAGCCTCGACCTCCTGGGCTCAAGCGATCCTCCCCCCACCTAAGCCTTCCAAGTAGCTAGGACTACAGGCATGCACCACCATGCCCGGCTGATTTTCTTATTTTTTGTAGAGATGGGGTTCCACTGTTGTCCAGGCTGCTCTTGAACTCCTAGGCCCAAGCAATCCTCCCACCTTGGCCTCCCAAAGTGCTGGGATTACATATGTAAGCCACGAAGCCCTGCCTCTATAACTTGTTTATTTCATCAATATTATTTATACCATTTACAATCCAAAGAGTATTTACATTACATTATAATGTCATATCTATTCCAACCAGGCTTTCAAGAAAGTGCATTTACTGTCATAGAAAAAAGGGAACATCTTCATAATTGTGCCTGAAATTGTATTTCTCATTAGCTCACTTGTTTAATGAACGTATTACATTAATTCACACTTGCACCACAAATACTCAAAAAGTAGAAACTCTCAACTATTCTCATGTTAATCATATTATTATTACAAATTATGTGATCAATAACTCCTCTAACTATAAAAGAGGCAGGCCAACCTAGAACAAACATTGTAATTAACAAGGAAACTTCAGAGTCAGAAACAACCAGGATTCCTACTATTATTCAACATTTTTCTGAGATAAATGCAGCAAAACACAAATACGTATTACACATATTGGAAAGAAGCAGCAAACCTGCCATTACTTGCCGATCATGATTGCTTACCAAAACTGTTCCAAACAACTAACTGAAAAATGATTAGAACTAGCAAGAGACCTTAGTCATATTTAGCCTTATTTGTTTTGTTAGACTCACATCATATTTTAAAAATATTGTTTAGTTGCTAATTTATCTTTTTTTTGAGATGTGTATTAGTCCACTTTCACCCTGTTAATAAAGACATACTTGAGACTGAGCAATTTACAAAAGAAAGACATTTAATGGACTTACAGTTCCATGTGGCTGGGGAAGCTTCACAATCATGGTGGAGGCTGAAAGGCTTGTCTCACATGGAGGCAGACAAGATAAGAAAGCTTGTGCAGGAAAGCTTCCACTTATATAATCATCAGATCCCGTGAGGGTCACTTACCCCCACAAGAACAGCACAGGAAAGACGTGCCCCCATGATTCAACTACCTCCCCCAAGGCCTCCCACAGTGCCTGGGAATTCAAGATGAGATTTGGGTAGGGACACAGCCAAACTACATCATTCCACCCCTGGCCCCTCCCAAATCTTATGTCTTCGTATGTCAAAACCAATCATGCAGCCGGGTGCAGTGGCTCATGCCTGTGATCCCAGCACTTTGGGAGGCTGAGGTGGGTGAATCACCTGAGGTCAAGAGTTCAAGACCAGCCTGACTAACATGGTGAAACCCTGTTTCTACTAAATATATAAAGGTTAGCCGGGCATGGTGGCAGGCACCCATAATCCCAGCTACTCGGGAGATTGAGGCAGGAGAATCCCTTAAACCTGGGAAGCAGAGGTTGCAGTGAGTTGAGATCATGCCTCTGCATTCCAGCCTGGGACTCAGAGCAAGACTCCATCTCAAAAAAAGAAAAGGAAAAACAAAACAAACCAATCATGCCTTCCCAACAGTCTTCCAAAGTCTTAACTCATTTCAGCATTAACTCAAAAGTCCACAGTCCAAAGTCCCATCCGAGACCAGGCAAGTCCCTTCCGCCTATGAGCCTGTAAAATCAAAAGCAAGTTAGTTACTTCCTGGATACAATGGGGGCACAGGCATTGGATAAATACAGCCATTCCAAATGGGAGGCATTGGCCAAAACAAAGGGGCTACAGGATCCATGCAAGTCCAAAATACAGTGGGGCAGTCAAATCTTAAAGCTCCAAAGTGACATCTTTTGACTCCATGTCTCATATCCAGGTCGCACTGATGGTTCCCATGGTCTTGGGCAGCTCTGCCCCTGTGACTGCAGGGTTCAGCCTCCTTCCTGGCTGCTTTCATGGGCTGGTGTTGAGTGTCTGTGGCTTTTCCAGGCACACAGTGCAAGCTGTCAGTGGATCTACCATTCTGGGGTCTGGAGGACGGTGGCCCTAGGCGGTACCCCAGTAAGGACTCTGTGTGGAGACTCCAACCTCACATCCCTTCTGCACTGCCCTGGCAAAGGTTCTCCATGAGGGCCCCACCCCTGCAGCAAACTTCTGCCTGGGCATCCAGGCATTTCCATACATCTGAAATCTAGGCCAAGGTTCCTAAACCTCAGTTCTTGACTTCTCTGCACCTACAGGCTCAACACCACATGGAACCTGCCAAGGCTTGGGTTTTCCACTCTCTGAAGCAACAGCCCAAGCTGTCTCTTAGCCCCTTTTAGTGACGGCTGGAGTGGCTGGGATGCAGAGCACCAAGTCTTTAGACTGCACACAGCATGGGGACTCTGCCTGGCCCACAAAACCATTTTATCCTAGGCCTCTGGGTCTGTGATGGGAGGGGCTGCCGTGAAGGCCTCTGACATGCCCTGGAGACATTTTTCCCATTGTCTTGGGGATTAACATCTTACTTATGCAAATTTCTGCAGCCAGCTTCAATTTCTCCTCAGAAAATGGGTTTTTCTTTTCTATCACATTGTCAGGTTGCAAATTTTCTGAACTTTTATGCTCTACTTCCCTTATAAAACTGAATGCCTTTAACAGCACCCATGTCACCTCTTGAATGCTTTGCTGCTTAGACATTTCTTCCACCAGATACCCTAAATCATCTCTCTGAAGTTCAAAGTTCCATAAATCTCTAAGGCAGGGGCGAAATGCTGCCAGTCTCTTTGCTAAAACATAACAAGAGTCACCTTTGCTCCTGTTCCCAACAAGTTCCTCATCTCCATCTGAGTCCACCTCAGCCTGGACCTTATTGTCCATATCGCCATCAGCATTTTGGACAAAGCCATTCAACAAATCTCTAGGAAGTTCCAAACTTTCCCACATTTTCCTGTCTTCTGCTGAGCCCTCCAAACTGTTTCAACCTCTGCCTGTTACCCAGTTCCAAAGTTGCTTCCACATTTTCCGGTATCTTCTCAGCAACACCCCACTTCTGGTACCAATTTACTGTATTAGTCCATTTTCACACTGCTGATAAAGACATACCTGAGACTGGGCAATTTACAAAAGAAAGACATTTAATGGACTTACAGTTCCACGTGGCTGAGGAGGCTTCCCAATCGTGGTGGAGGGTGAAAGGCATGTCTCACATGGTGGCAGACAAGATAAAAGAGCTTGTGCAGGGAAACTCCCCCTTCTATAATCATCAGATCCCATGAGAGTAATTCACCACCATGAGAACAGCACAGGAAAGACCTGCCCCCATGATTCAACTACCTCCCACCAGGTCCCTCCCACACATGGGGGAATTCAATACGAGATTTGGGTGGGGACACAGCCAAATCACATCAGATGGGGTCTCACTCTCTTGCCCAGGCTGGAGTGCAGTGGTGCAATCTCGGTTCATTGCAAGCTCTGCCTCCTGGGCTCAAGTGATCCTCCCGCCTCAGTCTCCCTAGTAGCTGGGACCACAGGCACATGCCACCATGCCCAGCTAATTTTTTGTATTTTTGGTAGAGATGGGGTCTTGCCATGTTGCCCAGGCTGGTCTTGAACTCCTGAGCTCAAGCAATCTGCCCATCTTGGCCTCCAAAAGTGCTGGGGTTACAAGCAAATAGTTGCTAATTTAAAAACTGGAATACTTCAAATACAAATCTGATTTCCAATAACTGTTTCTCAACACAGGGCCAGAGGCCTGCACAGCAGCAATATCCTCTCACTGTTTTCTGAGAGAGGATATGTTTTCTATTTCACCCAGTCCTTACCTGGACCACTTATTTGTGTTATCTGTCTGATGTTTAAGATCACCTGAATTTTCAGTGCTGCCAAAAAAGGTAACAATTGGCAGATGATACATACAAATATAAAACTTCTATATGGCAAATAACTCCAGAAACAAACAAACTATAAATGGCACTGAGAAAAATACTTGAAACATGAGAGAAAAAGTTTAAAATTCTAAAAATCCTGTAAATCAACGGATTTTTTAAAAGTAACCCTATAGAAAAATGAGCTAAAGGTGATGAACAAGCAGTTAATTTTAGAAATGCAAATGATTTAGTGCTGCTTGCTTGGTTAGGTAAAAAATAATAATATACAGGGCCGGGCAAAGTGGCTCACGCCTGTAATTCCAGCACTTTGGGAGGCTGAGGTGGGCAGATCACTTGAGGTCAGGTGTTCGAGACCAGCCTGGCCAACACAGTGAAACCCCATCTCTACTCAAATACAAAAATTACCCATGCATGGTGGTGGGCACCTGTAATCCCAGCTACCTGGGGGGCTGAGGCAGGAGAACTGCTTGAACCTGGGAGGTGGTGGTTGCAGTGAGACGAGATTGTGCCACTACTCCAGCCTGGGTGATAGAGCAAGACTCCATCTTAAAATAATAATAATAATAATATACAAATGGCTAATAAAGTATGGGAACTGCATTTAGAATACCAGCATACCTTCTTGCCCATTAAATTTATGGGGTTTTTTCATTATAATATCCATTACTTTCAAAAAATCGAAAAATGGTTACTACTGGGGGTAATTTATTTTGGTGGTATTTATCAATATATTAAGTATATAGGCCTTTGATAGGGAATTTCACTTCTATGACTGATCCCATGGAAATGTTCACACATATGCACCAAGATATATATGCATAAGTTTAGTACAGTGTAAGAATACATTACTGAGCCATTTTTGTCCCTGAAGCATCACATTTGTGTTTTAAGGCCCCTTTGAACACTACTTCCAAACCAGGCTTTTGTTGTTGTTGTTGAGTGGTCTGTGTCTCTAAAGAATTAAGTTGGATGGTATCAACAGGAAAACAAAGAAGGTTGGTGCTGTAAGTGAAGGGTGGTTGGGGGTGGACTAAACTAATCCAAGATGGGGCAGGAAGAGGGGCAGGGTGGAAAGGAACCTATGGAGGGAGAGCCTGAGACACCATGTGGATCTTGGATGGGACTTGAATGGACATAGATGTGTGAGTACATAGGAGAACTGGCCATTAAGAACCCAGGCTCGGCCAGGCGCGGGGGCTCACGCCTGTAATCCCGGCACTTTGGGAGGCTGAGGCGGGTGGATCACCTGAGGTCAGGAGTTCGAGACCAGCCTGGCCAACATGGTGAAACCCCGTCTCTACTAAAAATACAAAAATTAGCCGGGCATGGTTGTGGGTGCCTGTAATCCCAGCTACTCGGGAGGCTGAGGCAGGAGAATTGCTTGAACCCGGGAGGTGGTGAGTGGAGATCATGCCACTACACTCCAGCCTGGGTGACAGAGTGAGACTTTGTCTCAAAAAAAAAAAAAAAAAAAAAAAAAAAAAAAGAACCCAGGCCCTGGGGAAGTTTTCAATCCAAATGATGAGACAGAGGATTCAGAATATTAGTGACAACCACTATGGGTTAAATTCCAGATCCCCCTCATTTTCCCAGATGGAGATAAGCTCCTGCGTTTTTGCACTATCCAGTGGAGATGGGCAAGGAACCCAAATAATAACTGGTGTTAGAGTGACCATATATATAGTCCAAACTGGAGTACTTTTGAAATAAATGGGGCTAAATATACCAAGAAAATCAGCATAAACAAGGACATATGGTCACCCTTTTGGTAATGGATGTCTTATCTATGTTAGAAAATGAGAACGGGGAATATATATATGGATGTTATCATTTATAGAAAAATATTTCATGTATCTTGAGTGTCATAGAACAATTTATATTATTACCTTCACATAACAAAAATTTATAAACCTAAATATCTTAAATTATTAGCAAATTAATTACAAAATTCTCTATATTCATGATAAAAAAACTGTAGATGTATATGTATAGACTTGGAAAGATAATGAATATAATACAATTGTAAAAGGTTCCCTGTGGTTTTGTTCTATGTCACCTTGGCTACACTGGAACTACACTTTCTAGAATTCTATGCCCTGTATGATACTGAGTTACAGCTGGCAAAAGAAAAATTTACTTGAGATTTGGGGTGGGGAAGGAATACTTCAGACATTACTCTCTGCAGGTCTTCATGGTTAAATAGGGTGCCTTACCTGCGGTATTACCACTTTTAGGATTCCAGATTAGAAATCCTAGCCAACTGGTTGAGCGCAGTGACTCATTCATGCCTGTAATCACAGTACTTTGGGAGGCCAAGGCAGGCGGATCACTTCAGGTCAGGAGTTTGAGACCACCCTGGCCAACATGGTGAAACCTCATCTCTACTAAAAATACAAAAATGAGCTCCAGCCTGGGTGACAGAGCAAGTCTTCGTCTCAAAAAAAAAAAGAAAGAAAAAAAAAGAAATCCTAGCCAACTATATTTCAATATTTATGTGATATTTTTCAAGAAGAGTAGTTACAAGATTACCAGACATTAATAGTGAAAAACAAACAAACAAAAAATCCCCTCCATCATTGTGGAATAGCTCCATTATTGTCTTCAAAGCATTTTCTGTACAAGCTCCCTCAGAGCTCTTTTTTCCGGGTGTAGCTCCTACTTCAGAACATGGCATACAAAATTCCCCACAATCAGGCCGGGTGCGGTGGCTCACACCTGTGATCCCAGCACTTTGGGAAGCTAAGGTGGGTGGAATACTTGAGGTCAGGAGTTTGAGACCAGCCTGGCCAACCTGACACGTCCCTGTAATCCCAGCTACTCGGGAGGCTGAGGCAGAAGAATCACTTGAGCCAAGATCACACCACTGCACTCCAGCCTGGGTGACAGAGTGAGACCCTGTCTCAAGAAAAAAAAAAAAAATCCCCACAATGAGTAATTTTCCCTTGAAAAGCCCCTTGAATAGTAATCTCTATTTTTATAGGCCTCTAATACATTATTTTAGTGTTTAAAAGGTAATTACAAGAAGATACGTGATTACAAACAGAATTTTTACAGTTGCTTCAGGTGTTACCCTGATGCTGCCTATAGAACATTTTTAACCTCTTTTCCAATTTCTGATGGACTTATAGCCACTTTTTTTAAAAGCCTCAGGGTTTCACAGGTTCCACCTAATTATCAACTTCACTTTGAAAGATCATCATTTCATATTACAACTGCATTTCACACAAAATCTCCACTTCAGGTCTGAAGTAGCTCCCTGTTAAACTGAACTTCTGCAGATGTGACTCCCTCATGATACTGGCACTATTGCAGGCCATATTTTTCTACTTTTAAGTAATACTGTTGGCATCTAAGCCATTCATTTTAGAAAAATAATCCTTGTATGAATTTTCTGTATTTATTAAGACAGTGTCACAGTGCCAGCCTCAACCTTAATAATTATGGTGATCATCTCAACTTTATATATGTAGAACAAATCAAGCCTTTATAAATGAGGTTGAGAATTTTTAGGGTCTGCACAACCACCTTAATACAGTTTTGTTTCATCACCATTACAGCACGGGTCTGGAAGGCTAGATTAGGCTGTGGTATCACTCCCTCAAATCTCAGTGGCTTACAAAAACAAAGGTTTACTTCCCCCTCATACTACATTTCCATTATAGGTCAGCTGCAACTTTGCTTTGTGTCCTATTCACTCTGGGACCCAGGGCAATGAAGTAGCCTCTCTTTCAAATATTGCCAATCATCATGGCAAAGGATAAAAGGACATGGTGATGCATGAGCTAGTTTTCAACACTTCCGCCCAGATATGGCACCTAGCACTGCCAACTTGCATTTCATGGTCATAGCAAGTCATAAGGCCACGTCTGCCATCAAGGAGGTGAGGATACATAATCCATATGGGAGTGCAGAAAATACAGGGGAACAATAAAATATTATGCCAGAATTACTTTCTTTTTCTTTGACTAATAAATCAATGTTTTTATACATGGGCACCAAAAATTAATACCTGTGTTTTGCTGGAAAAAAAGTGGTTTGATTTTTCTTCTCTACTTCCTCCCATTTATTTTTTTTTCCATTTCATCCTCCAATCTATATTTCTAAGAGCCACAGAATTAATTTTAATGCTGGTAGTGATCTTAGAGATAGTCCAACTCAAGTTACTTACTCTTCAAGTAAGGATACCAATACTAGAGAGGAAATTGTAAGATGCCCATGTTTTAAACTGTAATTAGCTGGGCCTGCTGGCACACTTCTGTAGTCGCTACTCATGAGGCTGAGACAGGAATGCTGCTTGAACCCAGGAGTTTGAGTGCAGCCCGGGCATCATCTCTAAATAAATAAAGTTGCAACAGAACAAAACAGACTAAAACCCAGGTCTCTCAATTTATAATTGAATGCTTCTGCAACATATAGCTTTGTTTCCAAAACTGAGTTATTAAAATGATGTGCCTTTTAATAAATAAGAGTGCATGTTATCATTCAGTACCTAAAACATAATTACAGAAAACATTTAAATATGTGAGGAAAACCATAAAAACAGGACTCATGTTAGAAAATCATTTTTACAATGTGCACTTTTTTGCATGAGGAATCTTTTGGTTGCAAATGGAAAACCCAACACACACTGGCTAAAGAAGAAACTTACTGATTCATGAAATTTGTTTAATTCAAAGTGCAGGGAAAAAGCTAGCTTTGAGCGTGAGTCCAGTAGCTCCAGTGAAGCTTCTAGCATCTTTGTACCTCTAGCCCACTTTTCTCCTTTGGGGTGGCCTCCTTCTCACAGTCTCCTCATCTTACTGCAGCGCCAGGCCTACGTTCTACAAGTGTAGCAATCTCAGGACAAAGAGCATCTCTGTTGCCTACTTATTCCAGGGGCCAGGGAACTCCTCCCATTAGCTGAGTCACATGTCTCTGGTTGAACCAATCACTACAGGCAGAGGGAAGCCGTGTTCTGATTGGTCACACCAGAGTCACGTGAGGTCAGACCCACACAAACCACCTGCACTGAAAGTGGCGGAAGGACTGGTTTGCAAACCGGCTGCTGTTTCCGGCAAAAAAAAAAAAAAAAGAGGCAAAAGCCACAAATTTTTCTTATAGCTGTTGGTTGCTTTGATTCACTACAGGCAAAACCAAGAAACTATGGCAAATTTTACAGTCAATAAAACTGAGTAAAAATTAAAAAAAGATTTGATAAATAGGTGTTTGGTGGAAAATAAAGTCTAGGGATGATTAATATAAGAAATATTAGTCTAAACATGGTGAGCTTTTCTGTGGAATCAAAAAATCTGAATGTGGCCGGGCGAGGTGGCTCACAGAGGCGGGTGGATCATCTGAGCTCTAGCGTTCGAGAACAGCCTGGGCAACATGGTGAAACCCGGTCTCTACTAAAAACAAAAATTAGCTGGCGTGGTGGTGCGCGCCTGTAATCCCAGCTACTCCGGAGGCTGAGGCAGGAGAATCGCTTGAACCCAGCAGGCGGAGGTTGAATTGAGCCGAGATCGCACCACTGCACTCCAGCCTGGGTGAGAGAGCGAGGCTCACAACAAGGAAGAGAGAGAGAGAGAGGCAGAGAGAGAGAGAGAGAGATCTGAATGTGAGGATCAAAAGTAAATTGAACTCCTGACCTTAAGTGATCTGCCTGCCTCAGCCTCCCAAAGTGCTGGGATTACAGGCATGAGCCACTGCACCCGGCCAAATTGGGAATGATAAAATGTATATGATTGAAAAAGAGTCTGTTGTTTGGGGGGTGTCCACATCTTTTCCTGCTGTTTCCCTCCCACGCACCCTGCACACTACCAATCTTTGTTAAAATGTGTGTAGGTTTCTAGAAGAAAAGCAATTTATCGTCTTGTTGCTGTGGTTCCCAGGTGAGTTGCTAGTAGGAAAACAAGAACACTGTTATTTTGACAGAGCAAGTTGTGACGCTAAGAAATGACTTAACTGCACAGGAGCAGATTTTAAACCAGTATTTCCATTGCTGCCACCTAGTTGTCCACTTTAATTTTCTGCTTCAGTGTTTTAAATCTTGCTCCAAAGTACGTGATATACAAATTATTGTTTATCTCATTATGTATTTGTTAAAGAAAATAAAATGAAATTATATATATATATATATATTTTTTTTTTTTGAGACGGAGTCTTACTCTATTGCCCAGGCTGGAGGGCAGTGGTGCGATCTCACTGCAACCTCTGCCTCCCAGGTTCAAGCAATTCTCCTGCCTCAGCCTCCTGAGTAGCTGGGATTACAGGTGCCCACCACAACACCCAGCTAATGTTTGTATTTTTAGTAGAGATAGGGTTTCACCATGTTGGCCACGCTGGTCTTGAACTCCTGACCTCAAGTGATCTGCCTCAGCCTCCCAAAGGGCTGGGATTACAGGCGTGAGCCACCGTGCCTGGTGAAATTTTATATTTTTAAGATGCACTACTCAATAAAATGAACTTCAGGATGTGTGCTGATATTTAAAACAGAAAGAAAGTCCAGGCACAGTGGCTCATGCCTGCAATCCCAGCACTCTGGGAGGCCAAGGTGGGAGGATCCTTTCAGTCTGGGAGTTCGAGATCAACCTGGGCAACACGGTGAAAACCCACCTCTATAAAAATTACAAAAATTATCCTGGCATGGTGGCACATGCCTGTAGTCCTACCTACTCAGGAGGCTGAGGTAGGAGGCTCACTCAAGCCTGGGAGGTCAAGGCTGCAGTGAGCCGTGATCACGCCACTGCACTCCAGCCTGAGCCACAGAGGGCCACAGAGCAAGACCCTGTCTCAAACAAAACAAAACAAAACAGAAAAAAAATGAATTAAATAAAAGTAGCTCACATCTGAGTTTGTGAGGATACTGGCATCTTGGAAGTTTATGAGAATCTCAGCTTTTCATTTCAAATTAGGCTGGAGGAAGCATATGTGTTTCCATATTGGAATCATAAAACCTTTTTTCCAGAATCACCCAAATTATTTTCCAGAACCAAATAAATGGCCCCTATCTCAGTGTAAGAGCTATGAAATCATCAATTTCAGAAATTTAGTAGAGACCTTTTCACATTTAAGTATATAATACATATACAAATTGTACTAGATAGCCTAATATTTAAAGATATTAGTAGGCTGGGCATGGTGGCTCACGCCTGTAATCACAGCACTTTGGGAGGCTGAGGCAAGAGTATCACCTGAGGTCAGGAGTTTGAGACCAGCCTGACCAACATAGTGAAACCCTGTCTCTACTAAAAATACAAAAATTAGCCGGGCATGGTGGCACGTGCCTGTAGTCCCAGCTACTCAGGAGGCTGAGGCACAAGAATAGCTTGAACTTAAGAGGCAGAGGTTGCAGTGAGCCGAGATCATGCTACTGCACTCCAGCCTGGGCCACAAAGCAAGACTTCATCTCCAAAAAAAAAAAAAAAAGTTAGTATAAATATGCATAGGCCTCAGTTTTAAGTACCATAATTTGAAGAGATGCCAGAATAGTTATTCTTGAATTAAATATTAACAAAATAGTTGCTTTTTTACCATAATGTCAGGAGTATCATATTGAAAAATTATTTACATATATTATTTTTTTGAGAAAGAGTCTTGCTCTGTCATCCAGGCTGGAGCACAGTGGCATGATCTCAGCTCACTGCAAACTCCACCTCCCAAGTTCAAGCGATTCTTGTGCCTCAGCCTCCCAAGTAGCTGGGACTACAGGTGCGCACCACCACACTCAGCTAATTTTTGTATTTTTAGTAAAGACGGGTTTTTGCCATATTGGCCAGGCTGGTTTCCAACTCCTGGCCTCATGTGATATGCCCGTCTTGGCCTCCCAAAGTGCTGGGGTTACAGGTGTGAGCCACTGGGCCCAGCCTGTTTATATAATTAAAGGAGGGTAATGAAGAAGCAGGAGCTGGGGTTGTAGTGGGAAACTGGTTAAAGATTGTCTGGCTCACTCCATAGTGATTGTACTGTTGGGCTTGCCTAACATAAATATAAATATAAATATAATTGAGTGCAACATAATGTTCTTGACCAATTCTCTTTGGATGGCGGGACTCATGACTGGGGGCATTTGTGATTTTTCCACCCACATCTGTTTTGCCTTTCTTCTGGTCTCAGCATCTCAATTTTTGAGGGGCGGGGAGGACTTCCTTTCTGCCATTGTGTCCTGGTTTTGTTTTTTTTAAGAGACAGAGTCTCTCTATATCGCTCAGGTTGGACTCGAACTTCTAGGCTCAAGTGACCCTCCTGCCTCAGCTGCCTGAGTAGTGGAAACTACAGGCATGCTCTACTGCACCTGGCTTGTGTTCAGTTTTGACTCTCAGTTGAGGTGACTCCCCTACTTTAGTGGAGTCATGATTTTTGGCATAACAGTTGTGATTGTTAATTTTATATGTCAACTTGACTGGGCTGTGGGGTACCCAGACGTTTGGCCAACGATTAATCTGTGTGTGTCTGTGGGGGTGTTTCTGGATGAGATTAATATTTGAATTGATGCTACATCCATATAATGTACAAATAAGAAATTACTTGACCACACAGGAGCACTAAAAAAAACAAAAGAGCTATCAAGCTACAAGAACACATGGAGGAAACCTAAATGCTGTATTAGTCCCTTTTCACGCTGCTAGTAAAGACATACCCAAGGCTTGAGCAATTTACAAAAGAAAGAGGTTTAATTGGACTTACAGTTTCAGGTGGCTGGGGAAGCTTCACAATCATGGCAGAAGGCAAGGAGGAGCAGCAGGCAAAGTAAGAATGAGGAAGATGCAAAAGCGGAAACCCCTGATAAAACCATCAGCTCTCGTGAGACTTATTCACTACCATGAGAACAGTATTGGCGATTCAATTATCTCCCACCAGGTCTCTCCCACAACATGTGGGAATTATGGGAGTACAATTCAAGATGAGATTTGGGTGACGACACAGAGCCAAACCATATCAAAGGCATATTGCAAAGTGAAAGAAGCCAATCTGAAAAAAACTATATACTGTAAGATTCCACCTAGATGACATTCTGGAAAAGGCAAAACTATGGGGACAGTAAGAAGATCAGTGGTTGCCTGGGGTTAGGGGTGGGGAAGGGAGGAACAGGTGAAGCCCAGAGGCTTTTTTGGGCAGTGAAACTACCGTTTATGATACTGTAACAGTGGGTATATGACATTCTACACTTGTGAAACCCATAAAATGTTCAACACAGGGTGAACCCTAATTTAAACTATGAACTCTGGGCTGGGCGCTGTGGCTCACCCCTGCAATCCCAGCACCTTGCGAGGCCGAGGTGGGCAGATAGCTTGAGCTCTCAAGTTTGAGATCAGCTTGGGCAACATGGTGAAACCTCATCTCTATAAAAATACAAAAATTAGCCAGTTGCGGTGGCACGTGCCTGTAGTCCCAGCTACTCAGGAGGCTGAAGTAACAGGCTCACTAGGCCTGAGAGGTGGAGCCTGCAGTGAGCTGAGACTGCACCACTGCATTCCAGCCTGGGTGATAGAGTGAGACCGTCTCAAGAAAAAAGAGAATAAACTATGGACTTTGGGTGATAAAGATGTGTCTGTGTTGGTTCATTGATTATAACAAATGCACCACACTGACAGGGGATGTCAATGGTGTGGATGGCTGGGAGTGGGTGTATGGGAATTCTTGGACTTAACATTCAGTTTTTCTGTGAGCCTAAAACTGCTCTAAAAAATAAAGTGTATTAATTTTTTAAAAAATGAAGGAGAAATAAAGAGTTTATTAGACACACAGACACACACACATGAAACTGAGGGGTTCGTTTAGTCAGCTCTGCCTGCCCTGCTTGCTTTTGATCGCTCGCTTTTGCTTGTTTGTTTTTTCCTTTTTTCCAGGATGTTGAAGGCTGCAATACCGAAGGCCTCACCACTGAACGCTGAAACTTACCCATCGCTGGCTACTTTATAGATAACATCCATAAGTCACCATAGTAATGGTTGCTTCAGTTGTTTTTCAGAAATGTGGGCCGGCTCCTGTCCAGTTCAAACTGTTTGAGACCACTGACCCTTCAACTGGGCCAACACAATTGCCCAAGACGTGGCCTTTTGACCACAGAGGGCCAAAAACTCCCCCCTCAGATCAAGCTGATGCCATCATTTTCTGTACATATGCCACACAAATGTCACGAGCCCCAGCTATGCTTGTGCATCATGAACCTGTTACTTTATTTTTTCCCCTGCCAATCACCTTTCCCCATGCTTTAGATCACTCCACTTTCCTAACCCCTAAACATCCCGAAGCCTCATTTTCATGGAGGTGGACTTGAGAGCTGTTCTCCCACCTCCTTGCTCGGTGCCCTTGTGAATAAATCTTTTCTCCTTTGCAAAATCCATCTTCACTGTGATTGATTTACTGTATGCAGGCAGAATGGATCTGGACTTGGCCAGGAACACACACACACACACAGACACGCACACACACACACACACACACACACACACACACACTTGCAGATGGACTGAAAAATGAGATAAAAATTCCCCATAGACCAAAAATAGAAGCAGGCAGAGGTGACAAGTTTTGCTCTTGTAGGATAACAGATTAAAATGCTCAGCATGGCTGGGCACAGTGGCTCACGCCTCTAATCCCAGCACTTTGGGAGGCTGAGGTGGAAGGATCATTGGAGCCGAGGAGTTCGAGACCAGCCTGGCCAACATGGTGAAATCCCATCTCTACTAAAAATACAAAAATTATCCGGGCGTGGTGGTGCACGCCTGTAATCGCAGCTACTCAGGAGGCTGAGGTGGGAGAATCGCTTGAACCCAGGAAGTGGAGGTTGCAGTGAGCCGAGATCTTGCCACTGCACTCCAGCCTGGGCAACAGAGTGAGACTCCGTCTAAAATAAAATAAAATAAAATATAATAAAATAAAATAAAATGCTCAGCTTGAAAAGGGGAATAGGAGTGGATAAATACTTACAACCAGAGGCAAAGGAGGAATCGCCCCACTCATGAAACAGGCTGAAAATAACAACAAAAAATACATAAATAAGCAAAACCAAAAACTAAAAACCCTGTCTCTGTGTAGAGCTGTGACTCCAGGAAGATGGGAGGGTAATGGCAAAGCTATGTGACAAGTAACTGAACTGAACTGGCCCTTGGCTTAGTGACTGGATGTGTCATATCCTAATATCAACATGGAGCAGGAGACCCCAAACACCAGGCTGGAGAACGTCAGAAAAAGACCAGAAGACAGGAGGGATGAAAACAGTGAGTCATCCTGCAAATTAGACGGTCCCCCAACCATATGAATGGACCCTTCCTCTCAGCTAAGGGCATTCCAGAGTGAACCTGACAAACTAGTTCAGGCCATGATGGAAGAGGGGTTTAGGTGTACCTCATTATACCTCTCCAGCATTAATATCGACACAGACCTTAAGTCTGATAAGAAACATTTACAATCTATTCTCTCTGAAGTCTGCTACTTGGAGGCTTCATCTGCATGATAAAACCTTGGGCTCCACAACCCCTTATCATAACCCAGACATTCCTTTCTATTGATAACTTTCTTTTTTTTTTTTTGAGATGGAGTTTCACTCTTGTTGCCCAGGCTGGAGTGCAATGGCGGGATCTTGGCTCACCGCAACCTCTGCCTCCCAGGTTCAAGCGATTCTCCTGCCTCAGCCGCCTGAGTAGCTGGGATTACAGGCATGCGCCACCACTCCCGACTAATTTTGTATCTTTAGTAGAGATGGGGTTTCTCCACGTTGGTCAGGTTGGTCTCAAATTCCCAACCTCAGGTGATCCACCAGCCTGGGACTCCTAAAATGCTGGGATTACAGGCGTGAGCCACCGTGCCCAGCTATTGATAACTCTTTCGACCAACTGGCAATCAGAATTTTTAAATCTACCTATGATCTGGAAGGCTCTCCCCACCACTCCGAGTTGCCCCACCCTTCCTCCCTTCCAGATCGAACCAGCGTATATCCTACATGTATTGACTGAGGTATTATGTCTCCCTAAAATGTATAAAAACACACTGTACCCATACACCTTGGGCACATGTCGTCAGGACCTCCTGAGGGTGTGTCTTGGGAGTGTCCTTAACCTTAGCAAAATAAACTTTCTGAATTGATTGGGACCTGTCTCAGATACCTTTGGTTCACAACAGGGAGCCTAACAATGGGGAGATCACAGAGTCTCACCTAAACTCTGCCCCGCCATCAAGCTCACCTGATCATTAGTAAGCCTGGGACCATCAGATGCTGTGCGCCTCCTCATCCAATGCAACGTGAAGCACACAGCATCATTCTTGGAGTATTTCTGTAAAAAAAGGCTTAGCTAGAATGTAATCAAGTCTCTACAGCTAATTTCTCTTACAAGAAATACAGGGAAAATCAAGGTAAATGGTGCCACAAAGCAGCAAACCAACAACTCCAGGATATGGGACATTTCATATTATGGAATGGCTTACCTGGCTTTTCTAAAAGTTAATGGCATGAAAATAACGTAGTGAGGTTAAAGAAAGGCAGCAGCCGCTGGGTGCGATGGCTCACGCCTGTAATCCCAGCACTTTGGGAGGCCGAGGTGGGCGGATCACTTGAGGCCAGGAGTTGGAGACCAGCCTGGCCAATATGGTGAAACCCTATCTCTACTAAAAATAAAAAAAAAATTAGCTGGGCGTGGTGGTGCGAGCCTATAATCCCAGCTACTCCGGAGGCTGAGGAAGGAGAATCGCTTGAACCTGGGAGGTGGAGGTTGCAGTGAACCAAGATCGCACCATTGCACTCCAGCTTGGATAACACTCTGTCCAAAAAAAAAAAGAGAGAGAGGCCGCAGCTTTATTTCAAAAGGAACTTAAGAGGCATAACAAATGTAATCTATGGATCTCATTTGGATCCTAACTCTAAGAAATAAACTATAATCAACAAATAAAAACAAACAAGAAAACCAGCAAAAAAACCCCACCATTTTAAAAACAACTGGGGAAGTTGACTATGGTCTACAAAATAGATAATACCAAGAAAATATTGTTAATTTTGTTAGGTAAGATAATGATATTATAGCTATATAAGAAAATAATTCCTATACTTTTAGGGATGGTTAATAGAGGTTCTTAAGCAAAGAAAAAGGGGGAAAGAATAGATGAGACAAATAGGCAAAACTTGAATTTTGTTAAATCTTGATATGGGAATACAGAGGTTCATTGTACTATCCACTATGCAACTGGCATAATGATTTTATTCTAGGTGAATTTTCTTTTATGTAAAAGTCTTTAAAAGATGAAAATTAGGCTGGGGAATTATTGTTTGAAATTTACAAAGATTAAAAACCGTAACTCTAAATGCAAGGCATGATCTTGGATTGGATCCTGGACTAGAAAAAAAATTACTAGAAAGGACATTTTGCAAAAATGTCCTTTGAATAAAGTCTATAGATTAGGTAATAGTGTTATTGTATTATGGTGAATATCCTGATTTTGGTAGTTGTCCTATGGTTATACAAGTGAATGTTCTTGTTCTTACGGAATAACACTGATTTATTTAGAGCTAAATATACATCATATCTGCAACTTACTCTCAAATGATTAACACAAATGTCATGAGTGTCTATATATAGATTTATATCTATGTATCTATAACTATATATTATATATATATATATATATACACACACATATATAGCAACTATGGTGAAATGTTAGTGAAGGGTAAACAAGAGTTCCTGGTATTACTCTTGCAAATTTACTGTAATTTTGAAATTACTTCAAATAATAAGTTAAAAAATAGTAATGACAAAAATATTAGTTTAAAGGGATCATATTCTTTTCAAAAAGACCAATAAATTATGAAAAGAAAACAAAAATATTACACAAGACAGGACAATTATAAAAAAGAACCAATAAGCAATCTTGGAAGTGTAAAATATAATCATTAAAATATAAAACAATAGACGGGAAAACCGGCTGACTGGACAGAGAGAGAATTAATGATTTGGAAGAGAGTACTGAGAATTCAAACATAATTTACCACAGAGATAAAGAGATAAAAGAATATGAGAGACCAGGTAAGACAAATGAAGGATGTAGAATCTTCAACAGGCCAGGCGAGGTGGCTCACACCTATAATCCCAGCACTTTGGGAGGCCAAGGTGGGCAGATTGCTTGAGCCCAGGAGTTTGAGACCAGCCTGGGCAATATGGTGAAACCCCGTCTCTACAAAAAATACAAAAATTAGCCAGGCATGGTGGCGCATACCTATAATCCCAACTACTTGGGAGGCTGAGGTGGGAGGATCACCTGAGTCTGGGAGGTTGAGGCTGCAGTGAGCAGAGAATTGTATCACTGCACTCCAGCCTGGGTGACACAGTGAGACCCTGTCTCAAAAAAAAAAAAAAAAGAAAGAAAGAAAGAAAAGAGAAGCTTCAATAAAAACCCACTTGTAAGATGACAGCAAGAATAAAAAATTTTGTTAATTTTTAAAAATATGAATTATAAGAGAAAATTTTGGCTGGGTATGGTGGCTCATGCCTGTAATCCCAGCACTTTGGGAGGCTGAGGCAGGAGGATTGCTTGAGCTCAGGAGTTCCAGACCAGTCTGGATAACATGGTGGAACCCTGTCTCTACTAAATAAATAAATAATTAAAAGAAATTTTTATTTTTTAAAAAAACAATGGTAGTTTCAAAACAGAGAATAAGCAGCATCCAAAAACCTAAGTCTCAGCTCAAAACTTCACTCCTAGTACTGAGATGGATAAATTAAATACACAGCTGAACACGCTACATGAAACTGCAGAATATTAAGAACAAAGAGAAAATTCTAAGAGTTATTAGAGAGAGAAGACCTTATCTACAAGGTAACAACAAATTAAACTTAACAAAAAAAGTTTCATCAGCAATAGTAAATGACAGAAGACAACGAAATTTCTTCAAAGTGCTCAGGAAAATTACTGCCAATCTATTAATCTCTACTCAGCTAACCGATCAGCAAGAACAAGATTGAAATAAAGATATTTGCAGACATACACAGAATAAGTGAGGCTATCTAGTACTTATGCAAGAGAGCGCTTCACCTACCTACCCTGACTGAAAGTACTGTTAATATAGCTAATGTTAATAATATGGTGAAAGAATTCGTTCCTCTCGGCAGCAACGTCTTCAGCAGGTCTCATTGCCAGAAATCACTCCGTTGCCCAGCCCTCTGGGGCTTCCATCACTTTTGTCCATTTCTTCTTAATTTTTTATTTATTTATTTATTTATTTATTTATTTATTTTTATTTATTTATTTTTTTTTTTTGAGACGGAGTCTCGCTCTGTCGCCCAGGCTGGACTGCAGTGGCGCGATCTCGGCTCACTGCAAGCTCCGCCCCCCGGGTTCACGTCATTCTCCTGCGTCAGCCTCCCGAGTAGCTGGGACTACAGGCGCCCGCCATCACGCCCGGCTAATTTTTTTTTGTATTTTTAGTAGAGACGGGATTTCACCGTGTTAGCCAGGATGGTCTCGATCTCCTGACCTCGTGATCCGCCCGCCTCGGCCTCCCAAAGTGCTGGGATTACAGGCGTGAGCCACCGTGACCGGCCTCTTCTTAATTCTATAATGTTCTTAGTTTCTGTTGTTGAAAATCTTTCACTATATAAGTAATGGTGTAGCTGAAAGACATCGGAAGTGAAGGAAATAAAAAGGGAAGGGAAGGCTAAAAATTCTAATTTTCTTATCTTATATAACAGCAGTCAGGAAACACTCTAAGGTCAATGAACAGTGCAGTGAGGCCGGGCGCGGTGGCTCACGCCTGTAATCCCAGCACTTTGGGAGGCCAAGGCAGGCAGATCACGAGGTCAGGAGATCGAGACCATTCTGGCTAACACGGTGAAATCCCGTCTCTACTAAAAATACAAAAAAAAAAAAAAATTAGCCAGGCGCATTGGCGGGCACCTGTAGTCCCAGCTACTCGGGAGGCTGAGGCAGGAGAATGGCGTGAACCCGGGAGGCGGAGCTTGCAGTGAGCAGAGCTCGCGCCACTACATCCAGCCTGGGTAACAGAGCGAGACTCAGCCTCAAAAAAAAAAAAAAAAAAAAAAAAAGCTGGGTGTGGTGGTGCACACCTATAGTCCCAGGTACTCAAGAGGCTGAAGTGGAAGGATCACCCGAGCCCAGAAGGTCAAGGCTGCAGTGAGCTGTGATCACGCTCGGCAAGAAAGTGAGACCCTGTCTCAAAAAAAAAAAAAAAAAGAAAGAAAAAAAAAGTAAAAGTAACCAACAAAATAACTACAACCTAATTATTAAAAATTGGGAACCAGGCATGGTAGCTCATACCTATAATCCTAGCACTTTGGAAGGATGAAACAGGCAGATCATTTGGATCAGGAGTTCAAGACCAGCCTGGGCAACATAGTTAGATCCCCTCTCTACAAAAAGTGAAAATAAAAAAATTAGCTGGACATGATGGCACGTGCCTGAGGTCCCAGCTACTTGGGAAGCTGAGGCAGGAGGATCACTTAAGCCCAGGAGTTCAAGCCTGTGGTGATCCAGGATCCGGCCACTGCACTCCAGCCTAGGTGACAGAGTGAGACCCTGTCTCTAACCAAAAAATAAAATAAAATAAAATTGAGAAGAAAGAGGAAGAAGGGGAGGCAAAATACAGCATAACTGACCCACATCCTCATTGTTTACACTGGGGTTCAACAGATATTGCTTACACTTGATAAATTAAATAGAGTTATAAGCATATTATTCAGAATTATAGAGGTGACCACCAGGAGAGCTAAAATCAGAAAGAGTTAAAGTCAGTTGCTGATGAGAAGTGAGATTGTAGGTGGAATGAGATAGGAGAGTTTTGTTTTACTTTAAATGTTTTCCTGTTACTGTTTGAATTTTAAACCTCGTATGGGTATTGCTTTACTAATTTTTTAAAAAGTAGGTAACATTAAAGGGGTCTTTCTGCCTTAACTCATGGGGAGCCCTATGTAAGGCTTTTTGATTCAGGTTAGGGCTTTGCTTTGGAATAAGAGATCATCTGCAACAGTTGAGTACACAGACTTTTTTTTTTTTTTGAGAAAGGGTCTCACTTTGTTGCCCAGGCTGGAGTGCAGCAGCACAGTCTCAGTTCACTGTAACCTCCGCCTCCTGGGTTCAAGCGATTTTCCTGCCTCAGCCTCCCTAGTAGCTGGGACTACAGGCCAGCGCCACAACGCTGGCTAATTTTTGTATGTTTAGTAGAGAGAGGGTTTCACCATGTTGGCCAGGCTGGTCTCGAACTCCTGACCTCAAGTGATTCACCCGCCTTGGCTTCCCAAAGTGCTGGGATTGCAGGCATGAGCCACTGCACCCGGTCTACACGGACATTTCAATATTATTTTTCTTCTTTGTGAGGAATAGTAATTTTAAGAAGATAGAAAACCCCACCTAATTGAGACTAGTCTTTTAATCCTGGCACTCAGGCTCTCGTAATCTTGTCCCATATTGCCAGCTACCTTATCTATTACCACAGCCCCACATAGAGGTCCTCCATTCTGCTCTAGTTTCCCTTCTACCACCCACATGCATAGTTGCTATATATTTTAATAATTTTTTCTACTTTTCTACATTTTTTTTTTTTTGAGACAGGGTCTCGCTCTGTCACCCAGGCTGGAGGGCAGCGGCATGATCTTGACTCACTGCAACCTCTGCCTCCCGGGCTCAAGCAATTCTCCCACCTCAGCCCTCAACTAGCTGGGACCATAGGCGTGTGCCACCATGCCCAGCTAGTTTTTGTATTTTTTGTAGAGATGTGGTTTCACCATGTTGCCCAGGCTGGTTTCGAAGTCCTCGGCTCCAGTGATCCTCCCGCCTCAGCCTCCAAAAGTGCTGGGATTACAGGCGTGAGCCACCGCACTCAGCAATTGTTTTCTACATTTTCTGATAGACTGTGAATTCCTGGAATGCCGGGTCCCTAAGTAGACAGTCAATAAATAATTGTTGAATTGATGAATTTGATTGCTTTGGGATTTTGCTTTTTTTTGAGACAGCGTCTTGCTCTGTCACCCAGGCTGGAGTACAGTGGTGCAGTCACAACCCACTGCAGCTTTAACCTCCCGGGCTTCATCTATCCTCCCACTTCAGCCTCCAGAGTAGCTGCAACTACAGGTGTGCACCACCAAACCCAGCTAATTTTTTATTTTTTGTAAAGACGGGGCTTTCCCATGTTGGCCAGGCTTGTATTGTGCTTCTGGGCTCAACTGATCCACCGCAGCCTCTCAAAGTGCTAGGATTACAGGTGTGAGCCACTTTCTTCTCCTCCTCCTCCTTCTTCTCCTCCTCCTCCTTCTTCTTTTTTTTTTTTTTTGTTTTTTGTTTTTTGTTTTTACAGAGTCTTGCTCTGTCTCCAGGCTGGAGTGCAGTGGTCCGATCTTGGCTCACTGCAACCTCTGCCTCCTGGGCTCAAGCAGTTCTCCCACTTCAGCCTCCTGAGTAGCTGGGACTACAGGCACCCGCCACCACACTTGACTACTTTTTTGTAATTTTGTAGAGATAGAGTTTTGTCACGTTGCCCAGGCTGGTCTTCAATTCCTGAGCTCAAGCAATTCACCTGCATTGGCCTCCCAAAGTGCTGGGATTATAGGTGTGAACCACTGTGCCCAGCCAGGTTTTGCTTTTTCTATATTTCTCTAGAACCTTCCTGCCCCCAACTGCTTCCCACCCCCTTCAATTTCTTTATTCTCTGAATTCCTATTACCAATAACCTCAACCCATTCATTCACCAAATATATAGAATGCCTACTCCATGCCGGGTCTGTGCCAGGCCTAGGAGACACAGAGATGAACGGCACAGATGCAGGCACTGTCCGGACACGAAGCAGATAATACACAGATAGCAATCTAATGATAATTATTAAAGTGCTTCAGAGTGTGATATGACCTCTAATTGAAATACTCCTCAAATATTATTGAAGGAGCTGCAAAGAAGTATTCATAGTCTAGATGGAAAGATAATATAACTGCCAGGGCTCACGCCTGTAATCCCAGTGCTTTGGGAGGCTGAGGCGAGCAGATCACTTGAGAACAGGAATTCGAGACCAGCCTGGCCAACATGGTGAAACCCCGTCTCTACTAAAAGTACAAAAAGTTAGCCGGGTATGGTGGTGCCAGGTGTGGTGGTGGGTGCCTGCAATCCCAGCTACTCAGGAGGCTGAGGTGGGAAAATCTCTTGAACCTGGGAGGCAGAGGTTTCAGTGAACTGAGATTGTGCCACTTCACTCCAGCCTGAGTGACAGAGTGAGACCCTGTCTCAAGTAAAAAAAAAAAAAAAAAAAAAAAGAAAAGAAAGATAATATAACTGCTCTATACACATAAAAAGACAGTAAATATTAAATGTTTAATGTCAAAGATAGTAAATATTAAATGTTAAAAGATAGTAAATATTTAAAGATGGTAATAAAATGTTGAGTGATACAAAAAGCAATTGCTTAAATAAGCAGAGAAAAGTTCACGGTTTGCATCATGGAGGTGAGAAATAAGTAGAGAGGAATTGGGAAGAACATTCCGAGGTAGTAGCGTGGGGAAAACAATGGAAGGTAAGAAAGCACAGTATTTTCAAGCATCATTTAATTTTTTTTTGAGACAGGGACTTACTATGTTGCCCAGGCTGGAATGCAGTAGTGCAATCAGAGCTATCTGCAGCCTCAACCTCCTGGCTTTAGTGATCCTCCCACTGTAGCCTCCGGAGTAGCTGGGACTACAAGCATGCATTACTGAACTCGGGTTTTTTGTTTTGTTTTGTTTTGTTTTGTTTTTAACTAGAGACAAGGTCTTGCTATGTTGCCCAGGCTGGTCTTGAACCCCTTGCCTCAAGTGATCCTTCCACCTCGGCCTCCCAAAGTGCTGAGTTTACAGGCGTGAGCCACTGTCCCTGGCCAAGCATCATTGAATTTGAGGTAATATAGGTAAAGAAATATTAGGGATAAGGCCAGACAGTTTATTCATGTCCAGCTGTAGAGATTTTTGTTTCTAAAAGAAATGTTTTGAGAGTGAGGATTGCAAATCATATATTTCTGTTTTGGCTTTAATAATGCAAACTTTGGGAATTGAACTTAGCCTAGAACTTAGCCTACTCATATGTAGATATATAAACAGATGAGTGCCTCTGCTATTTGTTCTGTTGTGGTTTAGCTCTATCTGATAATTATTCCTGACATATATGCTCTCAACTAGCATTTATACCTTACAACTCTAAGAGGGTCCAGGGACAGATATGATCATTTTCATATTACAGTTGAGAAAACTAAATCACCAGGAGTTTGATCACTTGTTTTAGGAAAACTTTATAAGCTTGAAGATTATTGATAAAAGAAACCACCATCTGCATGGCAGAGACTGCTGGTTTTTCATCAAAATCCATTCTGTCCTTCTTGCATTGTAATAGGATTAGGAAGTGTATACCTGTGACAGGTTAGAGACTATATTTCCCAGACTTGCACGTAGCCAGGCATGGTCACATAACTGTTTTCACCAGTGAAATGTGAATGGGAGTGATCTGGGGACATCCCTCACATTCCTCTTGCTTAAAATGAAATTGCTGCCTTGTACCCTTTTTGTCTTCTATTTCTTCTTCTTAGGGGCTGAAACTTGGATCCTGCAACCCATCTTCAACCAAGTAAAAGACAAGCCCCTTCACAGCTTATTACTCAAGTAGTAAGTACTTGAGACTGAGTATTATTGTTTCCTGAGAGCTTGTTAGTATCTTAGACTCCACTCAAGACCTAGGAAATCAGAATCTGCATTTTAACAAGATCCCAGGTGATACATGTTCACATTCACCTTCAAGAAGCACTGCTCTAGCGGGTAGCAGAGGAGCTTTACAGATGGAATGTTGGTCCATAAACAACCTCATAATGCAAGTACTTGCACTTCCGTGGCTCCTGCATAACTTTCTATCTTCAATAAGCAACTGAATCTGGCTGGGCACAGTGGCTAACCCCTGTAATCCCAGCATTTTGGGAGGCCAAGGTGGGCAGATCACTTGAGGTGAGGAGTTTGAGAGCAGTCTGACCAACATGGAGAAACCCCATCTCTACTAAAAATACAAAATTAGCCAGGAGTGGTGTCACATGCCTGTAATCCCAGCTACTCAGGAGACTGAGGCAGGAGAATCACTTGAACCCGGGAGACAGAGTTTGCGGAGAGCCGAGATCACACCATTGCACTCCAGCCTGGGCAACAAGAGCGAAAACTCTGTCTCATAAATAAATAAATAAATAAATAAATAAATAAATAAATAAATAAGCAACTTAATCTTGAGGCACCTTTGCCATAGCAGCATAGCATTCACCTAATATAATTTGCATCATCTGTTGACCCAAAACTAGGTTATGAATTCATTTAGGAAATACTTTTAAAAAAATCTTTTAGGAGACTGGGTCTCACACTCTGTTGCCCAGGCTGGAGTGCAGTGGTGCAATCTTGGGTCACTGCAGCCATGAACTTCTGGGCTCAAGTGATCCTTCTGCGTCAGCCTCCCAAATAGCTAGGACTACAGGGGCAAGCCACCCTGCCTAGCTACTGTTTTTAATTTTTTTTTTTTTTTGTAGAGACAAAGTCTCTGTTACTTAGACTGGTCTCAAACTCCTGGCTTCAAGCTATCCTCCTGCCTCGGCCTCCCAAAGCACTGGGATTACAGGCATGAGCCACCATACTTGGCCAGGAAATACTTATTGAAAACCTTTTTAGGCAAACTACCGTTCTAGGTTATAGAATGTGTGTGTGTGTGTGTGTGTGTGTGTGTGTGTGTGTGTGCGTATGCATATGGTGTGTATATGTGTGTGTAGGATCCAAAATTATTATTATATTAATTTTTTTGAGACAGAGTCTTGCTGTGTTGCCCAGGCTGGAGTGCAATGGTGTGATCTCAGCTCACTGCATCCTCCGCCTCCCAGGTTCAAGTGATTCTCTTGCCTCAGCCTCCCGAGTAGCTGGGACTACAGGTGCCCGGCACGATGCCCAGCTATGTTTTGTATTTTTAGAGACGGAGTTTCACCACATTGGCCAAGCTGGTCTCGAACTCCTGACCTCAAGTAATTCGCCCGCCTCGGCCTCCCAAAGTGCCGGGATTACAGGCATGAGCCACCGTGCCCGGCAGGATTCCAAATTATTTAAGGCAGGGCTTATAGTTTATTATTTATTATTTATTTTTTAGACAGAGTCTTGCTCTGTCACCCAGGCTGGAGTGCAATGGCGCAATCTTGGCTCACTGCAACCTCTGCCTCCTGGGTTCAAGTGATTCTTCTGCCCCTGCCTCCCAAGTAGCTGGGATTAGAGGCGCATGCCACCACGCCCGGCTAATTTTTTATATTTTTAGTAGAGCTGGAATTTCACCATGTTGGCCAGGCTAGTCTCGGACTCCTGACCTCATGTGATCTGCCCCGCTTGGCCTCCCAAAGAGCTGGGATCACAGGCATGAACCACTACACCTGGTAGGGCTTATAATTTATAATTTAGTAGAGAGAGAAGAGAGAAACATAGGAATATTAAACTGTAGATGCTCTAAGAAGGTGTAGTGATATTTGTTGTTTTCTGTTTTATTATTTATTGTCTGTCCTTGGTAGACAGAAAAATACTTCTACAAATATGTCCATGTTTTAATCTCCTGAACCTATGATTATCTTGGTTGTCTTCCAAAAGGGACTGGCTGATGTGATTAAGGATCTTAAAATGAAAACAGTATCTGGAATTATCCAGTTGGGGCTAACGTAATCACAAGGGACCTTCTAAAAGGAAGGCAGAGGTCAGAGTCAGAGAAGGCGCTATGACGACTCAAGCAGGGGTTGGAGTGATGCTGTGGCTGGAATGGAGCCAGGAGCCAAGGAATGTGGACAGTATCTAGAATCTGGGAAGGGTAAGGAATAGATCCACCCTCAGAGGCCAGGTGCGGTGCCTCACTCCTGTAATCCCAGCACTTTGGGATGCCGAGGCGGGTGGATCGCCTGAGGTCAGGAGTTCGAGACCAGCCTGGCCAACATGGCAAAACCCTGTCTCTACTAAAAATACAAAAATTAGCTAGCGTGGTGGTGCGTGCCTGTAATCCCAGCTACTTGGGAGGCTGAGGCACAAGAATCGCTTGAACCCAGGAGGCGGAGGTTGCAGTGAGCTGAGATGGTGCCACTGCACTCCAGTCTAGGCAAAAAAGTGAGACTCTGTGTGAAAAAGAAAAGAAAAAAAGAATTCACCCTCAGAGCCTCTAGAAGGAATGCAGTCCTGCCAACACCTTAATGTTAAGACCAGTCTCAGACTTCTGACCACCAGAACTGTAAGATAATAATAAACTTACGTTGTTTTAAGCCACTAGGTTTGTGATAATTCATTACAGCACTCATAGGAAACTAAATCAGCCATAATAAAACATAATAGTATTTGACACAAAGGGGTGATTGTATAAGAAGGCTTTCAGTTTATGTGAAAAAGTTAGCATTAAATGGAGATTTTAAAGTTGGACAGGATTTCCCATGGCCAGATGAGGAAGGAGGGTACATTCTAAGCAATAAATTGTAGGTAATTCACCAAGTGAAAACATTTCTGATATTTGGCTATGTTTTATAGAACTTATTTATGTATAAACATGCAGGTTAAGATCTTACCAATTTATTCATTAAAGAAGTCACCCTTAAGAAGAAAATCCCATCCATTAAACACATGGAGGGCAGGGCTTAGCAATGTGTGTCATGGCGATGAGGTCGCTGTCATCTTTAACTCTGACGTTTAGGAAGGCCAGTTGTGCAAATTTCTTTTTATGCTTCCTTTCAGTTGCTAGCATGGTTCCACCTCCTCACTCTGCCCCCATTTGTCTTAAATTTAGGTCTGCGGATCTTCAGAGAGGCTGGAAGAAGCTAGTTGTACCAAAGGGACCAAAACTTGGTCTACAAGATTCCCTGGTCATCTACATGATGAATAAACTTCAAATAGGTAACTTTCACATCCAGTTCTCACAGCATCAAGTAATTCCTGAGTGCCTACGAGATAGCCACGATTCCTGTTTATAGTGTACTTGGGGGAATACAGACATTAAAAAAATAGAAGTGTGATGAGAGTTACTAAAGAAAAAGCTGGCCGGGCATGGTGGCTCACGCCTATAATCCCAGAAGTTTGGGAGGCCGTGGGCAGATAGCTTGAGGCCAGGAGTTTGAGACCAGCCTGGTCAACACAGCAGAAACCCCATCTCTACTGAAAACACAAAAATTAGTCAGGCGTGGTGGTACACACCTGTAATCCCTGCTCCTCAGGAGACTGAGGCATGACGATCACTTGAGCCTGGGAGGCGGAGGTTGCAGTGAGCCAAGATTGCATCACTACACTCCAGCATGGGCGACAGAGCAAGGCTCTCTCTCAAAAAGAAAAAGAAACAACAACAACAAAAAAGCGCAGGTTGCAATGTGAGTGTAGCAGACAGGATGATGATTTTTGCCTCTGAATCTCTCAATCTTTAGGCCTCCTTTACTATCAGCTTCAACAAAGGGCAGCACAGATTTTTCCACAGATGATCTATACATTTTTATTTGGTTTTGTTTTGTTTTTTTGAGACAGAGTCTTGCTTTGTCACCCAGGCTGGAGTGTAGTGGTGCAATCTTGGCTACTGGAACCTCTGCCTCCCAGGTTCAAGCTACCCTCCCATCTCAGCCTCCCGAGTAGCTGGGACTGCAGGAGTGCACCACCACACCTAGCTAAGTTTTAAATTTTTTGTAGAGATGGGGGTCTCACTTCATTGCCCAGGCTAGTCTGGAACTCCTGAGCTCAAGTGATCCACCTGCCTTGGCCTCCCAAAGTGCTGGGATGACAGACGTAAGCCATGGTGCCCGGGCAATCTATGCAATACATTTTTAAATATGTATGTTATAGAAATATGTTACTGAACATAAAAAAAATAGAAAATAAAGCTATCCATAGCCTGCTATTCTAACATACCCTGCAAAATCCCTTTGAAGTTTTACTGTGTAATATAAAATAGGTATCATAGCACATGTGCAATGCACTGTGCTAAGAATCTTCTATACATAATCTTATTTAGTCCTTATAACAATCCTGAGATGTATCTCCATTTTACATGCACAGCTTGAACACATTGCTAGTTTAGTTCCAGACCACTGCAATATTGCTGATATTGTAATAAAATGAGTCACACAAAGTTTTTGTTTTCCCAGTGCATATAAAAGTTATGTTTCTACTATACTGTAGTCTATTTAGTGTCAAGGCTGGGTGCAGTGGCTTATGCCTGTAATCCCAGCACTTTGGGAGGCCTAGGTGGGCAGATTGCTTGAGACCAGGAGTTCAACACCAGCCAGGGCAACATGGCGAAATCCCGTCTTTACAAAACATACAAAAAAAATTAGCCGTGTGTGGTCCCAGTTACTCAGGAGGCTGAGGTGAGAGGATAGCTTGAGCTGGGAGGTTGAGGCTGCAGTGAGCCGTAATTGCGTCACTGCACTCCAGCCTGGGTGACAGAGTGAGACCCTGTCTCAAAACAAACAAACAAAACTTTACTGCTAAAAAATGCTAAGGATCATCTGAGCTATCAGTGAATCATCATCTTTTTGCTGGCAGAGGGCTTGCCTTAATGTTGATGGCTGCTGACTGATCAGAGCGGTGGATGCTAAAGTTTGGGGTAGCTGTGGCAATTTCTTAAAATAAGACAATAATGAAATCTGCCACGTCGATTGACTCTTCCTTTCATGAAAGTTTTCCCTGTGACATGCAGTGCTGTTCAGCATTTTACCCACAGAAGAACTTTCAAATTTGAATTTCTTTCAAAATTAGAGTCAATCCTGTCAAATTCTGCTGCTGTTTTATCAACAGTTCCATAGTTTATGATATTCTAAATCCTTTGTTGTCATTCAACAGTGTTCACAGCGTCTTCACCAGGAGTAGTTTCCATCTCAAGAAACCACTTTCTTTGCTTATCCATAAGAAGCGACTCCTTGCCCATTAAAGCTTTGTCTTGAGATTGCAGCAATTCAGTCACATCTGTGGGCTCCACTTCTAATTCTAGTTCTCTTGCTATTGCCACCACACCTGCAGTTGTGTCCTGAACTCAAGCCTTGAACCCTTGTGGGAAAAGACTTGTTGCCAGAGCAGTCAGAATACACAAAACATTGGAGTTAGCTGTTTTACACGGGGGTGGTTAGTGGCACCCCAAAACAACTAAAATAGTAATCATAGATCACTGGAACAGATATAATAGTATTTAAAAAGTTCAAAATATTGTGAGAATTACCAAAATGTGACACAGAGACACGAAGTGAGCACATGCTGTTAGAAAAACAGAACTGATGGACTTACTAACCCAGGGTTGCCACAAACCTTCAATTTATATATATATATATATAAATATATATAAATATATAAATATATATAAATATATAAAAATATATAAATATATAAAAATATATAAATATATATATATAGAACGCAATAAAATGAGGTGTGGGTGAAAAGAAAACTGAGGTTTGCAGACATCATACAGCTAGCTAGTAACAGCTGGGTTTCAAAACACCTCTGACTTTACAACCACTAATTTTATTTATTTTATTTTGAGGCAGGGTCTCGCTCTGTCGCCCAGGCTGGAGTGCGGTGGCACGATCACAGCTCACTGCAGCCTCGACCTCCTGGGCTCAAGCGATTCTCCCGCCTCAGCCTCAGACAGCAGGTGGGATACCAAGTTCCCACTTCATCTGCCGCAGGGCTGGGCCGCGCCAGGACCACGTGGCCAGTGCGCGCAGGGCGATGGGCGGCAGTGCGCAGGCGCGCACCTGCTGCGGTGGATGGGGCCCCGCGCCCGTCCCTCACTTGCTCCCTCCTTCCTTCCCGCCACCCCTCCACCGCCTTCCCCCTCCTCCCTCCTCTCGCCACCTCTAGGCCCCGCCCCGGTCCTGCCGCCCAGTCTCCTCGCTGCAGTCGCTCCGGAGCTGCACGGGTGTTTTGCGTGTTGCTGCGTCATCGCCAGTGGCCGGTTTGAATGAGACTCGTCGCACCGAAGCCGCCGCCACCACCGCGCCTCCGCCTCGGCCGCCGCCGCAGCTGCTCCTGGTCCCCGTCCCTTTGCCGCCCTCGTCAGGCCCAGCTCTCCTGCGCCGCCGCCTCCCGCCGCGCCCCGCCATGCCGCTCTACTCCGGTGAGCCCTGTCCTGGCCTCGCGCGCAGCACACCGGACCGGCGCTAGGCCTCCGCGTAGGCCTGGCCTGCACGGGCGGGCACCCGGCATGGACTGGGAGGGGCCGGGGTGGGGTGCGCGGGGCCGGCGGCGCGGAGATGACCCAGGCACCGTCCCCTCTCCCGGCTGGGTCGGAGCCCTGCGTGGCAGGGGAGCGCCGTCCCCCTGAGCCACCGATGGGTGGGGGGAGTGGAGATGGGGAAGCCTCTCAAAGTCGTGACTCTGCAGAATAGTTTCTGACGCTGCCCTGGTGTGCGGTGAAAGTGAGGGTGTGTCCTGGGGCGCTGGGCCAGGCTGGAGGTGCAGGGAGATTCCTTTGGGCTTCTCAGTGGTCGCCGTGGAAGGGAGCGGGGAAGAAGGGGAGGGATGGAGCGACCCTTCTTGGGGTTGCCAAGCGGCGTTCGCCGCCCTTCGTCGTCCTTCGCCCTTCTCTTGCCCCTTGCCTTTGTTCGACCGCCCCTTTGGTACCAGTTTTAGTTTTGTCCCGAGGCAGATTGTAAACCTTTTTGCTTCGTTTTCGTTTCATCAAACGTTGCATTGGATTTCTGTATCCGAAACGTGGTGTGAGCTTTCAGAAGTAGATGAATACACATATCCCCGGGGTGTCATTTCTTGATTGGCGTTTGACAGGGGCTTGTATTGTTTGCTTGCTGACAGTCCAGGGTACTGGCCAGGGATCACTTTTACTTAGGGAATGGACCTTGCTGCTCCCTAGCCTTATTCAAAATGGCACCTAAAATATGTGTGGTGTCTCCAATTGGCTGTAGGTGTGTGATTCGTTGACCATCCCTGTTTATTCTGTTACAGTTCCTTTATTGAAGATTCAGCATTTACAAAGCATGATACGAATCAAGAGTATTGTTTGATCTCAAGGTGGATTCTTGATGGTCTAGAATCTTGAATCGAATTCTTAATGATTGCCCAACCCCTTTCTAAAGCCATAACAACAGTAGAATGGCTCTTGAAATATTCTAATACTTAAACACACCAGTAGATTCACACACATAAAACAAAACCCCTCTGTTTCCTCAAAATGCCAGCGCTGACCAGAGTTTCTTTTTTAAAATTTGAGCTTTATCTTAAATATTTAATCAGATCTTTTCCTCATCCCCCAAATGAAGGAACTCAAGTAGATTTCTAAGGTCCCTTCCTTTGACCTCTCCATATTGAGAATCTGTATTTTGAGGGTCAGCAAAAAGCTCTATATTAAAATGAAGAGAACATTTTAAGTACTATTTCATAAGATTTAGTAGAAAATTAAGTATCTAGTCTGAGCGCGGTGGCTCACGCCTGTAATCCCAGCTCTTTGGGAGGCTCGAGGCGGGCGGATCACTTGAGGTCAGGAGTTCGAGACCGCCTGGCCAACATGTTGAAACCCTGTCTCTACTAAAAATACAAAAAATCAGTCGAGAGTGGTGGCAGGTGCCGGTAATCCCAGCTACTGGGGAGGCTGAGGCAGGAGAATCGCTTGAACCTGTGAAGCGGAGGTTGTAGTGAGCCAAGATCGCGCCATTGCACTTCAGTCTGGGTGAAAAAAGCGAAACTGGGTCTCAAGAAAAGAAAAAAAGAAAATTACATATCTAGATTATTAAATGGTTAAGGATAAGTGCAGTTAAAAATTAAAGCCAGGGGCCATGATGTATGCTTTTAATCCCAGCTACTCGGGAAGCTGAGTTGGGAGGATCACTTGAGCCAAGGAGTTAGAGGGTGCTGTGATCTGTGATCACGCCACTGCACTCCAGCCTGGGTGACAGAGCAAGACCCCCGTCTCTAAAAATAAACACACACCTGTGCCTCTTATAGAGTTAGGGTTTTGTACATATTGCTTTGTTTTAATCTTCAACGTAATCCTGTGATACTGGTATAATTCCTCTTGTAAGCATGAGCAAAAAGTTTTAAGTAACTTGCTCATGGCAATAGCACAATAAATTTCAGGTAGGTTCCTCTCCTTTACTTCTAGTACTGTTTTGGTTTAATCCTGTAGCATCTTTAGCTTGTACTATTGTAATATGCTTCTAGTTTATTTTAGTGATTACAGTATGCCTTCTTCAAGCCTGATTTCTCTGCTGCTGCAAGTGATCTAATAGTATTCAAACCAGACTAAAGTGGCCTTTATGACAGCCTTTCAGGAATTACACATTGCCTACAACATAAAGCCTTTACGTATTTTATTTTATTTTTTTTTATTTTTTGAGACCAAGTTTTGCTCTTGTTGCCCAGTCTGGAGTGCAATGGCGCGATGTTGGCTCACTGCGACCTCCACCTCCTGGTTTCAAGCGATTCTCCTGCCTCAGTCTCGCGAGTAGCTGGAATTACAGGCGCCTGCCACCATGCCTAGCTCATTTTTGTATTTTTAGTAGAAACGAGGTTTCACCGTATTGGCCAGGCTGGTCTCAAACCCCTGACCTCAGGTGATCCACCTGCCTTGGCCTTCCAAAGTGCTGGGATTACAGGCATGAGCCACCATTCCCGGCCTCTTTATGTATGATTTAGGATGACTTATCTTCCATAATTTGATCCTTAGCCAGCTTCCAGTTTCATCTACTGCTGCTTTCCCTTCACTCTGGTAATTAATTACTTACATCTTAGAACACACCATGCTGCTTTATGCTGTGGAATGTTTTCCTTCTTTTCTGGGAATTCTTCTGTCCTCTCCTAGTCTCTGACTAACACCTAATCTTTTCTTGAGATTCAAAATTGATAGTGATAACTCAGAAGTTAACACTTCATCCAGGAAATCTTTCCTCATTTATGAAGCATTCCACTTTGTTGCTGTAGCCTTTGTAATACTTACATAGTTAATTACTCTAGCCTCCTCCCACCCCCCCATTAGGCTGTAAGTTTATGGAGAGTCTTCCCAATGCTTTGTACCGGGCTTGTCATTAAATGAATACTCAACATATTAATTGAACTGATGATAGAGTTGGGATTTGGTGTCTGAGTGAGGTTTTCAAATTCTGATTTCAGGAGTTGGAAAGCAATTAACAGTTGTGAGGTTCTTATTTTTGAGAAGGTATAAAATTTTCAGTGGAAACAATATATATCCTTGGGTTTTAAAAATATATATTTCAAAAGTTAGCTATTTTATGAGGCTGATTGAAATTTTTTATTGTGGTAAAATATATGTAATAAAGTTTACCATTTTAATGATTTTTACGTATACAGTTCTATAGCATTAAATATATTCACAGTGTTTTGTAACTGTCACCTTCATTCACATCCTCTTGCAAACACCATTCTCTTTTTGTATGTATGAATTTGACCACTTTAGGTATCTCATATAACCAGAATCATCCATGTTGCAGCATGTATAAGAGTTTCTTTCCTTTTTAAGGTTGAATAATATTCCGTTGTATGTATATACCACATTTTCTTTGTCCATTAATTGGTTGATGGACACTTGAGTTGCTCCCACTTTTTCGGCTGTTGTGAATAATGCTGCTGTAAACATGGGTGTACAAATATCTGTTTGAGTCCTTGCTTTCTGATCTTCTGGGTATACCCAGAAATGAAATTGCTGGATCATATGGTAATTCTATGTTTACTTTTATTCCCCCCAGCAGTGTACAAGTGTTCCAGTTTCTCCACATCTTTGCTAACACTTGTTATTTTCTGTTAAATTTTAAAAAGAATAGCCATTCTAATGGCTGTGAAGTGGGATTTCTATATATTTTTAAATGATTTAGATATGTCTTTGGATTTTTTCTTAATTGAGCACCTCTTGTTCAGAAATGACACTTTTCAATTCTCCCAGATTTCTTATGACTCAGAATCTGTATTCCTTAAGTTGTTCTAGATGTGCTTTATTCTCCCAGGAATTTTTCTTCTTCTCTTAAACTATCTAACCTTTCTCTCTCTCTCTTCTTTTCCAATGCTGTGTGCTGATGTGAATGATTCTTCAATTAAACACATGGGGGCTGCGAAACTTATCATTTTGGGAAATATTTCAATATGATCATATTGTTGGAGTAGGATTCAGAAGACTTGGGAGTTTATTAACCAATTTTATGACATTAGCAAATCAATCTACTTCTCTGAAGTCTCAGTTTCTTTTTTTTTTTTTGAGATGGAGTCTCGCACTGTCGCCCAGGCTGGAGTGCAGTGGCGTGATCTTGGCTCACTGCAACCTTCGCCTCCCGGGTTCAAGCGATTCTCCTGTCTCAGCCTCCTGAGTAGCTGGGATTACAGGCGTGCGCCACCACACCTGGCTAATTTTTGTATTTTTATTAGAGACAGGCTGGTCTCGAACTCCTGACCTCATGATCCGCCCGCCTCGACCTCCCAAAGTACTGGGATTACAGGCGTGAGCCACCACGCCCAGCCTGCTGAAGTCTCAGTTTCTTTAACTATGAAATGAGAAGTTAGGTTTGATCCAGTGAAATTTTATTCAGCACCTACTGCATGCATGCTCCTCTTGATTAGGTAAGTGTTATGGGCATAGAAAGATGAATGACATGTTTTGACTCCCGATAACTGCCTAATTGGTGATCTTCTAAGGGTCTGTAAATCTTGTCTTGTTATTTTTTAATTAAAAAAATTGTGATTTTGTTTGCAGTTACTGTAAAATGGGGAAAGGAGAAATTTGAAGGTGTAGAATTGAATACAGATGAACCTCCAATGGTATTCAAGGCTCAGCTGTTTGCGTTGACTGGAGTCCAGCCTGCCAGACAGAAAGTTATGGTGAAAGGAGGAACGCTAAAGGTAAAATGTAGTCCAAATTTTCATCACATTACTATTATTGTATACTTTTTGAAAAATAACGCCAGAAAATTATTTAATTTTAATGTAGCATTTGAAGTGCTTTTTTTATATGATGAGAGTATGTCAGCTATGGTGTTAAAACTGTCTTATGCCTGTTAGAGTAAGGGAGAAATATTGTAGCTGTTTGACAACACTATATGGTATTATAAAAACATCGTTTTAAAACTCTTTTTACTTTTGTTTATTTTTAACTTTTAGGTTCTGAGATACATATGCAGGTTTGTTATATAGGTAAACTTGTGTCACAGGGTTTCAATGTACGGATTTCATCACCCAGGTACTAAGCATAGTACCCGATAGGTAGTTTTTTTTTTTTTTTAGATCCTCTTCCTCCTCCCACTCTCCACCCTCAAGTAAGTTCCAGTGTCTTTTGTTCCTGTCTATGTGTCTATGTGTTCTCATTATTTAGCTCCCACTTACAAAAGAGAACATGCAGTTTGCTTTTCTGTTCCTGCATTAGTTTACTAGGGAACTAGCAGGTAATGATCTCCAGCTCCATCCATGTTGCTGTAAAGGACATGACTTTGTTCTAAAAGCATCATTTAAATTTTATTTTAAAATGTGTTGTATTACCAGATACCTCTGTGGGTCAGGAGAGTGGAACACTTTACAGTTATCTGTATTGTGTGAATTTTTTTTCCTATGAGGATGTATTAAAAGTATTAGTTTTATTTTGTTTAGACTAAAATGAAACCAATTAATATTTCCTTAGTAATTTTCTGTAATGAGGTTGGAAAATTTTATCTCAGTTTAAAAATGTGGAACAATACAGATAGGTTTGTTTTCTTAAAAAAACTACTACAGAATGTAATTTTGTACATGCATTTGTATGTTGAAATTCAAAGCACTTCAGCATTTTTACCAAAGCCCTGGTTCTGGAAAACTGTTCATTTTTTTTTTTTGGCCTTTATTGCATCCTACCCATTAACGAAGAGCTGTTTTTCTTTTTCTTTTTTTTTGAGACGAGTCTTGCCCTGTTGCCCATGCTGGAGTGCAGTGGTGCTATCTTGGCTCACTGCAACCTCCGCCTCCTGGGTTCAAGCGATTCTTATGCCTCAGCCTCCTGAGTAGCTGGGATTACAGGTGTCTACCACCATGCCCGGCTAATTTTTGTATTTTTAGTAGAGATGGGGTTTCACCATGTTGGCCAGTTTGGTCTTGAACTCCTGACCTCAAGTGATCTGCCCACCTTGGCCTCCCAGAGAGCTGGGATTACAGGCGTGAGCCACTGCACCCAGCCCCCTTTTTTCTAAACAGTAATTGTTACCTAACTCCTACCTGGAGATGGGAGGAAAAAATTTTTGTTTAAAAAGAGAAGAAACCTAATTTTTGTCTTTACTTCCTTTGGAATGATCTCAGTGACCACAGTTAAGAATCCATCCCTGCCAGCATCATTGATGAAGGACTGCAGAAAAGACAAGAAGATATCTATTATTATTATTATTTTTTTTGGGATTGAGTCTCCCTCTGTCACTCAGGGGCTGGAGTGCAGTGGCGCCATCTCGGCTAACTGCAACCACCGCCTCCCGGGCTCAAGTGACTGTCCTGCCTCAGTCTCCCGAATAGCTGGGATAACAGGTCACCACCACCATGCGTGACAAATGTTTGTATTTTTGGTAGAGACAGTGTTTCACCATGTTGGCGCTGGTCTCGAACTCCTGACCTCAAGTGATATGCCTGCCTCGGGCCTCCCAAAGTGCTGGGATTACAGGCGTGAGCCACCACACCCGGCCTCTATTATTTTTAATAATATAAGTATAGCTTTAAAAAATACTTCCTTCAAGGGTTAGATAAAATGCTAAAGATCTATAGTTAACTTTAGAGATAAAGACAGGCTACCCCCACTGGGCAGTAAAACACACGTTGGAGGAAAATCTTTGTTTACCCCCGAAGGTACAGTATGAACCTTTGGCCTTTAGTGAACTTCATAGCCTAATCTATGCTGAACACTGTACTAGTGGTATGCTGTCGAGAATTATAGAAGTATGCGAATTAAATGAAACTGTGACTGCTAATGGTTACCATTTATTGAGTACTTATTTTATGTCAGGCTTTTATTATATTTTCTTTAATTCTCAGCTGTATGTTATCCATATCTTATATATGAGGAAATTTTATAAATGAGTGTCAAAGAGGTTTAAGTAACATAGTAAGGCACCAAAAGAGCATATGATTTATACATCAAGCAGATCTGTGTTCACTTCCCAGTTTTGTGTGACCTTGGGTAAGTGATCTTAGGGGGCATTTATAGTTATCATTCATTATGTTTAGCAGTCATAGACCTTAAATTGAGAAGGGCCTTTAGGAAGTTACCGTTCCATTTTAAAGCAGATAAAAGAGATAATTAGTGGCACCAATGAAGGGTAGACAAGCATATTGGGTACCCGATACCTTCTATAAAAGGGAGTAATATAGAATCGACTTTATCCTATGAGGGGAAAGGCCTAGCTGTAGTTAGTAAAAATATTACTCTGGACTAATCATGCATTTAAAAAAAAAATTCTTGATTTTTATTCAACATATTGAAAGGAAAGTATATACTTGCTTTATAGATGCGTTATAGACATTAACTCTTCATTCTTGCCACGTAAGCTTGTTATTTATTAGCTCTGCTGGTTCCAAACATCCAAAAAATAGGATCTATCATTTGTCATTAGTCAAGTGTTTTTTAGTACTTGCTAAAAGTATTTTTTTATACTTATGTGTTTTTTAGTATTTGATGCTGTAAATACAGGTTACTGCCTTTTGTATTGTGTTACCTTATGCAGTTGAAGCAAATTATTTGAAACCCTGGCTTTAGTACCACTTGTGTTTAAAAAAAATTTTTGTTTTTTTTTGAGATGGAGCCTTGTTCTGTTGCCCAGGCTGGAGTGCAGTGGTGAGATCTCGGCTCACTGTAACCTCTGCCTCCTGGGTTCAAGCAATTATCTTGTCTCAGCCTCCCGAGTAGCTGGAATTACAGGTGTGCACCACCATGCTCAGCTACTTTTTGTATTTTTAGTAGAGATGGAGTTTCTTTATATTGGTCCGGCTGGTTTCGAACTCCTGACCGCAGGTGATTTGCCTGCCTCAGCCTCCCAAAGTGCTGGGATTACAGGCGTGAGCCACTGTGCCTGGCCAAAAAAAATTTTTTTAATTGCCATAATTTTAAATAAAATCTGCATATAGGATAAATTTTATTCTGTTTTGAAGTACATTAAAATAAATTGATTATTAGATTGTGTTCAGCTTGTACAGTGGTGGTTAAATGTCTTTTGTTTGTCTTTGAAACAGGATGATGATTGGGGAAACATCAAAATAAAAAATGTAAGTATTATCTTATGAACGTTTATTATAATGCAGTAACCTCATTATGATACCAAAATACATTCCAGATGACTTTTTTTCATGTGTATATCCAGTTGTTCCAGCACTATCTGTTGAAAATACTTACCTTTTCCCATTGACTTGTGTTGGGCTCTTTCTTGAAAAGTAGTTATAGGTTTGTTTTTGGGTTTTTGTTTCATTGATCTAGTAGATTAAAGTTACACTAGTACCAAATGGTTTTGATTACTAAAGCTTTATAATAAAAGCCTTGAAAAAAAAATTAGCTGGGTGTGGTGGTGCACGCCTGTAATCCTAGCTACTCGGGAGGCTGAGGTGGGAGGCTGAGGCGGGAGGCAGAGGCAGGAGGCAGGAGAATCACTTGAACCTGGGAGGCGGAGATTGCAGTGAGCCGAGATCGTGCCACTGCACTCCAGCCTGGCAACAGAGCGAGACTCCGTCTCCAAAAAAAGAGTCTTGAAATAAGATAGTATATGTTCTTATGCTCTCCAACTTTCTCCTCTTTGAGATTTTGTTTGAGATTACATTGAATCTGTAGCTCAATTTGGGGAGAATAAACATCTTAACAATATTGAGTATTAAAATCCCTGAATATGATGTACTTCCTTATTTATTTAGGTCTCTGTTTTTCTCTTAGCAGAGTTGTAGTTTTTAAACATAGAGGTTTTGCATGAGTGGTTTTTTTTTTGAGACAGGGTCTCACTCTCACGTATGCCGGAGCACAGTGGCATGGTCATGGCTCGCTGCAGCTTTAAACTCCCAGCCTCAAGCAGTCCTTCCATCTCAGCCTTCCAAGTAGCTGGGACCACAGGCGGGTGTTACCATGCCCAGTTAATTAATTAATTTTAATTATTTTTTGTAGAGATGGGGGTGTCACTATGTTGCCCAGGCTGGTCTTGAACTCCAGGGCTCAAGCGATCCTCCTGCCTTGGCCTCCCAAAGTGCTGGGATTAACAGGTGTGAGTCACTGTGCCCAGCCCTTGCATGACTTCTCTTAAATTATTGGAACTTAACATTTGTTCGCTGCTTAAAATAATATTAAAAAATATTTCCAGTGTTCATGGCTAGAATGTAAAAATACAATTGATTTTTCTCTCTTTTTTTTTTTTTTTTTTTTGAGACAGAGTCTCACTCTTATTGCCCAGGCTAGAGTGCAATGGCGCGATCTCGGCTCGCTGCAACCTCTGCCTCCCGGGTTAAAGCAATTCTCTTGCCTGAGCTGGGATTACAGGCGCCCACCACCACGCCCAGCTAACTTTTGTATTTTTAGTAGAGATGGGGTTTCTCCATGTTGGTCAGGCTGGTCTCGAACTCCCGACCTCAGGTGATCCGCCCACCTTGGCCTCCCAGAGTGCTAGGATTACAGGCGTGAGCCACCGCACCCGGCCAAAATACAGTTGATTTTTCTAAGTTTATTTTCATTCTTTATTCTTGTAAGCAATTCACTTACTAATTCCAGTTGTGTTTTGGGCAGATTCCATTGGGTTTTCTGTGTACATAAACGTGTTATCTGCAAATAATGACAATTTTACTTCTCCCTTTTCAATATTCGTGACTTTCAGATTTCTTAAACTTTATTGACATATAATTGATAAGCAAATGACTTCTTTTTTTTGAGACAGAGTCTTGCTTTGTCGCCCAGGCTGGAGTGTGGTGGTGTGATCTTGGCTCACTGCATTATTTGCCTCCTGGGTTCATGTGATTCTCCTGCCTCAACCTCCTGAGTAGTTGGGATTACAAACGCCTACCACCATGCCTGGCTAATTTTTGTATTTTTGGTAGAGACAGGGTTTCGCAACGTTGGCCAGGCTGGTCTCGAACTCCTGACCTCAAGTGATCTGCCTGCCTTGATCTCCCAAAGTGCTGGAATTACAGGCGTGAGCCACTGTGCCAGGCCTTGTCCTACTTTTTAATAGGACTTCTAATACAGTGTTAATAGAAAGTGATAAGAGTGGCCGGGCGCGGTGGCTCACGCCTGTAATCCCAGCACTTTGGGAGGCCGAGGCGGGTGGATCACGAAGTCGGAGATCGAGACCATCCTGGCTAACATGGTGAAACTCCGTCTCTACTAAAAAAAAAATACAAAACAATTAGCCGTGCATGGTGGCAGGTGCCTGTAGTCCCAGCTACTCAGGAGGCTGAGGCAGGAGAATGGCATGAGCCTGGGAGGCAGAGGTTGCAGTGAGCTGAAATTGTGCCACTGTACTCTAGCCTGGGCAACAGAGCGAGACTCCATCTCAAAAAAAAAAAAGTGATAAGAGTGGACATCTTGGCTGGGTGTGGTGGCTCACACCTGTAATCCCAGCACTTTGGGAGGCCAAGGATGGTGGATCACTTAAGGTCAGGAGTTCGAGACCAGCCTGGCCAACATGGTGAAACCCCGTCTCTATTAAAAATACAAAAATTAGCCGAGTGTCATGGTGCACGCCAAGAGAATTGCTTGACTTTGGGAGGCGGAGGTTGCAGTGAGCTGAGATCACACCACTGCACTCCAACCTGGGCAACAGAGCAAGACTCTACCTCAAAAAAAAAAAAAAAAAAAAAAGAGTGGACATCTTGTCTTATTCTAGTTCACTACAACTTAAAATTATGAAAGACCGTTACATTTTGTTAAGTGTTTTTTCTGTTTGTTAAAATGATGGTGTGATTTTTTTTTCTTTTTTTCTGTTGGTAGTGTGGTTAATCTCATTGATTTTTAACTTAAACCGTGCATTTCTGGGATGTGCAGTTCTCAAATTTCTTGGTTTTGTGACCCTTTTGCCCTCTTAAATATTATGATTGACCCCAGAGTTTCATATAAAGGCACACCTCATTTTATTGTGCTTCACAGATAATTGTGATTTTTATAAGTTGAAGGTTTGTGGCCACCTTGCATCGAGCAAGTTTATAGGCACCATTTTTCCAGCAGCCTATGTTCACTTCATGTCTCTTTGTCACATTTTGGTGATTCTTGCAATATTTGAAACATTTTCATTACTCTCATGTCAAGTATGTTGATCTTTGATGTTACTTTTGTAATTGTTTTGGGGTGTCATGAATCACACCTGTAAGATGGCAAACTTAATCGACAAATGTGTCTTCTGACAGCCTCACCGACCCGCAGTTCCCTCCTCCCTCTTCTCGAGCCTCCCTATTCCCTGAGACAAGACAGTATTGAAATTAGGCCAATTAATAACCCTACAGGCTGAGCGCGGTGGCTCACACCTGTAATCCTAGCACTTTGGGAGGCTGAGGCGGGTGGATTCCTGAGTTCAGGAGTTCAAGATCAGCCTGGCCAATATGGTGAAACCCCATCTCCACTAAATAAAAATAGAAAAATAGCCGGGCGTAGTGGCACATGCCTGTAATCCCAGCTATTCGGGAGGCTGAGGCAGGAGAATTGCTTGAGCCTGGGAGATGGAGGTTGCAGTGAGCTGAGATCATGCCACTGCACTCCAGCCTGGCCAACAGAGCGAGACTCTGTCTCAAAAATAAACAAATAAATAAATAAATAAATAACCCTACAGTGACCTCTAAGTGTTCAAGAGAAAGGAAGAGTTTCATGTCTTTTACTTTCAACAGAAAGCTAGAAATGATTAAGCTTAGTAAAGAAGGCCTGTGTAAAGCCAAGACAGTCCAAAAGCTAGGCATTTTGCAGCAGTTAACCAAGTTGTGAATACAAAGGTCCAGTTTTCAAAGGAAATTTATAATTTAAAAGATAAGTTCTTGAAGTGTTACTGCAATGAACACACAAGTGATAAAGCAAAGCAGCCTTATTGCTGATATGGAGTAAGTTTAAGTGGTGTGGATAGAAGATCAAACTAGCCACAACATTTTCTTAAGTCAAAACCTAACCAGAGCAAGACCCTAATTCTCTTTAATTCTGTGAAGGCTGAGAGAGGTGAGGAAGCTACATTGTCCTCATCAGACTAACACAGGAACAGAAAACCGAACACCGCATGTTGTCACTTGTAAGTGGGAGCCGAGCAATGAGAATACATGGACACAGGGAGGAGAACAGCACACACGGGGGCCTGTCAGGCAGTGGGATGTGGGGAGAGCATCAGGATAAATAGCTAATGCATGCTGGGCTTAATACCTAGGTGATGGGTCTATAGGTGCAGCAAACCACCATGACACAATGTTTACCTGTGTAACAAGCATGCACATCCTGGACATGTACCCTGGAACTTAAAAAAAAAAAAAAAAATATATATATATATATATATATATATATATAAACTGAAGCTAGCAGAAGTTGGTTCACGAGGTTTAAAGAAAGAAGCAATCTCTGTAACATAAAAGTGCAAGGTGAAACAGTAAGTGCTGATGGAGAAGCTGCAGTAAGTTATCCAGAAGATCTAGCTAAGATTGTTGATGAAGGTAGCTACACTATACAACAGATTTTCAGTGTGGATGAAGCAGCCTGATATTGGAAAAAGATGCTGTCTAAGCCTTTCATAGCTAGAGAGGAGAAGTCAGTGCCTGGGTTCAAAGGCCAGACTGACTGTCTTGTTAGAGGCTAATGTAGCTAATGACTTTAAGTTGAAACCAATGCTCGTTTACCATTCCAAAAACCATGGATCTCTTAAGAATGATGCTAAATCTACTCTGCCTGTGCTCTGTATATGGAACAACAAAGCCCAGATGCCAGTACGTCTGTTTATAGTATGGAGTACTGAATATTTTAAGGCCACCATTGAGACTTCCTGCTCAGAAAGATTCCTTTCAAAATATTACTGCTTATTGACAATGCATCTAGTCACTTAAGAGTTTTGAGAGACATAAACGAGATGAATGTTGTTTTCCTGTCTGCTACAACAACTATTCTGCAGCCCATGGATCAGTAATTTCTACTTTTATTATTTAAGAGATACATTTTGTAAGGCTAAAGTTTCCCTATAAAGTTATTTCTCCATGAATCTGGGCAAAATCAATTAAAAACCTTCTGGAAAGGATTCACCTGAATTCTTGATACCATTAGGAGCATTCATGGGAGGAAGTTAAAATGAAGTCAGTATTTACCAGGAGTTTGAAAGAAGTTGATTCTAACCCTCATGGATGACTTTGGGGAGTTCAAAACTTGAGTTGAGGATACAACTGCACATGTGGTGTAAATAGGAAGAAACTAGAATTAGAAGTGGCCAGGCATGGTGGCTCACTCCTATAATCCCAGCACTTTGGGAGTCTGAGACAGGAGGAGAGCTTCAGGCTGGGAGTTTGAGACCAGCCTGGGCAACACAGTGAGACCCTGTCTCTACAAAAAATAAAATTAGTTGGGCATGGTGGTGTATACCTGTAGTCCTAGCTACTCTGGAGACTGAGGCAGTAGGATCGCTTAAGCCTAGGAGTTTGAGGTTACAGTGAGCTATGATTGTGCCACTGCACTCCAATCTGAGTGACAGAGTGAGACCCTGTATCTAAAAAACGAAAAAGAATAGAAAAATGGAGCTTGAAATTGTGACTGAATTGCCACAATCTCATGATACAACTTGAACAGATGAGGAGGTAACTTATGGATGTGCAAAGAAAGTAATTTCTTGAGATAGACTCTACTCCTAGTGAAGAAGCTGTGAATGTTGTTGAAATGACAATAAAGGATTTAAAATATTACGTAGGCTTACTTGATAAAGCAGCAGCAGGATTTGAGAGGTTTGACTCCAGTTTCGAAAGAAGTCCTACTGTGGATAAAATGCTATTAAACAGCACCGCAAGCTACAGAGAACTCTTTCATGAAAGGAAGTCAGTCAGCGTGGCAGGTTTCATTGTTGTCTCATTTTAAGCAATTACCCAGCCTTCAGGAACCAGTGCCGTGATCAGTCAGTAGTCATCAACTTGGAAACAAGACCCCCCACCTGCAAGAAGATCATTAACTGAAGGCTTAGATGATTGTCAGCTTTTTTTTTTAAGCAATAAATTATTTTAAAATTAAGGTATGTGCATTCCTTTTTAGACATAATGCTGTTGCATACTTCACAGACTGATATAAACATGATGTTTGTATGCACTGGGGGAAAATTTTTGTGTGACTTGCTTTATTGCGATATTTGCTTTCTCATGCTCTGGAACCCAAACTGTAATATCTTCAAGGTATCCCTGTGTTTTAATCTATGTAATACTCTTTTGTTGGATAGAAGATAATTTTATCTAAGTCAGTTGATCACATTTTTTAGTGATTTGTACTATGTTGTAAGAAATCTTCGCCTGTGCCAAGTTTACAAGATTTTTTTTTTCTGTTTTCTTGTAAAGCTTGATAAGTTTTAGCTGTTACATTTAGATATATTGTCTGTCTTTTTTTTTTTTTTTCTTTGAGACGGAGTCTCACCCTGTTGCCCAGGCTGGAGTGCAGTGGCACGATCTCGGCTCACTGCAAGCTCCACCTCCTGGTTCACGCCATTCTCCTGCCTCAGCCTCCCGAGTAGCTGGGACTACAGGTGCCTGCCACCACACCCGGCTATTTTTTTTGTATTTTTTTTAGTAGAGACGGGGTTTCACCATGTTAGCCAGGATGGTCTCTATCTCCTGACCTCGTGATCAGCCCGCCTTGGCCTCCCAAAGTGCTGGGATTACAGGCTTGAGCCACCATGCCCGGCCTATATTGTCTGTTTTTTTGAGACGGAGTTCCGTTCTTGTTGCCCAGGCTGGAGTGCAATGGCGTGATCTCAGCTCACCGCAACCTCCGTCTCCCAGGTTCAAGAGATTCTCCTGCCTCAGCCTCCTGAGTAGCTGGGATTAAAGGCATGCACCACCACACCCAGCTAATTGTTTGTATTTTTTTTAGTATGTTGTTGGTCAGACTGGTCTCCATGTTGGTCAGGCTGGTCTTGAACTCCTGACCTCAGGTGATCCGCCCACCTCGGCCTCCCAAAGTGCTGGGATTACAGGTGTGAGCCACCGCACCCGGTCTATTATCTGTTTTGAGTAAATTCTTGTGTTTGCTGTTAAGCAATGGTTGAGGTTATTTTTTTCACATGAGTATTTAGTGAGCAACATTTGTTGAAAAGACTATTCTTTTCCATTCTTCCTCAGTGCCTTTGTTGAAAATCAGTTGACCATAAACATAAGGGTTTATTTCTGGATTCTGTTTTCTTCCATTGATTTTTATATGTACCTTTGTACCAGTACCCATTCCCTGCTGTTTTGATTCTTCAGGCCTTGAAATCAGGTCGTCTAAGTCTTCCAGTTGTTTTTCTTTTTTAAAGTTGCGTTGGCTATTCTGGGAACTTTGTACATCTATTGCACATTTTTAGATTCTGCTTGTCATTTTCTCCATAAGAGTCTGCTGGGATTTTGATTGGAATTGCATTGAATCTGTATGTCAGTCTGGGACATCTCAATATTGAGTCTTCTAACTTACAAACATGGTAAACCTTTCCTTTATTTAAATGTTCAATGTTGGGACTTACACATATTTTGTTCCACATATTGTTAAGTATTTCACGTTTTTCTTTCTTTTTTTTTTTTTTTTTGAGACAGTCTTGCTCTGACGCCCAGGCTGGAGTGCAGTGGCGTGATCTCAGCTCACTGCAGACTCCGCCTCCTGGCTTCAAGTGATTCTCCTTCCTCAGCCTCCTGAGTAACTGGGATTATAGGCACTTGCCACCATGTCTGACTAATTTTTGTATTTTTAGTAGAGACGGGGTGTCACCATGTTGGTCAGGCTGGTCTCAAACTCCTGACTTAGAGTGATCCACCTGCCTTGGCCTCCCCAAGTGCTGGGATTATAGGTGTAAGCCACTGCACCCGGCTTATTTCATGGTTTTTAATGTTGTCGTAAGTGGTACTTTTCTTTCTTTTTTTTTTTTTTTTTAAAGACGAGGTCTTGCTTTGTCGGCTGGAGTGCAGTGGCACAATCATAGCTCGCTGCAGCCTTGAATTCTGGGGCTCAAGGGGTTCTCCCACCTCACCCTCCTGAGTAGTTGGGACTATAGGCATGCACCATTGTGCTTGGCTAATTTTTTGTTTTTGTTTTTGAGACAGAGTCTTGCTCTGTTGCTTGCCTAGGCTGGAGTGCAGTGACGTGATCATGGCTCACTGTAGTTTCTGCCTCCCAGGTTCAAGCAGTTCTCGTGCCTCAGCCTCCCGAGTAGCTGGGACTACAGGAATGTGCCACCACGCCGGACTAATTTTTGTGTTTTTAGTAGAGATGGGGTTTTGCCATGTTGGCCAGGCTGTTCTCGAACTGGTCTCAAGCAATCCTTCTGCCTTGAGCTCCCAAAGTGCTGGGATTACAAGCGTGAGCCACTGCACCCAGCTGTGGTGTTTTTGAAATGTCATTTTCCAATTGCTTGCTAGTATATAAAAATAAAGTTAATTTTTATAATTGACTTTGTATCCTGTGACTTTATTTCATATATTAATTTCTTAGGATATTGTTAGGTATACATGTCATCTGCAAATAAGGACAGTTTTATTTCTTCCTTTTTAATCTTTGTGCATTTTGTTTCTCTTTTTTTCTTTATTGCAATGCTTAAGACTTTAAACAATGCTGAGTAGAAGTGGTTGATAGTGGACATCATTGCCTTTTTCCTGACCTTAGGGGAAAAGCCTCCAGTCATGGCTGGTGGTAGTTTATAGATGTTCATCATCAGGTTCAGGAACTCTTTCTAGTTTGCTGAGAGGTTTTGTCACGAATGGAAGTTGAATTTTGTCATTTTGTTAAATGCCTTTTCTATATCATTTCTTCCTCTCATTTTATCCATTAAACTACACAGACTTTTGAGTATTAAACAGAACTTATATTCTTGGGATAAACCCCACTTGGACATTATATATTGCTAGATTCTATTTGCTTATCTTTTGTTAAGGTTTTTTGTGTCTCTTTTCATAAGAGATAATGGTTTGTAGTTTTCTTGTATTCTTTTTTATCTGGTTTTGCTATCAGTGTAATGTTAGTCTTATACAGTGAGTTAGGAAGCATCCCCTCTTTTCTGAGTTTGTATTAATATTTTTTCTTCCTTTTTTATTTCTGCTCCCACTCCACTGGGATATTTTTTCTTTAAATGTTGCCTAAAATTCTCTAGTGAAGCCTAGTTCACTAGACTTCATGTGGGTTTGGAGTTTTCTTTGTAGGAAGACTTTAAGAATTTAGTGTCTTTAATAAATGTAGGACTATTTAGATATTATGTTTTCTTTCCTATCAGTTTGATAATCAGTATTTCTTAAGGAATTGGTTCATTTAAGTTGCTGAATTGATTGTCATATTCTACTGTTATTACCCTTTAACTCTAGAATGTGTAGTGCTGCTTTTTCGTTTTCCTCTCTAGTATTGGCAAATTATGATTTGTCTGTTTCCTCTATCATCAAGCCAGAGTTTTGTCAGTTTCATTGATTGTGTCCCCCCAAAAAAAAAACATTTGGCCTGTTCATTTATTACTTCGTTTATTTTTTCTCTTTGCTTTCTTTCTTTCTACTTCGGTTTTAAATTTTTTAAAATTTTGAAAATTTTTATATAATCATATTTTGTTGAATGAAGTGCTGAAACCCAGGCAAATGGTGGTGACTTTTTTGGTTTGTTTTAGAGATGGGGTCTTGCTATGTTGCTGAGGCTGACCTTGAGCACCTAGGCTCAAGCAGTACTCCCACCTTAGCCTTCCGACTACCTTGGACTACAGGTGTGTGCCACCACACATGGCTTGGTTTTAATTTTTACTTTTTCTAGCTTAAGGTAGAAGCTTACCTAGTTCATTAATTTTAAGCCTTTTTTTAAATCTCTTTTGCTCATTTTTGTAGTATGTATTTGCTTTTTCTTATAGATTTGCTTTTTTGAGTGCTTAGTATATATGGTATAGTTTTGCCCCTAGTTTATTGTTTTCAAATGTTTTATAGACATTTTTAAGATTTGTGTAGCTAGTTACATCAATTGTTAATATTTATGTCAGTTTTAGAAAATCTTCCAACAATGCATGAGTTTTTTGATTCACTTGCATTCTTTTATGAATATTAATTTTTTTACATTTAAATCTTTAATTAATTGTTGTTGTGGTATGGTATGAAGTAGAGAGCTGATAGTATGTTTTTTCTAAAGTATACAGTTTTTCTCAATATTTTTCATTGTATAATCCCTTTTCCTAATAATTTTTTAAGGGCATTGTTTTAGTCTCTATTCTTTTTCAGAAATTTCTTAGCTATTATCCTGGGTATAAATTTGCTGCATGAATGAATCATTTTGCAAGGTTTTGTAAAGGAATTTCATTAAATTTATATAACTATAATTGCATCTTTATAGTAATTTTTCAAGTCCAGAGCTTGTCATGTCTTCCAGTTTATTTAGGTGCTTTTTTTAAAAATATCCTTAAGTAAAGCTTTATTCTCTCATTAAAGTATTACATTTTTCTTGTTATGCTTATTCTTAGATATATGTTGGCATTTCTTCTATTGTGTTTTCCAACTGGTTATTGCTAGTGTATTCTTTAAATAGTTGGCTCTTGAGACAGTTGTCTTTGGAAAAAGATTCTTGGCCTGGTGGGGTGGCTTATACTTGCAGTCCCAGCACTTTGGGAGGCTGAGATGGGGGGATCACTTGAGGCCAGAAGTGTGAGGCTACAGTGACCTATAATTGTGCCACTGCACTCCTGCCTGGGTGACAGAGTGAGTCCCTGTCTCTAAAAAAAAAAAAAAAAAAAAAATTCTGTAGTGATGGCTTAGTACTGCTTTACTGCTTTGCAATGATCTTATAAAATGTCTATGTAGAAATAAAAGGTGATAGAATAAAGGTCATTAAATTTAATTGTAGGTATTCTTAACTGAACTAATTTCCTAATTTTAATCATCATCTGGATATTTTTAGTCTTCTGGCTATCATTTTTCCCTCCCTGTTTTTTTTTTTTTTTAAATCTCCACTTCTGGTCCTACCTTTTACTTTGTCTCATGTGTTCATGCCTTCCAATTAAGATACTGAGTAAGAGAGTAAGATGTTATTCATATTTTAAGATTATGAGCTTTACAATGACAGTGTCTTCCTTGTCTTTCTATTGATTGTATGGAGTGTTTGCATATGTATTAAATAAAAGTATTTACTTAGGTTAATGTGTAGAATTATATAATTGGATATTTTGAACAAATTTACTCTGTATTTGGTTTGATATTTTTTAGTAATAGAGAATTTAATGCTCTAAAAATATTTGTATTTAAATGTAAACAATCACTACAGTTACACAATAGACATTCACAGAAATAATTTTATTAGTGTTTGTTTGTTTGTTTGTTTGTTATATTTTTTGAGACGGGGTCTCCCTCTGTCGCGCAGGCTGGAATGCAAGTGGTGTGATCACAGCTCACCACAGCCTCAACCTCCCAGGCTCCAGTGATCCTCCCATTTTAGCCCCCAAGTAGCTGGGACTACAGGCATGCACCCCTATGCCCAGCTAATATTGGTATTTTTTGTAGAGATGGGATTTCGCCATGTTGCCCAGGCTAGTCTTGAACTGGACTCCAACCATCCACTAGCCTTGGCCTCCCAAAGTGCTAGGATTACAGCATGAGCCACCATGCCTGGTCTGAATTTTATTAGTTGTAAGTTTGTTATGGAGAGAGATAATGCCACTAAATGTTAATGATCATTTGAGGAATTCCCTCTGCTTCAATATTGTAAACATTATTAGGTGTTTTTATGGCAATACTTATTTTTTCCTTAAGCTTTATTCAGGTACAATTTATATAGAGTAAAATTCACCTGTGTTTGATGTACAGTTTGATGACTTTGGGCGATTCTATATTGTCATGTAACCACTACCACAATCACGATTTAGAAGTTTCATCACGAAAAAGTTTCTTTGTACACCTTTGCCTTGGCCTCAAACAGCCACCCCAGTGCTTTTTACTTGTTTTAAACAATGCAGTGATTTTTAGTAGTGTATTTACAGAGTTGTGCAGCCTTCACCACAGTCTAATTTTAGAGCATTTCCATTACCCCAGAAAGAAACTTGTACCATTTAAGGTCACTCCCTCTCCCCATCTCCAGTCCTAGGCAGCAACTAATCTACTTTCTGCAGATTTACTTTTTTTGGCAAATAGAATTATGTTATATGTGTTCTTTTGTTCCTGGCTTCTTTTGGTTTGACATAAACATTACCAACTTTTAAGGATTTTCATGAAATTACTTTTTTTAAAAACAGGGAATGACTCTACTAATGATGGGGTCAGCAGATGCTCTTCCAGAAGAACCCTCAGCCAAAACTGTCTTCGTAGAAGACATGACAGAAGAACAGTTAGCATCTGCTGTAAGACACACCAGATTTTATGTGTTTGATCACTACTTTTTGAAGGACCATTATTAAGGTGTCTTTCAGAAAGTAGCATCTGAATGTCTTGAAGACTTAATCATTAATACCAAGATAGATATTTTTAGCAGTAAATAAGAGTTTTATTATTTTTGATTAGCTTAAGGGAGTCCTTCTGTAGTTAAATAAGGCACAGCTAGGGGTTTTTTTTTGTATTGTACACCTTACTACTGGTTTTCAGACTTCCAAGTGAATTTACTTAGGCTTAACTTACATATATTTAGCTAATATCTGTAATAAATATGTTCCTGGCAGATAGTACTATATAAGTATTTACTATTACTATTTTATGAGAAAACAGGGTCAAAGAGTAGTTTAAATGTTGGGATATTTAAATTTTTAAAATCCTTCATGTGGAAAATACATACATTTTATCCTGAATTTAAATGCAAAATCAGTTTAGAAACTGGTCAACACGTGTCAATTTTTTTTTTAACACCTAGCATTTATTTAGTGCCATTCATTCATTTTCATGGTTTTTTTTTTTGCTTTTTTTTTTTTTTTCCTTGAGATGGGGTCTTGCTCTGTCACCCCGGCTGGAGTGCAGTGGTATGATCATAGCTCACTGTAACCTCAACTTCCTGGGTTCAAGTGATCCTCCCACCTCAGGCTCCTGAGTAGCGAAAATTGTAGGCGTGCACCATCATGCCCAGCAAATAAAAAAAAAAATTTTTTTTTTTTTTTGTAGAGATGGGGTCTTGCCGTGTTGCCTAGGCTGATCTTGAACTTCTGACCTCAAGCAGTCCTTCCACCTCAGCCTTCCAAAGTGCTGGGATTACAGGTGTGAGCCACTGTGCCCAACCTGTTATTTTGCTTTTTGTTTTGAAGTGTTTCTTTGCATATTTTGCCTATTCTCTTCTCTTGATAAACCTGCAAAAAAGGCAAGACTAGTATGATTATTCTCTTATTATATTTAAGAAGGAAACTAAAACATAATATGATGGCCAGCATGATCCAAGTAAACTTTTTTTTGGGGGAAATAAAACTGTTTCTTTAGCGTGAAGGCAGAATATAAATTGGTAGAAGCTAGTAAATGGTACTTGATTCAAAATGAGAATTTTAGTGATTTATATATGCCATGTCATTTTGTAAAAATGGTTTAATGATTTAATCCTTTTTTTTTTTTTTTTCCAACTAGATGGAGTTACCATGTGGATTGACAAACCTTGGTAACACTTGTTACATGAATGCCACAGTTCAGTGTATTCGTTCTGTGCCTGAACTCAAAGATGCCCTTAAAAGGTAAGACTGCAGTCTTTTTTGGGTAAGGGATGTTCACATTTGGATGAGTAGTATTGTTTTGTTTTGCTTTCTTTAGCATCTTAATTGAGATATAATTAATTTATTATACAATTCAGCATTTTAAAGTGTTTAATGCTTTTTATAGTATTTACAAGTTTGTGCAACCATCACCACCATCGATTTTAGGACATTTTCCGCCCCCTCCAAAAGCAGTGTCGTACTCACTGGCAGTCACTCCTTTAACCCCTTCACCCACCTCTAGCCCTAGCCAACCGTTCATCTACTTTCTGTCATAGATTTGCTCATTCTGGGCATTTCATGTAAATTGAATCGTATAATATGTGGCCTTTTTGCGGCTAACTTCTTTCATTTGGCATGTTCCCATGGTTCATTCAGGTTACAGCACACGTAACACCTCATTCCTATTTTATGGCTGAATAGTATTTCATGGTTCACTCACGTTACAGCACACGTAACACCTCATTCCTATTTTATGGCTGAATAGTATTTCATGGTTCATTCACGTTACAGCACACGTAACACCTCATTCCTATTTTATGGCTGAATAGTATTTCATGGTTCACTCACGTTACAGCACACGTAACACCTCATTCCTATTTTATGGCTGAATAGTATTTCATGGTTCATTCATGTTACAGCACACGTAACACCTCATTCCTATTTTATGGCTGAATAGTATTTCATGGTTCATTCATGTTACAGCACACGTAACACCTCATTCCTATTTTATGGCTGAATAGTATTTCATTTTATGGATATATCACATTTTATTTATCCATTCATTTTGTTGATGGAAATTTGAATTGTTTCTCCTTTTTGGCTGTTATGAGTAATGCTGCAGTGAACATTCATGTTTTTTGTGTAGATGAACGTTTTCATATAGTAACTCTATGTTTAATGTTTTGAGGAACTGCCACAATGATTTTCCAAAGTGACGGTACCATTTTACATTCTCACCAGCAATGTGAGAAAATTGCCAATATTGTCTGTCTTTGATTAAGCCATCTAGCGCTATGAAGTGTGGTATCTCATTGTGGTTGTCATGCACATTTTTTTTAGTGGCTAATGATGTTGGGCATCTTTTCATGTGCTTATTGGCCATTTGTATATCTTCTTTGGAGAAATGTCTGTTTAAATCTTTTGCCTGTGTTTTAATTGGGTTATTTGTCTGTTTAAAAATTCAATTGTGTTTTTACATATATACAAGTTCCTTACCCAATGGATAATTTGCAAATCTTTTCTTCTATACTATAAGCTGTCATTTTACTTTCTTTTTTAAAATTTATTTTTTTCCTAAGTCTGTTGTATGCAGTCTCCTTTTACTTTTCTTGATGGTACGTTTGTAATGCAAATGTTTTTTAATTTTGATGTAGTTTAATCTTAATTTTAATTTTTTCTTTTATCACATATGCTTTTGGTTTCATATGTAAAAGCCATTGTCTAATTCTAGGTTACAAAGACTTACTTCTTTGTTGTTTTTCAAGAGTTAATATACTTTTAGCTCTTCTATTCAGGCCTGTGGTTAATTTTTATGTATGGTGGGAGGGAGGGAGGTATTTGCCTATTATTTTGCATGTGTATATCCAGTTCTTCCAGTATCATTTGTTGAAGGCTATTGTTTCCCCACTGAATTGTCTTAGCACCTTTTTTGAAAGTCAGTTGACCTTAATGTATAGGTTCATTTCTGGACCCTGGATTCTTTTCCATTTATATATATGTCTATCCTTATGTCAGTCAGTACTGGTTTCAAAAAAGAAAGAACATTTTGTTTTTATACCATCGTATGAAAGGAAAAGAGTAAAGAATTAATTACAAATGTTTTGAGAACCTGTAAAATGGTCTACAAATAAGGGCCCTTTCTTCCGGTGAGTATAAGTGTAACTTAAAAAATATGTAACTTAATTCTGACTAAATTTATACAACTGTCTTGATACATAAATTGTCAGTTCTTTATGATAGAATTCTGAACTACAATTTGGATTCTAGACAGCTTTATGAATATTGATTTTTGTTTTTTCCCCTCAGTCTATTGTGAAATGTTGTGATAGAACTGAGCAGAAGAGAAGGGAGAGAAGGAGTGTGCAAAAATCTGAAAGAGTGACTTTAAAGGTTTTCTACATTTCTCTGAAGCGAATAGTTGTCAGGTATTTATGAGAAATTGCATAGATTGCAGCTGATATATTATCAGTGAACAAGACACAGTATCTGTCTTCAAGGCACCTACAGTCTAATAGAGAAAGACTATCAAGTAAACAGGTACTGTTTCAGAACTGCTTTGATGGGAAATGTAGGCTGCTATGAGAACATCTAAGGGAGTTCATCAGGGGTATCTGAGGATAGTTTGGGAAGACTTCTTAGAGTAACTGGTATTTAAACAGTTAGGTGTTATCCCAGCCTGGATGAGAGGTTAGGGAAGTGTGAGAGTGGACTGGAGGAAAGAGTTTTTAAGCAACAGTCTGGAGGCAGGAGACTGCAACATACTCAGTGCAACTGCCTGGAGAAGGATGGATGTAGAAACGGTGATAGATGGGAGATTAGCAGGGGCCAGCCAGAAATCTTGAAGTCGTTTTTAAGAAGTGTGGACTTCGTGTTGTGGGCGAAGAGAAACCATTGGAAGATTTTAAGCAGAGTACTGACATTCAAATTATCCTCTGAATTCTAGGTAGCTAAGATTATTATTTTATTCTTCAACAGTTTTTATTTTAATTTTGCTTAAAAAATTGCCTGGTGAATCTTACTGTGTCTTTTATATATATCCCAAAATATTGCTTTATTTTACCCTTTCCTCTTATCCTTGGATGATAATATTGCTTGGAGCAAGAGTCTAGGTCAAAGCCATTTTTCCTCAGTGATTGGTAGTTATTTGTCCACTATTTTTGTGTGTCCATGCTTACTGATGAGAGGTCTGATATCAGTCTTGATTTTTATTCTTTTCTGTTAGTAGCTTTTAGGGTTTTCTCTTTTTTTTTTTTCTTTCCCCCAGTTTTCCAAGAATGTGAGACTGTGGGTTTTATTTATCTTATAAAAGTACTCAGTGAGCACTTTTAGTCTGAGGACTCTTGTCGCAAACTCTAGGACATTTCTTGGTCATTATTTCTTTAGGTACTGCTTCTCCTCCACCTGGTTTCTTATACATATTAAAATTTCTAGATCTGTTTTTTAGTCTTCTAACTTTCCTCCGTGTTTTAAATTTTTATAATTTTTATGTGATGTGCTCTAGGAAAATGCCTCAGTTCTGTCTTACATTTTACTGATTCATACGTCTACTTTGTTTCACTGCTTACTTATCATGACCTTCTGTTCTTTTTTATAACTCCTTATTCTTAATTTTTGGATCTAAATCCTGCTTTTATTTTTCTGAGGCTCTGAAGTATTTTTATTTAAAGGTTTTTTTTTTTTTTCCTTGTTGTTTGGCCTTTTAACTCTGTTCTTTTTGGATGTAAGGGTTGTTCTTCCCTCATTTGTTTAAAGGTTGTGTGCTCATATCATGCAACCATATTCTCTTCCTTATGTCCCAGTTGCAAATTATCTGAATAGGTAGTTTGCTGGGGTAGCTTTCTGGCTAGCACCCTTGGGAGTGGCTGATGGAGATAGCCTTGGCTCACTTCCAAGATTTCCTCTTTACTGTTTTCTTCTTGGATGCCTTTTAGCCTCTGTTCCTGAGAGAGTGCTCTTTTATGTTTTGGAAAGAGTTCTGTGTAAGCAGGGGAGATTTCATCCTATGTGGTTCTATTTTCCTGAAACCAAAAGAAGTATTTTTTGTTTTTCCTTTTTTTAAAAAAATAAAAGTGAAAGTTACTTTTTTCGCTTTTTGGTTTTTATTTTTAGTATTTTTTCTTTTTTTTGTACAGCAACCTCTGATGCCAAACAAAAGAAGTAGTTTTTGAATTCTAAATTTTCTCAAGAGAGTGCACTTACTAACGTAATTGATACAAGATGTCATGGATGGTGGTATGTCTTTGGAAAAATGGCACTAACTGATAAAACAAGAATGAAAGAACAGAAAAACATTCCACGAGAGGTGTTTTACAGCTGGAGATGAGGAAGACCATCCTCACAAATACTTAGCAGAACTTGTCTTTGGCAGGTTCTATAGAGTGGGAGGTATGGGTCCCGAGTGTGATGGCTCACGCCTGTAATCCCAGTACTTTGGGAGGCCGAGGCAGGTATCTCACTTGAGCTTAGGAATTTGAGACTAGCCTCGGCAACGTGGCAAAACCCCACCTCTACAAAACAGACAAACAAACAAAAAACCAAAAATTAGCCAGGCATGGTGGTGTGTGCCTGTAGTCCCAGCTACTCAGAGGCTGAGGTGGGAGATTGCTTGAGCCTGGGAGGTCGAGTCTGCAGTGAGCCATCAGTGTGCCACTGCACTCCAGGCTGGGTAATAGAGTGAGGCCCTGTCTCAAAAAATAAAATAAAATAAAAAGAGAGTGGGATGTATAATGATGGAGGGTAGAAGGAAAGTGTGTTCAAGAGAAATAGACTGGATTAGCTTAAGAGGCAGTAAGGATCAAGAACTATAGCCACAGGTGAAAATAAGGTTTGAAATGGCTTGCTTAATGCCGCCCAACAGTGGAATCCCATCATACTCCTGGAGTTAGATTCTCAATTTAGAACCTAGAGTGAAAACTATATGTTATAAAAAAATCATCCTAAAATTCTATAAATTACTCCTCAAAAGACAGTATCACATGGCCGTATCTGTTGTATTGGAGACTGGCAAGCCCCAGCTCTCAATATACACAGCGTTAACAGTTACTAGGTTGCTGATTTTCTTTCATTTTTTTTTTCTTATTTTTTATTTATTTATTTTCGAGACAGAGTCTCACTCCCTCACCCAGGCTGCAGTGCAGTGGTGCGATCTCAGCTCACTGCAGCCTCTGCCTCCCGGCTTGAGCAATTCTTCTGTCTCAGCCTCCCAAGTAGCTGGAATTACAGGTGTGTGCCACCATGCCTGACTAATTTTTGTATTTTTAGTAGAGACGGGTTTTGCTATATTGTCAAGGCTGGTTTCAAAATCCTCACAAGTCATCTGCCCGCCTCAGCCTCCCAAAGTGCTGGGATTACAGGTGTGAGCCACTGTGCCTGGCTGAAAATATTTGTCTGTTAACACTAGCGTCTCATTCAGTTCAGTGAGATGCTCATATTATGAGAGGCATGCAAGAACTGAGACACTCGGAGAGAACAGAAAAGCCCCATATCTCATCTCACAGCTGTCTAGGGGATATGTTCATTGAGTGGAATTGCATGTGGGATTGCTTACACTACTTAAATTATTTTCTTTTTTTTAGCTTTTTGAGGGCATGTCTTCATTTAAAATTTAAAAAAATTTTAAATTATTTTTTATTTTTTGAGACAGGCCCTCGCTCTGTTGCCCAGGCTCTGGAGTGGCACGATCACAGATCACTGCAGCCTTGACCTCTTGGGCTCAAGGATCCTCCTGACTTGGCTTCCCGAGCAGCTGGGACCTCAGGCATGCACCACTATGCCCAGCTGATTTTTTTTTTTTTTTTTTTTAAGTAGAGACAAGAGATGGCTATGTTGCTCAGGCTGGTTTCAAACTCCTGGCCTCAATCAATCCTCCCAGCTCAGTCTGCCAAAATACTGGGATTACAGGTGTGAGCCACCACATCTGGCACACATATCTTCATTCTAAGTAACAGATTTCAACTTGTTCTTGACAAAAAAATTTTAAATAACAGAAAAGTCTACATATTTGATATTCACTTTTTCTCAGCCATCTTCTCGGCCCTTATGTCAGGATATGATGAAAATGCATCATACATTTAATTCATACAGATTGAAGATGTGCCCTGGGCTGGATGTGATGGCTCATGCCTGTGATCCCAGTGCTTTGGGAGGCTGAATCTATAGCTTGAGGCCAGAAGTTTAAGACCAGCCTGGGCAACATAGTGAGACCCGCATCTCTGCAATAAAAAAGAAATAGCTGAGTGTGGTGGTGTGCACCTGTAGTTCCAGCTACTCATGAGGCTGAGCTGGGAGGAATGCTTGAGCTCAGGAGTTTGCAACTGCAGTGAGCTGTGATGATGCCACTGCACTCCAGCCTGGGCAATGCAATGAGACCCTGCCTCTTAAAAAAAGAGATGGGCCAGGAGCAGTGGCTCATGCTTGTAATCCCAGCACTTTGGGAGGCTGAGGCGGGCAGATCACCGAAGGTCAGGAGTTCAAGACCAGCTTGGCTAACATGGTGAAACCCCGTCTCTATTAAAAATACAAAAATTAGCCAGGTTTGGTGGCAGGCGCCTATAATCCCAGCTACTCGGGAGGCTGAGGCAGGTGGGTCGCTTGAACCCGGGAGCAGAGGCTGCAGTGAGCCGAGATTGCACCACTGCACTCCAGCCTGGGTGACAGAGGGAGACTGTGTCTCAAAAAAAAAAGAGAAAGGGATGAAGATTTGCGTTATATTTGGGTTTTTTCTTTAAACATATGTGTAGCAGTGTATGTGTTTTTTTATAACCAATTCAAACAGTCTTAAATTTGTGCTCATGTCTTTGTTTTTATGCTTACATATTAACAATTCTGCAGTACATCTTGATGCATAGGATTCTTTGGATCAATTTCTGGAAGTGGAGTTAGTGGGTTAATAAATTAGAGTGGATAGTTTGACCTTTCAGATATTGGCAGTTGTTATCCCAAAAGGTAGAAAAATATGAATGCTACATTCTGTACATATTCATCAATGTAAAATATTATAATGATAAATATTTTTTGACTACTGGTAAGATTGAACTACTGTTTACTCGTGAGTTTATTGGTGACTTACATTTCTAAGGTAAAAATCTAGGTTTCTCTTTTTTCTCCCATCACCATTTATTGTATATTGATACACATTGATCTTTTATCATATGTATTATTATTAAATATTTTTGAGACCTGTTCCTAGATTTTCTAACTGGGTTTATTTATTGAGGTCTGATTTTCGATATGTGTTTGTATTATGCCATTTTAACCATCTGGTGTGTAGTAATGCATACTTCTTACTTTCAGTGTATTACTGGATAGTTTGATCCATATTTTACATATCTTTGAACTTCATAGTCATGTTCAATACGCCTTTCTCCCTCTAAATGGATATATAGTGGGAGTGTCAGCCTTTGGGATTTTGACCATAATGGCTTTAAGTTTGGGATAAATTGACATTTTTGCAATATTTAGCTTCCCCATCCAGGAATATAGGCTGTCTCCCCATTGTTTCAGGTCTTATTTGACTTTCAGTAAGATGGATTTTTTTCACGTGTTTTATTTCCAACTGTTTTGAATTTTTGTATTTTGTAATGTTAGATGAATTTTCCCTTGATCATTTTGTTATTGGCCCTGCTAGCTGATGGGAAGAAATCAGGAGTACTAATTTCAAATATCAGATTTCCATGGTTCCAAGATATACTTTCCCCTAATATTGAAATAGTCCTTATATTCTATGAAAATTTTAATGTAGTTTTTATTTACCTTGAAAACACATTTATTTACCCTGAAAACACATTTTAGTTATGATGATATTTATGATTATGATTTATGATATATTTATGAGGAAATAAGGCATATTTTCTATTAGTATTTGGATTTTCTAAATAGATAATCAAATCCATTACTCAGGTTATTTTTGTCTGTTTCAGGTAGTTTACTTCATGTTTCTTTCGTGCTTCACTGGCTAGAACTTTTAACACAATGTTAAATAGTAGATGGTTGTGGAATTCTCTCTTGTTTTTGATTTTAATAGGACTGTTGTATTTTAGGGTTAAATATTGATCTTGGGTTTGGTGGAAATGTTCTTTTTTTCTTTTTTCTTTTTTTCTCCTTGTCTTCTTCCCCTCAGGTTTGGTGGAAATATTCTTAAGAATGTTAAGAAAGTATCCCTCCATTTGTTTACTGGAGGTTTTTTAAAAATAAGAAATACATGTTAAAATTATCAAATGTTGTTTGTTGACCTAGTACTAAGATTTTTCTCACTGGATCTATTTGTGATACATTATGTTAATAGTTAGCCTAATAGTAGACTATATTCCTGATACATTCGTATTCTTTCAATATATAGCGCTGAATTTAATTTGCTGGAACATTTTAAAAGGATTTTTTGGGGTCATTTGTTAGTAAGACTGATTTATAGCATTCTGTCTCCCTCTGGCTTTTTTTTTTTTTTTTTTCCTTTGTGAGGGTTTGGTGTTACAGTTATGCTAGCTCTATGTCTATCTTTTCCTGGAACTTTTATTTTCTTTCATGTTTTTATAGGACTGATCTGTTGTTGAAAGCCTTGCCCATGAAATTGTCTGCACTCAGCTTTTTTGGGGTATTTTATTTTATTTTATTTTATTTTGAGACAGAGTCTCGCTGTGTTGCCCAGGCTGGAGTGCAGTGGCATGATCTCGGCTCACTGCAACCTCCGCCTCCTGGGTTCGAGCGATTCTCCTGCCTCAGCCTCCCAAGTAGCTGGGATTACAGGCACCCGCCACTATGCCCAGCTAATTTTTTGTATTTTTAGTAGAGACGTGGTTTCACCATGTTGGCCAGGATGGTCTTGAACTCCTGACCTCAGGTGATCCCCCGGCTTTGGCCTCCCAAAGTGCTGGGATTACAGGCGTGAGCCACCGTGCTTGGCCTTTGGGGTATTTTAAATGTACTTATTCTCTTCTAAAGTCAGTTTTGGTAATTTATATTTTCCTACAAAATTGTCCTGTCTTTAAATTATTTCAGCTTAAGAGTTATTCTACTATTGGACCTGTATGGTTTTTTTTTTGTATTTTTATTTCTTATTTGTTATATTTGTGTTTTCCTCCCTTGATTTTCTTGCTAGAGATTTGTATTTTAGTTTTCAAAGAATTGGCTATTAGATTTGTTCATTCAATTTTTTGAGTTGTCTGATTCATCCTACTTTTGTTTGTATTAATTTTTTCTTATTTCTGTTTACCTTAGGCTTGTTTTATTGTCTATTTTCTAACTTAAAAGTTTCATATGTGGATTGTTTACTTACCCTTGTGTAGTAATGAAAGCATTTAGTTCTGAGATTTTGCTTGTTCTCTATTTGTTAGATGAGGCTGTTCAAATGTTGACAAAAGCCACTAGAAAGTCTCTTATCTTTTCCTTTTAGCTCAGTTTTGTTTGTTTTTTCTTTGTTTTTTTTTTGAGAAGGAGTCTCACTCTGCCTCCAGACTGGAGTGCAGTGGCACAATCTCGGCTCACTGCAGCCTCCGCCTCCTGGGTTCAAGTGATTCTCCTACCACAGCCTCCTGAGTAGCTGGGACTACAGGCGCGTGTCACAACGCCCAGCTAGTTTTTGTATTTTTATTAGAGACAGGGTTTCATCATGTTGGCCAGGATGGTCTCGATCTCTTGACCTCGTGATCCACCTGCCTCGGCCTCCCAAGTGCTGGGATTACAGGCAAGAGCCACCATGCCTGGCGCGTTTATTTTTGATTATGGAAGTATAACATGCCAGAGTATACAAATTATAAGTGTACAACTCAATGAATTGTCCCAGGGTGAACACATCCATATACCCAAAATAAAGGCAGAACCCTTCTAGCACTCTAAAAATCCCCTCACAGATCTTAATCACTAACACCGTTTATGTTTCCCAAATTGGAAATACTATCCTGACTTCTAATCTCATAGATCAATTTTACCAGTTTTGAACTCTATGAACAGAAATGTACAAATTGGGCCCATTTGTCTGGCTGATGACTGGGTAATGGGTCTGGCTCATGATGTTTAGTGTATCCATGTTCTGTGTATTGGTGGTTCGTTTATATTCATGCTATATAGTATAGTATTCCGTTGTGTCCTGTACTACCAAGTTATTATCCATTCTTCTGTTGATGAATATTTGGTTTATGTTCAGTTTTTGGTGATTATGAAAAAATATACTCTGAATATTCTAGTACATTTTTGGGCACATGCATTTGTTTCTGTTGGGTATATATGAGTATGTATGCATATGCACAAAATATATATGAGTGAAACTGCTGGGTCATAAAAGGATTTATATATTCAGTTTTAGTATGTTTTGCCAACCAGTTTCAAAAACGGAGGTACCAATTCATATTTTCATTAGCATTATATGTGCTTTCCATCTGTTCCACATCCACCCCCAAGAGTTTAAGCCAAGTTATTTAGCCAGTGGATTTAGAAACACATATATGAAAGCATATGTTATAAATGTACTTTATTTCACTATGGGTAAGGATTGTGGCCTACATAACTTTTGGTTTTTGGAAATTTGAGTTTGTCTTTTTGATCTGATGTATGATTGAATATTTCATAGGGACTAGAAAAGTCAAAATGTCCTCTCTTTGTAGGTGTCAAAGTATAATAGACATTAGGTTAATTTTATTATGTTCTGATTTTCTATATCATTACTTTTTATTTATTGACTTGACAGAGATAAGGAAAGATTCTCAGTACTTTTGACTGTAAAACCTCTCAGTATTTCTGTCAGTTTCCTTTTATTTTCTAAGTTTTTCTTTATAAACTTCAGTGTTAATGTTATTTGGCTTAATGGATGGTTTTACATGAATTAGGAATTACATTTTATTGCTCTAATATGGGAATTTTTTTTTGGATATTAAATTACATATGACCTTCCTTAGTTACAAAAAAAAGGTTGATAATTCATTAGTATATCTTTGCCATAAATGTAGAAATAGTTACATATTCATGTTACCCTATAACAAGAAGTAAAATTCAGTAACAGCAGCGATTATATAGCTAATTACATACCCAAGTGATGTTCAGGGTATGTCTGCTATATTAGTACTTAATTTTAATTTCAAAAATGCCTTTTAAGAAGTTGCTAAAATGTCTTAACAGGGAAATGTAATGATTTTCAGGTTTTTAAAAATGAACACACATAATTCAGGCATTATTGTGAATTATTGTGTATTGAAAAATTAAGAAAATTCGTTGAGTCACATCAGTTTCCGAAAGATGCAAACAAATGAAAAAGGGAAAAACAAAATCCTTCAATTGAGTACAATTTAACACAATACTCTCTGTGATTTCTTTCATACTACTTAACATAAGCATAGAGGTTTTGCTTTTTAAATTGAGATATAATTCACATCTAGTGAAATGCATATATCTTAAGTGTTTGGTTTGATCAGTTTTGACAAATGCAAATTCTCTGTAATCCATTTGCCTATCAAAGTATAGAACATTTCTATCATCTCAGAAAATTTCTTGGGCATGCCTTTTCTCAGTTAATCCTTATCCTCTCCACCCCCTTCCAGCAACTACTGATTTCATATTAGTTTGCACATTCTGAAACGTAAAATAAACGGAATCCTACAGGTCATGCTTTTCTTTTGTTCTGGCTTGTTTCACTCAGTATCTAGCTTGGAGATCCATTCATATTATTACTGACTAGATCAGTAATTCTGATTGCTCCACAATCTTGCCGATATTGGGTGATACTAGTTTTTTTTAAATTTTGATTTTAGTCACTCTAATGGGTGTGTAGTATGTACACATAGTTTAATCATAGTGTATATGCAGTCTCCCTCTCACTTCAGTGTTTGATATTAACTGAATGATAATTTCTGAGCTTTTGTAATAAGACATTGTGTGAGTAATGACTATGGTTTGAATAGTCATTTGAAAAGGAATTTGCATGGCCAGTTTGTTGTACTGTTGTAAATTAAGTGAGGATCATAAAGCTGAAAGTGAATTTAGAAATCATTTAATAGAAGCTTCTCAGTTTACAGATGAGCAAACTGACCTACAACCTTAAGTGACCTATTTAATGATACACAGCAAGCTAATGCTGAATGTAGGTGTATGATTTTTGATTGAATGTTTTTGATCTAATGCTTATTTCTTCCAAGTTATTTCAGAGATTGTGTTATTTTATTTTCTTTGTAATTAATGAATAGTGTTGTTTCACAATACTTTCAGAAAATGTTTGTTTTAGCTGGGTACAGTGGCTCATGCCTGTAATCCCAGCACTTTGGGAGGCCGATGTGGGTGGATCACCTGAGGTCAGGAGTTTGAGACCAGCCTGCCCAACATGGTGAAACCCTGTCTCTACTAGAAATACAAAAATTAGCTGGGCATGATGGTGGACGCCTGTAATCCCAGCTGCTTGGGAGGCTGAGGCAGGAGAAATTGCTTGAACCCAGGAGGTAGAGGTTGCAGTGAGTCAAGATCATGCCATTGCACTCCAACCTGGGCGACAAGAGCAAAACTCTGTCTCAGAAAATAAAAAATAAAATAAAATGTTCGTTTTATATGAGTTTGACAAAGGGAAAGAGCTTAAAGTAGGCTCCATCTAAATTCCCTTTTCAGCATTCCTTTTTTTCTCCATATTTCTGGTCATGCAAGACCAGAAGAGAAGAAAAGGAAAGGTGGGAACAACTCTGAGAAACTTGCAGTTGAGGGTGTCATAAGAACTCCTTTTAACTGGTTTCTTCCCATTTGAGTGTTAGAATGAATTGAATTCTATTGTTTAACTCGGCTTTAATGTTCCTAGGTATGCAGGTGCCTTGAGAGCTTCAGGGGAAATGGCTTCAGCGCAGTATATTACTGCAGGTTTGTATACTAAATATACTACTTTTTGATAGGAGTAAGACATTCTATTTTTCGCTCACAATCCTTTGCAGTTTACAGAATGTCTTTTGTAAAACATCACCTCATTAAGCCTGGAGTGTACATTATACTTAAGTTAAACAACTTGGTACTTATTTTATCGTCCAGATTATAAATCAATGATGTCTGTCGTTTGTGAAAAATAATCTTTGGATTTTTTTGGATTAAATTATAATTTTGGCTTCAGGTTTGATTTGTATAATACATATCTTTGGGGTTGACTCTGGGGATAGCCAGCGACGGGTTTTATCATAATCCATGTATCATTATAAAAGAGGGTCTTAGTGAATATTGGTGTAAAGAAGTGATGTGTGTGAGGAGAAATAGTAATCTTAAAGGATAGAAATAACTGGTTTCTTCATTGCATAAGAGAATATAACCCCCACCTAATTTTGGACATTTTAATACTGTTAAATCTTTGGGTTAGGTCAATAGGGTTTTACAGCCATGCCTTTTTTTTTACTCTCTCTCTAACAGCTTTATTGATATAGTGTACATATCATAAAATCTGCCCATTTAAAGTGTATAATTCATTGTTTTTTAGTTTATCCACAGAGTTGTGCAAATATTACTAAAATGTTAATTTTAGAACATTATCATTCCAAAAAGCAACTTCATAACATCTAGCAGTCACCTCCTTTCCCATTTCTAGCCCTACCCATTTATCTATGTGTTATTTCTCTCTAGATTTGCCTACTCTGGACTTTTACTCTAAATGGAATTAAATAATATGTAGTCTCTTGTGACTGGTGTCTTTCACTTAGTATAATGTTTTCAGGATTCATCCACATTATGGCATGTATCAGTACTTCATTCTTTTTTATTGCTAAATAAGAGTGCCTTGTATGGACAAGCCACATATCATTTATCCATTCATCGTTGGTGGATATTTGGGTTGTTTCTGCTTTTCGACTATTACAAATACTCCTGACAGTCGTGTACAAGTCTTGGTGTGGACAAATGCTTTCATTTCTCTTTGGTATGCATCTAGGAGTGGAGTTAATTACTGGGTCATATGATTACTATATTTAACCTTTTGAGGAACTGCCAGAATTTTCCAAAGGAGTCCCACCGTTTTACATTTCCCCCAGAAGGGTATGAGGGTTCTGATTTCTCTGTCTCCTTACCAGTACTTAGTATTGTATGTCTTTTTGACTATAGCCATCCAAGAGGTATGAAGTGTTATCTCATTGTTGTCAACCATTGATTTTTGATATTATAAACAGGTTTCTTTTGTGTCATTTGCAGTTAGAGAGATTTTACTCTAACTTTTTTTCCTAAAGTAGACTTACTTGTTGAAATGAAGTTTTTAGTGAGAAAGTGTGATCATTTATATCTACTTCATTTGACAGCTCATGTATCTTAGAATAACTTAGAATTTCAGCAGCTTCTGCAGCATCATATATGCGGCTAATAGTATTGATGCGATGAAAAATACTGTTCTTTACATTTTTGCTTCTTGATTTTTTAACTTTTTGTTTTGAAATACATTTAAATTTACAGAAAAGTTGTAAGAATTCACCAGTTACTAACTTTTAGTCGCATTTGGTTTCTCATTTTTCCGTTATGCATGTAATTTTTTTCTGAACCATTTTAGAATAAGGCGCCAGACATCCTGAATATTTCAGTATGTATTTCCTAACAATAAGGACATTCATAACCACAAGACAATTCTTAATTTTCAGAATCTGGGCTGGGTGCGGTGGCTCATGCTTGTAATCCCAGCATTTTGGGAGGCTGAGGCGGGCAGATCACTTAAGGCCAGGGGTTTGAGACCAGCCTGGCCAACATGGCGAAACCCCGTCTCTACTAAAAATGCAAAAATTAGCCGGGTGTGTTGGTGCATGTCTGTAATCCCAGCTACTCGGGAGGCTGAGGCACGAGAATCGCTTGAACCTGGGAGGCAGAGGTTACAGTGAGCTGAGATTGTGTCAGTGTACTCCAGCCTGGGCAACAGACTGAGACACTGTCTCAAAAAACAAACTTTTTTTTAGAATTTGGGAGTTTCACACAGTACCCTAAAATACAGTCTTTATTCAGATTTTGCCAACTGTCCTAGTATTGTCCATTAAAAAAGTTTTTTTTTTTTCCTTCTTCAGGATTCAGTTTAAGATCCCACATTGCATTTAGTTGTTATATCTTATTAGTCTCTTTTAATCTATATTTCTTCTTGACCTTTTTCTTTCAAACTAATGAAATACTTTTGAGATGCTCTGTTGATGGTATATACTAGATCTTAAATCATCTGTTTTTTTGAGTAGTGTATAAAATATTGTTAAAATGTAGGCTTTTATTTAAAAAAATAATTAGCTTGGTAGTGATGCCCAAATTTCAGCCTTCCCTCCAAAAATATTTTTTAAACATTGTGTTCAGTTTTGTTATTCAGGAACATTTTATTGAGCCCCTGCTTTGTGCTAAGATGCTGTATTTGGTGGGTTCAGTCTGTATAATGATGATAGGTGACATTTCACATCTTGGGTATTAATAAAACATACAAGTTGAGATAAGCTAGAGGAAGAGTTTTGCTGTACATGAAGGAGGGCAAGGTATGATCACTAGGAAGTCCGCAGAGGAGAAATGGTTCGAAATCCAAGAGAACAGACTAGTCCATGACTGTGAGATTCATGCTGCTGAGAGGGGTAAGTGGAAAGAAGGTTTTCTGAAGAAGGTAAATTCTTAGTAGTTTTGGTTCTTAGCTGTCCAGTAGAGTCAGCTGTTTAAGGACCCAGATTTAAATCTCCAGGAGTTGAGTAGATGAGAACCAACTATAGGTTTAAAGGGAGGTAAGTTGGGAGAGGTGACCCGCTATCCTGATCTTGGCAGAGTAGCAGAACAATTACATTATGCCTGTTTGTCCCTAAACAGAGGTTATGTGTTCTTTGTACTGAATTAAAACACCCTGCTTTGTTTGGGAAGACAAAGGCTGGCAAGAAGAAAGAGAGAGGGAGGGCTCAGAAGTTGTTTACAGCTAGTGATTGCTTTGTAAGGTCTTCTGGTGAGTTAAGATTTAAAAAGGATTTTTTTTTTTCTTATTGAGAGTCCAACAATTGTCAAAGAGTAGATACACTTAAAAATGTTTAAGCAGCTGGGTGTGGTGGCTCACACCTGTAATCCCAGCACTTTGGGAGGCCGAGGCTGGCGGATCACAAGGTCAGGAGTTCGAGACCAGCCTGGCCAACATGGTGAAACCCTGTCTCTACTAAAAAAAATGCAAAAATTAGCCAGGCATGGTGGCATGCTCCTGTAATCCCAGCTACTCGGGAGGCCCTTCTGTGTTCAAGCAGTTCTCCTGCCTCAGCCTCCCGAATAGCTGGGGTTACAGGCTGAAGTGAGCGGATCATGAGGTCAGGAGTTGGAGACCAGAGCCTGGCCAGCATGGTGAAACCCCATCTCTACTAAAAAAAAAAATACAAAAAATTAGCCGGGAATGGTGGCGTGTGCCTGTAATCCCAGCTACTCTGGAGGCTGAGGCAGGAGAATTGCTTGAACCCAGAAGGCGGAGGTTGCGGTGAGCCGAGATCGCGCCACTGCACTCCAGCCTGGGCAACGGACCAAGACTCCATCTCAAAAAAAAAAAAAATTAAGTAAGTTTTTGTTTGTATTAATTAAAATTAATTTACAGTCGCGTGTATTAAATATGTGACTGTTTTACTAAGGCAATGTTTGCTTTGTCTTTAAGCCCTTAGAGATTTGTTTGATTCCATGGATAAAACTTCTTCCAGTATTCCACCTATTATTCTACTGCAGTTTTTGCACATGGCTTTCCCACAGTTTGCCGAGAAAGGTGAACAAGGACAGTATCTTCAACAGGTAATTAGGGCAAGGTATTTTTCATTCTGTAAATGTAAAACTTAGGTTTCCTACATTTACCGTACTTACTGGAACATAGTTCGAAATATAAACATCAGTCTTCTCTAGTTCATGCCACGGCTGTCTCTTGCCTGGAGCCGCACAGTAGTCTTAACTGATATCTGGCTTCTGCCTTTGCCCCTTTGCAGTTTCTCTACACAGCCCGCAATGTCCTTTTTAAAATGACGATAGGATTATGTTGGCCCCTTGTTCAGTACTCCCTAGTGATTTTCTACCGCAGTCCTAAATCCTCTAGCCCCTGGCTTTCTCTCTGAGTTCATCACTACCACTCTGTCCCTTGCTTGCCTCTCTCCAGCTGCACAGGCTTCCTTAAACCTTTCAAGTGCCCTCTTCCTGCAGGGCCTTTGCTCTTGTTCTTTGGCTGTCAGATAAGTGCAAGACCAGCTCCCTCACCTCCTTCAGGTCTCATGGCTCCAAGGCCAAAGCCTTAGGCTTTCCCTGATGACCTTATTGGAACAGCACACTTCCCTTCCCCTGATCACTTACTGTTTCCATCCTGCTTTTTTTCGCTTCATAACCCTTATCTCTACTTGAATTTTATATATTCACTGCTATTATGCTGAGTATCTAGTACAGTGTTTAGCACAAATTGGAGCTCAGCAGATGTCTGTTGAATGAATAAGCTATTCTAGAATGCTTTATTTTTTGGAAGATCGTATGTCTTATTTGGCTTAATATTTTTAAAGAAGGAAACCACTTTCTTGCCTAGGAGACAGTGATTATTTTGGAAGAACTTTGTAGATCATTCACTGCCAGGATTACTTACTTTGTCTTTTTTTACATTACAGGATGCTAATGAATGTTGGATACAAATGATGCGAGTATTGCAACAGAAATTGGAAGCAATAGAGGATGATTCTGTTAAAGAGGTAATTGAAATATATTTGTGATTATAGACTTTCGTTATACCTTGATTTTTTTTTTTATTTTTTTTCCCCTCAAAGGCTTAAAATAAGTTCCATCTTATAGGTAGATGTGTATTTAAATACTTTAGATGCTCAATCTGTAGTCAGAATTTGGAAGCTTGCATACGACATTTAAATTTAATGTATTATTTATTAAACTTAATTCATTGTTGATTTTTGGTAATGTTTTTTGAAGGATTTTACTGTAAGGGACTACATTTTTAAAAAAATATGTATTACTAAACTGGATTGTGTGGAAGAAAATCTACATTAATATTTATATAAAGTTGGAATTTTTATTTTAATTTTTGCAGACAGACTCCTCATCTGCATCGGCAGCGACACCTTCTAAAAAGAAAAGTTTAATCGATCAGTTCTTCGGTGTTGAGTTTGAAACTACGTATCCTTATGAGCCAAGATATAGACTATACTCATACCTTATTAGAATTGGCATAAATAGCATCATTGGCTGATTGATTGGTGGTGGGTAGAAGAAAAATTCTTCAGAGGTTTTTTTTCTTTGAGACGGAGTTTCGCTCTTGTCGCCCAGGCTGGATTGCAATGGTGTGATCTTGACTCACTGCAACCTCCACCTCCTGGGTTCAAACAGTTCTGCCTCAGCCTCCCAAGTAGCTGGGATTACAGGTGCATGCCACCATACCCAGCTAATTTTTTGTATTTTTAGTAGAGATGGGGTTTCACCCTCTTGGTCAGGCTGGTATTGAACTCCTGACTTTAGTTGATCTACCCACCTTGGCCTCCAGGTGTGAGCCACCGCGCCCAGCCCAGAGGTTTTTATACCTAAAAAAATACAATAATGGAAATTAGGAATTTGGAAAAATATACCTATTGGAGTGATCTTGAAGGATAATGGGATTATTCATTATGTTTTGATTAATATAATTATTTTAAATTTATTTCTTGAAGGATATTTATTATTTTTTCCTAAGAACATCTTTAGCAGAGTCTACCTCATTTTCATTCACCTTATAAAGAATTAATTTCTTATATGTCAAGGTGACTGTTAATAATAACTTTTAAAATAAAAAAAGAATTTTTTAATTTTATAAAAGGGTGTGTATCAACTATACATGAGATTGAACCAGTTAATAAAACATGAATCAGGAAAGTACTGTCTTCTAGGTCATGGTTAGAAAAACTTAGAAACAATTTATGTACCTTTGGGCTTCTAAGACCATTATAAGACCATACTAAATACCAGCTTATAGTTTAGAGTTTATTGCAGTTTATCTTTTAATACACATTTATTACTCATTGTTGTTTCTAGAATTGTTGGTAGCCAAATGAACATTCTTAAGTATGTTGAAATGAATCTTGGGAGACTAAAAGGTTTTAAATGCCAATGAATGATACTATTAATTTTAATGGAATTAGGATAATGTATTATATTCAAGAGTATATAACAAATTGAATACCCGTTGGCATATTCCTTATCTTAGTTTACAAAGCATGAAATGTACAGAATCTGAAGAAGAAGAAGTCACCAAAGGAAAGGAAAATCAACTTCAGCTTAGCTGTTTTATCAATCAGGAAGTCAAGTATCTTTTTACAGGACTTAAATTGGTAAGGACAATCTCAGTCCATCCTTGTTGTTTGTGAATTCCATGTTTGCGAGTAAGCCAAAGTCATTATTCACTGGGCTTTAATGGTCATTTGTAGACATGTGCAGAGCAATACGCATTTTGAGTTGCCCGATACACACAGTCCCATCTGAGGTCAAACAAGTACTTGGCCTTCTTGTTTCAGCTTGGTAAACAAATACCATTTTAGCAGGAATGTTAGAACTGTTGTTTTAAAAAAAAATTTCTGCTTTTTGTTGGTTATTTCACTGTTTAAGATGACCCCCCAAGCACAGGGCTGAGTGCTGTCTAGTGTTTCTAGGTGTGGGAAGGCTGTGATGTGCCTTACTGAGAAAATATACTTGTTAGAGAAGCTTCAGTTGGGCCTGCGTTGCACTGTTGGCTCTGAGTTCAATGTTAATTAATCAACACAATATGTGAAATAAGGTGTCCTTAAACAGAAACACACATAAAACAAGGTTATGTATTGATTGGTTGATGAAAATGTTGTGATCAAAGGCTGGCGGGAATCTAATCCTGTATTTCCCCTAGGAGCAGTGGTTCAGTATTCATTGATTCAGTGCTTGTGGTGACTTTGTAGAACATAATTACCGTGACTAACAAAATCAACTGTATAGTCAGAAATCAAACAAACTTCAACTAGCTCTTCATTTCATAGACAAAAGCATTATTGACATGGTTGCATATGCTAACAAATATTGGGACATCTCACTTTTTAATCACTGGGTGTTCCTGCTTCACACTGTGAAGAAGCACCTAGTGCTTTGTGCTGTACCTTGCTTTATTTTAAAGCACTCAAGAAATGTTTGTTGAATAGTTTACATGTTTGTTAAGATTTTTCCTTAGAGATAGTTGTTTTCATGGGCCCTATAACTTAGCTGAACTGTTAACTTTAAGGAAAATTACTTAATCTAAGCTACTGTTTTCTTACGTGAAAATGAGAGTAACTATAGGGTTGTTTGTGGGTTTGTGCTCTTAACCATTAAGGGTGATCATATAATGTATTGTCTAAACCAGGACACTTTGGTGGAGAGTGAATGAGGGTATGTTAGTAATTATGCAATATAAACTGGGATTTTTCTGTGCAAATCAGGGCATGTAGTCGTTCTGCCATTGCACTGTCTTGCAGTTGAGGCCCTGGAATTTAAAGTAACCTAATTGGCTTTTGGCAGAGCCAGAACTAGAACTTGCTTCTTTCATTATTCAGTTAGTGCTGCTTTTCCAGTGCCATACTAAAGAATACGGACTCACATAAAATGTCAGCTTCCACTCTGCTAATAAGCCCATGGATAAAACATACGGTTTTGCTTGCTGACTTACTAATTTGGTGTGCTTTGGGGATATGTATATCTCTCGAAGGATCTCCCCATTTGAACTGATACCTTTTAATAGTTTTCAAATTATAGTTCATGTGATTCCACTTCAAAAGCACTGATAATTAGGATTGTTTATTTTATTTTATTTTATTTATTTATTTACTTATTTTGAGACGGAGTCTCTCTCTGTCACCCAAGCTGGAGTGCAGTGGCACAATCTCGGCTCACTGCAACCTCTGACTCCCAGGTTCAAGAGATTCTCCTGCCTTAGCCTCCTGAGTAGCTGGGACTACAGGTGCGTGCCACCACACCTGGCTGATTTTTGGTATTTTTGATAGAGACAGGGTTTTGTCATGTTAGCCTGGATGGTCTCAATCTCCTGACCTTGTGATCCGCCCACCTCGGCCTCCCAAAGTGCTGGGATTATAGGAATGAGCCACCGTGCCCAGCCAGGATTATTTATTTTAAAAGTTAGCTTCTTCCTAAACACAGTTGTATGAAAAATAAATGCATGAATAAAAGTTAGCCATTGCAACATCTAGATATTTGAAGAAGGGCCTGGAGGGCAGAATTTTTAAAAATCCTGGTTGATCCTCTTTGCTGTCTCCTCTAACCATGACCAATAAAGAGAAGTCTTGAAGGAAGAAAAGTCAGTGAAAAATGATGAGACATTGGAATAGGTCCTCTGTGCAGAGGCCTAGTTTGGGCAGAGGAGGTGGGTTGATAAACACTGAAGTGGGACATGGATTATGTTGATAAACAAGATGATTTGTTATCTGGGGGCTCTCATCTATAGTTTGGGATAAGGTTGGCAAGGGGAAGGGTTGTTAAAGGGCATAAGAAGAAGAGTGAGTGAGTCACGCTCTGTCTTATGATACCGAGGGGAGAGTTTTGAGCCAGTGTGGATATGAACATGGTGACTTTTAAGAGAAATTCATTTAAAAACACACAAAACTTCTTAACCCCCAGGAGCCAAATCATGTAAGGCATGGTGTGCAAGTTTCAGGATATACCAGCAAATGAAGTCTCAGTGTTAACTGGAGAGTGTGGAGTGGAGTGCTTTGGCAGGGACTCTCCAGGATGGTATTTTCTTCACAATTTTGTAAAAGTATAGGAAAACCGAACATACCCAGAAGGTCTAGATGATAGTGGATTGGTGGTAATAATAAGATTTCACCAGATATACTTTCTTGAAAAACCTGTATTCCTAGAATGTATTTATTTCCTTTATAACTTTTAAGATATTTTATCTTTTGTTCTGATAATTCTTGAGTAATTTGGCTTCGTTTCTCCACTGCTTTGCTGCTGAATAAACTTGGTTAAATGTTAAAAAGCTACTCCACAGTGATTCCTTTTGTAATATGATTAGTAATTTTAAAAAATCAGACTTTAAAATTATACAAGTGTAACATGCTTAAACATTACCAGTAGGTTATTTTAATTCTAATTTCTTTTTTGTTTGTTTTCTTAAAGCAGAGCACATAAGTAGTGCTAATTCTTTCTGTGACATTAGAAATAGTAGTGAATGTTTGTTAAATGTAGAGTATATGCCAAATATTTTACCAGGTTTTCTACATGTACTGACTGTAATTCTAACAATAACACTATAACATTGATTACCACTACCACCTTTTCCAAATGATGCCCAGAGGGATAAATACCGTTTCCACTGTTACACGGGCTGTAAGAAGCAGAAAGGTGATCATGCTGGTTAAGATATGTGCAGCAGCTAAAGGCTTTCCCACATCTGTTAGGTTAACAGAGGTTTCTGTGTTATGACTTTTTTCAAATTTAACAATAATTCATTGGTGCTGATTGGCTTTTATGCATAAAACGTAAAGAACAGGAGTTTCTTGGGCTCTCTTAATTTTCCTCTAGAGTGAATATTCTGATAATAAACAGGAATGACAGCTTTGTTATATAAAATACAATATAAAATTCTCTGAATCTAAGCATCATTTGGGGCATAGCTAAAAAAGAGCAAACAGTATTTACACTCGGAGGAATCCACAACAACGTAAATTATTTGATGCCTTGTAAGAATTGAACAGTATCTAAAAGTCTTCCCATATTGTCATCAAATTGTGTCTCAGTGGTATAAACCCATTGATGTACTGTATATTGCCTCTTAGGTAGTGCTAGTTTTTAAAAGGCTTACTGGTGTGATTCTATATTGCAGAAATAAAATTTTTAAAACTAATGTTTGGTCTTCTGTTATGTTCTTTCTTAGCGACTTCAGGAAGAAATCACCAAACAGTCTCCAACGTTGCAAAGAAATGCCTTGTATATCAAATCTGTAAGTTATGCAGTCCTTTCGAAGCCAAATTCCGCTTCACTGAAATATTTCCAGTTAATTAATTTTATCCAGTCTTAATTTTTACCACCAAATAATTAAAACTTGTATGGTATTTTGATGTAATGGGATTTCTTTACATTTTGTCTCCTCAGTCCAAGATCAGCCGGCTGCCTGCTTACTTGACCATTCAGATGGTTCGATTTTTTTATAAAGAGAAGGAATCTGTGAATGCCAAAGTTCTTAAGGTTAGTAATGAACTTTACTTTGTATAAGAAATGTAATTCTTTGAAGGTAATTGCTAACTCACAATTGCTTTCATTATTCCTTTAGGAATAGTTAAGCTTTCTTTGAAATATTTAGGGGAGCTAATATTAGACAAGTGATTCTTAACTCAGAACGTATATTAGAATTATCTATTGTCTTTTTTATTTTTAACTGTACACACACCTGGCTTCTCCCTCACCCCCAAACATCTGGGTAGGTCTTCGGTGGGGCCTAGGATATTATATTTTTCAAAAGATTCATATACAATTCTGATGGCTCTCCTGCACTACCCAGAAATAGTGCCCTAGACCACGTCCTCAGCTTCAGGGATACTGATTCAGTAGGCTTGGAGATGGGTGTGAGGTAGGGAGTGATAACTCTGCACTATACTCTAGGTGGTTTCTTTCTTTTTTTTTTTGAGACGGAGTCTCGCTCTGTCACCCAGGCTGGAGTGCAGTGGCGCTATCTTGGCTCACTGCAAGCTCTGCCTCCTGGGTTCATGCCATTCTCCAGCCTCAACCTCCCGAGTAGCTGGGACTACAGGCGCCCGCCACCGTGCCCGGCTAATTTTTTTGTATTTTTAGTAGAGATGGGGTTTCACCGTGGTCTCAATCTCCTGACCTCTTGATCCGCCCGCTTTGGCCTCCCAAAGAGTTCCTTTCTTTCAGGTGAAAGGAGAAAGAGTTAAATCACTGGTGCCCAAAGAGTACTTAAATTGTAATCCCTTGATTTAGGATCCAGCCTCAGAATCTGACTGTTTTTGTTGAGTTGTAGTTCTGCTACATCTCCATAGAGTCCTGGGAGGGGCCTATCTATCATTTTAGCCTTTTGAGCTTAAATTCTTAGTATATTTTCCAGTATACTTAGCGTTGTATGAGAAGGTTAAATGTAGTTGAAGTATCTAGTGTTGTATACTTTAAATATATACTACTATAAGCTATTGAACTATATCACTATTACTTCTATGTAAAGTTGTATTTCAAATAAAAAAAAAAAACCATAAGTTTATTCCAGTTTGGGAGGTCCATTATTTTCACAGCAGCTTGTCCAATATTTCTGAGATGTTTCTTTTCTCAGGTAAATTTTGGTACTTCCTCTGTGGTTAGTTTTGTGGGTTAGAGTATTTAATGGAAAAACATGTTTTAGAAATTTCTCACCTTAAAAAAGTTAGAACCAGATCATTCTTGAAAATAGGCACTCTTAAGAGGTTTCAACTGCAGATTTCCAAGTGATTTTCACAGATTTTATTTTCAACTGTATCTGAATTATGAAAGCATTACTTCAGATATGTGATACTTTAAATAAATATCTTTATAAATGTGTTTACACATGTTTTTTGTTTGTTTGTATATAGGATGTTAAATTTCCTCTTATGTTGGATATGTATGAACTGTGTACACCAGAACTTCAAGAGAAAATGGTGTCTTTTCGATCCAAATTCAAGGATCTAGAAGATAAAAAAGTGAATCAGCAGCCAAATACAGTAGGTTCTTACTGCTGACTTTATACTCTTAATATCTTAATCTCCCATCAGTGCTCAGCAATTACTCTGTCTTTTTTTTCCTGCTTCATTTTTCCTTCAGAACTATACTTTGTATAGTATTATTTGGATCAATCTGTATTACAATTAGCAGGTATACACATCCTCCATATATCAGTGCAGATCTTTAAAGTTTTGCATGTGTTTTATTTTCCTTTTTTTTTTTTTGTGACAAGGTCTTCCTTTGTCACTCAGGCTCACTGCAGTCTCAACCTCCCAGGCGCAAATGATCCTCCCACCTCACCCTCCCAAGTAGCTGGGACCACAGGCGTGCGCCACCATGCCCAGCTATTTTTTTGTATTTTTGGTAGAGACAGGGTTTTGCCATGTTGCTGAGGCTAGTCTCGAACTCCTGAGCTCAGGCGATCTGCCCACCTAGGCCTCCCAGAGTGCTGGGGATTATAGGCATGAGGCACCACACCTGGCCTTTAGGTGTATTTTAGCATGAGAAACAGAACTCTACTTAGAATAAATGAGTCCTTTGTGGTAGAATAAGCTTAATATTTTCCTTCCCCCTGTAATCTGTAGCTCATATTCCTTTTATACTTATCTCCTCAAAGTACTTCACGTAAAACCTTACCTAGTGTTGACCTTGATGCAGTCAAAATACAGTACATTTCCATCACCACAAAGATCTTGCATTATTGCCACAGGGCCACTTTTCTTCTGCCCTACCCCTTCCTTAATTCCTGACAACTACCAACCCGTTCATTTCTATAATTTTTGTCATTTCAAGAAAGTTGGCCAGGCATGGTGGCTCACGCTAGTAATCCCAGGACTTTGGGAATCTGAGGCAGGAGGATCACTTTAGGCCAGGAGTTCGAGACTGTCCTGGGCAACGTAGTGAAACCCTGTCTCTACAAAATATGAAAATAAAAAAAATCAGTTGGATGTGGTGGCATACACCGGTAGTTCTAGCTACTTGGGAGGCTGAGATGAGAGGATCGCTTGAGACCAAGAGTTAAATGCTGTAATGAGCCATGATTGTGCCACAGCACTCCAACCTGTATAACAAAGCAAGACTCTGTTTCTAAAAAAAAATTATACAAACGAAATAAAAACTCTTCCACTTTTTAATATAACCTTTCTCACTCAGCATAATTCTCTGGCGACTCATCCAGGGTGTTGTGCATATCAGTTGCTCCTTCCATTTCATTGCTGATCAGTATTCCCTGGTGTGAATTTACCACAATCTGCTTCACCATTCACCTATTGAAGAACACCTGGGTTGTTTCTAGTGTTTGTCTGTGATGAATAAACCTGCTGTAAACATTCGTGTACAGGTTTTAATGTAAACGTAAGTTCCATTTCTCTGGAATGAATGCCTAGGAATGCAGTTGTTAGATTGCATGGTAGTTGCATGTTTAGTTTTTCAGGAAACTGCCAGATGTTTTCTAGAGTGGCTGTACCATTTTACATTTCCACCAGCAAGGTGAGACTGATTCACTTTCTCTGCATTCTCACCAGCATTTGGTGTTGTCACTATTTTTCATTTCAGCCATTGGATAGGTTTATAGTGATACTGTGTTTTCCTTTGCACCTTCCTAGTGGCTGATGAAGTTGAGCATGTCTTCATGTGTTTATTTGCTATCTGTATATCCTCTTTTGTAAAATGCTTCCTCTTGTCTTTTCCCTATTTTCTAATTGTACTGTTTTTTTACTCTTGAATTTTGAGAGTTCTCCATATTCTAGACCTTTGTTGGATATGTGGTTTGTGAATATTTTCTCCTAGTCTGTAGCTTATGTTTTCATCCTCTTAACCTAGGGTCTTTTGCAGAAGAAAGGTTTTTTTAATTTTTATGAAATCCAGTCTATTTTTTTCTTTAGTTGCTTGTGCTATTGGTGTCATATCTAAGAAAGCATTGCCGGGCTCGGCATGGTGGCTCTCACCTGTAATCCCAGCACTTTAGGAGGCTGAGACAGGCAGATCACTTGAGGTCAGGGGTTCGAGACCAGCCTGGCAAACATGGTGAAACCCTGTCTCTACTAAAAATACAAAAAATTAGCTGGGTATGGTGGTGCGGACCTATAATCCCAGCTACTTGGGAGGCTGAGGCAGGAGAATCGCTTGAACTGGGGAGGCAGAGGTTGTAGTGAGCTGAGATCACGCCACTGCCCTCCAGTCTGGGCAACATTGCCCAGTCCATGCCCTCAGAGATTTATACGTATGTTTTTTTCTGAGAGTTCTGTGGTTTTAGTTCTTCCATTTAGGTCTTTGATCCATTGAGGGTTAACTTTTTATATAGTGTGAGGTGTGGGTTCAGATTCATTGTTTTGCATGTGAATATCTGGTTGTCTCAGCACCATTTTTTAAGAAGACTGTTCTTTGCCCATCAGATGGTCTTGGAACCTTTGTAGAGATTAATTTGACCATCTGTATTTATGAGTGTATTTCTAGACTATTAATTTTATTCCATTGGTCTATATGTCTGTCCTGATGCTCATACCAGACTGACTTGATTACTGTAGTTTTCTAATAAGGCTTGAAATTGTGAAGTATCAGCCTTCACTTTTGTTCTTCTTTTTGAAAGTTATTTTAGCTATTCTGAGTCCCTTGCATTTCCATGTATATTTTAGGATCAGCTTGTCCATTTCTTCAAAAAAGATTGACGGGGATTACACGGAATCTGTGGATCAATTAAAAAGTATTACTATCTTAATAGTATTAAGACTAATCTCAGCACTTTGGGAGGCCAAGGTGGGCAGATTGCTTGAGTCCAGAAGTTGGAGACCAGCCTGGGCAACATGGCAAAACCCTGTCTCCACAAAAAATACAGAAATTAGCCAGGCGTGGTGGCGTGTGCCTGTAGTCCCAGCTGTTCAGAAGGCTAAGGTGGGAGGATCACTTGAGCATGGGAAATGGAGGTCATAGTGAGCCAAAATGGTGCCACTGCACTCCAGTCTGAGTGACTGAGTAAGACTGTGTCTCAAAAAATAAAAAGTATTAAGTCTTACAATCCATAAACTTCATGTGTCTTTCTATTCATTTAGGTCTTTAATTTTTTTCATAATGTTTTATAGTTTTCAGTGTACAAGCCTTGGACATTTTTGGTTAAATTTATTCCTAAATAGTTTATTCTTTTTGATGCTTTTGTAAATGGCATTCCTTTCTTAATTTCATTGTCTAGAGTGGCTAGTAAAGCTAGCATATAGAAATAAAATTAACTTTGTATATGGATCTTAAATCCTTGACTTTGCTGAATTTATTAGCTGTTTTTATCCATTAGTGTTTTGAAGAGATTATGTAGAATTGGTGTTAATTTTTTTTTAAACATTTGATAGAATTGGTGGAACAGTCTGCTTAGAGATTTTACTTTCAGGAGTTTTATTTGTTTATTTTATTTTATTTTATTTTTATTTATTTTTTTTCTATTGCCTAAACATAGGCAGGCACATTTTCAGGAGTTTTTACATTTCAAATTTAATTTCCTTCATAGATATAGGGCTATTCAAATGATCTATTTCATATTGTGTTTGTTTTTGTAAATTGTTTTCCCAGAATTGATCCATTTCATAAGCTTATCAAATTTGTATGTAGAATTGTTTCTAGTATTTATTACCCTTTTGATGTCTGTAGAGTGTTTAGTGAGTGAGATCCATCCCGTTTCATTGCTGATATTAGTAATTTGTGTTTGTCCCCCTTGCTTGAGGATTATTAATTTTATTGATATCTTCAAAGAATTGGCTTTGTTTCATGGATTTTTCTCTATTTTCTGTTTTTAGTTGTATTGATTTCTGCTCTTATTTCCTTTATTCTGCTTGCCTTGTGATATAAATTTCCCTTTCAGCAGTGATTTCACTATATCCTATGAATTTTGATACATGGTATTTTTATTTTCATTCTGTTCCTTGTATTTTTAAAAATTTATCTTGAGACTTCCTCTTTGGCCATTGGTTATTTAGAAGGGTCTAAGTAATTTTCCTGTTATGTTTCTGTTGATTCTAGTTTGATGCCATTGTGGTGACAGAACACACTTACTTGATTTAAATTCTATTACATTTATTTATTTATTTGAGACTGAGTCTTGCTCTGTCGCCCAGGCTGGAGTGCATAGGTACGATCCCGGCTCAGTGCAACCTCTGCCTCCTGGGTTCAAGCAATTCTCATGCCTCAGCGTCCCGAGTAGCTGGGATTACAGGCGAGTGCCACCATGCCTGGCTAATTTTTGTATTTTTATTAGACACAGGGTTTCATCATGTTGGCCAGGCTGGTCTCGAGCTCCTGATCTCAAGTGATCCACTCGCCCCGGCGTAAGCCACTATACCCGGCCTAAATTATATTAAATTTAAATGTGATTTAGGTATAGACTATTTACATTTAGTGCAATCATCGACATGTTAGGGTTTAATTCTGCTTTTTTGATGTTTTGCCTTTTTTTTTTTGTCTTCTTGTGGGTTACTTGAACTGTGTTTTAGAATCCTGTTTTACTTTATGTTTTTAAATGTGTTTCTTTGTATAGTTTTTTCAGTGATTGCTGTAGGTGATTTCATTATCTGTATAAAAAAGATGTGATTAACCTAGTTGCCATTTTTTGTTGTGGAATCCTTTGACTTCTTGCCATCACAGCTACCTGTAAGCTGCTGGCATTGTCTTCATTACCATTATAGTTTTAAAGAACTTTGTGCTGTATTCCTAGATAAGTTATTTTTCTCATGTTGCATGCTAAAATGAGTTGAAGCAGTGAGTTCCTCCTAAGAGTCCTTGTCTAATTTAAATCATACCTCTTTAATGTAGGTAAGTCTTTGCTGAAAAATATTTCAGTTCATTTGTGCTGGCGTGGTAAGTGGACATGGCTCAGGAGGTTTAATACAAATTGCAGGAATTCTTGTTTTAGAGGTAGTTGTTTTTTCCCCCCACCTCTGTGGTTTGACAGTATTTTGGTAACACTGGGGAATTGGGTTTTTCCTTTTCTGCCCTAGAGCACTGTTTAACTGTACTGCTGTATTCACTGGTACGCTTTCACTTTAATGGTTTAAAATTGGTCATCACATTCAGGGTGTCTGTTACTGTACTGTAACAAGATTTTATATTGTTGAAGTGTAGGACTGCTGGGTTTACAGTTTTAACTGTGGTTATATCATTTTAGTAATTTGGAAGGTAGACTGTATTTTGTCTCTGTGCACTGTAGACAGTAAATATTTATGAAATTGAACACTTACAGAGAATTCAAATTTTATTTCCAAAATCATGATTTAAAATTAAACATTTTTTTCTCCTCAGAGTGACAAAAAGAGTAGTCCCCAGAAAGAAGTTAAGTATGAACCCTTTTCTTTTGCTGATGGTAAGTAACATTCTCATTTTAATTGAGTTATTGTATGTGGGTCTTTTTAAGGTAAAATTTACATCTTACCCCATATTTACTTATTCTGATGTGCTTTTCAAACAAAATGTCAGGTTTCTTGAACAATTTACCTTAATGACATATAGTAAATTTACTCATTGGCATACAGTTCTATGAGTAAGTTACTTATTAAAACATCAATCATGAAGCCTTAACTATGATTGGACAGTAGTATCTTATTGGATTCTGATAATACTTTCGTAATGTGAACTTTAGAGTTATTCTTGTTACTTAGCTTGAGAAGGCACATGTCTATTCATTGTCTAATATTAATGGATTTACATCTTTCTTTAGATATTGGCTCCAATAATTGTGGATACTATGACTTACAAGCAGTACTAACACACCAGGGAAGGTCTAGTTCTTCAGGTCATTATGTATCATGGGTGAAAAGGAAACAAGGTAAAGGGTATTCTTTTTTCAACTGTTCAATATTATTTTAACAGTTCATTTATTATAAATTTTATAGCAGTGTGGTTTTCAAACTTTGGGTCTCAGAACCACTTTACATTCTTGAAGCCCCAAAGAGCTTTGGTTTATGAGGTTTGCCTCTCTTAATACTTACTGTATTAGAAATTAAAACTGAGAAATTAAGAAAGTTAGTTTTAAAAATGATAGTAATAAGCCCATTACATATTAATGTAAAAACAAAATGAGTGAGAAATGGTACTGATTTACATTTTTATGTCTTTCTGTTGTCTGGCTTAAATAGGAGGCAGCTGGGTTCTCCTGTTAGTGTTCGCATTCAGTCTGTTGCATTATCATACATTATGTAGCCTCTGGAAAATTCCAGAGTACACTTGAGAGAATGTGGGTGGAAAAGGCAAGCAGTGCTCTAGTGGTGTCATTGAAGTAGTTGTAACCTGGTGGAACCCCTGCAGTGCCCTTAAGCCTGTGTGGTCACTGGGTCGCACTTGGAGGACTGTTGGTGTGGCCAGTGGAGCACTGCTGTGCCTCCGATGACTTGATACTTTTTTTGCAGTGGAACTCTGAGACGAATCCTGCATAACATTAATTCATCTTCTTGTCCCTGTTATTTAGATGAATGGATTAAGTTTGATGATGACAAAGTCAGCATCGTAACACCAGAAGATATCTTACGGCTTTCTGGTGGTGGAGACTGGCATATCGCTTACGTTCTACTCTATGGGCCTCGCAGAGTTGAAATAATGGAAGAGGAAAGTGAACAGTAATCTTCATTTTAGTATTTATGCTTAGATGTGAAAATAAATGTTATTTGTTGATCATTTCTATAATCCAGAGCTTTAGAGGAAGACACATAGGTGGGTTTATGTTTCACCTCATTTGGAACAAAAGAGGACAGAAGCAGACCACTCTGTGCACCAACCTAAAAAATTACAGAGAAGAGAAAATTATCTTTGGATTGTGCTGCCCTATATAAAGGTGGCAGAAAGACATTTTTAAAAAGCTTATTATTTCTTGCATTATTTTAAAAAGTTCAGAGTTGAAATGCCTTTCAACCATTTCCTTCTGTGGTCATTTTTCTTGCTGCCTTTTTCACCCAAGATTCAGCAGTCAGATGTTTACTGCACACCTATTACCTATTATTTGCTGTTCTTGCATGGTTCAAACCACCATTCTGTAGCCACCCATCCTTTGCCTTATCTAACAAACATTTTTCCAGGAAGGTGGAAAAGGAAGTGTTGCTCTCATTGTGTGACTCAGTGCTGCTGTCCATCCCATGGAAACATGGGCACAATCAAGTATTTGTCCAGCCTATTGCAGGCTTTTCCTGACTTTAAAATAAATTGTGATCAATAATAGTACCTTTGATTATACATTTATTATTGTGTCTCTCTCTGATGTACTGTGGATTGTACATTTAACTTTGGAATGGCTTTGTAATAATCAGTCTTAAGAAAATGTTGACAAGCTCTGGTTGCTTATTTTTAGAAAATGAGGACATTTAATAATAATAAAAAAAAAGGGATTAATAGCTTTTGACCTCAAGTCTTTTGTCTTCTGAGTGTTGGAGCTTGGCTGAAGACATGTTTAATACTGTACAATTTCTGAAGATGGTTATTAACACTGTGCTGTTAAGCATCCATTTAAAAATATTTGTTATCTTCTTTGCCTGCCTGTATTTTAAAAAGAAATACAAAGTTGTAAAAGTAATGGATTTCTTTGGATGCTGAATGCAGTGATGTTATCAGTCAGATTCTTTCCTTGGCTCAGTTGTGTTTGTATTTCCTTTCTTAATTCCCCAAATCTTGGCTGGGCACGGTGGCTCACGCCTGTAATCCCAGCACTTTGGGAGGCTGAGGCAGGTGGTTCACTGGAGGTTGAGTTCGAGACCAGCCTGGCCACATGGTGAAACCCTGTCTCTACTAAAGATATAAAAATTAGCTGGATGTGGTGGTGCACACCTGTGATCCCAGCTACTTGGGAGGCTGAGGTGGGAGAATTGCTTGAACCTGGAAGGCAGAAGTTGCAGTGAGCTGAGATCACACCACTGCACTCCAGCCTGGGTGACAGAGAGACTCTGTCTCAAAAAAAAAAAGAAAAAATTCCCAAATCTTAATGTCTGTTTCAGAATTTTAGTGATTTTAAAGTGATAGTAGAAAATACCAAGCATATGAGGTATTTCAATATGATAGGCTTCTTACATTTTAATAGTTACTCATCTTTGTTCCAGGACCCTTGACTGATGCTAGGGAAAGGATAAAGCATAGAATACCAGCCAGTTTGGCTCTGATTTTGAGTTATTTATAATAAAGTTTGGGGATTATCATAACATCTCATATCTTTGTGTATGTTGTTTTAATGCTCGGCAGAGCACAACACTGATGATAACTATTAAAAATAGAAAATAACAGCCATTTTACTTTCAAATCTGATGTGATGCAATCTGTGAACACTAGGAGGGGATAAAATAAGCATTGCAGGGAAACTTATTTGTAAATAGCTTCCTCACCTAAACTTTGACTTGGCAATCAATACTTTCTACTTTGTGGAGGGGATTAAGAATAGAATGGGCAGGATGAGACCATGAAAATTATAATGATTCATGTATATTTGTATGATGCTTGTAACTTTGCAAAGTCTTTTTTATTCATTGTCTCATTTGGTCAGAACAATTTTATTGAGGACATGAATTTAACAATTAGAATTTAGATTTTCTGACTGTAGCTACTAAATGTTGTAGCTACTAGACCAGGTGAGCTAGGTTTAGAGCAAAGTATATAAGCCTTGTATGGACTATATTAGAATTTTAAAAATTGTAATTAATTCCTTATCATCATTATAAAAAGCTTGATTTTTTTATTTGATCTAAAAAAGCATTATTCCAAAGAATTTTTTCAAGTAGAAATGGGAGTTAGTTATACCAGTGTTGTTTTTAACTAATAAGGCTATTTTAGAATTCAGCCTTGCCTGTAAGGTCTTTGAGAAGGGAGAGGAGTAGGCCAAAAAAAAAAAAGTCTTGATTCCTGAATGTGCCTTATATGCTGTGCCACTCACACCGAGGCCATCATCTCAACATTAGAGTTGTGCTAGATTACTGCTTGACTGACTAGCTAGGTTAGGCCTAAGAGTGTTTACCGAATAATCTGCACTCACTCAGTAGCCCTTCTTCAGGATTAAAAACGATGATGACCTCATCTTAGAGCCCTAAAGGGAAATGCTTATGTGGGAACAAGAAAAGTCGGTGGTACTGTCTTCTGCTACTACTACTTAGTGCTTTGCTGTGTATAGGGTGTGTTCACATATATCTCAGTTGAATGTCACAAGAATCCCTGAAGTGATTAAAAGTCTTGAGAGGTCAGGCAATTTTTGTAAGGCTAGAAGGAAAAGTGAGGTTTTAGACTTCATTTCTTTTAAAGTTGGCAAACAAACATTTTCTGTAATGGACAAGATAGATAGATTAGATAGATAGATAGATAGATAGATGATGATTGATTGATGATTGATAGTAAATTATTTCAGGCTTTGCAGGCTATAAAGTGCTGCAGCTCCTTAGCTTTGCTGTTGTTATAGTGTAGCTGGAGCCATAGACAGTTAGTTAGTTAGTTATGAGTGAGCACAGCTGGGTGCCAGTACAATTTTAATGATCAAGACTCGTGGCAGGCAGAACAAACCATCATTTGTTGATCCTCTGCTTGAAAGCACGAATAAGTGAGAACAGAGCAGTCATATGGTTTCAGAAAGTGTTATTCTGGGATTTCAGGATAAATTTTGTAAAACTACTAACAAACAACACACAGGAAACTAATTTGGTATAAGAAACGACATATCCCTAAATAGTGCTTATTTAACTTCATTATAAATACATCTACTTAACAAAAAAATATATTTTGTGATCTTGAGGTCACTTCGTTTAGGTCATTATCTCAACCCAACCTCCCCAAACTCTGGTTTGAGCCAATATGTGTTCTATTGTTCTCAGAGCACCAGCCGACTGTACAACAATTGTTATAAAAATGTTTATTGTTTACCAAAACCAGTGGACCTCTTATCAAATGCTGCTTGGTAACAAAATCTATCACAGTTTTAATAAAAAGAAAAAAAAAAGAAGCTAACTATTTGTCTCATTGTCATTAGTTAGACTTTCTGCAAGGTCACTTAATCCAGACTTATTCAGTGCATTAATCAGATTCTCAGGTGTTGCATGAACTCCCTCTTGATCTTGCCAGGCAACCAGGAGCTGCTTAGCTCTCATCTTCATGTCTTCACTGTCACACTCAATCTGCCTAATTTCTGAGTCTTTCATTTCCAAGTAGGGAGCCAGAATCTTCCATTGTTCACCCAGCTTGTTGGCAAATACCTCTATTTGTTCTCCTGTTACAGGTTTGTCTCGCCGAACATCAGGACCTAGAAAATGAAGAGAATATAAATTATGCGCAATTCTAAGTATACAACAGAAATGGAAAGCTATGGGGCCAATAAGTTTTATTAACCACCTTTAGTAGACTTTATTTTAAAAGTAAACAATTATTTTTTATATTCTCCGTAAGTTGAATACCACTCTTAATAAGCATGGTCAATAATCAAAGCTAAAGCTGTTACCTATAATTACGTAGGCTTTCCCTGAAATGAGGTGCTCCCCCTCCAATAACCAATAATTAACAGAGGTATGGGTCGCCTTCAAATGTATTTTCATTCCCTTTTAAAGCACCATTACTTCCCAATTTTATTGCATAAAATGTAGTGTTTTTAAAGTTATTATTAAGCAATGTTTTAAATTCCTCACTATGTCAGAAACAGTTGAGATAAAATGGGAGAAGTTGAGAAGTCGATCAAATTAAATAATGTACCTATCAACAAAGAACCCCAATCGTCTTCAATTTTGTTAAATAACCAAGAAAATTCAGTTCTTACTTTCATTTTCCTTCAGTAGAGCATCATTATCTTCCTCATCTTCATCCTCACCTGTTTTTATTTCTTCAGAAGGAGGCTAAAAATGAGAAAGAAGAATGTTTGAAAGAATGCCAGCCTCTGAAGTAAGGTAACAGGTATTTTGTTTGGATAAGGACGGTTGTGAGATTCCAAGTACAGGGTGCCAGAACCTCACCCCTGAGAGCGTTAAATGACAGTGTCAGGTAAGGATCCTAAGTGGGACTATCTTCACCTGCAGAAGGAGTGAACTTGGGAAGACCTCAGAGTTGGAAAGACTCCCCACCCCCAATCTGGGAAGCAGGAAGTCAGTAAAAAGCACAGTTCCAGGATTTGCAAATACCCAGGGTTTATTTAGTAAAGACGGCCTCAAGGAAGCCAGTAGCAACAGTGTCCTTAAAAGTTTCTGATTCTTATCTTTTATCTTTGATAAAAGACAATATAATGCATTGGCAAACAGGAAAAAATTCATGTCTGTGTGTATAGGTGCATAACAGTTTACCTGAAGTATCACGAACTTTAATTTTTTGAGACGGAGTCTTGCTTGGTTGCCAGGCTGGAGTGCAGTGGCGAGATCTCGGCTCACTGCAACCTCCGCCTCCCAGGTTCAAGCAATTCCCTTGCCTCAGCCTCTTGAGTAGCTGGGACTACAGGCACGTGCCACCACACCTGGCTAATTTTTTATATTTTAGTAGAGACGGGGTTTCACCATATTGGCCAGGATGGTCTCAATCTCTTGACCTCATGATCCACCCGCCTCGGCCTCCCAAAGTGCTGGGATTACAGTCGTGAGCCACCGCACCCACAGCCCTGTTGAACTTTAAATTACATGCTGTACAGAAAATTATCAGTTACTTCTTTATCAACTCATGTATTTCCTGTAAATGTATATTCCAATGTGTTTTTCCCTCATTCTAAAACATGGGAGCTTGTGGATCACTGGTTTTTCACATGATTAAGTCAGTTTTTTGCTCACATAGTGACAGCAATTTTAAAGAAGATGTCAACTAAAGGGTATGAAAAGTTGATCTATGGTACTTACCGGTAATTCCTTGGCTAGCTTTATTACCATATTTTCAAGATATTCTGGTAAACTTTTAAACTGCTGGTTGGTTGGCTGGAAGAAGTGAGGGCTTCTCCGTGCTAATAGTCTCAGGGCTCTCCAACCATAATTTGAATTGTTCACAGCCCTATAAAAAGAGGTGTCAGGCTTGTAATTTATAGCTTTGTATTTCTGTATTCCCTTCTGCTCAGTTCTGCCATGTGTAATTCTGTATTTAAGGTAAATAGCTCAAAGTGCCATTCTTTGTATTTGAATCTTATTCCTAAAGAACTTTTCAGTATGTAGTCCACTGATAATAACAAACCAATAGATGCACATGTAACTAATCACAGGAACCAACAATGCCTGAAGAGGCAGGCTCATATGCAGCAAACACATTTTCAAAGTTTCCGTTCATTTTGTTTAATTTTAACAAGTCAACAAGTGTGTGCAGTACTGGCTGGATGCAGTACGTATACAACAGGAATCATCCATCTAGCTATTTGGAATCCATGAACTGTTCCCTAATGAAGTATAACAATGATCAGGGTGGTATACCATCAGGTGAGAAACAAACTGCAGAGAAATTCTAAAGATAATGCGTCAGAAATATGCAATGCTGCGGAAGAAACCAAACCACAAATTTATTCCATTTAAGAGTTTTGGATTGGAAGTCTCTTCCTCCCCTAAGAATAGCAATTTGGTTTATTTGGTCACCTCTTATAAATAAGCATATGTTACCTTTAGGATGTGCAGGTACCACTGAAGACTTAACAAAAACTACCCATAGACACTGGGGACTCTTCCCAAGTTAACACCTGCTGTGAGGCTTTGCCTAAACAGTTAAGAGCCTTCCTCTCTGACATATCTGTTTAGACAATTTGATTATTTTAGGCATTTTCAAAATTCACTGTCAATTATACACATCATTTTTCTTATTCTCCACAAAACCCTCTTTGGAGATAATAATTTGAACTATCACTTTAGGAATGAGTCCACCTAGTCTTATGTAACAGTGATAAATTAATATTCTTTCAATCGACAAACACTTTTGAGCCAGGCACTCAGTAGCTGTGGAGAGTACCTGAGGCACAGTAAGGCAGGCATTGCTAGTGATAAACACACAAGGTATAAGACAATTTCATAAGGATGAGGAAAACTTGAGAAATGAGAAAGTGGTAAGTGCCACCTTCTCATTTGGATAGTGGTAAGTGCCGTGAAATAAAAACCACGAGAATGCAAAAGAGGAGACCAGGGAGGGGAAGAGCTTCCCAGCCAGGGGGACTTTAAGCCACGGCAACCTTGGGGAAAAAGTGGTTCAAGCAAGTGAGACAGTAAAGTGTGAAGGTCCTGACAGGAAAGGGAAAGACAGGACCAAGAGGCCTGCTGTGGTTAAAGCAGAGGGGAGGCATGGCCACACAGGAGAGTATGAGCCAGACCAAGGAGGTCTTTTAGGCCCTGGGAAGGAGTTTGGAATAGGCACTCACTGGGAGATTTTAAGCAGATTAGACTTGGACAATTATTTTAAAGATCACTGGCTGATGCATGGAGCACTGACCACAACTAGAGAGATTAGTTAAGAGGTCACAGTAATTAACAACTCTGGTCACAGGGTCACACTAGTCACAAATACTGAGTGCTAACCACATGCCCTGTAGGGTTCAAAGTGCACTGTCTTATTTAATCCTCAGAATAACCCTGTGAAATGGGTACTGTTACTATTTAACAGATGAGGAAAGGGAACTGGCGGTTTAATAATTAAATTAGCCTTAGTTGCCTAGTAAGTAAGTGGTAGAGGGAATCGAACCTATGCATTCTGACCAGAGGCCTCTTGCCTTTAAACCACTACTCTTCAATTCCTATTTAAAGCCATGAGACTGCGGTGTCACCCAGAAGGTTCTAGATAAAGAGGCTAAGACCAATTCCTGATGTTACTCCAAAATTTGAGTTAGGCAGAGGATGAGGAGGCTGAAATGGAATGTGAGGTGGAGTGGGCAACGAGGGCAAAGGGCAAACAGAAGAACCATGGATTTGGATTCTCATGGACGCCAAGAGAAGAAAACATTAAGGGGAACAGGATAGGTTAACAGCTGCTGTGAGATACTGTGCTTTGAAGGGTAGAGAGAACAGAACTAATAGTTGGAGAGAAATGGGGATCAGGGGGAGTTTTTTTTTTCTTATATTTTGAAACAAGGGTGATTCCAAGTCATGCTTAGTTAACAGGAATAATCCTTGAAATCAGGATGTGTACTAACAAGAACTTGGAACATAAACTCACCTAAGAGAAAAAGCACTATTCTATCTACTGCCTCTCTTAAGAGGCTTTCTAGTATACACACAATTCCTAAGGAAGAAACAAATTGAAGAAAATTAAAAGGAGCTAATGAGGAGCATACTTACTTATATTCATTTTCCACCATATTTTCAGGGTCTGCCTGTTCAATGGCTTCTTCAAAGAATTCCTCCAAAGTGGGCATGTGTTCCCTGAGCGGTACAAAAATAACCAGTGAGGATGGCATATATTCTTAATAATAAATACTCATGAAGTGGTGGCAGGACAAGATTGTGGGCATGTGTTCCCTGAGCAGTACAAAAATAACCAGTGAGGATGGCATATACTCTTAATAATAAATACTCATAAAGTGGTGGCAGGACAAGATTGTGGGCATGTGTTCCCTGAGCGGTACAAAATAACCAGTGAGGATGGCATATACTCTTAATAATAAATACTCATAAAGTGGTGGCAGGACAAGATTGTGGGCATGTGTTCCCTGAGCGGTACAAAATAACCAGTGAGGATGGCATATACTCTTAATAATAAATACTCATAAAGTGGTGGCAGGACAAGATTGTGGGCATGTGTTCCCTGAGCGGTACAAAATAACCAGTGAGGATGGCATATACTCTTAATAATAAATACTCATAAAGTGGTGGCAGGACAAGATTGTGGGCATGTGTTCCCTGAGCGGTACAAAATAACCAGTGAGGATGGCATATACTCTTAATAATAAATACTCATAAAGTGGTGGCAGGACAAGATTCTAATGGCCCCATACTTTTAGTTACAGTTTTGATTACGTGGGAACTCCAGACTTTTAAGGAAGTAAAACCGTCAAAACTAAATTCAAAAAGGACAATAAATAAAGGGGATAGTCTAATACTAAATATTACATAGTATTTACTACATATAATATTATATACTTTAATTACACACTATAATATATAAATATGTTGCTATTCAAAGAGGGCAGCCAGGGTATTTTATAGCATTTGAATTTTACCAGCAAATAAACTTTTACATTAAGTCCCTATCCACGAATTATTTTTTCTTTAAACCAGAATTAAACCAAAACTAATAATCAGACCATAATACGATTTCAAGGGTTTAACCTTTAGCTCTTATTTAAATTGTTACCATGGTAGCATGGTTGATTTTTAAAATGCATCTTTCTTGAATTTGTTTTTAGAAATAAAATTTTGATACAGGGTCAAGCAAAGAAATGAGGTCTCAGGATCAGAAGACATCTTCTAGAGTAAAACTAGGAAAATGGGCTCTTTTAAGAAAACTATCCCAATATCCATTCATTTTCTAATGCTACAGATACTATATTCCATTTTATGAACATGCCCCAAGTTATCCATGTCCTACACAGAGATATTTGTCTTCCCACTCTTTGCTCTGACAATGTTAAATGAACATTCTTGCACCTGTCTCCTTGTAGATGAACTGATTTCTTTAGGCACTGGGCCTTCAAACTTCCACTGCAACCCACAATAAGAAATTCATTTTACACTGCAACCCAGTACACACATATATGCAAGTATATGTACAGATATATATAAGTAAAGCTAATGCTTCACAAAAGTATATTTCCTATTTCATTTAAAAAATGCTAGTTGAAATTACTAAATTGACTTTACAAACCACCAATGATTCTCAAACTTAGTTTTTAAAAACACTATTCTGATCAACACACCTACTAGTGGGGCACAGACATCTTTAACATTCAGATAGAGTGACTGTGCCATCAGACTCCTACCAGCAGCACTGGCAAATTATTTTTATCCATAATTCTTATAAAATCTGGGTATTTTTAAATTACTGAATCTCTTAGCTGGAAACTGCTTGCTGTAGTTTTTAACTGTACTTCCAGTTACTAGTGAAGTTCCCCGTCTTCTCAGAGGTTTATTAAGGTTTCTACTTCTGAATCTGACTATTCATTTGTACATTTTTCTACTGGGTTGATTCACTCTCACAGATTTGGCAGGAATCAATCATGTTAGAATTTTATCTATTTTTCCTGGTTTTTGTTTTTATTGATCTTCTCTTTTGATTTTGTTATCTTCTCTATTGTTTGTTGTCTATTTTACTGATTTCTAATCTTATTTTACTTTCTACTTCTATGAGTTTACTTTTCTTCTGAATGACTCTCAGTGTCAGACTCTTATTAGCTTGGTTTTTAGATTTCATTCTTTTTGAAAGTGTAAACACTTAAGGCTATACATTTCTCTTCTGTGTTCTACTGAGTTAGATCTCAAAAGTCTGAACATGTAGTGTTTTCATTATTATTTAGCTCTACATTTTCCAATTTCCATTATGACTTCTTTGATTCAAGGGTTATTTAGAAGTGTGTTTAAAGGAGTTGTAAGTATTTTTGCTTTTGCTATTCACACATAATTTACAAAAACTTGTGGTTTCTGTAAGACCAAGCCTGTTAATTATTTTGTTAAATTCTAAATGTATTACACTAAGTTTTTTCCACCAAATTTATTAAATTCTGAGAAAGGTCTGTCAAAATCCTACTAGATGGTAGGTTTTCTGGGTGGTGGTGGATGGTGAAAACTGACCCTGGGTCAACTTCTCATTCTAATTTTGTCAAATTTTTGAGAACACATTCTTAGAAAATAAAGTTTAAAATGTGTATATTTCTATTTTTTCCTTTTATCTTTATGCAATGATTGCCTTTATTTTTAATAATGCTTTCTGCTTTTAAGCCTTTTCTGCCTGATATCAATATAACTATGCCTTTTAAAAATTACGTCTTTTAAAAGTTCTTTCAGTTTCAACCTTTCCATATCTTTATTTTTAAGGTATATTTCTTATAAACATATAGATGGATCTTTTTTTTTTTTTTTTTTTTGAGACGGAGTCTCGCTCTGTCGCCCAGGCTGGAGTGCAGTGGTGCGATCTCGACTCACTGCAAGCTCCGCCTCCCAGGTTCACGCCATTCTCCTGCCTCAGCCTCCCAAGTAGCTGAGACTACAGGCGCCTGCCACCACACTTGGCTAATTTTTTGTATTTTTAGTAGAGACGGGGTTTCACCGTGTTAGCCACGATGGTCTCTATCTCCTGACCTCATGATCCGCCCGCCTTGGCCTCCCAAAGTGCTGGGATTACAGGTATGAGCCACCGCGCCTGGCCGATAGATCTTTAAAATATAACACCAATTTCTGTCTTTGAGCCAGAAAGTCCATTTCCATTTATATTTGAATTTAACCATACTGTTTTGTACTTTCTGTTGTGTTTTCTGTGCTTTTTTCCTCCTCTCCTACCTTCTAATTTACTTGCTTAAATTTTCTGTATTTACTTTTACCCCTCAATTTATTTAAAAATTACATATTCCATTTCTTTCACATACTTTACAAGCATGTTTGACTTAAACCATAACATTCTTTAATTCTGACCACCCCTTCTTGTCTTACATGTCACTTTTATCAAGTTTACCTTTTAAAATAACCCTAAATAATAATTATTACTATTTTATAACAGTGAATTCTTGATAAGATTTATTCAGATTTCTTCATGTTTACCAAAGTGTCTACACAGTAATCCTTTCTGCAATTTACTCCTTTCTGGGTTCAGTTTCCTTAAGACAGCTTTTTTACTGGGGACTGTTGATAATTTCTCATAGTTTTAGTCAATCACTCAACCACAACTGTTTAACTTGTTACAGAATTTTTTAGTTGAAATGTTGAAAAAGCAAGTAATACTTCTAGAAATGAGAAAATATAGTCATTGAATTTACAAAACGAGCAGGTTTAACAGCAGTCTGGACATAGGGAAAGTAAGAATTACTGGATTAATGATTAAGAAATCACCCAGAAAGCAATACAGAAGGAGCAAGAGTTGGAAACGATGAGTTAATGATAGTTGAGGAGGTCCAGCAAACATCTAATGGCAGAAAGAAATAATAGAGAATGTGAAAGACATTTTCAAGCACTCATCCCACTGTCTTCTGATTTTTGTTGTTCTTGAAGTCAACTGTTAGTTTAACTTTGCTCCTTTGTAGGTTGTCTGTTTTTTCTCTCTGGTGACTTTATTATCATGTACAGAGATATGGATTTATTTGGTTTATCCTCCTTAAGTATTATACTTCTTGAACCTATGAATTCATGCCTATTCTTAATAATTAACTCAATTATTGCCTCTTTCCCATTCTCTATTATTTCTTTCTGCCATCAGATGTTTGCTGGACCTCCTCAACTATCATTAAGTCATCGTTTCTAACTCTGCTCCTTCTGTATTGCTTTCTGGGTGATTTCTTAATCATTAATTAACCCATTAATTCTTACTTTACCTATGTCTAGACTGCTATTAAACTTGCCCATTTTGCAAGTTCAACGAACTTTTGTGACTATTAAAACCCAAGTTCCCTGGTTCTCAAAGCTGGCAATCATTAGTACTGCTGCCCTAGAACCGTATCAGTTCATAGGCTTACTCTTCTGTTTGTAGTTTTGATTCCTTTTGTGAATCTTTATTTTTTTGTGATTTCTAAAATTATTTTATCAGCACTTTGAGGAGTTTTATGGTGGGAAGTTACACGCTGCTGTGCCAAAAGTCAACCACAATAAACTTTTAAATTTCATTTGAGCTCTGATCATAGCTGAGAAAAGGCTCCATTCTACTCAACACTTGACAAAAGCAACACTTCATTTGAAAAATGTTCAACTTGCCTTGTCTCTGATTTACAGGCTTCCATATTATCAGGGCAAAGATTCCAAAGCCTTGTTAACTCCTCACTACAAAATAGACACAGAAATAAATACATTTTTTATGGACACCATCCTCATGTGCCTTGAAACTGAACAGAAAAACAATACAATGTAAACAGTGGATTTGGGGATGTTGACAGTATGAGTTTTACTTTTCTCAATAATTTTTGGTATTTAAAATACCTAAAATTATTCTCTATATGAGCATATAATCATTAATCATGACTAATGATAATGATATAATCTTTAGTTTTTTCTAAAAATATTCCAGCACAATATAAAGCAATGAATAGTTAACTGGAAGGTAAGAGAACTCAAGGATTATGGTACCTTGCAACAACTGGAATCTAAACAATTCTACTGTCTGAAACGGAAAAAATGGCACAGCCTAGAGACACAGATTTTGGAAGCTGGAGACAAAATGAAGGTTTATCTGGTGCATGAACCCACACAATGGGCAGTATAGACAGTGCGGTTTGCTTTGGCTATCTATGTGTGTACCAAACACAATCTCATACTATATTTTGGATGGAGAGTTCTTAAAGTAACATCTTCAAAATATAAAAATAACTAAGAACATCCCACATGAAGACAAATTCACCTACTTTCCCATCAGAATTTTTTTGGTGGGTCCTTTCCCTAGGAAGTCCTCGGGTGCTGTTCTCTTCCGAATTATTCTCGTAGGTTTGGTATCTGATGTTCTGTCGTGAACAAAACATACACTATTTTTTGAATTACAAATGGATAACAGAAATAGAAGAATGTTTAACGTAAAAGAAAATTTAGTTATTGTTTTCCTCTTAAAAAAGATGAAAACTGGCTGGGCATGGTGGCTCATGCCTGTAATCCCAGCACTTTGGGAGGCTGAGGTAGGTGGATCACCTGAGGTCAGGAGTTTGAGACCAGCCTGGCCAACATGGTGAAAGCCTGTCTCTACTAAAAATACAAAAATTAGCCAGGCATGGTGGTAGGCGCCTGTAATCCCAGCAACTCAGGAGGCTGAGGCATGAGAATCGCTTGAACCCAAGAGGCGGAGGCTGCGGTGAGCCAAGATCATGCCACTGCACTCCAGCCTGGGTGACAGAGTGAGACTCCCTCTCAAAAAAAAAAAAAAAATGAAAACTTCATATTATGATAGAACAATTATCAGATATAAGATAAAAATGCCACATTATATGGCAAATTACACGGAGTAGATATACAGTATTCTTCTCAATAATAAGATGTTTGTTCCAGGAATTTAATGACAAGAAATTTATGAGGTTTAAAAAATACAGAGGTAAATCAAAGTGGTTGTACTCTTACAAAGTTCAACTTACATTTTTTATGTGAAATATATACATGTATTTTTACATGCTATAATCATATCGGAGCACATTTTCAAAAGCCTTTCTCGTCGTTCTTGTGATGAGTATGTATTTACCTTTCTTTCAGTATGTATTTACCTTTCTTTCACAAAACTTGGGCAACCTTCATTTTTCCACGAGTTCCAGTTTTCTTCAGTGTTTAATATATGCTGGGAAAAACAAAGCGATTACATTTTGGTTAGTGGAATCCTCTGAAGTTCTATTTCGTGCTAAGAAGAGGATGTAAGCATAAAAAACACATACCTCTACCATCTTTGAAAATCTTTCTCCATCGGGGGGGTTTTCAGATAGTAGCTGTGATTAGAAAGAATATACTAAGCTTTCAACAACTTTCTGCATCATAGGAGTGGTTTGTAGGCAGAGAACCAAGGAGTGTTTGTGGTCTTGTACCTGAGCTTAACTTTATCCTTATTTTCCTATTTGGGGCTGAAACAAAGAAAATCCTAAATTTCCATTTTTTCAATCATGGGTTTGTTGCGTGTTGAACTTACTTGATAAACTGATTTTGTAGTATCTTCAATCCAAAGTGATTGCTCATCAGTTAAAACATAGTTTGAACTAGGGAACAAAGCAATGAAAGCATGCTTGAGTTACAGCAATGCATATGCAACTTTAAGGTTTAAAAAACACAAGGCATGTAACATGTAACTATACTGTGGATAGTGTCAAAAATTACCAAGACAAGAATAATCACAAATGAGAGGATTATAAGAGAAAATTCTTGCACTTCTTCCTCAAGAGGGTTGGTACTGAAGACATAAAAGCATATGCAGGGAATAAAACATTCAATTAATCAATCAGATTCACTATGAACAGAGCAATATATGTTTCCTAAAATAAGCTGAGTGTGAAACGAAAACTTCTGATTTGATATTAAGATATGTGTATACATGATGCACATTCAGTATGGCATGCTACATTAAGATTCATTCAAAATACAACGAATAAAACACCCAAACCCTAGAAAAGGCAACAGGCAAACCCAAATTGTTAATAGCTGCCACTAACTGAGCTCTCATAATGCACTAGGTGATTTAAAGACATCCAATAAATATTGATGGCTAGGATCTGAACACTTTACATACATTATTCATTGAATTCTCGGAACAAGTACATGTACATATTAAACAGAGACTACCGTGTCTCACTGATTTGCCCAAGGCCATAAAGATTTAATTCAAACCCACGTCTCACTTCAAAGTCCCTCATCTTCCTACTATGCTATACCAAACCTCCAAAATAGATAGAAGGATAAGAAATAACATTTTTTGAGTGTTTACCATGTGCTACTACCTTAAAATTACAAGTCTGAAAGAGCTGCACTGCAGCCAGCAAATGACGAGCCTGGGATTCAAACCCAGCAGGTAGTGAAGTCATTATACAACTAATACGGCATTGCTCAGTGTCCTTAACACAAATACCGTTAAGTAACAGTGGGCTCCACCTTCAGTTATGGACAGGATAGGAGGAAATGGATGGAAGTATTTAGATAGACAGTAGAGAGCCTAATGAGGTTTTGTGAAACCCCAAATAAATGAACTCCTTTTTGCTTAAAAATTTTCTTTGCATCTTTTAGCTTGAATGTCCTGCAGAGCTCCACACCTTGTGAGATATGTATTACTGGCTTAGTCTGCAAATCAGCTTTGGAGGAGGTCTGAGGGAGGTGAGAAGGGAATGACGGAATTTTGGAGCAGAGACCTCCACCTGCTAATAAAGACGACAACTCCTGGCAAGCCCTGGAGTTGGGCAGGAAAAACTCACACTGACAGATATATTTAACATCTTTTCCTTAAATATCCTAATATCGAAAAGCCTTCAATGTATCAGCTGCAATACATGTGTTTTAGGGATACAGCCTTAACATGAAATGGACACATACATAAGAAAAATCGTAAGCAAGTCCTTTTTTTTCTTGGCTACTGTTTACAAATTGTTTACTACCCATATTATCTTACCTTTTGAATTTGACCTGCCCCTTGAGATATTGGAATAAAATGAGATACTGCAACAGGATGTGTCGACGAAAGTTACTGTCACTCAGTTGTAAATCCATCAGCTACTCAAGAAACAAGCAAACACATACGAAAACAACACATTAAAATCAAGTTTTTCCTAAAGGTACAAAATGTGCTAATATAGAAATGGAAGATTCCAATTCAATTTAAAAGCCATTTGTTGAGAGTTCACTGCATGTGAGGCATTACCGCACAAGCCCAAAGACAGCCCAGTCAAGGTTTCACTTAGATTTCTTGACTGTTTTATGCCATGACACATTCTTGCTGGTGGATAACAATGATCTATCTATGGTCCAGACATGAGGATAAAATAAAGCAGAAATAGAAAAAAGTAAGCTGGGCATGGTGGCACAAAGCCTATTATAGTCCCAGCTACTCAGGAAGCTGAGAAGGAGGATCACTTGAGCTCAGGAGTTCGAGATCAGTCTGAGCAACATAGCAAGACTCTAAATTTAAAAAAAAAATTTTTTTTTAAAGTAAAACTGAGGCTACTACTTTCTCACATATGAAGAAATAATGGCTAAAGAAGATACGGATAACAGCACAATATCAACGGGGACCACTCATTTTTGTAGCCCTATAAAGTGCCTGCAACAGAGGTATTACTTGACAATAAACAAGAAATTAGAGGTGAAGATCATCTCTGATTAGATGGGCTTTTTTTTTTAGCTTTTAGTGAAAATTGCATCATACTTGTATTATCACAGAATCTGGATTAGAAAGGACTTGAAGGTCACTCATGAGGAAGTTCTTCAACGACCCTGCCATCCAGCTGTAAGAATAACCTGCGGCGATGAAGGAAGGTCATTCTGATTATGTGCATGGAACACTGAAGGAAGGCTGAAGTCTGTATCCACAAACTCATGCTAGTTCTGCCTTCAAAAACTACAGTAACAAAGGAAAGCCACGTTCTTCTAAATGAATCGCCAGTAAGGCAGCTGGAAGCGTCGAAGATTGGTTTTGGTTCAATGTCCCAAGTGCTGGTGGCTCTGCTTTACGTGGTTGGTACCATTTACTAATGCTACCTAACACGCACAAGCCTCCCTATTCACTAGCAACCCCTTCCACACTGTGGCTCCAGGTCTTAAAAAAAAAAATTAATGATCAGCCTTCCAGTCAGGTTTCCCTCACGTTTAAGGATTGAATATATTTGATTGTTATTTATATTAACTCTCCTATCCCAAATTGGAAATGTGAATGGCCGGCCATCAGCCTTCCCTTCCTCCAGCCCCTGGGCAACTTGACTGTCTCCACTCAGGCTGTTAGTTCCTTGCCCTTAACTCCACGGACAGGCCCATCTCTGCTCCAGCTACCCACTACTGTGGCCACAGCTAGACCTGGGGTCACTCACAGCTGCCCCAGATCTGAAGTCTTCAACTCACAATCCTATCTCACCACAACCTCTATCCTTCCCAGGTCTCTCGCTCAGTTGCTTCCAATATACCTAATATTTGGATCTTACCGAGACTTTAAGGCCCTTGACCCGTCTATTCTCTGCCTGTTAGTCCCATCCCATTTTATTATAATCCTATTTTAGTCTAGATAAGGGGTCAGCAAACTTTTTCCTGAAGTGTCAAATAGTAAGTATTTTTATTAATAGGTTATGTGGGCTAAGAGACATATTATGGATATTATGTAGGTATTTAAACATCTAAAATGTAAGGGGGAAAAAAAAACCAAAATCACCAAAAACAACCAACACAGGTGGTGGGCCAGATTTGGCCTATAGGCTATAGTCTGCCAACTCCTGGTCTAGACTTCATGGTTAATCTCTTCGGCCATTTTCTTGCCAACTTCAACACACTTGTCCCATATTTCTTCTGTCATGTCTAGTGAGCAAACAGCAACCTTGAATAAACCAACTGTTAGTCACCTTCTCTATACCAACCCTCAGGATTCCAATCTCAGCTGAAAGTGAGGTGCCTGAGTGAATACCCCAAATTACACAGCTATGCAGAAGGCACCACTGGTATGTTGTCACCACCTTAAACATCTGTTTTTAATCAGCAATCTTTCTTTATTCTTCAAGGCCATTCTCTCTCCTACTCTTCACAGTAATGATTTTCAACCCTTTCCACTTAGCAAAAATACTACTTTACCACCCCTTCTCACTTTCAGTAGATAACTACTTTTGCCTTCAATGAGAAGAAAAATTAAATTGGAAAGCATTTCATTTCTTGGCCCCCAAAATGACAAATCAGCTGCACCTACACCTTTGTTTACTTCATTTCCTTCTGTCACAACTCCTTCACGGCTAAAGGTATTCCATCTGGATTACCTTCCATCTGGAATCCCAATATCCCTAACAATTGAGTTCCATCAACTAACTGCCCTGGTTTCTGTATCTACAACCTATTCTTTCCAAGCTCCTTTCCATAAGCATTAAATAAGCTCCCTCAAAAATCTCCCACATTCTCACCTAACCCTTTAACAGCAAAGCTTCTTAAAATAATTGACTATAGGCACTGTTGCCAATCAGCTCCTCAACCTGCTATCATCTGACCGCCTCATCCACTAATCCATTGAAAGTGTTTTTGTCGGCTGGGTGTGGTGGTTCACGCCTGTAATCCCAGCACTTTGGGAGGCTGAGGCGGGCGGATCACAAGATCAGGAGTTCGAGACCAGCCTGGCCAACATGGTGAAACCCCGTCTCTATTTAAAAAAAAAAAAAATTAGCGGGGCGTGGTGGTGCATGCCCTGTAATTCCAGCTACTCTGGAGGCTGAGGCAGGAGAATAGCTTAAACCTGGGAGGCGGAGGTTGCAATGAGTCCAGACCATGCCACTGCACTCCAGCCTGGGCAGCAGAGCAACAATCGGTCTTGGGGCGGGGGAAGAAAGTGTTTTGTCAAGATCACCAATGACTTATTTGTTGTTAAATCCTGTGAACACTCTTTACTGTCCTCATCCTACTTGATATGCTTGGCTTCCATGAGTGCATGCTTTTCTAGTTTTTCTCTAATCTCACAGGTTACTCTTCAATCTTCTCCTCTTCTCCCTTCATTCTCCCTTAAACATGGGTTTTCTTCGGGATTTCAGTATTTTCTTCTCTTCTGAATCTACACTCTCCCCTTTAGCTCATTTCATACACTCTACAGTTTGAATTACCATTTATAAACTGGTAACTCCTACAACTATACTCTCAACCTAGATCTTGTTCCTAGTCTCCAGCTTTGTACACTAGACAACCTATCACACATCTCTACCTGAATGTTCAACTGACACCTGATCAGATTTCATGAACAAAGTAAAACATCAATTTCCTCCACAAAAGCTGTTCTCCAGCATTGGCTAATTCAATGAGAGGCTCCAACATCCATTTGCCCAAGCAACTCTAGGAAGGCTTCCTGGAGAAAGCAGCATCTAAACTCTCAACAAGGAACAAACCTAAAGGTGGAGAGTGGGGGTTGGGGGATGGGGGTGCAAGAAGGGGAGCCAAATAAGAGACTGGCCTATTTGAAGGACCGAAGTACACAGTTCAATACATCTGGAGTAGAGATGTGAACCCCTAGCTTAAAGAGACGAACCAAAGTGGCTAGGTGATGCTTACTAGCTGTTCATTTTATTTTTTTATGTTGAAAGATTTTCCTTGATAGAAACAATGGATTGAAAATAGGAGTCAACAAAACACTGAATCAGGGGTGGAAAGGACCTAATGTGATTCAAGCTAACTGCTTCACATTATACTTAAGGAAACTAGGTCCAGAAAAGTTAAAACTACCTAGGCAAGATTACACAGCTAGTTAGTGACACAGCTGAGAGTAAAACTAATACACTCAATTGTACCCTTTCTTTCATAATATCTACTATCTAGTTCCATTTTTCTTTGGTTATTTAAAAAATTATATCATTTACACTATGTCATGGGTCAAACATTTCATTATTATTATTTTTAGCGACAGGGTCTCACTCTGCTTCTCAGGCTGGAGTGCAATGGCACCATCATAGCTCACTGCAGCCTTGAACTCAGGGGCTCAACCAATTCTCTCGCCTCAGCCTCCTGAGTAGCTAGGACCACCGGCATATGCCACAATGCCCAGCTAATTTTTTTCTTTTAAATTTTTTGTAGAGACAGAGTCTCACTTTGTTGCCCAGGCTGTTGTGAACTCCAGGCTGTTTTGAACTTCAAGCAATCCTGCAGCCTCAGCCTTACAAAGTGCTGGGATTACAGGTGTAGGCCATCATGCCTGGCCCAAATGTTTCTTTGTAAATGTCTTTGTATCTTGAGCAAAGGGCTTTTATTATCCTTAGCTGTATGTATGTATGTATTTAGTACAGAAGGGTCTCGCTATGTTGCCCAGGCTGAACTTGAACTCCTAGGCCCAAGTGATCCTCCCGCCCTGGTCTCCTAAATAGCTGGAACTTCAGGCATACATCACTGGACTAGGCTACTGTCCTTAGCTTTTATGGCACATCTTAGCTCAGGCCTCAGTTTTCCCGATATTCTAACCCTAAAAAGGCTCATGCTTTTCATTTTAGTCATCCTTACATGCCTCTCTGTCAATCAATTTTACATATAAATAATATTCCTGGGTAAAATTAAAGTGTATGAAATCTTCCATTTCTATCAATTTAACACAAAATACATAAAAAACATGTGCTAGAAAATATTCAGAACATTCTCATTAAAATCTTACCAACTGTCATAACACATCAGCTGAGATCAAATTATCCAATTTTTAAATTATGAAATATTTTAAATGTTCAAAAAGGTATAGTTAAGTAATACAACATTCATGTACCCACTACCCAGCTACATATAAAATCCTAACATTTTTTACTTGTTACATATCTGTTAAAGAAACAGAATATCATAGACATTGTTGAAGCTCCCTCTATAACCCTCCCCACTCCTATTTCCCTCCCTCCCTCTACTATGGTAACCACTACCATGTATTTCACGGTTAGGATTTTTATACACATTTTATATTACTACATATGTAAACATCTATAAATAATATATGGATGTACTTTGCACTGTTTCAAACTCTACACATTATGTGCTATTCTGCAATTTGCTATTTTCATACAACACTATGTTTGAAATTTACCCATCTTAATACATGTTGCTCTAGTTCAGGGATTGGCAAATCTTTTAAGGACCAGCCAGAAACTATTTTAGGCTTTATGGACTATATATCTCTGTCACAACTATTTATCTCTGCTGTTACAGAGCAAAAGCAGTCAGAGACAATCTAAATGAATGAGGGTGGCTGTGTTCCAATAAAAATTATTATTCTTATTTATTGTTTTCTGAGATAGGATCTGACTCTGTCAGCCAGGCTGGAATGCAGGAGCATGAATATGGCTCACTGCAGCCTTGACCTCCTGAGCTCAAGTGATTCTCCTGCCTCAGCCTCCCCTGTAGCTGGGACTACAGGCATATGCCACCACACTCAGCTCATTTTAAAATTTTTTTGTAGAGATGGGGGTATCACTTTGTTGCTCAGGCTGGTCTCAAACTCCTGGTTTCAAGCAATCCTCCCGTCTTGGCCTCCCAAAGTGCTGGGATTACAGCCACTGCACCTGGCCCAATAAAAATTATCTACAAAAATAGATGATAGGCCAGATTTGCCAACCCCTGCTATAATTAATCCATTTTCAGTGCTTTATAGAACTGTCACGTAAAATTATCTTATCACCCAGTCTTCTGCTTGTGAACATTGACACTGTTTCTAAACTTTCATTTACAAATACATCATTTACAAACAATGGTACAGTGAATCTTCTTAGAGATTTCCTTGTGTATGTGGGTCCTGTGTAGGGGGCCATATTTAGGAACAAATTTTAACTTCACTAGTTTTTACAAAAGTATTCTGCAAAGTGGTTGATTCAATTTATATTTCAACAGTGTATAAAAGTTCTCATTTTCCCACATCTCTGCCAATACTAGTATTGTTAGGCTTTTCAATTTTGGCCAGTTTGCTAAGTGTATGGTTATCTCATATTTTATCTGCACTAGAGATGCTTAGCAACTTTTATAAGCTCATTCACTATTCAGTTTTCTACATCTTTAAATTACTTTTTCTTATCATCTTTTCAGTTTTCCATTTGGTTGTCTTTTATCAATGGAATATTTTGAATACTAATTTTTCCCGGTTATGTAGGTGACAAATAATCTTCTCCCAGTCTGTGCCTTGTCTTTTTACTTTGCCTACGGTATCTTTTGCTATTCAAGACTTTTACATCTTAATATTAAATCTTAAATACTAAATTGATATTTTTCCCTCACAATTTGTGCTTTTTGTAGCTCAAGAAATCTCTCCCTACTCCAAATTTACATATTTCATGTTTTCTTCTAAATGTTTAAAAGTCTTGCTTTTCTCATTCATACTTTCAATTAACCTGGAATTGATTAACCTAGAATTGACTGTACTGAGGTATAGACTGAATTTTAATTTTTCCATATGGATAATGAATTGTCCAAGCAACATTTATTAAGAATAGGCCAGGCCTGGTGGCTCACACCTGTAATCCCAGCACTTTGGGAGGCTGAGGCGGGCAGATCACCTGAGGTTGGGAGTTTGAGACCAGCCTGACCAATATGGAGAAACCTTGTCTCTATTAAAAATATAAAATTACCCGGGCATGGTGGCGCATGCCTGTAATCCCAGTTACTCGGGAGGCTGAGGCAAGAGAATCACTTGAACCCAGGAGGTGGAGGCTGCGATGAGCCAAGATCGCGCCACTGCACTCGCCTGGGCAACAAGAGTGAAACTCTGTCTCAAAATAAACAAATAAATAAATAATTCATCCTTTCCTCACTAGTTTATAATGCAATCTTCTTTTGTATATTAACCTTTTCTACAATTTGGACTTTCTATTGTTTTAGTTTTCTTCTTCTGTATATTAGTACTAATAATTACCTGCCCTAATTACTATTGCTGTATAGGTCTTAATATCTGACACAGCAAGTGTTCCCGCTTTCTTCATGGTTTTCTTACTCTTGGCTCTTTGCTTTTCCATAGAAATAGTAAGACTAACTTTTTGAGTTCCCATGAAAAAACCCATTTGGTCTTTATAATAAAACAATTTATATTCCTTTGGGTATAACTCAAATTAAAAAACCCATTTGGATACTGATTCAAAATATACTGAATCAATAAATCTGGGGAGAAGGGGCACTGGGTCTGTATCTATAAATGTAGAAACACTGCTCCATTTTTGTAATGTTTCTCTATGAAGATTACGCCTAGGTATTGGAGAGCTTTCACTGCTATTCTGAATAACATGTTGTAATTGATTACTGGTTTATAAGAACACTATTGATGTTTCTCTTGCAATCTTGCTGAAGTTTCATTAGTTCTAACAGTTTCTTGGTTCTCTTGGACTTTTCTCTGTAGACAATTATATTGTCTTCAAATGGGGATAGTTTACTCTTTTCTTTCCAATACTTATAACTCTTACTCCTTTTTTGTTTTTTTCTCTTATTGAAATGGTTAGATCCTCCAGTACGGTGTTGAACAGAAATATGGTTAGTGTCCATCCATGTCTTCTTTTTGGATTTAATGGGAATACTTTCTAAAGTTTCATAATTGTGTATGATGTTTGCAATAGGGTTTTTAAAATCAGTCCTTTATCAACTCAGAGAACATTCCTTTCTACTTTTTGTATTGAATATTAGATTTTATTGAATTTTCTTGGCTTCTGAGATGATCATACAGATCTTAAAAATCTTTAATCTGTTTTTTTTTTGTTTTGTTTTTTCAGACACGGTCTTGCTGTGTTGCCCAGGCTGGTCTTGAACTCCTGGGCTCAAGCAATCCTCCGGCCTTGGCCTCCCAAAGTGCTGGGATTACAGGCGTAAGCCAATACGCCCAGCCAATCGGTTGTTAATCTGGCATTATATTCATCTTTCTGATGAACCATACTTACATTCCTAGGATAAACTGTATGTCTCTATTTTTAAAAAAATTACTTAATTTGTGAGTTTGTAAGACATTTTTTATTTCTATAAATAGAAAACATTCTATTTATATGTGAGATGAATATACATACACATTTTTCCTTGTTCTGTCCTTATTGGGATTTTAAGTTATAATCTTACATAATGAACTGGGGGGCTTCTCTTTTTCTAACTTCTGAAAATTTTCATTTATGGTAGAAATTATTTATTCTTTGAAGTGTTGATAAGATATGCCTTAAAAACCTCTGGGCCTGATGTCATTCAAAAAGTGTCATTCTGGCTGGTATTTCCTTAATGGTTGTTCATTTATTTGGTTTTCTATTTTTTTTTTTTTTTGAGAGTCTATTTCGGTCATTAAAATTTTCTAAACAATTCCCATTTTATTAGGCTTCAAAATTTATTCGTAGTTGTTCATAATATCCTCTTAATCATTTGAAATATCTCTATGTCAATTTTTACTGTTAATATTGTTTGCTGGTATCTTTTCATTTTCCTTGCACAAGCTCTGGATTTCTTTTTATAACATTTTCTTTTCAAAGAAACACTTTCAGTTTTGCTGATATGTTTTAGTTTGTTTTATTTCACTAAGTTGTGCTATTATTACTTCCATTTTCTTGAGCTTTATTTTGTACTTTTTCTAACTTCTTGAGTTGAACGCTCAATTTGTCACTCTTTCTTGACATTTTTTCCATTAATGCATATGAAGCTTTAACTGTCCCTTTGCATCTCCCTTTATTTGCAACCCACACTTCTGACATGTAATTCTTCCTATAATTACAATTTTGATATACATTTATTACAAATTTGGAATTTCCATTATGAGTTCTTCTTTAACTCCTGGGAAATGCATTTTTATGTTTTCATATATTTGCCTTTTTTTAAGCTATCCTTTTTGCAGCTCTAATTTTAGAATTCTAATTTGATTACAGAGAAATGTGGCCAGAGAATGTGTTCTTCGTGTATAATCTTTGAAATTTGCTGAGAATTTCTTTGTGACCTAGTACATGGTCAAATTTTGTGAATGTTCCACGTATACACAAAAAGAAATATGTTGCTTCTATTTGTTCTATACTACACCAAGCTTATTACTGTCATTGTTCAAATCTTCCATATACTTAACTAATCTTTAGTCAACCTGATCCATCAGAAGCAGTTAAAAATACATACTGTAATTGTGGGCCAACTTTTCATAATTTTGTAAGTTTTTGCTTAATATATTTTGAGGGTATATTGTTAAATACATATAAGTTCATGACACCTTGGTGGTTCATTCCTTTATTATGTAGTGTTTCTTGTCCTATTTATACTTTTTCCCTTAAATTCTATTTTATTTGTTATTTATGTAGCTTTCTTTTTGTTGGTATTAGCCTGGTATGTCTCTTTCCATCCTAATATTTCAATCATGAGTTTTGTTTTAGGTATATATCCCTTGTGGATACAAACTGCTCCATCTTCAATTTATTAAATTTTGTGTTCTTTTATTTTCCATGTAAGTTTTAAGCTTCTTAGGTCTGCTTTTTTCCTTCTTACTGAAAATCATGGAATTACAGAACTCAGCTTTGCATAACTAGGAAAGAATAAGATTCTTTTTTTTTTTTTTTTTTTTTTTGAGACGGAGTCTCGCTCTGTCGCCCAGGCGGGAGTGCAGTGGCGCGATCTCGGCTCACTGCAAGCTCCGCCTCCCGGGTTCACGCCATTCTCCTGCCTCAGCCTCCCGAGTAGCTGGGAACTACAGGCGCCCGCTACCACGCCCGGCTAATTTTTTTTTTTTTGTATTTTTAGTAGAGACAGGGTTTCACCGTGTTAGCCAGGATGGTCTCGATCTCCTGACCTCGTGATCCGCCCGCCTCGGCCTCCCAAAGTGCTGGGATTACAGGCGTGAGCCACCGCGCCCGGCGAAAGAATAAGATTCTAAGATGCAAACCTCATTAAAAGGAAACTGGTGCACCCGGAAGACAAATGTACCAATGGCAATTTGGTACATGGGACGCTCAGAGCATCTGTGTAAATGTGATTTTATGTTTTGCTCTTGAGCCCCAGTGAGGTACAGTACACAAAAGGATCGCTTCTATTAACCTTGAGTTAGTTCAGAATGTTTTCACTCCTTCAAAGTGCTCTTGTATGACCTCTAGTTGGCCTAATAATTTAATAATTTTCCTGTGACTGTTAGGCTTTTTTTTTTCTTTTATGTGAAAACCCATATGAATTGTGTGTCAGGGAGTAGGCAAGAGGGTAGTCTTTCTGTAGCATGACTGCAGGAGTTGCATATTTCTCAAAAAAGTATTAAGTCTCTGAAAAGAACACAGCTCTACAGTTTCTACTGTATATAAGTCTGATCAGACTGTGTGGCTTGAGAGATTTCTAGAAAAGTACTAAATCTCTCATGTACTGGATTTTTTTTTTTTTTTTTTTTGAGACAGAGTCTTGCTCTGTTACCCAGGCTGGAGTGCAGTGGCACAATCGTGGCTTACTACAACCTCTGCCTCCCGGGTTCAAGCAATTCTGCCTCAGCCTCCTGAGCAGCTGGGACTACAGGTGCGCACTACCACACCCAGCTAAATTTTGTATTTTTAGTAGAGATGGGGTTTCACTATGTTGGCCAGGCTGATCTCAAACTCCTGGCCTCAAGTGATCCACCCACCTTGACCTCTCAAAGTGCTGGGATTACGAGCGTGAGCCACCACACTGGGCTTCACATACTGGATTTCCTTTTTAAATTGTTGAAAGGCACCACTAAGTGCTTACATAATCCTGGACGAGCTGTTAAAATCTGCCCAGACAATTAAGAAATCAAGCCTAAACACCAAATGTTTTGAATATACCCATTTTCTCCCCAGATTAGGAAAAAAAAAATACAGGTTCCACAGTTAGTATGTTTACAAATATTTCGCTTTAAACGTTAAACAATTTAAACTTTTAATTTTCACAAATGTGTTAGATATTAAATTAGGGTCTAGAGGACTAAACTGTACAATAGTTTTCTACCTGGAATAGTACCTTCCATATAACTTACTCAATTGAAATAGAAAACATTTGGTTTCTGAGAAAAAGAATGTGTAAACAATTGTATAAAAACAACTAAATTATAAATTTAAATAGTATTCCTTTTTTTTTCTTTTTGAGATGGAGTCTCACTCTGTTGCCCAGGCTAGAGTGCAGCGGTGCAATCTTGGCTCACCGCAACCTCTGCCTCCCAGGTTCAATGGATCCCCATGCCTCCGCCTCTAGGGCAGCTGGGATTACAGGCACGCACCACCACGCCTGGATAATTTTTGTATTTTGTGGAGATGGGGTTTCACCATGTTGGCCAGGCTGGTTCTCAAACTCCTGACCTCAAGTGATTTGCCCACCTTGGCCTCCCAAGGTGCTGGGATTACAGGTGTGAGCCACTGCACCCAGCTCTACTTTCTAATAATTCTTTTCAAACTGTCTTTCAAAAAAAAGTTCTTAAAAAAATGAAAAATCTAATTTTAGCTTAAAGGTCTCTCAGTGTCCCTGCTGAGTTATAAGATAAAAGGAGATGCCCACTGAAGGCAGGAGCTATCAAGTCTCAATCCTTTTATTTAGTAAAAAGGTAACCTGAAGATACAGTCTCAAATTAAAAAGTTTTAAGCAACTTTCTGTACTAATAATGTGTTGCTTACCTACAGGGATACATTCTAAGAAAGGTGTCATTAGGCAATTTCCCCATTGTGTGAATATCATAGAGTGTACTTAACAATAGTATTGCCTACTACACAACTAGGCTATATGGTACAGCCTATGGCTCCTGGGCTACGAACCTGTAGAGCATGTTACTGCACTGAATACTGTAAGCAACTGTAACACAATGGTTAAGGATTTGTGTATCTAAACATAGAAAAGGCAAAGTAAAAACACAGTATTATATAATCTATAATCTTACAGAACCACTGTTGTACATGGGGTCCACTGTTGACCAGTTATGTGGTTGTTATGTGGTGCCATTATGGGGTGCATGACTGTACTGTGAAGTAGACTTAGAAGGCTACAGTATTCCTCAATAAAATAAATATCAAAAATTTAAATTTCATTTTCCTTAATACTCATAGTCAATGTAAAACAAACTCTTTAATGTTTTACATTAGTACTGTTTGAAAGTTTTCAGTTTAAAAGATGACTTTATGACTTTTCTTTGATTAAACCACAAGGTAGAAAAAAGATACAAATATAGAATTTTAATAAACATAAGACTTTTCTACCTTTAAAAGGCTAAAATGAAACTTTCTAATTAACATTGGTTATTTTGTTGTTACCTCTATTATTAACTCAGGATTATTTACACATAAACATGGGTGAACAACTAAATCAAGCTGTGATTAAACAGCCAGTGTTTATATATTGGTTTTCATAAATCTCAGACAATACTGAAAATTATATGAATTTACAGAATATTCTTACGCTATCCGGTAAAGTTTTAATATTCTATAGGATTACAGAGTATTGAAAAAATTTCTACAAAAAGTTAAAATTCAGACACAGAAAACATAAAAAGTCCCTAACATACGATACTTTTATTTATTTTATTTATTTATTTTTTGAGACAGAGTCTCGCTCTGTTGCCCAGGATGGAGTGCAGTGGTGTGATCTCAGCTCACTGCAACCTCTGCCTCCTAGGTTTACGCAATTCTCCTACCTCAGCCTCCCGAGTAGCTGGGATCATAGGCACCTGCCACCACGCCCGGCTAATTTTTTGTATTTTTAGTACAGACAGAGTTTCGCTGTGTTGGCCAGGCTGGTCTCAAACACCTGACCTCAAGTGATCTGTCTGCCTCGGCCTCCCAGAGTGCTGGGACACAGGCGTGAGCCATTGTGCCTGGCCTGATTCATATGTTTTTAAACCTATGTATCTCTGACTATACCTTAACATGTTTGTTCTTCATAACACTCAGGATGAAATAAATCAGTTAATGTTTACATATTAAACATGATAGAATTGTTTTAAAAACCAAAGTTTTAAATAATACTGTTATTAAACACTGATCTATTAAAACATGCATATCAAAGTATACTGAAAACTAATAAACACTTGTATATAATAGAGGAGGGAGCCCAATTAACACAGAGAAAAAATTTTTTTTTCCTCTGGGTATGAAGTCCATTTATAACCAGGTAATAATTTTTTGCCCTCTACAGAGTCTGTCCAGGAGTCCAAAATTATTGTCCTCATCAGAGAACATTTTCTTTTCAAAGGTCTATTAACATTTAAAATATGACTTTGTTATGCTTTTGTGTAATCATGACTATACACTGTTGTAAAAATAATGAGAGTTCTCATTTCTAGAGGATCTAAAATTTGTAATGGTCTTTCTGTTATAGTCAGTATTAATTTCTATTACTTTGGCTAATAAGAAGGTTGGGTGACTTCTTATTCTATCTCTGCTCTTTATCTTATCAAATAACTAGTCTCCTCTGCTAAGCCTTTCAGACTTTGCCTCTCTTCAAGATTAGGCTCCAAATTCAGAGCCTACTTTGGCAGTACATCTTCTGCACCCTGTCTTTGGTCTTTCCTAGAGGGCTGCTACTTGGTAGCATCAATCACTTTACTTTCTTATCTTGCTTGTATAACCATGGCTTGACTCACACACAGAGGTTATTCTAAAAATAACAATGGCAGAGTATGCTCTAAGTTTTGTAATATGCTCAATGATATTTAAAGAACTGTTCTATCTGTCAGGACCAGAGTTCAAAAATGTCAAAACAGAGGGTAGTTCATGCTTTCCGCCCTGAAGACCATTACAAGTCAATTTTACAATCATATGAAAAGGTTTTGGCTATAGTATTTACCTTTACAGGACGAGTGAAAGCACACCCATATGCTAAGACTGACATGACTGTCAGCAAAAGACTTCTAAAGCAGGGATCCCCAACCTTTTTGGCACCAGGGACTGGTTTCATGGAAGACAATTTTTCCACAGACCAGGGGTTATGGGGTAGAGGGAATGGTTTTGGGATGATTCAAGTGCATTACATTTATTGTGTACTTCATTTCTATTATTAATATATTGTAATATATAATGAAATACATATACAACTCACCATAATGTAGAATCAGTGGAAGCCCTGAGCTTGTTTACCTGCAACTAGAAGGTCCCATCTGGGGTTGGTGGGAGACAGTGACAGATCATCAGGCATTAGATTCTCATAAGGAGCACACAACCTAGATCCCTCATGATCAGTTTACAATAGGGTTCATGTTCCTATGAGAATCTAATGCTGCTGCTGATCTGATAGGAGACGGAGCTCAGGTGGTAATATGAGTGATGGAGAGCAGCTGTAAATACAGATGAAGCTTCGCTTGCTTGCCCACTGCTCACCTCCTGCTGTGCAACCCTGTTCCAGAGCTATCTAAAAGCCTCCCATGCCGAGAACAACTAATGAGATAAAAAAAAAAATTGTAGCATAGTGGTTAGCCTGCCCACTTGTTAACAGGAGGGTCTTGCTTCTGCCTTCATTTGCTCCTAGCTAGGCTATAGTATATCTTATAAGAGACCCACCTTAGCCGTTACTACATAAAGATTCAACCTCTCAAATGGACATAAAAAGTACAAAACATTTAAGGCAGAATGACTATATGGATAGTTTCTTACTGCCAGGAACTTTTTTTTAAAAAATGACCAAAAGTCCTAACTAGAGGCCTCTTCACACAATGCAGAGACCAAGCAAAATTGTGAATTTTCTTTTCTCCATGAAAATGAATGGCCTAATGACCACACTAGGGTCAACAGTACATAACTGTGGGTAACCTCACCCTGGTAACTGCTAGCCACTGAGTATTCCATCTGATCATTTTGGTCATTGAGTCTCAGATGGAAAGTGAGAAGTGTATTATTCTGAAGGACTGGGTAACCCTAAAGCCTATATCTAATTAGTGTTATTATACTCTTTTCTGTGAGAACTTAAAAGATCCAAAAATATATTCCTTTAACCATCATGGTAATACTCATGGTACTTAAACATTTTGAAATGTTGTTCTGCTTTTACATGCTACATAGTACAGAGGGAGGAATCCCTACAATACCAGTGCCTTTTATTTGGTATAAGTTGAACAATTAGAGGTAAAATCCTCCCTTAACATTTCTGAGTATGATCCTGGACTAACCTTAAAGAACAGATACTTTTCCACTGCATTAGAAAATAAGCAACCCAGGTGTATCAGCACTACATTTAGCAAGTAGTAACCCTGGATTATTTTGCTCTGCTAAAAAGGGAACTATACTGTTGGGCACTAGTATTCAGAATCACACTCCAGGTAGTACAAAAATGTGGCACTTTGTTTCTAGGGGAAACTTCTTTCTTTAAGAAGGAAGACACAATAATTTACAAAGACACCCATTTTATTTGTAGAACCTCTACCTACCTGTAGTTGCCACATGACTGGCCTATCTCCAACTATAAAGTTTATATCATCTGGCTGGGCGTGGTGGCTCACGCCTGTAATCCCTGCACTTTGGAAGGCTGAGGCAGGCAGATCACCTGAGGCTGCGAGTTCGAGACCAGCCTGGCCAACATGGCAAAAAACCTGTCTCTATTAAAAATACAAAAATTGGCCAGGCGTGGTGTTGGGCGCCTGTAATCCCAGCTACTTGGGAGGCTGAGGCACGAGAATCGCTTGAACCCAGGAGGTGGAAGTTACAGTGGGCCAAAAAAAAAGTGTCTCAAAAAAAAAAAAAAAGTTTGTATCATCCTTGCCAAGCATTGTTTCCGGACTATCCCTAAGGAAAAGTCTGACCAGATTCATGTAACAAAACACAATGCTTCTGGATAATATTCCCATTGGATGGGGTCACGGCTCTATTACAGAGATGAAAGATCTAACCTTGTAATGACAAGCACTTTTCTAAACCTGCTCACCAGTGAAATGATAGGCTAAAGAGTTATGCTCCAAATAATCATAGCTTTAGATTTCACTTTAGCTAGCTCTTACTGGCAAGGAATATGGCACCCATATCCCTGAAAAATCCAGACCTTTCTCATGACTTACCAAATCTATATCAAAAGTTGAAAGTAACATCAGGCCCAAAACTGGCATATATTTAGGTGTGAAGGCCTTTTTGGGAATCCTAGTATCAAAACACCATGTAAGGTACAGAGATGCTGGAAGGCTTCTTTCAGTGCAGCAGTAAAGCTTATAAAATGTTGCATATTTTCCATGATACACGTAATGCATTACAAATATTTTCACTTGTATATTAAGTAGTAAAAACTAAAAATACACCAAAAAATATGAAGAATGTACAAAGAGGACTGTAAATTTAAGACAAAGTTGTTGCTTAAGGGGCAACAAAGGGAAATGAAGATGCAAAACATTACATGCCTCACATTCTCTTTGGTACAATTTTGTGCCTTTTTCTTACTCCTATGGTAAGTTTTAAGCTTCTCAAAGCTGTTTTTACCTTCCTCGTGATGTGATATTAATTAATGAAATTTCAGTGCTTAATCCTGAAAGTTCATGTTCTAACTGCTGGTGAAAGCAAGTTCACAAAGAATCAGAAAAGGAGAGATACTATTAGAAAGCCAAGTGTGACAAAGTGAATGGAGAATGATATAAAAGCATCAATCCCATATTCCAATGTGGAGATTTCTCTGAAAATGTTTAATCCTGCTGTTTTTCATTACTAAAATGTCTTTAGAAATGCTATTTGTTCGGGAGGTGGAGGCAGGAGAATCGCTTAAACCCAGGTGGCAGAGGTTGCAGTGAGCCAAGACCACGCCATTGCACTCCAGCCTGGGCGACAGAGCAAAACTCCGTCTCAAAAAAAAATATATATATATATATCAATTAAGACATCCAGAGTTTTGAAATAGCTGTCATGTCCTGAGAAATGTGGACCTGTAACTCTTAAAAATACACAACTCTTACTGGTTGTTTTATTTTGTAACTTTTTTGCCCTGATAATATTAAACTGACACCTCTGCATTCTAAAAGTAGGTAACCTTGGGAAGGTTCTTTGTTAAGCAAGAAGAGCTTTGGGATTTTCTTACACATGAAGTAGAATAAAACTTTTGAATTCTTTAGTTAACCAAAAGGTTTCTATATTTGTTTCATTTAAATTAACAAATATAGCTGGAGTTTTAAAAATCCAATCTGATAAAGTCTTATTAGGTATATTAAATCAGTCTATACTTGTTATTACTGACCTATTTCTCTCCTCCTTTCTCTTCCTTTTTTCTGCCATTCGCTGGATTTATAAAGTGGTCTAGATTCCTCCCTGCCTCCCTTTGATCTCTGTTCTTTGAGAGCAACAAGTTGGTTTTCTTTTGGTGGTTACCCTTTTAATATACATGAAAAGGAATATTCAGTATTCCTTTCCTACTCCTGAAGATTACAAGGACTGCCATAATTTTAAATTACTCACTAAACATCTCTGCTTTCCCCTTCCATATTATTACTGTCATCTAGTTAAGTTCCACGTTAATAAAATTTTTTAATTAAAAAAATTTTAAATCATTCATGACTTTTTTGTGTTTATAGTCAATAGTAAATTTACTGTCATATTTTTCAATTTTTGTGCTCACCGTTGCCTTCTGTATCCCACTCCATTCTTATGGGTTCAATTTCCTTCCTCCTGAAGAACATCCTTGAGTAGTTTTTTTCAAAATGAGGGTCACTGAGTGGTAAGTTATCCTGGTCTTTAAATAAAAATGTCTTTCTTTCATCGACAGTCTTGAGTATATTTAACTCGGTATAAAATTCTAGATTGAATGTCATTTTTCTTTCAGCACTTTAATATTTCTCTACTGTCTTCTGGTATTAATGGTTGATATGTTAGAAATCTGCTAACAGTCAAACTGCTGTGCCTTCCCAGTATATTTGTCTTTCTTATCCCTTAGTGGCTTTTAGGTTTTCTCTGAATGCCCACAGTTATGGCATGATGTAATGAAGAGTAGATTTATCTTTCTTTATCCTGCTTGGCAGTTGTGACACACTTTTAAGCTGAGGATTTGAGATTTCCTTCAATTCTTTGCAATCCAGTTTCTCTACCATTCCCTCCATTTTCTTCTTTGGAAATCCTACTAGACAGATGTTGGAAATTCCCAATCTATTCACCATGGCTTTTAACTGCTCTTCCACTTAAAAAAAAAAAATCTGTCTGTGCTGCTTGCTGGATGAAGTTCTCATCACCTTCTTCAGTTCACTAGTTCTTTGTTCATCTATGTCCAGTGTATAGTTTAATTCTGTGTGCTGAGTTTTGGTTTCAATTATTGTATTTTTCATTCCCAAGACTCCCGATTAGTTGTATCGACTGTCCTACTTCATTTCAGCCTGCTTTTGTTTCATGATTTCTTGTTCCTTTTCAATGGATGTTATCTCATCGATTATCTTTTTGAGTATCCAAAACATACATAAAGTCTTGGTCAGGCTATATATTTCATCTGGAATAAATATATATATATATCCCAATAGTTGATTTTGCTGGTGATCCTTCTTAGCATTAGATTTATGGATTTTGGAATTTTAATTTATCAGAGTTTTGAACAGGAGCCTTTTCTTTTGGGATGTTTGTTTACTTCCTTTCCCCTCCCTCTCTGTGTACATCCTTCCCTGTCTAGCAGTTTTGCATCTGCTTCTACCAGGGCCCCTGAGTCCAAAAGTCTAGAAGAAGTCTTATGATGACTTCTTGGAGCAGCTGTTTCATAAGTATACTGAGCATATCACATATCTGGTCACTGAGCAAGCAGATGGACACAAAGCTGTCTTTGTTATCCCTAGGCTCACAACTTCCTATAAAACCATAGCCCTTGGCAGAAGACTGGCAATATTTTTTCTTAGTTTCTTCCCAAAACTGGATAAAAGTTCCACCCTAGTCCTTGGCTTCAAGAAGTGAATCTGGCTCTGGCCCCTTGTCCCACATGGTGCACATTTAGTCTCTGTTACTTGTAGCCAAATTCCTGGACACCACCACCTGCCTTGGATAGAGAGTCCAGCAGGCCCAGGCTGCAGTTTTGCTCACTACTTGGCATTTCTGGTCCATGAAGATATTTATCTTGTTTCTGGAAGCCCAGCCTTGTCTCTTTTGTTTTCTCGTTTATATTTTACCCGTCATTGCTATGTGTTTGGAGCAAAGGGAGTGAGTCGAAACATAAACTCAATGTGCCATCTTGACTAGAAACTTTACATAATCTTGTAGCATTATATTTGAATAAAATTTACTTTTTAAAATGTATAAATAAGATTAACAAGGAACTTTTAAACCCCTTACTTGCACCTAAATAATAATTATGAAATATTTTCATATACAAATTAAATCCTAACTTGACATTTAAAATATATAGACATGAAAGTAATTAAACTGCATTTATTCCAAAATTAGTTTACAAAACAGACTTAATGTAGAACTACTTTCACCTTTGAAACCAAATTAGTCCTACTTCTGAAAGGAAGAAATGGGACTTTCAAACTAACATTAATCAATCAGCTTTAACCCAAAGTAAAATAAGAAACATTTCTATTCAGTTTAACTTAGAAAGGCTGTCAGCTAAACGGAAATAAAACAAGACCATTTCTTATTATGCTTAATGAAAAAGAAAAACTTATACCTTTTCACTTGTTAAAAATTTTGCAAAATATACATGTTCTCCTCCTGTTTTCAATTCTTCCATCTTTTTTCTTGAGGCCTGAGTATCATCTAATTTATAACTCTTAAAAACAGCTAAAACTTCTTCAGAATACTGCAAAATAAAAATATTAGTTTTATTCGACATTGTTACCCAAATTTGTTTAGTGCTTTTCTGCATCAAAATGCCTAGAATTTACTCCCAGTCAATCATGTATGTAGACTGTATATTGCAAGGCACACTAACAATACAAATTATGATAGCAGAATGGGAGTTAAAACTATTTTGTATGATATTTCACTTGTTGCAAAAGTAGGTACAAGCTCCCTACTCCTAAAGAAATATAATTTCTTGGCCAGTGGTGGTGGCTCACGCCTGTAATCCCAGCACTTCGGGAGGCGGAGGGGGGCGGGTAACTTGAGATCAGGAGTTTGAGACCAGCCTGGCCAACATGGTGAAACCCCGTCTCGACTAAAAATACAAAAATTAGCCAGGTGTGGTGGCGGGCACCTGTAGTCCCAGCTACTCAGGAGACTGAGGCTGAAGAATCCCTTGAACCTGGGAGGCTCCGTCTCAAAAAAAAAAAAAAAAAAAACGAAGAAATATGATTTAAGAAGTCTGTGTAAGGGACAAATAGATTAGGGAACATTTTTAAGAGTGTACAGAAATTTACCAGTGAAATTGTTTAACCACCTGTGGAAACTCTTACGCATTTCTTGTGCTAAAAACTGAGCAAATAAATTCCACCAAATTCTGTCCAGTTAGAAGACAATTCCAGATTATTTCTCACTAACCACTTAATCTGAATTTGGATGGTGCTGCCCCCACAAAAAATTGCATATAAAACAAAAACTATTAAAAATAACATAACACACACCATGCTATTCTGAGAACTACCTATTTATCTTAGATTTTAATTATGACAAAAAAGGACAACTGATCTTTAAGTAGCCAAGAAAAATATAACAAATTCTTCTAAAACAGGATTGGCAAACTTTTTCTGTAAAGGACCAGAGAGTAAGTATTTCAGGCTTTGTGGCCTTTATAATCTCAGTTGCAACTACTCAGCTGTGCCATTATAGTGCAAAAACAGCCACAGGTAAGTGGATGGTCATGGTACTATTCCAATAAACCTTTGTTTATAAGCAGTAGGTTAGATCTGGCCCAGAGCCATGACTTGAGGACTTCTGTTTCAACAAGATAGCTAAAATAATTTTGTACAAAGATAGAATATATTCTGCAAAATATCAATTTATGTTAACAACACTCATTATATTCAAAAAAAGCAAGGCTGTAATGACGAACTTTTAAATATCCGATTCTTATATACTACTTCACAATATTAGTGGTTTAAATATTAATTTATAATTTCACTTGTTATGAAATTGGTATAAAAATGTAAGAGGCAGAATTACATAGTGAAAAGTATGTTAGACAAGATTAAGTTTTAGCTCTATCACTGTCTATAAAATACTGGGCTTCTGATAGTCTGTCAATGGCAACTTACCTTGAGAAAAGTTTTCCATGAAATCTTCTCATAGCATTGCACAGGGTTCCTGAAGTAATCCTGAAGTGACCAGAATTTTCGATACAGGTTGTAATCAATTGGAATAGAGCTAATAAAATAAACGTTATATTAAATAAATCATTCAAATTCTTTTACAAATATCTAAATATTCTTAACTTAGCTTTGGTCACAAACCGTTTTCAGAAGCTAATGAAAGTTATCAGAAAAGTACACATTCACAAATGCTTATATAAACTTTTACAAATCATTTTAGGGAACTCATAGACCCCAATAGACTCTTTATCTACACTGGTGGAGCCCCTGAATTTTGGAAGGACACATGGTTATTCAGAATTAAAGATTATGTTTCCCAACCAATCTTGCTGCTCGCATGGTCATGTGATTAAATTCTGGCCAATCAGTTGAGAGCGGAAGTCATATGTGCAACTTTTGGGCCATATTTTATCACTGGCCTTTTCCTCTTCCTGCTGGCTAGAATGCAGATGTGAGCGTGAGCCACCTTGCACTACAGGAAAAAGGGCAAACACCAAGATGATGGAAGAAGAAGGTAGAAGAAGCCTGGGTCTAGGCAATCTCACCGAGCAGTGCTCCCTTACCAGCCTTGGACTGCCTGCTTCTAGACTTCGATATGAGGGGGAAAAATCAACTTTTATGTTGTTTAAACCAATGTTAATCTGAATCTATGTTAAAAGTCACAGGTATCATATCCTAACTAAAAATATTATATCCTAAGAAGCACCAGTATGAGAAAAACATATATGGTACATATCAAGTTAGCATCACAAAAATAAGCCCTTTATCTAGTAACTTTATTATGGCACTACTAATTCAACTTCTAATCTTGATATGTCACAAATCTACAGTGTCAATACATATTCTTTTAATTTAAATTTTTTTTTTTAAAGGAGTCTCACTCTGTTGCCCAGACTGGAGGGCAGTGGTGCGATCTCAGCTCACTGCAAGCTCCGCCTCCCGGGTTCAAGCGATTCTCCTGCCTCAGCCTCCTGAGTAGCTGGGACTACAGGCACCCGCCACCATGCCCGGCTAATTTTTTGTATTTTTAGTAGAGACAGCATTTCACCGTGTTATCCAGGATGGTCTCGAGTTCCTGACTTCATGATCTGCCCACCTCAGCCTCCCAAAGTGCTGGGATTACAGGCGTGTACCACTGCACCCGGCCTATTCTTTTAATTTTTAAAACAGCTAATATCTGATAAACGGCTAGTATCTGAAGCACGTGAAAATCAACAGTGAAGAATACTGACTTTTAACTAACAAAAATCTAAATCTAGTTCTTGCCAAAGCTTTCATCATGAATTAGTAGTATCTGAAAGACTCTAATGGGCATGTTTACTTTCGCTCTTCCTAAACTTTTCCCTAGTAACAACTCTGAAAGTAGGAAAACAATGATGTACACATTAACTTCTCTCTATAATTAAAGCAGCTTCACTGATTTACAACAGTAAGATTATACCTCTGGGTTTTCTATGAATTGGGTTTTTAAAAAAAGCCACAGGCTGGGCACGGTGGCTCACACCTGTAATCCCAACACTTTGGGAGGCTGAGGCGGGCGGATCACGAGGTCAGTTCAAGACCAGCCTGACCAACATACTGAAACCCCATCTCTACTAAAAGTACAAAAATTACCCAGGCATTGTGGTGCGTGCTTGTAGTCCCAGCTACTCAGGAGGCTGAGGCAGGAGAATCGCTTGAGCCCAGGAGGCAGAGCTTGCAGTGAGCCGAGATCACAGCACTGCACTCCAGCCTGGGTGACAGAGCGAGACTCCGTCTCAAAAAAGAAAAAAAAAAAAGCCGCAAAAAGAACATTCCCTAAAACGTTAAAGTAAATAGAGAAAAGAAATAGCACTATATAAATTATTTACATTCATGAAAGAACAAGAACCAATATTTGTATAGTTCCATACATTTGATAAAGAATGTTTCTGAAGTGCATGTGCACACACACACTGAGTAACAAAATGTTACTCAGTTACAACATGTAAGATTGAATATAATAAATACCTCTTGAAATGTACCAGGAAAGTTTGTCTCTTAAAAATGGGGCTACCTCTAACAGAGAATGAGACTCATGCAACCATTATATGTCCCTTTTTGTCTCAATTGCTAAGAACTTCACATCTAATTTAACACTTAATACCAATCACAATATTATTCCATGTTGCTAATTACCATCTCCTACCTGTAAAAGACTTTTGATCTCTTCCCTTTTATCTTTAATTGGCTTGGTGGGTATTTGAGGTGTCTTACAGAATAAATTTTGAAGTAGTGTTAATATCTTACTGTTAGGCAGTTTTTACAGTTGAGGCATTAATATATTTTTAAAAATTTAAAGTCCCCTCTCCTAGATGCTGTCCCTTGCTCTTTTCCTTCACAGCTGAATAAAATTCTTCAAAGAGTTGTCTATACTCCATGTCACCACTTCATTACCTTCCTGTTCATTCTTCAACCCACTTGCAATTTGCCTTCCACCTTCAACACTCCACAGAAACTTTTGAATTTTCTGTTTACCCACACAAAGCAAATGTAACCAATTATTGTATTTGCAAATAATAACAAATCAGAGACCCAGTTACTATGTAAAATAGAATGTCTTGTAACTATTTTAACCAAAAAAACTCTGGAAAACTTGATATATTTTTTTAAATGTTCAGCTATTTTACAGGATGTTATACATTGAAATTTCTTAACAAAAATGTTTACTGGTGTATTTGAGCCAAATCTGAAATGGACTTCATATTGTAGGTAGATGGGTAATGAGTTCTGCTTTGTAAATTACAGTGCCTAAGACCATCTGGTGATAACAGCTGTCACAAAGTAATTCCTCACGTATTTTCTCCCTCTATTCAACATTAGTGACTGTGACAGAGGCAGCTGAGTGTTGAGTCTTATTTAAGTGATTTACAAACATAACCAATAGGGATGAATTGTCTATACAGTCTTAGGCAAAATCTAAGCAGACAAAACTGCACTGGCCAGTGTCTTTTGGGCTGTTTACACTTCAGGTGACTCATCATCTTGTAGCCTACTAACTTGCCCCAGAGCCCTTATGTTGCTCAGGCCAGACCTTAAAGCCTACTTTATTCATGTATAATGAATAAATAGGTCTCTAAAAAAAAATAATAACGATAACAAATAATAGCTACTAGACACTGAATAGACAATATTCTAAGTGCTTTACACTTACCACTACATATAAACAATTAGTGCCTTAATAGACTATTTCTGATCATCGTCTTATTTAATCCTCTTAACTGTAGAGAGTAGGTGGCATTACTACATTTTAAAGATGTGGAAACTGTGTTGTAGAAGGTTAAGTAATTGGCCCCAGGTCACATGACTAGGAAGTATTGGAGTTAAGCTTGGAGCCACACTACCTCTAATGTTTCTTCTGGAGATGTGTTTGAATTTGAATTCTGGGATGCCAGAAATACATCTCCCTGGGCAGATACAGGAATCCCATCTTGATTTTCTAGACAGTAATGGAAATTCTTTCAATTATAACTAATGACTCTCATCACCTCAGACACCTGGAAGAGTGCCAGTGAAGGAAAATTTTCCTTAATGCCTTCTCTTTTCTCTTGCTCATTGCTTCTAAGCCAGCACTAGGAAGAAATTATGGAAAGTCTTCAAATAACGATGTTTCCTTCAACATTGTTTTATTGTAACGTTGATGAGAAAAAAAAAATCGATTCCTGGCTGGGGCCACGGTCTATGTAGAGTTTGCACATTCTCCCTATGTCTGTGTGGGTTTTCTCTAGGTAGTCAGATTCCCTCCTGCATCCCAAAGAGGTGTACATGAAAATAACTGGCATGTCTAAATGGTTCCAGGATAAGTGAGTGTGGGTGGGTGGGTATACACACTGTGAGCAGATGGCGTCCTGTACAGGGTTGGTTCCCGCCCTGCGCTCTGAGCTGCTGTGACAGGCTCTGGCCACCCACAACCTTAAATTGGAATAACTAGGCAAATAATTATCTTACTTGTTTTTATTAATCTTTCTCAAATGCATGTATAGCTCACATTTATTCAATGTTTAATAACAGAAGCATTTTGATCTTTATCTAGGAGTTTGGTGATTGTTTTTGTGACCAGAAATAGGCCATAAGAACCTAACTTTTGTTTGTTAGCCTATGGGAAAATTGATTTCATCATACATCATTTCACTTAATGTTGCAGTTTCTAGAACCTATCTATGCCACTGAGGATTGCTTTTGGAAAGAAAGCACAGGGCTACAGAGGAGGAGATAAGAAACAGTTTTAAGAGCAAGGGGAGAGAAGGAGGAAAGGCTTCTTAACTTGCCTATTTCATTAAAAGTTAGCCCAATACACACAGGCACTGGGTCCACAAGTTTAATGGAAGGGATTAAGGGGAGGAGCTCCTAAGGCTGCCTGTGGTTGGCTTTTCAAATGCTGGGATTATGCATAGGGTAGTCTATATAAACAATGAACTGTCTGCACATAATATAGAAACCAGCAGATAAAGCCCATTAGTGATTTACGATTTATTAAGTAATATACATGAAAATTACAAATGAAAGAAATTTCTTATAATTTCTTTCCTCCTTGTCTATCTCCTCACTCCAGAGAGGATACTCAATAAATTAGGAGATTATCTCTGTAAATCAAAAAGCTTAGGCTCTGAAAACTCACCACGTTGTTGGAGCTTCCTCGTCTCCCATTTCGCCTTCTTCTACATCCATTCCTTCTTCTCTATCTTCAGTGTGCTAAATTGAAAAAAAAATGTATAGCCTGTCATGAAGCAGTCATCAGACAGAAGAGATAAATGCTAGAATAAGTGGTCAGTTACACATTCCTAGGCAACCCACAGTTAGAGAAGTCTAGTCACTAACTATCTAGACCTATAGTTAATCTGTAAGGCAATCAGAATTTTACCTGATGGACAGAAGAACTCAAGAGCAGTATGACAATGATATAACACAGTCATGAAGACAGTAGAAAGTTTCAAATCTACATTTCTAAACATAATCAATAGATTCCCTCTGGGAATAAAGGGCTAAATGTTTTGGAAATGCACAAGACAATTCAACAATAAAATGAGCAAACAGCATGAATAGCTAATTCACAGAAGAAAAATAAATTCCAACCAACATATAATAAGTTCCTCAACACCAATAATGATCAAGGAAATGAAATTAAAACTAAGAAGACTTATTTTTCAAATATATACATCAATTAAGCCAATATTTTTTAAAAATTGATAATTCACACTGTTGGGGTGAGGCTGTGGGGAAAAAGGGCAGGCATTCTCCATGTGCCACTGGTGGCTGTATAAATTGGTATAACCTTTTTGAGAAGTAACCAGGCAATAGCTATTGAAATATGGAATATGCATATATTTTAACCCAGTAATTTTACTTACTGGAATTTATCCTAAAAAGACATCTGCATAATTGATGCAGACGCTGCAGACTGATGCAATATTATACACTACTAGACACTGTAACATTGTTTTTCACTATCAGAGATAATCTGAATGTCCACAGGCAGAGAAATGTGATATATCCACTCTGAGATTTATCAAGAGCCATTTAAAAACTAAGATAAAACTAAATCTTAAAGGAAGAAAGTGAATTTCAGAATAGTATGAATGACCTCATTCTGGAGAAAAACAACATGTTTGTACATATACACAAAAAGTCCTGGTATGGTGAGACAGAGAATGTTATGAGTGGTTATAGAAATAATATGAATTTATAGAAAAAATACATATTCTGCAAAAAATAACCCAATGTTTAAAACAGAAAGTACATCTATTCTATAATCTACCTTATGATTAACACTATTAAAACAGAAAGTATAGCTACTTTGTTAATCCACTTTAATAGAAAGCTATGCCATAATCTACCATGGTCTACCTTGGATTACAGAATAACTGTACATTCTATCTTAAACACTGGTTGAATTTTTTACATACAAAACATTATTTCTGTAAGTTGGAAATAAAGTTAAAAGTTTTTAAATTTTTGATGACTTGTAGGCCCATTTACATGAAATTTTTTTTTTTTTTTTTTTTTTAAATGAGACAGGTTCTCACTCTGTCGCCCAGGCTGGAGTACAGTGGCATGATCAAGGCTCACTGCAGCTTGACCTCCCTGGGCTGAGGCGATTCTCCCACCTCAGCCTCTCGAGTAGCTGGGACCACAGGCGTGCACCACCATGCCCTGCTAATTTTTGTACTTTTTTGTAGGAATGAGGATTTGCCATGTTGTCCAGGCTGGTCTTGAACTCCTAGGCTCAAGCGATCTGCCCACCTCAGCCTCCCAAAGTGCTAGGATTACAAGTGTGAGCCACTGTGCCTGGACCCACTATCTTAATAACAAACTTGCAAATATGTTATCTGAGAAGATTTCAAATCAGCCTCACCTTCTGACCCAGGGTGCTTTCCTGCTCATTTGTATTGAAAACAGTGACATTTTCCAGATTAAACTGACTCTGCAAGTTAAGACCTAGTAAAAAAACAAAAAAAAGATGCAAAGCAAGTCCAGTGACACCTAAACTTATGTATAACTTGTGTCATAATCAAAACTACAAAATGCCAAATCCATAAAGAGCAGTCAAAATTAACACATTTGATTTTCAAATCCTTTCAAAAATTCATTTCTTAAAAGTACCTTTGGAGTATGGGCATACCTTGTTTTGTTGTTCTTCACAGTTTCTTGTTTTTTTAAATAAATTGAATGGCAACCCTGCATCGTGCAAGTCTATCAGCACCATTTTTCCAACAGCATATGCTCACTTCCTCTGTCACATTTTGGTAATTCTCACAATATTTCAAACTTTTTCATTATTATTATATCTGTTATGATGATCTGTGATCAGTGATCTTTGAGGTTAACATTGTCATTGTTTTGCCACAGATTTGTTTTTGCCACAAACTGTGCCCATCTAAGATCTAAGACAGTAAACTATTTTTTTTTTTTTTTGAGACAGCGACTCACTCCTGTCACCCAGGCTGCAGTGCAGTGGCATGATCATGGCTCACTGCAAGTTCAGCTTCCCAAGCTCAGATGATCCTCCCACCTCAGCCTCCTGAGTAGCTGGGACTACAGGCAAGCACCACCATGCCTGGCTAAATTTTTTTGTATTTTTAGTAGAGACGGGCTTTTGCCATGTTGCCTAAGCTAGTAAGATAGCAAATTCAATCAATAAATGCTGTGTGTGTTCTGACTGCTTCACCGACCAACCGTTCCCATGACTCTCTCTCTCTCCTTGGGCCTCCTTATTCCCTGAGACGAGACAATATTGAATTTAGGCCAACTAATAATCCTGCAATGGATTCTAAGTGTCAAGTAAAAGGATGAGTCTCACATTTCTCACTTTAAATAAAAACCTATACATGATTAAGCTTAGTAATTAAGGCATGTCAAAAGCCACGACAGGCTGAAAGTTCTCTTGCGCTTAACAGTTAGCCAAGTTGTGAATGCAAAGATAAAGTTCTTGAGGGAAGTTAAAAGTGCCACTCCAGTGAATACATGAATGATAAGAAAGCAAAACAGCCTTACTGCTGATACAGAGAAAGTCTGAGTGGTCTGGATAGACAAGCAAACCAGCCAGAGAAAGGCTTTAACTCTCTTATTAATTCTGTGAAGGCTGAGACAGGTGAGGACACCACAGAAGACAAGTACGAAGCTAGCAGAAGTTGGTTTACGAGGTTTAAAGAAAAAAGCCCTCTCCGTAACATAATAGTGCAAGGTGAAGCAGCAACTACCAATGGAGAAGTTGCAGTAAGTTATCAGAAGATCTAGCTAAGAATATTGATGAAGGTGGCTACACTCAACAGATTTTTCAATGCAGATGAAACATTCTGATATTGGAAGATGCTGTTTAGGACTTTCATAGCTAGAGAGAAGTCACTGCTTGCCTTCAAGGGACAGGCTGACTCTCTTGTTAGGAGCTAATGCAGCTGGTGACTTTAAGTTGAAGCCAATGTTCATTTACCATTCTGAAAATCCTGGGGCTCCTGAGAATTATGCTAAATCTACTCTGCCTTGGCTCCATCCATAAAAAGACAAACCCTGATGACAGCACATCTGTTTATAGCATGGTTTACTGACAATTTTAAGGCCACTGTTGAGACTTAACTGCTCAGAAAAAAAGATTTCCTTTCACAATATTATTGCTTATTCACAATGCACCTGGTCACCCAACAGCTCTGATGGAGATGGGCAAGGAAATTAATGTTGTTTTCATGCCTGCTAATACATCATCCATTTTGCAGCCAAAGGATCAAAGGGTTATTTCAGCTTTCAAGTCTTATTATCTAAGAAATACATTTCATGAGGCTATAGCTACATAGTGATTTTTTTATGGATCTGAGCAAAGTAAATGGAACTCCTTCTGGAAAGGACCTACAAATCTAGATGCCATAAAGAACACTTGTGATTCATCAAAGGAGGTAAAAATATTCACATTAACAGGAGTTTGGAAGAGGTTGATTCCAACCCTCATAGATGACTTCGAGGGGTTCAAGACTTCAGTGGAGGAAGTAACTGCAGATCTACGTAGTAGAAATGGCAAGAGAACTACAATTAGAAGTGGAGCCTGAAGATATGACAGAATTGCTGCAATCTCATGATTGGACTTGAAACAGATGAGGAGTTGCTTCTTACGAATGAGCAAAGAAAGTGGTTTCTCGAGATGAATTCTACTCCTGGTGAAGATGCTGCGAACACTGTTGAATGACAACAAAGGATTTATTTTATTTCTGAGACAGAGTTTCACTCCTGTTGCCCAGGCTGAAGTGCAATGGTGCGATCTCGGCTTATTTTTTATTTTTTTTCTGAGACAGAGTTTAGAATATTACATAAACTTAGTTGATAAAGTAGCGGCAGGGTTTGAGAGGACTGACCCTAACTTTGAAAGTTCTACTGTGGATAAGATGCTACCAAACAGCATCATGTGCTACAGAGAAATCTTTCGTGAAAGGAAGAGTCAATTGATGTGGCAAACTTCACTGTGCTATTTGAAGAAAATTGTCATAGCCAGCCCAACCTTCAGCAACCACCACCCTGGATCAGTCAGCAGCCATCAACATCAAGGTAAGACCCCCACCAGCAAAAAGATGACGACTTGCAAAAGGCTTTGGTGGTCATTACCAGTTTTTAGCAGTATTCTAGAAGTACGGTATGTACATTTTTTTAGATGCTATTGCATACTTAATAGACTACAGCATAGTGTAAACATAACTTTTATACGCACTGGGAAACCAAAAAATGTTGGTTGAATGAATATTGCTTTATTGCAATATTCACTGTATTGTGGTGGTCTGGAACAAAACCCACGGTATGTCTGTAAACAGAATTCTATATACATTATAATAGAGTTGATCCTTATTATTCATGACTATTCCAGAACAATTCCACAGAATGCAATATAGAATAATTTATAATTCTGTTGGAAGCACAAATGTAAATTATATTAATGAAAAAGTGATAATGTATAACAAATAAGTAAATACATTATAGTTAATGAGAGCCAAGTTTCTTACTGTTAGAGAAAGAGGTTAATAAACAGATCTACTGGTGCTGGATTCAACTCAGAGGTATCAGTAGAATCTCATATTTTTTGCTGCTGTTCATGTAAAATATATACTGACAGATACAGAAACAAATACAGATGAGTATGGTTAGTATACACATATGTCTCTCCTAGCTCTGGTCTCTGAGAGGGCCTAGAAGTAGTGATACTCCAGTAGCAATGAGCACATCTTCTCAAACGTAACAGCCAATGATAACCAGACACACAAAGAGGCAAGATACCATGAGTGAGAAACAGTCAAAACAGACAGGAGAAACAGACCCACCAAGACTTATTTAAGGTATTGGCATTACCAGATACAGACAATAAAGTAACAATGTTTACCAAGTTTAGAAAACTAAAAAAAACAATTCTTAAGAAATTATTCAGAATCAGGTAGAGAGAGACAAACAGATGAAAAAATATATAAGGAGTAAAAAACAGAGGATACAGTGAGAAGGTATAATGGATGTTTAATTGAAGTTCCAGAAAAAGAAAAAGATAAAGAGGCATACACAATATTTGAAGAGATAATGGCTAAATTTTTACAAACTAGATGGAAGAATCTAATCCATACATTCAAGATGTCCACAATCCTAAGCAGGACAAATAAAAAGAAATTTACACAGAGATACATCATAGTAAAACTAAAAGAAAACCAAAGGAGAAAAAAAATCTTAAGCGCAGAGAAAAAAATGTAGATTATCTTCAAGAAGTGAGACTGACATCTGACTTGTCAATAGAAAAATGGGAAACAGAAGACAAAGTAAAGATTATTTCCCGTGAGATGAAATCCTGTATCTAGTGCCAATCTAGAATCTTATACCTATTGGGAGGAGGTCAAAATACCAATATTAACAGGAGTTTGGAAGAAAGAAAGGAAAAAAAATAAAGGAGAAGTAACGATTTTTAGGCAAAACACAGACCTGCACTGAAGAAAAGTCTAAAAGGGAAAATGATCACAGACAGAAAGCCAGAAATACAAGAAGTGGTAAATCTATATTAACCCTGACCACATAAAATAAGTATGAAAGAAAACAGCACAGACATAAGATGACAAAAAGAAAGCACATAAACCACTGCTAACATATGCTATAGGTCTTTCTACATGCAGGCACTAATGTAAGCTCTTCACATGTTTTAATTCATTTAATCCTCAGAACATATAAAGTAGGTGGTACATTAGCCCAATATTAAGGAAGGGAGGACTGAAGCAAGGAGATATTAAAATCTCGCATATTTGAACATACTGGGGAGGCGGAAGGCTCTGGAGGACAAGCAATGTCCCATTTCAGGAGCTAGATAGTGGTTATACAGTATTTGTTTCATTATTATTCGCTTTATGTACTTTTCTATATGAGCGTTATATTTCACAATAAAAATTTGTTAAAAAAAGAGAAATGAAAGGAAGTCTATATAGCTAAATAGTTGTGACTGAGAGAAAATCCAAACACAAAAATAGGCATACATTATGAAATACGGATATGATGGTTCATATCTACATGTTTCAGTGTGATTCAACTTTACATTAATAAGCTTTGAACTTAAAAGAATCCATGACTTTGTTTCAGGATTACCTGTATTATATACTAGGACTGCTATACATTTATAAGTAAAAGAAAATAAAGTGACAATTTCTATGATGTCTTTCAACTTTTTAGAACCATTTTTCTCATTATCATGACAGATTTTAATCTATTAAAAACTGGAAAAGATTTTCCTGCAGAAAACTCATTTAATGCATAAAAGCTTACCTGATTTCTCAGACAGAGGGAAAAGCCTGGCCAAAAAGAGCTGAATCCGTCCACAGAAGACTGTATTCTGGGATTTAGACAATCTTCTTAGGAGATCTAACAATATATGAAAATGAACGTTACACAGAAAAGATAATTCTATGTTTATTACAACCACACCTAAAAGTTTCTAAACCAGTGTGTCAAGAGTATTTTCCTAAAGCAGTAGTTCTTAAATTGGGGGCCGAAACCACTGCCACAAAAAAGTACTATAAATTAGGAACAAAACAAGTTCAACATGACATGAAAAAGACAAACTTTACTACGTTTCTGACTTTAAGCTTATGCCCAGAACAAAAACAGTTTAAAGTGAATAATGAGTTCTAACAAATCAGATTGTTAGTTAAAAATGCAGATACCTAATCTATCTTTAAAATGTTATCACTGGTATTTAATTCAACCATGTGTTTTTCTGGGCATATTTACACTTAAAAAGCAATCATTTTATCACTCAATTACTTACCATTGCACATACGTAGTAAGTAATTTTTCCCAGCAGAATAGAATGTATTCTGAAATTAAGACGGAAATTATCACTCTTCTTCAGAACTTGTTACACATTCTTCAATAATAAGTTGCCAGAGTGAAATATTAAAGAACACTAACATGCACTGAGAATCTACTATGCCACTTTCACTTTTTTTAAGCAAATAACATTTTCAATGAAATAAAAATATTTTCAGATATAAGAAAACATGATACTAAGTAACTGTTTTAAACATGTGAAAGTGTGAATTTTCAAGTTAATTTTTATTACACAAATTAAATCAAATTTTGTATTTCAAGTTTTTCTCCACACATGGTTTTTATTTGGCTCTCCCGAGAGAGCAGTATATAATTTTTTCATAGGCAGAAACTTGTTGGCATTCAGCAATACTACAAATAAATTTAAAAAAAAAAATCTACCCTCAGAATTCTGGATCTATAGAAAGATAAAGTTAGCAGGAAAAGAAACTAAGGCACTTACTGATTTCCAAGTAGCAACATTTTTTTCCACAAAAGTGAATATTGTGTCACACTGATCCAAAGGAAGACAATCCAAAACATCTCCCAACAATACAAAAGGTGTAGATGCGGTACAAATACCTTCAAGTGGAGCACAAGCCAATTTAAAAGTTTAAAAAACTGTAGAGTAGAATAGCCTATGAAAAATAATTCTGAAGAATATCTTAAAAGGTACACTTTGTTACTCATAACAAGGTTTTAAAAGGACAAGAAGTGGAAGCAACCTAAAAGTCCCCAAATAGGACATACTTAAGTAATTTTTGATATGTGCACTCAGTAATGATGACAATAATTCTTGACAAGATCTAGAGCATTTACTATATGTCAGGCACACTAAGTACTTTACATATACTAACACATTTAATCCTTACAATCCTATGAGGTAGAGCATATCATTATTTGCATTTTATAGAATGGGAAAACTGAGACACAGAGAGGTTAAATAACTTCACCAAGATCATAGAGCCAGTAAGTGGTAGAGCTGGGATACGAACCCAGGCAGTCTGGCTCCACAGTCTGTTTTCTTCACCACTAAGCTATTCAAAAGAATATAATGCAGCCAATTAAAAATGATGGTTATAACGACTATAATAACTTGGAAAAATGCTTATGATATAATGCTAAGTGAAAAAAGGCAGGATTCAAAATTGTATGTACATATGGTTATGACAATAAAAAAAATTCTTAAAAGACTATAGAAACTAAAACCATTATACCAGATGAATGGTAGCTTTTAAAAGTAGAGGAATTAAGAGTACTGTTTTCCCTTCTTATTTCTAAATGTTTTGTAATGTTGCTAAATTGTCTTTGTGATTTGAAAAGATTATCTTCAAAAAATAACAAGGTTTGATATTAACTATGATTCAACATTTAAAATAACAGTATTGTTTCAGGGGAAAGAATGGAAAAGTAGAAAGTTACTGTTTAAAGAACAACAAAATTAAGATTTTTCTTAAGAAAAGGTCTACGTAGTCTATCTAGACTACTTAGAATACTTTTATATCCCTACTCATTCTTCCTTCTATTTTAAGGCAATGAGTACTTACTAACACTCATAAGTGTTTAAGAAAAGTAGTCACTTAGGCATGGTATATGGAGGAAAAATATCTAGGGTGATCTAAGCCCAAAACAGTGCATTAATATACTATGTCCAGAAAAAAGGAAGAAATATTTCCAGCTGTACTCTGCACTAGTAAGATCATATCTGGAATGCGACGTGAGGGATATTGCCTAGAAGCAGTGGGTGAAATAAAACAGCAGATTTCAACTCAATACAAGGGAACACACCAATAACCACATTTGTCTAACAGGACTCAAACAGTGAGCTCCACTAATGAGCATGATTCAGCAGAGGCTGAATGACCACCCACCAGGGATGTTACAGCAGAGAAGCAGTCTAGGCCAGAGATGAGACTGGACTAGGTGACCTCTAAAGTCCCTAACAATACTTAGATTCAATGATATTATATACCCTGCACATCCAAGAGATTTGAGAAGCATATTTTCTGCCCTTAGTTGCAGTATAGCCTGGAATAAGTTAACTCACATTTAATAATTATAGAACTTTTTCTAGATTCTACTGCCAAAATTCTGAGTCAGTAGAACTAAGCAAGGTTTGGGAATCTCATCTAAAAATAGATTCACTGGTGGTTCTGATGAGCCAGCAAGTCTGGGAACCATTGGGTTATAGTGTGATTCCCCCAAGAGCTTTCACAACCTGTGTCCCAGCTTCCACACCAATCTCTCTCCTTACCCTTACCTGGGCCACAGACATCCCTTTCTAGTTCCCACTCCCCAGTTCCCAAACACCATGCCATGTTCATCCTTCCATGGTTTTGTTCACAATGTTGTTTTCTGCATACTCTTCCTCCTCTTTACCACATGGTAAATTTCAACTCCATCTTTCTAAGCATAGAGTGAATGTCAGCTCATCTAAATAACTCTGATATCCTGAAGCAGGCTACTTCATCTATGCTTTTGAAGCACACTCTACATAAATATACTGTAGCATTTAGCACATCCTAACTAGTCACCTTTGAATGTAGACTATGAGCTTTTTAAGGTTAGGCATTTTTGTATGCTTTAACCAGTAGCATCTCACACTGAATAGAAGCTCAATAAATATCGGCCAAATTGAATTTAACAAAATATATTTATGGATAATTTAAAAACATGTCACATAACCAATTATAGTCTGTCTCAAAAAGAAAAATTATCCCTAAAATAAAAATGCACTATGCCTTTACAGTTTAAGCTCTTAAGTCCTTATCCTTCTCAAAAGTTCCAAGTATAGACTAGACTTTGTACAACTTCTTCATTAAAAACATCACCAGCTGTGCAAGAATAATGTATAAAGGTAATCAATGAACTCAGGACACACTGAACACTGTTTGACTGAAACTAGACAAGGAATATTACATTGTGGGACTCAGCTAACTATGCCTAATGAATGAATGATTAGGCAGCTTGTATAAACATTTAACAAAGTGAATTTATGAACTTAAGTTCATAAAATAGTTTGCCCCTATACTGGGAGGTGTGTGCCAGTTTTTATAGAAGCATCAAAATAACACATAATGTGAATAATGCTTTACAGATTAAAAAGGAGTTTTCACATATATTATTTGAATTAATCAAATGAGTATTTTAACCAAATTGGTTAAAGAAGAATGCTGATAAACTAATTTTTTATTTCTTCTTTCTGCATATATTTAACGAGCTCCTATTTTGTGTTAGGCTCTGTGTACTATGTGCATTGTTTACCCGAAGTCTTCTAAAGCTATCACACACAGCCATTTTAACAGGCTCCTGCCCAGTTTTCCTGCCAGCAGTCACTTCAAATGGAATCATTCATCTGCAGCTGCTCTTTTTTTTTGAGATGGAGTCTTGCTCTGTTGCCCAGGCTGGAGTGCAGTGGCTCGAGCTCAGCTCACTGCAAGCTCCGCCTCCCGGGTTCACACCATTCTCCTGCCTCGGCCTCCTGAGTAGCTGGGACTACAGGCGCCCGACACCGCGCCCGGCTAATTTTTTTATTTTTAGTAGAGACGGGGTTTCATCGTGTTAGCCAGGATGGTCTCGATCTCCTGACCTCATGATCCGCCCGTCTCAGCCTCCCAAAGTGCTGGGATTACAGGCGTGAGCCACCGCGCCCGGCCTGCAGCTGCTCTTTAGTATGGCACCCAGTGCCCTTTATAAATGGACCTAACCTGCTTCTTTCCTCATCATTCTCATTGTCCTCTCCTCCTCCTGCTGTACACAATTCTCTAGCTATTCCTTTCTTAGTATGTCTAACAAATTCTTCATACCTCACATTCTAGTTCTCATGTTCTTTTCTAAAACCTCTCCTGACTCCTTTAGACTGAAGTTTAGAGAGCCATGTTGGCTCTATTCCCTCTAACTACACTTCATTCCCACTTCGACCATAGTACTTACACCATAGTAAGGCATGCATACATCTGTTTCTTCCATTAGCTCCACATAAGCAGGGGAATATGTTTTATTCACCATTGAATCTCCAGGTCCTAGCTCAGTACCAGGCACATAGTAGATGCTCAATGAAAATTTACTGAATGAACAAAACAACTGGAGAACAAAGGAAGTGCCAAAATGTGCACTGCATAATAGAGATGAGAAATAAGAGTGAACTAATTCAACTGGGACTTCTTGGCAAAGTTGGGAGTCAGGCAGAACTTGAAGAATAAACAAAATCAGATAGGTGGAGAAGTATGGGGAGAAGACGTTTTAAATAAAGCATGTCATGTCCAAGATTACTTTAAACAAAACAAAACGGAACCATACTTACCTTCAGTTACTCCCCCAATAGCAAGAGAAATAATAGCTAAAACGTTTTCACATGATGAATGATTTATCTACCAACAGAGGAGAAACAATTTAATTTAGGGGCAAGAGTTCAGACTAAACTCGATTAACAGTAAAAACATGTACTCTGATATTAAATTGACTATCAGAAATATGGAATACAATATTTCTTATAGAAAACAATATTTTCTAATATGAAGTTACCAAAATTTAACAGTAACATATAGAATCAATAGTCGTAGAAGTATGTCAAGTAACAGGCAACTCACTCAAAATCCAATGGTCTCAAGAAAATGGTTATATTAGCAAGATGAAGGCTATAAGCTAATCAAGGACAGAAGTGCTGAAGCCATAACTCAGCCAGTGGCACAGGGCAAAGGCAGGGCTATGAGAATTAACTACTAATACACCCATGTGTCTGAGGGGTGGTTTTAATAGAAGGAAGACAGTGCTTAGGTTCTATAAAATCATAATAACCAGCATTTACTGAGTGTTCATTAAGTGCTGTTTTACACACAACAACACTGAAAGAACGGTATTTCCCCTCTCACAAAAGAAACTGAAGCACAGAAAAGGAAAAGAACTTGCCCAATGCCTCACAATGGAAAAGTGACTAAGTCTGAAGAAAAGGAAAGAATCATTTTTTAATCAGACTTGTCTGAGAGAAAGGGACATTGTACTATGGCCAATAGAAGGGAATCTAGCTTTTGGGGACCCAACCTTTGCTTGACCAAGAATAAACTGTTGAAACTTTTCCTTTCATTCAGGTGCCCCATTATTGGTAAACAAATTCAGATTTTTCATGGTTAGACTTCTCTACCGAAGTTGGAGAGCCCTCAGTTATTTATGTAAGTTTACTGATGAGGAGGATGCCAGAGGAAAATGAGGGAATGGAATCCCAGCTCCTAAGCTAAATATTCTTGGACTAGACCTTTTGCGCCACTACAGGATGTATCACTGCTTATACAGGAAAGTGAGAGAGCCCACCTTCACCTCTAGTTCTTCCTAAGACCTCATGTCAACTTTTCTTATCTCACTTGGAGAGGGCTCTTGTCATTTATTAAACCAAACCCTTAAAATGTACCTGTGCTATCAAAATCCTTAGAGAAATCGTATAGTCATCAAGTCAACTTTTACAAAGCAGAAAGGTTACTCTAAAAAAAGATGTTTAAATATCCATTCTAAGAAAAAAAGCAATTTTTAAATAACATGGTTTATTAATTTGTCAGTAAAATTTTAACAATGGAAAAACATACTTACAATTTCTTCTTCTAGAATACCTCTGAAAGCTTGGTCAAGGGTACATTTTTTTTCATTTTCACTATTAAAAACAAAAGACATCCTCATTTTTCAAACAGCTCAGGGTATGTATAAAGATTGAGGCAAGTATTTTTCATAGATATCAATGCCTTACCTGCCAGGTACCTGGCTGAAGGTACTTAACAATGGCTTGATGTTTTTGTTGTTCAAGGCCTCTCTGGTAGACTTCTAAAAAAAAATTAAAATGGCAAATAATTGTAAAGATTTTGCTTATTATTTGCTGAAAAATATATCGTTCATTGATAGTGTATCTTACTAACTAAAAAATGCTTATACCTGGGAAAAATTACCTATCAGTCATTCTCTCAGTAATCCTTATTCCAATGCTACTTCATGATACGGATCCTCATCACTTTAAATCTGGCAAGAGCTTCCTTGCTGGACTTTTTCATTCTAGGTGATATTTCTGTCTCTTTAAATATCACATTCATGAGTATTGTGCTTACAAAAAAAAAAAATCTCCATATGGCTCCTTATTTGCCCGTTTTAGTTTTGAAGCTTCATAGATCCCTCAAGGTCCTTGATAATGTTATCCCAATTTACCCAAACTTAATTCCCAATACTCCCTAACACATACTTTGCACTAAAGTCTAGCCATTTTTCATCACTTTATATCAAACTCATTCTACTGTATTCACACATTCATGTTGCTCTTCCTACCTGCTCATCCAAATTCTATCCATTCTCCCACACCCATGTCAGGTCTCGCCTCCTGGAGGTATCTTGTTCAGTCCCTGACACGTAGCACTCAATAAAACCATGCTGACAATCTGTAGATTGTTTTAAAGTAATCATAACTTAAAGACAAAAATATTGCAAAAGGCATTCATTCTATGAACACTCACATACACTTAGAAAGTCATCTTATTACCTCACAGGAATTAGATCTATCCTAAATGTGTCCATTCCTTGCTCTGCCACTAACAGGCTGAGTAATTTGGGGCCTGTTCCTTTATCTCTTTGTGCTTCATTTTCGTCACCAGTTAAATAAGAGGGTTTTTGTAGATTTTTACTACCAGCAGCAGCTACAGTGGCATCACCTAGGAAGCTGGTAGAAATGCAAAATCTCAGGCTCCCTTCCACACTTACTGAACAAGAATCTGCATTTCACAAGAAGCTTGAGAAACACTGAACTAGATGATCTCCAATTTCATGGTCCTTTTCAGGGCTAGTATGATTTTTTTTTTTTTTTTTGAGATGGAGTCTCCCTCTGTTGCCCAGGTGTTGTGCACTGGCATGATCTTGGCTCACTGCAACCTCCGCTGTCCGGGTTCAAGCGATTCTCCTGCCTCAGCCTCCCAAGTAGATGGGATTACAGCGCCCACCACCACGCCTGGCTAATTTTCGTATTTTTAGTAGAGACGGGGCTTTGCCATGTTGGCCAGGCTGGCCTTGAACTCTTGACCTCAGGTGATCCGCCCGCCTCGGCCTCCCGAAGTACTGCATTTACAGGCGTGAGCCACTGCGCCCGGCCGCCAATATGATCTTGGATAGTCCTAACAGTTACTCTTAGCAGGCTTTCAAAGCACCAGAGATTGCAGCAAAACGCACACAAAGAAAATGATTATGATGACATACACAAAATATAATCCATTTAAAAAAAACCTCACACTGTGTGTGTGTGTATATATATATTATACGTATACGTATATATATGTATATATATATATATATAACCCTGCAAACAAGAAAACTACTTACTACAAAGGATGAATTTTTCTTTCACACAATTTTCATCCTGGCATCCCTATAACTACCAAAACACAGCCGAATATCTGAGAAATGTTGGTGCAAATGCTAGAGACGAATAGAGTCAGGCAACTTAAAAGTGTTCTTCATACTTACGTTGCTGTGACGAGCAACATAAAAAGAACAGAGTGTCTAAAGTCAGAAAAACCACTGAAGTCACAACTTTTTGGGGGGTGTCAGCTTCTACCTCATGTACCAGGAATAACCAACTTAGCCTACTTCACAGTGTTACTCTAATAGTTAAATGAGAAAGTGATCTGTCAAGTGTTTCCCAAATGCTCAAAACCACCCTTCCACATTGAGCAAGAATAAAATAGCATCTGGTTACCCTTCCCAAGGTGATCTATCTGCCTTTTCCCGCTTAGGATCTCATCGATCGCTTAGGAGTTAGACACGGTGGGTTAAGGGGTGGTGAAGAGACGGCGGGAACAAGCACTTGGTAGCTCAGAAGGCTAGGGCGGGAGCCAGGTCTTTGGACTGAAACCACTCCCACCCTCCCCCTTCAGCAGCTCCCCTTCCCCTTCTCGAGACACCTGCCCCACTAAACGAGCTGAGAGGATGGACCCAACCAGCAGTAGTCTGCAGGTGGGCACTCCAAGCGGGGAGCCGAGGCGCCCAGCACGCAGTCCGGGGACCCGCTGGAGGGTGGGCGGAGGCGGACGGCCCAGCCCACAAAGAAGAGGCGGGTAGTGCGTCTTTCCCTACCCCTCAACCTCCGACGGGGCCCGGAGCGGACGCTGAGGCGGACACACCTCTGTCTCACTTTACCCCAGGGCAAAATTCGAGTAATTTCAGGGAGAAGAGGACAAAGCATAGCGCCGGGTCAGGCCTGCACCCTCCCCTCTACAGCTCACCGTAAACCGCGTCCGCGCTTCGGGCAAACTGAAGAGCGGCGGCGTCGGAGACATCTTCTCGGCTGCGCGTGCCCGCCACTGCGCTGCGGCGCCTGCCGATGACGTCAAGCCAGGAGCAACGAGACTGCGGTCTCTCTGAGCCCGGCTAGAGTGGCCTGTGAACACCGGTCGGGCGAGCTGGCAGTTGGGAGTTTCCCTAGCGACTCAGTTCGGGTGGGCGTTGGGCGCCTGAGTCAGCCAAACAGCCTACTCGGGGTTCTTGGGTAGCCTTTGGGGTGAGGGGACTTGGGCGGCCTTGGTCTGTAAGCTCTGCGTTCCCGGGCGTGGAAGAGACTGGCCGCGCACATGCGTTTCTGTGGTTTTCCTGGTTTGGGGAAAGCGGGTAAATGGTGGCTGGTTGCGGCTAACTGGGCCGCGCTAAAAGGTAACCCAAGGCAGGTGGATTACCTGGGGAAACAGCTGGAGCAGTGGTCCTGGGCCGCCAGTCCGCGGTCATCCCGGGAGCTTAAGATGCGGAGTGGTGATAGGCTCCGGATGTATGAGCCCTGTGGCTCAAGGGCGCTGTTCTCTCTGCTCCGAAATAGAAATAATACCTGTCTCACAGAGCTGTTGAAAAGCTCCACTGAAATAATGACCGCAAGTGTGAACTGTAAAGCAATGTAAGTAGTATTTATTATTAAAAGGTCTCTACTGAAAGAAAGAGACCTAGGAGGAATGCAGTGCCCGGCGCTGATTGGAAAACGGGTGGCGCTGCGTCCTGGGCCGAGGCTTCCCTAGCGAAAACCTTGTCTCCCTCCATTTCGTCCCTTGCCTGCCTTCCCAGGAGAGACGTGGCCGATAGAAGCCGAGTGGCAGTAACTCTAAGTTGGAGTTACACGGTGGAGAAGGAAGCACTGACTCAGACTCGGGTAACTTCCTCTTATTCCCTCACACGTGTATCTTGTTCCCTTCTTCGAAGTCTGTAAATTTAAAATCCTAAGCCCCCCAACAACTGAACAGACCCCCGTGAGGCCAAGGGGACACCAGCAAAATCTTAACAACTGAGTTCCCAGTCATAACGGGATGGGAGGTCAGACGGACCTGGTTATACCCTCTCCCTTTTGTGATTTAGAGGAGATAGCTGACTGGCCATAAAGTTAAAATAGAGGCCAGGCGCGGTGGCTTACGCCTGTAATCCCAGCACTTTGGGACGCCGAAGCAGGTGGGTCACCTGAGGTCAGGAGTGGATCACCTGAGGTATGGCAAACATGGTGAAACGCTGTCTCTACTAAAAATACAAAAATTAGCCGGGCGTGGTGGCACGCACCTGTAATCCCAGCTACTCAGGAGGCCGAGGCAGGAGAATGGTTTGAACCCGGCAGGCGGAGGTTGCAGTGAGCGGAGATCGTGCCATTGCACTCCAGCCTGGGCGACAAGAGTGAAACTCTGTTTCAAAAAAAAAAACGGAGATGATAGGACTGACGGAATTGACTCCATGGCAATAAGATACCAAAGTATAAACAGGACCTAAGCCCATGCCAAGCAAGGGTTAAAAGTCATGCATCCCTACGCTTGAAAAATAAACTATGTTCTCACTATGCTTCAAGGTTTTTCTTTAGCAGCTAAACAAGCGCTGGCCTCACAGTATTAAAACAATTTGCAGTTCATCGACCACCAGACACTAACAACCCTCTCCCACCAGCCGTAACTACAGCTTTTATTGATTTCAGTTACTTTCTCCTGATAAGAAGGTCACTGACCATGGACTTGTTCTGGCCAATTTGTAGTGATTGCATGCTTACGTAACTTCCTGAAAAGATATTTTGATGTATAGGACCAAACTGTAAATACATTTAAATGTTAAGTCTCCACCCCAAAGTGAACATGGATTGTCTGTTAAACATGCATATTTGTTTAATATGCATGTGTCAAGACCACTTTCATGAATATTCATAGCCGCTCCTCTAACTTGTTGAATATGTATGTTTAGCCAACCAGTTAAGCATAAAGTTCCTACTCCAACTCCTCCTCTGAAGTGTCTGTATGTGGTCTTGGCTGGAGGCATGCTTCCCAGCCTGCAGAATGGCCACCTTGCAGGCTGTAACTCCTTATAAGAAACAAAGTCTCTCCTTTTCTAAATCTATAGATCTTATGATTTTTTAGTTAACATGCACAATAAGAATACAGGAAGCTAAGGAAAAGATAACTGCAGAATCTTACTCCTAAGTGGGAATTGTGAACAATAATGACTACCTGAAATGTTACAGGCTTTTTAAGAATCAGCAAGATCATTCAGGTTTGGTTGTATACATTAAATTTACAAATTGGCAAAATAAAAATGATTTAATTCAGAATTATACTTTGTTTATCTGATACTAATTGTTGTAATAGGATTATCATATTACAGATGACTATTAACCATCTGGAACACAACTAAGACCTCAGAGGCAAGTACATTTTTTTCTTTTCTTAAGAGACAGGGTCTCATTCTGTCATCCAGACTGGAGTGTAGTGGTTTGATCATAGCTGACTGTATCCTCAAACTCCTGGGCTCAAATGATCCTCCTGCCTCCATTTCCCAAGTAGCTGGGACTAGAGGCATGTGCCACCAAGCTCAGCTAATTTTTTTATTTTTGTAAGACAGGGTTTTGCTATGTTGCCTAGGCTGGTCTTGAATTCCTGGGCTCAAGTGGTCCTGCCTCGGCCTCCCAAAGTGCTGGGATTACAGGCATGAGCCACTGTGCCTGACCTGGCACTTTTCTTATATTGCTTCTAGTCCTTACAACAATTTTTTACTTAGTTATATATTAATGAGTATACAGCCTCATTGGCTGTAAGTCACATGGCTAGAGAAAGCTAAGTTTGGAATTTGAGCCTAGCTGTCATCCCAAAGCCTGTATTTTTCTTAAGTCTTAACTCTTGAATCTTTACCATGGGCCTATTCAATGTTTCAGAAATTATTTCCTTACAATTGGATAAGGGCGAGGACCATAGTGTCATTAATAACAAAACATAGGCCCGGTGCGGTGGCTCACGCCTGTAATCCCACTACTTTGGGAGGCCGAGCCAGCTGGATCACCTGAGGTCGGGAGTTTGAGACCAGCCTGGCCAATATGGTGAAACCCCATCTCTACTAAAAATACAAAAATCAGCCAGGCATGGTGGCAGGCACCTGTAATCCCAGCTACTCGGGAGGCTGAGTCAGGAGAATCGCTTGAACCCGGGAGGCGGAGGTTTCAGCGAGCCAAGATCCTGCCATTGCACTCCAGCCTGGGCAACAAGAGCAAAACTCCATCTCAAAAAAAAAAAAAAAAAAAAAGAGTTTTTTGTTTTTTGTTTTTTTGTTTGTTTGTTTGTTTGTTTTTAAGTGGGTAATAACATCCAGAGGGCAGACATCCAGGAACATGTAACCTTTTCACTTATATTTACTGAGCACCTGTTTTTCCTCATGCTAGCTGGTGAAGTAAGATGGACGAAGGACTGCCTCTCTGTTAGGAAATAACTTGCATGGGAGAATCTAGGATGGATGGTTTAGATCAGTTCTAGGCATTCACATCTTCATTCCTCTTTTTTTTCCTTAGTGTGGCCTTACTTGAGTTCAGTTTACCATTGGAATGGTAAGATCTGGGAGGAAAGGACTAAGGATGCAGTTTAATCTGCTTTTCTTCTAGTTCTTATCCTGACTATTGTCTAGGCAGAAGGAAGCTTTTTGCTCCATGCTTACTGGTCGGCCACATTAGGATGTTGGATTGCAGGTTTGCCTTTTTCAGCATTTGGGCCCCAGCCATCTCTCCCTTTCTCTCATTTGTAGTTTAAGTGGATTGAAATAATTATATTTATTTAAAGGGAACTGATGTTTGAGTGGCAAAGTTGAATAAAAAGAATGAGACTCCTGCATTGTGAGAGGAATGGAACTGAGAAGAATAAAAATGAAAAAAATGGCCGGGCACAGTGAGTCACACCTGTAATCCCAGCACTTTGGGAGGCCAAGGTGGGTGGATCACTTGAGGCCAGGAGTTTGAGACCAGCCTGACCAAGATGGTGTAACCCTATCTCTACTAAAAATACAAAAAATTAGCTGGGTGTGTTGGCCGCGCCTGTAATCCTAGCTACCCAGAAGGCTGAGGCAGGAGAAGCGCTGGAACGTGGGAGGTGGAGGTTTCAGTGAGCAGAGATCGTGCTACTGCACTCTAGCCTGGGTGACAGAGTGTGACTCTATCTCAAAAAAAAAAAGGAAAAGGACGGCCCTTTATACTCTAGAGCTTAAATTTTCTTGGAAAAAGAGTAATTTTCATGAAAGCTATGTAGGGAGGCTGTATTTTTATAGCATAGTGGCAATTTTCAAGCATTTTATATTGTTGATATTGTACTGTTTGTTCAATATATTGAGTGCTTACTATCTGCCAGGCAAAGGTATAATATTATTGAAATATATATGTAGCACTATTTTATTATATTGCAGGTACTGTATATATCATTATCTAGCATATATTGTAAAATCCTGTTTGGTGGGCTCAGTTGGACCACATAATGAGCATAATTCAAGGTGAGAGATGGAATAGTGGGTCAGTTTTTGCCCGGGCATGCCAAGCTTCCCTGCAGGGTTAGTCAAGGGATTTGCCTGAAATTCTACCATTGTTTGGCTTGTTCCCCTTTCCTGTCCTGTTTTTCTCTCTCCCTGAGAGTATTATCTTAACAAATCATTTGCTTATGAATTATCACCTCAGGATTTGCTTCTGAAGATCCGGATTGTGTTCGTTTGGGTCTACATAGAAGCAGACACAGATACATTACACCATACATTGGATGTGCAAGAGATTTACTAAGGAGAGAGCAAGAGCAGGGAGGGAGAACTTGCAGACAGCAGTGCAGGTCTGACACTCACAGGAGGAGAAAAGGAAGGAATGTGGATTGGGTAAGAAGTTTCTGGGTACAGTGCAATTCCAAGAAAGGGTTGGCTTTGCAAAGAGTCCTGCAGTTTGTCAGAATGGGCCTGTACTAGTACCTTTGCCATCCTCATTCATTGACTGGGACCCTCAGAAAGCATGGCCTTGGTGCAAATGTGGTGGTTGATCCAGAGGGTAGCAGCTTGAGCTGTCAGTCAACTGTGGTCCCCGCAGCTGAAGATCTGAGTAGAGCATTATCATGGCCACCACACTGCCCTAAGATACTAATCATGTAGTAATTTTTTATTTGTATTCAGAAAATATTTTCTTTGTTTATTCTCAACAAATATATGTGAACCTAGCACTGTGAACAAAGAAGAGTTACTACCCTAATGAGGCCTTTATTCTGTGTGGGAGCAGGGTTATTTATTTATTTATTTTTGAGACGGAGTCTCGCTCTGTCGCCCAGGCTGGAGTGCAGTGGTATGATCTTGGCTCACTGCAACCTTGGCCTCCCGGGTTCAAGTGATTCTCGTGCCTCAGCCTCCTGAATAGCTGGGACTACCGGCACACAGCACCATGCCCAGCTAATTTTTGTATTTTTAGTAGAGATGGGGTTTCGCCATGTTGGCCAGGCTGGTCTCAAACTCCTGGCCCCAAGTGATCCGCCCACCTCAGCCTTTCAAAGTGCTGGGATTACAGGTGTGAGCCACCGTGGCTGGCCAAGGTTTTTTAAATAAATAAAAATATAAAAGAATTTTACTATGTGGTAAATGGTAGCATCTACTGAGTACTGTTGTGTGCTTGAATTCTAAGTGCTATTCATTTAATCTTCTTTTCAGCCTTATGAGGTAGGTATCCTTTATTCCCATTTTACAGATGATAAAACCGAGGCGAAGTGCTTAAGTAACCTAGCCTCAGCAACACTCAAAGTCAAAGAAATGAGAGACTAAGGTAGAGAATACTTGGGTAGTATTTAACTTTAAATAGGGTTGTTAGGAAAGGCCTCTGTGAGGAAGTGATATTTAAGCAAAAACATAAAGATGTAAAGGAATTAGTTGTATAATCATTTTATGGGAAGGGGGTTTGGCAAGGGAAGGCAAGGATGAGCGCTCCAGGTTGAAGGAGCAGCATGTGCGATGGCTCATGTTAGGAAGGAGGTCCACCTACTTGGGAACTGACAGGAGGCCTGTGTGACTGGAGGACAGTTAGCAAAATGGAGGGCTGTGCGGATTGAAGCTGGCGGCAGGGCCACGTGGGTCAGGACTTCGCAAGTCTGGAAGTTCACTCGGCACACAGTAGCCATCTGGAATCTAGTTGAACACAGAAAAGATTTTGAGAAGTTCTTAATTGTTTTGCATGAACAGTGGAGGATCATTTGCTTTCACTGGTCTCCTTGCTTCCACTCTGTGGAGCGTGATTTCCCTCACAGGACTGGTGCTTTTTCATTAAATGTTGATGATCATAAGGAAGGCTAAGATTGTTGAGTCCTCATAGCAGGGACTGGGGGACTGCTCAGCACATTTCTCACTCCTCCCTTGCCCTTCACCCCTACCCCCTGCCCCCACAACCCCGCTCCATTCTTGTGACAGAACAGGTGTGGGCGTGTTCATTGACTTCCAACCCCCTTCATGCATGGCTGACGCATGGGATGTTGCTGTCATGCACGTGTAACTGAATGGAGGGTTCCCTCAGGTGTTCTAGGCAATGGCACGATATTAGAGACGCCCTGAGGCAGAAAAAAATTGATGCAGCTGAAGTGAAGTGCTGTCAGTTTCACCTGTGTGGAGCTCGTTGCCATAGCAGTGGTTACAGTAAAACTGGGTCCAGAGGATGTGAACGAGGGCCAGGAGATGTACAATATAAGGCAGAAAAATGGCTGAATTGTTATCATACTCTTAAATAAGGAAAGCCAAAATAAACTGCTTTATTGGGTCTTGGCTAATTAAAAAAATAGAGGTTTAAGGATATATTTCTTAAGAACATAAAAGGTAATCATTAGTAGAATCCAAAATAATATGTACACCCCAAGCTCACTGGAGAAAATGAAAAAAAAGTAGCTCATATAACAAGAGTTAGAACAAAAAGCAGACTACAAAATAAATCTCTCTTTCTCTCTGTGTGTGTGTGTGTTTGTGTGTGTGTGGGAGAGAGAGAGAAGGAGAATGTGAAAATATGTGTAAGTACTGTACATATATGCATGTATATATTTTATAAATTAGAATGGTAGAAACAAAATCAGACATAAAGCAAAGGTCGATCTAGGCTGATGTTCACACAATTTGGGAAGGGGGGGTCTTTAAGAAGAATAATTAAAAATTACGAATACAAAATGAAAGTGAATATTGATTTGGAATGACAATAGAAATGGTGATACATTATGGATGTCACAAATGTTATAAAATCCAGAATAACATTAACTGCCTGATATCTCTCTGTAGTACTTTCTCCCAACATTTTGTTTTTTTTAAGAGATGGGGCCTCACCACGTAGCCCAGGCTAGTCTCAAACTCCTGGGCCAAGTGATCCTCCCAACTTGGACTCTCAAAATGCTGAGATTGCAGGCATGAGCCACTGCACTTGGCCTCCCCCAACATTTTTGGCTGCATATTCTTTGATCACCTCATTATATGACAATGATTATATAATATTTTAATTTAAAAGAACCAGAAAGATAATTTAGTATAGTGGATTTTTTATTATTATTATTGATAGTGTAGAAACTGAAAAAAGTTTCACAACTCACTATTGGGTGTTCCCTATCTGTGACTCCCTCTGCTAGTTCTTGCTCCAGTGACATTTCTTGCTCTGAGAACTCTAGTTCTTTGATATTGCTTGGTCTGTCACATGACAGTTGTTACAGCCAGAGCTGGCCTGGCCAGCCATGTCCTCCTGTCTTCGGTTCCCCTTCCTTCCACTGCCGCCAGCAAGCCAGTCTTCAGTGGGGAGAGGCAGCCTTGAAACTTGAGTGTTGAGCCCTGTGGGGGGAGCAGAGCAACATTTAAAAAATATCTTTGTCTTTGGTGTCTGGATGCTCAGTGGGGGCCACCAGGGAGAATTTGTCAATGAGGGCCAGGAAGATATAGTAGCACAGGCAAGTCTCTAGATAAAACAGAATACTAAAAAATACTTGATTAACCAAAAGATGTCAGGAAAGGAGGAACAAGATAAGATGGGACAAGTAGAAAACAAATAGCATGCTGACAGACTTAAACCTATCCGTATCAGTAATTGCATTAAAAGTAAATGGTAGAATAATAATAAAATTGGTGGAATAAAAAATAAATGCAATATGGAATCCTGAATAGGATTCTGGAACAGAAAAAGGACATTAATGGAAAAACTGGTGACACCCAAATAAAGTCTGGAATTTATTTGATTGTAATGTGCTAGTTTTGGTTTTTTAGTGTTGATGAATGTACTATGGTTATATAAGATATTAACATTTGTAGAGAATGGGTGAGGGGTATTCAGGACCTCTCTGTAGTATTTTTGCATCTTTTCTGTACATACAATGTTATTCCACAATAAAATGTTTATTAAAATGTACATAGACTAAATATCAAATAAAAATCATATACTATCAGTCTGGATTAAGAAAACAAGCCTCTGGCCAGGTATGCCTGTAATCCTAGAACTTTGGGAGGCTGAGGCAAGAGGATTGCTTGAGATCAGCCTGGCTTAAACAATAAAAATCAGCCAGGCATGGTGGTGTGCCACTGCAGTTCTAGCCAATTGGGAAGCTGACGTGAGAGGACTGCTTGGGCCCAGGAGTTCGAGGCTGCAGTGAGCTACCGTGGTGCCATTGCACACCAGCCTGGGTGACAGAGGAAGACCCTGTCTCAAAAAATAAAGAAAGAAAAAGAAAAAAGAGAAAACAAGTTTCAACTACCAACTGTTCAAAAGAATACACTTTAAAAATAAGAATAGGCTTAAAGTAAAAGAATGGAAAAATAAGCAAACACTAATCATGAGAAATACAGTATTACTATATTGAGGAAAAAGCAGCCTTCTAGATGAAGAGTATTATCAGAAGTAAAGAAGCTAATTTCTTAATAATTAAACAATAATCTAATCAGGAAAACATAACAGTCCTAAACATGGATCTATTTAAAAACAAAACCTCATATGAAGCAAAAATTGGCAGAACTGAAAGGATAGAGAAATCTATAATTATAGTTGGAGATCTTAATACATTTCTCTCAGTATTTGATAGAACATATATAAAAACATACAATATTTGAACGCTATTTTCAAACTTGACATAATTGATATTTCTAAAACAGTACACCCAACAAATGCAGAATGAATTTTTCAAGTACACATGGATCATTCACCAAAATAGACCATATGCTTGGTCATAATGTGAGTCTCAAAACAACCAAAGGATTAAAATGATACAGAATTCGTTCTCTTACAATAATGGAATTTAGAAATGAAAAACAAAGGATATCTAGAAAAATCAACTATTTGGGAATTAAGCAACAAAATCCTGAAAGAGCATAGGTCAAAGAAGAAATCACCAGGGAATTTAGAAAATATTGTATACTGATGGTAATGATAATGATAACTTACCAATATGACTGGGTGCAGTGGCTCACGCCTGTAATCCTAGCACTTTGGGAAACTGAGGCAGGCAGATCACTTGGGCCCAGGAGTTCAAGACCAGCCTGGGCCGCACGGTGAAATCCCGTCTCTACCAAAAATACAAAAATTAGCTGGGCGTGATGGCATGAGACTGTAATCTCAGCTACTTGGAAGGCTGAGGTGGGACGATGATTTTATTCTGGGAGTTGAAGGTTGCAGTGAGCCAAGATCATGCCGTTGCACTCCAGCCTGGGTAACAGAGCCAGACCCTGTCTCAAAACATCAAAAACCAAACAAACAAACCCAGAAACTTAGTAGTATTTGTGGATGCAGCTAGAGCAATGACTGAGCAAAATCTATAGCTTTACCATATTTTATTTTGTAGTATAATTTGTATACCTTGGATGCATATATTAGAAGAAAGGTTAAAATCAATTTAGTAAATGTCCATCTCAAGAAGTGAGCAAAAGAAGAGCAAATGAAACCCTAAGAAAGTAGACAAGTAAATAATAAATATAAGGACAACAGAATAGAAAACAAATAATAGACAAAATGAACAAAACCAAAAGTTGGTTTTTTGAAAAGATTAATAAATTAACCTTTAGCAATATAATCAAGAATAAAATAGAGGAGCAAAATTATCAATATCAGAAATGAAAAAGGGACATTGTTACAGATCCTACAGGCATTAAAAAGATAATATGATATGCCAGGAATGGTGGCTCACACCTGTAATCCCAGTACTTTGAGAGGCTGAGGCAAGAGGATCACTTGAGCTCAGGAGTTTGAGACCATCCTGGGCAACACAGGGAGGCCCTATCTCTACAAAAAAATTAATTAAAAAAATTAGCCAGGCATGGTGGCACACACCTGTTGTCCCAGCTACTTGGGAAGTTGAGTCGGGAGGATTGCTTGAGCCCAGGAGTTGGAGGCTGCAGGGAGCTACAATAGTGCCACTGCACTCCAGAGCAAGACCCTTTCTCAATAATAATAATAATAATAGGTTATTATGAAAAACTTTAGGCCCATAAATTGGAAAATTTAGAAGACAGAAAATTTTTGTAAAACACAAGTTACTAAAACTGACAAAGAAAAAATAGAAAATATGAATAGTCCTATATCTGTTAAAGAAATGCAATTGGTAATCAAAAGCTTTCTCCAGAGCAAACTTTAGGTCTAGATGGCTGCGTTGGTAAATTCTACCATACATTTAAGGAAGAAATGATACCAATCTTACACAAGGTCTTTAGAGAATAAACAGTGAGAAACCATCTACCAACTTGTTTTGTGAACCTAGCATAACTCTGATATCGCAACCTTAAAAGTACATTACAAGAAAATAAAATTACAGATAAATATCCCTTATGAACTTAGGTATAAAAGTCCCAAAAGAAAAAAGGAAGTCCTGGCTGGGCACGGTGGCTTATGCCTGTAATCCCAGCATATTGGGAAGCCAAGGCGGGTGGATCACTTGAGGTCAGGAGTTTGAGACCAGCCTGGCCAACATGGTGAAACTCCATCTCTACTAAAAATACAAAAATTAGCTGGGCGTGGTGGCTTGCACCTGTAATCCCAGCTACTCGGGAGGCAGAAACACAAGAATTGCTTGAACCTAGGAGGCAAAGGTTGCAGTGAGCCAAGATGATGCCCTTGCACTCCAGCCTGGGTGACAGATCAAGACTCTGTCTTAAAAACCTAAAAAAACAGAAATCCAATAAAATTTGAAAAGGATAGTATATCATGACCAAGTAAGGTTTATTCCAGGAATATAGGCTTGATTTAACATCTGGAGTCAGTCTATATCATTCACTGTTATCAGAATAAAGGAGAAAAATATAAATATAAGCATCTTAATAAATGCAGGAAAGGTGATGAAATTCAATGTCTATTCACGATTTTTAAAAACTCAGCCAACTAGAAATAGATGGGAAATTTTCAGTCTGATAAAAGATGTCTTTAAAAATCTTTATCTAACATCATGATAGTGAAATATTAAAATCGTTGCCCCTAAAAAGCCTAGAACAAGATGATGTCCACGTTCACCCAGTTTTATTCAACATTATAATGAAGGTCTTAGCCATTGAATTAAGATTTTAAAAGGCAACAAAAGGCACAGGATTGAAAAGGCACAAGTACAGCATCTTTATTTGCAGATGACATGATTATTTACATAGAAAATTAAAAGATAATAAAGGTATATAGGCCGGGTGCAGTGACTCTCACCTGTAATCCCAGCACTTTGAGGGACCGAGGTGGGAGGATCTTGAGGTCAGGAGATCAAGACCATCCTGGCCAACATGGTGAAACCCTGTCTCTACTAAAAACATAAAAATTAGCTGGGCATGGGGGGCGCATGTCTGTAATCCCAGCTACTCGGGAGGCTGAGGCAGGAGAATCGCTTGAACCCGGGAGGTGGAGGTTGCAGTGAGCCAAGATCGTGCCACTGCACTCCAGTCTGGTGACAGAGACTCTGTCTCAAAAAAAATAATAATAAAGATATATAACTCAGTATGAATAAGTTAATATAGCAAGATTATAAAATAAGATCAATCTATATTTTTATTTCTACATAGTAATTCTAAAAATTTGGAAAATAATATTAAAAATCACACTGTTTACCATTGTATAAACCTCAAGTACCTAATAATGAATTTCCTAAAAGATGTACAAGAATTTTAAATTATTGCTGAGATAAAGAAGATAAAATATTTCTTCTTTATAGGAGAAATTTCAAGCCTGGTGAGACACACTGTCTTAATGGTTTGTCTTTGAACAGACAAATCATCTTAATGGTTTTGAAGATTAAATATTATAAACATATCAATTCTCCCCAAATTGGTCATAGATTCAACACACTCTTAGTAAAACTCCCAGCATACTTTTTGTAACAATTGAGTAGCGCGATTCTAAAATTTACACAGACATGCAAAGGAATTTTAATAGCTAAAATAATCTCGAAGAATAATAGAGGAATTACACTACCAGATTTTGAGACTTTATAAAGCTACTGTAATTAAGGTAATGAAATAGTGTCATAAGGGCAGAAAAGTAGACCAAAGGAACAGAACAGAGTATGCAAAAACAGATGCAGACTGTTGGTTATTTGGTTTTTGACAAAAGTGAAAATAGAATCCAATATAGAAAATGAAGATCTATGTAATACAGGCATGCCTTGTTTTACTGTGTTTTGCTTTATTGCGATATTGTATTTTTGTTGTTGTTGTGGGTTTTTTTTTTTTTTTGGTGGGGGTGTTTGAGACAGGGTCTCACTTTGTCACCCAGGCTGGAGTGCAGTGGCACAGTCACAGCTCACTGCAGAGTCAACCTCCCAAAGGCTCAGGTGATCCTCCTACTTCAACTTCCCGAGTAGCTGAAGTTCATGCCACCACATCCACCTAATTTTTGTATTTTTTGTAGAGATGGGGTTTCACCATGGTGACCAGGGTGGTCTTGAACTCCTGGGCTCAAGCAATCCTCCCACCCTGGCCTCCCAAAGTGCTGTGAATACAGGCATGAACCACTGCATCTGGCCTGTTTCTTTTGTTTGTTTGTTTTTTCTGCAAGTTGACTGTTCATGGCAACTCTGTGTTGAGCAAGTCCATTGGTACCATTTTCCCAACATCATGTGCTCACTTTGTGTCTCTGTGTCACATTTTTGTAATTCTCTCTATATTTCAAACTTTTTGGTATTATATCTGTTATAGTGATCTGTGATTAGGGATCCTTGACGTTGCTATTATAATTGTTTTGGGGTGTCATGAATTGCACCCATATAAGACAGCGAACTTAATCAGCAAAAGTTGTGTGTCTTCGGACTGCTCCATTGACTGCTGCACCTACTGCCGTTTCCTTGTCTCTGTTCATCTCCTTGGGCCTCCCTATTCCCTGAGACAAGACAATATTGAAAGGAAGCTAATAACCCTGTAATGACCTCTACATGTTCAAGTGAAAGGAAGAGTTGCACATCTCTTACTTTAGATATATTTTTTGAAATAGGGTCTCACTCTGTTGCCCAGGGTGGAGTAACAGTGGCATAATCATAGTTCACTTCAGCCTGAACTCCTGGCCTCAAGTGATTCTCCTGCCTCAGTCTCCCAAAGCGCTGGCATTACAGGTGTGAGCCACCAAGCTGGGTCGGATGTCCTCACTTTAAATCAAAAGCAAGGAATGATTAAGCTTAGTGAGGAAGGCATGTCAAAAGCTGAAACAGGCCACAAGCTATGTCTCTTGTGCTAAACAGCCAAGTTGTGAATGCAAAGGAAAAGTTCTTTTTTTTCTTTCTTTCTTTTAAAATTTTTGCTTTTTTTTTTTTTCAGACAGGGTCTCACTCTGTCACTCAGGGTAGAATACAATGGCATGATCATGGCTCACTACAGCCTCGACCTCCCAGGCTCAAGCCATCCTCCTACCTCCGCCTCCTAAGAAACTGGGACCACAGGTGCACCCTACCATGCCTGGCTAATTCTTAAATTGTTTGCAGAGATTGGGTCCCACTATGTTGCACAGGCTGGTGAAAGTTCTTGAAGGAAGTTAAAAGTGCTACTCTAGTAAACACATGAATGATAAGAAAGTGAAACAGACTTATTGCTGATATGGAGAAAGTTGGAGTGGTCTGGATTGAATATCAAACTCTCCGCAACATTCCCTTAAGCCAAAGCCTAATATGTAATAAGGCCCTAATGCTCTTCAATTCTATGAAAGCTGAGAGAAGTAAGGAAGCTGCAGAAGAAAAGTTTGAAGCTAGTAGAGGTTGGTTCATAAGATTTAAGAAAAGAAGCCATCTCCATACCATAAAAATGCAAAGTGAAGCAGAAAGTGCTGATGGAAGTTACAGCAAGTTATCCAGAAGATCTAGCTAAGATCATTGATGAAGGAGACAAGACAGCCTGATATTTGGAAAAGATGCCGTCTAGGACTTTCACAGCCAGAGAGATATCAATGCTTGGCTTCAAAGGACAGGCTGACTCTCTTGGTAGGGGCTAATGCGGCTGGTGACTTTAAGATGAAGCCAATGCTCATTTACCACTCTGAGAATCTTAGAGCCTTTAAGAATTATGTGAGTCTACTCTGTCTTTGCCTGGATGACAGCACATCTGTTCGCAGCATGGTTTACTGAACATTTTAAGCTCATTGTTGAGATGTACTGCTCAGAAAAAAGATTTCTTTAAAATATTACTGTGCATTGACAATGCACCTAGTTGCCCCAGAGCTCTGATGAAGATATACAAGTTGATTAAAATGTTTTTATGTTAACACAACATTCATTTTGCAGCCCATGGATCAAGGAGTAATTTCCAAGTCTTATTATTTAAGAATTACATTTTGTGAAAAAAATTACATTTAGTAAGGTTATAGCTGCTATAGATAGTGATTCCTCAATGAATCTGGGCAGAGTAAATAAAACACCTTCTGGAAAGAATTTCCTATTCTAGATACCATTTGGAACATTTGTGCACCAGACACAGAGGCTCACACCTGTAATCCCAGCACTTTGGGAGGCTGAGGCGGAAGGACACTTGAGCCCAGTAGTTCAAGACCAACCTGGGCAACATAGTGGGACTCCCATCGCTACAAAAACAAAAATAAAAAAATTTTAGCCAGGTGCAGTGGCTCACGCCTGTAATACCAGCACTTTGGGAGGCTGAGGCGGGTGGATCACCTGAGGTTGGGAGTTCAAGACCAGCCTGACTAACATGGAGAAACCCCGTCTCTACTAAAAATACAAAATTAGCCGGAGTGGTGGCGCATGCCTGTAATCCCAGCTACTCGGGAGGCTGAGGCAAGAGAATCACTTGAACCCAGGAGGTGGAGGTTGCAGTGAGCCGAGATCACGCCATTGCACTCCAGCCTGAGCAACAAGAGCGAAACTCCATCTCAAAAAAAAAAAAAAAATTAAAAAGAATATTTGTGATTCACTGGAGGAGGTCAAAATATCAACATTAATAGGAATTTGGAAGAATTAGATCCCAACCCTCATGGATGACTTTGAGGGGTTAAGACTTCAGTGGAGGAAGTCATTGCAGATGTGGTAGAAATAGCAAGAGAACTAGAATTAGAAGAGGATCCTGAAGATATGACTGAATTGCTGCAATTTCATGATCAAACTTGAGTGCATGTGGGGTTGCTTCTCATGGATCAGCAAAGAAAGTGATTTCTTGAGGTGGACTCTTCCTGGTGAAGTTGCTGTGAACATTGTTGAAAACATTGAATCGCAATGAAGAATTTAGAATATTATATAGACTTAATTGGTAAAGCAGTGGGCAGCAGGGTTTGTGAGAGGACTGACTCTAACTTTGAAAGAAGTTCTACTGTGAGTAAAATGCTATCAAATAGCATCACATGCTACAATGAAACCATTTGTGACAGAAGAGTCAATTGATGTAAACTTCATTGCTGTCTTAAGAAACTGCCATAGCTCCCCCAGCCTTCAGCAACCACTACCCTGGTCAATCAGCACCATCAACATTAAGACAACTCTCAGCTGGGCACAGTGGCTTATCCCTGTAATCCCAGCACTTTGGGAGGCCAAGGCGAGTGGATCACTTGAGGTCAGGAGTTCGAGACCAGCCTGGCCAACAGGGCAAAACCCCATCTCTACTAAAAATACCAAAATTAGCCGGGCGTGGTGGCACATGCCTATAATCCCACCTACTGGGGAGGCTGAGGCAGGAGAACTGCTTGAACCCGGGAGGTGGAGGTTGCAGTGAGCTAACATTGTGCCACTGCACTCCAGCCTGGGCAAAGAAGTGAGACTCCATCTAAAAAAAAAAAAGACAAGACTCTCCACCAGCAAAAGATAATGACTGTATTTTTTTAGCAATAAAGAAGTTTTTTTGATTTTTGGTTTTTATTTTTGAGGCAGGGCCTCGCTCTGTCACCCAGGCTAGAGTACAGTGGTGTGATTTCGGCTCACTGCAACCTCTGCCTCCCGGGCTCAAGTGATCCTCCCACCTCAGCCTCCTGAGTAGCTTGGACCACAGGCATGAGCCACCACACCCGGCTAATTTTTTTGTTTTTTGAAGAGACAGGGTCTCACCATGTCACCCAGGCTGGTCTTAAACTCCTGGACTTAAGCGATCTACTGGCCTCGGCCTCCCAAAGTGCTGGGATTACAGATGTGAGCCACTGTGCCTGGCATAATGCATTTTTAAATTAAGGTATGTACATTGGTTTTTAAGACTTAATGCTACTGCACACTAAATAGACCGCAGTATAGTATAAACATAAATTTTAGATATGCACTGGGAAACCAAAAAAATAGTATGGCTTGCTTTATTGCAACATTCACTTTATTGTGGTGGTCTGGATCTGAACCCTCAGAGTCTCTGAGGTATGCCTGTAAATGGTGCTGGAGGAACTGAATATTCACATGGTGAAAAAAAATGAACCTCAACCCTAACTTTTGTCATACACAAAAATTACTTTTTTTATTCAATTATACACATTCATATGAAAGCTAAAACTGTGATGCTTTAGGAGAGAAAATAGAATGCCTTCGTGAATGCCTGTTAGGCAAAGATTGCTTAGATATAACGCAAAGTTCATTTACCGTAAAAGAAAAACAATTGGTGTATTGGACTTCATCAAAATTAAAACTCACCCTACTTAATGTAAATTTCTTAGCTATAGTAATTGAGATGCCATAGTAATGGTTTAGGGATAGACAGACTAAAGGAAGAGAACAGGGAGCCCCTAAAGGGACCCACACGTATATAGAGAAACTTCACCTATGTTTCATTGTATCCCGTTGTAAAGCAGTCAATAGGGAAATGGGAAATTGTTCGATGAATCACCCTGGAACAATTGTTAAAAAATAAAATGAGGCCGAGCGTGGTGGCTCACGCCTGTAATACCAGCATTTTTGGGAGGCCGAGGTGGGTGGATCACCTGAGGTCAGGAGTTTGAGACCAGCCTGGCTAACACGGTGAAACCTCGTCTCTACTAGAAATACAAAAATTAGCCGGGCGTGGTGGCGGGCACCTGTAATCCCAGCTACTCTGGAGGCTGAGACAGGAGAATCGCTTGAACCCGGGAGGCAGAGGTTGTAGAGAGCCAAGATCGCGCCACTGCACTCCAGCCTAGCTGACAAGAGTGAAACTCCATCTCAAAATAAGTAAATAAATAAATAAAATAAAATTTGATCCCTTGTATCATACAAAAAAATTCCAAGTGGATTAAAGACATAGTATGAAATGCAAAACTAAATTGTTTAGAATATATCTTAATTATCTTGGAGTAGGGAGAGATCTCACAAAATACAAAAAACATCAACCAAAAAGGAAAAGATTGATAATCTTGGCTACATTGAAATTAACATTAACCTATCAAAAGACAGTATAATAAAAGTGAAAGATGAGACTTAGAGTGGTAGAAGATACTTGCAGCATATATAACTAGTGATTAGTGTCTACAATATATTAAAAACTTTTATAAATCGGTAAGAAAATGGCAAATAACCCAGTTAAAATGACAAAAGACATAAACAGGAAATTGATAGAGAAGAGGAAACATGAAAAACTGCTTAACCCCTCACAAGTAATCAGGGAAATGCATAAAACAACACTGAGACATCGTTTTCTCATCTCGCAGATTGACACAAGTTAAAAAACATGATGAATGTGAGTGAGGAAGTTGAGCGAGTGTACTCAGCTGATGGAAATGTAATTTGGTACAACCATTTTGGGGAAGAATCTCACATTCTAGTAAGGCTGAAGATGTAATACCCTTCCACCCTGAATTTTCTAGGTGTGAACACAAGAGGATTTCTTACGCATGTACAACCGTGTATACACAGAGACATAGAAAAATGTTTATTGCAGTATCATTGACAATGCCACAGAATTGGAAATGCCAAGTGTCAATCAATGAATCGATGAATAAATTTTAAAACATTTATTTGATAAGTGTGTCAGGCAGTGAAAATGAAAGAACAAACAAGTCTCACTGGTTGCAGTGATCATGTTTTACTTTCATAATTTTCAACAGGAATATAATCAGCAAAATTGATTTTAATGGGAAAGCCACAAGAGAAAGAGAGAAAGTTCTGGGGATTGCCAAGGAAAAAGCATTTTGGAGATGAACCTCCTTTTTTTTTACCCATTAAAATATGATAATTTAACTTAGTCTCTTTCCATAGTAACACAAATTATTTTATATTCCACTGGAATATCTTCTTTGAAGTAACTGGTTCCGACCACATGAGGACAGCGTTTGCATGGAAATATTTCCTTCAAAGTAGTATAGTGGGAAAACACAGACACACACAAACTTTTTGTATTTAGATGTATTACTGTCTGGAGTGGATTCTGACACTGACCTTCAACTATCTTAGTCAATGGAAATTTTAAGTAAGTTACTGTCACAGCAAGTGTTGTGTTAGAATACTGTACTTCATTTTCATTAGTTTCGAGCCACTCAGCATCTCTATGCTGCAGATGTCAGGAAGGCTCATCTGGACTTTGGTGGTGTTTTTCTTTCAAGCTGTTTCTTTTCTAATAGCTGTTTATGTCAGTTTAGAAAATAAGTGGTACACATCTGCATCGGGGGAATTACTCAACTGTGATTATTTCACAAGGTTTTGTGACCTTTAGCGTGTATTTTTTTATTAACACCTCTAAGAGGAAAATGAAGCACTTTGCCCTCAGGGCTGGAAGAGAGATCTGACACTTGGTTCTGGTTAGATTTTCCACTACACTGTTTTTTGACCCAACACCAGATTCCACCCACTTTGTAAAAAAGTGGAAAGAAATGAATAGTTTCCTGTTTTGAAGTTAGCACCAGACCTATACTAGATTTTCAGCACTGATGGCAACAAATTATACACCGGGAGTTTAAGATAGCATTTTGAGGCCGGGTGTGGTGGCTTACGCCTGTAATCCCAGCAATTTGGGAGGCCAAGGTGGGTGGATCACCCTAGGTCAGGAGTTGGAGACCAGCCTGGCCAACATGGTGAAACCCCGTCTCTACTAAAAATACAAAAACTAGCCGGGCATGGTGGCATGCACCTGTAGTCCCAGCTACTCAGGAGGCTGAGGCAGGAGAGTCTCTTGAACCTGGGAGGTGGAGGTTGCAGTGAGCCGAGATCGTGCCACTGTACTCCAGCCTGGGTGACAGAGCGAGACTCCATCTAAAAAAAAAAATAGCATTTTGATTCAAACATCTTTCCCATAGTGTTTAGCTCACTGCCTTGTAGTTGAATGTCTTCCCTAATGAAAATAAACCTGATCAATCTATTCCCCAGCTGAAAATCCTTCAGTGGTTCCAAATGGCTTTCAAGACCTAGTTAATTCTGTGTTCAAAACTGTTTATAAATCACCCGTGCCTAACCGTTCAGTCTTATATTCATATTAGCCCAGCATGGTGGCTTATATCTGTAATTCCAATGCTTTGGGAGGTGGGAGGATTGCTTGAGGCCAGGAGTTTGAGACTAGCCTGGGCAAATAGTAAGACCCTGTCTCTACAAAAAAACTTTTTTAAAATTAGCCAGGCATGGTGGTGCCTGCTTGTAGTCACAGCTGCTTAGGAGGCTGAGGCAGGAGGATCGCTTGAGCCCAGGAGTTTGAGGCTGCAGTGAGCAATGGTTGCACCACTTCACTCCAGCCTGGATGACAGGGTGAGATCCTGTCTCAATTTAAAAATATATATATTCATATTAATAAGTTACTATATGCTAAGCACACATCACATGCCATCATTATGTTTCATATTTTATATACATGATCTCATTTATTCCTTGTTTTTAAAGATACTGTTTGCAAATTGGGAAACTAAGACTCAGAATTTAAAATATCTCTGCACAAACTGGGATTTGCACTTGGGTGTGTACTGCTCCAAAGTCATAACTATATACAGTCATTTGCTGTGCAATGATATGCAGATATGTATATTTTGTATATGTGTAATATATGATGGTCCCATAACATTATTATACCATACTTTTACTATACCTTTTCTATATTTAGATAGGTTGAGATGTACACTTACCATTGTGTTACAATTGCCTATGGTATTCAGTACAGTAGCATGCTGTAGTCATAGGCTATTCTATATAGCCTACATGTACAGTAGGCTCTACCATCTAGATTTGTATAAGTATGCTCTAGGATATTTGCACAACAACATCACATAACAGTGCATTTCTCAGAACGCATCCTCATTGCTAAGCAACACGTGACTATATTATACTTTTCTCATCTTTCCTCTCCTCACACCCATTTACTCACCAGTCAGTCTCAGCTACTCTCAGTTCCTTTCATACCTAATAACTTTTGCATATGTTTTTGCTTCTTCTTGGAATGTCTTTCTCCTCTCCTGTAACTGGTCAAATCCTCCTTTATTTAAGACTCAGCTTAGGCCAGTCATGGTGGCTCACACCTGTAATCCCAGCGCTTTGGGAGTCCGAGGTGGGCAGATCACTTAAGGTCAGGAATTCGAGACCAGCTATTGCCAACATGGTAAAACCCTGTCTTTACTAAAAATACAAAAATTAGCCAGGCATGGTGGTGCCTATAATCATAGCTACTTGGGAGGTGGAAACGGGAGCATCGCTTGAACCTGGGAGGCAGAGGTTGCAGTGAGCTGAGATCATGCCACTGCACTCCAGCCTGGGTGACAGAGGGAGGGAGACTCCATCTAAAAAAAAGCCTCTTCTTAAATTAAGCTGTAGTTATCCCTCCCTGATCCATTCAGTTCTGTTCATTGCCCCTGCTCTCAGTTACAGAGTCAGAGTCTTGAGAAGTTTTTCTTAAAATGTGTGTGTGGGAGTGGGGCAGAGGATTGGAGAGGGAATTGCCGATGTTACACTAAAAGAACCATTACCCTAAGCAATGTGGAAGTCCATTTTTAGGTTGAACCCCAATAAGGAAGTGATTCTTCTTTCCAAGAGGAGCAAAATAAGTCCATCTCTCTTAACTGAGGGTTAAAGTCACTAGGAGAGAGAAAATGCTGATTAAAGTAGTAACTGAAGTTTCCAAGTTAAAGAGAGTTACAGGGCCAAGAGAACAGACAAAGCCATTACTTGGGTTAACAAATCAAATAGGAGCCATATTTAAAGGCAAGATTTGAAATGAACTTTAAGCCCTTGCAGACATAAAGACCAAAAGGGCTTTGAAAGTAAGGGGCAACAGGCCGGGCGTGGTGGCTCACGCCTGTAATCTCAGCACTTTGGGAGGCCGAGGCGGGTGGATCACGAGGTCAGGAGATCGAGACCATCCTGGCTAACACGGTGAAACCCCATCTCTACTAAAAATACAAAAAATTAGCCAGGCATGGTGGCGGGCGCCTGTAGTCCCAGTTACTTGGGAGGCTGAGGCAGGAGAATGGCGTGAACCCAGGAGGCGGAGCTTGCAGTGAGCAGAGATCATGCCACTGCACTCCAGCCTGGGCAACAGATCAAGACTCCATCTCAAAAAAAAAAAAAAAAAACTGGAGCTAGGCTGGCGAGGCTGTGGAGAAATAGGAATGCTTTTACACTGTTGATGGGAGTGTAAATTAGTTCAACCATTGTGGAAACTGTGGCGATTCCTCAAGGATCTAGAACCAGAAATATCATTTGACCCAGCAATCCCATTACTGGGTATATACCCAAAGGATTATAAATCATTCTACTATAAAGACACATGCACACGTATGTTTATTGCAGCACTATTTACAATAGCAAAGACTTGGAACCAACCCAAATGCCCATCACTGATAGGCTGGATAAAGAAAATGTGGCACCTATACACCGTGGAATACTATGCAGCCATAAAAAAGAATGAGATCATGTCCCTTGCAGGGACACGGATGAAGCTGGAAATCATCATTCTCAGCAAACTAACACAGGAACAGAAAACCAAACACCAGATGTTCTCACTCATAAGTGGGAGGTGAACAGTTAGAATTCTTGGACACAGGGAGGGGAACATCACACACAGAGGCCTGTCGGGGTGGGGGGCAAGAGGAGGGGGAGCATTAGGACAAATACCTAATGCATGCGGGGCTTAAAACCTAGATGACAGGTTGATAGGTACAGCAAACCACCATGGCACATGTATACCCATGTAACAAACCTGCACATTCTGCACATGTATCCCGGAACTTAAAGTAAAAACAAACAAACAAACAAACAAACAAACCCCACAAAACTGGAGCTAGACTTTCACTTAGATTTGTAGCATGAATATTGCCTTTCTTATTTAGCTATTGCTTCTTCCTCCTTTTTTCTTTTATTTGCATGTATATCAGTTTTCTAGGTGCTGAGACTCTGGAAATTTCCAGGCTAAATTATGGTTCCATTTTCCTGAGAAGACTTTTTTAAAGATATGGCCTTATTAGTTCCCATTTCAAGTATTTTCTTTTTATCATTCATTTTGAAAATGTTATCAGAAAGAATGTAAATCAGCTTTTACCGAGGATGTGCCAAGTACCAGACAACTCTTTTTTTTTTCGAGACAGAGTCTTGCTCTGTCGCCCAGGCTGGAATACAATGAGATCTTGGCTAACTGCAACCTCCGCCTCCTGGGTTCAAGTAATTCTCCTGCCTCAGCCTCCCGAGTAGCTGGGATTATAGGTGCACGCCACCATGCCCAGCTAATTTTTGTATTTTTTAGTAGAGATGGGGTTTCACCATGTTGGCGAGGCTGGTCTCTAACTCCTGACCTCATGATCTGCCCGCCTTGGACTCCCAAAGGGCTGGGATTACAGGCATGAGCCACTGGGCCTGGCCCCAGACAACTTTTTCACATGCCTTTTCTCATTCAATTGCCAGCACAATCCCTATAATGTATTAATATCTCCATTATATAGAGGATGAAATAGATACTGATAGAGATTGAATAAACTGGTGGTAAGTGAGGAAGCTGGGATTTGAATAAGATCAAGGCTGATCGTACTACCCCAGGGTTTTCCAAATTTGGATGAGGTATAAATTTTGTTTTAAAGGAAGACATTTCCACAGACCCCTTCTGTTGACTAAAATTATTTTATGTTTCTTAAATAAACAAGCATAAAACTAGATGTAAACATCTCATGCCTATGGCATTTATAAAACCACAGAACTAAATCTAAGTATACAAATTAAATGGGAACAAAGCATCAATAAAATTCAAAATTCAAATTAACGTTACTAATGGGCAATGAATATCATTTTGTTGAAATGAAATGGAGGCTCGCAATATATTAGATTGATGCAAAAGTAATTGCGGTTTTCGCCATCACTTTTAATGTTTAAAGTTTAAAGCTGTTCTCTACGGCTTGGCATTTCTATCTGCTGTGGGATGATTCCATTTTGACGTTATTATTTTCTCTTTGAACTACTGTGAAAAATCCAAGATTTTTACAGCACATCGTGATAAAATTTAGCCTCTGCTGGACTCAGATGATTATTTTATTATGAAATCCATTGTTAAAGCAAACTAAATATGGCCTGAGAAGGACTCCATACTTCTATATTTGAGTCCTTGTGGATGAACTGCAACCTAACCTAACGTAATTAATTAGTAGACAAGATTAAAAACCTAATTTAGGAGTATGTGCCTGTAACAATAGATGAGTCTCGGCCAATCCCAGCGGCTGTGCTTCAACCAGTCATACGCTGCTGAGTGTTCAAACTGTGTTCAAACAAAGTAAACGCCAACCTGTAACCAATCCAGCTTTTTCTGTACCTCACTGCCGATTCCTGTATGTCACTTTACTTTTTTGTGTCTATAAATCTGTTCTGACCATGAGGCACCCCTGGTCTGAGTCTGTTGTGATTCTGGGGGCTGCCTGATTGGCGAATCATTCATTGTTCAATGAAACTCCTTTAAATTTAATTTGGCTGAAGTTTTTCTTTTAACACCACCTCTGGTCTTGTTTCATTAGTGCATGGTAATAAAAATAGAATTATGTTACTGGAATGTCTACTCCTTGAGGGTGGGTCGTTTGTCTGTCTTTTTCACTGTCGTTTTCTTAGTATCTATAATAGTGCGTGGCACATAGAAGGTGTTCAGTAAATATTTCCTGACTGTAGGAGTTGATGAATGAAGAAATACTTGGTTCTAGTACATTGTTATAGGCAAATGCAAGCCCTGAACTCTGGGGGGCAGTAACATTGTCAGATGGTCATCCAGAGGCTTAAACAATGTGTTAATATTGCTGATACAGTGTTCTGAGAAATTAATTATTGATTGATTTCTCTCTGTGATTTTCTTCTACAGCTCTTCCCTTTCTTCCTGCCCCAGCCACTCAAGCAGGTGCTTGGGTTCTATGCTGATGACCTTGTTGGAGAGATGTGATTGGTCAGAAAAGCAGCAACTGGGCTGGGCACGGTGGCTCACACCTGTAATCCCAGCACTTTGGGAGGCCAAGGTGGACAGATCATTTGAGCCCAGGAGTTCAAGACCAGCTTGGGCAACATGGCAAAACCCCCGTCTCTACAAAAAAAAACACAAAAACTAGCCAGGCATTGTGGTATGCCCCTGAAGTCCCAGCTACTTGGCAGGCTGAGGCAGGAGGACGGCTTAAGCCCAGAGGTGGAGATTGCAGTGAACCGAGATCACGACACTGTACTCCAGCCTGGGTGACAGAGCGAGACCCCATCTCAAAAAATAAATAAATAAAAGTAATTAAAAAAAAGAAGGAAAGAAAAAAGAAAAGCAGCTGTTGCTCGCAAGCTTCTTGGTTTGTGTTCCCTAAATTTCCAGATGATAGGGGCATTTCAGAGTACACCCTTCTTCAGTGTGTTGGTTATCTTCCATTCCTGCCTCCACACCTACTCTGCATCTCCACCCTTATCTGTGCCCCTGAGGGCTGACCTGTATGAATTGCATAATTGGGCCCTCTTGCCTTTTGGCTTCTGCTTAGATTTGGTCAGCGGGAGGCACTAGGCTGAGGTTGGAGGGCCACATCTCAGGGGCCACTTGTTTAGACAGATGTCATCCCTCCCACACCACACCCCCACGTCCTTTGGTGTTGAGCTCTGTGAAAGGCCATGAAATTGGGACAAAACCCTGGAGATGTGGGGTGAGGGGAAGAAAGAGACCTGAGGTTAAGTTGCCTGTCCTCCTGGTAGAATGGTAGACTCAAAATTAGAAATTAAGTTTAATTATAGAAAATTATGTATTTACATATATAGATGTGCACGCTGGGATTCATACCTTCCATGGTTTTGTTTTAAAGGTTATCATTGCAATGGAAATCCAAAACGTAAGAACTGTCGTAGTGATCTCAATGGGCTCCACCCATGAATCCAATCTGAGAAACACTACACTACATTATGCGAAACTTTGGGTTATAGCATTCTAAAAGCTGGTTTCTTGTGAGCATGAATAAAAGTTGTGATTAAAAGTTACACTCTGGGAGGCAGCAAAACATAGTGGATAAGAATAAGAAATCTGGACTCAAAATCCAGCTTTGCTACTTACCAGCACTATGATTTTCAGTGAGTTGCTTAATCTCTCTGTGCATGTTTCCTCACTTGTAAAACAACACAAAATTTTGAGGATTAAGTAAGATAATATGTGAAAATGACTTAGAATGGTGCGTATGATCTGCTCCCAATAACTGCTTTTATAATTATTATTACTATGACTTCAGTAGTCATTCAAGTGTTCCTTTATTTCACTAATGTTTACTTACCACAAACGCTGCAACGTGCAGCAGGAGGTATTCACGCAGACATGAATAAAGCATTCATCTGCTTCTAAGCAGCTGGTTACCTGTTCACCAAAAAATCTATTCCTTCTTTTTCTTGGGCATGTAGCTAGACTACATTTCTAGCACCCTTGCAGGTAGGCATAGCACATAAATGAGTTCTAGCCAATGGTTTGTCAGTAGAAGCTTTTTATATGTCACTTTTGAGCCAGGGTTTTAAAGAGGCACATATGCCCTCTTCATCCTCATTCTCTTTCTAGATTCTTGATGCAGAAGATGACAAAGCCCTGAGAAATGACAGAACCTGGGTTCCTGAATCACTATGTGGAAGAGAGCTGTCAAGCAACTAGGAATATCTACCTCACACTGAATTAGGGCAAGAAGTAAACTTCTATTTGTCTTTGAACCTTATATACTATTATAAGGGTCTGTTTGTTATAGCAACTAGTATCATCCTAATTACTGCCTTCTTCTTCTAATTGATGGAACCATGATGGAAAGGGTACATACATTGCAATCACGGATGCTGTCTATTTGGATTCAAATTTTTAGGAGAGTGGGGAAGAAGCTAGAAAAATGGGATCCTTCTACATCTTGTCTTTTTATTGAAGTCAGACCCCTTTCAGATCCTCCTGATCTCACCATTGTGTCTCACCCTGGCCAGTATTTTCCCCGACCTTTCCTTCATCATTTTCTTTGTTTTTAAGGCTCCCAGACAGCAGCCTCCTCGGTTCAACCATGAATGGCATCCGCTAAAAGTGCTGACCCCTCTTTAATATCTGGGTCATGCTTTGTGTGTCTTTTTGCATTAGTGTGATGAAAAGGACTTCCTTTGGTTCCTTTCCCAAATGATCAATTGGTAATTTGTACAGTAGGTTGAAAGGTTGATCCTGCAAAAGTTCATAAATAACATGACTTATTAATCAAAGAAATTTCATAATACACAAGGCATTTACAGTTTCTTTTAAAATAAGATTTGTGATTATTTTTGGAAAATGTTTTAAAATTCCAGATTAAGTGCACATTTACTTCTTTTTTTTTCTTTTCATACCTTTTATTTTTATTCTAGATTCAGGGAGCACATGTGCAGGTTTGTTACAAGGGTATATTGCATGATGCTGAGGTTTGGGCTTCGTTGATCCCATCACCCAGCTAGTGAACACACCACAGTACCCAATAGAAGAATTTTAAGTCCTTCCCCCTACACCTTTACTAAATGGCAAGAACAGGTAGTGGTTTCCCATACTGTTTTATCACCATCCTCCTGGCTAACTTCTTATGACATGGACAGGCACCCATGTAGCAAATCTGCATCTGCACCTAGACAGGCCTGTGCAGAGTAGACTTATGTGAACATTGGTTTGGAGGGTACTACTGTGATTCAGGACAGCTCAGGGAGGCCCGGCATGGTCAGTTCCAGCATGGCCCTGCTCCAGGCTGTCTGGAGGCCTCCCTAAAGGAAGGTGTGGGTGGTGTCCAGTTCTCTTCTTTCTCCAGGACACAGCCAGTTTGCAACCCTGGCTCAAGAGGTGTAATAACACAACTAAAAGAAAATCATAGGCTCATTTTTACCTGGAGTTGCCAACTGTCCTGGATTGACTGTTCTCATCTCATAAGCAAGCCTGAATTTCAGAAATATAAGAACTTCGGAAACATTGCAAGTTCTCTCTCTCTCTCTCTCTCTCTCTCTCTCCCCCAAGCCCCTAAACCAAAAGAAGGCAATACTTCTTAAGTTGCTATATGCAGATTCAAGTACCTATATTGATAATATTTGCTATCAGGACTTCATTTTACATTTTAAAATAATATGCCACCTCTGAAAAAAATTATTGTTTTGGCAGGTTTTCAGGAAACAAATGCTCACCATGTGAGATTTTAGAAAAAAGGAAGGGAAATTAGTCACTCAATACTTTGAAGCATCCAGCAACTTCTAAATCCCTGGAAAAATCAACACAAGGCAGACCTCTTGCAGATTTCTTAACTTTTCTCTTCTCCTAGGAGATGCCAGTGTCTCAGCTGGCTGGAACACAATTTGTGAGCCAGGATTGGCCCAATCCAAATTGTGGTTTTTCATTCTTCTATAGCAGTGGCTTCCAAATGGGCAATAACAGCCACAGCCTAAAGTGTGCACCTGAAAACTAGGCAGAGTGGGATCTGGCACTATAGGCATTTTTTCTGATCTGCTCCATAGAGGGTGTCATGTTCTGGCCAGTCACTAGAGTAGGAGTGACCACCCACTGGGCAAAGAGCTTATGGGAGAAACTATGGATTCCACAGCCTCGCATTACTCCCAGGGTAAGTTGCCAAGGAAACGCACAAACTTAAGTACCAAAGAGTCTCACATCACATATCTGCCCTGAACTTACCACGGCAGGAGAATTAACCAGCTACCTACCACTTACCAGCAGGGTGAAAGAGAAAGATCACAGGGTCTTGGTGCTTGCTGAAAATGGACTGCTGCTACAATATAGTCCCTCTTGGGGTGGCCCTAAGGAACATGGGCAGAAATGTAAGCTGTACACTTGGTGGTTCACTTTATAAACAGGGAGAAATGGCCTGAGAACAGATTGGCATGGACTCTGGGGCAAGGATGAATGGCTTGGCTGCTTAAGTGGTCAGGGCCCAGAAGGAACCAGATAGGAAGGTCCGTGAAAAGAAAATGTAAGGGAGAAGCATGAGGATGAACCTACAGTTGCAGACACAAAGTATGTGTATCTTTGTAACTTAGATTAAATTAATGCCCACCAGGGAGCTCCCACTATAGAGGAAGCTCTGAACAATAAAGTGGACAGGATGTCTCCTTTTGTGGATGTGGACAGCTAATGCTGAGCCTTCACCATGACACCATTTCTTAAGGAGACCAGACCAGCCACTTGGTAGCAGATTGATTTCAATTTCACTTTGTCTTTATCAGAATCGATTACCTATGCTGCCCATATGTCTCGGTTAGCACCCATCCCAGCACTTACAGAATACCCGATTGTAGCAATGGGCACATGGTCATGAGATCCACTGCTCTTATCAGTTATTGGATCAACTGGAAGTAGCTAGTCTAACAGGAGAGTGGAAAGATTATTTGAAGGCTCAGGTAGGGTGCTAGCTTTGGGGCAATAGCCTGTAGGATTAGGGCACTGTTCTCCAGCAGGTAGTATATGCATGAAAACAGTGGCTATGGTGCTATGTTCCTGATAACTAGAACTCACAGGTACAGGAGCTGGGGAGTAGAAGTAGCTTTGGATTCCTTTACAATCACTGCTTCTCAAGCTTACGGCTTTAGGTTCTGCCATATTCATGGCTCTGGTTCTCACAGGGGAAACCAGGCAGTCGTTGAACTTGAAGCCGTGACTACTGCCAGGTCCTTTGAAGCTATTCAATGTCAGTGAACAAACTGGCAAAGAAAAGAATTACTACATTGACAGGTGAAATTGACCCTAATTACCAAGAGGAGCTAGGGCTGCTCTGACATCATGGAGTGTGACTGGAACCTGGGGGACTCAGTGGGGCATCTCTTGGTTCTTCCATGCTCAGGGGATAACAGGAAATGGGAAAGTGCAATAGCTGTGGCTCGATGAGGCCAGGCCGAGGCAGCCAAGGACTCAGTGCTGAAGTTCTGGGTCTGCCCATCAGTCAGGCAGCCTGGACTCCCCAGAGTGCCGGCCAATGGTGAGTGAAATCAAGAATGGTGGTGAGGGAGGGAAGTGAAGGTTTATCTATCTTGGGATCTGCTTTCCAGGGAACTCAAGAATGGCCCCCTCACCTGGCACAACATCTGGAACATAATGGGGGGGCCCTGTGTTGTTGACTGTGTGAATCTTTGATGAATACCTGAATGAGTAACTGTGCACAGTGCCCTGCAGTGAAAGTGCTCAAGTTAATTCATGTTTGAGAAGTGCTTCGGGATCTCAGGGGAGTCTGCATGCGAATGTGTGGCACTCCCAGCTCCTGCTTCAGCAAGGTGCTCTGCGTGTCCTTCCCACAGAACCAGGGTTCTTGTGGTGAAGGCTCACACACAACTTTGGAAGTGCACCAAACCACCTCTCTCCTTGCTTCCTCAAGACACTGTGTCACAAGCAGGAATTCATTATTCCTGCAAGTCAGAGTGACACAGAGAAATACAAGCCTTTGGGCCTAGCCATTTTCTTTCTCTCAAATAAAAAAGCCAAGTCACACATGGCTACAATTTGAATGCAATGTCACTTTCACACTTTATTGCTGCACACACAAACCAGCTGGATGTTTTTGGAAGTGACTGACTGAATTTAGTTTTTAAATTATCCCATGTACCTTATTTCAATAAATGACCAAAATAGCCAGTGCACGTAATATAATTACAGTGTTGACAGTGGTCTAAGGCTCAGTGAGATGAAACATTGCTTTCCCTCCACCCCTTCATTTCTCTCTTCTGAGATCAGTTGGTTGGAGATGAATTCTCAACTTATGAGCTATTTCTTGAAATGGCCTGGATGGGCCCAGAAGTGTTTTTGCCTAGCTCCTGATCATGAAAGCAGAAACTTTGCAGATAGGGTCATAAAATCTATCAGCCTTTCACTCAATTCCCATAATATTGCTTCCTCTTAGTCTTGACATACTAGTGGTTTGGCTCAATGATTCTCAACTCATAGGTCTCCAGCCCATTCTCAAATCCTAAAATTTTTGGTGGCATACCTGAAGAGAATGAAATACCCAAAACCACAGTAAATGAGTAAGCAGTAATTACCACGCCATCACTATTAGGGTTTAACACTTTCTCATGCTGTCTATAAAAGCATCCACAGTTATTGCCTCATTCACCTGGCATTTTTTCAGGCCGAAGGTGTTTGAGAAGAGCTTTTCACTGCCTTGACCTTTCAATGACATGCTTAAATAAGTATAAAATTCAACTTTGGTACTGGCCCAATAAAAATATACATTTTGTGTGGCACATATACACCATGAAATACTGCTCAGTCATAAAAAAGAATACAATCACGTCTTTTGCAGCAACATGGATGGAGCCGGAGGCCGATATCCTAAGTGAAATCACTCAGAGACATAAAGTCAAATATCACATCTTCTCACTCATAAGTGAGAGCTAAATAATTAGTACGCATGGACATAGAGAGTGGAATAATAGACTCCAAAAGGCGGGAAGGGGTTAGGGGATGAAAACAGTACCCACTGGGGACAATGTACACTATTCAGGTGATGGGTACACAAAAAGCCCAGACCTCACCACTACATGATATATCTATGTAACAAAACTACACTCATACCCCTTAAATCTATAAAAATAAAAATAAAAAATACATTTTGCTCCTACAATTACAGAGAGTTGCATATAGCTCTATATCCCTCTTCACAGCCTTCTCACCTTTGTGTTTCATCTTTTGAATATGTCTGCAACAGTAAGAATTCTAGCTGTACCAAAAATGAAATGTATACCATGATAGAAATTTGGCTGCATGTTAGCAATGGGTTTGTGGGATGCCACAGTGCTACATGAGACCTACCAGTTAAGAACCATGGGTCTGGCTAGTCCTGATGGCTTCTGTGAAGAAAGAAGCACAAGGGTGATGAGTTATGTTTGTTTAGATAAAGTTATCCAAAAATTAGGTAAAAGGATGACCATAGATGTGTGCATATGTCACCCTGCAGTGTTGACCCACCAGCCCATCCAAGGGCCATCTGAACCTCCAGGGGAATGTAACTTTGATGACTATATTGATTGTGGCTCAAACACTATAAAGTTAGATGTTAATGAAGGTAATTGGTAAGCTGCAAATGATTTTTGTCTGGCAGAGGGGCAGTTAACTTCTCTTTGGCTAAAAATATAATTCCAAAGGTTATGACTCCATTGCCCTGTGGGACAATTTTGTATCTAATTTAGTGGTCTTATTCTAAGAATCTTTATTTTTTTAATATATACTTTATTTTTCTATAACAGTTTTAGATGTACAGAAAAATTGAGAAGATTGTACTGAGGGTTTCCTTATACCCTGCACTCAGTTTTCCCTATTATGAACATCTTACATTAGCATGATACATGTTATAATGAGTGAACTGATATTGATACATCATTATTAACCAAAGTTTTCCTTAGTGGTTTTTTGTTTGTTTGTTTTTGCTTTTGTTTTTTTTTTTGGAGACAGAATTTCGCTCTTGCTGCCCAGGCTGGAGTGCAATGGTGCAGTCTCAGCTCACCGCAACCTCTGCCTCCCAGGTTCAAGTGATTCTCCTGCCTCTGCCTCCCGAGTAGCTGGGATTACAGGCATGCACCACCACGCCCAGCTAATTTTGTATTTTTAGTAGAGATGTTGATCTTCATCACCGGGCTAAGGTAGCGTTTGTCAGGTTTCTCCACCGCAAACTCACTCTTCCTCTTCCTTTCCATGCTGTGCTCTTTGGAAAGAAGTTATCTGCAGCCCACACCTAAGGAGTGAGGAGTTGTACTCCCCATCCTTGAGGATGGAGTAGCTACATAAATCATTTGGAATTCTTCTTCATGGGAGAGTTGTCTCTTCTCCTCCACTTAATAAATTATTCAATCATTTATTTTAACACTGTGGACTCATGGATGCTGCATATTGGGTTTATTTGTTGATACTGGGGTATTTTTTCTCTTGGGCTTGCAGTGAACAGAGCACAGAAATATATTTATGTATGTTAACTCATATATATATACACACATATCTATGCATACATAACATCTGTATCTATATGAAGCCAAACATGAGTTCATACTGATATCTCCAAGTCAAATCCACGACTGCATGGATCTTTCTAGCCTCCTTCTAGCTTATCCTTAAGTCTCACTCCAAGAGTGAGACACTGCCCCCTGCATCTGCCATCCATTTATTTAATTGATCAATTCCAGTAAACATGTATAGCAGCAGCAGAATTGTTCATCTGTGCCCCATGAGAAACCACTTCATTAATCAGGGGACAGTGGTGGTGTGCAGGTCCTTTTGCCTTTCGTCTTGCAGACCTCACTCATTTCCAGAGTTACTAGGTCAGCACATTTCCCCCCACCCTCTTCAGTGAGGTTGTTTCGTACATTTGTAATATAGTTAGATTCTCATGTTACAGACTGCATTTCTTCTTGGGATCCTTTGACCTCTTAAATGATTTTTTAAAAATTTTTAAACGTTAAAGTTCACTCTTTGTGCTGTAAAGTTCTATGGGTTTTGACAAATGTAAAACATCGTGCATCTATCATCACAATTCCCATACCGTTTTACTGTCCTAAAAATCTCCTGTGTGCCACATAGTCACCCCTCTCCCCTCCCCTCCCTTTTCCTTCCTGGCAACTACTAATCTTTTTTTGTTTGTTTGTTTTTAGTTTTTGCTAGAGATAGAATCTTTTTATGTCCCTACATTGCTAAGGCTGGTCTCACACTCCTGGCCTATGTCACAAAAGCAATATTTACATCATCCTAGAGGCAGAAGCATTTTATAAAAGTAGCACATCAAGTCATGATTGTCAAAAAGTTAAAAACATAATTTTTAAATAGGCAGTTCTCCCACCTCAGCCTCCCACAGTGCTGGGATTATAGGCATAAGCCACCATACCTGGTCCTGATCATCTTATTGTCTCCATAGTCTTGTCTTTTCCAGAATGTTACATAATTGGAATTATACAGTATGTAGCCTTTTCAGACTGGCTTCTTTCCGTTAGCAATGTGCATTTAAGGTTATGTCCTAGCTTTTTGTGGCTTGATATCTCATTTCTTTTTGTTGCCAAATTACATTCCATTGACAGGTATACCACAGTTAGTTTATCCATTCACCTATTGAAAAACATATTGTTGTTTCCAGTTTTTGGCATTATGAATAAAGCTGCTACAAACATTCATGCCTATAACCGTTTTTTCATTATCTATATCCTGACTCTGTAAGACGTGGATGTCCATGTCCTGTTTACTTTAAACCAGGTTTTCCATCCTGCTAGCTCCATCATTAATAACATGTACCCATTGTATATGTGTAGGAAAATATGTTTTTTAAAATTATTTTTAGAGATGGGGACTCACTGTGTTGCTCACACTGGTCTCGGACTCTTGGCCTCAACCCATCTTCCTGCCTCAACCTCCTCCTGAGAGCCGGGATTACGGGTGCAAGCCACCATGCCTGGCATGAAAATTATGTTTTTAACTTTTTGACAATCATGACTTGATGTGCTACTTTTATAAAATGCCTCTGCTTCTAGGATGATGTAAATATTGCTTTTGTGACACAGGGCACATGCCACGTGACGTGACTTCAGGCTCGCTGCTAACCTCATTTCCATAGGCAGGAAACTTGATGTGGCCTTGGGCTGGGTGTGGACTTCTAACACTGAGCCAAAGGAACATTTCTGACCAGTGGTGCTATTTTTGGTGACGTCTTACAAGAGTGGTTTTGAAGGTACCACTTTGCTTTTAAAGCTAATTAAGATGATTCTGTGTGCCCTGAAACGGTAGGTCACATTATGACTCCCAATTATATTATTATTATATTGTAAGGAGAGTGGGAAAATAGTGGAATGGAGATAGGACTAGGTTTAGGGCTCTGCTACCCAGCAGCAAGTCCATTAACACTCTGAGCCCCAGGGTCCTCATTTTGTAAAGTAGAAGCATAATAGCAACATAATAATAATAGGACTGATAAAATATCTTAATCCATAGAGGTATTTGGCCCTAAATAGATAAAATTATATGTGTGAAATAGTTTCTTTCTTTCTTTTTTTTTTTTTGAGGTGGAGTTTTACTCTTGTCACTCAGGCTGGAGTGCAGTGGTGCGATCTCAGCTCACTGCAACCTCCACCTCCCAGGTTCAAGCAATTCCCCTGCCTCAGCCTCCCGAGTAGCTGGGATTACAGGCACGTGCCGCTACACCCAGCTAATTTTGCATTTTTAGTAGAGACAGGGTTTCACCATGTTGGCCAGGCTGGTCTCGAACTCCTGACCTCAAGTGATCCACCCGCCTTGGCCTCCCAAAGTGCTGGGATTACAAGCATGAGCCACCACACCCAGCTCTGTGAAATAATTTCTAAGCACTATAGAAGAATAAATTATATGTCTACTGTAAGTATTGGCAAACTTTTTCTGCAAAGGGACAGATAGTGAATATTTTCAGCTTTGCAGGCCATTATGGTTTCTGTTGCAACTATTCAGCTCTGCCATTGTAGTTCAAAAGCAGCCATAGACAGTACACAATGAACACAGCTGTGTTCCAATAAAACTTTATTTATAAAAACAGACAGTGGGCTGTATTTGGCCTGTGGACTGTAGGATGATGATCCCCAGTCTAGTATGAGCATGGAAAGAAATAACCTTTCTCTTGAGATTTCTTCCAAATACAGTGCTAGGGAGGACATTTAATAATTTAGCCACTGTATTGATTCGCAGACTACAAAGTCCCTAGGTGGGATTAAGGAGTTGCTCGTCAGCCCAACTCTTTTTTTTTTTTTTTTTTTTTAGACAGAGTCTTGCTGGTGTCACTCAGGCTGGAGTGCAGTGGTGAGAACACTGTTCATTGCAGCCTCGACCTGCTGGGCTCAAGCAATCTTCATGCCTTAGCCTCCCTTGTAGCTGGGCCCATAGTTGTGCACCACCACAACCAGCTAATTTTTTTAAGTTTAATTTTTGGTAGCGGTGGAGTCTCACCTTGTTGCCCAGGCTGGTCTCAAACTCCTCAGCCCAACTCTTTAAAAAACACAGCTTCTTCCTTGCTCTCTTCTCAGGGTCTCATCTTTCCTATGGGTGGAGCTAACCTCCTCTTTAAGGAGCGGCCACTCTTTTGTCTATCCATAAAACTGCTCAGCCATTCATCTGGGCCATATTATTAGGTGTCTGGGCTGACTAAAAGCTGTTATTTCCTAAGCTGCACCAGGGACTTGAAAGATAGAATGACAAGGAAAGGAAGGAAACCAAGACTGCAGCTTGCATTTTAGGAGCCAGATGCTGTGCTAGGTGCTTTTCCTACATTAATGAAATGAAATTTGCAAGAATTCTGTGAGACAGGTATTAGTACATTCATTTTATATTTAGTACATGTATTTAATTTTACAGTTAGCCCATTCAGCTTCTCGTATATGTCAGTTTCTTGAGTACTGACTTCCCAATTTCCACAGGGAGCAGAAAATTTAATTTCATCAATTCAAAGTAACTCAGTCCCTTCTGGATCTAAATATGATTCCTACAGTTTCAAACTCAATTAATGCAAGATCTTCCTTCTCCCCCTCCTTCCCCTCCCCTAGGATGTTCTAGGTTTCTAGGAGGTTGGCATGTGTATCATCCTGCGATGAGAGGCGTTCAGCTGCACGCTGACCTCTGCCTTTGCTGAGTTCTGTTGAGAGCTGTCTTTTCTGGTCCTCATGGTCCTCTTGGGTTTCCTATCATGTTTGTGAAGATCACACACTCTTCTTATCTCTAGCCCTGGCTTCTTTGGTATTGTGGCTTGTGTTCAGTCACTTTCCTGTTCCTTGAGGGGCTCACAGGCACCTTTGGCTTATGGTTCTGTGAGACTGCCCTGAAGTTCATCTGACCAGGGCACTCCCTCAGCCATTGCCGGGTGTCTTAGTCCATTCGGGGTGCTGCTATAACAAACTGCTATAAACTGAGTGGCCTGTAAACAAGACATTTATTTCTCACATTTCTGGAGGCTGGGAAGTGAAGAACCAAGATGCTGGCAGATTTAGTATCTGGTGAGGGCCTGCTTCCTAGTTCATAGATGGCTCCTGCTTGCCGTGTCCTCACAGGGCACAGAGAGAGAAAGAGAGAGAGAGACAGAGAGAGAGAGAGAAAGTTAGCCCCGCTCATGTCTCTTCTTATAAGGGTGCTAATCCCATTCATAAGAGCTCCACTCCATACCTAATCACCTCCCAAAAACCCCATCTCCTAATACCATCACCCTAGGGGCCAGGATTTCCTCATATGAATTTGGGGGGGATATAAGCACTTAGACCAGAGCACTAGGCTACCACTCTGCAGCCATCTGGGATGCGAGCCTTCTCCATAAGACTTGAATTCTCCTGAGCTGCTCTGTGGGGAGCCAGGCAATGCTGTCTCTGGCCCTGGAGACAGTCTAAGGGTATCTGGGGTTTCTCTTTTATTTTCTAAATAAGTGGCATCAGTTTGCAAGCCCTCCCCAGCTGTGTAAGTGGTTTTGAGCAGTCTCTGCTGTCTTACCCCAGGAGGGCTAGCTGCTGTCTTTGTCTTGGATGACAGATTTTTTTTTTTCTTTCTGGAACTGCCTCCTAAATGCCCTGCGATAGCCAAGTTTCCAAGGAAAACGGCCACACAGAGCTCTGTCCACACAAGTGACTCACTGATGTGCCTCATGCCACCTCTAGGCTCTCCTGAGTTTTGCACGGCTTTATAGTCTCATACTAACTACATAAGGAGCTGAGACAGGGCTGGGCAGAGGGCAGAGTGGCTGCCATCAGTCATGCGACTGGAACCAGTGTGTCTGACAAAAGACGACAATGTCACGCATACTCTCAAACAGCAGCTCTGCCAAGAATGGCGCATCCTTGGCTGGGAGAGGCAGCCTGTCACCTTCTCCTGTGGTGACAAACCCTTGGTTGTTTGTTTCATTTCTTCTAGAAACAAATATGACAAGCTTGAGATCAGATTAAATATAGATCAGTTTAGGATTCTGTTTGTTTATTTGTTTTCTTTTTTTCTTTCTTTTTTTTTTTTTTTGAGAAGGAGTCTCGCTCTGTTGCCCAGGCTGGAGTGCAGTGGCGCGATCTCGACTCACTGCAAGCTCCGCCTCCTGGGTTCACGCCATTCTCCTGCCTCAGCCTCTTGAGTTGCTGGGACTACAGGTGCCCGCCACCACGCCTGGCTAATTTTTTTGTATTTTTAGTAGAGACGGGGTTTCACCATGTTAGCCAGGATGGTCTCAATCTCCTGACCTCATGATCCACTCACCTCGGCCTCCCAAAATGCTGGGATTACAGGCGTGAGCCACCGCACCCGGCCAGGATTCTGTTTGTTTTTTAATTCAATCCGATTCCTATTTATTGGGTGCATTTCATGTATAAGGCGCTGGGCCAGGTGATGAAAAAATGTAAAATAGTCCTTTTCTGCAGATGAAGGATGAGAAGGGAAAAAAAGTAAGAAAAGAAAGAGACCTAGCTACAGCCTCAAGAGATGCCTATTGCCTTGTGAGGGGAGGGGTAGACAAATACTCCGGGAACTCAAAAATCCCGGCAGAGGGTCAGTGCCTTCAGAGGAACAAAGGACGCATGAGAGAGTTTAAAAAGTTGTTCTGGTTGGTGTCTTCATGGAGGATGTAGCATTGAGGCAGAATTTGTAAGGAGGGCCAGATTTCATTGGGTGGAGGTGTGGATGAGGGGTATTCCACCTGAGGAAGCCAATCAGGGATATAGAAATTCCGGAATTCTTGGCCCTCTACAGACCCCAGACCACCTGCTATTAGAAGGAGGTCCCAGTTTGTTCCCCTGCTTTTTTTTTTTTTTCTCCAGGACTGTCTGAAACTTCAGTTATTGTATGAAGTTCCCAGCTCCCTTGAGTATGGAAATACACAAAAAGTGCTTTTCTGGGAAAATGGAGAATAGCTGGCCTTGGGAATGTGAAAGGAAATTAAATTTGGGGACCCCAAAATCATTTAGCGAAAGGGAAAAGTCGAGCTGGGAAGTGGGTCACACACACCTGCCTCCTCCTTCTGGTTCCTAAACAAGATGGCTACAAGATGAAAACTACCAGCCTGCCCCATATTTTGCTCATAAGGAAATTCCTGGTGAGCTGTTAAAACTTCACCATGGAAACGCAGATTGATAGCTTATCTTCACAGGTGCAGTCACTCTGACTGCCAGACACAAATGCATATCTGATTGTTCCCTACCCCATTTTGTCTGTGTTGTCTTATGCAAAATGCAGAGTCCCCACACTATTCCTCTGCCCTTTTTATGTGAAAACTGCGTGCTTCTCAATGTCCCTGCCCTTTCCCCTTTAAATTTGGAGCCCTCAAAATCATCTTTGGAAAAAGACATAGACCTGTCTCCCAGGTGTGTCCTTAACTTTTGCAAATGAATCTTCTAAAATGATTGATACTTGTCTTGTCATTTTCCTCCATTGACAGGAAAAAGGATAGGAAGTCTGTCCTAGAAAGACAGAGATAGTAGGAGAAGCGGGGGGACAGAGCTGACTTTGCGTGTAGAGGAAAGGAGTAACAAGTCAATGGAAGTGACAATGGACCTCTTAATGCTTCAGAATACCACAAAGAAGGGGCAACCGAGTGAGAAAAAAAGAGATGTGTGTGTAGGTGTGTGTGGAGAGAGTGGATTTGAAGGATGAAGGCAGAGCTGTGTCTGTGGCCATTTGCTTCTGTTTCTTTGGGCTAGCCCCGGTCCCGTCAATCAGATAATTCATCCAGGAAGAGCCTTTTGGCACATACCTTGGGCTCTGAGGAGCTCTGTCCTGAACATTTGGGCTCTTTCTGTAGTGGAGGTGGCCCTGTCCCCTGAAGGCACAAAATTACAGTCAGTGTTACAGGAGAAAGCACTGCAGGCCAGGATCACAGCGCCGAAGTGACAACGGGGATCACCTCCATGGGCCTGATACTGGACTCCAAATGTGTTACCTGCATTTTCTAATTGAATCCCCACAAAACCTCAGGTGGTCACCAGTGACCGTAGAGAGCCCCTTTTTAGGAGGGCCGTGGGAGCCAGATCTGCAAGGCGTAAAGGAGTGTGAAGGCAGAAGGGGACGGGTGCTTGCAGGTGTGGACCATTCTTTTAAGAAGTGTGCCAGTGACAGGAAGGGGGCAGAAAAGGTGGCAATTTAAAAGAGAAAAAGAAAATTCTTTTTTACAGTTTTCTTTTTACTAAAACAATTCTTTTTTGGAATGAGAGGAACTGAGGGGAAGGGAAGGAACAAGCAGCAGAGAAGAGGCTGAGAATGCAAGAGAGGGCTCCCTGGAATGGCCTGTTCTCTGAGGGAGGAAAGGGGCGGCACCTTCCAGCGGTGCAGGTGCAGTGAGTTAGTTCTGGTTCTGGGAACAGGCATGGAGGGAATGGGGGACACAGCTGGAGGGGAGTTCTGTGGCCCAGGTGAGAGAAGCTTCTTCACCAATGAAGAAGGGATAAATAGGTAAAGGCACAGATATCGATATAGTTTGGCTGTGTCTCCACCCAAATCTCACCTTGAGTTGTAGCCCCCATGATTCCCACATGTTGTGGGAGGAACCTAGTGGGAGGTAATAATTGAATCATGGGGTGAGTCTTTCCCATGCTGTTCTCGTGACAGTGCATACATCTCACGAGATCTGATGGTTTTATAAAGGGCAGTTCCCCTGCACATGCTCTGTTGCCTGCTGCTATGTAAGACATGACTTTGTTTCTCCTTTGCATTCCACCATGATTGTGAGGTCTCCCCAGCCATGTGGAACTGTGAGTCCATTAAACCTCTTTCCTTTATAAATTACCCAGTCTCGGGTATGTCTTTATTAGCCTTGTGAGAACAGACTAATACAGATAGATATTAAAGTGGGCGGGAAGGAGTTTGAAGAGCACATTTCATTGGCCTCAACCTTTTTAATAAAACAGGAGAAATAGACATTTACTGCGAGTGAAGGAGGCATGGAGGGTGTTATGGGCTGGATTGTGTCCCCCAGCATTCCTATGTTGAAGTCCTAACCCCTAATGCCTCAGAATATGACTGTATTTGGAGATAGGGTCTTTAATGAGGTAATTAAATTAAGTGCCTGTTGTGGCAGGTGCCCATCAGTGAGCTGAATTTCAGAGGGAGGAAAACTGTCTCCACAGGCGGAGGAAAACCGCAATGCCAGACACCAGGGCCAGCTGACCAAGGAGCCACTTCTTACGCAGACTCTGGAAAATGCAATGCATGGGACCTTGCTGGCTGGGAAGGAAAATGAAAACAGGAAAAAATAATTTCCAGGGCTCTATACATTAATTTTCAAACATTATGACCACAGAGTTGAAAAGTGAGCAAAGAGGATCTTGAGCAGGTGATTTTTTCATACCCTAAAAAAAGTGTGTGCTGCGGAGTCAGCTCTTCCTAATCCGTCAAAATCTAAACCTCAGGCTTGGGGTTCAGGGGAGAACCTGAGTGGATTTCGGGGGCAGGGCAGTGCTTTCTGCACTGAAAGAAGGACTTGTTCAAATGGACTCTGGGTTGAAAAGTAACAGTTGTGCTCCTAGTTGGTCCCCAGTCTCTCTCTGTCTGTCTCTATCTGTCATCTACCTTTCTTTTTCTAGGCTTTTTTTTTCTTTTTTGAAGAAACACCAAGGTCTCCATGAAGGTGCTGGTCATTAGGACTCTCAGTAACCTTCGCCCAGGGAGGTTGTAGGTACAGGGTTGAAACAGGTGAAGTTCTGGTGTAAAATAATTATTTCTTTGCAAAGCTTCAATTAAGTGGCATCTTATAGGACCTGAAATCCAGAGTACTTTATAAAATGAACCCCAAACCATATATTTGGAGAAACAACAGCTTCTTTTCACATCGTATTCTGCAAATAAAAGCACAAAAAATAATTATTTAGAAATGAGGTATTAGCAAAGACATAGCAAAGACAGAATCAACCTAGATGCCCATCAACAGTGGACTGGATAAAGAAAATGTGGTACATATACACCTGAGAATACTACACAGCCATCAAAAGGCCCAAAATCATGTCCTTTGCAGCAATGCTGCTGGAGGCCATTATCCTAAGCAAATTAATGCAGGAACAGAAAACCAAATACTGCATGTTCTCACTTATAAGAAGGAGCTAAACACTGAGTACACCTGGACGCAAAGATGGGAACCGTAGACACCGGGGCCTACCTGAGGTGGGAGGAGAGGAGTGGGGTGAGGGTTGAAAAACTATCGAGTACTATACTCAATACCTGAGTGACAAAATTATTGCAACACTAAACTCCTGTGACATGTAATTTACCTATGTAACAGACCTGCACATGTACCCCTTGAACCTAAAAGTTGACTTTTAAAAAAGTTATTAGCTAGCACCATCAAAAAAACAAAAAAAAAAACAAAAAACAAAAACCAGATAAAAGACAAGTGCAGTGGCTTGTGCCTGTAGTCCCAGCTACTTGGGAGGTGAGGTGGGAGGATTGCTTGAGCCCTGGAGTTTGAGGCTGGCCTGAGCAACATAGTGAGATTCATCTCTAAACAAATGAACAAGCCAACAGACAAACAAACAAACAAAAAACCAGGTGGTGTTAATGCTACAGCACTTAAAATGTGGTAATTATATATGCTGACTAAGCAAGAGAAAAATGGATATTTCATTCATTTTACTATCTATGAACATCATAGTGAAAGGTTGAAGGTAGGAAATCTTTTTTTTTTTGAGGAGGGCAGAAATTATAGATTTAACAAAACATGTTTGCAGGTCCATTGAGGACTCTTGCTTTCTATGTTTGAGTAGGATTTCCCAAAGCATCAGACTTCTGTGCCATTTCTCTTGTGCCACTTTCCTCTCATATCTCAGTAAGCGGGATCTGGAGCTGCCTAGTGGGGCTGAATCCAGCCAACCTGTCCCACATCCTTCTGACCTTCAGTCCCTTTTACTTGGCCTTTCAGAGTTTGGTCAAGGTGCCAGGAGAGATGCTTCCAGTATGATTTGTGGGGAATCAAAATGACATATTCCTACAGACCATGAGGAGGGGGAAGAAGCTATGGAGAAACTGCTTATGGTGAGGACCAAGTCCCCCCATTCATTCATTCATGCATCCCTGCATCCATCCATCCATTCATCCATGGATCCATCCATCCATCCATCTATGCATTCATTCATCCATGCATCCATCCATCCTTCCCTCCATCCATCCATCCTTCTATCCTTCATTGGCCCCTATTCTATGCCTTATAATAAAGGGAGAACAAAAATTCCTTGATTTGAGAGATATTTAAATTTGTTTTATTCATTTTGGGTAGATTAGATTTATATCCATACAAAGTTGAAGACTAGTGTACTGCATCAACATTTTCAAACTCTTTAGAAACAGTGAACCTGAAGTGAAATCACACATATGACATACATATGTAGTCCTTCTGACTAGTGATCCAGAATTCCACCTGCTCTGCAAATACTCTCCTCCCATTCACTGTGGCACCTTCACAGTCTTCCCAGGGCCCCCTGAGCAATTCAGAGACTGCTGTACTTTTGTATGAAACAAAGCCTTGATGGTGTGGTGCAGGCAGTGGATCTTAGGAGAGGCTTGCTGGGAGATGGAGAATATGGAGGAAGGGGGGGATATGGGCTGTGCCCTGAAAGGGGACTCATGTTTGCACCCATGAAAAGAAGGGGATGCATTATGTGGTAAAGTGCAGGCCAGGAATAGGATGAGCAGAGGCCCTCAAGCCATGAAAGTGGGTGCGGTCAAGAGGTGGGGGTGTTAATCAGGTTTCCACAAGAAAAAGATGGCACACTCAGGCTGGGTAATTGAGGAGAGTTTAATAAAGGGGCAATTGACAAAGATGTGGGCAGGCCTTAGGGAAAACAACAAAGGATAGTGCAGGATCTTTGGCTAATGGCAGCTGAGAGTATCACTAGGGGCAAGAGGAGGTTGCTACTCCTGGAGCTGGACAGAGAGCCGGACGAGGCTGGTGTGGTGGCTCGCACTTGTAATCCAAGCACTTTGGGAGGCCAAGATGGGCAGATTGCTTGAGCCCACGAGTTCGAGATCAGCCTGGGCAAAATGGTAAAACCCTGCCTCTAAAAAAATATAAAAATTAACCAGGCATGGTCGTGAGCGCCTGTAGTCCCAGCTACTTGAGAGGTTGAGGTGGGAGGATACCTTGAGTGCAACAGGTCGAGGTTACAGTGAATCGAGATCATGCCACCACACTCCAGCCTGGGCATGCAGTGGCACTGGCAGGAGAGAGTGCTGGACCAACTGATGGGAGATATGGCCTTTGGCAGAGAGATAAAATCTATTCCTGGTGACCTTCAGAGAGGAAACCAGGGAAATAAACACCTCAACTTCACTTTCTCCTGCCAGTGCCTCTCATTGTCCAAACACAACTGGTTGCCAGAAGCCAAGGGAACCTGTAAATATCTATCTCCCTGAAGCCCAGAGAATGGTGGAAAAGTGTGGAGATGGGATCTGAAGGGACAAATAGAAAAGAGCCACATAGACAGCTGCTAGGTTAGGGCCCAAGGACCCGTATGTTAGCTGTTGCCCCAATGATGCTGTGTAATGAACAACCCAAATCTCCATGGGATATATATATATACAGCATTAAGCATTTATTCTCACAGTCTGGGTTGACTGATCTCAGCTGGGCTTGGTGGGACTGCTTTGCTGCAGGCTCTGAAGGTTGGGCTGGCTCTGCTTCTCATCACAGGTCTGTTTGGCTGGGGCAGCTTTGTTCCAGGTGTGTTCACTCTAGGGCCCTGGCCACAGGAACAGAGGCGAAGGCCAGGGGAACTCTGCACGGTGATGGCAGATATGCAAGAGGGCAAGCCCAGTGACCCTGGTGCTTTCCAAGGCTTTGGCTGTATCACATCCACCAACATTGGCCAAAGCAAGGCGCGTGACTGAGCCCAAGTCAAAGGGCAGGAAAGTACACTCCTCCCATAGAGAGGGGGAGCTGCCAGGTTACATGGCAAAGAGGGTAGATATGGGGAGCTGTGAAGAATGGAGCCAGTAATTAAATCCACTGAAGTCTCCACAGGAGGGCAAGGTGGAAAATCTGTCCCATAGGAGGCGGATTCAGGAGGGCAGCTGTGAATGGTGCAAATGCCATTTATGCTCCTCTCCACCCATATCCATTCTTCCTTCCTTGCATAGGCATGGAATTTTTAGCTTGGCATCTAACTGTAATTCCCAGCTAAAGACTGTATTTCTCAGCCTCCCTTGCAACTAGGTGAGGCTATGTGACTACGTTCTGGTTAAAGAGATGTGAGTGGAAATGACGAATGCAAATTCTGCCCTTAAAGGGAGAAATTTCATTTCATCACCCCTCTCTTAAGCCCACTGCCTGGACTGTGGATGTGGTGCTGAGCCCTTTTGGACAATGCAAACGAGGGCACTGGCTGAGAGACTGCAGGACAACGAGATAGTCACAGTGCGGCTCCCTGGGCTAGTTGCATACGTAAAATTAGGGCCAGGGAGAGATGCATCTATCTTATTCACCTGCTATCACTTTGGGTCTTTATTTCAGCAGCCAAATCTATATTTAATACAAATTGATAGGAACTTCTACACTCATACCCAAAGAAGAGATGACACACAAAGAGGTACGACTTCATTTTTTTCCCAGCATTTACTGGCCTAAAGGTGCAGAGATACCATAATTTTAGTTTTTTTCCCATGTCATCCCTCTCCAATATTTGGAAAGGAAGCATTCTCAGTGAGAAAACTGTCAAAGCAAACTTCCTTAATGCTATCAGGACAAGCAATGCCAGGACTTGTTCTTTTTGTGGGCAAGGGACCTGGCGTAAGAGGAAAGAGGAGGGAAAGAGCTATCTGCCATTTGTTTGAATACGTCTCACTTCTAGAAAGTAGAGAGCAGGACTGAGGCCAGGCACGGTGGCTCATGCCTGTAATCCCAGCACTTTGGGAGGCCGAGGCGGGCGGATCACCTGATATCGGGAGTTTGAGTCCAGCCTGACCAACATGGAGAAACCCCATCTCTACTAAAAATACAAAATTAGCTGGGCGTGGTAGCGCATGCCTGTAATCCCAGCTACTCAGGAGGCTGAAGCAGGAGAATCGCTTGAACCTGGGAGGTGGAGGTTGCGGTGAGCTGAGATCGTGCCATTGCACTCCAGCCTGGGCAACAAGAGTGAAACTCTTGTCTCAAAAAAATAAATAAATACATAAAAAAAGAAAGTAGAGAGCAGGATTGAAACCTGGGCCTGTTTGGCTCCAAAGCCCATGCTCCATTCATTCAACACTAATTAAAGTAGAGGACTCTGTGAGAGGCTCAGTGACTCTAGAATCTAGGGTGTTTTCTCCAAATTAGATCTCTCTGACAACCATAGCATTGGAGGCCAAAATCAGTCTTTGCTCATTGACAAGGAAGGGATTGGTCAGTGCATTTATCTAAAGTGTGCAAATCAGGATTCCTACACCTCCCTGGTTCTTTCACAAAGAGGGTATTCTTGGTGGCTGGTCTGTTTCCTGTGGCCAAGAAGAACAGAATACAATGCACAAAGCCCAGGCAGTCAATAAGATCAGTGTTAAAACACAGAAGACAGCATGACAGAGAGGAAGCCAGGAGACAATGGGTTCAAATCCCACCTCTTGGGAAAACTATTTAACCAGCCTGATTTTCAGTTTCCCTGGATAGGAGCTGGAGATAATATAGGTCAACTTCCTAACCACAGTAGGTGTTATAATAGCTATTCCAGAGCCAGCACTTCGTACTTATTTATGTCATGCCTGATCCAGCTCCTTTGCTCCATGGCATAGGAATTGATTTTAAGAATCTTACAACTCCCTGAAGCTTCCAGGCATGATTTAGTGGGGTAGAGGCAATGAGTGATGATTAAAGAATATAGAAACCTCTGGCACCAAATGTTAGAAGACCAGCCAATGGACAATTCTCCATCCCTGGCCCAGAGGACTAAATGGAGACCCCTTGGTTAAGCTCATTTAATCACCTGTCTGGATGAATTGTCAGAAGGAGCCCCCGCCCTGGCAGCTGACCCCCTCCCCAAGTTGCACGGTGATCCTTGCTTTGCAAACTCAAGGCTAGTAAGTCCTTGGAGGAGGCTGGAGGCTGGGATACAATCCCGGCTATGAAGGCAGGGCTGGCTGGAGATCATTCATTCATATACTCATTCACTGAAAAAATGTGAAAACCACTCAAAACCTCTGAGAAATTAAAGTTGGTTTTCATAGGTCTGCTTCCCTCTGGCCTTCTGCTCACCTGGCATAACCTGTGCATGCTACATACTTATTTGAACAGGGGTATGTAGGAGAGGAAGGATGAAAGAGTGAAACAAAATATTGTCAACATCTGCCTTGTGACTTAGAAAATAAATATGATGCCATGCCCTTAAGGGATTCTTCTGAGAAAAATGAAGTTATTGCACAAAGAAACAGATTCTTAGAAAGACTGAAAAATTTGCTTGTACTTCTAAAACTGTTGAGTATGACTAAGAAATGAGATGCCCCATCACACTGCCATTTAGGACGGGTTCCAAAACGTTTCCCTGACTCAGGGCCATATTTTGGTAAAGAGAATGAAGAGAATGAGTCTGGTTTACCATGTGATTCCTTTACTCAATCTTCCATTCACACACACACACACACACACACACACACACACACACACACACGCACCAACTATTAGCAACATCATGAATTCCTTCACTTCTCCTGTTTGGCTTCTCTATTTATTTATTTATTATTTTATTTATTTTTGAGATGGAGTATTGCTCTGTCACCCAGTCTGGAGTGCAATGGCGCGAGCTCAGCTCACTGTAACCTCCGCCTCCCAGGTTCAAGCAGTTTTTGTGCCTCAGCCTCCCAAGTGGCTGGGATTACAGGTGCCTGCCACCACGCCCAGCTAATTTTTTTTTTTTCCAGTAGAGACAGGGTTTCACCATGATCCACCCGCCTTGGCTTCCCAAAGTACTGGGATTATCAGTGTGAGCCACCACGCCTGGCTTTTAATATTTTTTTCGAAAAGGTCTTGACTCTGTCACCCAGACTGGAGCTCAGTGGCACAATCTCAGCTCACTGCAGCCTTGACCTCCCAGGCTCAAGTGTTCCTCCCACCTCAGCCTCCCCAGTAGCTGGGACTACAGGCAAGCACCACCACACCCAGCTAACTTTTGTATTTTTTGTAGAGATGGGGTTTCACCATGATGGCCAGGCTGGCCTTGAATTCCTGGGCCTGAGCCATCCTCCCACCTTGGCCTCCCAAAGTGCTAGGATTACAGGCATAAGCCACCATGCCTGGCCTCTGTCTTAATTCATTAAGTTTTAGGCTTTTCAGCTAACCTGTAGATTATCTAACACAGTGAAGGGGTTTTCTCTTTTATTACCCAGAGCACTTGGTGCAGGAGCCAGTTCTACCTCCAGGTGTGGTTTGTTGGGAAAGGATTCAGATAAGAAGTGATGCTTGAGCTGAATCTTAAAGGAGGTGTTTTCCAGGTAAAGGAGGCAGGGAAAGAAAACCCAGGGGGAGTATGGAGGTGATAAAGAGGCTAGTGGAAGGTGCAGGTGCATAGTCTGGCTGTGCTAGTGCCAGGGCATGGGTGATGGGTCCCACCTGGAAAGAAGGCTAGACTTGGAGTTGGGAACCAGGTACCAAGTGCCTTACGGCCCCTGCAGGTATGTCCTGAGCCCAACCAGGATTGTTTGGAAGATTTTAAGCCGAGGGTGAGAGGTAGGATGGATTCAGATTTGGGGACCTGAGTGGGGAACCTGATCAGATTTGCTTTTTGGAAAGTGACTGTGACAGATACGTGAGCCATGGGCAAGTCTTCAACCTGAGCCTCAGTTTCCTCATTTCTCAAGCAGGAACAATAGATGTGCGTGAAGACTGGAAGCGATAATGTATGTGAAAAGTGGTATATGTCAACTATTATTACATGACTTTGAGTCACGAATGAGCTAACATGCTTACGTTCTCAAGAAGAGATCAGTTTCGTCATCTGCTTGGTATTGTTTCTTGATTTATACAGCTGTTTCCTCAAGCATTTTTCTTTAAATGGGAGCAGCTATTACTATTTTTTGTCTGTTTCAGCTTCAACTCTGTTACAAATTGGAAGGAACGAGTTGTTGAACATTGATCGTAGAAAAGGAAAAGAAAGTTTTTATTTTTTGCCTTGTTGTGCATTCATTCTTTCAAAAGCTGTTTAGAGGAAAAAACATTTTCTATCTTCTCATAGTAGTAAGTAGCAACTCAGGTGCCTGAAGACCCCATCATATTTTACTAAAACTCTCCACTCCAAAAGAGCATCAGTTGTGTGTAGGTGAATAGAAAGCTGGTGTGTAGGCCGGGCACGGTGGCTCACACCTGTAATCCCAGCACTTTGGGAGGCCAAGGCGGGTGGATCACCTGAGGTCAGGAGTTTGAGACCAGCCTGGCCAAAATGGCGAAACCGTGTCTCTACTAAAAACACAAAAATTAGCCTGGCATGGTGGCACGCACCTGTAGTCCCTAAGCTACTGCAGAGGCTGAGGCGGGAGAGTCGCTTGAACCTGGGAGGCAGAGATTGCAGTGAGCCGAGATCGCGCCACCGCACTCCAGCCTGGGTGACAGAGCGAGACTCTGTCTTAAAAACAAAAACAAACAAAAAAGAAACCTGGTATGTAAGTAGCTAAATATAGAGACGTATAGGAGGCATCTTGTAATGTGTGATTATTCATTTGATTTTATTCAGTGTGCTATTAAGAAGGGCCCTTCCTTCTAAAGAAAATTAGAACATTTTCAAAGCTTGCGTCTGAATCCTGTCTCACTACTCAGTAATGGAGTGACCCAGGAAACCGCATCACCTCCCCAAGCCCCAGTCCCTGTGAAATGGGGAGTGTAGTAAGACCTGCTTCCTAGGGCTGTTGGGAGGATCAGGTGAGACAATCTGATTGAAGGACTTGGACCAGTGCCTGATAAATAATAAGCACTTGGTAAGTTATTATTAGGGCTGGGAGAGCAATAACTTCAGCTGCGAAAGCTAATACTAGTCTATCCTGATGACGGCATCAGATACTTATTTTCAAGTTTCTTCTGAAGACAAATTTTAATTGACACTTGAAAACCAGGAAGAGCATGAAAAAGAGGACTCAGTGTAGCCTCTAAAGGCTGTTGAGCCTGAAGAGGTGTTGGAATGCCGTGCCCGCCTTGTGGTGCAGGCTTCAGCAGTTTAGGCCCAGAGGACTGTGGGTCCCACCTGCCTGACAGCAGGGCACACAGGTGCTGAGCAGTTGGCCATTACTGGGCTGTGAAAACAGCATGAATGGGGAATGGAGACTGTGGGCAAAGCAGTACAGTCCACTTGTTCGCAGGTGGGAAAGTCAAACTCTGTCTTTATTCTTTTTTTTTTTTCTTTTTGAGATGAGTCTCGCTCTGTCGCCCAGGCTGGAGTGCAGTGGCGCGATCTCGGCTCACTGCAAGCTCCGCTTCCTGGGTTCACGCCATTCTCCTGCCTCAGCCTCCCGAGTAGCTGGGACTACAGGCGCCCGCCACCGCGCCCGGCTAATTTTTTTTTTGTATTTTTAGTAGAGACGGGGTTTCACCGTGTTAGCCAGGATGGTCTCGATCTCCTGACCTTGTGATCCGTCCGCCTCGGCCTCCCAAAGTGCTGGGATTACAGGCGTGAGCCACCGCGCCCGGCTGTCTTTATTCTTTTACCATTTTATTTGGGATAAGTAGCAGCACTGCCTGGGAAGACCCTTGGGAGGGAGAAGGAATCTGTTGGATGGAAATCTTACCTTTGAGCATCAGTTATATTTAATGCCTAGTTTCAGCCCTTTTCATATTAGACTTTCCAACAGCAAGTCAAGGAAAGTCAAGGAGCGAAAGGAAGATGGGCTCAGAGGAAAGGTTTTTTTTTTTTTTTTTTTTTTGAGATGGAGTCTTGCTCTGTCACCGAGGCTGGAGTGCAGTGGTGCGATCTTGGCTCACTGCAATCTCTGCCTCCTGGGCTCAAGCGATTCTCCTGCCTCAGCCTCCTGAGTAGCTGGGATTACAGGCATGTGCCACTACACCCGGCTAATTTTCTTATTTTTAGTAGAGATGGGGTTTTGCCACGTTGGCCAGGCTGGTCTCGAACTCCTGACCTCAAGTCATCTGCCTGCCTCGGCCTCCCAAAGTGCTGGGATTACAGGCATGAGCCACTGCGCCCGGCTGGAAAGGTTCTTTTAAGAGTTCCACAAAGTGGCCAAAAGTTTATTCTTGCATTTTATCATGCGTATGCCTTGGAGTTATGTTTTTGGAATATGACTTAAGAAAACAAACTTTCCAGGTAACACGTAGCCGGTTCCCATCTTTCTAGCATCTCTGCCTTTGGCTGATGTGACGCCATACGTTCCTGACAGTTAATGTTGGCTCTGTAGGGATCTGATGCCAAGTACAGTCATAGCTCAGCCATGACACAGGGCCTTCCAGATAGGCCAGATTCAGTGCCCTTCCCAACAGATGCCTCTCCATCCCCCACACCTCCCGACTCCACCAAAATGAAGTGGAAGCACGTCTTGAGTTGCCCATTTCTTCTGTGTCTGGTCAGGCACACGTCAAGAATGTTGGCTGGTGATGGGCTCAAGGCAGGCACAGCCCGCTTCACTGTGCATGTGTGCAGGCTTGATTGACACTGGCAAAATCTGCAAGGATATTTCTAGACATTCCAAGTGATTGGTTCCTCTGAGGAAATGAAACATTAAAAAAAAAAAAAAAAAAAAATATATATATATATATATATATACACATGTATATTTAATTATTTTTTTAAAGCCACAATTGAAAAAATTCTTTGCCACTGGGTAGAATTAAATCTGACAGGAAACCCTAGGAGTTTTTATTAGTACCATTATTGTTTTCTTTGGCTCCATGTATTATGTCGGTAAAATGACAAAAAAAAAAAAAGGAAAAAAATTGTAAAAGACAAATATTTTGTACAAAAATACAAAGTTTTAAAAGCTCTTTAAGTATATTTCATATTATTACTAATAGTTGGCCTATATATCTGTATGTCTGCATATTTTTCCTACACTTGGGATTTTAGAAATGTATGGCACTGTTTACACAGTATATGCTTAAGTTCTTCCCATAACTCAACGACCAATGATAACCTTTTTCTGATTGGAGTGTTCCATACTTTGGAAGACATAATTTGTATAATCGCACGGTTACTGACGGAGGAGAATCTATGTGATTCAGTCCATGTGCACAATGAAAATCAGCATATCACCCTGGGGAACATTTTAGTTCCCAAGTCTTTGGGTAATGACGGATGGTAAAAAACACTAGCTGTCAATTTTTTTTCAGTAATTGGTTTTCAGTGCTTTTTTTTTTTCAATCTGATGAGAAGGTGATGCAATTAGAAAGGAGTGTCCTTTGCCTTTGAGAGCTGAAAATTTGCTCATGTGATCCCATCACAGTCCGTTATAATGCAGATGACAGTACTAAAAGAGAGAAATAAGAATGGGCATTAGTTTTTCTTAAATAATAAAGTTAATGTGCAATTCAAAAAAAGGGAACGTGTATTTTTATAGGACAGTGTCTAAAATACATCATTCAACAATGCTTATATTTTCAAAGAAATGTCTAGAAGATCTTATTTGGATGAAAAGATAAGTTTCATTTTGAAAAGCCAAGTTTCATTTTGAAAAGCCTATTCTGGGAAAGCCTGGTCCCTACTCAAATCCCAAATGGCCAAACAAAGCATACAAAAGACAAATCTGAGTTACTTGTCACCATCAATTATAATCCCTTGTTTAGATATCTGTGTTTTTCCCCCTCAACTGACCCAGCTGTGAGTTCCTATGTGTCTTAAGGTCCCTAGCACTTGGACCAATGCCTGACACATCAAAGGTGCTCAGTAACTGTCTGTTGAATGGCAATACGGATAATTTATGCCCCAGTTACTTCCAAAAATAGTTTGACCAAAATATATTTGAGGTTTTTGTTTTTATATGAACAGCTTTATTGAAATATAATTGACAAATTGTATAATTCACCCATTTAAAGCATATAATTCAGTGGTCTTTGGTATAGTCACAAAGTTATGCAATTTAGAACCAATCTAATCTAATTTTAGAACATTTCCATCACCCCAAAAAGAAACCCCATACCCATTAGCATTCATTCCCCATTTCCTCTGTCCCCTATCACAAACTTTTAATCTCATTCTGGTGAAGAAAACTAAGATGCCACATTCCAAAGAGGGTCGTGTGTTAAATGAAGCTTTAGATACATAGCCTTTGAAGTCAAGAAAATCTCCAAAAGCTGCTTTGGCTTATGAGCTGATAAGCAGCACAGACCATCTCCCTCTATTATGTATCACAGGATCTGGCCTATAGTAGATGCTCAATAGATACACGTGGAATTGAACGCTTGGCCACCTGGATTAGCTGTGTATGGATGTCTACGGAAAAGAACTAACATTGGTGCTATATCTCTTTTCTTTTTTGAGATGGAGTTTCGCTGTTGTTTCCCAGGCTGGAGTGCAATGGTGCGATCTCGGCTCCCCACAACCTCTGCCTCCTGGGTTCAAGCTATTCTCCTGCCTCAGCCTCCTGAGTAGCTGGGATTACAGGCATGCGCCACCATGCCCGGCTAATTTTGTATTTTTAGTAGAGATGGGGTTTCTCCGTGTTGGCCAGACTGGTCTCAAACTCCCAACATCAGGTGATCTGCCCGCCTCCACCTCCCAAAGTGCTGGGATTACAGGCGTGAGCCACCGTGCCTGGCTGGTGCTATATTTTAAAGAACAATTAACTCACAATATAAGATACTTATGTGGGTCAGTTAGTTTAGCATTCGTTGAGTACTTCCTACATGTGAGGCACATTTATTAACTTATTTAAATCTTCACAACCTCGTGAAGAAGATGCTATTACTATTTCCCTGAGGTTAATCACCTGCCCAGTTAATAAATGGCATAACCAGGGCTGAAACCTAATTGCAGTGCCTGCATTCAGGGCCCTTGTACTCACCACCCCTCACCCTTTCATAGGACATAAGCTGGCAGCTCCCTCTTAAATCCCATCTACTGCTCACCTGTCTCCCTGTCTTTTTCGCAAATGAAGTTATTGACGTCTTCACATTGGAAATCGTTCCACTGCCCAGCATAAATCAACCCAGCACAGTCTTCTCCTGGCCCATGGCCATGACCCCAGTTATCCGGCTGTCCAGCTTTCCAATTTCTTTTAGCAAAACAGAAATTGAATGTTATTTGCACAGTAATGCAGAGCTTTTCTTTACTCAAGAGCAGCAGAGAATATAAAAAAACAAAATTGAAGCATGTCATTTATCCTGGAATGAAAATGCAGTTTAAAAATCAGTACATGCTCTTATTCAGAGAAAGGAGCAGCTGTTTTGCAGAGTAATGCATAATGCGGCATCTCCCTGCGCGCTTGTGATCTTTGCTACCATGAACCAAACTCACTAGGCTGGTTCATCAGAATGCAGAGGGAGCGAATCTTGCTTTGGGACAGTTAGATGAATAACTTTCTAATGTGTACTGGAATGCTGACTTCTGGGCATGAGTGTATATATGTGTGTGAATATCTATTCATTATGAGGACATGATACACACACACACACACACACACGCACACATGATCTTGTGAGAACCCAGAGGGACCTTGTACATTTCAATATCTTGCCTCTAACAAGTCCAAGAGCCAGGAAGAGAAAGTGAAAGACTTTTGATATACATTTACAAGAACCTACAATTACAAATAACTGGTTATGATTGTCTGGGTGAGTTGTAGAAGGTTGATTGCTTTAGAAAGAAATAGTAACTTAATCTTACTGAAAATGACTCCTACATTTCACTCCCTTTTTTGGGAGAGAGATTCTTAAAAACAAGTTTTCTTTAGGATGAGTTCACATGGGGCTTCTTAACTTGGATGCTGCTGCTCAGAACAGCACCTTGCCATGGATAACAGTTCTTGATTACGTTTCCACGAATAAATCAGGTGTGCTTCCAGACTCACCCCTTGAAGGTTCAATCTTGTCTAAGAAGCAGATTCATGCACAGAAGCTTGTGGCTGCTGCCTGAGAGGACAAGCCTGCCTCATGTGGAGGGTCTGGAAGAACATCTGCAGCGGAGGGTGCTTCCTATAAACAATGACTCATTACCGCACTGGCCACAGGGTGTCCTCGGGTCACCCGAGGAGACAGCCTGTATGGCCCTGTATCTTTGGACAATAACACCCGCAAAACCAGAGGCAGCGGGAAAGGACAGTTGAAGTTTAGTCAAAGGGTGGGGACAGGGTAGAACTGACTCCCCCACACCAAATGTGTATTTTGGGATTTAAAAAAAATGAGTATGAAGGCCGGGCGTAGTGGCTCATGCCTGTAATCCCAGCGTTTTGGGGGGCTGAGGCAGATGGATCACCTGAGGTCAGGAGTTCGAGACCAGCCTGGCCAACATGGCGAAACCCTGTCTCTACTAAAAATACAAAAATTAGCTGGGCATGGTGGCAGGCACCTGTAGTCCCAGCTACTTGGGAGGCTGAAGCAGGAGAATTGCTTGAATCCAGGAGGTGGAGGTTTGCAGTGAGCCAAGATCATGCCACTGCACTCCAGCCTGGGTGACAGAGCGAGGCTCCATCTCAAAAATACATATATATATATACATTGAGTGGCCTCAATTAAATAAACCTAGTGATGAAAGAGAATTCAGAGGAAACCATCGATTGGTGAGAGTAAAAATGGGATGCTACTTAGAAGGGAGAGTTAGAAAATAGTCTCACTCACTCACTCACACCAGGCATCCATAGCACTCCTGCTATGAGCCAGGTATCATCTGGGTGATGGCAACATAGCAGTGCAGAGAAGAGACAAAGTCCCAACTCTTACAGCTTACATAACAGATGAGTCACAATGAGTTCAAAATCTCAGCCTGTGACAATCTCAGCCTGACGCCAGATAGAGATGAAGTTGGAAAGAAAAGTAGTTTACTTTCACATTTGGTTTTTTGTGTAACTCTTTTCACCTTGTGAGATTCTTCTGGAGATGTCAACAATGCCTGAGCAGTTTAATCTTGTGGACATACATTTCGTTCATTTCTGCCAGTAATATGGGGGGTTTGATTCCATTTTTGTTTATAAAATTTGAGATCTATGATTCCTGAATGTATAATGATAGGATATTTGATATTCTTGACTTCTCAGTTAATTGGGAAATTATATAAATATGACTTCTTTGGGCTTAGAAGTCCTGCTTAATATTTTCCCCTTGCGTTTCCTTTTAAGTCATTTTAAGTTAAATAAATAAAAAGGATGTATCAACCAGGCAGAGAAATAACTGAGTGATAAGAAAGGAGATAATCTTTATCGCCTTTCTCCATTTGTTTTTCCAGGTCACTGGAATTCTTCACATACAGTACTCAAGGCTTTCCTTAGGACTAAAAGCAGAATGCAGTTCTGTGGCCATAAGCGGAGGTGACTGCAGTAGGCCAGAATGGGTGGAAAGTGGGTAGCCTGAAGCCAGACTGAAGGGACAATTTATTCTGTGGGCTGACCACCCAGAGTCTCAAAGCATCTCTTTGGCAAAGCTAAAATCACATGGAGTGATTTGTGGCAAAACCCCTCAGTCTGCATGTTTATAATAATATAGAACGTAACGTGTCAAATAAGCAAAATGTATATATTTTGGAGAAGAATGTCAGCTTAAATAGTGCTTAACCTCATTCACAGGTAGATTCTGGCAAGATGAATGGCTGAAGTCTGGGGCTCAAAGCCCTGAATTCTACATTATCATACACATGTCACAGAAGTGAGCGGTAGCAGCACATACATATACTTGGACATCACACTCTGAAAACACCAGGAATCTTGGAAATGCTTGGACTGATTGCTCCAGTAAGCTGGAAACACACACACACACATCAAATATATATATCTAAATATAAGATACTTAGAATAGGATTTAGAGGCTGGGCATGGTGGCTCACACCTGTAATCCCAGCACTTTGGGAGGCCGAGGTGGGTGGATCACCTGAGGTCAGGAGTTCAAGACCAGTCTGGCCAACATGGCGAAACCCCATCTCTACTAAAAATACAAAAATTAGCCGGGCCTGGTGGCAGGTGCCCGGAGTCCCAGCTACTCAGGAGTCTGAGGCACGAGAATCGCTTGAAGCCAGGAGGTGAAGGTTGTAGTGACCCAAGATCATGCCACTGTACTCCATCCTGGGTGACAAAGCGAGTCTCCATCTCAAAAGAAAAAAATAGGATTTAGAATATAGGACCATAGAATGAAAGAGCCTGGAACAGAACCTTTAACATCTTCTAATTCAGCCTAGCGCAGTGGCTCACACTGTAATCCCAGCACTTCAGGAGGCTAAGGCAGGAGGATCACTCGAGGCCAGGAGTTCAAGACCTGCCTGGGCAACACAGTGAGACCACCATCTCTATAAAAAATTTAAAATAAATTAGCCAGGTATGGTAGCTGATGCCAGAAGTCCCAGCTACTCAGGAGACTAAAGTAGGAGGATCACTTGAGCCTCGGAGGTTGAGGCTGCAGTGAGCTGTGATTGTGCCACTGCACTCCAGCCTGGACAACAGAATGAGACCATCTTAAAAAATAAAAAATAAAACACAAAAAACTGAAAACACAATGTATGATATTATACGGAGCAGTCTGCATAGACAGAAAGGCACCACATTTTATCTTTGTGATGCCAAGATGAAAGCTGTGACTCGTAGTGTGACAGCACACTCCCACCAAATGAGGTCCCGTGGACAGAGGAACAGAAGAGCTTCTAGTGCGTTTGGGGAGATTCTCAGGAAGACTGTCACATCTCTGGTGATCTAAGGTGGGCAACTGCAAGCAGGGTAGGCAAGAGAGGCCTTAACAACCTCCCTTAGCATTCTGCTCTGAGCAGGTGGGCAAGTACCCAGGTCCCGTATGTGTCCGGCTCCCGCAGGTCTAGCAGGCAGCCTCCATTAACAATGACAGTCTCCCAATCACATGCTTACACCTATACTCATTACACCAAGAGTAAAAGGATCAGCCTTTTTTTTTTTTTTTTTTTTTTTTTTTTTGAGACAGAGTCTTGTTCTGTCTCGGAAAAAAGAAAAAAGAAAAAAAGCCAAGGCTGGAATGCAGAGGTGTCATCACAGCTCACTGCAGCCTCAACCTCCCAAGCTCAAGTGATCCTCTCACCTCAGCTTCCTGAATACCTGGGACCACAGATGCACACCAGCACACCCAGCTAATTTTTAAGTTTTTTGTAGAGATGGGGTCTTGCTATGTTGCTCAGGCCGGTCTCGAACTCCTAGGCTCAAGCAATCCTCCCGCCTTCGCCTCCCAAAGGAAAAGATCAACTTTGACATGTTCCTGGTTTTATAGATCCTTTCTACTGTTGGTCTTTCTATTTCACTGCTTTCCTTCCTTTGACTTACTTAGGGATTAATTTGTTCTTCTTTTTCTACCCTGGTAAAGTGGAAGCTTAGATCATTGATTTTCAACCTTTAAACAAGGTTTCTAATATATGTAATTTAAAACTATAAGTGTCCCTTTCTAAATACTATTTTAGCTGCATCCCACAGATCTTGATATGTTTTCATCTTCTTTGAAACATTTTCAGATTTCCTTTGTGATTTTTCTCTTTGACCCATGGGTTATTTAGAAATGTGTGGTTTAAAATAATTGGGATTTTACAGACATTTTTCTATCTATGTCTAATTTAATTATTTTGGTCAGAAAACATACTCTATATAGTTCTAGTTCCTTTTTGTTTTTGTTTTTTTTGAGATGGAGTCTCGCTCTGTCACCCAGGCTGGAGTGCTGTGGTGCGATGTCAGCTCACTGCAACCTCCACCTCCCGGGTCCAAGCAATTCTCCTGCCTCAGCCTCCCGAGTAGCTGGGATTACAGGCATCCGCCACCACACCTGGCTAATGTCTTTTACTTTTAGTAGAGACGGGGTTTCACCATGTCGGCCTGGATGGTCTCGAACTCTTGGCCTCAGGTGATCCACCTGCCTTGGCCCCCCAAAGTGTTGGGATTACAGGCGTGAGCCACCATGCCTGGCCTGATAGTTTTGGCTTTTTTTTAAATTTATTGAGACGTATTTTATGGCCCAGAATATAGTTCATCTTGGTGAATGTACCACATGCACCTGAAAAGAATATGTATTTGCAGATGTTGGGTAAAACATCCCACAAATATCAATTAAGTCAAGTCAGTTGATTGTGTCTACTATATCCCTATCAATTTTTCCATCAGTAATTGAGAGGGGAATGTTGAAATCTCCTTTGAAGGCCTGTTCTTTGCTGTATCCACAGTTAGGGTTGCTATGTTCTATTGACTGTGACATGGCCCTGGAAACCTGCCTTTTTAAAACATGATCCCAATGACGACTGCTCACTCATACTGCTGCCCCCACACTCCAGAAAAGATCCTGCAGGCCAGCACAGAGGCTGGCTCATGGCAGACACTTCAAGATAATCCATCAAATGTTATCATGAGACTGTGGGCCAATGGACTCTAATCTCCAGTCAGGGGCTGGGTGTTGGCCAAGAATGAAGTTTTCACAGGACCTGGTGAAATGAGAAGAATAAGGACAATGTGTGTGTGTGTGAATGTAAGATGGCCAGCCATCTCTTCTTGGAAATAATTATAGGTTTATTATTATTTTTTTTAATGCTGAGATTTGCTGATTGGTACTTTCTAAAAGCCTTGTCCTTAATTGGCAAATAAAATCCTGCTGATCTGTGTTGGCCCTGCCAGTCTTTCTTTTGAAATTGTATTGGTGTGTGGATCCAAAGCATCTGGGGACCCATCCTTGGAACTGTCCGGGCCATTGCAGGTGGCATCTCACGCCACCCTTTCCCCTCAGCTGGTCCTGTCCTGCTGCGGTGCAGAAAGAGCCATAAGATTCAGCAAGTCAGGTTGAGTGTTTCATGGGAAATAAGCCTGAGCTCAATCTGTGTGTCCCCTAAGCCTTTGGCTTCTGTTCCATGTCACTATTGCCTTCTGTCTGTTCCAGCACTCTCTTTCTCAACCAGGTCTCAGCATGAAAAATGAGGTGAGGCCGAGACGCAGAGGAGAGAGCCTTTTATCCCTCGTCTATTTGCTCTTTAACAGTAACCACAAAACCTGCAAACTGTTTTAAAAGGATTTCACGCGTGTTGGGAGAAAAGAATAAGGGGAAAGCAGTGGTACTTAATTCTTCCTAGCCTGGGCAAGGGATGGGACGGTGCCAGGCCCATCGGCTTCTATTTTTTGGAAGAGTTTAAGAAGAACTGGTGCTAACTCTTCTTTGAATGTTTGGTAGAATTTGGCTGTGAAGCCATCTGGTCCTGGGCTTATCTTTCTGGGAGGTTTCTGATTGCTACTTCAATCTCCTTCTTTGTTATTAGGCTGGCCAGGCTATTTCTTCCTTTTTTTTTCCTCGTTTTTTTAAGAGATGGGGTCTTGCTCTATTGCTCAGGCTGGTCTTGAACTCCTGGCCTCAAATGATACTCCCACCTCAGCCTACGCTTTCTATTTCTTCTGGATCCAGTCTTGGTAGGCTGTAGGTTTCTAGGAATTTATCCATTCTTCTAGGTCATCCAATTTGTTGGTGAATAATTGTTCATAATCGTCTCCTGCGATGATCTGTTCCAGAAATCACTGCTGGCGGCAGGGGAAAGGGAGGTGGATGGGCCAATCCTTGGAGGCCACAGATGCAAAGACAAGGAGAGTAAAAGTGAGTCTGACTAGGAGGAGACATATTTGGGGCGGTTTATGCTGGTAGGAGACCCTTGAGAGCCTGAAGCCCAGTCCCCATTCCCAGGCCATGCAGAGAACGTTTTTCTTGTCTTCTTCACACACCTGTTGTGGGACTTGAGTGAGACACTGTGTGGACATCCCAATCAGGATACTGTAAAATATATACATTCTATGTAGTATTTATCTGCAACTGCTAACTAATATGATAATAATTATGATGATAATAGCAATAATATACCAATACCAGCAGGTACTATTTCTTGAGCACTTCCTATGTGCCAAGCCCTCGACTAAATGCTTTGCATACAGCTATCACACTTTATTTTCACAATACTGACATAGGTATTTTGGAAAATTCATCTTATAAATGGGGACATGGAGGTTTTGCAGAGTTGAGCAACTCACACGAGGCCTTGCAGCTTTGAGTGTTGCTGGGTCAAGGCCCAGAACCCCGATCTTGCTGATGCTAGATCCCTCTAGCATCTAGCTGATGCACTCCCTCCCTCGGCTGCACTGGCTTTCTTTCTAGTTTGTGCAATGTTTATTATTACATGTCAAATTAAATTAGCCTTTGGTTATTGAGACCTCATAACACGCCTGTCTAACTTATTCTTGCTTTTAAAATTTGATCCTGGGGATTTTTATGTTCCTATGTATTCCTTTGGGTGGAAAACGAGAAGCACAGCCTGTGTGGTGGCTGGGGTGCAGAAGCTGAGGATTTGGGAGGCTCCAAAATGGCTGTGGTTGGGGACTGGGTGCCCAGTAAGGTGTCTGGTGACGTCATTCTTCTCAGGTCCTGGGTACCAAGCGGGTGCGCTCCATCCAGATCATGTAATTCTTGCTGGACCCCAGGGAAGAGGAGAAAAATTTCACATTGGGAGAGCTGGCATAGACAGTAATGTTCCAGCTCAATCCATTCCATATGGGCCAATCCAGTTTTTTTCTTGGGGAAAGGCTTAAGATTGAATTTCTTAGTGAGTCTAACCCAGACCTTTGTGCATTTACGGCAGTGAAAAATGTGGAGAAGATGATTTTTTGTTTCAGCTTCTCCCAACTCTCTTAAAAAAAAGACCCCGGCGCTCTTGGCTGTCAAAAAAGCAGAATTTTGTCTTTTTTAAAAAACAGTCTCTGTCTCCCATCCCATCCCCAGCTCCAACCTTCTACAGCTACTGTTTTAGATGGTGATTCCTGCAACTGTTTTGAGTCTCCTAAAGTGTGTCCCTGCTGTGTTGGGCACTTTCCTTGGCTCATCAGGCAAAGTCTCAAGTGCCAGATTATGCCAGGGGGTACCCCTTCCTCTCCCCAGGACAGGCGCAGAGGAGCCGACGAGTCTCTGACAGGCCTGCAGCAGATATCCACTTGCCCTTAAGGGCAGTCTGAGGCTCACCTTCAGAGCAGACCTAAAATCTTCTAATGTTCCAAATCAATATTTCGCCACATGTTTATTTTTTATAAAGAGCTGGCCTGGCTAGGTGCGGTGGCTCATACCTCTGATCCCAGTGCTTTGCGAGGCCAAGGTGGGAGGATCACTTGAGGCTAGGAGTTTGAGACCAACCAGAGCAACATAGTGGACCACGTCTATCCAAAAACTTTAAAAATTAGCCGGGTGTGGTGATGTGCACCTGTGATTCCAGGGACTTGGGAGTCTGAGGTGGGAGGATCGCTTGAGCTGGGGAGATAAGAGGCTGCAGTGAGCCATGATCGTGCCACTGCCCTTCAGCCTGGGCAACAGAGTGAGACCTTGTCCCTTAAAAACAAACAAATAAAAACAAAAGAGAGATGGCCTTATTCTGGTTTCCTCCTTTATCCTCTGATCCTACTCACATGGAGAATTTGAAAGTACAAAAGAGCCTGTTTATCCAAATGCACATGCACACGCACATAGGGACATTTAAAAAACTCGATCTGGCTTCTCCATCACCTCTGACCCTCCTCCCTGCTGCTCAGCTGATACAGGGCTAGGCCTCCATGCCCATGAGACTCTCTTAGGCCTGAAACACCCTTGTTTTCTCCTCTCCTGGGACAGCCCCAGAGGCCACACCGTGGACTTTGCCTAGTGCTCTCAGAAGGTGCTTCCAATGCGGTGATGCTCCTGTGCCTGGTGGAGCCCTGCAGGGTCTGGCCTCTCCGTCCCCAGCAAACTAAAGGTTACTCAGAGGGTTTTTTTTTTTTTTAATTTTATTTTTTTTATAAATTCTGCTTCATTTGTTACAGTTCCTTGCAATTTTCACACCCGTCAGAGGCAAAGCCAGAGTATGGAGATGTGATAATCAAACTGATGCAATACAGTCATTGTTAGATCTTTGGGTAGAATTAGGGAAGGAGCTAACACCCCCTAGGGTAGGATGAGGCCCTGGAGACTTCTAGGTTATCCAAGAAGGTACCTCAAAGTGATTCTATTCTTTGTTGCTCCTTTCATAGAACTTAGGTCACATGGAACTTATGGGGAATCTTCAAACCTCTAGGGGATGGTTATCCCGCAAATGCAACTTTGTTTATAGTGTATTTTAACTTACTATGAGTAGGAAAATCACACATTTGTAGTTTTTTTTTTTTTTTTTCTTTTTTGAGATAGAGTCTTGCTCTGTGGCCCAGGCTGGAGTGCAGTGGCGCCATCTCGGCTTGCTACAACCTCCGCCTCCTGGGTTTAAGCAATTCTTCTGCCTCAGCCTCCCGAGTAGCTGGCATCACCCGCATGCGCCACCATATCCGGCTAATTTTTGTTTTTTTTGTTTTTTTAGTAGAGACGAGGTTTCACCATGTTGGCCAGGCTGGTCTCGAACTCCAGACTTCAAGTGATCCGCACACCTCAGCCTCCCAAAGTGCCGGGATTACAGGCGTGAGCCACTGTGCCCAGCCAGGAAAATTACTCATTTGTAGTTTCTAATCACACTCTGCCTAGAAGCCCAACTAGGGGTCAGGGGCACCCACAGTGTGATCCTGAAGGGAGCTCCCCAGTCCTTGGAAACACGCCTGGGGCGAACGCTGAACATGCCTGAGGTTGCCTGGGCTTCATCATCTTTTCCCATAGCATTTAAAGAAAATGACTTGGCCAGAAGTATTATGCTGTGTGGTTTTATGAGTTTCATGATTTTTTTCTTAGAAATGAAAAAAAATTCACTCCATGAAAAGAAGAAAGGAAAGCCTTATTTGACAGCGTATCAACTGTCAACCACGATTTCCCCAGGGGAAATATGCAACTGGTACCAGGAGCCCCGGTTTGGGAGGAGCGTCTAGGACACGAGGTCATTAAGGAAGAAACTGTTGGGAGTCGGGCAAGAAGTGACAACAGAACAGTGAGAGCCTGACCACCAATCTGGAAGCTTCTGAGTACTTACTTGTAGTCTGGAGATGTCCCATCCAGCCACTTCCATTCATTTTCACGCTCTGAGTCTGTGAGGCCGATCCAGTGGCTCTCTCTCCCTACCATCTGTTTTTTTATCCATTGCTGAAAAACAAAGCAGGGGTGGTGCGTGACTATTTTTCAGAACAGATGTCTCAGGCCTTTTTCTTTTATTTAACATTTAGAAAAAAGGACAATTTAAAAGAGGATGGTTGTCAGAATGTGTAGCCTGCTTTTGCTTTCTGCTTTTTTCTTGCTACTTGCTTTGTTTTGTGCTGTTTGGGGGGCTTTGACTTTTTTCCTCTTACAAGTTTACAACGGATGTTAAAGTGAGGCTCTTCCTCTAAATCACTCAGACAACCCAGTGAATGTCCATTGGTCCCACTTCCTCCTACCACCCACCCATTTCTCCCATGTCCTAATCATAGGAATAGTCATGATATTCTTGGGCACTTCCTCTGGGCTGGGCCCCACGTGCAGTGTGTTGCACGCAGTGTGTCTCCAAGCTTTTATAACAACCCACTGAACAAACATGAGAAGTAGCTGAGCTGGGCTTGGGCCCTGGTCTGTGTATTCTAAAGCCCAGGTGCTTGGTCACTGTCTGCCGTGTGCTCATTCCAGTCAGTTACTACAGGAAACATCTGTTTACAGGATTGTGTCTGCTGGAGATAACTTAGGGAGAAGGGAGGAGGCCACTGGAATTGGTGTGGTATCAAAGAAAGCGCTGCATTGTTGCTAGATGGGCTGCAGTTTTGGTCTCAGTCTGCATAAACCTTGCCGGGCCTCAGTTTTCCTAGCCGTCAAATGAGGGTAATAATAATACCTATGTTCTAGGGTTGCTGTGAGGTTCAAGGGAGCAAATGCCTCTCACGGTGCCTGGCATATAGAGGGTCTAATGAGTGGACACTAGCATTAGCATGCGTGGGCTCTGCCTCCTCAGCCTTCTTCGCTCTTCCTGACTCCTCTGGAGCCATGCGTGGTCCCTTGCACCCCACTCCATCCCTACAGTGTTCATGCCTCTCTCTGTCCCCACAGGTGCCTGGTGGCAGCCCTCAAGCTTCTCTGCATTATAATTATTTCAACAGCCACCAGAAGGAGCCACACATCTCCAGGCTTGATAGGCAATATCTTCCAGGAAGAATCATGAAGATACAATTCCAATGCCACGAATGCTTCTAGCCACTGGATGAAACCCAAATCTCTGTAATGTTGCCTCCCATGTTTACGTGACTAGGAATTCGTGATATCTCTGAATCCCCAACAAGCCTGCAATTTCCAGATGTAAACTATCCTTAAATTATAGTTTTCCCCAACCAAGTATGTGGCAGGCATACCTGTTCCTCTCTAGTGTTTATGAAAACAAGATGTGAAGACTTGTCTTCACAGAAAAGCTTTGCATCCTCAAAAATTTCTTTCTCAACTGAAAAATAGTAGCATTTGTCTGTGAAGTTCTTCCAGTGAGGCGGGCAGCCTAGGAATGCAAAAGTGGAAAACATTGATTAAAAGATCACAGAAAGCACTCTGCCTTTCTTCAGCTGTGTTTCAGAGGCCAAAACTGTGGTCCCGCTGGGAGCAGCCTGAGCGTCCCTGCACGAGGCCCACAGCTGACGTTCACGGACGTGCTCGCAGCAAGCATGACCCAAAGTGGACTGCAGAGCACAAGCCAAAACCACATAATCTGGAAAAGATCTTTGACTGGGTCTTTGTTCTTCTGTGTCTGGATCCGTCTTCACAATGACAGAAATAACAGAAGCAACAACAAGAAGCAGGGCAGGCACAGATGTTCAGCGTCAGTCTGGAATCATACGGAACCCAGGAACACTTGGATGTGAGAACCCAGCACCAAAACTGGGCTCACGGATCAACAAAAATAACCCGGGCCTCACCGACCAAAATCAAGTAGAATAGCGGTTGGGTCAAAGGAGAGAAAAATAGGCTTGGTTGCTAACCAAACATTCGAGTTTTGCCAAAGGTTTAATTATCAAAAGACTAGAAGGCACCGTAACATCTAACACCTTTCTCAAAAAGAAATTAAATGTAGTCATCAATAGCAGAGGGTTCCATCCACATGTTGATGGAGCTAACCGAGGGAGCCCATCTATCTCCAGAGTGAGGATGTAAAACGAGGGAAGAGCGCTCAGGGCGGCCAGCAGGCTTCCCTGAAGGAAATGTTTTGCATTGTGTTTGTCTTCTGAGGGCTGGCTCCTATAAATAAACAAGTGCAAGAGCCAGGTGCAGTGGCTCCCACCTGGAATCCCAGCACTTTGCAAGACTGAGGCAGGAGGGTTGCTTGAGGCCAGGAGTTCAAGACCAGCCTGGGCAACATAGCAAGACCCTGTCTCTACAAAAAGGAAAATAAAAAATTAGCCAGGTGTGGTGGCATACCCCTGTGGTCCCAGCTACGCAGGAGTCTGAGTGGGAAGATCACCTAAGCCCAGGAGGTCAAAGCTGCAGTGAGCTATGTTTGCACTACTTCACTTCGTCATTCCAGCCTGGGTGACAGAGTGAGACCCTGTCCCATACATACACACATAATACATAAAACAAATGAGCACTAGAGAACCCAATGGCGTTTAGAGAGAAACACATGCCTGGTATGGAGGCCTGTTCTGGCAGCAGGGCTCCTGTGCCAGCCCCTATGATGCCTTTGCTGTTAAATAATATGCAGCGGGGGACAAGACGTGGTGGCTCACACCTGTAATCCCAGCACTTTGGGAGACTAAGGTAGGTGGATCACTTGAGGCCAGGAGTTTGAGACCAGCCTGGCCAACACGGTGAAACCCCCTCTCTACTAAAAATACAAAAATTAGCTGGCTGTGGGGGCACACGCTTGTAGTCCCAGCTACCTGGGAGGCTAAGGCAGGAGAATCACTTGAACCCGGGATGTGGAGGTTGCAGTGAGCCGAGATCACGCCACTGCACTCCAGCCTGGGCAACAGAGTGAGACCCTGTCTCAAAACAAAAACAAAAACAAAAATAACATGGGTGGGGCCACACACTGGGGGTTGGCTCAGTCTCAAGCACATGCACTGCCCTGTCCCCCTGGCTGGAGGGAGGGCTTGGACTTACCATTGTCCTCCGGTGCTGGGGTTGGCTCATTCTGCAGGGCCAGGGGCACCACCGCTCCTGATGGGCCAGGAGGGCCGGGGGGGCCCTTGGGGCCTGGCATGCCTGGTACCCCAGGCAAGCCTGGCAGTCCCCGAGGTCCAGGCACCCCAGGCTCCCCAACGGTGCCCTGAAGTCCCTGGAAGCCAGGAGGGCCCTGAGGGCCGGGGAGTCCCTCTTTGCCTGGTGGGCCCGGGGGGCCTGGGTCCCCACTGGAGCCCTGAGGGCCGGGCTTCCCAGGGGAACCACGGGAGCCTTTGGGGCCCTGGGAGCCTTTAGATCCTTTGCCGCCACGCTCTCCGGGGGGACCAGCTGGTCCAATTGGGCCTCTCTCACCCGCAGGGCCAGGTGGTCCAGGCTCCCCCTTCTCTCCTTTCTGTCCCTTGTTGCCAGTTGGGCCAGGGGGTCCCTGGGATCCTCTGTCACCTCTTGGACCCCTGGGGCCCGGTGGACCTAAAGCATAAAAGAAAAAGGTGTCAACATGAAATCCACTGTGAATGATAGTTATGAATAATTTTTCTTCTTATAAAATCTCCAAATTAAAAAAACCTAGCATACAAAGTATATACAGCAGGGAAAGACCATCTGTTTATCATACTACTGTAGACTGTTATGGGCTAAATTATGTCCTCCTCCAAATTCTTATGCTGAAGTCCTAACCCCCAGCACCTCAGGATGGGACTTATTAAGAGACACGGCCTTTACAGAGGTCATCGAGTTAAAACGAGGTGACATGAGTGACCCTAATCCAATAGGACTGGTGTACTTAAAGAAGAGGGGATTAGGTCACAGACACATAGAGGAAAGATCGCTTGAGGGCACAGGGAGAAGATGGACTCCTGCAAACCAAGGAGGGAGGCCTCGGAGGAAACAACACTGCTGACACCTTGATCTTGGACTTGCGGCCTCCAGAACCGTAAGGAAAGAAATGTCTGTTGTTTAAGCCTCCCAGTCCGTGTACTGTGTACTGTGTATATGGCAGCCCAAGCAAGCCAATATACTGTGTGTTCTTCAGTAAGCTCACCCTTCTTCTTCAAGCTTTTAGAATGTATTGTAACAGTGCACAACGTTTTAGTGCCCCACTGATGTCCTTCATGGTGACACTGACAGCCAGGGGCTTATTCTTCACAGTGACTCACATGATTAAACTGGGTTCTCTTAGTCACCTGGGCCTGTGTTGTCATCAGCAGGAAAGTTGTGTAGACCAGGATCAGGATTTCCTCTTACTTATTTCCTCTTGTCCTTAATTTGGTAAATATTTATTAAAGGCTTATATGACAAGCACCGTGTTAAGGTATTGTGGGATAAAGAACTGAAGGAGATTGATGTATTAATTCTCTCCCCATAACCAAGCCTATAACTTCCCTGTAAGCTTCCTCTCTGTTGTACCCCAGCTGGCATGCCTGTGCTGTCCACCAAAGCTGTGGGGGTGCTGCTGTCCTTAGGGCTGGGCCTCACTCACCCATGGGCCAGCTCAGAGGGACGGGAGGTCTCTGTGGGAAAGCCTGGTGGGACTTTGCTGCCCATTGTGGACAGGTGTCCAAACTCTCTGGGTGGGTTTGTAAGTCTAATAATACACATAAGGAAGGTAGGCTAGAGAAAAAAGGTATGTGGACCATCTAATTGGGAAGAAAAGCGAATACTGCTCATCCCCATTATCCCACAAAGAGGCCCATGTAACACAGGATTGTTTTTCTTTCTTTAATTTCTCAGGGGTAACAGGAAATTTCACACAAATAATCTCCTACCAGGAACTGTATAGTGAATGACAATTTTCAGGGTACTTTCACATACATTATGCCACCTGACCTTGCCTGTGCGGTAGAATTCTCATTGCATAAATGAGGACATGTAGGGCCAGAGATGCCAAACTATTTGTTCGAGGATACTTAGCTACTAGGAACAGATACCAAGGAGAGTAAGACATGGTCAGTCACAATCTAGTAGTGGAGCTGGGGCATGAACTCAGGTCTTCTGATGTTGAAATGAATGAATCTTAGAGTTTCTGAAATCTCACAATTCTGCATGAATAAGTAAAAGGCCACACTTAATCTCTCTCTCTCTTTTTTTAGAGACAGAGTCTCACTCTTTTTTTTTAGAGACAGTCTCACTCTGTCACCCAGGCTGGAGGAGAGTGGCATGATCATAGCTCACTGCAACTTTGCACTCTTGGGCTGAAGCAATCCTCCAACCTCAGCTTCCTCCCATGTAGCTGGGACTAGAGGCTTGTGCCACATTGCCTGCTTTTTTTTTTTTTAATTTTTAATGTTTTTGTAGAGATAGGGCTCTCACTGTGTTGCCAAGGCTGACCTCGAATTCCTGGCTTCAAGCGATCCTCCCCCATCGGACTCTCCAAGTGCTGGGATTACAGGTGTGAGCCACTGTGCCTGGCCTTACTTTTTCTACAGAAGCAGAAAGCCTCTAAAGTTAGAAGGATAGAAGTGCTGGAGCAATGGAGGATGGATGGCAGATCTACCCTAAGTTCCTTTATCCCTCCTGCTCCTTGGCCTCCCTCTCCCATTGGTCTGAGGACAGGACCTTCCTACCTCTGTAGGGGGATCTCCCTGTCTCCTTCCCAACCCAGGTCTTGATGGATGTCTTCTGTACCCTAATATCCATGGCTCCCAGTCAAGCCAATCCGTCTGTGTTCTCTCTTAGCAGAAGCTTAGGCTCTGGACTTAATTTGCTTACGTAAGGCTACCCATATCTTGCTCACAGATTTATAAGCAGGACCCTCTTCCAGTGGTAAAGAGAGTTTACGCTAATGGCAAGGACTGGCCTAAATGCATTCTTTCTAGTGTTATCTGCTCCATAAATGGGAGACTTTAGAAGACTTAGGGATGAACTCACTTCTACCTAGACCCATGTCACTGACCTCTGCCCACAGCTCCTGTTGACTCCTCCTTGTCTTCAGCAACCCTGGGCTCTGGGTCCTTATTTGCACCCGCTAGTGAAGGGTCCATTTTCTCAGGTTCCGCCAGCACCTCTAACCTGCGTGTCTACAGCTGAACTTCTTGTCTCTTTGCTGTGCGTGTTCTCCTTCCATCATCCCTTCTCCCACCACATTGCCACAACCCTCTTTTCCTCGCCCTGACCCTGGTCATGACCCTAGTGTGGGCTCTCTTCTTCCCACCTCTCTCTGTCTTTTTTGGAAGGTGTTCACAGTAACTTCTTAATTGATCTTCCTACCTGTGATTCCTCTCCATTCATTCCACTCTGACTTTTGTCTTCCTTAAGCCCAGCTCTGATCTCCACTTGCTCAAGAATATGCAGCCCCACCTGATCAGTCTGGCATGAAGGCTCCTCCCAACCTAGTCTCGCCTGTGTTTATTCCATCCTCCTCTGTATTTTCCACACATCTCTTCTCCGACAATTTCCTCTGCCCATGTCCTTCTGCAAAATTCCTGGCATCCTCCCAGGCCACTTCAGATGGAAGTTTTCTCTTCTTCTCTAATCTTTTAGTCCTTGTTTGTTCTACTCAAGACCCTTCTCCATGTCTAGCCCCTTGTAGGGTCTGGCTCACAGTCACTATTAAGCAAGTGTTTATCAAATACATGCGCATCATGGTTAAAAAGTCCAGCACTCTAACGCTCACAATTTGTGCCCCAGGTGAGATCAGTAGGGACAGGTTTTTGGGGAAGGGTGACCTGCCTGGTGCCCCGCATCTTATAATCTCTGTATCAGGTGGGCTGTGACTGCCACTACGAAATAATCATAAGGAGATCCATCTTTCCTTGCTACTGACCCTCATGAATTAATCCAGTGGGTCTCCACATCCACAGTTGGACTTTTTTTTCTGCCTAACCTGGTCTGGCTCACCTAAATAGCCTATGCCATTTAGTAAAGATCGGGAAGGTAGACTTTTTGCTGCCAGATCTATCTCCTTTAAAAAAGTAACTTAGTGCCTCTGTGTAGTTGGGAAATAGCATCCCAGAGATGAATAGTGGTGAAGGTGTCACGTATGTTCCGCCACAATGGACGTAGCATTATGGATAGTTCTAGGGAAAAAATACTGACAATTTAGGCCAAAACAAAACAAAAAATTCTAGTGTATGTGGAGTAACTGCAAAATTAAAATAAACTTTTTTCTCAACTATTTCTGTTTTACTTATGTTCTGTGTTGAACTTTAGGAAATCCAAATAATGAAGATGGCATATTGGGAAATTCAAGTGTTTTAAGAAATAATCTTTAGCCTTATTGTCTTAATTTTTTTTTTTTTTTTTTTTGCTGATAATTTGTGTTTCTCCATCACTCACATCTGGGGTTGGTGCTATCCTTGCAAGTTATGGGAAATGAGTTTACCTGTGACCATGAAAGAGGGACTGATCACAGGCTTGTGTCTGCTCAGACAGACTGCTGGTGGGGGGAGCTGTATTTCTTCCAGAACACCTTCTTCTAGCTTGTGACAGAGTTCCAAAGATACAACTCTCCCTTCCTCTCCTGACATGAATCCAAGGCCTCCCTCACCTGGGGTGACAGCTTTTCATTCATCCTATTTCTTTCTGGGGTAGGGTAGTTTATGGTGTTCAGCTATTTTCCTCTGGACTGGAAGTGGCTATTGAATCTCCCCACCCAGTCAATGTGTAAGTTGTGGCTTACGTGAAGAATGACCTCAAACGTGGATCCCACAGACAGCACAAGATTTCAGCAGGTGCTAATCTCCAGATCTTGTGAAGGAAGGGAGTAAATATCGGGGGGAAATGCACGTTTTTGCCGTTGATAAAGATCTCCAGTTCTACTTGTGATTGACTTCCCAGCAAATTTCCCCATCCGAAGTACTACATCTATCCTAAATAGGTTACCTGTCTTTCTCTTAATCAGATAAGGCTTAATATTCCTGGCTGTGGCTAAACTGGCAAGCCCACTGTGATTGGTGTCTTCCATTACAGCTGCCCCAGCCTTCCAAAAACCACAAAGGAGCTGGCACTCTCTGCCCTCAGATGCTGGGTTAGGTCAAAACATATTCTATGTGTCTTATAGATCAGGAGATTCACATAATCTACTTTGGCTCATTAAGACAGGCTAGAAATTTCCTGGATTTTTTTTCCTTTAAAAAAATCATTGAGAAGAAGAGCTAAAGCCATTTAAAAAGTCAATACTGGCTCCTCATAAAAAAGTAGATTATTAATGCCAGGGTTGGTTTTCCTCTAGGACCCGGGATGCTGGCACTGCTGATTAGCATCTGGATGATCTCAGGCTTTGAGGTTGCACTTGAATCTTTTATTGGGCAGCTGTCAAGGTGAAAATAAAATGAAATAATGAAATAAAATAGAAGCTACCCTTAGTGCCTGAAAGCAAAAAAAAAAAAAAAAACAAAAAGAACAGAGTGTTTATGAGCTTGTGCAGCAACAACTTGAATTCAGAGTTGAGAAAACAGCAACGCCGCATGTGGAAACACATGTGATGTCCTACGTGGAAGGACATTTGAGGTTTGCTTTCAAACTGACTGAAATTTTAACTCAATGTCAAGGCCAAGTACGGGTGGCTCACTGGCTCGGGTTTCTGAAATGCCAGGATACCCACGCGGCTGGTAAAGCTGTCACAAGCTCCAGAGATGCCTGAATATGAACAATACCAGAGCTCCAAGCAGCCCGGGGTTTGTGCTGTCAGTGACACCTCTACCCCACGGTCCCCAGGCCCACGGTTCTGGGAGCCTTGAAAACCTGAATTTTCTAAATAAGCAGTTCAAAGAGGATGGAAGACTTTAAATCACTGTGCTGTTTGTGCTTTGGCAAACCAAACTGTAGGCCTGAGAAGTGCCCAGCCCAGTTTCCTACCCAAGAGAAGTTTCAAATGTGTTTTCCAACAAAACTCCCGGTGCTTAACAAAAGGAAGAGAAACCACTTTAATTCTTACTGCCATCCAAAATCTTAGAGACTCAATGTTAAGACCCACTGGTGGTAAGATTGGAAGATAGACAAGGTAGAGGAAAAACAGTGATACAATCTGATACGTTTTTCTTCTCATTTAAAAATCTACTTTGAATGCACTTAATCAAATATTTATTAAATGCCTACCATAGGAAAAAGTCATTGCGCTTCACTGAGGTGAAAAGGAATGTACAGATTAAAAAGAAATACAGTTGGGCTTTTGGAAAGCCTTGGAAGCACCTTGTCCACAGAGGAGGGTGTATTTAACCACTGTTTCTTGCCAATTGTCCATGGTCTGCTTCTGAGCCTGTTAATGGATGCTCTCCAGGATCTCCAGTCATGCCGTCTTGTTTGGGGAAGTGTAGCATGAGGGAGTGGTTGGCAATGGGAGGAACTGAGGCCCCTGCCTGACCCACATTGCACTGTCCCCTGTCCCGTCAACCTTCATGTGCACCTTTCAAGTTTCAGCTGAAATGTCAATCCCTATTGAAACTTTAACCAATTGCTCTGCTGTCAGTAAACTCTCTGTCATTTCCACCTCCCCAAACATGTCATCTATTCATGGTGGAAGCATGAATTTGCAACTAGACAGACCTGAGTTTGGCACTGTCTGCCATTTACTAGTTGTTTGGCCTTGGGTAAGTTACTCAGGCTCTCTGCGTCTCAGTTCCCTCCCCCGCAAATGGGGAATGTCAATAACTCCTCCCTTAAAGAGTTGTAACAATGAAAGCTGATAATTTATCCAAGTGCTTAGCAGCGTGATTGGCATAGCATAGACACCCCAGAAATGTGGACTGAGAAAATGAGTGAAAGCTAGCTAGATGTCAGCATCCTGGGGTCTGATTCATCTCTAAGGCTGGGCACTAGAAATCCAGCAGTAAGCACTTTTAGACTCAAATCATCCTTAACCCCACCTGTGTGATTTTATTCTTTGTGCATATGAAGCTGTTTTGTTTTCCACTGTAATGTACTGGCTACAGCTGCAGCAGAAGGGAAAGCTTTGAAGGAAGTGACCTTATTTACATTTGGGTGTTATGCTGACCCCACTCTAGACACTGCATTAAGTACTTTCTTTATATTACATCTTTGGATCCTCATAACTCTAAAAGGTACACACAGATGAGGAAACAGAGGCACTGAGAGGATGAGGAACTTGGTACATGAATCCAGCTCTGTCTGATTCCAGAGCTCTTGTTCTCACTCATTAAATCTGATGACTCTCGGAAGAGCAGAGAGGGAAGATGTCTGATTGTACAGGAAGGATGCAACTGATGCTTTCCTTAGCTTGCAGAGGAACAGCCCAGGAGGTGGAGTGATCTTTGTACCTAGAAGCATGTGTGAGAAGTCTTCTGTGTACATAATTAGAATAAAAATCTTTATATGATTTTTATCAAAAAATAAGGTTTTCTTTTTTCTTTTTTTTCTTGAGACGGAGTTTCACTCTTGTTGCCCAGGCTAGAGTGCAATGGTGAGATCTCAGCTCACCACAACCTCCAACTCCCAGGTTCAAGTGATTCCCCTGCCTCAGCCTCCCAAGTAGCTGGGATTACGGGCATGTGCCACCACGCCCGGTTAATTTTATATTTTTAAGTAGAGATGGGGTTTCTCCATGTTGGTCAGGCTGGTTGCAAACTCCCAAAAAATAAGGTTTTCTTAACAAGGCTTCTTGGTTGATGGATGTAGAGATACTGTGAACATCTATCTCTACACTATCATCTGCCTTCGGCACAGTCAGTCAGCTTCAGCTCCCAATTCCTAATGCGGCAAATGTCTATATGGCTGAACTGGACAGTGAGCACTGGGGTTCATCAAGTGCGAGTCAACAGGAATTTTCCGGAAAGCATCAGATTATTTTGAATCTTGCAGATGCCAGCCCCACATAAGCCAACGTTAATCCATCCTGCTTTATCCATCTGCCCTTCATCCTCTGGGATGAGATCTGCATGTACAGAAAGGGAAAGGTGCTAGAGAGAAAAGGTGTGGAAGAAAACACTTGCATTCAGAAATGGAGTTCCTTCTTCCCCTCAGTCTCTCGTTCCCTTAGAATACCTGCTGGGCATTGCTGGTCTGGAGGCAGTGGAATAGAATGAATAGAAAGGGAGCAGCTTGGTTGGCTTGGGAAGCTTCTCAGATCAACTCACAGAAAGTGCAGTGAACAACAAGACCAGTGATAAATGTGATAGTGTCTCTGAAACACCTTGGAGCCTGATTTCAGAATTGAGATTTTCTTTATCACATATGCTTTTCCATGAGTCGGAAACCTCATTCTATTATAATAGACATCATCCTGTTAACGTGTCTACATGGGCCTCTTTTTCTGCAGCTCCCCAGTCTGTATCACCATCCACCTCACTGCTCATGCTAGAGACTTAGGAAACATCCTGTTCCTCTCTTTCACTCACTCCCCACAGCCAATCCATCAGCAGGTCCTGCCTGCCAGTCTCGTCCAGACACTCACACCAACCCCCTACCATGTGTTCAATTTCTGTCTACATCACCCCCAATCCCTACAACACACAAGTGCCTCTTGGCTGCCCCTTTGCTTCTGGGCACATTGGGTAGGGAATTCCAGGGTCCTGGGCACAAACATGGACAAGCAGGGGTTGGTGTGGGCTCTGAATACTCACAGCACCTTGAGGCCGAGGACTCCTCACCTCAGCAAGGCTCAGGTGGGGGAGGCCGGCCGGGACCTCCTAAAGCTGGGGTCCCTGTTGTCAGGGCAAGGAAAGGGATGCCCTTGATTCTATCTCCAACTCTCCTCCTGAATGAGGGTACCCACTTCTCCCTTCTCCACTGCCAGCATTCTAGGCCAAGTCACCAACAGCTGGTCCGTGCTCTCGGTGACCCCTCCCTGCTCTCTATTCTCCTCGCAGCCCCCAGAGTGACCTTGTGAAAATATAAAGCAGATCATCTCAACACCTTGCTTAAAACCTCCCCCTCACGCTTAGAATAAAATCCCAACTCCCTGACCTTCTAGGCTCTCTCTGGGGTGACCGGGTACCGTAGGGAGGGGCACACACTTTCGGTGACTATCCTTGGAGTTAATGGCATCAGGTTTGGCACCAGACGGCCTGGGCTCGGATTCCACTGAGCTACTTTTTACTTGTGTAAACCTCAGCAAGTTACTCAAACCTTCTAAGCCTTAATTTCCTCGTCTATAAACTGGCGATGACATTGTAAGTAGCTGCTTCATAGAGCTGCTGTCAGGATTCATTGGGACGTTGGTGAAAAGTGCTCAGTACATTCACTTTCAATACTAGCTGATAAAAGAATCCTAACAATAGAAACATTAACTTAAACACTCAGGGTCTCACCTTCAAATACTAGCTTTTCATGTCCTTACTTGGCTGATAAGCCACGCTGTCTATAAACTAAATAACTGAAGACAAGGTAACAATTAAATTAATGAAATAATAAAACTATAAAATTAATAACTAGAAAATATCCAGAATACCATGATAAGATTGTCTAAGAATTTTTTTTTAAATCATTTGAAGGGCTACCCCTTTTTCAGAGTAAGACTCACACCTACCATATCCCTGACCTGCAACTGTCCAGCCCCTCCAGAGCTGGGGCATCCTGATTGAGTAGGGGAGCCATTATATTTTCAGCTAATACCCATTTTATGAGGAACATTCTGTAAAACCAAAATTGATCTTCCCTTAGTGAACACCCACTAGTCTTGTTTCACCCAGTGGCATTCCTCAGACAGAGCAACTTTAAATAAGTGCAGATGGCTGTCTTGTTCTCCACTGAACAGGCTCTCCTAGGGGTGAAAGCTCCCAGGTCCTCAACCCTTCCTCACAGTACGTGGTTTCTAGCCCCTATCATTCTGATGTTGCTTTTCTGAGCATGCTGGTCTGGGAATGTCTCTTTTGAAAGGGGCTACTCAAAGTAAACATTATCTTCCAGAGGTGGTCTTGGCATACTGAACAGAGTCAGATGTTACTTCCCTTTTTCTTAACACAGTCCACAGTCAAGGAACACATTCCCTTCCCTGGAAGACATATTTCACTGCTTCCAGTCAACTAAAATCCCCATGCTTCATGCACACTTCCTTCCAGCCATGCCTTCCCATCAACATTTATCTGTTTTGTCTCATCCATTTATGAGCAGGATTTTACATGTATTCCTATCTACTTCATTTGATTGACATCTTGATACTATCCTGGCCTCTCTAGATCATTGTGGATTATGAGTCTATCAGCCACTGGCTGGCATATACAGTTTCAAGTCACACAAGCATTGCTTTAGCAGGTCATCCATGCTAGTCACTGACAAAGCTATTGAACAGAGTCCTGCCATCTGCTATCCGGATCTGCCTTCAGCCTCACAGGGGCTTATTAACTACCACTCTTTACCCTTGATTATTAGACCAGTGTGGGGGACATACCCCAAGGTGGCCCCTAGTGACTCAGGCCCTTGTGTAATCCCTTCCCCTTGAATGTTTGCTTACAGCCCATCTTCTGATGCCCTGAAATTCTCTTTATGTTAAACTCCCTAAGGGTGAGGACCGTTGGTTTCATTTGTATACCCCAGACTGCTGAGCACAGCATCTTCCACCAGTACTTTCAACTTAAAACCTGTGAAAATAGTTTGTGACTGGAAAATACTGTTAATATATGATGCTACAATTCTTCAACTGTGGACTTAGTCTGAGTCAAGGACTTTTAATTTATATGGATGATCTGGATAACAGTAAAATTCAGATTATACGTATGTATTCATTCATTTATTTGTTTATTTAGGAGATGGGATATTGCTATGTTGCCCAGGCTGGTCTCAAACTCCTGGTCTCAAGCGATCCTCCCACCTCAGCCTCCGAAAGTGTTAAGATTACAGGCATGAGCCAGCACACCTACCAAAACTCAGATTTTATAAGCAAGACACATCGTTTCCTTCCTCTGTGACCTTACTGTGACCTCTGTGTTACTGTGATGGCCAACCATTCATCTACTCATGACATGTAACTCCCTTAATGGTAGCTTTGTGACCCAAAAGACTTGATCTTGCTTTCAGAGGAGCTTGATTTATATTGCATTGAAATAGCTCAAGGACCAAGAAAATTCAAATTAACCAACCTTTCACTCAACAAATAATTAATGGAGTCCCTTTAAGTACTGTCCACAGATTCTTAGTTACACTTCTTTTCAAGATGTGGAACTTAATTCCACTTGCATTGAGTGTGGGCTGGACTTAGTGACTTATTTCTAAGAAACAGAATGAAGTGGATGTGATGGTGTGTGGCTTCTGAGGCTAGTATGTCATGGTATCTTCCTTCTTGTTCTCTCTCTTGAATTCCTTGTTCTGGCAGCAGCCAGCTGCCACATTGTGAGGACACTCAAGCAATTTCACACAGCAAGGAACTGAGGCCTCCTGCCAAGAGCTATGTGAACAGGCCACTTAAGTAGCAGACCCTCCAGCCACAGTCAAGCCTTCAGATGACTGCAGCTCTGGCTGAGATCTTGACACAACCTCATGAAAAACAGTGAGTCAGGACCATCTAGCTAAGCTGCTCTTGAATTCCTGGTCCACAAAAACTATGAGATGATGAATATTTATTGTTTTAAATTGCCAAGTTTTAGAGTAACTTGTTATGCAGCAATAAACAACTAATACAAATACAAATTCAGAATTTTGACTTACCTTGTAGTATTGTAAAATTCTTGATGAGCTGACCATGCTTGGAGTCTACTAGCTTCATTTCTTCCATAATCACTGATAAGTTGGCTACTTCAGTGTCTAACCTCGACCTCATCAAATCTTGTTGCATCCTGAGAGAAACAGAATCCAAACGGATGTTGGCCAGGGTATTATTCAAGGAGGTCAGATCATCTGTGTGTTTGGTAAGGGTATCTGTGCAAGTGGTCCTGACTTCATTTAGATTGCTGGTCAGCGTCCGCAGGTGGTGGGCTGTGTAACTGATATTGCTAATGATGTTCACAATATCCGTCTCAAAGAGCTGGAAGCGTTCCTCCAGTTGGTTGAACTTGATGGCTGTTCTATTCTCTGCATCTTTGTGTAAGTCCTGCAGGTCTTTCAGGTTCTGCTCGTTGGCTTGAGAGATAGTGGTGATGTTCTCCATCTGACCTGTGAATGAGTTGAGCTGGCTGTTCATATCCTCCAGGGTGTCGTTGTTGGCTTTGGCCAACGCAGAGTTGTTGGCAGCCAGCGTCTGCAAGCTCTGCACTTTCTCCTTCAGCCAATCCGTGTCCTTCTTGGCTTGAAGAAAAACCTGCTGCAGATTTTGAAAGTCGTTCTTGATTCGCTGGATAGCCTGGCTTGTGTCATCCACAGACCGCTGCAGATTCGTGATGAGGTTCCTCTGCTGCACCTGGGTCAGGTTCAGGTTGTTGAGGTTCATGATGACCACATTATGAGAATACATTTGGTTCTGCAGATTGCCCTGGAGCACGCTGGTATCTTGCTGCAGATTCGTGACATAGCCATTATACGCCTGGAGGGTTTTGTTTACAGTGGTGATGAGGAAAGAGTTATTCTCCAAAGTTTCTTTCAATTGACTCTGCCTGTCCACCAGAGCATCCCCGCTCGCCTGTAACTTCTCCAGCGTATCCTTGTTCTTGCTGGTTTTTTCTGTAATCTCACGAAGTTGCTGACGGAGATCTAGAATGTCTGATCTGAAGGTGGAGAGTTCTGAGTTGGTGCTGATAGCTTTCTTCCCAGTTTGGTCACCTGGAATAAGAAATATCTGTGACTTATATTGGTGGTATGGAGAAGTGTTCAGGCAAGGCCAAAGATCCCGAACACACTTAATCGGTATGCACTGTATTTTAGATGCAAAATTGGCAGTATAAGCGGACAGCTCTGCATTAGTAAAATGTACATATCTATTAAAACTGGGTCCTGGGGAATCGGAAAAGAAGCTCAGAACTAGGAATGACAAACTTGGCTGAACATTTTTCTCAAAGAGGGAGGGGGAATTTACTAGATTTTAGGGCAGTGGGCAGGCTGTCAAGAAGAAACTAACCTTTTAAATTTCCCAAATTTTTTTTTAATGAAAGCAAAAATCAAGGAATAGAATATGCTAGGATCTTTCACTTTATAACTTAATTTCTACAATTCTATGTAGTTTAAAGTATTTCAAAAATGCTCAGTAAATTCCTATTTATGTGACAGTTTTTAATAAAGGGTATTTGTGTTTTTTTTCAGTCAGGATTGATCTTCAGATATTATTTGGCACATAATAGTTTTCTTGGCAGGACTTAATTCCAAAACTGACCCTTAACTTTAAAATTTAAGCATTTGAATTAAATCATGAGGGGAGACTCAACATGCAACACAAAAATTGAATGTCCTTCCGGGTGAATGGGGAGTTTATAGCAACATCATTCTAAGAAGCTGTGGTCATTTATGTAGAGTCAGGGGATTTCATGGTTTAGTCTTGTCACAGATTACCTAATTTTTTCAGGTCACTTTCCACTGCTGTGAGCTTGTCATCATAGGTTTGGCGAGATGTTTCCATGCCACCTGTGACATTGTCCATTTTCTCTACAACTAAGATTTGGAAAATGATGCATTAGTATACATATCTGCTCATATTTTATTTTTCAGTTTCAAAACAAGAGATCATTTCATTATGGAACAAAGGAAACAGATTGAACGAAAACAGTGTAACTGAAATCAAATATAGGAAAGAAAAGCCATCTTTTTGGAAAAATAACTTACTTGTCACAAAACCCAGGGGTACAATTTACTTAGTTGAGAATTGTATGTTCTTAACTATTCTTATGATTCTGTAATGCCTTGGATGTTTCAGAAATCATTTGGAACTAATTTAAAAATTTTCATGCATTTTAGAAGTCCCTAATCTGCTATTTCCTATATTAATTTCCATAGATGAAGGCAAGGCACACTGTGATAATTTACAAAATGTTGTCACTCATCAGCTTCCCTAACATTCTTGGCAGGTGGGACTCATTTACCTAGAAGAGGATTCCATTGGCAAGGAAAACCCAGCTCAATTCTATACACAAAATCGGCATAGAAAGGTTGCAAAGTCAAGAGTGTCTGCCACTTTCTGTTATGAGTTCCACCACAAGGCCCTGAAAATCTGCTTTTTGTTAGTGACAACTGATTCTGTAGTTTGTCAGTTCTCAAGTAGATGCCTGAGTGGTGTTTCCAAACAATGATTTGCCAAGAAGTATTTTTTGGTAGTATTTTCTTGATTGCATATGATAGGGAAAGTAATGCCACTGATAGGGTTTGGCTGTGTCCCCACCCAAATCTCACCTTGAATTATACTCCCCTAATTCCCATGTGTTGTGGGAGGGACTTGGTGGGAGATAATTTGAATAATGGGGGTGGTTTCCCCTATACTGTTCTGGTGGTAGTGAATAAGTCTCACAAGATCTGATGGTCTTATCAGGGGTTTCCACTTTTGCATCTTTCTAATTTTCTCTTGCCGTCCCAAATGTTAACCCCCAAGACAATGGGGAAAATGTCTTCAGGGCATGTCAGAGCCTTCCTGGCAGCCCTTTCCATCACTGGCCTGGAGGCCCAGGAGAAAATGGTTTCGTGGGCCAGGCCCAGGGTCCCCATGCTGTGTGCAGCCTAGGGACTTGGTGCCCTGCTTCCCAGCCACTCCAGCCATGGCTGAAAGGGGCCAATGTGGAGCTGGGGCCGTGGCTTCAGAGGGTGCAAGTCTCAAGCCTTGGCAGCTTTCATGTGTTGTTGAGCCTGTGAGTGCACAGAAATCAATAATTGAGGTTTGGGAACCTCCGCCTGGATTTCAGAGGATGTATGGGAACTCTTGGATACCCAGGGAGAGGTTTGCTGCACGGGTGGGATGTGCATGAAGAACCTCTGCTAGGGCAGTGTGGAAGGGAAATGTGGTGTCGGAGCCCCCACACAGAGTCCCTACTGGGGCACTGCCTAGTGGAGCTGTGAGAAGAGGGCCACCGTCCTCCAGACCCCAGAAGGGTAGATCCACTGACAGTTTGCACCGTTCACCTGGAAAAGCCACAGATGCTCAACACCAGCCATGAAAGCAGCAGGGAGAGAGGCTGTACCCTGCAAAGCCACAGGGGTGGAGCTGCCCAAGACCATGGGAACCCACCTCTTGCGTCAGCATGACCGGGATGTGCGACCTGGAGTCAAAGGAGATAATTGTGGAGCTTTAAAATTTGACTGCCCTGCTGACTTTGAACTTGCATGGGGCCTGTAACCCCTCTGTTTTGGCCAATTTCTCCCATTTGGAAAGGCTATATTTACCCAATACCTGTAACCCTCATTGTATCTAGGAAGTAACTAGCTTGCTTTTGATTTTACAGGCTCATAGGCGGAAGGGACTTGCCTTGTCTCAGATGGGACTTTGGACTGCAGACTTTAGGGTTAATGCTGAAATGAGTTAAAACTTTGTGGGACTGTTGGGAAGGCATGATTTGTTTTGAAACGTGAGGACATGAGATTTGGCAGGGGCCAGGGGTGGAATGATACAGTTTGGCTGTATTCTCGCCCAAATCTCATCTTGAATTATATCTCCCAGAATTTACATGTGTTGTGGGAAGGACCCAGTGGGAGATAATTTGAATCATGGGGGCGGTTTCCCCCATACTGTTCTCATGGTAGTGAATAAGTCTCACGAGATCTGATGGGTTTCCACTTTTTCATCTTTCTCACTTTCTCTTGCTGCTGCCGTGTAAGAAGTGCCTTTTGCCTCCCACCATGATTCTGAGGCCTCCCCAGCCATGTGGAACTGTAATTCCAGTTAAACCTCTTGTTCTTCCCAGTCTCGGGTATGTCTTTATCAGCAGCATGGGAACGGACTAATACAGCCACACTAAATAAAAGCTTCAGTTCTTATTCATTTTCAGAAGGCAGTAATTCTCTACAGTTATGAATTCAAGTACACGTTTCTAAAATGTTAAATAAGAGGATGTTTCTCCAAAAGTGATTTATGTGAGATACAGCTTCTAGCAGCTTGGGATCAAGTCTGACTGTCCTTCTTAGTATCAATAGCTTAAAAAAAAAGACTTCAGACCGGGCATGGTGGCTCACGCCCGTAATTCCAACACTTTGGGAGGCTGGGGTGGGTGGATCATTTGAGCTCAGGAGTTCAAGACCAGCCTGGCCAACATGGTGAAACCCCATCTCTACTAAAAATACAAAAATTAGCCGGTTGTGGTGGTACACGCCTGTAACCTCAGCTACTTAGGAGGCTGAGGCAGGAGAATTGCTTGAACCTGGGAGGTGGAACCAGGAGAATTGCTTGAACCTGGGAAGTGGAGGTTGCAGTGAGCCGAGATCACGCCATTGCACTCCAGCCTGGGCAACAGAGCGAGACTCTGTCTCAAAAAAAAAAAAAAAAAAGACTTCAAAAAATGAGAACATGCTTTATATATCAATTATGAGCCAACGGATCTAATTTATTGTATTCATCACATGTTCTACCCACGCATGACTGTGTGAGATTCTCCTGGCTCCTCTCAGGAAGAAGTAGTAAGTTCCCATGTGTTTGTGTGACCCAAAGTGAACTGGCTCCTTGGATCCTGGAATTGTCCCTGGAGAAGCTCACTGTTTTCCCTCAAGCTTCTACCGTCTGGTCATAATGAAATGTGTGCACTGCGACAAACACTCTCTCACACGAGCCTTTCCATGTGTTCTCTCTACCTAGAATGTTCTTCCCTGTTTTTTTTTTTTACTGAGCTAAGTCCTATTTGCTCTTCAAGACTCTGCTTGTCACTTCCTGTGGGAACCCTTTGCCGAGGTGCACCTTGCAGAATTCCCCTGGCAAGTAGTCCTTTCTCTATTATGGGACTCACTGCACTGTGCTGTCATGACTTATCTACTATTATATCCTTTAGGGCAGGAAAATTTACATTCAATTCCATCTCTTCCTCTTAGCTCAGTGTGTGGCACTTTGTAGGTAGTCAATGAATATATATTTATTATGTCATTTATTTATTTAATTTTTTATTAGACGGAGTTTCACTCTTGTTGCCCAGGTTGGAGTACAATGGAATGATCTTAGCTGACTGCAACCTCCGCCTCCCAGGTTCAAGTGATTCTCCTGCTTCAGCCTCCCGAGTAGCTGGGATTACAGGAGCCTGTTACCACGCCCGGCTAATTTTTGTATTTTTATTATACTTTAAGTTTTAGGGTACATGTGCACAACGTGCAGGTTTGTTACATACGTATACATGTGCCATGTTCGTGTGCTGCACCCATTAACTCGTCAATTTTTGTATTTTTAGTAGAGATGGGGTTTCTCTATGTTGGCCAGGCTGGTCTCGAACTCCTGACCTCAGATGATCTGCCCACCTTGGCCTCCCAAAGTGCTAGGATTACAGGAATGAGGGATTTATTTAAATAAGTAGCAATCTGCCGGCTGAGCTACAGGGCAAGCAAACACGTGTTTCCCAACCAACCCAGGGAAGCCTGAGCATTGGCAGTGAGTATGACATTTCGCTGAGTAATTATTATTTTTAAAATTACTACATAGACAGAGAGATGCAGTTCTAATAATCTGTACCTTAGGGTTGCTTCATAGGTACACATACTCCTAAATCCCTGGAAACTCTCAAGAATAAAATGTTGCATATGTGTTTTTAGCAAAGCTAATTTTTAAGAACTAAAATACAGAATGTTTACAGGTTTAGGTTCAGTTTTGATCCTCAAATCAAAACATATGCCTCGGTCTGTCCTCAAACCACATGCAGGATCTCAAGTCCTGCCCTTCTTTCCTGGAAGCCAAAGAAACCTTCAAATATGCTGACAGTCAGTCATTTTCTACCCTTTCTACTTTTTCTTCCATTTTAGTTTTGAAAAACAGAGAACTGTCATGGACAGATAACTCAGGTTTGTGTAGAATAAATACAAAAGGGATAAATACATTCATTAAAAAAAAGAACAAAAAAAATCTGTCGACGTTTTCTTCTGTGCAGCAAAAGGAAACTATTTTCCCTGCCCACAAGTGCTAATGAACAGTTTACATGCACTGGGGGGTGTGTGTCTTTGTTTAACAATAGGATCTGGTATAAAGCTGGAAATGTTAGGATTGCAATGCTGGAACCTGCTACTGCATAAAAATACCAGACTGGTGGAGATCCAGAACTTACCCTTGCTGTAACAGCACACAGCACTTTCATTGACTTTTATTCTGAATTTATTAGCACCAATTCTCAATCAGGAATACAGTCGCAGAGCCATCCTGTATTACCCTGGAAATTCCCAGTCTATAGACATAGACCTCAGTTTGCAGACCATTCTCACATGAGAAAAATGAGCAGGATACACAGAAGGGTGACCAGCAGTCTGGTTTCTCATAGGCTCTCCTGTATTGGGAATTGTTTCTTAAGGTAGAATTTTTCTACAGAATATTGGTGTTTCAGGTATTATACCTGAAGATCTGTCCCTCTTCAAGTATCCAAAGTATAATTCTCTAGGATACTCTGACAATAAAACCTTTTTTATAAAAGCACTTCGGTATCATCCCTTGGCCTGGGCCACTAACTTCTTCTTCCCTCGTCTTGACTCCACTTCTCCTTGAAGGTCCGCTCCACACCTCACTACCCCATTGTACTCAGCCACACCTACAAGTTGATTCCACTGCACACCAACTCGATCTTTATTTGAATGATAATAATAATAGCCTCTATTTATCGAGTGCCTGCTCTTTGCCGGATGCACTACACCATCACTGCAGTTAATCCTTCCAACTGCTGTTTTGTAGATGAAGAGATTGAGGCTCACAGATGTTCAGTAACTTGCTAAAAAGTCACACAGCTTGTCAGTGACTATGTGGGATACCAGGCTGGAAGGTTTAACTCCAAAATCCATGCTCTTTCTATGACTCCGTATCACCTCTCTTTTGGTATTTCTTTTTCCTAAATCTGGTTTCCTCCAATAAAGAATCCCTTAAGGGGAAGAATTATTTCTGTTTATATTCTCTTTAAAGTTAACATCACCAGACATTTACCAAGTATCTGCCATGTAGGTGGCATAGTGCTAGACATTGAGGATTCAAGAGACACAGGCCATGGTCTCGGCCCTGAGGACAGAGCACAGAGCTCCTAGCTGGTGCTCACACGTTTTTGTACCAGACTGATCATGGCACTGTGGGATAAATACTTCCTCTCTCTGGGACCTGGGGCTTCCCAGTAACATTAGTTACACTCCTCTGGAATTTAATAAAGGCATTTCTACCTTGAACACCATTTTAGGTTTCCTTACAGAAATACAGAAAATCTGATTGTAGGGTGTTATCCTGGATCCTAAAGCGCTCTCCAGTGTGATTTGATGTGTATTTTGAAAGCCTAAATAGTAATCCAGTTGTAAACTGCTACACTGACCCAGCTTAGCAGCAAAGTAGACTACCAGTGACTAGGAATGTTGAATTAAAGGAGATCCTTATTGAGAAAGATTCAGATTTCTGTCTTTTTTCTTTTTCCTAATTACCTTTAGAAGGTTGCCTGTTGGAAAGGATAATGGAGTAGGATTTTCCTGTTCAGGAAATATTCTGGAAGAAACATGACACATTGAACTTAAGAGATGACTCCTGCTATGGAAGCTCTGTTGACTAATGATAAAAAGCCCGGGGCAGAGGATGTACCAAGCTCAACTGTCCAAGAACATGTTTTCTGCAAAGTGGCTGATACGCCTCACAGTCACGACCACTGCACAGACCCTGTCTGGGTGACTGAGCGATTCTCTGGCTTCTTCAGCAAATTCTCTTGATGGAAGCTCATTGTATTCTAACTTGTGGCTATGTAAGTGACATGAAAGAAGAAAAGAACAATTTTGAGCAAAACAGTATGAAGTTGCCTTTGCCAGCTCTGATAAATAAAAGTTTTTACTCCTTTCCTTTCGATTTCTCCTTCAGAGGAATGCCTTATTGTGTTTCTTTCATTGAATATTCTTTTCTTTCTTTCTTTTGTAACGGAGAGAGTTTCTCTAGACTTCAAAGGGGGAATGTGTGAAGGGAGAACTGGGTTTTATCTTTCTGCCTCTTACAACATTGGGTCACTAGAATCTTACCAGCAAGAAAGAGGAGTCACTGTGTGAGTAAAGAGAAAGCACATCTGGAAAATATCAACATTTTAGTTCATTAATGGTGTGTTTGGAAAGCAAAAGTGCATGTTGTATTATCTTTTTTTTGGTCAGTGGAGGCCTGAAGGAGGGGGGCACTGAAGGAAAGAAAAGAGGGGCAAGACATCATCTCGTTTCCCCTTGTACTTGCTCCCCATTATCTCTTCTTCCTTCATCTTGGTGAGACTGCCCCCACAGAGCAGGCCAAGCCAATCTCCAAAACATTAGGTTTCCAGGCAGGGCTTTTAGGGGCAGCTATCCCCTAGATGCAGATTGGCTTAGAGGTCCCTGAGCATCTGCTGTTTGCCTTCCTGGAAGGCAGCCCTAATGCACAATCCATCAATCCATCCATGCATCCATCCATCCATCCATCCATCCATCCATCCATCCATCCATCCTCCCATTAATTCATTCAGTGAACTTTCCTGGGCAATGGTTAAATATCATGAGACTAGGTGCTGGTGGGAGATATAATAAATAAAAGGTAGTCTCTTGTCTTCATGGAAACTCGTAGTTTGGGTGGTGACACAGACAAGTCCACTGACTCTAATGACACAGTGTGACAGGGGCTAAGAGTAAATGCTGGGTGCTATGGGAACAAACAGGAAGGGGCCTAATTCAGCTTTCGGGAGCTGCCATGTGTCTACATGAGACATGAAGGGTGGGAGGGAGGCACTTTAGCTGGAGAGCAGAGAAAAGGTGCTGTGGGCAAATGGACCAGCACACGCACAACACGCCAGAGCCAGGAAGGGCTTTCCATGGATAAAAAGGGAGGAAATATCTGTACCTTAACAAACAAACAGAAAAAAAAGAAAGGAGAAAAAAAGCCTCTTCTTTGACTCTTTTTGTATAATTCTGAATGCATAAATGTCCCAGACTTTATTTCCTAGCACAGGTAAAAATTACAACATGTTATATATTTGCCAAACCACTCTCATCTCTCTTTTAGCAGTAAATGTGATTACACAGTACTGAGGCTTAAAAGTACTTATTAAATGGCTGATTTCAAGCTTCTCCTTTATCTTGGCTCACTAGGAAAAGTCATGGAGAAGTGAGTAATGACCTAAATAATCTAAACAAAAGGAAGAGAGATAGTCCGGATTACCTGGGACATGGAAAACCCTCCTTTCTCTCATCAGCTTCCCACCCCACCTCTGCCCAGCGCTAATCATGATTTAATAGCCTTCCTTAATCACTTACTCTGTTTGCTGCTTCATCTAAAAACTTAAGATGCTCTGGGTTAGATCACAGTCTAACTCATCACAAATGGATAGAACGACCTGGTAGTTTTCCAGATTTCCATTGTCCAAACTAATCAGCCAACACACTCAATGATGCACATTATTTTCCACGTATATGGCCTTAGAGATGGGACTAAAAGTCCCGACTGTACTGAGGATGTTTGACAGGTTTTGCCATTCTAACTGCTAGTGCTGTGTAATGTGGCTAGGAAGAAGCAAGGAACAGAGAGATACAGATATGATTTCCTGGGACCAGCTATAGGAGAGATTCTTCAATTACATCATCTTTGCTCATCCCAAACACCTTGACAAGTAGCATTATTACTGCCATTTTGCAGATAAGAAATCAGAAGCTCTAAGAGGCTATGATTCACACCTGGGTATGGAGCCATGCAGAAGACATAGCATGACCCCTGGCACAGTAGCAAGCACTTACTGAACATTCACAATTGTATTAAAAATGGTAGGATCAAGGCTTGAACTTGGACTGTCTGGCCCTGACACCCATCTCATTCCAATACACACTGTGCTTTCTCAGGAAACTGCTACATGCTGGGAGAGAGGTGGGAGGAATGACCAGTTGGAGGGAATTCACTTGGAGTCTTTCTTTTCCTGGGTCAGTCTGTGGGCCACACAGCAGAGGGAAGACCTGATGATCCACAGACTCCACGTCTGCCTCTGTTCTGAAACCAAATGGCCGTGTTTGCCTCACGTGTCTTTTAAAGAAGGTTTCCCTGGCTGTTTTCTAGAAAAGGGCTTATGTAGTTTTGTGATTCTGAATCACGACACCTTCTACCTATGGTCTCTGAAAGGTGCATGGGGAACTTACTGTGTCTGCAAGTCTGGAGGATTCAGGCAAAAATCCTGCCCTTACCCTAAACCAGATATGTTTAGGCCCAACATCCTATAAAGTAGGGTGAGGTGGTAGTGCTGCCTCTGTGCTTAATTTCTACAGGGCAGTATTTTTATAGAGCTATATAAACAACAGTGACCACAGTGAATGTGCTGCAGAGAAAAAAGGGAATTAGTTGGCCGATCCCTGGGTGAAGTATGTTGTATCTCTGGAGATCTTGTGTTTTGCTTATTCTCTGTCAATATAGTTTTCCTGTGTGCTGACTCCAGGGTTTCCATAAAGCCTCCAAGAGATAGGACGAAAGAAAAAAAAATAGAGGAAGAAGGAGTAGCTAGAAATAGGTAGAAAAAAGCAACAAGGGAAAAAAAACTTTATAACTCTCAGAGAGGACGCTGATTATTGCTGAAATGAGTCAAAAGGAATTACTATGTCCCCCCTTTCAGATCTCATAGCTGTAAGTTTAAGATACAGAGATGAAGTTTATCATGTTGTTATTTTGCATCTGAGTTGTATGAATGAAATACTTCGTATTTGCAAATATGAGTTTTCTCATGCTTAAATTAATGAAGGAACACTTGTTATTTGGAAGAAAAAAAAGAAAGCATGCTTACCTTTATATCCCAAAATGGCTACTGTGATTGTTAGCAAGGCACACAAAATGTATAATAATATGATAGAAAACTTCAGTGCCCAGTTATTTTTACATTTGGTACATTGTGTTCCTTCCTGAATACCTGTAAGAGAAGTCAAATTTTAATAACAGTAAGCAAAGATGTCATTTTAAAATTTATCTTTTTGCATTTAGGTTCAAATATTGGGACTAAGAATAATTTTTACAAATGCCTTACTATACTATGAGAACTATTTTGACAGTAAACACACTGCTTGAGCAACATAAGCACTTCAATATTACCATTCTATTGTTATAGCTGTATTTAATATGACTTAAAAATAGCACATAACTTTGTTTCATAGAATACAGTCATGCATCAGTTAATGGGGATACATTCTGAGAATGGCATCATTAGGCAATTTCATCACTGTGTGAACATCCTGGAGCAGGGATCCCTAATTCCCGGGCCATGGACTGGTACCAGTCTGGTGGCCTGTTAGGAACCGGCTGCACAGCAGGAGTTGAGTGGCAGGTGAGCCAGCATGACCACCTGAGCTCTGTCTCCTGTCAGATCAGTGGCAGCATTAGATTCTCTTAGGAGCGTGAACCCTATTGTGAACTGCACATGCGAGGGATCTAGGTTGCATGCTCCTTATGAGAATCTGACTAATGCCTGATGATCTCAGGTGGAGCAGTTTCATCCTGAAACCATCTCCCGCCCCCTGTCCATCCATGGAAAAATTATCTTCCATGAAACTGGTCCCTGGTTCCAAAAAGGTAGGGGACCACTGTCCTAGAGTGTACTTACACAGTCCTAGATGGTATAGACCAGCGGTCCCCATCTTCTTCCCCAATTTTTCCATGGACCAGAGTAGGGGTAGGGATGGTTTCGGGATGATTCAAATGCATTCCATTTATTGTGTACTTTATCTCTATTATTATTACATTGTAATATATAATGAAATAATTATACAACTCACCATAATGTAGAAACAGTGGGAGCCCTGAGCTTGTTTTCCTGGAAATAGATGGTCCCGTATGGGTGCGATGGGAGACAGTGACAGATCACAGGCATTAGATTCTTATAAGGAGCGCACAACCTAGATCCCTCACATGCACAGTTCACAACAGGATTCGCGCTTCTTTGAGAATCTAATGCTGCCACTGATCTGACAGGAGGCGGAGCTCAGGTGGTCATGCAAGTGATGGGAAATGGATGTAAATACAGATGATGCTTCACTCACTCGCCCACTGCTCACCTCCTGCTATGCAGTCCAGTTCCTAACAGGTAACTGGTCCATGGCCCTGGGGGTTGGGGACCTCTGGTATAGACTACTACACACCTAGGCTACATGGTATGGCCTGTTGCTCCTAGGCTCAAACCTGTACAGCATGTTACTGTACTGACAGGCAACTTTATTTCTGGCAACTTTAACACAATGGTAAGTATTTGTGTATCTAAACATAGAAAAGGTACAATAAAAATACAGTTTTATAATCTTATGGGACTGCCATCATCTATGCAGTCCATTGTTGACTGAAACGTTACGTGGCACATGACTGTAGTTTCAAATCAAATTCCATTATGATAATTACGATGATAATTTCAATAAAAATCTCTGTATGACAAAATATTTAAACATTCAAATTTACTTATTTCAGACACTGTTAGGCCTACAGCAATTCAAATACAACAAAAAAATCCTATTGATTGGTCCCTTGATGTTTGTTTCAGTGGCATGCTGAAGTTGGTTCCTACTGGCTTGTAAGAGCCAACTGTTAAATTTGTAAGAACTTTGAGAGCTGGTTGTGAAACTGTTGGTAGCTTGAAATCAGCCCTGCAGGGAGTATTTACACCATAGAAATTGGCAAACACCGCGAATTAGGATGGCCCCCATTCCCTGGCCGCAAACAACTAGTTTACCGGCATGCCACTGGTTGTAATGTATTATAACCTATGGCAGAAAATACAAGTAATCTTATAATTAACTGCCCAATATATAACAAATTTTGCATATTACATGTATACAAGAAACAGACAGTGACCCTTATATTAGTTATCACAGCGATTTGAATAATGACTGTAGAACAAATAGAAAAACCAGACACTTTTGATGAGAGGAGGTAAATTTTTACTGCTAAAAGGTCGTTTTTGAAAAACATTCTTGTCTGAGTGGTCAACCAGCATCAATGCTGCAAGTGACTCCAGAAACCTTTAAAAAGAGAATTTCCATCTGATAGATTAGAAACACACACAAGACAAAGACTGTGGATGTTTTAATGTGAAAATCACATTGTAAGGAATATCAGGAGATTCCCTGTTTTCCTGACCTGTTTCCCTATGTGTGTCTTACTAATAGCGTCCCCCAGGAGCAACAGCACATAAAGGACTGATCTATAACTGTGCTCAATAACTTTTGATGGGTAAGTCATGAGGATTAAGCCACAGTTGAAGTTTCTCTCCTTTGGTTTGTAATTTTACGCATAGTGCCCTTCTTCAGTGAAAAGAGTTCTTCAGCTGTGTTTAATGCAAAATGATGAGAGAAACAGCATATAACAATGACTTAAATTTAGCTTTCAGGGCTCAACCAATCCCTCTGGTGTTCAGCACATCCCTCTGGCTGTAGACACAAAGGGAGGAGGTGCATCTGTCAATTTCATGACTTAGAGCAGTGCTTCTCAAACTTTGGGGTGCATGAGAGTCACTTGAAGCAGTCATTAAAACACACTGTTTCTAATTCAGGAGGTCTGAGAAGGGACCTGAGAATTTGGATTTCTTTTTTTTTTTTTTTCTTTTTTGAGATGGAGTTTTGCTCTGTTGCCCAGGCTGGAGTGCAGTGGCACGATCTCGGCTCACTGCAACCTCTGCCTCCCGGGTTCAAGTGATTCTCCTGCCTCAGCCTCCCGAGTAGCTGGGATTACAGGTGCCCACGACCACACACGGCTACTTTTTGTATTTTTAGTAGAAACGGGGTTTCACCATGTTGGCCAGGCTGGTCACAAACTCCTGACCTCAAGTGATCCACCCACCTCGCCGCCTCAGCCTCCCAAAGTGCTGGGAGTATAGGTGTGAGCCACCACGCCTGGCCAAGAATTTGGATTTCTAAGAAGTTCCCAGGTGATGCTGATGCTGATGCTGATGCTGATGCTGCGGTCTGTGGACCACACTCAGGAACAATGCTTCTCAAACTTTAAAGTGCTTACACATCACATTGTTGAAATGCAGGTTCCGATTCAGTGGGTCTGAGGGAGGAGCTAAGATTCTACATTTCTGCAAGGCCTAGGTGGCAACTGGTCTGAGGACCACACTTCGAGGAGCAAGGATTTAGTTTAGAAGCTGGTCATGATGGATTGACCTTTGGTTAACCAATCCCTTGAAGGTGAAGCTTGTAAAATTAGACTCACTGATCAAACAGACCTAGAGTAAATAAACTTGTTTATTATAATTTTTCCATTTTTCCCCTCCCCTTCCTTTCTGTCTTACTTCCTTATAGCCACCTGTATGTCTCAGCACCGTCTCTTATGTCTAAAACTGACTTCAGTTCTAGCCCTGCCAAACCAGATCTCCAACTTCCACCCAACTTTTCTTATTGTACTCAACTCAACTACTATTTCTATCCCAATCCCTCAGGTGGTTAAACTCAAAGACACCATCATTTCTTCTCTTGTACTTATTCTCCAATTCAGTCACAGGCCTTGTGGGCTATTTTTCATCATGATCATCATCATCTACAGCTTATTGATGTTCACTTACTGCCTACAGTGTGCCAGGTTCTGAGCTAGATCCCTTACACACAGCATCTCTAATCCATAAAAGGACTGCAAGGGGGCATCTTGGTGAGAGCTGAACTGACACTCTATACAATGTTGCAGTCAGGACTCCAACCTGTGTCAGACTCTAGATGCCACGATCTCTCCACTAGGCCATGGTCCCTCTCTCTAGTCATCGTTTCCTCTCCATTTCCCCTGCCACCACCCTAGTGTGAGATCTTTTCATCTCAGTGGAAGCTTCCTCTTCCATTCCCACTGGAATCTAGCCTCACCCTTTATTAAAATACCACTGTCCTCATGACATTTGCTAAAAAGGAAAAAAACAAAACAACAAGCTTTCAAGAAGGCACTCTTAACTAAAGGATGCGCGCATGAACACACACACCCACACTCTCCCCAGCCCACCACACACACGGACCAGCGCATAAGCTCTCTGTAATCTGATGGTATAAAATGAAAAAAGACTCTTTACATCCAATAAGGGTGAAAATATTTTTGAAATTTAGAGAAAGGAACATATAGGTAGACCCACAGACACGCCACATTCCATGCTGAGAAACCATGAACTTGCTTTGGTGGCAACTGTGAAGCACAGAAGGGCGACAGACACGGGGTGCTGGCCTGACCTCCCGCTGAAGGACTGGGTGGCACTCCCATGGCTGATGGGCGGGTTTATTCCTTTTGGATTTTTGGACCATGCTGGGTGAGCTTCTTATGCCTCTTCAGGATGATTTCTTACATTCCACTAAGAGAGCCTCAGAAGATTTGGTTAGAGCAGAGATTATAGTAGATGACACAATCTGGGAGCTAGAAGGTTGTGCAGAGGTCAAGCGTCATTGTGTCATTGATGGGAAAAGAGAGGCCCAGAGAGGGGAAGCAGGATCAGAAGCCACAGGTCCTGACTCCAGCACACTCATCTTTCCCTCCCATCCTTCCCCGTGAGCTAGCCCTGTGGCCGCCAGGCATCTGGTGCATGTGGTATTCGTGCAGATCCAAGCCCGGACAGCTGTCACTGGTTCACATTCCAAAGAGCTGGGGCACTTCCTCACCGTGTGCATTTCTCACTGCTGACTCTATCAGCATTTAATCAATATCAGATGGCACTGCCTGGCCTCCCTTTCCACTTGACACGCTTTCTCTGTCTTGTTTTCCCCCTCCCCTGACTTCTTTTTAATAAGAATTCTGTTTTATCTTCCTCTCTGCCCTCCGCTGGGAGGACATCTGGCCAAACACACGGATGCCTACTACAAAGGGACCCTGCTGGCTCCTGTAGCTGGGGCACCCCCTCCTCCTTGAACCTAGATGGTTACAAAATAACATTCAAGAGAGATATCCCCCTGTTACCAGCCTTTGTAGTGTTTGTTTTCTTAGCATTACTTTCCAGAGCCTGGGGACTTTGTTCCCATGGCGGGGTGGGGGTGGGCAGGGAAGGAAGGGCTGGGGACTGATATACAGAGTGCTGCAGAGGAGAGATTTCAGTTCAGGAAGTGAAGCAGTGCTGCCCCTCACCATTAAGAGATCCAGCGTGCCAAAGAACCTGGCGCCAATAGCACATTTGAAATTCAGAGGCCTACAGGCAGCAAGGACCTGAAGGGTGCATGCCTTTCCGCTGCTTTTCCCTCTTGAACTATCTCCCGCTGAACTCCACTCTTGGCTCATGTTTTGAATGTATTTTCCAGTGTCCGAGTCTTTGTTATACAAAAAAGTGTGGGGGCCCAGTGAAGCCAAAATCGCTCTGGTTAACTCCTTGAGTATTCCATGGAAGTTCAGAATAGGCTGACAATTTGGTCCCCAGTGCCCAAACTCAAAGTCCCCTGGGCTGCCCTGGTTCCAACAACACATTTCAAGTAAGAAGCTGGCAGGGGGGGAATGGGGGCTGCTGATCAGTGAGCCGTTTGCTGGTTGGGGGAATAATTGAAACGCTCCAGGAATGACAGTGCAAAGGGCCAGAAGAATTCACCAGCAAAGAGAATTCCTTTCTGCTGTGGTTCTCCATAAAGAGCCCTCCCAAGTGCTGTGGTCCAGTCTCAATCCAGTCTGTTTTTCCGATCTTTTTGCAGAAAAAAAAAGAGTCTCCTTCACTCTCATATTTTTTTGCCATGTATATCACTGAAGGTGGGCTTGTGTGTTAAAATGGATACATTGCAGATCCATCCCCTTCCTTGGTAGGTGGAGGCCGGCACTGTGGGTGAGTGTGGGACACTTCTGGGCTATTTTCATGATCACAAGTGTCTATAGCTCAGTGGTGTTGCCATAAAGATCATGTTACCAAAGAGAAGCTTTAAAAAGGGTCAATTGCAAAATCCAGAAAACCACAAGTTTTGATCTGAGATTCGCAGTGAACTTTTCATGTGGTTTTTTTACAGTTATTAATCTACTGCCTGGTGGTATAGATTCCCATAAACCCATAAGAATGATTTGGCTCTAACAGTAAAACGGATGATTCAAATAAATTCCTATAATTAAAATGGCCCCAAAAGCAACAAAACAATAAGAGTTAACAACCCGGTTAGTTGCTTGAATGTTACGCAATATCACTGGAACAAAAGTTAAATACATAAAACACTTTATCCACCGAAATAACTAGCTTTTCCTTATGATGAAGGCTATTTACTAAATGATGAAATATGGAATTAGTAAAAAAAATTTTTTTTATTAGTGAGTAATTTAGTTCCCCAAATACAAATCCCAGCCCTGGACACCTTACTATGCCAAGTTTCCTAACGATGTGGATAGCCATGAAAACGGAAGCAGGACAAGAATTGGAAATGAAATCACTTTCTGTGCAAAATAAGTGAAGCCTCACAGCAGCTCTGTATTCATAAAGATGTGTTCAAACCGGAAAAGTTACTTAGAAGAGAGTTTTATGACAGCATGAACTCTTCGACGTTCATGCTGAACTTACATTCAAATTCTGTGCATTTACCAAGGGTATAGTTTGTTTTCATTGAAATTTTTTCATGTGTATAAAAAGAAAAGGCAGTCAGTTCTGGTTTGGTTTTATTGTTTTTTTTAAGATTATGCATTATTTATTTAAAATTTATAATTTATACCCTGCCTACTAAAAAAGAATTGTCGTAGGCAAAAGCCAGATGTAACGGTCCCACTCAGAGTATGCAGTGTCTGCCAGAATATATAGTGTCTCAAAAGAACGCCATTATTTTCTCTTTGTGGTTTTTATAAGAAATCCTTTATTAGATGAACTGTCCACAAATGCTTTCAATTCCAAGGAGAGGAATCCTTGCTCACTGGGGAGCTCAACCATCACATCTCTTACAGTTGTCTCTCCTAGCTGGCCCCTTCCTCTTGGCTCTATTCCTATACATTTTATTCTATGGGCACAGAGTGAACTGTCAACATTTCAGCAGCCTGACTACTTCATTATCTGGCACTACCATACAATGTCCTTCTGGGATTAAGTGCTGAATCTTTTCATTAAAAGGACTCATGAAAATGCAGCTCTAGCTTGGGTCATCAATCTGCTGTAGAATTGAGCCAGACACTGACTCTGACAGGTAATTGAGGAAGGCCATGAGACATTTCTTGAGTGGGTGAGAGTTTGCTATTGCTGTGAATGTGAAGAGGAATTGCTGAGGATGAAGGCTATTACTGAGGACCTGATATGGGCCAGGAACCCTCTCCTGGTTACTTATAATGTCTTTAACAACCCTGCAGAGTAGGAATTCTGACCCTAATTTTACAGATTTTAGGAAAGTGGGGAGGTCAAAGAGGGTGAGTACCCAAGCCAGTGAGTAGCTGAGCTGGGAGTTGAACCCAAATCTTTTGTGTGTTGCTTCTCCAAGCTTATTCATCTCCAGAAGTGAAAAACAAAACAAAGCAAGATAAAGGATGCCCAACGAGATAATCTAGAAAACGGACCAGTTAGACATACCAGTAGAAGTATTCTGTCAAAATAAAGGGGTGCGGAAACATCCTTTCACATGTTGATAGATAAGCCTTTCTCAGAAATAAGCAATAAAATGTAGTCTCCGGTGGGTTAACTAACTTACAGGCCTGATGCTTCTGCCGGCTATAATTTCTCCTTTATTAGACTGTGGTGACATACTTAAGCAGCAAGTAAATTCTGCCCTAAATAAATGCTCATTCTCTCTAGGAGAGGTCAAGAGTGGCTTGAAGGTTTGGCTGGTAAGGCATGTTAGCCCCTCAGGGGAATATCTCCCAATGCTGAGGGAGTTTTTGGAGTGAGATGGGCCAGGGAAAGAAGGTACCTTTATAATTTCAAAGCAAACTATGGGATATGCAGGAGCCTTGATCAGTTTAAGCTTGAAACCAAATAAATTGGTCACCCCATGGTTTTCTTTTGAAGTTCTAGTATGCTTGAAATGAACCCCAAAAGCCAGTCTTCAATGGCTCCTTCATCTACAGAGCCAAAAAACTGCTTGTGGCTCAAGCTTGCAGGAGCTGGGCAAGGTAAGACAGAGGCAAGGAAGAAGGTGACAGGAGGGTTTATCAGATGGCGATTAAAAAATTTATTTACCTCTAGCCTCTTAGCCTCCCTCTAAAAAAAAATTATCTGGAATACACTGGCAAAAAATATTTTTTTCTTACCAATACCTCCTTGACCCTGTGGTTCAGGAATCCACAGTGATTCTCCAGTTGCTCCCGCACCCTCTGACCATGTTGGCACTCAGAATCTTGAGGCCGGGAGGGGCGCTGGCTGTCATCTTGGCTAATATGCATCTCACCAGTGAAGAAACTGAGGCCCAAGGAACTCCACTCCTCTCTCCTACTCCCCCCACCCCAAGTTTATACACAGCCAGGCTGGCTTTAGGGCTCGGGTTTTCTACCTTCCAGCTGGAGTTCCTTCGACCCCAGAATTCTGCCCACATCACCACATTCCATTCTTGCTACATCCTGTTTATTCATTTCTTCAAGGTGTAAGTAGCAGGCAGTAGTTATACTGGTGAACACAACAGACAAAAATCTATCTCTGCCTTCTGGAACTTATATTCCAGTGGGAGGATGTCTTCATATGACAGAAGGTGATGAATGCTATAGTAAAAACAAGGCAAGCACTGAGCGAAGGGCATGTAGCGGGGGACGTAGATGTCAATTTTAAGTATGGTGTGTCTGGAGCCCTCTCCGCAGAGTAACATTTGAGCAAGAGTTTGAGGGAGCATGGGAAGGACCCCAGGCACCTGCATAGCTATGGTCTCTGACAGGGCTCTGCTCATTTCCCCTCTGGGCTGTGAGATTTGCCCTTCTCTTCCCTGAAACGCTCTTCCCTACTAACTAACTTCCTTTGTGCTTACTCACAGATTTCCTCCTCAATGCACCCTTTCCTAATTTGCCTTGAATCCCTAAGCACCTGTGTAGTTGATACTGCACACATCCACACTCCCCATGATCTTCATAGCTACCTCCTTGTACAGGCATGAGGGTTTTGTTTTTCTGCTGTGTTGCGTTTGCATTTCCCTAAGCAAAGGAGCACCCGCTAGTACTCGGCACATCCTGCGGCTTAACAAAGGCATGACTGGAGTACAGATCCGGGCAGTGGGAAGTGGGCCCTCGCTTCCAGGAGCAATCTCCCTGCCCCCAAATTGGAATCTGCTGTCAGGTGCAAGGGATTTCACAATCTCCTCTCCCACCTTTGTCTCCAGTCTTCTAGGTGATTTGCTGATCTCACTGTCCTGTGGGCCGGGGTATGGATGTCCTGGGAGAGGGGCACAGCTCAGGGGCCTGACAGTTAAAACACTGACACTGATGAGAGCCCTTTCCTCCCACACAGCCAAGGCTGATGCCACAGGGAGCCGCAGCCTCAAACCCGCTGGAGGTAGAGGGTGGAATGAAGGTTATGATGAAAGGAATGCAAAACATGCCTTCAGACCCCTGCCCAGACTGAAGTGAGTCCCAAGACCCTACAGCATTTCTCCATTTTGTGGGTCTCGGCACTTTCAAAACTCCATGTGATAGGGCCAAGATGAGAACTGTAAACCTGCAATCCAACACTTGCCTTGAGTGTGGCTGCTTTACAAAGTGTCATTTGGGGGCAGCTGAAGGACTAATATAATGACGAGGGGGAACAGCGCTGAGCAGGACAAATCTCAGTTAATGACAAGATATTTGCTGTTTGTCAACGACACAGTGTCGGGGCATGTGAAAATTATGCTGCTGAGCAGGTGCTGGCAAAGACATGCCTACATCCACTCTCCCTCACATACCGATTTGATTTTTTTTTTAACCACCAAAACTAGTGTTTTGATGGGGAAAAAAAGTGGACTTCAATGTAAATGAAAACATCAATCAACCTGACAGACATTCCTCGTTCCTCAAAAACATGTGTTTTTTACTTTCTTCAAGTGAAGATGATAGTCGAAGACACTTAAAATTAAGGGAACGAAGCCAAGACAGAGCAGGAGACTTCACCACTGCTGTTTTAAAACAGTCATTCTGTTCCACATTGAATGTGGCCTCAGTCTTGAACCTAATGAGAAATGAGTCAATCGACTTGAAATGATCCAAATGAGGAAAAGTTGGCAAAACAAGGAGGGAACTGGGAGGGACCTATTTTAATAGAGTATTGGCCCACGACGCCTGTGAGGGGAGAGTGGCCCCAGACGGAATGACGACCATCCCTGTCACTAGCCACATACTTGTTATTAAAACTGGACAAAGGCCTGGTGTCGTGGCCCATGCCTGTAATCCCAGCACTTTGGGAGGGTGAGGCAAGAGGATCCCTGAGGCCACGAGTTCAAGACTGGCCAGGGCAACACAGTGAGATGCTGTCTCTACCAAAACAAAACAAAACAAAACAAAACTAGACAAAGGGGGATGGGGAGAGAAATATTTTCATGGGGCAGACAGCTATACTTTTGGAAGTCAAAGCAATGAAACTGGAAATAAAAATGAAAAACCATTAAACAAAAAGTCAGAAGGCATGCAATGAATTATGGCATATAAAATAAATGGGAACATGTAGGCTTATTTAATTTTCCATGCCTTTATATGGAGTTTAGAAATGACAGTTAAATTTAGAAAATTGTTTAAAACTGAAATAACTAGATGGGAACATACGTTTGTACACACACACACAAAGTGACTTTCTTCAGACACTAGAGATGTTTGTAGAAAAGGATTTCTAAAGCAAAATTCAAAATCACCAGGCACAGTGGCTCATGTCTGTAATCCCAACATTTTGGGAGGCCAAGGTGGGTGGATCACTTGAGGTCAGGAGTTTGAGACCAGCCTGGCCAATATGGTAAAACCTTATCTCTACTAAAAACACAAAAAATTAGCTGAGCATAGTGGCACATGCCTGTAGTCCCAGCTACTTGGGTGGCTGAGGCAGAAGAATCGCTCGATCCTGGGAGGCAGAGGTTGCAGTGAGCCGAAATCCCACCAGTACTCTCCAGCCTGGGTGATAGACAGAGACTGTCAAAAACAAAACAAGGCCGGGCGCGGTGGCTCAGGCCTGTAATCCCAGAACTTTGGGAGGCCAAGGTGGGCGGATCATGAGGTCAGGAGATCGAGACCAGCCTGGCTAACATGGTGAAACCCCGTCTCCACTAAAAAATACAAAAAAATTAGCCGGGCGTGGTGGCGGGCGCCTGTAGTCCCAGCTACTTCTGAGGCTGAGGCAGGAGAATGGCGTGAACCCGGGAGGCGGAGCTTGCAGTGAGCCGAGATCACGTCACTGCACTCCAGCCTGGGCAACAGAGCGAGACTCCGTCTCAAAAACAAAACAAAACAAAACACAAAAACAAAACAAAAAAAATTCAAAAATCACAATTTCCCATGGGTTTATCATGGGCGTGACTGGAGCCAGCTTATACTGACTGGTGACCCCCAATTGTTGTTATCTCTTCACAACTCTATGTTCAGTGACTTTATATTGGTAGCATGAAATTGGTCATGCTGGAAGTATTCACACCATTGAAATCAGCAAAAAGCTCCAAATCAGGGCTTTTGCCTTCTGGAGAGCCGGCTGTTAAACATTTGCCAGCATTCCACTCAGCGCCCTTACCATTTGCCAGCCTACCACTCAATGCACATACCACTTAATGCAACTGATCCATTGCATTTAAACAAGTAAAGAGCACATACCACTTAATGCAACTGATCCATTGCATTTAAACAAGTAAAGAACTAATCTGTCCATATAGACTAATTACTTGAGAAGTTCAGGATCACTGGCACCACCAAGCTTGGACATGAAGCATCGTTCCTTTCCTTCCCCGGAGGTGATACAGATCTTTTTTTTTTTATTTTTTTTTATTTTTATTTTTATTTTTATTTTTATTTTTTTTTGGAATAATGTTTTTTTTTTTTATTATACTTTAAGTTTTAGGGTACATGTGCACATTGTGCAGGTTAGTTACATATGTATACATGTGCCATGCTGGTGCGCTGCACCCACTAACGTGTCATCTAGCATTAGGTATATCTCCCAATGCTATGTGCCCTCTTACTAGTGATATTTTACACATTAAATGTTTTGAATTCAAAATTTCCATGGAAACAAGGTAAATTTCAAATTTACAATCTCTGTGGCGTGATTATAATTTTAGGTTCCTAGTGAAACTGAGAATGTTTAAGGTTCAATTCCCACATGTCTGTTAATTTCACCCCACGGATACAGGCTGACTTAACTCTGACCAACCACCCTGAACGTGCACTTCCTTCTCACGTGGAAATGAGGTGGCATAGCAAAGTCAAGATGTGGAGCCCTGGTGAATCAGCCTAGGACAGGCAGCTATGGAGGACACATTTGGATTCAGATGGAGGAATCACCACCGAGGAAAGGATTATGAAGAGCAACCCCGATCTGGAAGATATTCTGTTTACCTCTCAAAATCATGCAGGGATTAAAACCCGACCTACAAGGCAGAAAAAAATACAAGAGTTCAGAGGAAAGCAACACTTCATTACATTCATGAGATGCATAAATGACTGTAAAAGCAGCAGACTCAGAAATCAAAATAGGAAAAAATCAGATTCTACCAGCTGAGCCATTCACAGTGCAGGCAGAAGGCCTTTTGAACTTCAGCTCTTACAGCAGAGAATCAGAAAATGTGACCAGGAGCACACCAGCTCTGGAAACAAGTGAATAATGGAGATCAGAGATGCAGAAAATACATATATAATTTCATATGATATGAAATTTTTATGGTATAATCACTTCATTGTATTTCATGCCCAAAGAAACGAATTTTATTTCCCCGATGGCCAAACAGCTCCTAATTACAGTTGTAAACTGGTTAAACGGGCTTAAAGAAGAAGCGGCTTTGGGTGAGGACTTAACAACACTGTCCAATCCGCACTTTGCTGAAGGTGTTCCCCACTTCCCCGGTGAATATGGAATTTGGAATTAGTACCAGAATCACCCACTAGGGATTCACTCATACATTTTATTTTTAATTTGCAGCATATATTTGTTTACATAAACTCCCAGTACACTGCATGCGGTTTAGAACACACTGTGAGTTCATTGCTTATTATTCTTTAAAACAGCCTGTGGTAAGAGAGACCCTTCCATTAAGAAGAGATACTTGTCTTGAGAGGTCCACCACACAACGGGATCCCAGGGATGGTCTCAGCTTGATGGATCTAGGAGGCATACCCCTTCTAAATGGTGCCTAGCCAGAGCTCTTCCTGCCTGGGGCAGCCAGGCCTCTCAACCCTACTCTGGAAAAGCAACTAGAAGCTCAGGTCCTGCTGATGATGGACTAGGAATGCCATTTTTGCATCTTTGTCATGCACCAAGACAGGGCTCATTCATCACCTTCCCATTATGCACAGACCTGAAGAGGAACTGAAAAAGAAGGATTCAGTGATTCAGAAAATGTTCGTTCCTAAATGAAGAATACAATGAAGTCTGGACTTCACAGCCCTCACTACTATGCAATGTTCCTTCCTGCTGGAAAGCAGTTATGTTATTGCAGCAAAGCTGGTCAAGACAGCCAACCACCTGTAAATACAACCTACTGGTTGCCCTGAAACAATCTGTCACTTTCTACAGTACTTGGGGGAAACAACACCTAATAAACAACACCTAGTAAAGCAAAAGAACATATACTACAGTCAAAGGAAAAATCTCATGTAGAACTGTGGTAATGACAGTGCTTATAAAATTAGAAGCACTCATTTACTAGGGTATACAGAGCCCCAGATGATGGTGTGATTATATGTTTACTAAGCTTTATCCAGAGGACTACTGCATAGAAGTCAATCTTCTTGACTTTGAGCCCGTGGAAGATCCATCTGTTTCTACTCCTGCTCACTTCCCAGACACGCCGCAACTGGGCACAAATCACGGAAGAGAAATGTTTATCCAAGTGGAGCTGGAAAAGCCAGGACTCCAGGAGGGCCCTGGGGTGCAGGGAGGACCCCTTCTTTCAAAGGTTTCTGCTGCACAGGCCTAGGGTAGGATGGAAAGGATCACAGAGTAGGGGATAGAAACAATTTTTTTTTAAAGAAAGAGAAGAAAATCTTCTGATTATCTAGACAGAACAGGAGAAAGGGGAGCTGCGGCAACAGGGAAATGAAAATAAGCAGTAACAGGCCTTGTGACAGTTGATTGTAGGAATGTCCCTGCCAGCGGGTAACTTGTGTCCTGACAAGCTGCGAGAGCCTGAGGCAAAGGATCTGTGCTTTGCTCACTGGGACCTAGAGAGGACACAAACTCTTTCTGTTCCTAATAAAGAACAGGTTCAAGAGAGTGAGGGGAAACAAACTGCGGTATGAAACTAACATCTGCACAGCAGTCATCGGCACAGCAGTAACATTACTTGGATATCCAGGGCAGAATCGATCAAGTACGTGAGTTCTGATGCAGGCACTGTGGTGATTCCTGCAAAGGTTTTATATCTGCACACTTGGTCTGCAGAGTGGAGCTGGACTTCTGCTCTCATTCTTCCCTCAGGTGCCTTTGTGCAGTACCAACACTGTGAACCAGACACTACGACCCCACCCGCCTATCCCACCTCCCCCCATTCAGGGACACTACGTTTAGACAGTGAAAGCCTTCTTTGGTAAATGCATTCCACAGTTCTCCTCCAGTCTCAATTCCCCTCTCGAAACACAAAATAGGTAATAGATTGAAAAGACCAAACTGGTTCCATTAATTTTTATTGTATTGTCTCATTTCTATTAAATCAAGCACCAGAGTCCTGAAGTCACTGAGACAAAGCTGGGAGCAGGCAATCCAAACCCTTGAAGTTGGTGCAGAAGTAGGGGCAAAATAATTTCCCATATCATTTTGGAGGGTATAACTGAAAGAGTGTTTTTTGTTTGTTTGTTTTTTGAGACAGGGTCTTGCTCTGTCACCCAGGCTAGAGTGCAGTGGCGTGATCTTGGCTCACTGCAGCCTCAAACTCCTGGGCTCAAGCAATTCTCCCACCGTAGCCTCCTCAGTAGCTGGGACTACATGTGTGCACCACCAGGCCCAGCTAATTTTTGTATTTTTTGTAGAAATGGGGTTTCACCATATTGCCCCGGCTGGTCTCAAACTCCTGAGCTCAAGCGATCCACCTGCCTCGGCCTCCCAAAGTGCTGGGATTACAACATGAGCCACCATGCCCGCCCAAAAGAGTGTTGTTTAACTGACACAGGATAATATGATTCACACAAAATAGAACATTTAGTAATTCAAGGGTGTACCTAGAACATTCTGCCAAGGGGACATTTAACGCTGTGACACAGGAAGTGTCATGATGACTCAGGAAGAGGGGATCCACATGTAGTCCCATATTCCAGCAGAAGAGTGCTTCTGGACAAATGTGTTAAACCTTCCCCCCATCTTCAAAGGAAACAGAGACTACAGCTCTGTGGCAAAAGGCAATGAATCCCTCTGAGGGATGTGTGTATTCTAGTTAGAGAGTAACACAGACTACAGCTGCCTGTGACCAGGACAAAACTCTGATGGTAGCCATGGTGAACTGGAACACAAGCTCATCTGTGATAAGAGCCTCTTAGTTTTCCTCTTATTCAATTTCCATCTTGATGAAAAATGGGAAATTTGTATGCAATTGAGGAACAAATACACAGATTTCTGTGTCATAATCTTATTGCTGATTTTGTATTTTGTCTACTTATCCAATGTAAGCTCATCCTATTTGATCACGTCTCTGACAGTCATACGGTTATCCTTTTTTCCTCCACAGTGACCGCTGGAAAGGGAACACCTTGCAACTTCTCCCACGAGGCTTTCGATCCTAATGTAAGGAGCAGACCTCTCCCGTCAGAAGTACATGGTGGGGAAAAAGGGCCATGTGGACACATGGAAACGGATTCGGGCAGGACCAGAACTATTTCCTTAGCCACACAGATGAAGGGTTTGTACTAATTCCTCAGTGAGGAGGAACTGGAACCTGATATCAAAATCCACTGTATGTCCTTTATAGTTTATTGTATATAATTATGTACCATAAACTGTGCATGGCTTACATTCCAGGGCATGGGATCAGTCATTCCTAACAAATCTCGTTGTCAATTTCTGTAAGTCCCAGCTAAGAATCCCCGTAAGGGCTTATCTGAACCGGGTAGAATCAAATATTGTGATAGAACCCCAGGGCCTGGGAGAAGCAGCAGCCCCCCACCTCCCCCCAAGAATTCTGTCTGGTATGCTTCGTGGTACATCTGCAGGTGAGCATTGACTCACAGATATACTTGGTGCACACCCTGTGTCCAGTACCGAATGATGCCAATATGAGCCAATGGGACTTGAGGAACATGTAATTCTATTCACTGTACTCTGCTGTGAAGACGCTACAACCTCCCTGTTAAGTCATGCTCTTTGCTCATTTCTGAGCTTGGGCCTCCTCTTGCATGCAGGCCCTGTTCCACAAATGACTCCAGGGGATAAGGGGCTTCCAAACACCTAAGTCCTAGGGTGTTGCTTTAAGCCACTTGGCTCTTGTGCATGTCTGTAAACCATTGCTAGAATTGGAGGTATTTCAAAGGCAGCGAGCGGCATATGAGAATAAATGATCTAATACAGAGAGTGAATTCCTGATGATTTAAAGCCATTGAGAAAAGCGGCAAACAGAGCTTGGGAGACAGTACACCTCGATGTCCTCAAAAACACATCCCTTAATTTCTAAGAGACCATAATTTATCTTTCTATACTGATAACACCATATTTGTCAAATACAGATATTATGGACTTTTAATATTAGGGAATTAAAAGATCCTTTTAAACTCTGTTTTGAAATACATACATTTTTTCACGTTTGCACATACAGTAACACACCAGCCAGTGTTGAAAGTATGACCTGCAATTGCAATCAAGCCATTCAAGCCATTCAAAGAACAAGCCACATGGAAACTATGACCTCGCCCCTGAAAATCACCCACAGGCATATGTTTGGGCATGATTTCAGGAGATCCATGGGCTCTAGAAACCACCTGTAGGCCTGAGGCTCGGAACTTGTGATACCTGGCCTCCCATAGGAAGTATGAGGATATCCTAATTTTTCCCACCAGAATTTGTATAGACTAGCAAGTTTTGGGGCGGCTTGTTATACTAATAGGCTTCATAGTCTCCACTGAGGGGGCAATTCTGTTTATAAACATTTCCCTCACCCTTCTTCCCCATTCATTCTTGTGGTTTCCTGGCCCAAGCAATACTTATCTGTGAGCCACTGGCCCCAATAACTAACTCAAGACAGCAACACGTTATGCATGGTGAGTTCAGACCGCAGCTGTCTATGTAGCCAGTTAAGTAGCATCATCAAGACGATCCAGTGCAGAGCAGTGGCAAAGGACAGAACCACCCAAAAGGAGGGAGGAGGCTGGACACAGATACATGGGAAGTTGGGGAAAGTTCATCTGTTGTTAAAATCAACAAGTACAATGTCGACAGTGGAGGCCCAGATGTCCCATTAAGAAGTGTCCTACTTAGTCTGGAAAAGTTGGCAACTGTTCTCATGGGAACCAGCAGCAGGAGCAGCAGCTGCAGTGCACAAATAGAAGTGTCCTTCCTCACACCTAGTTTCATCTGGGTCAAGTCCCTCCTCTGCTCAAGCTCTTCTGGGAGCTTCTCCTCTCCTGAGAGAAAGAGCTGAGGTTCATGAGGCCCTACACTGTCTGCCTCCAAAGCTGCCTGCCTTGCTGTTTCGACTCCAGCCATGCTGGCCTCCTCACCAGGCCTCGAACACACCAGGCCTGCCACCACAAGGCCTTTGCATGGGCCGTTTCCTCTGCCTAGGACACTCTCCTGTGGGTACCCTCATGGCTTTCTCCCTTTTTTCGGGTTTTTACTTAAAAACATCATCTTCTCAGAGAGGCCTTCCCTGACCATTCTTTTGAAAAATGCAATCCTCCTCCCCCATGCCTCCATCTCCCTTTCTTGTTTATTTTATGTATTTATTTAGCTATGGAGTCTCATTATGTTGCCCAGGCTGGAGTGCAGTGGCTATTCCTAGGTGCACTCATAGCTCACTGCAGCCTCAAACTCCTGGGCTCAAGCGAGCCTCCCACCTCAGCCTCCTGAGTAGGTAGGACCACAGGCGTGCACGACCACACTTAGCTCTGTTTATTTTTCTTCATAGCACTTATCACCATTTCATTTACTTATGTATTTTACTTATCTGTTGGCCTCCCTAACAAGAATGTGAGTTCCATGCAGGCAGAGATCTTTGTTGGTTGAACTGCCCATTGTCTCCCCAGAGGCTAGAAGATGGTTAGAACAGTATCTGCCTCATAAAGTCGTTGAGGAGATTAAATGAATTAATGCCTGTAAAACACCTGAACGGCACAGGGTCTATACTAAGAACTACAGCAATATATGTTATAATTTTGATTTTGTTTTAAATTTTATGATGAAGGCAATTGGGTAGTTATTACCATATCCATCTTACAGATTCCAAGATGGAGGCTCAGAGTAATTTACCTGAAGTTCCACATTAGTGACTGGCAGAGAGAGGATTCAAACCCAGATCGACTCCATTCCGTGCACTAATTTCCCCTTGCTCTGCTTTGGAAGTCCTGGGATAGAAGAGAGGCAGAAATCCATTCTTTCTGGAACAACCTCAAAACCTGAGAAGGCTGGTCCACCCCAGGGGGTGGGAAGTGGGGAATAATGGCTCCAGAATCCAGGGACCGTTTCCTTACAGACCTTTACACTGCATGGATCTAACATGGCGTGTGGCATTCTGTTTACTTCCTAACTTCACCAAAAAATGTAATACAGTCTGCCAATTAAACAATGTTTTCATGACCCCAGAAAATCCATGGATTGGAGACATTTACTTTAAACAGCCATTCCACCATAACAGGAAAAGAGGTAGAGCAGAGGAGTTTATTATAACAGCTGCTTTCATACCTCAAACAAGGTTTGGCTGTTTTTGGCACGTTGCACTGTAGTAGAGTTGGCAAGAAGCGGACAGACTGCATGAGTTTCCTTTCAAAAGATCATTTTGCTTCCTTAAAAAACCCATGACTGGACTATCTAGTGTGAACTGCAGATGTTTGTTCTTCCTTTGCTTCTCTGTCCTTGGGGAGCTCCCACCCTGCTTAGGCCTAAATGGGGACACGAGTTTCTAGAGCAGAAAGAGCTTTGGAATGGCAAAGACCTTGATGAGAATCCTACATTTCTTTTATTAGCTGCTTAACCCAAGACTCTCGTCTTTCTCTGCAGGGTTATTCTAAGGATTAGAGTAAGGCAAATAGAGACCCTAGCACAGTGTCAGGCACGGTAACAGGCACCTATGATTATCATGAAATTAGATGGCTAGAGGCTTGAGTGTGAGTCCTCAGAGCTCTCCTGAGATACTGCATTTTACAAAATGCATGCAGCAGAGAATGTAAAGTACGAGCTCTTGCCTGAAGCGTTTTTTATAAAGGGACTTTTCTGCACCCCTTCCCTTCCAACCTACAAAGTTGGTAAGAAATAGAAGAAGGATAGATGTCAGGGTTCCCCTGCACGTGTCATTGCTCTTGGGGTCCAAAAGGGGAGGAAAGGGAAGAGGGGACGGAGGACCTGGTGGTGCCCTGGAGGGCAGAGCTTCAGTGGGTTTTAAACTGGAAATCCTACAGGAAGTGAAGGCTCTTGGCTCCTGGGACCTGGGCTGCCCTGTGCTGTGACTCCTGTAAAACCCAGTGCTCAGCAAGCGGCTGAAACCATTTCAATGCAAATGGCTTCCAGATGGCAGAAGAGAAACCAGCAGCATGATGCTCCCGGCACGTGTGAGCCCGAGGGGTCTGATGCCCATTGGTCAGGCTGCCGCCTGAAACTCATAAAGAACCCGTAGGAATTAGGACTGGAACCCCCAGCAAGCTTGCATTCCCTGGCTAGATCTAACAGTGTGCGCTGGGATATGCCAGTTACAGGCGTATCCCCTGCAATCTGCGGTGTCTTGGGCAGCACAGAAGCCACCTTTCTCGCCCCTTCCAGCAATGCTTATTCTTCGGCCTCCAAGTATGAGACCCACAGACAACACAGGCCTTGTTGCTCAAAGGAAAGGAGCCTCCCAAAACATTTGGGAGAAGTGCGCTGGGCTGGGTTGTTGGACCCTGCTGCACTGGAGGGAATCCTTGGCCATTGCTGGCAGCTTTGAAGACCTATTTTTTATTTCCAAAGCTTTTAATCCTTTGTCTATTCAGAGCCTGAGCTTGGAGCACTTGCCATCCAAAGAGACAAAAGCTGATGAGCGGCCCAAGAAAGACAGGGCCTGGATCAGAAGGACACCACCAGCTGGGTGCTTAGGAAGCACTCACTCCTGGGCTGGAACCTGGTGAGGAGTGGGGCTGGGGGAAATAGGGTGGCGGGGCGGGTTGGGGCTTTAACTCCTTCCCCACTGAGAAAGCTGTGGTTTCATCTGGACATTGAAACAACCCACATCCCAAATACCAACTCAACCAAAAAGAGAATATAGAATTGTGCACATCTTCAGCCCTAACCCACTATCCACGGGTGATAATCCAAAAATTTAACAAACGCTCTGGCACTGATCAATGAGAAAGGATACCCCCTGCTGCTGCCCAGTTGAGACTCAGTCCTGCCTGTGCCCCAACAGAGACATTTAAAAAAATACCACTGCAGTTACTTGTGGGTGGAATCTCCCGGGCAGCCAACACATTTCCCAGTGTTGGCAGAAGTTTTCAACTGCCTGGCGCTCTTCCTGGAGGGCACCCTGCACAGCGCTGGCCAGGCTGCACAGAGCTGAGGGCACATCAGAAGAAGTTGTGAATTAAACACAAAAACCGTCATAAATAAAAGTAGACAGAAGGATGGCTATTTTAAGTTGCTCCACTGTTTAGGGAAAATAGCTGCAAGGAACAGCGGCCAGGACATGGAGACTATTCTTCCATTCTTTTGTGTTTCGGTGAACTGAAACGTCCGATGCAATTGGCACGGGTTTTTCAGCCAACACAGAGGCCCACAGGGTGTGGCCACTGAGGGAGAAAGAATGAAGCAAACAGCACCCAATTCTCGACCTCCAGGGCCTTATCAGGAGGACTTTGCAATCCATTTCTTGGCAATTGCTAGTAAAAGTTGTAGGTAGATATCTAGCTCCTTACCCATAGCCTATTGTGCTCTCCGTGAGGTCTCCATCAGTGCCAAAGGGTCTACTAGGAGAACCATGTTTTATCTTGTCCTTTCAAGACCCTTCTTCTCTACATGGTGTACTTCTTCCCAATTTATTTCCCCTTTTCCTTTCTATTCCTAGATTGTTCTCCCCTCCATTCTTACATCTCCTTCCTTCTTTTCCCCAAGTACCTGCTTTGCTCTGCCATCCCCCTCATTCTCAGCAGTTCTTTTTCTTCCCAGTTCTTTCTTTCCACCAGTGCCCTCAAGAACTTCACACCCAAACTGCCAGCCATAATCCTGAATGGCCTTGGGTGAGGATTGAGCCACGCCGGTGGAAATGCACAGGGTGGTTTCTGGCAACCATGCCCTCCCCAACGCAGGGTGCACTCTGGTCGACTAAGGCTGGAGGGATGGTGCAATCTTTTTATCTCCTTTTATTAGGAAAAGAAGGTTTTGTTTTTGTTTTTTTTTTTCTTTGAGACAGGGTCTTGCTCTGTCACCTAGGCTGGAGTACGGAGGAGTGATCACAGCTCACTGAAGCCTTGACCTCCTAGGCTCAAGTGGTCCTCCCACCTCAGCCTCCCAAGTAGCTGGGACCACAGGCACATGCCACCATATCCAGCTAATTTATTTTTTTATTTTTTGTACAGATGGGGTCTCACTATATTACCCAGGCTGGTCTCAAACTCCTAGACTCAAGCAATCCTCCCATCTCGGTCTCCCAAAATGCCGGGATTACAAATGTGACCCACTGCACCCAGCCGGGAGAAAAAGTTCTAACAAGCAGAAAGGTCTGTTTACTCCAAAGCAGGTCCATGCAACTAAAAGTTTTGGAAAAGTGAAGAAAATAGAGGAGAATGACAAAGGGAAAAAGGAAGAAGTAAAAGGAACAAAGAGTAGAGAGAAAGACCTAACTTCAGTGTGATCACAATTTATTCCAGTCAAAGCCCAAAATATAAAAACTGTTTCTATTGTTCCACTAAGTAGTGGCCTCTCGGTGCTTCTGACAAGTGATTTAGAGTAAAGTGGTCTGCTCCCACAGGGGCTTGCAAATCTTCATGCATGATGGTTCGGTCGAGAAAGCCGAAGTTGCCCAGTCAGGAAGGTGGTGATGCAAAGGTCAGATGAATAAGGGAGGAGTTCATTCATCAACCCGACATGTGAGCATGGCTGGGACAGTGCGCAGGACGAAAGCCATCTGGTAGCTTTGCTTGCAAGACCAGATTAAGAAAGCACCAGCACAAAAACCACAAAGGAGAAGATGAAGCTGTATTTCCGGAGGAAAGCAAAGATTTCTACCCAAAGCTGAGGTAAGAGCTTTATTTTTTTTTTCCAATGATGAAGAAAGAATCCTACTTCCCTCTGATTTGCATTATTTTTAGCACATATGCCTCAGCATTGGTGCCCAATAGGTCCGGCAGTGTCTTTTCAACAGCCTGAAATTTTTCAGTAGTTTCCCTTTGCCTAGAGTATAAAACAAAATTCATAGCATGGCATATGAGGCCTTCATGATGGAACCACTAGCTTACTCTTTACCGTCATCTTTCCGCATTCCTCAGTGCAGCTTCAGAGTACTGGCAGCTTGCAGAGCACATTATGCTGGCTCTTCCCTCCCTTGTGTAATATGCTTTTCCCTCTGACTGGTACACTTTCCCCTACCTCCTTGCCTGGCTAAATTGTACTCTTCCTCTATAACCCATCTCAAAACTCACACTCCTCTGTGAAGTGTGAGTTCTCAGGGGTTCCCTCTTCTAAACACCTACTGCACTTGAATGCCATCCCATCATGCTAATCATCAGTCATTGTAATAGGGACAAGAATGGTATCTTTTCATCAACGGTGCCTAACACAGGAAGTACCCCAAATTTGTGTCGATGATTAATGCAGCATTCATTTGAATTCCACATGTACACACATTTAATTACACACACTCACATACACACACTCACACACACACGCTTGCAGGATGTCTTCTCCTGCATCTCTAGGGGTGTGGGTTCCAGGTGGGCCCCTGCCATGAAGTTTCTGATCATGCCCCAGTGATAATATGGATGTGACGGAAAGAAGTGAGCTGTACATCAGAAATCAAGTTTGAAATTTGGGAATGTCTTTACGTTCTTAGAGACCTCATCTGCACAGGCCTCAGCTTTCAACTCAGGCAGAGTACGTAAGTTTGCATGAGAACGTAGAGTAGACAAAAGTGAGAGACGGCAGAAAGAAAGAGGTACAGGGTCTTGTGTGGAGCCTCCCACATGGTTCTCTTCCAGTTCCCTAGGCAACCGGCCCCTGATGAGTGGTTCTATCTGGAGAGCCATATATTATTTCCATAGATGTTAATTCCATTTTTTATGAACCCTTTCCCAAAGAGCCACAGAATGTCAAAAGTGCTGAGAGAAGAAGTTGAGCCTTCTATAAATGTCAAAGCAAACAGAACCAGGCTCAGAGAAAGCAAGGTAAGTACTGGAAGGAACTCCTTGCATTGCAAGGCAGGTGAAGAAAAGTGCAGAAATGGCTATTTACATAGGAAGGAGTTTCTGCAAGAGTCAATTGTATTGAGACATACTTCTGCTCTAAAACCCAAGTTTTCAATGTCTGGCATGAAACTGGCAGGAGAGAAGAGGGATATTGAAATCTCAAGGGTTCTGCAGTTCTAAAATTTGATGTGGTTTCTGTTCACGTCAACATAAAGAAATGATAAATACTTGAGGTGATGAATATGCTAATTACCATGATTTGATCATTATACACTGCATACATGTATCAAAATATCACACTGTACCCCATCAATAAGTAAAAGTATTATGTGTCAATTAAAATAATAATAATAAAGGAAATGCCAATGAAAACAAAATGATAATCCCTATTTACCACACATTTTGGTGGGAATATAAGTTGTTATAACCTTTTTGGAGGGCAACCAAAATTTTAAGTGTATATATTCTTTGATATGTCAATTTCAGTTATAGAAATAAATTCTTCTGAAATATTCCAACAGTACAAAGGTATATGAATGAGAATATTCACTAAAACATTACTTGTCATGAAGGAAAAAATGGAAACTTTTAATGTCCATCCAAAGGGAAATTATTGTATAAATCACGGGGCATCATGGTCTGAAATTCTGTGCAGTAGATAAAACAATAAATTCATATGCAGTAGCATGGAGATATATCCCTATGATATACATAGTTTCAAGTAAAATAAAGCAAGTTGCTGAAGGATTTTTTTTTTAAAAAGCTCACCTCTCATCAGGAAAATAATGACTGGATTTACAAATGCCAAGAACTCATTATTGGGGCATGTTAAACAAGTAAGCAGATCTGTGATCTCTTACAGACTTAAAAAAAAGACTTACTGCAACCATGGGGGAGACAGAAGCATTACTAGGACCTGCCCTGCTATAGTCATCTGCAACACACCCATGGCGGAGTTGGAACAGTATTTTTACTAGCACATACCAGGTATACTGTGGGTCAAACAGGCATTGCAGATGGCCAGATGATCTGATTACCAGTGAAAAACATTATTTCTAGGGCAAACTGTGTCTTTAAATTATCAAAATCTGCCTAATAATTCACCCTTCCTGTGTTAAGTTAGGGAGTCCCTGTATAAATCAGATACAGATGGAAAAAAAATCCCTTTTTCTTTCTGCTTTTCATGCCCAGAATCAAGAATATAATTAGCTTCACAGATATGTGGTCTTACTACTTTATATAGTAAATTTACTTGTAGGCAAGAAGAGTGTCTTCTAAGTGTTCTGCATCTCATCACAACAGAGTAGGTTTTCCTAACCTCGCAAATACATGACCTGAAAAAACAGGATTGAAAACGACTTTGAAAGGCTGGAACTCTGGAGCAAACCCAATATAATGAAATTCAACAGGAATGAAGTCCCTGCTTACCTTAGGCTCAAGTTTCTATCTGGACACTCCACTTATTAGCACTAATCCCCCCGAGCCCTGGTTTCTTAATGTGTAGTATGGGCATCATTACAGCCACATTATAGGATTATTGTATAGATTAAATGAAATTATGCATTTACAGTGAATACAGTATAGGTGGCACAAAGTGGGCCAGTGTATAGTAAGTGCCTGCTTCTTTTCTCCTTTTTGCTGATTCAAGCAAATGTTATTTTTAAATTTTGTTTTAAGTGACACATAATAATTGTACATATTCATGAGCACAATGTGATGTTTCTATCCATGTATACATTGTGTAATGATCAAATTATAGTATTGAGCATCACCTCAGACATTTATCATTTCTTTTTTTGTGTGTTGTGATCATTCAGAATCCTTTAAAAATGCAATGATTTTTTGGGGTGTCATCTACAGGCAAAGAGCATGCATTCTGGCCTGCACCTCCATGCTGTCCATTTTACAACGCAATTCCCCCAACGGGACTCTGTCATTTTCCAGGACTGCCTGTACTGTGTGGGCAAGTCTGTCTAATCTGGAGTCCAGGACTGGGAAGTTCATTCTTGTGGCATACCCAACCCATATCCTCTCATTTGGGCCTTTATCAGAATTAAAGGTGAATTTTTTAAATTAAAAAAGCCAGAACATAATTTAATTTAATTTTTTAAATTAAAATTGCCAGAACATAAGACGAGAGTAATGGCTTAGTAGTAGCATGAGTAAGAGTTTGAGTGAGTAGCCTATTCAGTATGAGTCAGTGATTTGGTGCTGTTAATATGCAATGAGATGGAGGTGAGGAGGGAGTGAGGTCTCAGGAGGGAGATGTATGTGCCCAACTCCCCGTATGTCTCATCATAAAGTCCCAGAGGACAAAATACAATAATACCTGCCAGAAACATGATAAAAGATGAGTTTAGCTACCCTAGCTGTGGAACTTAAGTTACGATTATATTGGTTTTGTATAAACGTAAAACAAAAATCAAGATAAAAACTAAAAACCAAGAAACAACCATGAGTTTTAGCTTACGGAGAGATCTATCCATTCAACAATAGGTTGTAACCTCCCATCTCCCCTAACTGCCCCCTACCCACTCCTTCTCCACACTCTACCTGGGTATCCATCAACGCCTCTGATTAGTAAAGAATCCAGAACAGTGGTTGTATTAGTCCATTCTCAGGCTGCTAATACAGACATACCCGAGACTGGATAATTTATAAAGGAAAGAAAGGAAAGAGGTATAATTGACTCACAGTTCCACATGGCTGGGGAGACCTCACAATCATGGCAGAAAGTGAAGGAGGAGCAAAGTCACATCTTACATGGTGGCAGGCAAAGAGAGAATGAGAACCAAGCAAAAAGGGGTTTCCCCTTATAAAACCATCAGATTTCATGAGACTTATTCATTTCCATGAGAACAGTATCGGGGAAACCGCCCCCATGATCCAATTATCTCCCACTGGGTCCCTCCTACAACATGTGGGAATTATGGGAGCTACAATTCAAGATGAGATTTGGGTGGGGACACAGACAAACCACATCAGTGGTTCTGAATCTTGGCTACAATCGACATACCCAAGAAGCTTTTATAAATCTTGATGCTTAGACCACATTCCAGGTCTGTTATATCAGGGTCTCTGCTTGTGGGTCCCAGGCATGCATCCAGCGGATCGCAGTGTGCAGCCAAGGTTGAGAACAACTGCTCCAGAATGCTAGTCCACCTCACCTGGAGGATGGTACCCATTCCGGGCCACTAACTTGAGGAAGGCTGGAGTGTGACCAGGATAGAGAGGAGTCTAATGTTTGACATAAAGACAGCTGGAAAAGGACATGAAGAACAGGAGGCTCAGGGAGGTGTGGTTGTTACCTGCAGATAGATGAAGGACTGCCACGTGTAAGAGGAAGTTATTTTGTTTTCCCTGCATTGCTATTAAAGGTGGGAACTAGAGAAAATTGAATTTCAGCTCAACCTAAAAAGAGAACTCTTTGAGCAGGGAGTAGGAGGCACAGTTAAAAGAATGTGCAACCTACTGCTGAATGCTGTGCACGTAAGCTAGAGTGAAACCCCGTTGGTCAGAGATTCTGTAGAAGGAGGTCGGCACAAGACACAGGGAACTGGACTCCATGACCTTTAAGGTCCTGTGTAACTGTGATTCCAGGTGTCTTTGATTCTAGGGGCTCAATGGTTTGTCATGGACTAATTACCAACTTTGCAGAAGGAATAAAAACATTTTGTTGAACTCAGGAGAACAAATCCATCATAAACCTTACCAAATGGATAAGCACAGATAGGCTGGGACATAGGAATAAGCCTAAGAAGACTGAAATGCCTAGAAGTTCTTTCCATATCACCATACAGTTCATGAGAACAACTTAAAATACAGCAATAAAACGCAATCACAGTAAATGGCCTTGCTGTGGCAGCTCTCTAGAAGGATATCTGCTGATTTAAGAAGGCAGAACTCTGGAGGAGACCCCTGCTGTTTACATGGTTGTCCAAGTTAATTATCCCTGTACTTTCAGATGAAGTGAATGGTAATCTGTTTATCTAGGTCAAATAGTTGGAACTGACTCTGTCCCTTGACAGTCATATGAAAATACGTAGTGTTGTCCTTTTGGGCATTATAAGAAAGATCAGGTTAAAAAAATAGCATCCACTTCTTTACAGGCACAACATAGCCTTTATTTCTAAAGTACTCTAATTAGACCCAACTCTAAACAAGTGGTTTAAAATGGGATTTTTTTTTTTTTTTTTTTTTTTTTTGAGACAGAGTCTCGCTCTGTTGCCCAGGCTGGCGTTCAGTGGTGCGATCTCGGCTCACTGCAACCTCCACCTCCCGGGCTCAAGCGATTCTCCTGCCTCAGCTTCCTGAGTAGCTGGGATTACAGGCACACACCACCACACCAAGCTAATTTTTGTATTTTTAGTAGAAATGGGGTTTCACCATGTTGGTTAGGCTGGTCTCGAACTCCTGACCTCGTGATCCACCCATCTTGGCCTCCCAAAGTGCTGGGATTACAGGCATGAGCCACCGTGCCTGGCCAAAAATGGAAATTTTTTTAAAGACAGAAAGAAAAGAGATTTTAGTGGCTAATTATTTCCGTTTTTTCAATTCATGGTATATTTTTTGTCTTGAGTTTATGGAATGTTTCCCCATAGAGATAATGAAAATCTGGCTTCTGGCCTCTGCAACCATTCTAAGAACAGCAAAGTACATACATGGAAGAAAGGATGGAAATACCACAGAAAATTAGTAAAATGCTGATACTGGTTACCAGAACAAAGAGGGGTGTCAGAATGGAGGAAGAAACTTTATATGTCAGAATGTATCTAGGGGAGATGTGATTTAATCTACAAAATAAAATCTTTGGGAGAGTAAAGTGCTACCTAATGGCATTTACCAGATGTCCTTTAAGGTTGATCTGATTTCAGATTAAGTCAGTCAGAGTGAGCTGGGGATACAGTAGGGGTGGATAAATCCACTGTGGGAAAAGTTAGGATTATCAGGGTACCTTTTGTGGGTGGGGGAGAAGGCTAGGCTTCAGTTTGACCCTTGAGGGATGGTGCCTTCAGGAAATTACAGAATTATTGAGCTTCCTGAGCTACAAACTTCCCTTAGATTATGTCCCTTTGAACTACTTATTCTTTACTACCTAAATCCAATGTATTGAACATTGTTGAGCACCAACTGTACAAGTCATGTTGTAACCATACATGGGCAGGCAGGGGTGACTGGAAGACTAAAACGTGGTCACTGCCATCTTGGAACCCTAGAATGATAATGCTACAAGACCTTGCTACTCAAAGTACTGTCTGTGGACTAGTGGCATCAGCATTATCTGGAATATTCTCAGATGTACAACCTCAAGCCTGTCCCCAGACCTACTGAATCAGAATCTGCATTTTAACAAGATCCCCAGGTGATTCCTATGTCCATTAACATTGGAGAAGCACTGCCATTGGAGACCTCAGAGTCTCTAACCTCTCACCCTTCAGATACAAACCCAAGGCTCAGAGAAGTTAGGTGACTTGCTCAAGGTCACACCACACATTCATAGCAGCCAGGTTTAGAACATTTCTTGATGCTTCATCTGGAAACATATATTACAGGAAAAGAATGGATATGGGAACCAGGCAGACCTGAATTTGGAAGCTGAGAGCCTCAGTTTTCTCACTTACGGAAACTAAGTTGCTTATACTTCCTCAAATATTCCTCAAGTATAAGCAACCTAGTTTCCATAGGTCTCAAAAAATAAAATTTGATTTCAATTTTTTTTTTCTGTTCCCACCAGCACCTTCTGGGCACACATAGCTTCTGAAGAGGCCAGGTGTACAGCTGACTTGGGATTGAGGGGTTCTCCACGTAGTGAGGAGTTTTGTTACAGAAAGAACGCAGACCGCTACCATATCTGCTGAAGGTAGGGTGCCCACATTGCTGCCCCATGATCGCTAAGACTGTTGTCTATGCTTTATATAGATCCCTGGATGTCTCCAGTCCTGTTTTCCAACACATGATCTTTATGGCAACACCACTGAGCTCGCTTTTGGCAGATTAATTGGTAGCGTTGTCAGCACAGCTACCTTTTATTGCCAATAAACTTGGGTCCCTGAGCGCTGTGGCCTTAATTATTTGTTATTTCTTTTTCCAAGAGGGATAAAGAATGTTCTGCTTTTTTTTAAAGTGTCTTTTGCATCAGGACAAGACCCTGAATAATTCACTGAGGAATTTACCATATGGCAGTGAGCAGAAGCGCTTTAGAGAAAGCAAAAAATTAGCAGACGACAGCACCCTCTACTAGCCTTTTCCCTTTTCTTTATACTTTCATTCCTTCTTTCTCATCTCCCCATCAAAAAAATTAAACGAAAATCATACTTAATGGCTAGAACTCCATTTTTTTTTTAATGGCAGAGAATCAGTGGCTTCCAATTTAAGCCTAATGATGAAATTTCCACCAGTAAAATATGGTGGACATGTTTGAAGGCGTCAATGACATAGTGCAATCCTTCTGCGATGATTTCTCACTTAATACTTGAGAACTGCTCAGTCTCTCACGGCAACATGGATTCAGATACAACCATATACGGCTGTGTATTTTCATAACTCTTAAAAATAAATATGTACGCTAGGAAAATTTGGGATCTTTGTTGAGAGAATTTAAAGTTAGGCAAAAAATCATTTTGATGAGTGTAATCACTGTATAACCCAGTGTGTAATTTTAAGACGCTTCACTAGCTTGTGGGGCTTATCAGAATATTTTTCCTTATGTACGACAAAACTGGGACCACATTAAGCAAAATTCCACTGATTACTTTTTATGCAACTGAGAAATTGTCAGTTCAGCCAATTGCTAGCTCTCTCCAATACTTGGGATCTAGGAAAAATTAATGCATGGGGAAGGGAACACAAAGTCCGTTTTGGCCTATAGTTTCAGTATCTTCCCCGCAAAACAGTTTACGGAATTGGCTAGTAGGCAGACAGATGTAAGCTGCACCTTCTTTCATTTCTACCTTCTTGTCAAGGGGCTAATGAACTGTAAAACAGCCCCAACTAGACAGCAGGAGGGGTAAGGAACAAAAAGAACTTGGTAATAAACCATCTACATAATTGGTTCTTGAAAGAAAATCAAGCTTAAATATTAATATTTAAGGCTGTTAGTAGCCCTCAACTTCCACAATTGCAAGACACATCAGCTACTTAGTATACTATTTTATTATAGTCAAATACCACCTCATTTGAAATAGAGGCCTAGATTGATGTTTCAGTCAGAGTTATCCGTATAATCTCTAACTAAATCCGCCTAATTGGATCATCTGCAATGGCTCCTTTGGCCATTAGTCTTAATTAACGTGGCACCATGGTTACTGCACATGCTCACTGGCTTTAAAGTAGCAGCTAACCTGATCATCTATCAGCCTCTTTATGAAACGATTCACTTGTCAAGTTTCTGTATGCGCATGGGTCTCTCCAAATGCCAACCACACATCAGTGATGTTTGTAAACTCCAGGATTTTTTGTTTCATTTTGTTTTTTTGAGACAGGGTCTTGCTCTGTTGCCCAAGCAGGAGTGCATGGCACGAACTCAGCTCACTCCCACCTCAGCCTCCTGGGTAAACTCCAGTTTTAATAATGCTTAAGTCATTTCATGAGCTACCTGTGGCCACCCAGGTCCCAGAGCTGGCATGTCACAGAAATGGACTAAACAGAGATGAGGTTGAAGAAACAACTGAAGGTAATCCTGGCAATGAAGAGGTGGATCTTAGGGTCTTCCTGCCTCCAACTCTGCACTGCTCTTCCTTCTCTGGAACCCTCTCTCCTTGTGTCCAAGTGTGCTCACATGGTGCCCTTCTCCAGTTCTCTCCAAGTACTTCTTCCTCCTATAACAACACTCCCTCTCCTGTGGAGTGTCTACATCAGGTGTGGGAAGGAAAGCAGCCCAGTTACATTATTCACAATTCAGTGAATAATATTAACAATGGAAAAGATGAGCTTGTTGATACAATTGGATTTATAATTGATAGCATTCAGCTAAAGTAATTTTGCAAAGGAAGTTATTTCAGGCAGAATTAGAAAATAATTTTTGAAAAGTAGGGGATATAAAAAAATAAATGTCCATTACACACACACACAGACACACACACACACACACGGCCATGATATAGAATACTGTGCAGCAATTTTTTTTTTTTTTTTGGAGATGGAGTCTTGCTCTGTCGCCCAGGCTGGAGCATAGTGGCACGATCTAGGTTCACTGCAAGCTCTGCGATCTCGGCTCACTGCAAGCTCCGCCTCCCAGGTTCAAGTCATTCTCCTGCCTCAGCCTTCCGAGTAGCTGGGACTACAGGCGCCCGCCACCATGCTCGGCTAATTTTTTGTATTTTTAGTAGAGACGGGGTTTCGCCATGTTAACCAGGATGGTCTTGATCTCCTGACCTCATGGTCCGCCCACCTCGGCCTCCCAAAGTGCTGAGATTACTATGCATGAGCCACCGAGCCCAGCCCACTGTGCAGCAATTTTTTTAAAAAAAGATATAGCACTATATATACTGAAATGAAAACTCTCCAAGATACTGTAACAACAAGCCCCTTTTGGACTTCTTAAATCCAGCCACAAACTCACAAATAAGGTCATCCCCGGACTTTCTCCACTAATTCAGAATAATCCCTCTCTTTCCCCTACTCCCTGAGAGAATCAGGCTTACTCGGTACCACCCACAGACTCAAGCCTGCAGAACTCAGAAGAGTACTTCTGAAAAGTTGCTAGTAGTCTCTGAGCCCAACCAACAAACATTAGCGGCTTTCTCGTGGTCAAACCACACTCACAGATCTGGCCACAAAGGCAAATTCATTTTCCAGTGAGGGATTTACAAACTACATCTGTAGCTTTCTGATGAGTGACTTTTGTTCTAATTTTTGTTCTAATCTAAGGCTAAAGATAAGGTTCTGATGGAATTTTTTCTTTAATATTAAAGCATAAATAAACAAAACACAAAGCATTGAGCAAACACACTGAGACTTATTTCACAGTGCCATCTCAACCGAGGCAGTTCCCAGGACCTAGAAGTGCTTTGCCCAGCAGGGGGCTAGGTCCCCACCAATCACAGCTGCACTTCCCAAGAACAGGCCTCAGGTGTTCCTAAAACCTGGGAAGGGAGGCCATCGTGCTGCCCAAATGTTGATTTGCTATAAAAGCAAAAAGATGGGCCATACCTCTCCTCCTTCGAGCTATTTCTGAAAAAGAGGCAGGATGACAAACTTGAGTTACACTCTTCCAAAGCAGAAACTACTGTCTGGGACTTAGCTTTCTGTTGTTGCTGTATGTTCCATTAAACCAGTTCAATGGGCTAAGGATCATTCAGCAAATAACTATTTCTGTGTTAAAAGATTAAAAAGATAACAGAGGGTCAGGCACAGTGGTTCATGCCTGTAATCCCAGCACTTTGGGAGGCAAGGTGGGCAGATCACCCGAGGTCGGGAGTTCGAGACCAGACTGGCCAACAGGGTAAAATCCATCTCTACTAAAAATACGAAAATTAGCCAGGCATGCCGGTGTGTGCCTGTAGTCCCAGCTACTCGGGAGGATGAGGCAGGAGAATTGCTTGAACCTGGGAGGGGGAGGTTGCAGTGAGCCGAGATTGTGTCACTGCACTCCAGCCTGGGCCACAAAGTGAGACTCCGTCTCCGAAAAAAAAAGAAGAAAAATGATAGCAGAGGCAACGGCTCCTTTGGTTTCTTTGGTGCATGCACTGTCATCCTCAAGAGTTAAGAAGGCCCTGTTTTCCTAATGTCCTTGTCACTGTTTAGCAGCAAGCACACGGGCACAGGGACACTCCTTGCCTGTGGGACAGACATCGTTCCCATAGCAGCAAACCCATGTCTGTCAGGAAGTAACCAGGCAGCAGCTGTGGGCAGCTGTGTGCCCATGGGGAACTGGTCCGCTCTTTTTTTCTATTACTTTTTTTACAAAAACCTGAATTTCCGGTTTTATTACAAAGCCATTTCTAAATGATGGGTTTTCTAAACCAAAGTCTCAGATTTGGCTGTCAGGGGGTCTTATTCCTATCGCCTTAACGTGAGGAGGGCTATTGGTGTGTAGCTTCCTGCATCTTGTAGACCCAGTCTCTGAAAACTCTCAATGCTTTGAGCCAAAAGAGACTCAGGAGATTACACATTCTCTTATTTTAGGAGTGTGTGCAGGTGCCAACTGGAATGCGGTGAGTGGTACTGTGTGTGCGCAAACAGAGAAGAGAACAGGAAAGAACATTTTACCCTCCACAATTTGGGGGTGGATTGCTTTTTGAAACCTTTGGCAAATAATTGCATCAAAGTGTCTCAGTTCTTCAGCGAATACACATGTGTTGTGGTACCAGGTCCACCTATGGTACTGAGGTCCGGAATCTCCTCCCTGACTATAAATTGGGGGTTTTTGTTGTTGTTGTTGTTTTGGTTCTATACTGAGCACCTATGGCTCTCTGGTTATAAGTACTCTTGTTGATTGGGAGGAGAATCCTGTCTTTTGGGACACTAGTTTATAATTTAGTGCACTGTGGCAGCAGAGCTATCAATGTCTGAATTTATCTCCCATCTTGGTATTTTCAGGGGGAACCAGAGAAAACAGTCTATATCCACCAATTCTCCACCACACACCAAGTTATTTTTTAGATGTTTAATGAAAATGTTGGCAGGAGGTGGCAATAGTTATTTTTACTTAAGTATAGCACTCAGAAAGGCAATCTTTAAAACCTAGAGTTCAAGTTTATCCTTATTATTTACAATGAGTAAGGACTTTTGGGAAGATCTGGCTATTGAATATCAACAGGTAAGATTATTTAAAGTTCCTACAATGATTGTGAAAATAATCTCGCATTCTGCTGAGAATATCCTCATCCACAATTCATACGTGGCATCATACTTTGCATGTTTGGTAAATAAAGGGTGGAAAGAACAAATCTTTGGATTGTCTCTACTAGCCAGTGTATACCTGGGGCCATTCATGGGATCCAGGAACCAGACTGTGCCTGTCTCTCCGTGAACAAAGAGCATCCTTGGAGCATTCTTGCCAATCAAATGGATGCTTTTTTCTAAGTTAACTGCAGAAAGCCTTCCCTACCTACAGTGTTTGTAATTTTTCAACTTGTGCTACTGTAGCTTGGTACCTGCTGGGCATGGCTATCATTACCTACAATTCACTACTCTTCTGGATAACTCGCCTGAACCTTGAAAGGTAAAAAATAACTGCACTAAAATCAAAAGACCTGGGTTACAATTCTGGTTTTGTCACCGAACATCCATGCTAACTTGATCAAGCCTTAGTTTTCCCATCTATAATGTGATAATCACACGACTCCTGTACAAGGTTTTTATGCAATTTAAATTACATACTGGATGGGAATATAGTTTATAAATTATACCATGTTATATAAATATGTAGGATTTGGTATTTGGCGAAACTTACACTCTCTTTTAGCCCCCATTTCAGATGCTATTTGGTGAAATGCCACACCCTTGTCCCAGCTTTCTGGACCCAGGTTTGTGCATCACACAATTACTTCAGCTACTAAGGAAAAAGGGCCAAATCTCAAAAGGTGCTTAGCCCACAGTTTTACTCCTAAAATGTGAGGGCCTTTTATGGGCCCACTTCCAGCCTAGAGTTCACAGCAAGACATGTGCTGTCAGGGCAGGAAACTTTACTTAACAACCTAGCCCTAATGCAGGCCGGTTTGAGCTGAGCCATTGGACTGCACTTAGTCCAGAATGACCGGTTACTTCTCTTCCATGACTAAACATCTTTGGAAAAGATTCTTTTCTTTGTTACATAACCCAATGTTCAGACTCCTTTGTTCTTGAGGTCTTCACCAATGAATAGAAGCTCAAGTTCATTGCCTGCTACCTAATGCTTTTTAAGAGCCCTGTTGTAAGAAATAATATTCATGGATGATTGCCTGAAAGATATGAAGAACATCCATTCCTCTAGATACCCTAAGTTGTATTCACACATCAAGCCAAACCATCAAAAAACAGCAGGCTTAGGCTGAATTGTTCTGGTCCCATGTAGAGCTGCTTTTACTGAATTACACTTTGGCAAGATGCCATTGGCTCGCACTGAGGGACATTACAAGAAACAGTCTTATAAAAATTGCTAGTGCGGGGATATTGTTGAAGATATTTCCACTGTATCCCATCTTGAGCCTCTGAAGAGAATCAACAGAGAAGTGTCCCTTGGCTCTTAATTCCAGAAGAAGCCTGTTTCTCTCGAGCATTTGGCTTTTCTCATGTAGGCACAGCAAATTTCATATTTCCCTTTTTTCTTTGGTATCTAGGGAGCTCGGAGGCACAGCAAATTTCATATTTCCCTTTTTTCTTTGGTATCTAGGGAGCTCGGAGTCAAATCTTCTTCCCACCTCTAACAACTGTACATAAACTGTATATAAACAAGCCACTCTCTACCATGAATCTATGATCCCATCACACCGACCTGCAACATTCCTTGAATCTGCCATGCACTTTCATGTTGCCCTGCGTCTGCCTACGCATGTTCCTCTGCCTGGAATACCCTTTGCCTGTCTTTTAGATAAGTGAAATCCTGGCGGAACTCATAGCTCCTATCTGTGCCCGTGTGGCCTTTCATCCACACCACCAGTGTAGCACTTATCATAATATATTCCAGCAGACTATATACACGTCTGTGCCCTTTGCTAGATCATAAATTCCTTTCAGGCAATGCCATGTACGTTTATCTTTGTATCCTCAGTTCCAGATGCCTAATAGATGTTCAACAAATGTCTACAAAATTAGTGAGTAATTGAACACTCCTGTTCCAGCACCAACATGAAGGAAACTTAAGATGTTTGTTACAAGGTTAATATCAAAACACATTACACTGTTTACATAGGCTTTGTGGAGGTGGTTGCTGGAGGTCCCGGGTGCAGGTGGTGGCGTCTGTCTTAGAGAAGACCCCAATCTCCAATCTTGCTTTTGGAGACAGGAATAATGGGATGCTTTTTTTCCTACAATGTTTCCCTTATAGCATTTTATACTCAGTCAACTTCCAGCAGCTTGTCCATTGATGAGGCCAACACCAGAAAAGCAATTGAGTAAAGTCAGAAATAGAGAAAATTGTGCCCAATTCTGTTTTGTCGTTCCATAGGACAGAGGACAGGAGTCCAGAAAGGAGGGTGGGAGGCAACCTGGTACTGGGGTCAGTGTGGGTGTAAACACACATGAATGCTGAGGAAATTTAAGATCAGCAACCAATTATTTGATCCATTTTCTAACCCCAGAGGGGGCTGGAAGTGGGAATGATGCTATCACAGCCTCCCTTGTTCTTCTAGTGCTAGAACAGTGGGTTTCTCGTTTAAGAATCCAAAAATATCCATTGGGTGATGTAATACCACATGAAAATGGCATCATGGTGTTTACAGCAGAATGTTGTATCAAAACATATTCGAAAGACATTGCAGAGCAACATTCAATACAGTGAACTGAAACTTTTGACCTTGAAGGTTTCCCATTTTTGCTTCTTGCTTTGGTGTCTGCTTTTCTTTGAAACTGCATAGTAAAACTAATGGGATTATTATTGTTTCAACGGGAGGACCACTGAGTCCAATATCTTCACTTTATAAAAGAAGAAGCTGAGGCCCTTTCGAAAATACTGACTTGGCCAAGGCTCCATAATGAGTTGTCCGCAGAAGCGCCACTTGACTCCCAAGCCTACTGTTCTTCCCATGACACCATGCCAGCTGCCTCTTGGTAGTGATCAAACAGAAACTAAGTACAAATAATGAGAAGCTTCTGGGAGAATACACCAGTCCACTTGTTTCCATGTTGATGCCAACTCAGTAAAAACAAAACAAAACAAAACAAAAAAAACACCTGGTATTGAAGTCCTAATGGACTCAGTTAAAGGTTTGAGCAAGTGATTAATGAGTACAGTGATAGGAATTAGAGGTTGCAAAGAGATGTTGTATCTTCAAGCTTGGCATCTGGGACTGGTTCTGCCAAACACTCTGGGAAAGCCTAACATCTGTTGATCCAGTTGCTGGAAGGAGACAAGGTGAATGAAAGCCAAGTGTGGAAGAATGCAGCAGAAATTTAGGACTCAGACCTCACGCTCTGCTGATGAATGTGTTATGTATGTTGCTTGGCAACTGGCACATGGCATGCATCAGCAAAGACACTCAGGGCTTTTGCAGTTGAGCTGGGAGGGCACAGGGCCCTCCAAACTGCACATTTAGTTGAGAGTGTTATGAGGAAGGCAAGAGAGTTGGTGCCTTGTAGTTTTAATTCTGGCACAACAGACCCTCTCATCCCATTTTTGGGAGGCCAGGCATACTCAGCACAGGGGACAGGCTCTTGAGAGAGTGTACTAACTCAACCCCTGCGAGCACTGGACCTTTTGGAGTTTCTGATGGCCTTTTCAAACGATAGAAACAGGGATAATAATCCTTCCCAGAAAAATGTGAGGTTAAAAGTTTAATCTGAGTTCACAGCTCATGCATTCCAAGAGGGTACTGTACTTGGGGAAATTACTCACCTAGAGTTTATATAAGTTCCGAGGCGATTAGAGTCAGCCGACAAATTGGAACCAGAGCACGTTTACATTTGAGACTTAAAATGTAGATTCCTCTTACGGAAAGAAAGAAGTGGGGAAAATGTCACCCATCACCCAATGTTTCTTGTTAAAAGACCAGGTCCCATTAGGTGTCAGTCCATTGACTCAAAGAGTGTAGAAGATGCCAATCCCCAATTCCCCCCATCCATCCTCTTGAAAAGCACATGTCACATCTGCTTGCTATCAGCATTTATCTCGCAGCGTGCGTCTGACTCATTTGGAAAATTCAAAGCACATGTTTATTCCTGCTGTGGACCCAGCCATTACTGTGCAATTTACAGGCCCTGTGCGACCCAGAGCACACAATGTGGTGGAGAGCGCTGCCAAGGAGCTGCCCCAGGCTCTTGGTGCTGCTAGGTTTGATTACTTTGCTATCAGCTTTGTAAATGGAGATGGCACCCCTCAGCCTCTAGTGAGCTCTCCTGTCACTTCCTAGCCTGAGTCACAAAGAACCCTTTCCTTCTTTGCCAGTTGGGGAAGGGGAGGATCCCAACACCGGTGTGTTTGGGAGAGTGGCAGCAGGTAATGAGTAAGAAGTACAGGGCTCCTGAGTTTCTGCAAACAAACAGCATTTGTGCAACAACTCAAAAAGTCCTGGTCACAAAACAAAACTGATGTGCTTTTTCTCCAAATCCCTGCAGTCTCAGAGCCTGGTAATTGCAAACATTTTCACATCAGCTCCTCTCCACCATCCAATCTGACTCCAAGTGGCTTCTCTAACAACACCGAATCTACTAGCCAGGACTTACACAACCTACTAACCTACTCAGTGGCTTCTCCAATAACATGTACTGATTTCATCAGGGCCTACAGAAGCCATATTATGGGTTGAAAAGTAAAAATTCATCCAATTTAGGGTTTTCTCCACTGAATCTCTTTTTCTGGTTTTGGCTCTATTCTGCCAAAATTTACCACAAGGCCCTGGCCAAGGCCAGTCAACATAGATGTCTTTGTGTGAGTTAGAAAAACGTGTCCCCTCCAGATGGACCAGCCCTTCTGGAAGCCTTTCTGCAAAGCAAAACCTGCACAACTGACAACTGAATGCAGCCGCCTTGGCAAGAGCTCATAGGCCTTTTCTTTCCAGAAACCTTGAAAAGTGACGAGAACTCTAAGGTTTGTTTGCCTTAACTGGGAAAGGCCACACTTGGATGATTAAATGCAAGAGGCCAAAAGCTTGAGTCAAAACCCACTCTCCACCTTTGCCTGTGTTCTCAATGTTGGACTGCACTGAGGGCAGGTTGGAGAGGCCAGCCTGGGTGATGTACACCACCCAGGTCCCACGAATGCATCTCCTACCACCATCTGTCAAGTGACCTGGAATGCCCAGTCAGCTCTGGAACCAGATCTTGGATGGACCTTGTTGCTTTGTTGAGTTTGTGTCTACTTTCCCTGGATCCTTCCTTAGTTCTGTGTATCTATAGAAAGACAAGGAGATTTCCTGTCCTTCTGATTTGTACAGTATGTCCTCCAAGTTCTTTCCCTCTTATCCGTGGCTTCTATCATCCATTCAGACTTTGTTTGCAGGCAGGTTTGTCCTCTGAGGCCACCACCCCTACTTTTGAACATCAACCTTAGTCAATGACATTCCCTAAGCAGTAGGTTCCAAGCATTTTGAACATACACCCCCACCCCATGCTCTATTTTATTCATTATTTATTTGGGACCTAATAAATTATCTACACAGGCCATTATCATTACTTAATAGTCCAAGGCGCAAAATATACTTTGAGTGTAAGATATATGATAACAATTATAGATGTAGATTTTTCATCCCTGTGTCCTAGTTAGATTTTTATAATTTTGAAGGGTTTTTTGTTTCTTTGTTTTGGCCAGCTGCTTGGCACATCAGATCATCAGTCTTTCTTTCTTGTAATGGTGTCTGGCAAAGAGCTTTTGGGAAGGGGAGCAGAAGTGCTACCTTTGCTGTTTTTGTCAGTTTGGTTTTTTGGGTGGCCTGTGTTATTAGTCTATCTTTAACCCATGGTTTCTTCAGAGGAGGCTTTTTAAGCCATGTGTCCATCTTGTGAAGGTTAAAGCTAGATAATACCTCACTGATAAGTCCATTTAACCCGGTACAAGTATCCAGGTCCACTAGACTCTCTGCCCTTGAATTTGAGAACTTGTAGAAAAGGCCAAAGATTGGCCCATTCAGTTAGGGTTAAAATCGTGTCACCCAGCCAGGAAAAAATGTAAAGGATTTTGGAGCTGCCAGAGAAGGATAGTTTCACAGTTGATTCCATATCTACACCATTTCTAGTTTAGAGAACTTTTTAAAAAGGGAAGGGAAGTTACAGATACAAAATATGTCCAAATGTCTTAAATACTTACACAGGTCCATGGCCCAGGTCTATGACCTAACTTTCTATGTTACCAAAAAAACACAAAAAAACAGCAAAAAGCAGAACATGTCTTCATGCATCTTTGCCTCACAGGCACTTTCAAGAAAGCATCGAAACTATGAGAAACTGGAGAAGAATATGTTGTGTCTCTTCCCATTAGTCCACACTGCTTCTTATTCAGCAGAAATATTATCTGCAGTCTTAATACCTTCAGTAAATGGATTTTGTCACCCCATAGTAGGTTTGAAAAAATTAGAGCCCTTATATACCTTTTTAATATCAAGGGTCACAATTTCTAGTTTCAGAAGAATTTTGTGACTTTATCCAAGAAAAGCAACCACCATCAAGATGAAAGGAACCAGCAGCAAATTCCCCTTTCCAACCACTTCTATGGTAAAAACACAAGATCAGCGCATTTCTCCAATGTTGCCAGGCAAGGATTTTCTGGAGCTGCTTCTCCAATGCTTGAAAACAATCGGCTCTTTTGAATGTGGTCCCCTCTCCAGGTCTGAGCCTCCCTCTGAAGGAAAGAAGCAGCTCTGTACACTCAGCGGTCCCTGATGCAGGCAACTGACTGTCAGTGGGCCAGTCACAGGGAAATCTCACAGATGGGAAAAGCAAATTCACACTGCAGAAGAATTAGAAGAGTCTGCTTATAATGTGGGACTATCTGACTTAGTGATGTCTATAATGAACTTCAAAGAAGTCAACAATTATATAAAGAACAAGAAGCAAACTGACATTGAAGCCAACTGAAGACATGTACTGAGGAACTCCAAAATCTCCGGGCTTTTCTGGGGAGGGGAAATGTGAGCTGACAGCTTTGACCTCACGTTCCACATGCTGCTTCTTTTTGTGCTTCTTGGAGATGTTTATATATTGATTCTAAGTGTCCATGGACTTAAATAATACAAGAAGGAAAGAGGGAATTAAAAGCAGGTCTATATGTAGTATCCAGATCTAAATCCTAACCTAAACACATCCAAATTCCTCTGATCTTGTTACCCATGTAATACAACAGAGTAGGTCCAAATAGTGCAAAGCATTTTGGGACCACCCATGTACACTGGGCTACTCTGTCAGCAGCTCAAGGAACTGTTTAAAAAGCAAAGGAACCAAAAACAACACAAAAAAACCCCAATCTGAAACACTATCCAAAAAACGCACAGCGGTGTCTGAAGTTGAGATTTTTCTGCTACGTGGGTCTCAGGCTAAGCGTAAGATGCTATTGATGGAATGAACTTCAGACTACTGGAATGGGCACCACCAGCACCACAGACCTTGTGTGTGTGGCAAGGGCCAGGAAAGCAGGCCAGACGAGAGGCTTTTTGGAAGGGTTCTCATCACTGTGTAGCGCGCAGCTCTGTGCCCCTGCCCAGCCACTCCCTGATAGCTGGAATCCTTCCTTGTCAAACCAGCTCCAAGAGCAGGCCACACTCTGCTGTTTCCTACCGTGTCATTCACTAATGTATTCATTTAGCAAATATTTATTGACCTCCTCCTAAGTGTCAGGCCCTGGGGATATGCTGGGGAATGGAGCACAGATGGTCTCCACCCTCATCTGAAGCTTTTGTCTAAGTCTCCCTGGCAGGTTATTTGCTTGAGTTTTAATCTGAGTTAAAATGCAGCCGCTTTGGGGAAGAACCCTACTTTGTGCTGTTACCTGTTGTTAGTTCAACGGGGATGCGGAATTTGGGGTGGATGCCGAGCGCTGGGAAGGAATATGCCCTCGTTCCCCCATCTCCATGACTACCACTGAAGGAAGGAGGCTGAGGGCAGATATGTGGTGAGGACTATGCTGGTGCACTTGGCAAATTTATTTTCATCTGCTTCACAGTTTGCTTGGGACTAGCCCAGCTTCTAACAGCCCCCAGTTTTTGGCTTGATCCTCAGACAACGCTTGTTAAAGGGTGGTGGGGGCGGGTGGGGGATAGTGACTGAAGAGGCTGTATTTATTGGGAGTGTATAGAAAATCCCATGACATAGTTTTTGCAAGGACTTCCAGCTTTCTCTTAGTATAAATGGTTAACCCTTTCATCTCCATTTGTATCTCCAGTGCAGGTCTGCTGGTGTCACTAGAGAGGAAGGAGACCGCAAGAAGACAGCGGCCGGGGGGATCTAGGAGATGGAAAGGGTCCTGAAAAATTCTAATCTGGATAATCTCTGGATACTGGACAATGAAGCCCAGGTGTGCTCTAAAAAAATGGAGCAAAATTTGGTCCAACTCATGCCAATTGTGTTCAACAGTTTATAGGATAAGTAGATCCTTTCAGGCTGTCATAGTTCAAGCTCTTGGAATGACCAGTAATATATACTTAAACATATGACAAAACTTAAGGGAAAAGAGGGCCCAAGGCATGCAGGGGAACTGAGCATAAAGGCCATTGTATTTCATGTATGACTTGACTGTGTTTCAGTAAAGCAATTTTAGCTCTAAACGGCATGTTTCCTTTCTTCTTTATTAGGAATTTCTTCAGAATTACCTTCTGAAGGGTAATTTCACCCCTAGTACTTTCTTCCACTGAGTAGCATTTCAGCCGTATTGTGCAAACCCAGAGGTTGCGCAGAGATCTCAGTAACACTTGGTATGTCACTAATGGCCAAAAACTGGCAGCCTGTGGTTTTGGAATCCTGCAACTCATACTTGAATCTGTGATGGATGTTTATGACTGTTGGAATGTGTCTTCAATCATCACAGAAATGCCTGAGCACATGGCTGTCGGTTATGCAATGGAAGGTGTGACTGGCTGTTTTAAAGATGCGCATGTGTGCCACTATTTATTATTGTTCTGGTAACATTTACTATTTTGGAGGGTGTGCTGTTGTTTCAAGAAATAACAATTTGTGTGTGTGTGTGTGTGTTTTAAGAAGTAGCCTAAACCTTCTTTCCCTGAATTTTGGAGCAAAGCAGCATCTGGGAACATATGGTCCAGCTTCCTGAAAAGTAAACTTTCCTCCTTCATTTTGTGAAGATGCATTCTGTATCCCTAGTGAAACTACAACTAGATCAGTGAAGGAACTTTTTTCTTCTTTGTGACTTATCCACATGGAAACACCAATCTCATAACAGCATGAGAAGGCAAGGGTGGAGTGGAAGGTAGACTTTGTCTTCCATGTGAATGTGTTCTGATCAAAACCCAGCTATTCTCACCAATACGCCTCCTATGTTCTTTTTGGTACTATCTGCATTCGGAGGCTTGTACAACCTTCTTAGTATTTAGGAATATAAAATCAGTTATTCATGAGTGAAGTCAAATATTTTTATTTGCATTATAGTTCTTCAGATCTGTTGCCATTCGTCCTGGCTGGTCTTTTAAATAATTCCTCTGTAAAATCTCCAGTAACTGCCACTAAAGAAAATGCAGTTACCATTGGCTTCCTGACAGGGATTCAACCCGTATTCCAAGGGAAACAGACCAGGATTTCAAAAGGCCAATTGCAAGAATGTTACAGCCAAGGCTTCTCAGTTGCCTGTGAAAGTATAATTATTATCATCAGAAAAGATCCTTCTAATTGTCACCAAGGACTTGTCCTTAGTGCTCAGCGACTGCCTCGGACTAGAAGCGTTGAGGTGTAACAGGGAGGGCCAGTGTTCTGGCCTTTGATTCACAATGCATCCTCCTGGTATCCCAACGTTTTTGCTTACAAAGTTGGGTTATCATCCCTTGGAGATACTTTAATACCTTAGAGGGAGTATAATCAAAAATTTGCTTTAGTATAGTTCTTGGGGACATGGTACTGGGTACAATGTATTGAGGCTTCATAGCAGGCTTCAAGCCCTCTCTCTTCAGGGTTCAAGGACAGAAAGGCTGAACACACTGGCCACGCTACATGATGATCTGAAACTTGGCGGACCTGAGAGGGCCTGAAAGGGACATAGGGCTTCTGGAGGAGTTGACATGTGGGTCCAACAAGGGCCTCCACTTTAAGACAGCAGAAAACGTGATATACTTTAAGGCACTAACCTTCAGAACTCCTTCCAGGCTTGTGTGATTCCACAATTCTATTCTACTTAGCATTGTTATCGGTTGAGGGTAGTTGTCTAGGTTCTTGGTGTTTTGAACAAAGAATTGGACAAAACACAGAAGCAAAGCAGCCAAAGCAGAGATTTTTGTGAAATGAAAGTTCACTCCACAAGGTGGGACCTGGCCCAAGCAAGAGACTCAGGAGCACTGGTTACAGAATTTTCTGGGGTTTATATACCCTCTAGAGGTTTCCCGTTGGTTCCTCTATTGGCCTACAACCAGTCTGACTGGCTGAAGAGTAGGCCCATGACCAGTCTGGTTGTGGGAGGGGACCAATCAGAGGTACTTTCATTTTCCAAATGCCACGCAGAAAAAGGAGGGGTTGAAAAGGGAGTTGCCTCAGCAACTCAGGTTTCCTGCCTCCAGACCCTATTCTCCTGCCTCAGCACCACGCCCTAGCAGAAGGTGGCAGAGTAAAACGGCAACACAACAGTATGAAAGAGGGTACTTTTAATAGTTAAGCATGGCCGGATGACACAAAGGCTGACCAGAGTGTGGGGAGGTGGGGACGTCTCTTGGCTCCTCTGCTGCACCTGGGAAATCTAGCAGAGATCTAAAGATCCAGAAATCTTCCCTTGTGAAGTGTTTCACCTTCACCTAACAAAAGGTCTTTGCAGTAGCTGAATTAGAGTTATCGCTACTGCTGCGAAAGTTTGTTCCTTGCTTTCAGACTCGTGTGGGTCTTGGTGGGTCAGCAGGAGTGTGCACACAAGCAGGAAGTACATAAAATTGGGCATGAAGTGATTAGAAGCCATGGCCTGAGTTACCACTTTGGGGAAGGGTCTGAAGCGTCTCTCAGGAAGAGTCAGTGTCCCTGTTCCTGACAATGAGCCATCCACAGCCACTTCTCCTTCAAGGGTTAAGTCACCGTGCCCTTCAAAAGGGGTTTTCAACTTCCTGGCTGTAGTCTTAGCCTCAGAAGAATGCTAATCCTACTGAGAGGACTTTTCAATACTCAGTTCTTAAGGACTAGACTTCAGAACCAAAGACTAAGAGCTATGTATGGCCAGCGTATTAAGGATCCCAAAGTAAGAAGTGCAAACCGGCTCAAGTGGGACAGGATCATGATACAAAGGACTTAGCCTCTGGCTACGGCTGAGTCCTCAGTGAGACAGAACTGGCAACATATTTCAGGACCTACATGATTTTCTCCATGGTTTGTTACATGTACACATGAACACAAATTGTATAGAGTTCTTACCATTGGGTGTGTTTTCAATCACCCAAGTTATCCTTTTGTTGTCTTCAAAGTCTCTGGGTTTGGAAAAAAAGAAAGAAAGAAAACCCTTGCAGGTGTCATTATAAATATATGAACTGGGTAAACAGTAGGTCATTAGGAAAGACAAGATTCTAATGCCTAGAGTGGGAAAATCTAGGGCAGCAGCACCCATTTGCTCCTCTTCACCCCACAGAATACAGACAGCCTGGGTATGCTCACACTAACACTACACATTGTTATTCACGACAGAAGAGCGTGTGAGACAACGTGTGTTTTGCTGGTGGCTTGTTTTCCTTTCAGTGACCCATGGCTCTCTATCTTTTTGAAAGACAGCTTTAACTGAAGACACATCCTTCTTATTTCTTTTGAGAATTTCTAAAAGATAAATGGAATTGGTTATTAAAGCTGTACCTCCATTAGGTAACCTAAGTGCAGAGTTGAGGAAATGGTCCTAATTGGGTAAAAGTAAGAGAAAAGTTATCTTTTCAAATCTAAAATGTCTACAATATCTCCATAGCCAATTTTGCCAGGTCACTGGGCAGCCTCAGATTCACCTGAAGGCAAGTCAACGTGGAAGAGGGATGTCTTGCCATTTGTTCTCATACCTATGGCACAAACAAAGGATTGGAAGAGGCTTTCTTCTGCTGCTCTGGAATTGGAAGAACTCCAATATATAACCCTGGGCATCTTCCTTTTTCCCCAAATGTATTCCTGGTTGGTTGGGTTATTTATTTATCTTCTTTAAGGTAAAATGAAGATAGCAAAAACCATCAGAAAATTAAGCATGAAATGGAAATTCTGATGCCATTATCTTCACACACCATGTCGCCGATGTGCGAGTATAATATAGGAATGAAAGCATTGCTAGATGAACTTCAGTGACTTCTTTTGATCTCTTGAAATCTGTTTATTCTCTTGAACTGAAATAATTCCTGTGGCTTGGTTTGTTTATTAGCAATTGTTTTTCAAAGTTTGGGAAAATGTGGTTTAAAAAAAAAGCAAATGGTAAGAGTATCATTCCTCTGCCTGCTATTTGCAAGACACTAAAATGAACTAAAATTTACTTGAAAACACAGAATTCCAAAATGCTGTTTCCTATGTTTAAAGGTATTATCAGTGTGGCAGCAATTTATGGGGAACTAGCTTATGATGTTGTAAGCCGCGGCTTTTTTTACCAAGTCATGAACTTGTGTTACTGAATAAAGCAAAATATTCAAAAGACAGGATGGAGTCACACATGAATTTAAAGTGGGACGAAGGGTGGTGTTGTGGGAAGTTAGGGACCCCAAACGGAGGGACCAGCTGGAGCCGTGGCAGAGGAACATAAATTGTGAAGATTTCATTTTAATATGGACATTTATCAGTTCCCAAATAATACCTTTATAATTTCTTATGCCTGTCTTTACTTTAATCTCTTAATCCTGTTATCTTCATAAGCTGAGGATGTACGTCACCTCAAGACCACTGTGATAATTGTGTTAACTGTACAAATTGATTGTAAAACACGTATGTTTGAACAATATGAAATCAGTGCACCTTGAAAAAGAACAGAATAACAGCGATTTTTAGGGAACAAGGCAAGACAACCATAAGGTCTGACTGCCTGCGGGGTTGGGCAAAAAGAGCCTTATTTTTCTTCTTGCAGAGAGCCTATAAATGCTAAATTCTTTTCCTAGCAAGGAATATTAATATTAATACCCTGGGAAAGGAATGCATTCCTGGGGGGAGGTCTATAAACAGCTGCTCTGGGAATGTCTGTATGATGCGGTTGAGATAAGGACTGAGATGTGCCCTGGTCTCCTGCAGTACCCTCAGGCTTACTAGGGTTGGGAAACTCCACCCTGGTAAATTTGTGGTCAGACAAGTTCTCTGTCTCAAACCCTGTTTTCTGTTATTTAAGATGTTTATCAAGACAATACGTGCACCGCTGAACATAGACCCTTATTAGTAGTTCTGCTTTTGCCCTTTGCCCTGTGACCTTTGTTGGACCCTTATGAATAGTTCTGCTTTTGCCCTTTGTCCTGTTCCCTCAGAAGCATGTGATCTTTGTTAGATGCTTATTAGTTCTGCTTTTTGCCCTTTGAAGCGTGTGATCTTTGTACCTACTCCCTGTTCTTACAGCCCCTCCCCTTTTGAAACCCTTAATAAAAACTTGCTGGTCTGAGACTCAGGCGGGCATCACAATCCTACCGATATGTGATGTCACCGCCAGTGGCCCAGCTGCAAAATTCCTCTCTTTGTACTGTCTCTCTTTATTTCTCAGCCGGCTGACACTTATAGAAAATAGAACCTACGTTGAAATATTGGGGGCAGGTTCCCCCAGTAGGGTGGGGCTGTATAAGCTGAATGAAAAATCAGCTGCTCCAACACAGGTATTTCAATCACGCTGATCCATTCATGGCCATATGGCTGGTGGTCAACACAAATAAGTTATAGGTATGCAACAGTGGAGAGACTTCTGACTTACCTTCCCATCTCTCTCTCACCCCATCCCAACATTTTCTCTTCTGGTCATACCCATGGGGCTTCTGGCCTTTTCACCTGGCCTGCCGTTCATCTGCTTGCCCACTGTGTCAGAGGCATGTGAATCAGAGCAATTCCCTCTTGAAAAGGGCTGGGTAAAATGAGGCTGAGACCTACTGGGCTGCATTCCTGACGGTTAAGGACTTCTAAGTCACAGGATGAGATAAGAGGTCAGCACAAGATATAGGTCATAAAGACCTTGCTGATAATACAGGTTGCAGTAAAGTAGCCAGCTAAATCCCACCAAAAACAGATGGCAATGAGAGTGACCCCTGGTCGTCCTCACTGCTACACTCCCACCAGTGCCACGACAGTTTACAGATGCCATGGCAACATCAGGAAGTTACTCTATAGGGTCTAAAAAGGGGAGACATGAATAATCCACCCCTTGTTTAGCATATCATCAAAAAATAACCATAAAAATGGGCAACCAGGCCGGGCGCAGTGGCTCACGCCTGTAATCCCAGCACTTTGGGAGGCCGAGGCGGGTGGATCATGAGGTCAGGAGATCGAGACCATCCTGGCTAACAAGGTGAAACCCCGTCTCTACTAAAAATACAAAAAATTAGCCAGGCGCGGTGGCGGGCGCCTGTAGTCCCAGCTACTCGGGAGGCTGAGGCAGGAGAATGGCGTGAACCCGGGAAGCGGAGCTTGCAGTGAGCCGAGATTGCGCCACTGCAGTCCGCAGTCCGGCCTGGACGACAGAGCGAGACTCCGTCTCAAAAAAAAAAAAAAAAAAAAAAAAAGGGCAACCAGCAGCTCCCGGGGCTGCCTTGTGTATAAAGTAGCCATTATTTTATTCCTTTACTTTCCTAATAAACATGCTTTCACTTTACTCTATGGACTCACTCTGAATTCTTTCTTGTGTGAGATCCAAGAACCTTCTCTCAGGGTCTGGATGGGGACCCTTTTCCTGTAACAACTGGACTGGAGTCAGGCACTGGCCTGGTCCTCAGTGCTCTCCAGGACTGGTCTGCTCCCCACTTTGGTGTGTCTTTCTCTTGTGTCGTTGTGTAATTACCTCCTCACTCGGTGCTGGGCTCCAGGTCCTAAGCTCAGCTTTGGCATCTGGCCAGCACCCTGAGAGGACTGACCCCAGACCTCAGGAGCGATGACGGGACAATGTGAGTTTGCAGTAGGCAGCTTCACTCCCTAGGCTGCTCTTCCTGCAACTGGACCACTCAGCAAGCCTGGGGTCTGTTAGCAAGGTCCTGTGTTCCCTGATCTCACAGCTGCTTCTGCTAGATGGGCACAGTCGAAAGGCCTCCGCTGGCTGAGGGAAACACAGGGGTGAGAATTTCAGCTTCCTGAGGCTGAGCCACATCTGCCCTGTGTCAGTGTTGAGGTGGAACCTCAGAGAGATGTCCATCTAAACCCCATTTTAAAGAAATTTTCTTTGATTTTGTCTCTAGGGATATAAAATATGAAAAACCTCAGAGATAGCAAAAGTGCCTAGAGGTCTTAGTTAAAAAGGAAGTGTATTAGTCAGTGATCTCCAGAGGAACAGAACCAATAGGTAGTGTATATACAGAAAGGGATTTATTATAAGGGATTGGCTCATGCAGTTACGAAGCCTGGTAAGTACCAAGATCTGCAGTCGGCAAGCTGGAGGCCCAGGAGAGTTGATGGCGCTAGTTTCAGTCTGAAAGCCAAGGCTCAAAACCCAAGAAGAGCCAATGTTTCCATTTGAGTCTGAAGGCAGGAGAAAATAAAAAAGAAAGAAAAATAATGTCCCAGCTTTGAAGGCAGTCAGGCAGGAAGAGTTCCCTTTTATTCAGAGAAGAATCAGCCTTTTTGTTTTATTCAGGTCATCAGTTGACAGAATGAAACCCACCCGCATTAGGGAAGGTAACCAACTTTACTCACACTACCAATCTGAACGTTAATCTTGTCCAGAAACATCCTCACAGACACACAACAATGTGTGACCGAATGCCTAGGTACCCCACAACCAGTAAAGTCAACACATAAAATGGACCCCACAGGGAGTGATGTCAGAGATGAGGGGTTGCAATGAGACTGCAATGTATCAATCCTGGCTGCACATCAGAATCACTCAGGGACTTTAAAAATAGCTGCCTGGAGCCCGCCCTAGGCCAATGATCAGAATCTCTGGGGAGTGGGGCCTGACATTTATATTTTTAAAAAGCTCCCCAGGTGATCTGGATATATAGTCAGAATTGCAAAACCCTGGGCTAGAAGGAATATAATAAATGGCTGGATGAATGATGAATATGACTCATGCAGAGAAGGAATCCAGTTGGCACTAACCTAGGAAATGAATTTTTAATAACTCTAATTCAGAATGCAAGAGGTTAAGTCAATTTCTTTGGTTTTCAGCATGGTGTGAGGACAGTGTCCTGGGAAGATCATGGGCTTTAGGTTCAATCCCAGCCTTATCACAAGTTATTTAACCCTAAACTCCAGGTTCCTAATTGGGAAACTAGGTACAATGATACCTGAGAAAACGTTATTAAAAGGTCAGCACAGTGCCTGGCCCCTGATACCTGCAAATGTCAGTCTCTTTTTCCTAACTCAGCAGGTATCAGATTCTTAAATTTAAGAATCAGAAACATTCTCATCATAAATGTAATCCCATCTGTGTTTTCAATAAATAATACATCACATACTGCATCTCCTTTAGTGGTCTTTTCAATCATGATAACAAAAACTCCTGTGGTTCATAAACAGAAAAAAAAATGTCAGATTTTGAACTTGGAAAGGAATGAAGGCAAGATTAAGCTTGAATTATTCATAGCGGTCTCAAAGTTGAAATCCTCCAGGGAATTCAAGTATTACCAAATATTGAGAAAAAGGAAAAAAAAAAAAGACAGGAAAATAAAAGCATGGGAGGAAAAAGATTTAAGGTTATTTCTTTAAGTCAAATTTCAGACAGAGGAAGTAGGTCTAAATTCATTAATGTGTATAGATAGAGCTCCTTAGGAAATAATTTTGCCATAATAATGTATTTCACACTAAAATAGGATTGAACTGCCTAATTCAGAAATGATTGTGTACCATACTTATTTAATTTTTAATTTTTATTTTTTATTTTTTTGAGATAGTCTTGCTCTGCTGCCCAGGCTGGAGGGCAGTGGCACGATCTTGACTCACTGCAACCTCCACCTCTGGGGTTCAAGTGATTCTCATGCCTCAGACTCCTGAGTAGCTGGTATTACAGGCACATACCACCACGCCTAGCTAAATTTTGTATTTTTTTTTGGAGAGACAGGATTTCACCATGTTGGTCAAGCTGGTCTCAAACTCCTGACCTCAAGTGATCCGCCTGCCTCAGCCTCCCAAAGTGCTGGGATTACAAGTGTGAGCCACCGCATCTGGCCATGTACCACACTTATTATCAGCTTATTCCTCTTAAACAGAACCAATGAGTTTTCACAACTAAAAGAAAATTATCTGGCTATTCTGCATGCAAATGGTTTAGGCTGTAAAAGAAACGTCTCCTAGGCCGGGCGTGGTGGCTCACGCCTATAATCCAACCACTTCGGGAGGCCGAGGCGGGCAGATCACCTGAGGTCAGGAGTTCGAGACCAAACTGTGGCAAAACCCCGTCTCTACTAATAAAACAAAAATTAGCTGGGTGTGGTGGTGCACGCCTGTAATCCCAGCTACTCGGGAGGCTGAGGCAGGAGAATCCACGAGGTGGAGGTTGCAGTGAGCCAAGATCACACCACTGTACTCCAGCCTGGGCGACAAGAGCAAAGCTCTGTCTCAAAAAAATAAAAGAAATGTCTACTTTCCCAAAAAAGCAAGCATTCCTATAGAAAGTACCAATGAGTTGTTTTATTTATGATTTTGTAGGTATTTATTCATCATTGAAAATCAGTCTCTTATATCATGAACACACTTTATATAGCAATAATACTAGAACATGTTAACATTGTGAAATTGTTCACTTTGATACCATAGATATTAATTACCCACTGTAAGTATAGAGCTCCTTTGTTATTATGCAGTTATACCTACACTTATACACATACCATGCATATATGAGCATGTTTCACCTACCTGAAAACTGACATGGAGTTGCATGGATTTCCTAGGCACAGATAAGCACAAGAAGGAGGAAAGATCATCTCTGTCCTCATTGCGCTAATGGGCTGACTGAGGCATGTGGCGGGGAGAAAAATGTGGGCAAAACTGGCTTCGAGACCTAGATCTTCTAATTACTAGCTGTGTGATCTGGAACAAGTTACTTAATTTCTCTGAACTTCAGTTCTCACCTCTGTAAATCGGGGTTAATAATACCCTCCCTGTAGCATTCTTCTGAGGATTAAGTGAAATTAAGCATAAAGTGCCAAGCACATGGTAGACACTTTTCCTTTCACATAAACCCTAGAAACAAATGTTTCCTGCAGGTGGTTTGGTATCCTTCTGCTTTGTTAAGTGGTGCAGCATGTTCATAAAATATTGAGCTTGAAAAACCAAGTCAACTAAAAATGAAAGTTCCAGGACTTCCACTTGTAGAAGATGAAGTGGACACACTTTTCCCCACTTCTCCTGCCAAGTATAACTAAAATCCTGACATCAGATAGGAAACAAACATAAGAAGACTGTGAAAGGTGGAGTAAAGGAAGCCTGGCTAGAGATCTCAGAACTCACAGAACAACACATGGCTGAGTTGTTCTTCTTTTTTTTTTTTTTAAGACGGAGTCCGCTCTTGTTGCCCAGGCTGAAGTGCAGTGGCATGATCTCAGCTCAATGCAACCTCCACCTCCTGGGTTCAAGTGATTCCCCTGCCTCAGCCACCCGAGTAGCTGGGATTACAGGCATGCTGTATTTTTGTATTTTTAGTAGAGACGGCGTTTCACCATGTTGCCCAGGCTGGTCTCGAACTCCTGACCTCAGGTGATCTGCCCGCCTTGGCCTCCCAAAGTGCTGGGATTACAGGCGTGAGCCATCACACCAGGCAATTATTTCTATCCTAGACTTATAGTGAAGAAGACAACAACCTGGAAATGCCAAAGAGCACAGACAAAAAAAAAATATCCGAAAAAAGCTCATCTCTTCAGGAATGAAGCAGCCTAGCAAAATAGAAAACTTTTCAATAATAAATGCTCAACACCAGCCAAAAACCACAGAATCCCCACCTCCACCCATGCCAGCAAAGCCTGGGTGGGGAACCCAGACTCTCCTCACCTGTTGGGCTGTACCCCACTGGGGTGGGGTAAGAGAATGCTTAGTAGAGTGACTGGATTTTTACTACTGCCTACCCATAATGGAGCCACCCCTACTGCGCTATCAAAAGAACCACACGGAGAGCTGGAATTTCTATCCCTTCCCACCAATAATGCTTAATAATTAGCAATAATAATGATGATACCACTCAGGTATCAATGGAGATCCAGTAGAAACCTGGACTTCTGCATCCACCTAAGCAGTAATGAGGTGATGCCTACCCGTCCCTTGCTGAAGTCCTGCCAGAGAAAGCCAGCTTAAAACAAAAGGTTTTGATGTGATTCAGAGTCTAGTAACATAATACTAAAATATCCTGGTTTCAGCTGAAATCACTTGTCATATCAAGAGACAGGAAGATCTTAAATGCAATGAAAAATGACAATCAATAGATGCCAAGACTGAGATGATAGAGATTTTAGGATTACCTGACAAAGATTAAAAAGCAGCCATGATAAATCACTTCAATGAGCAATTATTAATATGTTTCAAACAAAGAGAAAAAAAAGCCTTGGAAAAGAAACTGACTATCTCAGAGAAGAAATAGATGACCTAAAGAAGAACCAGATGAAAATTTAGAACTAAAAAATAAATAACCAAAGTTATTTATCAATCAAACTCATTGGAACAGAGCAGGCTGAGCACAGTGGCTCACGCCTGTAATTCCAGCACTCTGGGAAACCAAGATGGGTGGATCGCTTGAGCCCAGACATCTGAGACATGCCTGGGAAACATGGTGAAACCTCATCTCTACAAAAAAATACAAAGATTAGCCAGGCGTAGTGGCATGCACCTGTAGTTCCTGGGCAAAAAAGTGAAATCCTGTCTCAAAAACCAGAAACAAACAAAAAACAAAAACAAAGAACAGAGAAAATAGGGAGAGAATCAGTGAACTGGAAAACAAAACAGTAAAAATGACCAATCTGAATAACAGAGCGAATATAGATTGAAAAGCAAATAACAGAGCCTCAGGGATTTGTGGACTATAACAAAAAATCTAACATTTATGTCATAAGTGTCCTAGAAGGAGAGGAGAAAGGAGGAGCAGATAGAAAAGTAATAGAAGAAAAAATGGCTGAACACTTCCCAAATTTGGCAAGAGAAATGAACCTACATATTCAGATGATGAGTGAATTCCAAACAGGATAAAGCCAAAAAAATACACATCAAGACACATCCTAATTAAACTTCCAAAAACAAAGGACAAAGAAAACATTTTAAAAGCAGCAAGATAAAAAAACACCTTACTTATATTGGAAAGACAATTTGAATGATGGTGATTTTATCATCAGAAAATATGGAAGCCAGAAGGAAGAGGTGAGAGAGTTTTCAAGTGCTGAAAGAAAAAAACTGATAACCCAGAGTCCTATATCCAGCAAAAATATCCTTCAGAAATGAAAGGGGAAAGGAAGACATTCTCAGAGGAAGGAAAACTAAGTGATATCTCCAACAGTCCTAATCTGAAAAATTAGCTAAAGAAAGTGCTCTAAACAGAAAAAAAAAAAAGAAAGAAAGAAAACAAAACCTTCAATATTAGGAAGGAAGAACAAAGCAAACAAAAATATAGGTAAATGCAATAGCCTTTTCTCTTCCTCTTGAGTTTTCTAAATTATGCTTGATGATAAGGCAAAAATTATAAAACTGGTCTGGTTCTTAATGTATATAGGTAAATTTAAAGACAAACATATTATAAATGGAAAGGATAAAGGGAGGTAAAGTTTCCGTACTTCACTAGAACTAGCGAAATGACAATAGAGGTAGGCTTTGATAAGTTATGTAGACACATAATCCAGCACCTAAAGCAACCACTAAAAAAGTCATGCAAAGGGACTCACTAGAAACCACTATAGATATATCAAAACAAAATCCTAAAAATTGTTCAGATAACCCACTGGCAGGCAAAAAAATGAAAACAGAGCTATAAAAAACAGGTAACAATGACAAAAAATAAAAGAGCAGACCTAAGCCCTAACATATCAATAATTACATTTAAAGCATTACGATTTAAAGATGGAGAACAGCATAGTTGATTAAAAACATATGACTCAATTATACGCTGTCTCCAAGAAACTCATTTCAAATATAACATACAGGAAGGTTGAAAGTAAGAAGATAGAAGAAGGTATACCACACAAACATTAATCAAAGGAATTAACTGAACGACAAAAATACAAATGATCTCATTTGAATATGGGCAGAAGACATGAAGAGACATTTGACTGAAGAAGACAGATGGATGGCAAATAAACACATAGAAAGATATTCAACATCACTAGCCATTAGGGTAATGTAAATCAAAGGCATAATGACATACCACTAGACATCTATCAGAATGGCTGACATAAAAAACGGTGACCCCACAAATGCTGGAGAGGATGTAAGAAAGCTAGATCACTCATATGCTGCTGGTGAGAATGTAAAATGGTACAGTCACTCTGGAAAATAGTTTGGCAGTTTCTAAAACAATGGAACATACAATGGCTATATGACTCAGCAATTTCACTTCTAGGCACTTATTCTAGAGAAGGATGATTTATGTTTACACAAAAATATGTACATACTGGTCAGGCACAGTGCTACGATCCCAGCACTTTCGGAGGCCAAGGCAGGAGAACTGTTTGAGGCCAGGAGCTCAAGACCAGCCTAGGCAACATAATGAGACCCCATCTCTATAAAAAATTTAAAAAAGCATCTGTACGTGAATGTTTACAGCAGTTTTATTCATAATGCCCCCAACCTGGAAATAATTCAGATGTCCTTAGACAGTGAATAGCTAAATAAACTATGATACAGTACATATAACCTGATGGAATACTACTCACCAATAAAAAGGAATGAAGTACTAATACATGCAACAGTCTTAATGAATCTCTAGACAATTATGCTCAGTGGGGTTGGGGAACACCAATCATGAATGGTTATATACTCTATGATTCCATTGATACAACATTCTTGAAATGACAAAACTATAGAAATGGAGAACATATTAGTGGTTGCCAGTGATGAAGAAGTAGGTGGAGGAAAGGGGAAGAAAATATGTGGAATCTTTGTGATAACAGGCATTTTTTGTATCTTGACTTTGTCAGTGTCAATATTCTGGTTGTGATACTGTACTACAGTTTTGTAAGATGTTACCACTGGGAGGAACTGGGTAAGGGGTACATAGGAACTCCATATTATTTCTTGCAACTGCATGTGAATTTACAATGATTTCCAAAATAAAATTTAATTTTCAAATGGGAAGCTTCAGGGGTGACTTGCAAATTGGTAAAGAGAGTAAGCAAAAGCAAAACAAAATAAATGAACAAAAACCAAACTTGGGTCGGGCGCGGTGGCTCACACCTGTAATCCTAGCACTTTGGGAGGCCGAGGCGGGTGGATCACCTGAGGTACCTGAGGTCAGGAGTTTGAGACCAGCCTGACCAACATGGTGAAACCTCGACTCTACTAAAAATACAAAATTAGCTGAGCATGGTGGCACATGCCTGTAATCCTAGCTACTTGGGAGGCTGAGGCAGGAGAATCACTTGAACCCGGGAGGCGGAGGTTGCAGTGAGCCGAGATCATGCCATTGCACTCCAGCCTGGGCAACAAGAGTGAAACTGTGTCTCAGAAAACAAACAAACAAACAAAAAACAAAAAACAAAACCGAACTCTTATGCAAACACAGATCTTTAAGGATAGAAGAGCCCTTAATTATCAGTGGGTTTGACCTCTGAATCTGAAGTTAGGAAAGGGCGGCCCAGAGATGAAGTGACTTGCCCAAGGATAAAGCTGGGCCTCTAACCCCCAAACAGGCTTGTTCTCAGACACCCAGCCTGCAGACCACAGCAAACAGGTGCTGCTTCTCTAGAACTGCTGATTAAGGTCCAGTAATACATTTGTGAGTGTGGCCAAGAGATTTCAAGCACCTTTTAAAACTGTGCAATCACCTGCAAAGCAAGGAAGGATTGCAGGAGTTATTTCCTAATATTTCACTTGGAATATTCAAATGCTTCTCTGCACCTAATAAAACTACTGTCCCAAAGACAAGAGGATCCTAATTTTCAAAGGTTACATTCAAAATGCATCAGTGCAAACACGGAATGAAGCTATTATTTATGTCACCAGCATTACATACACTGGAGAGCCAAGGCAATGGCAAACATTTGCAGGAAGCTTTGCAGTTTACTAACATTATTTCATTTGATTGCAGCAACAGTTCTGTGTGATGTGGGAATTAATGCCGTTTCCATTTTACAGATAAGGCAACTACCCCCTCACTAAAGTGACCAGACAACTCGAAGTCAGGAACTAGCAAACCGCAGAACGAGGGCTCCTACCTAGATTTTCTATCCTCAGTTACTGCTGCCTTTTCCTTGTATCATTGTGATATCTCTTCTCCTAGGCCTAGGGATGAGGTAGCGCCTAAATCGTTACAAAGCTAACTCCATCCCAGATATAAATTCCAGTCTCTAGATGCAAGTTAGGCCTAACTCCTTACCACCCTCCTCAAGAGCTTCTCTGCACCATCACATCATTTTGTACAAGATGCTGTTATTGTGGCTTACTGAACTATAATTGTTTACCTGTCATAGACTAATATTTGTATCCCCTACAACAGATGGCTATAAAATTGACTTAAATTTGTAAAAGTTGCCCCTCTTGTCATCTACACACATTGGGCTGTATGTACGAAGTCATGACTTCATGACTTCTAAGAAATTTAAAAGGCTTTTCATTTAGACCTTTGGAAGTTCCTCCAAGGCACTGGGGCAAGCAGGTATGTGTCAGCAGAGAAAAGGAAGTGGCTCTTCAGGATCTAAGAGAAGTGGAAAAAATAGCTTCACAACTTTTCTGGCAAAATGTGCAGTAACACTGAGGTTTATTCAGTTGCCTGTCATAGTAACTTATGAACCTAATTACACTGTAATGCACATCTGCCTTTCTTCAACTACTCAATACTTTGGTGTTGAATATGTTTGGCTTAAAATAAGTTTGGACTGAAGAAAAATAATGAGAAATGATAATCAATAGTACTAGTTCCTTGTCAGACTACTGATTTTCACAACCTTTAACTGAGTTATCATCATGCTAGTAGATGTGGGTGAAATATTTGTGGGGAGATGACTCAACTTTTAAACCTCTTTGTCTAGATTCTCCAGTTCCTGCTGTATTAAAGAAACCAAAAAATCTAACAGATAACAATGCAAACCTGACATTTTACAAGTGTTGACACCCCCCCAAAAAAATTCATTTTGGGGATTGTTTCATCAAAAAGAAAAAACAAGCTGAAAACAGTAAAGAGCAGCCAGGGATCTAGTGAAGAACTGATCCCACACTGGCTGCTGGAGGTGACTGAAACACTCAACAGAACTGGGGATTATGAGATGATCTGATATAGAGGGAAGGATGAAAAGCAGGATGAATCAGGTCAGAGGCTGACGAGAGATATAATGGGAGTCAATGCAAGGCTCTCTGTGACTTATGGGTCTCTTTAACTGCTCCCTCAACATTTTGGTTAAATGGCTTGTTATTATATCCTAGAGGAATTCCATGACTCATTGAAAATGGCTTCTGTGCCTCCTCTCTGGTAGGGAATCTCTTTCATTATGAGCAAGAGGTAACTCCAAGTTTCCATTCACATTATAAAGCTTTGGGACTCCTCCACCGCCATGCTGGGCGGTGCCATGGGCCCCTGCCACGGCACAAACACTGTTCAGATCCTTCCCTTTGGGGGTCATGGGGAAGGCACCAGCTCTAGGGAAGATTAAGGTCCTTCAGGTCTCTGTACTTAAAGTTTTAAAATATAATATAATAATTAAATTTAGAAGACCTATCTTGCCTTACACTCTGGAGAGCATGAGATGAAGCTTGGCAAGCTAACAGGTGGGGGCGGTGGGGGGTGGGGGCGGAGGGTTGGTAGAAAAGGAAGAAGGAAGGGAAGGGCATTCCAGGCAGAGGGTCTAGCATGGGCAAGGGCATGGATGTGTGGGAAAGTATACCAGGTTTAAAGAACTGCAGTAATTAGCAATCATTCATTAACTTTACATATATACACACACATGCACCCAGACACACACACACACACACACACACTCATTCATCACTTAATGATAGGGAGATGTTCTGAGAAATGCATGGTTAAGTGATTTCATCATCATGCAAACATCACAGAGTGTACTTACACAAACCTAGATGTATAGCCTACTACACAGCTAGGCTATTGCTACGAGGCTACAAACCTATACAGCATGCTACTGTACTGAATACTGTAAGCAACTGTAACACAATGTTAAGTATTTGTGTATCTGAGCATATCTAAACATAGAAAAGGTACAATAAAAATATGATATAAAAGATAAACAATGATACACCTGTATAAGGCAACGCCATCATAATCTTACAGGACCACATATGCAGTCTGTCATTGACCAAAACATCATTATGCAGTGCATGACTATGTGTGTTTTTTCTTAGCACTTGAGCTAGGCATTGTTCTAAAGGTTATAGTGGTGACCAACACAGACAAGTTCCCTTCCCCTAAGGACCACCGCCAAGCCACAGTTCCCAAGGCCATCATCAACATGCCTGTCTAGTGACTGGGGCAGAGACTTATCTTGCCCTACCTTCTGGGCAGGAAGGGGCAGGAAGAGATCATCATGGGAAGTGGACACAGTAGAGGTGCTGAAATAGTGGAGCCAGCGTTAGAAACACGATACACAGAACAGAAATTTCATTTCTGAGGCCTGTTGCTGTCAGCAAGTTCCAAGAAACACTGGTCATTGCTGTAGCAACTGATTTCACATGCATCAGGAGAAATCGTAACAGTATTAGTTCTCCCTGGAGACGGACAAAATTGGAACTGTCCACAATTAGAGAGTGTTCCCCATTTCTTCTAATGTTGCTGCTGGTGGCTTGAAACTTTTGCCTTCCTCTAACCACTTTGGGCGATTCAGTCCTCGGAGGCCTCCCATTTTTGTCCCTGAGGAGGATGGCCCTGCCCCGCACAGCTAAGCCATGTGTGGGCTGCTCTAAGGCCCAAGAAGCCAGGGTGAGGGAGGGGTGAAGAACACAGTGAGAAATGGCAGGATTCAGAGTTTAAAGTTCTGGGCTTGGGCACCAGTTCTACAGTTAGCCGTGTGACCCTTAAGTGATTTGCTTAACCTCTCTGTACCTCTGCTTCTCTATTTGAAAATAGTGTTATTAATATCTCTCTCATTGGATCAGCATGTGGAGCAAAGTAGATAATGGGTATGGAGATACTTTGTAAGTTTAAGAGCCACATAAACACCAAGTATTTGCCTAAAATAAAGGATCTTTTCTTCATTCTAAGAGATAAAATATCCCAAATGGTGATATTTCTTTAAAAAGTCCTTACCATGGTCTTCAGTTTACTTCTACCTATATTAAGGAATTCAAGGAAACTATCAGTGAAAGTACAAACTAACTCAATCCTGGGTCTGTCTCTGTCAGAGGCATGTGAACCAGAACAACTCCATCTTAAATAGGAGCTGGGTAAAATGAGGCTGAAACCTACTGGGCTGCATTCCCAGATGGTTAAGGCATTCTAAATCACAGGATAAGATAGGAGGTCAGCACAAAATACAGGTCATGAAGACCTTGCTGATAAAACAGGTTGCAGTGAAGGAGCCGGCCAAAATCCACCAAAACCAAGATGGCGATGAGAGTGACCTCTGGTCGTCCTGACTGCTACACTCCCACCAGCGCCATGACAGTTTACAGATGCCATGGCAACATCAGGAAGTTACCAGATATGGTCTAAAAAGGGGAGACATGAATAATCCACCCCTTGTTGAGCATATCATCAAGAAATAACCATAAAAATGGGCAACCAGCAGCCCTCAGGGCTACTCTATGCAGTAGCCATTCTTTCATTCCTTTACTTTCTTAATAAATTTGCTTTCACTTTACACTGAGGACTCGCCCTGATTTCTTTCTTGTGCGAGATCCAAGAACCCTGTCTTGGGGTCTGGATCAGGACCCCTTTCCTTTAACACCTCTGCCCCCATTGGTAGTCAGTCATGTGATCTGGGACAAGTCAGTTAACCATTTAGATCCTCAGGTTCCTCATCCACAAAATGAAAAGAGCTGATGTAGGGATTGGCTAATATATCTTAAAATTATCTGGAAAATATCCAATCAATGTAAGGCATCATACTTCTATTCTATTCTATTCTATTCTATTCTATTCTATTCTATTCTATTCTATTCTATTCTATTCTAATTTTTGAGATGGAGTCTTGCTCTGTTGCTCTGTTGCACTGTTGTGCATTGGCACAATTTTGGCTCACTGCAACCTATGCCTCCTGGGTTCAAGCAATTCTCCTGCCTCAGCCTCCTGAGTAGCTGGGACTACAGGCGCATGCCACCACACTAGGCTAATTTTTGTAATTGTAGTAGAGAGGGGGTTTCACCATATTGGTCAGGCTGGTCTCAAACTCCTGACCTCAGGTGATCTGCCCACCTTGGCCTCCCAAAGTGCTGGATTACAGGTGAGAGCCACTGTGCCCAGCCCTGTATATATTTTAAATGATACAGAGTCATTATCTGAGTTTGAAGTCAAAATGTTTCTATCAAAACGTTTCTAACAAAACATTTGCTGTCAACAGTCTTTATACAGGAAGAACTCTGAAATGAACTGCAGTTGAATATCTACCTTCTTAAGCAGATGCAGAGTGAGATAAAAATAATTTTTGTAGATGTGCTGAATGTCTGGGATTGTTGATATGTCATCTGTGGTAGATAAACAATGACCACACATTCTTTGCTATTCCCCTCATTAAGAGGTGATATCTATGTCCTCTCCCCTTGAACCTGCAGAGTGGGTTGGTGGGGGTGATCTCTGTGAAAACTTAACCAACAGAATACAGCAGAAAGAATGCCGTGCCAATTTCCAAGCTAAGCCTTAAGAGACCAGCAGCTTCCACTTTCTGACTCTTGGAAGATTTGTTCTTGGAGCCCTTGCAAGATGTCTGACTGCCCTGAGGCTGCCATGCTGGAGGGAGCCCAAGCTGGTTACTTGGAGAGGGCCTAGGAGGAGACAGTGCCAGGCCGCCCCCAGCAATTCCAACTCTCATCCCTGCCTGGCATGCCGGCTGAGACCCTGGATTGTGGCGCAGAGGAGAGTTGTGTCTGCTGTACAGTCTGAATTCCTGACCCACAGGACCAGAGCAATAATAATAATAATCAATTGCTTTAAGACACTCAGTTTTAAAATGCCTTGTTTCATGCAATAGATAACTGGAAAATCATCCAAACATGAGATGATAAAATGTTTGATGGCAATGTAACACGTGTATCACTAAAATGAAATTTCAGCCCCAACATTGCTCCAGTCTCAGAACAGGAAAAATTTTCCTCTGGCTATAGCTGCAGTGAGAAATCATGGCAAACTGGGGTGATGCCTCGGTATTTCCAAGGACACCAAAAAGGAAAAAAGCCTCACTGGGTTTTATAAATCAACAAAATATATGTAGATTAAATGCCTTCTGTATAAATACAGCAGAAACATAAAGAGTCTAAAATTCTAAAAAGCGATAAAAAATTTTCTAGGTAAAGCAAAGGGGGTTCTGGATTATCTTTCCCTCAAGGTAGAGGTTAAACGCCTGACTGGACAGTAACTTAAGGACTGTGTAAATGAGAACAGATTTGGCAAATGATTTTGCAACTCCAAGAGAGGTGACTGAGAAAGATTCGAATGTTAAACTCATTTGTTTGTGTATATTTCTTATTTTTTGTATATTATGATGATGTTTTAACATCCTTAAAAAAACCCTTTCAGGCTGGGGAGAGACTACACCTCCCTCCAGGGCTAGGTAATTCTCAAAGATAGCCAAGGGCCCAGAAAGGAGCATGCCTTTGTTATGCAAACTAACCAACCTAGAGCCACACCTCCTCTACCTGGCCCATAGAACCCAGGAAGCAATGCTCCTCTCTCCTAATCATCCCAGGGCCAGGTACCAAGCAACTAGGGACCACATCTATAGTTTAGACCTATCGGAAATTATTCAAACTAGCCGTTCCTAACCTGTTTACCCTGCCCTGCCTGGCCTTTCCCATGGAAAGCCTAATAAAGGCAGTGAACAAAGCCACACAGCTTTAACTTGTACAGGGCTACACATCTGAAAACAAAACCTGTCTCTACTGCTAAGTTGTGAAAACTCTATATTAAGGTTATATGCATATACTTTGATAGAAAAACAAGATGAATGCAATCTCCTTGCCTGGTGATATAAACCAAATATGTTTTACTAATAGCCCATGTTAATAGAGAGCAGATGGCAAAAAATGTATAAAGGTATGACTCATTCCTATCTTGAAATACTTCACTATTCCCTACGATCAGTAGAAGTCAGATCTCCCATTGTCTGTTTCCCGACACGGTGCTTTTATTTTTCTTTGAGAAAAGCCACAGTACAAACAAGTGAGTTGGGTTTTTCATCCCTTTACAGATCTTCCACATTCCCTGTTGCTTGTTTTCTGCTTGTAGGCTGATGAGGCAGGAGGCAGACATGAACGACTCAGAGGAATGTAAGAGAAATATGAATGTGTAATTAAAAGAATTACATGTCTGCCTTTTTGTGCCTTTAATTTAGAAAGTCAGTGGCTTAAATCACCTACTTCACAGCATGAGTAATGCACAGAAAGTCGGTGCTGAAGCCACATTTGAAAGGACTCTGCCACCCAGACTGAAGCTGAGTGGCACTTCCTTCACTCAGTTGAAATACTTCAGTGATTCCAGTGATTGACCACTGATGGTAGTCTTATCTAGACATTCCTGCCAGTGTTTTCAAATAGACTCCAAACTGCCATTCAAGCATTTTAAAATATCTCCAACTTAGTTCCTCGATGAGAAGCCAAGAGTGAGTTTTATGCATTTGGGTCACACCAGCTGGATTGGAGCTAAAAGTTCTCACCCATCATATTAATCTTTGGATACCAATCTACAGGACAGGCCTATCCAGTCAACCCAGGCAAATTACTGCTGGGTGAGTCACTGGATTGCTGTCCCCTTCCCAGGACAGTCTCAGTAGGCCTTCAGATGGTCCAGCAAGCCACATGGCTGAGAGTACAAAGGCCTTTCACACTGTCATGTCTGTCCAGCCCTGTAAGGTAAGAGTCACCAGGGTTAGGTAGTGGTCTCCTTGCCAGGTGATTTGTCCCTTTTCAGTCAAGACATAAACCCTTAAGAACACCTATGATTAGGACTACGTAATTTGCCAGACAGGTATCTAACTTGGGGCACCTTTAAGGGTAGAAAATACGCAGTTTAGCAATGGTAACCCCAAAGTATTCCTTTATTTCCGACGGCCTCTTTTAGCAATACATCCAGACCATGCTCTCTTTCCTAAGCCCTCAGTTCAATTTCTTTATCATCATTCCTCTCCTAAACCTCTCAAAATCAAATGTTTGAGTATAATTTTTGTGCCACTCAATTGACTGATTCCCCTATTTGTTAAACATTGAATAAAATGTTTATTAAGTGCCAGGCCATATGCTAAGAACTCAAGATATACAAATGCATACTCATTAAAAGAAAAATTCAAACAAGGAGCAATATATAAGGTAAAAATGTGAGTTTCCTTTACCTTTTCCAATTTTACCCCCCAGAGGTAACTACTGTTAATAGTTTATATTTTTATAGATTATTTTATAAATATATTTTATAGATTATTATAGATTATTTACAAAATACATACACATAGATGCATACGTGCACACACACAGAACCTATGCATTACATTCTAAGCATGTACATATGGAAGTATGGGGCGAGTCCGGTTATTTGCTCATACACATTATGAAACCCATGAGATAAAACGTGTAAGTTATTAAAAATTATACTAATGCTCTCTTTAAATTCCTACTTTGATTTTTTGTTTATATAAACTTCTTAGTTTTTAGAAATAAGACACAACTGGACCCACAGCCAGCCAGCCCAAGAAGCTTTCTCTGTAAATACGTTTCCCACTCATTTGTTCAAAACAATATTTACTGGAGCTGGGTACAGTGGCTTACGCCTGTAATCCTAATACGTTGGGAGGCCAAGGTTGGAGGATCGTTTGAGGTCAAGAGTTCAAGATTGGCCTGGACAACATAGTGAGACCCCATCTCTAAAAAAACAAAAAAATTAGCTGGGTGTGATGTTGATGCCTGTAATCCTAGCTCCTTGGGAAGATGAGGTGGGAGGACTGCTTGAGCCCAGGAAGTCAAGGCTGCAGTGAGCCATGATCATGCCACTGCACTCCAGCCTGGACAAGAGAGTGAGATCCTATCTCAAAACAAAACAAAATAAAACCATTATTTATTGGCCTAGAACATGTGCAGGACATCGTGTTAACTAGGAATACAAAAATGAAGATGTGACATTTCCCTCAAGTCTAGAATACACAGGATTAAAATTAAAATATGTATTATTTTCTTCCAAATAAAATTCTTCTTCTTCTTTTTTTTAACAAAATAGCCTCAAAAATCCTTTTGGTTATAAATCATTTTTTTCTTCTTCACAGTGCATAAACTATCAGGTGCCATGATGATAGTTGTTCAAATACTAGCCTTCCCAGTATCAGTGAATGCCTTCCTAGAAAAATCTTAAGAAATTACTCTTTCTAGCAGAAATTTCAGGTAACTTGAGAAACCAGTAAATGAGATTTTAAGGGAAACAGACTGAACTTTCAGTAGCTTTCCTATCATACTGACCACACACGCCCAGGGCTGGTCTGATAGTAAGAACGACTTCTGGTTTTGTTTTTTGTTTGTTTTTTTTTGTTTTGTTTTTTTTTCCCAGTCTTTTACAATTAAGGTTAACTCAGTCAGAATGTGCTGATATGGTTCCTGGTTCAGAGGAGGTGTAAGAAGTGCTTGGAGACCAGTCTCTCCTTCCCAAAAGAGAATTATGCAGGTTGAGAGAGCTGAAGGGCTCATCTGATGTCAAGCTTTAATGCCATCTCTCTCATCTCTCTCATCCTAGAAGACAGTCTCTTGCTCCTTCCAAATGGGAGGGAAAAGGGAGGTGCTACAGATGAGCATTCATAGCTGCCACTAAACCGAGTTTCCAGAACAGCATCTTTTAGAGAGAGAAAACAATTATAGAACCAACATCCCTGATCATTTTTCTATGTGGAATGAAAGCCCTGTTATAAATTACACCAAAGACTTAAATCATGGCATGACCTAGGAGTGACCCTTCCGCCTTACATCAGTGCAGCCAGCCTGGTGACTCCCCCAACCTCCATCACCATGGATCCTGCATTACAGAAGGAATGAAGATCGTAGTGGGACTTACGTAAGCTGCGAGCCCGTCGCCATCCAGCCCTCTGCTCACATTAACACTAAGCAGTATATAATTTAGAAAGGGGGAAATGCTATCATAGCTTTTGCCCCCACATTGCTATGAAATTCCAGACTTTTATGTGCAGGAAGCTCCATGTTGATCTTGGCGTCCCCATGGGTTAAAAATCTTGTTTAAATGGTGCAGCCTTAGAATAGCCTTTGAGGTTTTTCCTATGTTGTTTTATAAGAGGCTTCTGCCTGATTATTTACAGATGCTGTCTCTGAGAAAGCTGAAAATAGTCTCACTATGAACACTGAAATTCAGTGTCCTTTACTATTTTCTGGTGAATAGCTCACCAGAGCTCAAGCCCAAAGGTTGGCTTACCAAACTGGCTTTTCAAGAGGACTTCTGATGTTGTCATCTCAGGCACTGAGGTTTCTGCTGACCTGGCCTCAGCTGGTCAATAAGTCACTCGTCAATGTACTGGCTCAACAAGTATGTTGGACCTACTCTGTGTCAGGCCTGCATCAGGATGTGGGGACACAGAGGCAGAAACCAAGGCTCTGCCTTGGAGAGCTCAGTCTAAGGAGAAGCAGTAAGTCTGCCGACAACCAGGAGGTAGAGGAGTGAATGCCATGTCACAGCTGAGCAGGGTGTGCTGGGTCACCTCATGGGTGTGGGGGAGAGGAGGCGAGCCGGGCGGCCTTCCCTTACTCACAATAAGCAAGGCAGGACAATAGAGGTGTGGTTTCCTGTACTTGGTTTTTTTCCTTCTTCAAATCCAAATCAGGCTATTGCCTCTAGGGAGGCATGATCTGTAACCTCTCAGACTGGGAGAGATCTGTTCTTATTCTTCAAAATCTCCAGAGAAGAACTTAGTGCAACCTTCTTAATTGTGTCTATGGTATTCACCAACGTATGCAGAAAGCTCTTCAGTCTCCATAACTCAAACCCGTGAGTTGCAGTTGAAGTTACTTTCTCTTGCACCAGCCTTGTTGGAGAGCCGGCCTACTGGAAGCATCTTCCTACACACGGGGTCATGCCCCCGACCCTTGCTCTTTTCCAGGCTGGGCAGCTGCCCCTCCCACCCAGGGCTCATTCTTCATCTCCTTTCCATGATTTCAGTGTCACATCCTAGACTCACTCCAAACCCTCCTATCCCTTCTCAATTACCAAATGCAGACTAGACCAGGAGGGGAGTGTGCTGGGCCAGAGCTTTTCCTTCCCAATTCCTGCAAATTCCTGAGAGTCCCCCCAGGCTGATGAAATGAGTCTCTTTGTACATGATCACCAGGAGAGACTCTGGGATGACAGCGCTGGGGGAAGAGGTGGGGGAGAATAAAATACAGTCCTTACAGGTTTAATTAAAGACACACAGCCCCCACGGTCATCAACATCACCATTGCTGGCACCACTAACCTCTCTGGAGCCATGAGGGCATGTGGGTGAGTGAATATTGGAGAAGTGCTTTTGGACTAACAGTAGTACCATAAATAACTGTTACTGAGTTAAAGACATCTCTATGTGATTTACAGCTTGCAGTAATAATGACCTGGTGAGTTTAAGAACTCACCACCCCATCTCTTGTTCCACAGCCTCCTCTTCTTAAAGAAAAATGAACCCCAAGCTAAGCCGAGAGCCATAACATAATCACATCTCATCTTGGTATAGCATTTTTCATTTTCCCAAATATTTTCCCACATCACCTCATCTAATCCTCACAGCAACCCTGTGCAGTGAATCTTAAATATATTGACTTACAGCTAAGAAAACAGAGGCACAGGATGTTAAGTGACTTGTCCAAGATCACATGGAAAGTATCAGAGGTCGGATTCAGACAGGTCAGCCTCACTCCTCTCTTTTAGACTACCACTACTATTTGTAAAATGCATCATGGCTTCTATGGCACTTTTCACATATTTTATTGGTTCTCAAAACATTCCTAGGATGTAATTAAGAAACGAGCAATAATACACACTGTGTAGGATGTAATTGAGAAAATTGTTGAAATGAACCAGAATGATTAATGGGTGTTGTCAATGGAAAACTAGGCATTGCCTAGGAGACCCTTCCAGGTTATGTGATTCTATGAGGTCTCTGCATGTTTTGGGGTCTGCGAGCAATTTTACTACTGTGTAAGTTGTAGGTAATGAAGAGCAATGTAAGTGATTTTTACTCATAGACATGAGTAAATTTTGTGCAGTGGAAGCGCAGTTGCTTTCCCTCCCTTTCTATGGAAGAAGCCAGTTTTGCATCTACTAGGTAAATTCACTTCAGCATTCCTGACCGCTTCTATATGGACCTGCTCTTTGAATTCTCCTGTGAATTGGCTGTAACATCTTATTGATTCCCTCATTAATTAATCAGTTAAATAAATCTTTGACACATGTTCATTTGATATAGGTATGAGTCATGATTTTATCTTTAAAAATAATAACTCTTTAATAACACCTAACATTTATTAAGCACTCAGTCTAAGCCCTTACTAAGGGCTTTACGTGCATTTATTTCTTTCAACAATCATAAGGCAAGCACTCTTGTAGCCATTTTAGAGATGAAAAGACAGAGGTTCCGAAGGATTCGATAACTTGCTCAAGATCCCACAGTCAGGAAGGGAAGGGATCATTTTCTCTCCCTTCTCTCTGAGGCCATCACTATTTATTTTCCCTAAGGGTCTGCAATATATGGAACTAAATAACTTCCTAGGGCTGCAAGACCCCTGAAGAAGGTAGACACTTGTGTCCCTCTGGGATGGCTGTGCGTGGCAGGCTGCAGTTGTAATCAGTCTCATTTCCAATGCTGACTAACATTCCACTGATAGGCAATTTGGGTGTACTCAATATTTTCTGCCTCCCACACACAGATGACTTGAGGGAAGAGGGTGTCATGGAAACAGCACTGGCCTCTGAGTTAGAAGACTTGCATACTGGGGCTGGCTCAGCTACTGACAAGCAGCATGATGTGAGGCGAGCCACTTAACCTTTCTGGTTCTCATCTGTGTAGTAAAGATGAGTCAGCAGACAACACGGTTAGCAAAAGCATCGCCAAATTCAGCTACGCCAGCAATGCCAACAAAGGTGACTCCCAGCAAGCGAGGTGAGCGTCCTATGTGGGCCGTAGGGAGAGAAATCCTCATTTCAAGACGGGTAAAGAAGCATTTAGAATCTGAGGTCATCAAGTCCACGTTGATAGGTGTGCTCTACATCTCATGCTTGATGGGCAGAGCTGACCTGGGTGATTTCTCAGGCCTAGCTCTTTAGAGCTTCTTCACTGGAGTCCCTAGACGGTGGTTCAGAGATGCAGCCCTCTTGAAAGAAAAGTAAAACTCTGTTACTGGGACTAAAAAATCTGAGGCTTTAATCCTCTGAGGAAAAAGACCTTGTCTTCTTCATTGTTGTATTCTCTCTAGTGACTTGCACAATTCATAACCGGTCCTCAAATGTGCATTGAATTGAATCGAATGCGCACCTATTGACTACATTTATTTGGGGCCTACCAAACACCCAGCACTATCCCAGGATGAAGGAGACCCTAGGCCCACCTCAGGGTGCTCTCCAGATTCCATATTCTCTTTTCTGGCTGTGTCTGGTGGGCGTTCTCTTTCTCTTTCAATGTTTAAGAAGAACATTGCCTTTGGTGTTTATCATCGTTTAAAAACATGCAATTCTACACACTCTGTTATTTGCTCCCAGGGAAGTCCTACCTAAAGAGCTTTTCCTGGCCGGGCGTGGTGGCTCATGCCTGTAATCCCAGCACTTCGGGAGGATGAGGCAGGCAGATCACCTGAGGTCAGGAGTTTGAGACCAGCCTGGCCAACATGGTGAAACCCCATCTCTACTAAAAATATAAAATTAGCCGGGCATGGTGGTATGTGCCTGTAATCCCAGCTACTCGGGAGGCTGAGGCAGGAGAATCACTTGAACCCAAGAGGTGGAGGTTGCGTGAGCTGAGATCCTGTCACTGCACTTCAGCCTGGGCAAAAAGAGTGAAACTCCGTCTCAAAAAAAAAAAAAAGAGCTTTTTCTACCCAATATTGATTCAGTGTTTACCACAGGCCTTGCCTTGTTCTATGCACTGGGAATATGGCAGTGATTAAAACAGAAAAAGTCCTTGTTCCCATAGAGTTCATTTACATTTGGTGTGAGATGAGAACAGAAAAATCAGATCCTTTTGTTAAAAGTAGTGCTAAGTGATTATTTCAAGTAACTCACTGGGTGACTAAACAAATGGACCACAACACACCCCATGGATGGCTCAACCATCTGCTATTATGCCTTAAAAAAGTCATTAATTAGAAATTATATTCAGCTGCTATGTTTAGGTACAGGTCTTTGGGAGTTCATCATAAAAGAATTACTTTAAATAAGGTATTACTTCTGAAAAGAAGCTGCATTGCATGTAATTAGGTGACTGAAAGTTGTCTTTTTTTGAAAATTAAGTTTAAAACTATAATATAACTTGGGAGAATAATAATAATTAAGACACCAAACTATTACATATAAATAAGATGTCTTTTCAATAAAATTTCATTAATTTAATGTTTTTCTCCCTTTGGATTCAATTACATCAGGTCAAAATAGACTTGCTCAAGAGCAAATTTTCTAAGGAACAAATCTAGCATTTACTAAGGAACACAAACACCGTAAAGGGGCTTTTATAAAAGGTATTTTTTAACCAGATGGAAGGCTTTACTTTAAAAATGTAAAAGGTCATACAAGCCCACCATTTTGGGGGTAATCATAATTTTTTAACAGGCCTAAGTGCACATTCTTAACACACAAGTGAGACTTTTAATTCTTTAAAAAGCAGTAGGGAGTGATTTTTTCCTAAACATTAAGAAGGAAAATTCCCCAGAGATTATGAAGTCACAAAACCTGAAACTAAAAATTTGCTCACATTGAGATGTAAGTTAATCATCTACTCTGTGTGTGTTTTTATGTTTTTTTTGTTTTGATTTGTTTTTTTAACAAGAACACGTTGTCTCTCCCATGGTAATGATGCAAATTTCAAAGTATTTAAACTGTTATCAGAACAATGTGTACAATGCCAGACAATCTCTACAGTTGGCTGATTTGATTGTAAATAACACAAACTATTTTTTTTCATGTAATTCTTTTTTTCTTTCTTTTTTTTTTTAAGACAGTGTCTCACTTTGTTGCCCAGGCTGGAGTGCAATGGTGCAATCTCGGCTCATTGCAACCTCTGCTTCTCGGGTTCAAGTGATTCTCCTGCCTCAGCCTCCTGAGTAACTGGGATTACAGGTGCCTGCCACCATGCCCGGCTAATTTTTGTATTTTTAGTAGAGACAGGGATTTGCCATGTTGGCCAGGCTGGTCTCAAACTGCTGACCTCAAGCGAACCGCCCCCGTCAACCTCCCAAAGTTCTGGGATTACAGGTGTGAGCCACTGTGCCTGGCCTCATGTAATTCTTTACCAACACAAGCTAGCAAAGAACAGGCCCCAAAGAGAAAGACAACATAGAGCTGCATGATGACAGATGTGGATATGAATGGCTGATTCCAGGCCCACGTGAGCATAAATGCAGCCCTATGATCGTAAAGATTCCTCATCCATCTATCTACCCAAACTAGCGCCCCCTTTGCTTTCTAATCTTTATTGCCCTTATTTTAATTACTGCCTGGTATCACAGGTCTATTGTTAATTTCCGTCTCTCCAAATAGAATGTAAGCTGCCTTAGGATAGCGACTCTGTTTTGCTCAGTTCTGCATCGCCAGCTCCCAGGACAGGGCCTGGCCTATGGAATTTGCTCAATAAATATTTGTTGAAAGAATAAATAAATCCGGCTGGGCGTGGTGGCTCACGTCTGTAATCCCAGCACTTTGAGAGGCAGATAGCTTGAGGCCAGGAGTTCAAGACCAGCCTGGCCATCATGGTGAAACCCTGTCCCTACTGAATACAAAAATTAGCCAGGCGTGGTGGCGCACCTGTAGTCCCAGCTACTCGGGAGGCTGAGGCACAAGAATCACTTGAACCTGGGAGGCAGAGGTTGCAGTGAGCTGAGATCATGCCACTGTACTCCAGCCTGGGTGTCAGAGAGAGATTCTGTTTCAAAAAAAAAAAAATTAGAAGAAAGAACAAATAAATCCTTTGGAGAACTGCATACTCCATATCTAGATAACTTTGCATATTAATTACCTCTATTTTGGAAAATTATATTTTTCCAGAGTTCTTTCCTAATTATTAGTAGTACATTTTGAAAAATAGTCTTTCCCTTTCACTTATACAGTAAATTTAAACTTCCAGTGAATAAAAATCTCTAAGAATTTATTGGTATAGGCAAAACTGCTAAGAATTTGAGTATAAATGGGCTAAGCTAAATTTATAAATCCAGCCTACTATCTAAAAAGTAGTCACTTTTTTAAACCGAAAAGTCAATTTTAATTTATTTTCAACCTACTTTTCTTTCACCACAATCATCATACAGACATCCAGCTGAAATACTGTATATCCCAATGAAGAGGGAAACCATTTAATGTAAAGCCATGGTCATATGAAAGAACATTTTTTAGGACACAAAATAAATATAGTAATAAAACTAATTTCCTAAACAAATATATTTTGTTAACCCAAGGGGCCACAATTTTGGAAATATAGAATGACTCCATGATTATACTTATCAATTTTACTTGTAAAATCAATGTCCACTTTGCATTTAAGTGAGTGGCAACATATAGGAACTATGGCTGTGGCCTCTTGCACTGGCCCACACATTTTATTTTATTTTATTTATTTTTTTCTTACTCTGTTGCCCAGGCTGGAGTGCAGTGGTATGATCAAGGCTCACCACAGCCTTGACCTCCTGGGCTCAAGCAATCCTCCCACCTCAGCCTCTCAAGTAGCTGGGACTGACTATAGGTAAGTGCCACCACACTCAGCTAATTTTTTTTTTTTTTCCTTTGGTAGAGACGAGGTCTTGTTATATTGCCCGGGCTGGTCTTGAACTCCTGGGCTCAAGCAATCCTTGCACCCTGGCCTCCTAAAGTGCTGGGATTACAAGTGTGAGCTGCCACGCCCAACCTATACACATTTTATAATGATTGGTTACTGATGTGGGGTTTGGATCAGAGTCTTCATAGTTTGCATCTCTGCCTTATATTGAAAGACTCCTCAGGACAAGGATCATGTCTCATTCAGGTTTATTTCTTGAAGCACGTTGGCAGATGCCTGAGACCCAACTGGTTATCAATAAAACCAGACCTGAATGAATGAATAACCTATAGACTGCGGAGGTGGAAGAAGACAGCCAAGTAAAGGATGACTGAGGTGTTTAGTCTGGGCAAATAGGGATGGCATTAATGTGGTGAATGCATGAGGAGGAGCACACTGGAAGCAAGGTAATGAGTGTGACATGTTGAGTTTGAAGTCCTGTTACACAGCTGGGTGGAGAGGTCCAGCAATAAGCAGTTAAGAAAACTGGGCCAGTGCCTAGGAGGAGTGCCAGGGCTCCTTCCCCCACATTTACTGGTCCTCGGTTCCCTTCAACACATAGTATGTTGGGAAAGCAGTAGCGGCAGTAGAAGTGGTAGTAGCAGCAGCAGTAGTAATAATAAGTGTAGCCACTTATTGAACTCTTGCCATGTGCCAGGCACTGTGCTAAGGAGATTTTATATATGTATATCTCCCCTAACTCTTACAAAAACCCAAAGAGGTAAATCCCATATTATCTAGAGAGGTTAAATAACTTGCCTGTGGTCTGTCACAAAGCCCCCCACACTCTAAATCATTTTACTAAAATCCAACCCAAGAAGGCTTGAATAGAACATGGAAAGATCACTGCTGTCATTAACTTTAAATACGCCATCACATCTTCTCCATCTTTTTGTCTACACTCTTAGGTCTGGAACTGGATCCATAGTGAACCTGGACTTGATTATGTCCATTCACCACCTTCATTAATTAATTCATTCATTAACTAACAAACATTTATTGGATTCCAAATATTAAGTTCTGGTATCTACATTAAGGATCTAGCTCTGAGACCTACATTAAAATATTTAAGTACTAAAACAATATTATCATCAGCAAATAGCAGGAATTTATAAAATACAGCGAAAGAGGAAACAGAGCATGGTGGACACTCCCGCTAGAAAAGGAACCGATGTCTAGGAATCCATCCTCAGCTCAGCCACTAACCTGGCTACAAAACTTCATTTAGTCTGACTGGGTCTCAATTTCTTTATACAAAAACTAAGGGGGTAAGACTGCAATCAGTTCTGCTGTATCCAAATTCATTCCAACCTAATTGATACATTAGGGAAAAATTTGGGTGTATCATGAATTTTGCATTTTTGCTTATACGTGATTTCTTTTGTGAAAAACACTAAGTGAATGCAGAAAACTTCTTCCAGCTGGACTAATCCACAAAATACACATGCACACACCTCAATAATCTACCAGCTCCCTCAGTTCACCATGTGCTGCGAGCCACACCCATCCACATCTGATATACTGTCTATCTGATTTTGGACAACCTTCCTTGCACCCCTTCACAAAATCTCACAAGCTGCAACCCTTCCGGCGCTCACCTCCCCAAGCAAACCTTTCAAGGTAAAGTGCCATATTTATTTTGTATTTATGTATTTCTTAGCCAGTTAACATGCATTAAACTGTGCTGACAGTTTTATTAGGTTCTTGTCTCTTTTTTCACATGTGTCACTGAGGAAGTTTTGGAGTATTGTGCCCGTTACTCCACCTTTCCTGTAAGTCTGTGGCTTTCATGGCATAATTTTGCACAGTGTGATGATTGTTAGGAAGGAAATACATTGGATTACAGCAGAACTGACTATCTTGAGATCATTTTCAAATTTAACATTCAGTTCTGCCTAATTTCTCTAAGTTCATGGACTGTTTCCCCATGGTAGTCCTTCAAACAAGTTAACATGCTGAACCACACCAATCGGAGGCTGAAAATAAGAAGCAGCACTTATTTCAGTCTGAGCTTACATTTTTTTCCTATGAGGGAAAAAAGGATCAAGTCATATCATTAAAATGGTTGAGCACTTGCTATCAATTTTGCTCCACCCTAGGGGAAAGTACCTCCATCCTTGCGCTTGGAAAGTTGTTACTTTAGAAAGGCTGCCCTTTAGTTTTCTACCCCCAAACCAAGGATGCCTGGGGCTTCATCTGAGGCAGGACTGGTAAGTCCCGAGAAACCTCAGATAGTCTGAAGGCTATTTGAGTACTACTGCCAGTTTTTTCTCTGAGACTCCTGTGGCAACTAGACCATTGGTTTCTTAGGAGATGTTGCATTCCCCAGGAGGCCCTGACATCAAGCTGTTACTCAGCCCAAAAGCCAATCAGCTCCAGGAGTTGTTTCTCACAGAAGACAAAAAAGGCTTCCTAAGCCAGACCTGATCATCGCATCCTGAATCCAGAGTCTGCCCTGCTTATTAAAAGGCTAAAAAGAGGCCCAGCACAGTGGCTCACACCTGTAATCCCAGCACTTTGGAAAGCCAAGCTGGGTGGACTCAGGAGTTCGAGACCAGCCTGGGGAACATGGCGAAACCCTGTCTCTACAAAAAGTACAGAAATTAGCCTCACAAGGTGGTGTGTGCCTGTAATCCCAGCTACTTGGGAGGCTAAGGCAAGAGGATCGCTTGAGCCCAGTAGGTTGAGACTGCAGTGAGCCAAGAATGCACCACTGCACCCCAGCCTGGGCGACAAAGTGAGACCCTGCCTCAAAAAAAAAAAAAAAAGGCTAAGAAGAGATTTGCTTGTAGCAGCTTATAATCTTCCAAACATAATTAAGAGAGAGAAAAGAGAAGAGAAGAGCCAAATACCCTGCAAAGTCTACTATAAAAATCATACTCATACCCTAGGTGAGTCATTACGCTTATATGAGGTCATTGCTATTATTACTAAAAATGTAACACTACTGAAATATTATCCACAAACCATTAAGTCATTCTCATTGTCTGAGAAAAAGGAAGGAGAATTATTAGGATATACGCTTTATACTTACAATAAAATACAGTAAGTGCATATGCCAACAATTAAAAAGTGGTTCAAAGCATCATTTGAAAATGCAAGAAACAAAAGAAGATACACAATGTTTAAAATTGCAGGTATTTTTCAAAAATACAAAGTAATAATGACTGATAACAATCCAGAAAGATAAATGCAGCACACAGTATTTTCATGACAACTCTATCACTGGGGCTAATGTTTTGCTTCCATATGAACTAGATCTGGCTCGGAGTCCATGTTTCCATTACTATATTGCATAAGCAGTCACATCTGGCCCATTCTTCCTCTGCAAAACCTCTCTTGGCCACTCTTCCTTCTGACAGTTCTTTGTCACTGTCCTCATCAGCTCAGGTTGCCAGTAACTCCTGCCTGGAGTGATGCAATGCACTGTCAAACTCAAATTCCTGCCTGAGATATCTCCTCTCTCCAATCACTTCCCTGGTCATAGTGCCATCAAAATCATCTTCCCAAAAGCACATATTTGAAGCTCACTCTCCCCAGCTGAACATACAGTGGCTCTTTTTTTCCTTACAGACTCCTTCAAATAGCTTTTAATGAAAACATTATTCCCAATGCACCCCTCTGATTTTAGCCTAAACCACTTTTTCCTGCTCCATTTCTCATCCTGGCTAGCCACATATCCTTCCATTGAACCAAACCACTTGCCATTCCCAGAAGTGCCCCACCTCGAGGCCATGCTCACAACATTTGCTCAGCTTGGAATATGCATCCTTTCAGCCTTGCCTGTTATCACAACAACTTTCCTGACTTTGACCAGCAGCTTTCTGGTGTTTATTTAGCAACTATTCTGATATTTTAATTCTTTTCATTTATACTTTCCTAGCTGGACTCTGAGTTTATTAAAGATTCTGGCACCGAGCACACTCTCTTGCACATTATTAATATTCACAAAAATGTAACTGACTTGACCTTCCAATTTGAAGAAGGATAAGAAGTTGTATTAGTCCATTCTCACACTGCTATGAAGAAATATCCAAGACTGGGTAATTTATAAAGGAAAGAGGTTTAATTGACTCACAGTTCCACATTGCTGGGGAGGCCTCAGGAAACTTACAATCATGGCAGAAGGCAAAGAAGAGGCAGGCACCTTCTTCAAAGGTGGCAGGATGGAGTGAGTCCAAGCAGGGGAAATGCCAGATGCTTATAAAACCACCAGATCTCGTGAGATGCACTCATTATCACAAGAACAGCATGGGGAAACCGCCCCCATGATTCAATTACCTCCAGCTGGTCCCACCCTTGACATGTGGGGATTATGGGGATTATAATTCAAGATGAGATTTGGGTGGGGACACAGAGCCAAACCATATCAGAAGTTAAATCCAAATCTCTCTCTCTCTCTCTATCTGGCTAATACACATTTGAAGTCTCTTTTTATACGCTGGCTTTTTCTGACTATCCAGAGGTGGACAAAGCATTCAGAACTCTACCTACTTTTAGAAAATCTTGGATATCCCAAATCTTAATATTAACATTATATTGAGTAGCCTTTTACACATAAGTTGAAGAAGTTCATTTGTTTTCAAAATGCAAAAAGTGTAGAAAGATAATAACTATTATATTGATGGGTCAGCCTGAAGAATTTCCTGGAACTTTACACTCTTATTTCTGATGACAACAGAAATTTGGATGGTAAAAGACTCAGACGGCATTTCTGGCAGTCAGGTATCCTTAATAACTGTTCACCTTTCCCCTTTCATCTTCCATGTGTATGAAAGTTGTCTCTGGAGAGAATTTAAGTCAGAATCTGTGACTAATGGGCATAGTATGTCAGCCACATTATTGCTACAAAACAAGTAACTTCCAGTTAGCCATCAACTCTTTGCTTCTTGCTTCTTGGTCAAGTGAAAGAGCTCTAGTTAGTGATTAAAATTCTGCTCACATAGGCCCCACTCTGCCAGGGAACTAGCTAGAGAAAGAGGTCTTTTTATTTTGCAGGCAATAAAGGGCAAAGCGGGGCCAGGCGCAGTGGCTCACGCCTGTAATCCCAACACTTTGGAAGGCCAAGGTGGGTGGATCACTTGAGCTCACACGTTTGAGGCCAGCCTGACCAACATGGTGAAACCCCGTCTCTAATAAAAATATGAAAATTAGCCAGGTGTGGTGGCGGGTACATGTAATTAATCCCAGATGGTCCGGAGGCTGAGGCAGGAGATTTCCTGGAATCTGGGAGGTGGAGGTTGCAGTGAGCAGAGATCATGCCATTGCACTCCAGCCCAGGTGACAACAGCGAGACTCCATCTCAAAAAAAAAAGGGGGGGGGGGGGGAAACAGGGGTGGCTTTCTGGAATTTAGATTTGGAGTTTTATGTTATAAAGGTAGATTTGGTGTAGATATTACACAGATCTCCTCTGTGTTTAATTAGGATTTGCAGGCCTTACTTCCAATCTATCTGGGAGTCACCTGAACCAAAAGTCACAAGCAGAAGGAGACATCACAAGGGGGTGCATGGCTTTCCCCGACAGTGATGGAAGGGTTGGGTATTGCTCTCTGATGATCTTCTGTGTGTTCTCCTTTCCTCTACCACCAGCTGCCAAGTTTCGAGGCCAAGGTCCAGGTTTTACATTTTCTTTGTATACCTCCCATGGCTGGTAGAGTTACCAATATTGAAATACTTAACACCTGCTCAAAAAATATCTGTTAATTAATTGATTTTGCCATAAAACGATGAGTAGCACAATACTTGTGCTTTTCAGAAATGTCTAGTTCATAACACACAATTACATGAGCTAGGAGCTTCCAAGGTGAGAAGCAATTCTCTGAGCAGAATAAAATTGGAGACTGGTATGAAGGAGGCAGTGGAGAGATGGAAGCAGAAGTCATTGAGGAAAAATTACAGGGGACAGTAGGCTGTCTTGGCCCAACCAAGGCCTCTCTTACCAGGACCCTACATTTTCAGAAAATAGCTCCACTGAACACTGATGATAGGACTGTGAAGGCCTAGAATTAAACTCCAATCCTGTTTTAATTTTATGGGCTATACAACATAAAGACCGAGAAAGAACATCTGGGACGCTGGGCCACCAGGCACATGTTCACAGCTGGAACAGATCACAGATGACCCAAGTTAAATTAGCTTCAGGGTGACCACCTGCACAGCATTTTCATTTCTCTAAAATTCTTTCACCTGCCCACTGTGACCTGTCCCATGACTCTCCACTTAAAATGGATTTTTTTTTTCAAGTCTGTTTCCATAGTCTCCTTTCTATCATAGCTCTAATGTCGGTGTTGGCTGAGCTGGTGGGGTATGTGCAGACACACAGAATGACGAACTTGCAGTCATCTGCTCAGCTGATGGCTGGTTGAGTTATGTCTCTTTACGATATTCCTAAGTACGATTAGAAAGGACAGGAAATGACTCCAGGGCTAAAAAGTTTTATTCTGATTTGGATAAGTGGCTTGAGTCAACCCGGATGGTGATACTTCACATGACAATATTTGAGTTAAATGAAAAGTCTTTGGAGAAGGAATACTAATGACAATAGGTTGCGTTAAGTGAGCCTCTCCCAGGTGCCACTTTTCTTCGAAGCTTTGTCGCATCTATCAGTTCATTTAACAAACTGAGCTACAAATTGTGTAAAAAAATTCCTAATATTTCTCTGACAAACTAATAAACTAGACTCGGGAAAACAGGATTTAAAGCTTTGATCTGTCATCTCATAGCACACATAGTTCCAAAGAAATAGACTTTTTAGAAATTTATAGGCTACATACATAGGTTACGTGTTTATAGTCAATTATAATTCAGCTCTGAACTCCTGAATATATTTTGAGTTTAACCTATAAAAAATTATAAAAGGAGTAAGATGACTATGTGCTAGGTTGTAATGTAAAAGCCATATTCTTGAATAAAATGTAAAAAAGGAATTAATTTGGTCATACAGAGATACTATTGGATATAAAAAAGTAGATATGAGTGATTTCAGATGTTGTAAAGTCAAAGTGCCAGCATAAACCTCATGCTATTACAACCCAGCCTGAGAGAAGAAAAATTCACTTTTTCTCTTATCTTCGAAGTTGACAGCTTAGCCTCAAATATAAAGTAGAACCATATCATGGAGCTAAAATTCATTCCAAATTTTAATATACTCTATATTTCTGCCAACTCTTAATATTTATCAATTTTAAACATACTAAAACCTGAAGTATTTGTCATTTTAATTTCAATAATTTAAAGATTTATAAGTCAAGTTTAGCTGCACTTAATAAAAAAAGACAACATATTAGAGATACAATGGAAGATCAAAAATCCTCATTCCAGCTGGGTGCTGTGGTTCACACCTGCAATCCCAGTACTTTGGGAGGCCAAGGCAGGAGATCACTTGAGGCCAGGAGTTCAAGACCAGACTGGACAACACAGTGGGACCCATTGCTACAAATAATTAAAAAGTTAGCCAGGCATGGTGGCACATGCCTGTAGTCCCAGCTACTTGGGAAGCTGAGAAGGGAGGGTCACTTGAGGTCAAGGCTACAGTGAGCAGTGATCACACCACTGCATTGCAGCCTGGGCGACAGAATAAGACCTTGTCTCAAAAAAAAAAAAAAAAATACTCATTTTGGAAAGTCCCAATTACCCTACATTTACAAATGCTCAAAAGCCACAGAAGAAAGAAGACCAGAGCTAAAGTTAGGAGACGAGGCCATGATGGTGAGGAGTTAAAGGGGCAACTAAAAGGAAGGAATAATAAATAAAGGAAGCAGAAATAATGATTTTGGAGAGGAAGTGGCTGCCCTTAACATGCCTCATCTACCTGGGAAACTTTCAAGATCTCACTCAAACTTCTCTCTCTGCCTTCCTCTAAAAGTAGAAGAAGATGAGGCAAGATCTTCCCAGGTAGATGAGGCAAGTTTCCTTGCTCTGAGAAATCAACTTCATCCCATTGTTCCTTGTTCAAACTTTCACAATGGTATATTCCTCACTGTTTTATAGTGAGTGACTTGTTTCCAGGTCTGCCTTTTCTCAAAACTGTGAACTCCTTAAAATAGTCTTTGCTTTATTCAGAGTCACTGTCCACATGCCTGTACCAACCAAAATGATATACGATCTTTGGTGCTCAGTACTGGTCAGATGAATGAATGAATAAACCAATGAACAAATGAATGGAAAGAGGTATCTAGGCCAGCAAGAGAGAGAAACCTGGAACACACACAGAGAGAATTATACCCTAACTAATATACACAACAAACCAAATTTTCTAAACCTTATGGTCTCCAGAAGCAGAGATTCTTTTTTTTTTTTGCACTTTTCCAATGTATTTTTAAAATAAGATTTTAAAAAATTTATTTTAAAATTTTAAAAATAAGGTTATTGAAATATAATTTACATATCATAAAATTCATCTATTTGGAACCAAAACCACAATGAAATGTTACCTCACACATGTTAGAATGGCTGTTATAAAAATGACAGGAGATAACAAATGTCGTCAAGGGTGTAGAGAAAAGAAAAAACCTTACACATTGTTGGAGGAAATGCAATTTGGTGCAGTCATTATGGAAAATAATATGAAGCATCTGCAAAAAAAGTAAAAACAGAACTACCATATGATCCAGCAATTTCACTTCTGGGTATATATCCAAAGGAAACAAAATCAGTATCTTAAAGAGGTATCTGCACTCCCATGTTCATTGCAGCATTATTTACAATAGCTAAGATACAGAAACAATCTAAATGTCCATTGACACATTCGTGGGTAAATGAAATGTTGTGTGTATGAATGCACACACACACACACACTGGAATATTATTCAGCCATAAGAAAGAAGGAAATTCTGCTATTTGTGACAACATGGATGAAACTGGAGGATATTATGCTAAGTGAAGTAAGCCAGACAGAGAAGACGAATATTGTATGGTATCACCATATGTGGAATCTTTAAAAAAAAAACACCTTACAGAAACAGAAAGTAGAACAGTAGTTGCGACATGGGATGGGGAATGGGGAGGTGCTGGTTAAAGGGGTACAAACTTTCAGTGATAAGATGAATAAGTTCGGAGGATCTAATAATGTATAGCATGGTAACTGTAGTTAATAATACTATAGTATATACTTGAAATTTGCTAAAGAAGTAGGTCTGAAATGTTCTCAACACACACACACACACATACACACACACACACACACACACATACACAGGTAACTATGTGAAGGGATAAATGTGTTAATATTTATGGTAACCATTTCACATTGTATACATAAATCAGCACATTGTATACTTTAAATATGTACAATTTTATTTGTGAATTATACCTCAACAAAGCCGAAAAAATTCATGAGTTTGGAGAATAGCACATATAGCAACAATACAGTCATCCCTCAGTATCTGTGCAGGACGGATTCCAGGATGCCCTGGGATGCCAAAGTCCACAGATGCTCAAGTCCCTTATCAGTCTTCTGTATCCATGGGTTCCTCGTCCACTGATTCAGAGGGCCAACTGCAATTAGGAAATAGTACTAATACCTTACATTTGTATAGAGTTATACTTGAAGCATTTTCACATATGTTAATGCATTGGATTCTTCCAACATTTGAGTTAGATAAACAGATTTTGTCAGCCCCATCATACCTATAGGATACCTGAGTTTTGGAAAGTTTCAAATACTCACAATAACAGATGATTTGGGGAAATGTCATGTTAGACGGAGATATAAATAGGCTCCCTACAGCGGGGCTTAGTTTTAAAGGGCTATGCAGGCCGGGCGTGGTGGCTCACGCCTGTAATCCCAGCACTTTGGGAGGCCGAGGCGGGTGGATCACAAGGCCAGGAGATGGAGACCATCCTGGCTAACACAGTGAAACCCTGTCTCTACTAAAAATACAAAAAATTGGCCAGGCGTGGTGGCGGGCGCCTGTAGTCCCAGCTGCTGGGGAGGCTGAGGCAGGAGAATGGCGTGAACCCGGGAGGCGGAGCTTGCAGTGAGCCGAGATTGTGCCACTGCACTCCAGCCTGGGCGACAGAGCGAGACTCTGTCTCAAAAAATAAATAAATAAATAATAATAAAAAAATAAAGTGCTATACGGACTGTACGTCTTCATAGAAAACTATGCTCTGCAGCTTATGTGAGCTCAAGGGACACTTTTATAAGGACCATCTTTGGAAACTATCTTCAAGGAACACACTTTGAGAAACACTGGGCTTAATCATTTAGTGCTCTTTCAAACTGTTCATCACACTATGTGATGCTGAGTACATAATGGTGCGCAACGCAGACACAGCCTTGTACTGTGCAGCGTACAGACTCTAGATTGGGGCATTCACGGCGATGGATCTGACGAGGACGCTGTCCATATGCTTGTACAACAATGGTGTCTATTCTACCTCATGCTCATATTTTCCTTTTACTAGTGAATATGCCCCAATAAAAATTTACATTAGGACAAATACTAACAATGTTTTTCTTTATATAGTTGTAGCTGTACACAATTCAACAGGAAACTGACCAGGCACAGTGTGGACTCACGCCTGTAATCCCAGCTCTCTGGGAGGCCAAGACGGGCAGATCGCTTGAGCTCAGGAGTTTGAGACCAGCCTGGGCAACATGGCAAAACCCTGCCTCTACAAAAAAAATACAAAAAATTAGCCAGGTGTGGTGGCACTTGCCTGCAATCCCAGCTACTTGGGAGGCTGAGGTGGGAGAATCACCTCAGCCTGGGAGCTTGAGGCTGCAGTGAGCCGTGATCATGCTACTACACTCTAGCCTGGGTGACAGAGTGAGACTCTCTCTCTCTACACACACACACACACACACACACACACACACACACACACACACACACACAGCTTCTGATGACTGTCAGTGGGGACTGAGAAGGTTATGGGTGGGATTCCTGAGCCTGTATCCGATGTTGTATTCCTTAATGCTGGGGATGTTTGAGGAGTAAGAGTCAGAAAATGACACAGAGAGAAAAGACGAAGTTACAGAGGTGTGAAATAAAGGCTACTGTGGCTCTCCGATTTTCCATCTCCACAATATTTCCTTCAGAGATGACTTATAAATTCAAGTTTGATTGTCATGTCTATTTAGAGGGCATCTGAATCTTTCTCCTCAGCCCTGATTTCTCTCCCAAGCCTGCCTCTGGGACTTGACTGGCATGACCTTGGGTAAACAGCGAAGCCTGGCCCAGTGGAGCTGTTGGGAGGCCCAAGGGAGAAAACCCATGCTGATGCGTAGCACCAAGCTCAGACTTAGCCCCCTCAGTAAGGAAGGTTCAGCTGTTGAGTTCTGTGTATTTCTGCCCATTGCTCTCTACACATACTGCTGCTTCTATGTGAGTTCAAGTTTCCCTTGCCTATGAAACTCTCAGCATTCCAGCCCAGGGTGACCCCTTCTTTCTCCAAACTCCTAGAACCTTTCTACCAGCTCTTCTGCACAATCCTACAGGCATCTGTCTAAAAGCTGCAAGTCAGCCGGGCGCAGTGGCTCACGCCTGTAATCCCAGTACTTTGGGAGGCCAAGGCAGGCGGATCACGAGGTAAGGAGATCGAGACCATCCTGGCTAACACGGTGAAACCCTGTCTCTATTAAAAACACAAAAAATTGGTCGGGCGTGGCGGCACGCGCCTGTAGTCCCAGCTACTCAGGAGGCTGAGGCAGGAGAATGGCGTGAACCCGGGAGGTGGAGCTTGCAGTGAGCCGAGATCCCGCCACTGCACTCCAGCCTGGGCGACAGAGCGAGACTCTGTCTCAAAAAAATAAATAAAATAAAATAAAAGCTGCAGGTCACTGCAGTGTTCATCTGGTCCAGCCACCTGCTAGCAGGAGTCATCTCTTTTCACTAATGTGTCAAGACTGTCTTATATAGAATCCTGACTGTTCATTAATTTTCTATACATATATTAGTTAATACGGAATTATATGGTACATGAAAAATACATATTCTGTATGTATATATTCTCTTTCCAATTGCTTTGTAAGCTCTTAAAAACACATACCTTTCTGATTTTCCCACAGTATCTAAAACATAGTATGTACTTGAGGGATATTTAGCTGACTTTTGGTATTTTCAGATTGGAGTTATTGTTCAAAATCTCCAAATCTGGAAAAATTGATACATCCATTTCCTCATGGCTGAAAGAAACCAAAGGTCAAATCTGAAGGAAGCTCAATTATCTTGTATCTCACTTTCATGTCTTTTGGTTAGTAAAGTGAAACGACTTTAACTTTTTGTTTAAGTATCTTCTTTGGCCTTCTATTTAAATGGTGGTTAAAAATAGTTGGTTCTGGAAGTGTGGTTGTCTGTTCAGGTTTTCATGGGAACATGTGTTTGTTTGTGAACTTTAAGGTACTCTTGGCTTTAGATATGTGCCTGCATCCCCTCCGTCTCATGGTGTAGGGTAAGGGGAGCAAGAATCGGAGGAAATCTACCATGTGGCTGGAGCCTAAGGAGAAGGGTTCTGTTAGCATGGGAAGGAGAAAGCAAAGAATAAAGGAACGTGCTGATATAGTTAGCATATTTGTCCCCACCCAAATCTCATGTTGAAATGTAGTCCCCAGTGGTGGAGGTGGGGCCTGGTAGGAGGTGTTTGGATCATGGGGGTGGATCTCTGAATGACTTGGTGTTATTGTTCTTCTTGGTCTTCTTGATAGTGAGTTCTCATGAGATCTGGTCATTTAAAAGTGTGTGGAGTCTCCTCCCCACTCTCTATCTTGCTCCTGCTTTCACCATATGACGTGCCTACTCTCCCTTCACCTTCTGCCATGATCGTAAAAGCTCCCTGAGGCCTCTCCAGGAGCCGAGTGTTGTCGGTGCCATGCTTCCTGTACAGCCGGTACAACCATGAGCCAATTAAACCTCTTTTATTTATAAATTACCCAGCCTCAGGTATTTCTTTACAGCAATGCAAGAATGGACTAACACAAGAGATCTCCAAACTTTTCCATGAAACAACCTCATCAGAAACAAGTATGAGCAAGTATCCTTCGGAATGCACATATTTATTTATAAATTATAAACATACACTATGATGATTGATACATTCAATAGTATTATAAATTAACTGTCTCTTTTTCAGATAAAAAATAGACAAATGTTTATTTTTGTTTATTCTATGTTTATACCATACTTTGGAGATCACTGGGATAGAGTCTAGAATCCATATCTGGGGGCTGATCCAGTGAAAATGCTGTGGCAGGTAAAACCAATGACATAACTGAAGTTAAACCTAAAAATTCTATACCATCAGTACTGTGAATAACCATGGAAATAGAAAATACAAGCCCATATTCACATTTCAATGTAAAATATAAGAAGCAGTTTTCATGACATTAATATAATTTTGAAATGGTATCCTCAGAAGTGGCTTCCAATCCTGACACTCTCAGCTTTGTTTATGGAGAAAGAGTTTAATTTTTTGGAGGTGGGGGTGAGGTAGGGAGGGGAGAGAAAAGGTTAAAATAGGTTAAAATATAGGCGCGAAAACAAGAAAACTAACCCCAATGTGAAAACAACTTTTATTTTAAAAAAGATGTATCTGCAAACAAATGGGATTGACGTGATATTTCCATATTATCTTAAGGCAAGAAATGTTAAGTTGTCAGAAACAATATCCTCCAATCATCCCATGGGGTCTCAAACCTATAGTAATTGCAGTTTCGAAGGGTATGCATGACTGACGTGTGCAGTGCTTTTCCAGATCTAGGAAACTACTACATGCTTGGTTTTTTACGTTTCATGTTTTAAGCTATGTCTATTTATTAAGAAATTTTTCCTTACGTATTATTTTTAAACGAAGGTCAAATATGACTTGTTGCCCTCTTCTTAGGATATTCACAGTTCATTTCTTCCTGTTGAAAATGGTTTTCCCACATGAAGTTTGGCACTCTGGGGTGAACATATAATAAAGTAATCAGATCTGACCAGGGCAGTAATTTTCATACGGAGAACTGACTGAAATGTGGGCCAGAGAGTGCAATAACATGCACTTGTTCTTTCAATGTGGCATAAAGTATGCACCAGCAGATTCCATTTAGTGTGGATTTCAGAGCATCCTGGAAAAATCATTATCCATCTCTCCTAGGTTACAGCTACCATTTCGCAACTTTGCTCCTGGTAACTTGCAGATGTTGCCTATATTTGCAACACAAGGCCTCATTTGTTTGAGCCCCAATTATGCCAAATTATGAAATTCTGATGGGGCAGATCTGACGGTTATCTGTTATGTTTTTAAACACAACAGTTTATCAAGGTATAATCCCCACACCGTACAATATGCCCATTTAAAGTATACAATTCAATGGTTTTTAGTATATTCAAAGACTTGTATACCCAACACTATAACCAATTTTCCAATTTTAGAATATTTTCATCACACCAAAAATAAATCCCATACCTCTGCCAGCCCCCAGAAAACCACTAATCCACTTTTTTTTTTTTTTGAGACAAGGTTTTACTCCTGTCACTCAGGCTGGATTGCAGTGGTGCAATCTTGGCTCACTGCAACCTTCGCCACCTGGGCTCAAGTGATTCCTTTGCCTCAGCTTCCTGAGTAGCTGGGATTACGGGTGTGCACAACCACACCCGGCTAATTTTTTATTTTTTGTAGAGAGGGGGTTTCACCATGTTGCCCAGGCTGGTCTCGAACTCCTGAGCTCAAGTGATCTGCCTGCCTCAGCCTCCCAAAGTGTAGGGATTACAGGCATGAGTCACTGCGCCCAGCCTAATCTACTTTTTGTCCCTACAGATTTGCCTGTTCTGAACACTTCATATAAATGGAATCATAATATGTGGCCTTTTGTGCCTGGCTTCTTTCACTCAGCATAAGAGTTTTAAGGTTCACCCATGTTGCAGCATGTACAAATACTGCCTTTTTTATGACTAATACTCCACTGTATGTATATTCTACATTTTATTTATCATTTACCAGTTGGTAGACATTTGGGTTGCTTTCACTTTTTCACTCTTATGAATAATGCTGTTATGAACATTGATGTACAAGTTTTTATGTGGATATGTTTTAATTTCTCCTTGGTGTATATATATATGTGTGTGTGTGTGCACGTGTGCATATGTACATACGTACATACACACACACAAACACACACCCCTAAGAGTGAAACTGCTGGGTCATATGAAAATTTTATACTCAATTTTGAGGAACTGCCAGATTGTTATGATATTTAACTTTTTACTATAAAAATCATCTTTGGGCCAGGCGCAGTGTCTCATACCTGTAATCCCAGCACTTTGGGAGGCCAAAGCAGGAGGATTACTTGAGCCCAGAAGTTCAAGACCAGCCTGGGCAACATAGCAAGACCCTATCTCTGTAAAAAAAAAAAAAAAATTTTTTTTTTTTTTTGTTTAAGTAGCCAGGCATGGGAGCACACACCTGGGAGGCTGAGGTGGGAGAATTGCTCGAGCCCAGGAGGTTGAGGACCTTCCAAAGTTTTAGCACTATTTGTATAAAATAGTTTACTAATTTCAAATTATTGTCTTATTAAAACAAGTCCAGTTGATCTTACTGTACAATTAGCATTTTCTCAGCCTTTCATATTTATAACTGAGCACCCCTAAAAACAAAAAGGCATGTATTTCATTCCCATTTTCCATCTGCCTTCTCCCTAAATCATCCTGAATCATTCTATCCATTTATCTTCAGAATTTAAAGGTCCTGAGGCACATAAATACATCAACAGGCTTTTGAAAAAATTCTATGTTCAACTCTTAACAGTTTACCTAGAGTGGTCAGTACCACCTGAACAGTTATCCTTGATCATTTATAGTGTTTATCTTTCCACGTCCAAGAGGATGGCTGTTTAAGGGCTCCTCTGGCTCCTGTGCTTGGAGGGAGGGACTTCACCATGGGAATTACATGGCCTTTAGGTCAGATAGTCACACGTGGAATCTCTCCCTATGAAAGCCTCTTCACACTATGCAGATGACACATACATTCAGGCTTTACTTGGCTTACAGCCCTTTGTTAACCAACAAAAATAGTATCTTCCAGTAAACTCCCTTTTCTACACACAATTCAGGTCATCTATGATTATGCCATCTAAGAGATACTGTGTCAGTGGCACCTTCCCGCATGGGAAGAGATCTTGCTTCTTGAGCAGGATATGACTTCCTCAGAGGCAATTGGACATCCCTTCCACTTCCCCTGTGGCAGCATGAACTTCCTCTGTTTCTCAAGGAGGTAGAGGGAGAGGGGAGCAGCCTGCCACTTCTGGAAATTCACCCACAGCTCTTGCCTGGCGTGCTGAGCAGAGGCCACCCAGTCGGGCTTTGCAAATAGAATTTGACTCCCATGCCAGACCAAGTGAAACAGATCCACCATACAGGCACTCCAGGAAAAACAGCAATCCATAACCTGTGTGTGCTGAGAATCTAGTACATTGCTCTTTATGAGCCACTGTAAAAAGCGGGATAGGATAATCCCAGTTTCTCCTTCTGTAAAATTCACCTCTCCACATATACTTGACAACATTACAGGGAGACACAGTTTCCAGAGCTTAGATACTTTGCTAATATGTAGTAAACATAAAGGTAAAACCATTAAATTGCAAGTCCTGTCCTCTCTGATTTTACTAAGCATAAAGCTATTGATCACTTTTTGTCCCCTACAGCAAGAATATATCAAGAATATAATCATATCAGGAGAAAAACTACAATCTTCATCTTTGGTAGCGGTCAATCACTTTCAGAATTCTTTTCAAAAACAGCCAGCAGTCAAATTAAATTGTAATTTGGGTTAGGGGTGGGATGGAGGAGAGAATCTGACTTTTGGGCACAGTGTGTGTGAAAATACGTATCCAAAAAGTTCAATGGGAAAATGTTGTCTCCCTGTGACTGAAAAAAAATAATTGTGCTGCTTTCAAATACCCAAGTGGTACCACAAAGTTTGTCTTTCTCTAAAGCCTGTCTGTATCAGTGCCTTTGTGTCTCTCTTGAAAATATCACTTTTTGTAGTAATCTTCTTTTTTAACCACTTTGTCATCATCGTGGGATAAACAGAGTAGACTTTCCAAAATGAATCAGGGTGGTTGGGGTTGAATAGATAAAACATGACTCTGGCAAACGAGCGTTCGCTAAAGTCTGATCCTGTAATCTTTGTGCTGGCAGAACACCACTGTAGTAAACTTGGTTTGGCAAACCCTGTATAAAAACAGGACCCTTGACTTAAGATACAGTGTAAACATGTTGACTTCCTAAAACCCTCAATGGGTATGTGGTGAAGGAAAGCTTAGACCCAGACTCTGTTATATAAAAACAAATTAACTTGAAATGTAATTTTTCTCTACTAAGGCTTTTCATAATATATGAGCAGCCCAACCCCCAAGCCCCTGCCAAACCCATCACAATTATTGTCCAAATTCCCGTGGAGTCCAAAGGGGAGGTGGTATTCAAAAGAAGTAACTGCTGGTGGACTTTGAATAAAATGAGAAGTCTGTGAGGCCAATTAGGTTGTCAGTGGACAAAAATAAGCATAAATTAGAGCAATTAAGTAAATGAAAATGATCAAAAGGAATTTGTGGCAAGAATTTTTTTGAACAGATCCTTTTCTATTATATAGGTACAAAGACCATTTTAAAGAGTTCAAAAGATTTTTAAATTTACTATACTGTACCCAAACCTCATGAAAATAAAGCATACGGAGGAATAAATTCTAGTTTCTTTTAAAAAGTTACTTCAGTTGAAGGAATATTGTACATTTGGTATACTCACAAATATTAAAAAGAATTGTTGGCTAGATACACAAAACAAGGTCATTTTTCTATTCCCAAAGAAATGACACCCAGCGGGGAAAGGGGAATAAATACTGTTTGCCAGAATTCATCTTTCATTGAAATCATACTGAAACCTATAAATTATAATAAAATATTATAATTAGAATGTTATAGTAAAATATAACAATAAAAGTGGACTTTAAGGTAGAATACATACCTTTTTAAAACAATGATTATATTTTGGGATAGAATATTATAGAAGACTTTTACTCTCTAAGTTACACATTTCTACAGATTGTTATAGTAAGTGTGTATGATTTCAGTAACCAGGAAAAAAAGAAGTATTAGGTAAAAAAATAACTCTAGTGTGAGAGGTTATCTTTGAGGCTAAGTTGAGAGGAAATCTGCTCCACTTACTGTTGTTTACACTCTAAACTAGTCGCTCTAAAATATAGTTTACACTCTAGTTGGCATCAAAAGTGCCAAAACTTGTTTTGAAGGAGACCTGCAACATAATGGAAACAAACTCTGCAAAGCTGTCAGTTGCTTCATAGGTCACTGTAATGAAGCTTCTGCAGCAAACTCTCTCTCAGGGACTCCCACACTGAACTGCTTTTACAGAAAGAGACTCACTAGGCAGCCACGGAGGTACGCCCTCAGTAAGCTATTCAGCAATAAGGGATGCCTAGCCAGCTGACAGCCTCCAGCACTGCCCCTCTCAATCTGCCACCGTGATTCCTGCCGAGGCCACACAGTCCGGGCGGAGTCTGCTTACAGCCAATGACTGATCATGGCAGGGACACGAGAGCCAGGTCACTTCTGCCCTCATGGGGCCCTTCTGACAGGCAATCTCTGCTCCCGGGCACCCATGTACCTGGCTGAGACTTTCTCAGAGCTGCACTGCAGTCTGAGATTCTTCATATCCAACTCTCCTTTTTACCTCCTCTCTTTTAAAAGGTGTTGGACCTGTGTCATCATAATTTTGTTACTGACAGTAATAACATTATTTAAAAAACAGCTTCCATTGGGATATTTCTTATCATTTTTAAACCTTTTCAGTTATATAATTTCATTTTGTCAGTAAATCATTTATTAGTAGAATATTTAGTGAAGAAATTAGGCATAGATTGCCTTCACTTGCATTAGTGGACATTTAAGTTACATGAAGGGAAAACACTGATACACAACAAAGTTACTGATGAAAACACAAGGACTTTCTTTTTTAAAACTCTCTCGGCTTCCATAACACCACACTCTTTTGGTTCTCCTTCCAGCTCTCGGAAAATGTCTTTTCCGCCTATTTCACTGGGTCATTGGTAAGGTTTGGGATCTGTGTCTCCGCCAAATCTCATGTCGATTTGTAATCCCCAATGTTGAGGGGGGGCCTGCTGGGAGGAGTGACTGGATCATAAGGGCAGAGCTCTCATGGATGGTTTAGCACTAACCCTCTTTGGCACTGTATTGTGAGTGAGTTCTTCTGAGATCTGGTGGTTTACAAGTGTGTGGCATCTCCCCCACCTTCCTCCTGCTCTGGCCATTAAGATGTGCCTGCTTCCCCTTCACCTTCTACCATGATTTTAAGTTTCCTGAGACTTCCCTAGAAGAAGCTGCTATGCTTCCTGTACAGCCTGCAGAACTGTGAGCCAATTAAACCTCTTTTCTTTATAAATTACCTAGTCTCAGGTATTTCTTTATAGTAGTGCAAGAACTAATACAGAAAATTGGTACTGAGGTGTAGGGCATTGCTACAAAGATATCTGAAAATATCAAAGTAGCTTTGGAACTGGGTAATGGGCAGAGGTTGGAGGAGTGTGGAGGGCTCAGAAGAAGACAGCAAGATGAAGGACAATTTGGAACTTCCTATAGACTTGTTAAATCGTTGTGACCAAAATGCTGATAGTGATGTGGACAGTGAAGGCCAGGCTGAGGAGGTCTCAGATGCAAATAAGGAATTTATTGGGAACTGGAGTAAAGGCCACTTTTTCCATGCTTTAGCAAAGAGTCTGGCCACACTGTGCCCCTGCTTTAGGGATCTGTAGAACTTTGCACTTAAGAGTGATGATTTAGGGTATCTGGTGGAAGAAACTACTAAGCAGCAAAACATTCAAGATGTGGCTTGGTTGCTTCTAACAGCCTATGTTCATATGCGTGAGCATATGAATGAACATACACACCTCCATACACCTCTTTCAAGTAGGCATGCCCCAGGGCTCTGTCCTTGACTCCTGCTCCTGCCTCCTGCCTGCTCCCTGTCAGTGATCACATCCATTCTCATGGTTTTCACTCTCACATATGTTATGACCATTTCCCCTCCTATGAACTTCAGATTCACATCTTACTGACTGCTGGACGTTTCCACCTAAATGACCTGAAATTAGAGCTTATATTTAAAAGGGAAGCGGAGCCCAAAAGTTTGGAAAATTTGGGGTATCTGGTGGAAGAAACTTCAAAGCAGCAAAGCATTTATGATGTGGCCTGGCTGCTTCTAACAACCTATATTCATATGCATGAGCAAAGAAATGATCTGAGGCCAGGCGCGGTGGCTCATACCTGTAATCCCAGCACTTTGGGAGGCCGAGGTGGGTGGATCACAAGGTCAGGAGTTCAAGACCAGCCTGGATGATATGATAAAACCCCGTCTCTACTAAAAAATACAAAAATTAGCCAGGAGTGGTGGCAGGTGGCTGTAGTCCCAGCTACTCAGGAGGTTGAGGCAGGAGAATTGCTGGAACCTGGGAGGCGGAGGTTGCAGTGAGTCGAGATCACGCCACTGCACTCCAGCCTGGACAACAAAGCGAGACTCCATCTCAAAAAAAAAAAGAAATGACCTGAAATTGAAACTTATATTTAAAAGGGAAGCAGAGTGTAAAAGTTTGGAAAATTTGCAGCCTGGCCATGTGGTAGAAAAGAAAAGACCATTTCCAGGGGGAGGAAATCAAGGTGCCTACAGAAATTCACGTAAGTAAAGAGGAGCCAAGTATTATTAATAATATCCAAAATAATGGGGAGAAGGCCTGGAAGGCATTTCAGAGAACTTTGTGGCACTTCATCACATACAGCCTTAAACTCTTCTCTATTTTTTAAAGATGAAGCCTTTTCTCATACCTAGATGGTAACTTGCTCGAGAAAAAGAATAGCGTCACATATCTTTAAATGCCCAACTATGCGTGATCTAGTGTTAAGCAGAATAGATATTGTTGAGTGAATAAATTTCATTGGCATCAATGATCACTCACATACACCGTGTTGGAAAAAAACTTGAATTGTGCACCTTGTGCTCAATATATGATTTAGATTAAGAGCTTGGGTTCTGAAAGCAAATGTGGTTTCAAACTTCTACCATCTATGGGCCTATAACTTTGGGCAATTTATACAATCTCCTTAAGCCTCAGTTTCCTCACTGATAAAATGGGATACTTTCTTATAGCGCTATAGTAAGAATTAATTGAGATGAAACGGGGAGTACAGCACAGTGCCTGGCATATGGTAAGCTCTCACTAAATGGTGGCTATATAATGATCGCTGTTGATTCTTTTAAGGGCTTTGGTTGCTGCTTCTAGGAACCCCCTCTTCAGCAGAAGCATCTTCCTCCGCCTCACAACCACCACTATCAAAGAGCATTTGGTTAAGAACCTTGGAAGAAATCCTCTCATTAGCTGTGTGCTTCCAAGTGTTGGCTCTGGCAGGATTCTGTGGGAGGACGAAAGATCAGCTGCTATTACCCCAACAAAACCATAACTCTTTCCAATCAAAGCCAGGACCCAAAGATGGGCTCTCCAGGACTGACTTTCAGATTTATTTTTTAAGTTACTGTGTTCTGCCAATTTGTGTTGTATTTCTTTTCCACAGAACTTCACATCTGTTCTTCCTGCCACACAAGTGCCTATGAGCTTTGGCCACAGGTGCTTCCAAGTGGAGCACAGGGCAGCTAAGGAGGTGGGAAAGAATGCTGTGATTCTGTCCCACTGAAATAGCACCACTCAGGGGTCCTCCCCCATGGGAATTGGAAGTTAATATTTTACAAGTTGAAAGAATGTAACCAAAAGACATCATCCTAAAAACCAGCAGGAAACCAGAGTCATCTTTTATTACACACTGCCAAGTCCATCTTCTGATACACAGGAGAACTTCTGAACAACAAAGAGAGGTCTCTGGGGTTTGGTGGTTTATTTTGCTTCTTTCTCCACCCCAGTCCAACTTCCCCTCTTAAGATGTGTCAGTGAACTTAGCAAGCAAGAATTCTAAATTAGCATCGTATGATCAGTGTCACTGGCTTGTTCTGGAGATCACCAAAGATAGGAACGTGCTAGGAGACACAAGGACAAGAGGCACTCCTGGCCAGGTTGGGGATTTCTAGAATTTAAGAATTAATCAAGAAAGAAATGAGAGGGAGAAGGAAGAGAGAAGAGAAACTGGAAAATGAGAAGGATGAGGAAGGAGGAGGAAGAGGAAAATTATCAGCCAGTTTCCCCTGACCAGCATCCCCACCCTCAGCTACCCACATGCAGAGATACAGAGAGAGACACAGAGACAGAGACAGAACACAGAGCTGTGTGGTTGGGAGTGAGGGAACCAGACACATAGGATTTGGATTTGTCAGCGCTAAATGCTAAGTTCTCCCTCCTCTTCTCAACTTAAATAATGCCCCAGGGCTCAGTCCTCAGCCCTTATCTTCCCTGTCTATACTCTCTTCTTCTGTGGTCTCATCCAGTCCCTGGGCTCTATGCTAAAGACTCCTAATTTTTATGTGCAGCCACAACTTCTCGACTCAGATCCAGACTCATGCAATTACGCTCCACTGAATGTATAATAAGCATCGCAAACTTGACATAATAAAGACAAAATTCAAAATCTGCTCCTCCCTTCAATAAATGTACCCCTGTTCAGCAAGATGCTTAGCTCAAGCACCTAAAAGTCACCCTTAATCTCACTCTTTCCCTGATAGCCACATCAGCAAGCCTGGTCAGCTCTGCCTCTAACATACATCCCAAATCTTATCACTTCTCAGCATCTCCAGGACCAGTGTTCTAATCAAAGACACCATCACCTCTGATTTAGTCTAGAGGCACAACCTCCTACAGATCTCCCTGCTTCCGCACTTCAGCAGTCAGAGTGGGTTATGTTATGAAACATATCCGTTCTCTAGTTGAGCCCTCTGAAGGCTTTCCATAGACTCCAAAGCCCTCCCCATGGGCCCCCTGGTCTCAACATATTCTAGCCCTATTTCTTGACGTCATCTCCTCCATCTCCCCGCCACTCTATTGTAGCTACAGCTGGCTTAGTTCTATTCCTAGAACATTCCATGCTGTTTCCACCTGAGGGACTTTTTACTTCCCACACACCATGAGGCTACGATGCGCTTCCCAAATCACAGCCTCCCTCACTCTGTTCTTGTTCCCACTCCCACATGACCTCCTCCCAGAGGCCTTTCCTAACCACCCTATCTAACACAGCCACTCATCAGCCGGGCATGGTGGCTCACACCTGTAATCCCAGCTCTTTGGGAGGCCAAGGCAGGTGAATCACCTGAGGTCAGGAGTTCAAGACCAGCCTGGCCAACATGGTGAAACTCCATCTCTACTAAAAATACAAAAATTAGCTGGATGTGGTGGCAGGCGCCTGTAATTCCCACTACTTGGGAGGCTGAGGCAGGAGAATCACTTGAACCCAGGTGGTGGAGGTTGCAGTGAGCCGAGATCACGTCATTGCACTCCAGCCTGGGAGATAAAAGTGAGACTCTGTCTCCAAAAAAATAAATAAAACAGAATAGCCACTCCTCTCTATTGCTCCCTTGTCCTTGTCCTCTCCCTAGCATTTATCACTATTTGAATGACGGTTTTCGATTAGTTTGTTACCTGTCTTCTCATCTGCCATGAGGGCAGGTCTTTTCTGTCTCATTCTACAACTATTTCCAGAGCCTAAAACAGAGTCTGGCATATGACAGATACTCAATAAATAGCTGAACAAATAAATGTTGAGCCATTTGGACTGGCTAGAAAGGGCTTCCTATACTCAGAATTTTGAGTTTTATTTTCAATGAAAGACACATGTTGACAAAATCATACTTGACGATCACAGATGCTTCTGATTTTACTCCTGCCAGAAACATTCCCATCCCCTCACCAGTAGAGCCACCTTTATTAGCACAAACCCACAGCATCCTTCAAGAAGGCCAGAGAGAAACAAGGCTAAAGATCACTGCTTCCCGCTCCATGGCCGCATTGTGGCTAAGCGGAAAGTTACACTGGGAGATAAATAGAAATGAAAGGCATTGTGATGCTATAATGTGGTAAAAACAGCACAGCATACTTTATTTATTTTTGTTTTGTTTTATTTTACGCTTTTTTTTTTTTTTTTTGAGACAGAGTTTCACTCTGTCACCCAGGCTGGAGTGCAGTGGCACAATCTCAGCTCACTGTAAGCTCCGCCTCCCGGGTTCATGCCATTCTCCTGCCTCAACCTCCTGAGTAGCTGGGACTACAGGTGCCCGCCACCATGCCTGGCTAATTTTTTGTATTTTTTAGTAGAGACGGGGTTTCACCATGTTAGCCAGTGTTTTACTTTAAGTTCTGGGATACATGTGCAGAATGTACAGGTTTGTTACATAGGTATACATGTGCCATGGTGGTTTGCTGCACCCATCAACCCATCATCTAGGTTTTAGGCCCTGCATGCATTAGGTATTTGTCCTAATGCTCCCCCTCCCTTTGCCCCCCCCTCCCCTGACAGGCCTGGGTGTGTGACATTCCCCTCCCTGTGTCCATGTGTTCTCATTGTTCAACTCCCACTTATGAGTGAGAACATGCAGTGTTTGGTTTTCTGTTCCTGTGTTAGTTTGCTGAGAATGATGGCTTCCAGCTTCGTCCATGTCCCTGCAAAGACATGATCTCATTCTTTTTTACGGCTGCATAGTATTCTGTGGTGTATATGTGTCACGTTTTCTTTGCCCATTTGCACATTTTCTTTGCCCATTCATGGGCATTTGGGTTGTAAATAGTTCTTTGCTATTGTAAATAGTGCTCAGCACAGCACACTTTAACTGACACAATAGTTAAGTGTATCAAGCACAACCCAGGCAGGGTATGAAATCAGACCACGTCAGCCCTCAGGTGGTAGGACAAAGCACGTGGTGGGAGGCTGGCTGGTTTAAGAGGGTCTTGCAGTACCTTCTATGGAGCATTTTACTACTTTTCTGAATTGATCTTAGGCAAAGAATGGAGAAAAACATTTGACTTCCACCTTTATCCTGTCTCACAGAGGTAGGCATGACAGCATTAAAACCCAACAGGCACACTGTAGCTACTATGCCCAGTCTGAGTTCTCAATGAAGACCAAAAATAGTTCTTGGTGCTATGCTGTCTCTAGTTCCACAACCTTCATACAAAACACAAACCCCTCGCTGGTTTAAGAGTGCCAGAAAGCACTGGGGAGTTAGGGCCAATCATGTGCCGTGAGCAACTTGTACTCATAAACCAGGCCCACACAGATGAGACGCTTTACACAAGGAGGGAAAGGCCGCCCAGAAACATCCTCTGGAGAAATACTCAGTTGGCCGGGCTCTGCCTCCAGTGCCGGAACAGCAGGATGACTTCTGCGTTACCGACGATCTGTTCACCACACTTCACTAGAGCCTTCCCACACCTCCGCTTAGGAAGGTCACAAACCCATTTGGGTTAAATGCTCTTGCAGCTTACTGGAAACCCACTGGCAGCTGATGTTGTGTTTTGAGAATAAACGATGTAACCTGTAAGATTTCCAGAAGGCGTATTTTCTTCTCCAACAAAGAGCAGCCCGCTGACTGAGCTGTGGACCGCAAGCAGTGGCAGCCCCTTGGCTGCTCGCTATTTTGAGTCTGGAGAGATTGTTCACGAGGAGCACAGGCTGTTTGGCAACATCAGAGCTCTACCCAGAAAGCAAAAACAAAATCCGGGTGGTAAGGAAGAGCCAGGCAGGAATGCCTATATACCTGAGGACCCTGAGCCCCGTACTCTGTCTCCTTGGTGAAGTGCCAGCCCTCCCACTTCTCGGCTCGCAGGTCTTAAAGACAGTATTTTACTGCTTTTCCGCAGCATTTTCACGGCATTTTGTTAGGATGGTGGTTTGTTCACATTCCCGAGGGTTTTCTCTTGGCAAGGATCAGTGCAGCCAGGTAACTGCTCTTCCTCTTAATTAATCTTAATTAGATTACATGTAACAGCATGGCTGCACAGTGAGGCCTGCCGATCTGCTGACAAGGAGCAGCTTACCCTGTGAACGAACAGGCCTGACTGGGATTATGGACGCGAGCCGTGTAAATGGGAACGGAGCCCCCTAAGCCAACAGTCCTCGGCCTGCTGACACAGCTGCACAGAGTACCCAGGCACTGCAGCGCCGAAGGAGATTCAGTTACAGTGAAGAAATCATAACAAAGACAGGAAACAGATCAGCACACTCTGGATTTAACACCCTCCCTGGGGAGCTCTGCTGATTTCTAGGCTGCAGATGTTTTTAACCCTGCCTTGAAGAATGTCCATGTCACATGCTGGAGCTGATGAAGGCAAGTACAGTATTGAAGCAAAGCACACATATCCCAAAAGTGGACCCAAATCATGTTGATTAGAGCTTCCCCCATCTCTGCGAAAAGAGGACACAACTGTTAAAATCTGTAAACGATCTTTTGGTGGAGTTTGATGAGCAGTTGCGAAATGGATGCCCACAAAGCCTGGTGTTTATTTACTTAAAATGAGGTGTAAATGAAGCTCACTAGACTCTTCCATGAAGGGCTTCCTAGTCCCAAGAGTTGCAAAATGTCTCAGCTGTTTCCGACTTTTTGCTCTTTGCAGCACTCTATACCAAGCGGAGTAGAATGAAAACAAGCCTCCTTCATTGCGCATTTTTCAAAGTGACTGCCAACAAAAGCTGGATCCTTGACTGTTTAGTGCTTACGATTGAGGAGACGGCGTATCTTACTGGCAGGATATAGGTAGTTTTCCAACAGTTACAGTAAGTTTGCAGAATTGGAAATTTATATAAGTTCTTCTGAGTTACATAAACATGTCTATGACTGCACAAAGATGTGGTTCGCCAGAAGCACTGCATTTTCTTTGTGGCAAAGGGACTGGCCATACCCTGCCAGAAAAGTTCAGGCAAGAGGAGGACTCTAATGTTAGATAAACCTCAAGTCCAAAAGTTGGAAAAAGAGAAAAACGTTCAGCTCACTTGTGATCTGATTTTGTCCCATTTGCAGTTCTTTTACTGTTTTCCATGAGTATTTTTAAGAATGCTCACAGAGGACCTCATCAGGGACCGGAAACTCTAGCACTCATTTCCTAACATACCCTTGGAGCATCTCACTAAGGACATATTTTTGCTTCTCATGTTAAGAAAGCAAAAGGATCATTTTAACTGCTACTGAATTTAATCCTGTGTTTGAACAGACACAGATCTCTGGTAATTCAGAGCAACTGTCTTTTCCCCAGCTGAGCTTGCTGACTTACCCAGACAACTGAGAACACACGTGGGTGGGCTGAGGAGGGGAGAGGAGAAGTGCACCTGAACGATCCAGGTTGGCCCTCTCCTCTAGCCACAGGCATTGGCAAACTGCTGTTCCTGGTTGTCCAGACCCGTTTTCTGAAGGCAGCCTTCGCTTCTGTGAATCGGTGGCAGCTCAAGACCTAGGAGCTGAGGACCCCCTGATGGGGTAGCTTCTCCCACTACTGGACAGACCACCTGTTCAAAAGCCCCTTGTTATTTTGGACCTCTTCATCTAAACTGTCGTCTTCCAGACCTTAGGATCACAGATTCTGTCTCTATATGATCACTCCTCAAGACTTCTCTCTCCCACGTGAAGCCATTTTCCCCAGTTTCATTTCTGGTCCACCACTGCACCTCGTGAACTTCTCATTTTGCACAGGAGGTACTCAGATAACTTCTTTTTGAGACAGGGTCTTGCTCTGTCACCCAGGCTGAGTGCAGTGGCACGATCATGGTTCATTGCAGCCTTGACCTCCCAGGCTCAAGTGATCTTCCCACCTCAGCCTTTCAAGTAGCTGGGACCACGGACATGCTCCACCATTCCAGGCTAATTTTTTTATTTTCTGTAGAGATGGGGACTGGGGGCTGGGAGAGGTCTCCCTGTGTTGTCCAGGCTGGTCTCGAACTCCTGGACTCAAGCTATCCTCCCTCCTTGGCCTCTTTAGCAGCCGGGATTACATGCATGAGCCACCAGACCTGGCACTCAGATAACTTTTACTTGCTATCTGAAAAACTAGGTAGCTACAGCTGGATCACCCAGACTCTAATGAGGGGTCTGGATTGATTCAGGACAGGATGGCTCTTAGGTACAGGCAGAGAAAATCTCCTTAAGATTTGAAAGATGCCAACAAAACTTACTGTCCAGTCAATGTCAATCTGCCATAAGTCTGGAAGGTCATTTGCTGTGTCTTCTTTGGAGTTAAGCACTGCCCATCAGAAAAGTCTACTTTTGAATGAATGACCACTTGGAAGAGTTAGCATGCACAATGTCTGGCACACAGGTAAGGAATGGATTTATAAGTGACACTGTAAATCAGACAGCTTTCCTCATTGGGACGTATGTAAAACCCGAGTGGAGATATGAGGGGCATTTATGACCATTTTTGTCTACCCTAAAACTCTACTAAAGCCAGGTCCACATCAAGGGGCCCCAGCGCAGCTTTCTTTGCACATCTGGTGCAGCAGGTGCCCTATGCACACCGCAATGCCTGTGTCTAACCCTTCTGCACCTTCCAGAAGCTTCAATGGTGGAAGCAGAGCCAGGGCCAAGACAGAATTTCCTGCCTCTCCCATGCCTCTCAGCTATGAGAGTACAGGAGAGAAATGGATGCTTAGTACCATCTCAAAGGAGATGATTGCTCATACGGTTAACCCTGAAACCAATCTAGGAATCCAACAAAATACATGTGTTCAACACACATATTAGCTAATCAGATTGTTGTCTCTTAATTATCTTGTTTTCCAGTAAACCATCATGACCTCTCAGGACTTCCCAGGGGTACTGCCCTGAGGTTCCTCCTTTAAAATGGCCAAGTGATGAGTGATGACTGATTAGCTTGCCGAATTCTTCACTTAAGAACTCATCAGAGGAAAAAAAAGGAAAAAAGAAAAAAAAAAGAAAATAGACTCGGATATTTTGATCGGGCTGTGAGCTCAAGTAAGCAGCACAGTAAAACAGTAAGAACGTTTTTGACAAGAGACTTCATTCAAACATACGTGGAGTCCCCCTGCTGTCGGCCAAGAATAAAATATGGGCCAGCTCGTACCTAAATTTTATTCTTCTTCCGTGGTCATTCGGAATGGGCCACAAGAAAGACCAGAATTCTTCATTTACTACACGCCTAAGGTTTTATGGACTTTGTGTCACCTTTTGAATCCCCCATCCCCAGCCCAAGTTTCATTTTACGCATCAGTGAAAGCCTCAGCCAAGGGAAGAGGTTTTCTTCCCCGTGGAGTAGAATGCAGGAATTTATCTGTCTTAAGGTCTTTAGTCAAGCTAAATTATGTTACCTGAGTATGCTGCCAAAATACAGGTCTGTTCTCTGTTTTGAATCATGATATCACTAGTAGTAACCTCATGTCCAGACATTTGAGATTAAAAACACCAGTACATTGCGTGTGTTTTACAAAAGACAGTTGCTAAGTATGTTATGCCTTCAATATAGCTTTCCTGACAACCTCAACATTGACCTGCAACAAAAAGGCACGTGAGAAGCCCAGGGCCAACTCTCTAGAATTAAGTAATATTCACACATTAGCTGAAGGATGACCCAGTCACCAACCTCCCCCAACAGTCTGCTATGTGCATCCTCTCTTCTTTCCTTTTTGGGTCTGCAGTGTCTACCGGTCACTCTCCTGGGTTATACAACATAGATGGGCATTATCTCAGGCCAGCCCTTATTAGGTGCACATATCACTCGGAGGGTCAGAGAAGCGCCGTATCCAATTATCACAGGACTTTGCTTTAATGTCTTCATGGTCACGTTTCTATTTGTGTGATGAGCTAACTTTGAATGAAGGTTGGTTGGTTGGTCAGTCAAGGCTCACTGCTTAAAGCTGACTGGCATGTCTTTGACTCACCTTCTCACTCAAGGAACAAATGGATTCCTGGTCTTTCTGCAGTGATGAAAATAATTGCTAATAATCGGCTGAGTTTACCCAAAGGATGTTTAGACTGATTAATTTTATTTTTCCAGTACTTCAAAAAACATGCCTTGAAAATCATCTATAACAGCATTGTCCAATAGAAATATAATGCAAGCCACATGTGTAATTTAAATTTTTTCTAGTAGCAATATTAAAAGGTAAAAGGAAACAGGTGAAATGATTTTTAATAATATATTTTATTTAACCCAATAGACACCAAACACTATTATCTCAACATATAATCAACACAAAATTATTATGAGAGGTTTTCTTTTTTAAAATTTAAAAATTTTAATTTTTATCTTTTAGAGACTGGGTCTTGCTCTGTCGCTCAGGCTGGAAGGCAGTGGCCTGATCATAGCTCACTGCAGCCTCAAACTCCTGGGCTCAAGCAGTCCTCCTGCCTCAGCCTCCTGAGTAGACAGGACCACAGGCATACACCACCATGTCCAGCTAATTTTTTAATTTTTTAATTGAGATGGGATTTCACTATGTTGCCCACACTGGTCTTGAATTCCTGAACTTGAGCAATTCTCCTGCCTTGGCCTACTAAAGTACTAGGATTACAGATGTGAGACACTGTACCCGGCTAAGAGATTTTTTTTTTCTTTCATCTTGTCTTCCAACTTCAGGGTGGAGTTGAGACTTGCTGCATATCTCAATTTCAAGTAGCCACATTTTCGAGTACTCAGTAGCCACATGCAGCCTGTGACTACCATACTAGCAAGCTCAGGTACAGCACTGCCCTGTACTCATATAACAGGAACTTAGGGAAGGTGGAAGAATAAGAATGTTATCCAGGCTACATGGTAGCAAACCAAAGTGTATTGAGATGTACAGATAATGAGATGGAAATGAATGACGTCATATCTAAAACCACTCTTAGGTCATTCCAATTCTATCTCTTTTTAGTTAATACACATCATCCCAGTACTACAGCAAAATAATTCAAGCTGGTCTTTTTCCCTTTTTTGGTGAAGGGAATGAGGATACTTAATAATGAAGTGGTGGAACCACTTTGGGATACACTCAGGCAGTTCCTCCAAAGATTAAACACAGAGTTATCATGTGCCTCAGCAATTCCGCTCCTAGGTATATACCCAAGAGAATTAAAAACACAAGCCCACACAAAAGTTCACAGCAGCATTATTTATAATAGCCACAAAGTAGAAACTACCCAAATGCCTACCAATTGATGAAAATGGATAAGTAAAATGTGGTCCGTCCATGTCACGGAATATTATTCCGGATTTTTAAAAAATGAGGTACTGCTACATGCCACAACATGGATGAAACTTGAAGACATAAGCCAGACACAAAAGACAATATATTATGTGATTCCAGTGATATGAAACGTTCAGCACAGGCAAATCCATAGAACCAGAAAGTAGCTTAGTGGTGGCTGAGGATGGAAGGGTGAAAGGGAGTTGGAGGGAAATGAAAAGTGACTGCTAATGGATACAAGGGTTCTTTCTGGATGGATGAAAATGTTCTAAATTGATGGTGGTAGTTGCACACCTCTGGATTTGCAAAAAACTACTGAACTGGTACACCTTAAATGGGTGAATTTTATGATACATAAATTATATCTCTATAAAGCTGTTATTAAAAATAACGGAGGAGGACTCCCACCTGGCCTGTGAGGTCACCCCACACCACATGCATTTGATCAGGCTTGCCATTTTATCATGAGGTTGAGCATGTGACCACATGGATATGGATTTATAAGCATTCTACCAAGACAGACAATTGTTGAAATGTTGAAGCCTATACGTTTCTTTTACTTGAAAAAGGCAAAGTAGGGTAGCCCCAGTTTAATTTCTCCCCAGCTGGAGTTTATTAAGAAACATAAAGTGTAATAGCTCAGATTCAAGCCTTCCTCAGCAACAATGGAAGAACAAGGTTTTCTGATAGCTGTTCTCTCAGGAGAAGCGGGGGAGTCAGGGAGAGGGTGGCAGGTTCTGAAGAAGCCCAGGCTGAAACCGAGAGGGTTCACTTGATCCTGCCATTCCCACTGGCCTCCTCCTTAGGCTTCGTACCCAGAAAAAGCTTCCAACCTCTGCAGGCTTTCAGCATCAGCCCCTCTAGAAAGTGATTTACTTACCCTTGGCAAAGTAGTCATTGATTTTCATTTCATTTCATACTACCTTCATAATGTTTTGTTTTAGCCTTGGTTTATTGTTTCATTTTCCCCCCAGTCATAAATGTCTCCATTATTATACTGGCACACGGGTGAAGCCATAGTTGCTTAGTAATAAGTGCTTAGCATCTGTACCCAACTATAAATTGTTGCATTTGGCCAGAACCAACTAATTCAGAAGATCTATATCAATTAAAATCAAGAAAGTAATAAACCACACACACACAGAGAGAAAAATAATTAGTTGCTTAATCATCTCAATGCAATGAAAGGTGGCAGCATGTGTCGTAAACATGAGTGTGGGGATTCCTGTGGGGGCTGGGAGTTCGCTGAGACTGCACAGCGGGGGCTCGGCTCTGTTCTCTCCCCACCTGACCCTTCGGATCTCAGTGGACAGATGCTATCAGTTACACAGTCAGAGCCAGCGACATCTCGGAGTCACAGATAAAAGTGTCTTGTCTTTCGTATCTTTCTTCTCTCTCACTTCATTCCCGTTGTCACACGTCCATCACCAGCTTATTCACCGGTGACAGCCACAGCCCTCTTCCCCTAGCCCCCAATTTCCACTTTCTCTTCTTTCACATAAAACCATGTAGTAAATTAGACTGCTCCGTGAAAAGGCTGTCAGAGACCAGGCATTTTAATCAACTCAAGTTGAAATTCTTTTGCCTTGTTTTCTAGCTCACTAGCCTGGCCCATTCCCTGCACCTGCACCCTATGCCCTACAGCTCCACCCCCAGCCCGAGCTCCAGGAAGGAAGGTTTTTGACTGGTTCCCTTTCTTGGTTCTTTCTCTCCATCCCCACCCACACCCTGAGCTAATCCCTGCCTGTCCGCGTGTGCTCACTAGAGGCCCGCACTGCTGCTGCGCTTCTCCTTTTCCTTTCCCAATTTCCTCTTGTCTGGACTCATCTTTACCACAAACCTCCACGGATACACTAACTTGTATTATCTGCTATTGTTCCATGCGAGTCACTTTTGTCCTCTTAACTTGGCTGTAGCAACCTTGAGAGCAGAAGTCATGAGTCACTATTCTGCAGCCTCCTCAGCATCCCTAATAAACACAGCATCTCGCGACAGTCTATCACTTAACAATGGATCCCAGAGCTGGGTGTATGTATATGTGCTTCCCTCCTTTGAATGGGCCGCAGTCCATTTCCCCATGGGACAGGCACTAATGCTCCTCGTTGCTACTGGTGTACCTTCATTCTGTTTCCTCAGCCTTAAGGCACTTTCTCCCACTGACTGTCTGGGGACTTCCTCATTTTAATGCCTCTCCCTTAAACAGTCATCCCTCTTTACTGCTTTCTCTGAATCACTGGTTCCCCCCACTTTCTGCAGAATTAATAACTTCAGAATCTGGCTCCTCTATCCTCTATTTCCTTTCAAGCATTTCTCAAACTACAGTAGAGATACGTTGATCTTTTTTCTCCCCGGCTAGACTGGGAGCACCATCAATACTGGTGCTATGTCTTAGCAATTCAATCCCAGGGTCCAGCATCAGGGCCAGAATACAACAGGTACACAACATATACTGTTCAATCTCATCCAACGAACTCTCATTGTAAGGCCCAAGACTCAGGCAAATGAAAAGAACTCATTCCTTATTCCTATTGAGAGTTAGCAGGTTCACAGAACTTGGTTGGGGAAGCCCAGTGGGGTGTGCTCAGCACCAAGGCTGGGGGTGACACACTCTTGGGCTCTCCAAAGCTCAGGTTCTAGACGCTCCCATCACACTGGGGACCTCTACTTACAGGAAGTTTCTCCTGGGATCACATTCTCCCTCAAGCTTTTTTAAAGTTGACCCCTTCTTACCTGCTTTCTGGGAAGAAAGGGGAGATGGGAACAGACTTAAACAAAATTGTTAATTATGTTTTGTTTTGTTTTTGAGAAAGGGTGTCACTCTCACCCAGACTGGAGTGCAGTGGTGGATCTCAGCTCACTGCAACCTCTGCCTCCCAGGTTCAAGCAATTCTCGTGCCCCAGCCTCCCGAGTAGCTGGGATTACAGGCATGCACCACCACACCTGGATAATTTTTGTATTTTTAGTAGAGACAGGGTTTCACAATGTTGGCCAGGCTGGTCTCAGACTCCTGACCTCAAGTGATCCGCCCACCCTGACTCCCAAAGTGTTGGGATTACAGGCATGAGCCACTGCACCCAGCCAAAATTATTATGAAAAGTTTGTGTTTCACATTCTCCTTTCTGAGTTTCTGCCCCATCACTTGAAATTTTTATTTCCCAGTCTCAGGTGCTAAGATCCAAAGTTCCTTGAACCTTTCATCTCTCTGAAATACAAATCTCTTAAAAATAATTCACTGATTTCAGTTTGATTTTACAGGAAGAAAGTAACCTGATTAAATAATCCACCTTAAAGTACAGGTGACTATTAGTAACCATCATCATTTCTAAAATTTCCTAGTGTATTTATACTTCAAAAGAGGCCTATTATCTTAATTAATTTTAAGCAAAAAATAAAATAAATTCAAGCAAGGGTACTATTTTGAAGCAAAAGGACCTTCCCAGTCTTTCTAAAGGAGTAAATAGTTACCTATGGCCGGGCACAGTGGCTCACACCTGTAATCCCAGCACTTTGGGAGGCTGAAGCAGGTGGATCACTTGAGGTCAGGAATTCGAGACCAGCCTGGGCAACATGGCAAAACCCAGTCTCTACCAAAAAATATAAACATTAGCCGGGCGTGGGGGCACAAACCTGTAGTCCCAGCCACTTGGGCGGCAGGAGAATTGCTTGAACCCAGGAGGTGGAGGTTGCAGCAAGCACAGATTGCACCATTGTACTCCGGCCTTGGGGACAGAGTGAGACCATGTCTCAAAAAAAATAAAAAATAAAAAACTTAGCTGGGCACAGTGGCAGTTGCCTGTAGTCCCAGCTACTAGGGAGGCTGAGGCAGGAGAATCACTTGAACCCGGGAGGTGGAGGTTGCAGTGAGCTGAGATCGCACCACTGCACTCCAGCCTGGGCGACAGATTGAGACCTTGTCTCAAAAAACAAAAAACAAATAAAAAATTTTTAAAAAATGGTTACATAGACCAACCCCAGTTAGAGACTTCCAGGACCTTCAGAGCAGTTACGTGCTTCCTTCAATCTTTTCCTCCTGACACTAGAAGTTCCGTGGCCCTCCGCCTTCTCCCAACAGCTCCAGTTTGTCTCCTTCCTTTCGCAGACTATCCGTGCTCTGTTTCCTGCTTTGCCTGAATTTCAGCCCGTGTGCTGTGACTTACTGCTTGATTTGGGGTCTAGGCTCTGTCTCCCCAGAATCTAACTATAGAAAATGTTTTTAGCCCACACACAGGCACTTTCAGGGACAGGCTTATTAGATGAGGAGCTTTGGTAGGATTTAAGAAAGCACCTTGAGTGCAAAGCACATTCTAAGCACTCAAACCTGTTACTCTTCCTTTCTCAAATATATGTTGAGCTGAGGAATTGTTCCAGGTACAGTGGTGAACAAAACAGACACCATCTCTGTCCTCATTCAACTTACAATATAACAGGAAAAAAATACAGTTTTTTACAAAGTAAGGAATTATAAGTATGCAAGGAGCTGCTCACTCTTTTATTCCTAAGTCCCTGGCCCTTGAGAACTGAACAAGATGGCCTTATCCCCAACCCCAAAGCCTGCAGAACTTCCTACCGTGTCCAGCCCTGTTTTCCTCCCCTCCCCTATCTCTTCTCTCCTTTAGTACTTCAGGAACTCCAAAATCTTCAGCTCTCCTCAGCTGTGGGTGTACCTATATCCACCCAAGTAGTCAGTAAGGAAAAGAAAAAGACTTTCAATTTATCAGAATACACCCTTTCTAGGTGTTTGCAATTATAAATAGAAAATAAAAAACTCTAATACACTTTCTATTCCTTCTTTCCTTCCTTCCTGCCCTCTTTCCTTCCTTTCTTCCTTCCTTCATTCTAATGCTGACTTCAATTTTCAAAGTGAGGTTAACTATTTCCAAAAAGGCAGAGAATGAGAGAACTGACCTCATGATTTCCCAGCTGGGAAAACGACTCACTTACAAGCTTGTTAAATATATGTGCTCCCACTTTACAGAACCACTCTCTTGGAGGAAGGAAAAAAGCCCCAAGACACAGAGGACCACTGGATACCCTTTTGTGTATATGGATTCTAATACTTGAAAACTAACCAGAAAAGATGAGGGAGTCACAGCTCCCAATGGGCCATCTTCTTAAGAAGGGGCACAGCTAAAGTGATTTTCCTCTGTTGGTAACTGGTGGGTTTATGTTTTTTGTCCAATATGTTTTTCATTAGCATGAGAAATACCAAGAAAAATTTCATATGATAAATGTAAACAGATTAATGAATTGAGAGAAACTGCCAACTGTCTTCAGATTGTTAATGGAAACATTATGCTTTCTATTAAATTTACAGACACCTGCATTTGAATAATTAGCTGCTTTTATGAAGCTTGGAAGGAAAAGAATCTTCCATGTTTGAGTCTAGAGATCTGGAACAGAGTTCGTTCAAAACATGCCTAGAAAATGCTTCAATACTCATAGAGTTATACGAAAACAACTTACAGCCAAATGGAAAACCAACAGTCTTGAGATTACTAAGATTTGTGAACAAAATTAATACAAGTTTTCCATCTGACAATTTTTGCCAACTAAATTTTACATCAGATACCTGGGAAGATAGATCCATAATAAAGATACAAAATATTTATTTTGAATTGTTGGAATAAGGAAGAGTAAAAAATAATATATTTTAAAAATCAGGCCGGGCGCAGTGCCTCACACCTGTAATTCCAGCAATTTGGGAGGCCGAGACAGGTGGATCACGAGGTCAGGAGTTCGAGACCAGCCTGGCCAATATGGTGAAACCCCATCTCCACTAAAAATACAAAAATTATCTGGTTGTGGTGTCATGTGCCTGTAGTCCCAGCTGCTCGGGAGGCTGAGGCAGGAGAATCGCTTAAACCCGGTAGGCGGAGGTTGCAGTGAGCCGAGATCGCACCATTGCACTCCAGCCTGGGCGACAGAGTGAGACTCCGTCTCAAAAAAAAAAAAAAAAATCAAATGCAGTAGCAGAATAGATTCTTGAACCTTGAATCACATTACATAGATGCAAACCCATAACACTGTATAGCCTAAAGAAACCTTTGAAATCATCTACCCTAACCCTTTTATTTTGCAGAAGGGCTTATTTGAGACCCAGAGAGTTTATATCATTTTGCAAAATTCACATAGCTAGTTAATGCATAGCAAAAGAAAGGCTATAATTCTGATCTCCATGCTTCCAATTCAGAAGTCTTTAAATAGCCAAACACACACACACACACAGAGTGTATATTCACATATACATATGAGAGACACAAATGAAATGCTGAACTCATTTTTTTTGGTAAACTTTAATTCCCCATCTTTGTCTTTCTCTCTTAGTAAATAATGAGCATTTATGGAGTACCTTTTAAGTGCCAGGCATTGTGCTAAGCACTCCACTTGCATTAGTTCATCCTCACAATGTCCCTGAAACATAGGTAGTCTTGTTATCCCTCGTTCCATAACAAGAAAATTTAAAGACTGGCGGTGCAAATTTACTTAAGGTTATTTGGGCCCTCTGAGATCTTATTCACGGACTTCACTGTTTATCGGAGGTACATTTTAATCTATCAAGAGTGGAAAAAATAGCAAAGGTTTCTGAACCACATTATTACACTCTTTATGAATTGTGCTTTAAGTGAACATAGCTGCTATTAATCAGCAGAGTGGCTTCACATGGCAGCAGTTTAGTAACAGCTGTGGCCGATGGCGTGCGCAGCACATGGAAGGATGCTGCCTTCCAAACTTCTTTTACGAGTTTATATCAAAACAGATTCTCATACCTCATCCCCAACCTTTTCTGCAGGACAAAGGAAAGGGACTTCATACAAGTTCTCTTCACTTGCACAGACGGAAAGAGGTGGGGGCAGAGGGGCGTTCCCGACCTTATTTGGAAACCATTGAAGCTTTGCCAGTACTGAACCTAGAACACCACCAGACAGAAGGAAGAGAGGGCTCACAGTACATCTGGCACGTAGTGCCCTCTATTGTGCCTGTGGAAATTCTGCGGGTGAGAGAGGAGGCAGTTTGTAGGTTGGCTGATATTTTTCTTTTATGCAAATACACCGCTGTTTGAAAAATCTATTTTTTATTACATGTGAAATTCCCAGAGGCAAAAGGCCACGTCTCTCCTCTTTATTGTCCATGGTGTCCAACACATTATGGATAGGTAGTAAACGTCACATCACTTTGATATGCAGGACTAAGAATGACCCTTTCCCAAGAGTCCTGCTTGCTTCTATTTCTCAACAAGCCTCATGAGGTGCATACATCTCCCAAGAAAAGGGAACTGCTGAAGGCCTGCATCTCTTCCCCAAATTTCCATGAATGTTGCACTCACTTCTTCCCTGGGCTAATGGACTCCCCCGCCCCCAACTGTTTTACTGGTTTTTTACTCACACCTGCAGAATTTATATGTGGATCCCTGACACCCTACTTCCTATCATTTTCAGCACAAAGTGGGAGCTTCTGATTCTACATATACTCTATGACTCTGTTTGGGAAGCCTTTGATGAGGCCTCACTGCCAGCATGGACATCTTTAGGAGAAAATTTTTACTTCCATAAAGATTTTTTTTTTATAACTTTTGTTTTCCAAGAAATTGAAACAAGATGAATTAATAAGTATTGATGTTGGCAAATAAAATGATCAAGTGGGAATTTTGTTTTATCCATCTTTGTACCACAGTTCATGGCATATGGAAGGCATTTGGTGAATGTGTATCAGAATTATAAGTATTCATATTTCCCCTCAATTATTTCCAAAAGCAATTCAATCATAAGACTTCTATGTAAACCATGAGGTGGGACAATCATTATATCTTAATATTTTTTATCAGGCAGGGTGCAATGGCTTATACCAGTAATCCCAACACTTTGGAAGGCCAAGGTAGGTGGATCACTTGAGGCCAGGAAATTTTTTTTTTTTTTTTTTTTTTTTTTTTTGAGACGGAGTCTCGCTCGGTCTCCCAGGCTGGAGTGCAGTGGTGCAATCTTGGTTCACTGCAACCTCCGTCTCCCAGGTTCAAGCAATTCTCCTGCCTCAGCCTCCCAAGCAGCTGGGATGACAGGGGCCCACCACCATGCCCGGCTAATTTTTTTTTTGTTTTTAATAGAGATGGGGTTTCACCATGTTGGCCAGGGTGGTCTCAAACTCCTGACCTCAAGTGATGCACTCCCTTTGGCCTCCCAAAGTGCTGGCATTACAGGTGTGAGCCACCACCCCAGAGGCCAGGAATTTAAGACCAGCCTGGGCAATGTAGCAAGACCCTGTCTCTAAAAAAAAAAAAATTTTTTTTTAATTAACCAGGCATGGTGATATACGCCTGTATTCCTAGCTACTCAGGAGGCTGAGGTGGGAGAATCACCTGAGTCCAGGAGTTCAAGGCTGCAGTGAGCTATGATCATGCCACTGAACTCTAGCTTGAGTGACAGAGTAAGACCTTGTCTCTAAAACAACGAACTAAACATCCAGATGCTTTTAACAAGGGGAACAATATAGTTATTTCTTACATATTTAAACTGCTGTGGAAATACTGATCTTAGGTTGAAGGTTTGAGATCTTACATGTCAGCAATAATTTTACTTTTATATTTTCCCGTTTCACAGAATGAGAACGACATGTTAGAAAGGTTATTTCAAATATTAGAGATTACAGGGCATCTTCAGGCCTTGGGAATAAGAATGCAGTCTGGATTTCTGCCAGAACCTTTGCAGACTTCTGAGTTTGATTCTCTTGTTTTCCTGACAAGTCTAAATTCCTGCACCTTCTGCAACATGTGAAAGAAATTGATCTGTGCATGGAAATATTCACACTTATAAAAAAATACAACTACCAGAGTGTATAAAAAGAGGAGCATGTGTCAATCACGGCCAAATGTCAGTATTCAAAAACCTATAAAAGAATAAAAATAAAATATCAGAAGAAGCAGAAAGCGTTTATAGTGATGACTCAGACCAGGAGACCAATTTCACAATGTTTCATTGTGGCAAGAGCTGTATTCACTAAGATTTGGAACTTTCTCATTTTTTTTCTTTTTTTTTTTAGTTCCTCTTCCAAATTTTTTTTCTTCAAAATCTGCTTAAGACTATAGAGAATACTGAGCCAGAAAACAAAATGACTTTTGTTCATTCATTCACTTCTCTATTATGCTGATGTCTTGTTTTTGATGTCTTCTCTTTTTATAAACTGTCAAAAACTAGAACAGCACCTTGTAGCTTCATTTATAGCAAAGTTACAATTAGGAAGTAAACTTGTAATTATTTTATGAATAAATCGAATTTTTAAAGTTTATATAAAATAATTTTAAAAGTGAAACAAATTATAAATAATAGTATATCAGATTATATAAATAATAATATAAATTGTTGCTTTTTAATAATTTTGTATAACTTAGTATTACATTTGAAATATAATGATATTACATTATATATTATAGATATTATTGTTACAAGTAATAATAGTGGCTAAAGTGCTTAATTCCTCACCAACCATTCCTCCCCAAGTAATTAGTCCAAGCCAACCAGAGACAGCCCATTCCCTTTGTACATAACTAATTTCGAAAAGGACTTGTGACTCAACGTTGGTCAATGAGATGACAGGGAAAGTAGACAGAAGGCCCCTGGGAAAGCTGCTTTGCCTCTAAAAAAAAGGCACTGAAACAAAGCCTGGACACACTGTAGCCACCTTGTGCCCATTTGTGCTACTTTTCATAATACATACATTACATCCATCTTGTATGGATTATGTACGTATTCTAGGTGCAAGGCACTACTCTGAGTATTAACTCATTTAGTTCTCACAAGAACCCTACAGGCAGACAATACAGTTATCCCTGTATTCTAGAGGAGGACGCTCAGGCACAGAGAGGCTAAGTCGCCCAAGGCTACTCACTCGTAACTGGCAAAGCTGGAAACTGAACCCAGGCAGTCTGGCTCCAGCATACATTCTCTTAGCCACGATGACAGGTCAGCTCTCCATGGAAGCTGCTCCAACCCCTCAGTATGCTACCTTCCTTAAAAGTATTATTCTTTACTGATGGCCACCAACCCTTTCCACTTTTTAAAATGTCCTTCAAGAAAATAGACTCCTGGTCAGGCGTGGTGCCTCACATCTGCAATCTCAGCACTTTAGGAGGCTGGGGCCACGATGGTCATTTGAGGCCAGGAGTTTGAAACCAGCTTAGGAAACATAATGAGACCCCCATCTCTACAGAAAAAAATTTTTTTAAAAATTGGCCTAGAGTGGTAGCATGTGCTTGTGGTCCCAGCTACTTGGGAGGCTGAGGTGAGAGAATCGCCTAAGCCCAGAAGTCAAGGCTGCAGTGATGGCACCACTGCACTCCAGCCTGGGTGACAGAGTGAGGCCCTGTGACAAAAAAAAAAAAAAAAAAAAAAAAAGAAGAAGAAGAAGGAAAACAACAGAAGAAAAGAAAATAGACTCCTTTGGAATTCCCTGAACAAATTACTAGGCTGCTGCAGGGCACAGAATATAGGAGGGAGGGCAGTAAGATTTTGAGGGAGGGAGGGAATAAGGTGAGAAGGATCAGAGAGAATGAGGACTGCTGGGCTTCACAAGGGGAGACCTGGAGCACCTGGGAGAGAGGAAAGAGCAGAGTGGGAGGGGTGGGAGCAGTCAGCAGTTTAATAATAGCCACAATTTAGTGCAGACCTACTGTATACCTGGCCCCCATATATATTATGGTTTTATAATATCAATATATAGAATATCAATAATAAAATATCAATCCTCCAAAGAATACACACTATATACTTGTCATACCCATTTCACAGATACACAAAATGAGGCTTAGCTAGTAAAAGACAAAACCAGTATGTGAATCAGGACTGTCTCACTCGAAAGACTTGCTTCCTGGGCACCACCTCCCCCGCAAGCCCACAGTGTAGACTGAACACAAAGGGCCCCAGGGAGAACGTGAGAGAGAAAAAGAATCACTCCAGTTCACAACTTTGCAGAGGATCGTAGTTTTTTCTCAAAATCCATGGCCCAAGGACAGCTTTCCTCTTCCCAAGGGGCCTCCAAATGAACAGCTCAAATCTCTTTTTTTTATTTTTTTGAAACGGAGTTTCGCTCTGTTGCCCAGGCTGGAGTTCAGTGGCGTGATCTCGGCTCACTGCAACCTCCGCCTCCCAGGTTCAAGTGATTCTCCTGCCTCAGCCTCCCCGAGAAGCTGGGATTACAGGCGCGTGCCACAGCGCTCAGCTAATTTTGTATTTTTAGTAGAGACAGGGTTTCTCCACATTGGTCAGGCTAATCTCGAACCCCTGACCTCAGGTGATCCACCCGCCTCGGCCTCCCAAAGTGCTGGGATTACAGGCGTAAGCCACAGCGCCCGGCCTCAACTCATATCTTTTAAGAAACGTTTCAGAGTCTGTCTGTCTTAAGTTGCTTGCAGTTGCTACCAAAAGGGAAACTCTTTCCCACTCTACCCCTCAACAACAAACACTGGAAACAACCTAAATGTCTTCATGCTGTCTTAACCAAAACAGAGCTGAGTAGATTTTTTTTTTCTTTAACTTTTCCAAAAATAAAAACAAACCACATTCAGTTTCAACCCAATTGTTGGAAAAACAAATTATCCCACCCTTCTCCTTCCCACAGCCCTACCAGGATTCATAAGTGAATGAAAACCAGAGAGAGTGGGGAGGAGGAGTTATACTTTAAATGGTGGAAAATTCAGGGCTCCAGTGTTCAATATGACACATATTATGAAATTGTGAAATATAAGACCATATCAACAGCTGCTGATTTAGTGCAGGATCATTTATGATGACTTGCTTTTCCATTAAAAATTTTGGGATGCTGGAGTATGGCCGTGTCTGTGAGCTTCCCAGTCACAAGTAGAGCAGAAAGAACACTGAGGCCTGAAATCAGGCTTAACTCCAACATTGGCCATGCTACCAACCTTGGGAGCTTTGGCTCTCACCTGTAAACCACATATAATTCCCACCTCAAAGGGTTTCTGGGGGAATTCAATGAACTAATGGGTGGGAAATCACCTGGCACATAATAGATATCCACGAAGGAGCGTTTAATGGTTTCTTTCACACGACTTTCTCTTCACATGGTTTAAAACAGATCATAATCACATGGAATGTGGTGTTGAATCTTTTTTTTACTGATGGGCAGGAAAGACAAGGCAAGGAGGGTCTGACCTAACCAGTGAGAAGTCCTCTTGGCAGGAAGAAGGGAAACCTAGGTGCATGGTGTTGCCAAAGGAGCCTGTGGTTATCATGTATGGTGATAAAGATTATGAAATCTCCTCAGTTTATATAAAAAGCAGTGACAGCCAAGGAACTCCCTTTCTCGGCGTTTAGGAGCTCCACCTGCCTGCCTGGAAGCAGAGGATACAGGGGCCAGATAAAGAGCTACTCTGTGACTCCCCTTCCAGCTCTGTCAGCCTGAGAATCTCTTTTGCACTGAGTTCCTCACATGCCATTTTGACACCGAATTCTTATTAAATCAGAGGCCAGGGGTGGTGGCTACGCCTGTAATCCCTGCAGTTTTGGAGGCCAAGGCAGGCGGATCACCCAAGGTCAGGAGTTCAAGACCAGCCTGGCCAACAGGATAAAACCCCGTCTCTACTAAAAATACAAAAAAGTTAGCTGGGCTCGGTGGCGGCGCCTGTAGTCCCAGCTACTCAGGAGGCTGAGGCAGGAGAATCACTTGAACCCGGGAGGCGGAGGTTGCAGTGAGCCGAGATCGCGCCACTGCACTCCAGCCTGGGCGACAAGAGCTAAACTCCGTCTCAAAAATAAATAAATAAATAAATTCAGAAATACCAACTCAATTAGGATTTGTAAAACCACATAAATGAAACTCTCCCCTTAACTTGATGCAAATGGTTTTGGACATTTCAAAGAAACCCCACCAGGAGCACCGAGTTCCACTGTTCCCTTGCCCTTCACCTTCCTCCCAGTGTCAGTCCTGTGCCTCACTTAGAAATGTTTGGAAAAGGTGCCTCTGGAAGGACAGCCTCTCACTGTGCTTACTCAGTCGTTCCCCACAGGAAATGATGGAAATTCCTGGCATTCCCATCAGGGAATGGGTCAGCTTTCTGCAGGGCTGCGGTGAGAGGGATGCCTGGAGCCCTCCTTGTTGTCGGAGATAGATGGCTTCAAATCAACACCTTGTCCAAATTAGAAGATGAAGCCAGGCTTCCAGGAAGAGTCCCAGCAGAGGGGAGACAGGCAGCCTGCCCCGTAAAAGCCCAGCAACAAGAAGTAGAGGCATCCAAGTGTTTATCTTGAGCAGCTTCCCAAAGAGAGTTTGGCATCCTCTTGGTAAACTCTTCCAATCTCTTGGCATTAAAAGCAGACACTCGCCATGTGCCTCAGAAAGAACCTTCCTTTCTGGCTATACGGTTAAGCATATCCGTGCTGTGATTTTTCAGAAGCCTCAGTAGTCCTCTATGCTTTTAGACATTAGTTTCTCTAAACCTCTTGGCAAGAAACAGCTCAATAATTTAACTGGAGCCATGAATTTAAAGTTCCATGTGTTTATCTCTTTGGAGGCTGGGTTTGGAAGGAGGGAACGGTGATGGCAAGGCATGAGGCAGGGGCACTGAGAGGCAGGGCTGGGTTCCCTTCAACACAGATTTCTCAGGCTGCTTCGACATGCTCGGCACCGTGTGGGCCAAACTGTTAAAAATATACTTGCTAATCTGCAACTATTTTTTGAGGAAAGAAAGGGGAAAGTTAAAGCCTGGCTTGTTTGAAGCTATAGCTATAGAGAGACCTGTGAAGTTGTGGATAAACAAAACTATTCAAGGACATGCTTCAAAGAACACACTTACTGATCTCAGAGGAAAAGACATCTGATACCCCGTTTTGGACTGTAACCCCTAAATAATTTTTCAGCAATCCCCTTAGAACTCTCCCACTTAGTTTTTACCAAAAAAAGAAACTTGAATCTACTCCATAGAGAATGCTTCCTTTTACTTTCTTGTTACTGTTTCACAGTTTGCCATTATTCAGATCTTTTACTCTCATAGCTATTAATAATTCCTATGCCTGAGCCCCAAAGAAGCAATTCTGTCAAAGCTTTGTTTGTCAAATACAAACAACAAATGTTCCCAGCTGCCCACAGTTGCTCACTGGAAACCCTTAACTCCACCCGTGATTTTCACAGGCTGAACCATGTATCTCTTGCTTCTCCATCATCCTAACTTTGGACGTCTATTATCATACCGGATCAGATTCCAAAAATAACAGAAGAGAACCCATTGCGACCAATCAATGAAACAAAGTCAGTCTAGCGCCCCCGCCCCAGTGCAGAAAGGGAGAATGCAGGCTCCAGAGGGAGGGCCCAGGCCATGCAGGTGGTGCTGCCTCTCTTTCCCTTTCTGCTAAGCATAATAATAAAGGATTCTAGAGCCACGTGTGATGCTTTTAATGAAACAGGTAACTGGGAAATAAATAGACAAATATCACTTTCGTGGTAGTACATATCATATCTATGGAAAATAAAAATATACTGGTGCCTCATGTCCCAGAAAATGAACTCTGCCAAATTGTAACTATAGTTACGTCCCAATTAGCTCTGCATACTGAGGCCAAGAAACGCTGACCCTCAAAGCCTGATTAAAGCTTGAAAATGCTCACTTAATTAACCCTTCAAAGTCTCCCCTCATTGACGCTTTTGTCAGAGGAGCAAAGAAGTGACAAAACCATCAGACCAAACTCCATCTCCTCTTTAGACACCTGCCCAGAACTTTGGGAACGGGGCTGAACAAGCTTGGTATATGGAAAGACTGAAGAAAAACAGAAGACCTGGTTGAGACTAAAATGCAATAATGAATCCCTGAGTAAACAAGGGGTGACTGCACCAAATACAATACCATGCTAGATCACTGCAGAAGATCGTGCATTTTGCTCTTTACTGTAATAGTATGCTAAATTTGAAAAAGCACAATATTATTATGTAAACAGCCTTGACTTTATGTAGCAAACACCTCTGAATAATAACTCTCTATATGAATAACTTCAGAAACAGGCCCACCCAGTAGTGATTTGCTAAAACAATGGCTCCTTTGCCCTGTGAATAACTGACCTCGGGCTCTTCTGTAGTCTAAATTCGGGTTGTGTTTATCATACTTGCATAAGCAATATATACCTAAAATTAAACAATAAGTAAACCCTCTATGTCACCCAGTCTATTTTTGCAACTATAAAAGGCTACAATGTTACCGTCTTTAGAAGAAAATCACACCTTTACATTTCTTCAGGAGTAAGTTTTCAGGTCTGTCACACTTTGATATTCTGCAGTGGCTGTACCAAAACATTGAGAGAGTGCTAACAGCCCCAAATCTCGGGAGAGTGATAATACAGTCCTGTGTTTTTATAGTGTTGTAACTTCAAAGCACTTGTCCATCCATCTGACATCTCTCTTAACCTCACCAAAGCCCTGTGAGGTAGACTCACCTACGTTGGCAGGTGTCCCCCTGCTGGTTGGGCAGAGGCAGCATCTGACACCCACTGAGTTTAAGTAGCTGGTTTCAAGACACAGGAGTGATTAGGGGCAGGACCTAGAGGGTTGACATGTCTCTGGACACCTTCCACTTACCACCTTACTATCAACCTGCTGCATGGAAGGGACTTGGTCTTCCTTCAATGGTTAAAGTTTAACCATGCCTGAAGAAATGGGTTCTTGGGTCCTGCTGGATTCAACTGGCCACTTCTTAGGAACTGAAAACTCATTTACCTTCTAAAGAATCAGAGTCCTAGCCCTATAACCATGATGAGGCCTCCCCAGTGGAACCAGATTGGGTGTCCAGTCCACTTTAGGGTTCCAGAGCTGCAGGGTCCCCCTCCACAACACAGAAGTTGAAAGGTCAGCTCCACTTCACTTCACTGCTGAGCCCTTCCCCAAAACGACATTATCCTGAGAGTTAGAAGATCCAGAATCTTCTAACCCCAGCTCCAACTAACTTGCTTCAGCAAGGACTTAATCTATCTGGGCCTCAGCTCCCTTATAGGTGAAAACAAAGGGAGAGTTAAATCATCTAAGTTGGGTGCAGTGGCTCACGCCTGTAATCTCAGCATTTTGGGAGGCTGAGGCTAGAGGATTGCTTAAGCCCAGGAGTTCAAGACCAGCTGGGGCAAGATAGTAAGACATTGTCTCTACAAAAAATTTAAAAATTAGCTGGACATAGTGGCACATACCCGTAGGCCCAGCTACTTGAGAGGCTGAGGCAGGAGGATTGCTTGAGCCCAGGAATTCAAGGTTACAGTGAGCTACGATTGCACCACTGCACTCTAGCCTGAATGACAGAGCAAGACTCTGTCTCAAAACTAAAATAATAAAATAAAACACAAAAAACACCTCAAAGACTCTTCCATCTGCAAAGATCTACTCTGGTCCTATGCTGGATATCCATCGCCTTGCCTAGAGGCTGAATCCAAGAATTCTCAGCATCAGGAATGTCTCTTTCATAGACTATTCCAAGGTTTCCCATTTTAATTTCGTCCTTCTCTTCTATTTGTACCGCTTGGCATCACTCTCTTCCAGCCTCTGTTTGTGCTCTCTAATATTTGTAAGTGGTTACCATGTCTCCTGTGAGTCATCCGTTGCAACTCCCACGCATAAATGTACTTTTTTGTGTGTTTTTCACCAAATCCCCAACCCATCCAACTGGTAATATGGCTGAGAAATTTATAAAAAATTTTCTCTCAAGGTCACCCTTTCTAAAGAGACTTTCTCTCTTGGTTCTTCATATTTCTACTGATTGCCAAAACATGTAGGCATCTCCACATTTATTTTGCCTTATTTTGACAAGTTTGGTTTTCCTCTTGATTCCTATCTTTCTGTGTTTTTTTGTTTGTTTTCCTTTATAATTCTTGGTTTCATCTTCACTCCTACTGCTGCCTTCAGTGCGTCCCCCCCGGGAAAGAACACAGGACCATGGTCTCATCGCAGAAACATGGAATCGTGTAGATGGGGAACAGGAGCACGGAGGAGGGGCGACGGGGCTGCACGCGGGCCGCTCTGCCAGGGAACCAACGCAGGAGAGATGAGCTTGGTGCCACTGCATTCCTATTTTAAAGTCATATGTTTTCCCAGAAAGTAATGCAGACGTGTGTGTCCAGAAGGAAAAATGCTAAAGCAACGCGGGAGGCAGAGCAGCTGGGGGTTGTTAATTCTAATCAAAGTCCAGCCAGGACTTTTTTTAAGCAACAGGAAGTAGATTCATTCATTTTCATACTCTCTCTCTCTCTCTCTCTCTCTCACACACACACAGAAACGCACACACACACTCACTCACACACACTCTTTTCTCCTCTATCCTTCTCCATTTCCTCTGGCCAAGCACAGAAACAAGCTGTTGGGAAAATCCTCCAATCCCTGGAGCTGCCTTTGAAACTCTGCAATGACCACTGGCATTTCAAGGTCAAAGAGAAGCAAGGTCAAAGCAAAGAAGAGCACCAGGTGCAGCAGCCTGGGAGGCAGAGGGTGTGTATGAGTTTCCTGCGGCTGCTGTAAAAGGTTACCACGAACGTGCTGGCTTAAACAATACAGATTTCTCCTCTTACAGTTCTGGGGGCCAGCGGCCTAAAATCACCTTCAGCCAGCTGAAATATAAATATGGGGAGTATACAGCTCTCCCTCCTGAGGCTCTGAAGGAAGAATCCATTAATGCCCTTGCATTTTTAGCTTCTAATGGCCACCTATATTCCTTGACCAGAGAACATAACAAAAATCTCTGCTTCCATCCTCACATCACCTTCTCTCTGCAGTCACATCTCCCTCTGCCTCTCTCTTACAAGGACGCTTGTGATGGCTTTCAGGGCCCACCCAGGTAACCCAGGATCATCTCCCCATCTCAAGCTCTTCAACTTAATCACACCTACAAAGTCCTTTGTGCCACATAAGGTAACATTCAGGTTTCAGGATTCAGGGTGCTGTCACCTTTGGGGGCCATTCCCCAGCCTGCCACAGAGCCCCTGTGTCCAGGCAGATTCTTGGAAGAAGTCTCCCTCTCACTCATCCATGAACACTGGGTTAGGAGTGTAAGGCCTGAGCAAAGACGTTTTCTGAATAACAAAACTGAAAAATTTCAGGTATTTTGCTGTTGTCTTGTCACAGATTTGCCTTTCCCGCTACACTTTGTCTAGTAGGCTGTCTCTTTTCCATTCAGCAGACCCATGAACATCCCATCACTTCCCCATGCCTGGGTGCAGCTCCTGTCCCATGGCCCCTCAGAATTGTGAGAAACCCTCCCCCTGGGACACAGACACTCACTTTCCAACCAAAATTGGACCTCAGAGCCACAAACACCCATGTGCATGAAGGGCCTGCCAGTGGCCTGCCAATGGTCTCTGAGGGTTCGTGGCTGCATCCCAGGTTGACCACTGAGAAGGAACACAGCTTTGTTAGGACTCACCAAACCGCTTGTAACCGAAGGATTGCACCTCCTCCTCCTCTGCGAAGTCGTCTGTGAGAGAAGAAGAGACACGATGTTAATCCTGGCAAGGGGCACAGAAGCAGAGGGTGGGGCAGGATGCGACCTGCTTCATCGCCCCTGCTTGTCACAGCAGCTTTCCTTCTGCTCGTGGATCGCACCAGGCTTTCTGGAAGAGGCGGCAGGGGTCTCCACCCTGGCTGCTCCTGCTGCTTGGGATGCACTTCCTCTGTTCCTAATGTGACTCCTTCGAATTCAGGTCTTAGCTAAAGTGCGACCCTTCGAGATGCCTTTCTGGACCACCCGGCCACTCCCTGCCACGCTACACTAATTCAATGTTTCTCTCTGATATCTTCCTCACATGTGTGCGTGAATTTACTGTTGTCATCATGCTTCCTGTGAACAGAAACTTTTTCTGCTCACAGAAATAATCGACCGCCAAAGGGGTTAAGTTATCTTTAGGCAACTCACCCTAAAGCCCCTGTTTTTAAATGTCTGGGCTCTGGGGTCATCTCCTTCACTAACTGTTGCCTCTCAGGAGCCGACATAACTCCTGCAGTGACAACCAAACCCTTCCCACCCTCCTTCCGATGGGTAACTGGGACCAACCGATGGTTTCGCAGTAAATGTGTTTCAAAAGGCAGCCTTACTGTGGAAATTCCTAAATGCATACCCACCATGGAAAGAAGAGAGATGTCGGCCGGGCGCAGTGGCTCATGGCTGTAATCCCAGGACTTTGGGAGGCCAAGGTGGGCAGATCACCTGAGGTCAGGAGTTCGAGCCCAGCCTGGCCAACATGGTGAAACCCCATCTCTACTAAAAATACAAAATTAGCCAGATGTGGTGGCACGTGCCTGTAATCCCAGCTACTTGAAAGGCTGAGGTAGGAGAATCGCTTGAACCTGGGAGGCTGAGGTTGCAGTGAGCTAAGATCGTGCCATTGAACTCCAGCCTGGGCAACAAGAATGAAACTACACCTCCAAAAAAAAAAGAGAGGGAGAGATGTTTTATCACCCAACCTTTCTACCAAAAGACCTAAAATCTCATTCCTAAAGTAGACATGAGATTCCTTATTACATCTCTAAAGAACTGCTCATTTACAGTTCTGCCAGGTAAAGGTCCAGGAAGGGCAAGCACTGTGCAGACACAATTTCATATTAATTGCACAACTAAAGGACACTTTTTTTTTTCTTTCCAAATTTTATTTTAGGTTCCGGGGGTACATGTGCATGTCTGCTACATGGGTAAATTGTGGGTTGTGGGGGTTTGGTGGACAGATTCTTTCATCACCCACGTAGTGAGCATAGCACCCGACACGTAGTTTTTCAATTCCCATCCTCCTCTCACCCTTCATCCACAAGTAGGCCCCAGTGGCTACTGTCCAGGAGGAACACTTTTTTTTTTTTTTTGAGATGGAATATCGCTCTGTTGCTCAGGCTGAAGTGCAGTGGCGCGATCTCGGCTCACTGCAACCTCCACCTCCTGGGTTCAAGTGATTCTCCTGCCTCAGCCTTCTGAGGCTGGGATTACAGGCACCCGCCACTACCCTCCGCTAATTTTTGTAATTTCAGTAGAGATGAGGTTTCACCATATTGGTCAGGCTGGTCTCAAACTCCTGACCTTAGGTGATCCACCCACCTCAGCCTCCCAAAGTGCTGGGATTACAGGCATGAGCCACCGTGCCCGGCCAACACTTTTTGATGACAAGTAAGAGGTGCCAAAGCCAGGCCTTTCTAGGGGACCCTGTCTGACTGGGTCCATTACTGCCCCAGCACACAACTTTCTCTCACAGGCAACTCAGCTCAAAGGCATGTTGTTAGCACTCACCATGACAGAGACTGCCAGGCTGTGGCTTCAGAGGTGAGTAAGTCATGGTCCTTTATCTTGACTTTCTTTTGTTTTTTGAGATAGAATTTTGTTCTTGTCGCCCAGGCTGGAGTGCAGTGGTGTGATCTTGGCTCACTGCAACCTCCGCCTCCTGGGTTCAAGCGATTCTCCTGCCTCAGCCTCCCAAGTAACTGGGATTGCAGGCGCCCACTACCACGCCCAGCTAATTCTTTGTATTTTTAGTAGAGATGGGGTTTCACCATGTTGGGCAGGCTGGTCTCGAACTCCTGACCTCAGGTGATCCGCCCGCCTCGGCCTCCCAAAGTGCTGGGACTACAGATGTGAGCTACCGTGCCCACCCAATCTTGGCTTTCAAGAAAGAGAGGCATATAGGGGAAATGAAGCCTCTGTGATAGTCTTTTTCAATCCCCAAAAGAGACATGATCTAGCTATATCTGAACCTTGAAATGTTATGGAGAACCCAAGATGTATGCTATCTATAAACACAATGTGGTGAAGCTCAGAATACTTGTTTGTTACAATGTATTTATAAAATCACATGTGATGCTGTAGCGTGGTGGCTCATGCCTGTAATCCCAGCACTTTAGGAGGTTGAGGCGGGTGGATCACCTGAGGTCAGGAGTTTGAGGCCAGCCTGGCCAACATGGCGAAACCCCATCTCTACTAAAAATATAAAAATTAGCCGGGCGTGGTGGCAGGTGCCTGTAATCCCCGCTACTTGGGAGGCTGAGGCAGAATCACTTGAATCCAGGAGGTGGAGTTTGCAGTGAGCCAAGATCACGCCAACTACACTCCAGCCTGAGCGACAGAGTGTGGGACTCCGTCTCAAAAAAAAAAAAAAAAAATCACATGTGAGACAGTGGTTATTTCTAACAGAAAACAGAGAGGTGTGATATCTTTGTATTTCACCATTGTCTCCTTATTCTGCAGAAAGGGAAGAGATCTTGGTTTGGAATCTAGAAGGCCAGGTATTTATACTCAAAGTGGTTTTCTTATGGCAGGGATTTAAGCTTTAATTCTTTCTGAATGGAAGAACTTGCCTACAACCAAGAGAACAGCATCTTTTTCTCTGATTCAGTGATTGGCTACCTCCACAAACACACATCAAGTCCATGCTCTGTTCCTGCTTTACTTACTAATCTGTCCTATTAATGCTTGATGTGGTAATCTGTCGTGTTAATGGCTGCAGCCTCGTCTATTCTCCATTTAAGAGAAACGCTGACCTGCTGCGTCTGCTTAGATATCCATTCGTTTGTTTTTTCATTCATTCAATAAACACATGCTTACAGCCTAGCGGAGTTGATGAGACATGAATATCAGCATCAGTGGTACCCAGACATCCGTGCCCTTGGCCAGCTCTATCCTTTCCACCACTGTGCCACCTCTGCAGCAGAATCCACTCACACTTAGGCACTGTGGGCCACAGAAACATCATTGAAGATGTCACAGTGGAAACAAGAAGGGAGGTTCATGCTGCACCCTTGATAGCAAACAGCTTCAAATTTCCCATTAGACATGTCTATTCTCCCCCAAAAGCTTCATTTCAGCAGGGCTACCATTAGCTTGTTTGTTTGTTTGTTTTCGTTTCCCTCTCTAATCTTTTTCCCATGCAGCATTTAGTCTGACTGACTTCTCTCTCCTTCCTGAAATTTCCCTGGGAACTTCAAATTTCACATATTTTTGTTATTAAAGCAATTTAGCTGTGTCCTGCTTCTACCTCCAAATTAACATGTCCAAACCCATGAGGAGTTCAAGAAAACAAAGGCCTCACAGGCCACCCATCATAAAGCACAGGGTGGGTTCCCTGCTTCTCATCTTAACCCTCATCCGAAAAGGATTAGGGATTCTTGTAACAGCCACTAAAAGAATAAAATAGTCTCTATCTCATCCAACTCTAAAATTAGAGAGAAAATCACAAGAGACATGAGGGGTACAAGTTTAAGTTACCACACATTACTTCTGACTGCAATTATACAGAAGTGCCTTAAATCAGTCTCTCTCAATGTTTTTGTTTTTTGGGGGCGAGGATAGAGATTGGAAAACACTGCATATTACATCCCTTTCTTGGAAATTCATAATGGTTTTGGAACCACCAGAGACTGTGAGATATGCAAAGAGAAGAAAAAAAATGGTTAACTTTGTTTTAGTCAATGTTTTCAAAAGTTGACTTTAGAATCCTCTTTTGCTACCCTTAAGAGTTGGGTGGATTCAGGGCAGAAAAAGCTTGGTGCACAGTTTACTCGCTTAGGTGTTCCCCCAGGCCCACTCCCAGATGTTCCCAGCTGCTCAGTTAGCAAACAGCTGATTCAGGCTGATAGAACAGTTGGGTGTTTAGGGACTTGAGGAAGAGGAAGAGGGTAAAGCTGGTGGGGCTTGTGGTTGTGGAGATGATTTACATCATGCAACCATAGCCACGGGAAAGAGAATGAGTAGTCAGTGTCCCCATTGACTAAAACATGCTAGAGGGCAGAAGGCTATGCTAGGGCCCACAAGGGCTGACAGGCAGGTTTTCATGAAGACAAATAGCCTGATACAATGTGCAATGCTACATTCTGTCCTCAAAACCTTTTCCTCACACCATATAGACCCAAGCTCAATGTGTTGTATCCCAGATTGTCTTTACAGTATCGGGGCCTGCAAAAGTGATGTACTCAGATAAGGAGATTCTTCTGAGGTCAGTCTCTTTAGCAACTTAATACTTCCCAATGTCTATCTCTGACAGTCATAGCCACACAACTGCCACACTCCTACATGAATAAGGACTTGGTTAAGATTTAAGACCTCTAAGTCCTGCAGTGGTCATAACTTGATCCCTGTTTCTGACAGCCATCTGTCTGCGGGGAAGAAGCAACCTTAACATATTAAATGACAGAAAGTGTTTAAGATTTATTCTGTCTTAAGCTCATATTTTCTTGGCTCCCACAGCTGAACTTTTGCATTTTCATTTTAATCCTACAGGCTATGTTATATTTTGCTTACCTATTTTGAAATGTGATTTTTATTTATCTTTTTCTACTTTCCTCAGTAACTGGCACAGAGCCACATTGGGGCCAGAGATTTTATGACAGAGAATGTTGAACAGAATTTGGCTGCTGATTTATTCTTTGCACCTTGCTATTTCAGAGAACCATGAGTTCAAGTGAAGTTTGGTTCTGTTGGCTTAGAGCTGAGAGTCATCCACATTAACATGTTCCAGTCAATCTGTGGACCAAGTTGGGCACTAGCACTACAGTCAGAATTTACCTCTCATTCTTGTATGCTCCCTTGTATCAGTGTGACAGCACTTAACTCTATCTGCCTTATATCCAGTTCTGGTTCGGACTCCTCCATATGGAAAGCCATTTAAAGACAGGAAACTCATCACATTGTACCCTCAACAACTAACACATTTATGATGCATGATAGGCACTGAACAGTAGTTGTTGAAAATTAAGGAAATTAGAGTTATACATGTCACTCTCTTTCCCACTAGTTCATGAATTCCTAAAGGAAAAAGATAAAGTCTTTCCCTTTTTGCATACTCACCATGTTTGCAGAAGAGAGGAGACTAATATACTTAGTACCTGCTGTATGCCAGCTATTTCACATTTTACTATGTTTCTTTCTTTCTTTCTCTTTTTCTTTTCTTTTTGAGACAGAATCTTGCTCTGTCATCCAGGCTGGAGTGCAGTGGAACCATCTCAGCTCACTGCAACCTCTGCCTCCCAGGTTCAAGCAATCCTCCCACCTCAGCCTCAGAGTAGCTGGGATTACAGGCCTGCGCCATTATGCCTGCCTAATTTCTGTATGTTTAGTAGAGATGGAGTTTTGCCATGTTGGTCAGGCTGGCCTCAAACTCCTGGTCTCGAGTGATCTGCCTGCCTCAGCCTCCCAAAGTGCTGGGATTACAGGTGTGAGCCACCACACCTGGCTGCATTTTATTATGTTTCTGTTTTACAGATGAGAAAACCAAGGGTCAGAGAAATTACATTAATTTGACCCAAGGTCTCACAGCTTATGAGTGGCCAGATCAAGAGGAAGACACAGGTCTGTGGGACTCAGGGGTTCCACACCATGATGGTGACTGACCCGTACACTCATGAAACTGAAGCCTGTGCTAGCAGCCGGGAAAGCTAAGAGGCAATGATTGATATTGCAGAATCCTGAACAGGTTTAGGAATTTGGGAATAAAGGTGAGGCTAAAATAGGAGGACTGTTGGAACATAAGTTTAAGAAGCAGTTGGCTATAACCAAAAAGATAGACAACAAGTGTTGGCAAAGATAGGGAGAAATCAGAACCCTCATATGCTGTTGGTGGGAATGTAAAATGGTGCAGCCACCATGGAAAACAGTCTGGCTGTTTCTCAAAAAGTTAAACATAAAGTTACCATACAATCCAGCAATTCTGCTCCTAGGTTTATACCTACGAGAAATAAAAACATATGTCCATACAAAAATCTGCACCTGAATGTTTGTAGCAGCATTATTCATAACAGCAAAAAAAGGGGGGGAGACAAGCCAAAGGTTCACTGACTGATAAATGGATAAACTGTGGTATGTCTATACAGTGGAATATTATTCAGCAATAAAAAATGAAGCACTGATGCATACTACAATACAGATAAATCTCAAAAACATTATGCTAAGTAAAAGAGGCCAGTCACAAAAAAAACACACACACATTGTGTGATTCAATTTATATGAAATGTTTACATTAGCAAAGTCTAGATTCAGAAAGCAATTAATGTTTGCCTAGGGCTGGTGGTTTTGAGGGGAACTGAGGAGTGACTGTTAGTGGGTAGAGGTTTCTTTTTAGGGTGGTGAAACTTCTGAAATTGATTATAATGATGAATAAAAAATATGTGAATATAACAAAAAAACATTGAATTGTACACGTTAAGTGGATGATTTGTATAGTATGTGAAAAAAAGAGAAGGAGTTGGAGCTGCCCACCCAAAGAGCTGTGTGACTGCCCCTCCCTAACCACAGCAGAAGATTCAAGGTTTACTACTTGGAAACATTAAAACAAAAGTTCTCTTGTCTAGTGGACACCGGGAACAGGAAATGAGAGGAACTGTAATGAAATCAGGGGAAAGGCAAAAGTTTACCAACTGAATGCTCAGACCCTGAGTCCTCTTCTCCCACTTAGCCAGAAAGTCCCCTCCATGGTAAAGATTAGAAGGTTCTTCTCTGGGGAATTTGACCAACTAATAAAAAAATAAACTAATGGTTCTAATTCCAGGAGGTTCCCAGTGGAACAGCCCAACCAGGTAAACTTAGAGTGATGGTCACAATTCACAAAATCCACCAGCACAAAAGTTTCCAATTGACCTGTGTAATGTTCTGCTCTTAAATAAGACAGTTGAGGGTCATCAGACAACTGATACAACCTCTAACATGAAAAGACAAAGATGAAAATAAAGAAACCAGATAAAGCAATTGAGAGGAAATCTACATTATGCAGGAAAATTAATACCTCAGAAAAAAACAAATACCATTAATACACTTACAGAGATAAGAGAAAATAATATATCTGGAAAACAGGATGCTATAAAAAAGCAACCACCAGAGAAAAAGGGCTGGGCACGGTGGCTGACACCTGTAATCCCAGCACTTTGGGAGGCTGAGGCAGGTGGATCACTTGAGGTCATGAGTTTGAGACCAGCCTGGCCAACATGGTGAAACCTCGTCTCTACTAAAAATACAAAAATTAGCCGGGCATAGTGATACATACCTGTAATCCCAATTACTAGGGAGGCTGAGGCAGGAGAATCACTTGAACCCGGGAGGCGGAAGTTGCAGTGATCTGAGATAGCACCACTGCTCTCCAGACTGGGTGACAGAGCGTGACTCCATCTCAAAAAAGAGAAAAAGAAAGAACTTTTGGAAATTAAAAAATATGATCACAGAAATAAATCTCAATGGAAGGGCTGGAAGATGGAGTCAAAATATTACAGAAAGTAGAATAAAGGCATATAAATAGAAAAAAGTAAAAATAAGGAAAAATTAGAAAATCAATTTAGAGGCTAGGTGCAGTGGCTCACTGGGATCACTTTGCAGCCCATAATCCCAGCACTTTGGGAGGTCAAGGCAGGCGGATCACCTGAGGTCAGGAGTTCAAGACCAGCCTGGCCAACATGGTGAAACCCCGTCTCTACTAAAAATACAAAAATTCGCTGGGCGTGCTGGTGTGCACCTGTAATACCAGCTACTCGGGAGGCTGAGGCAGGAGAATTGCTTGAACCTGGGAGGCAGAGGTTGCAATGAGCTGAGATTGTGTCACTGCACTCCAGCCTAGGCGACAGAGCAAGACTCTGTTTCAAAAAAAAGAAAAAAAAAAGAAAAGAAAATCAATTTAGAGGGTCCAATGTTCATATAACAGGTGTTTCCCGGAAAAAGAACAGAGGGAGGGAAGCACTGGAGGAGTAAGTGAACCACATTTCCCAGCATTGAAGGACATGAGTTTCCAGGATGAATGGGCCCATCACTACCTAGAACAAAGAAAGGAAAGACAGCCACTCCAAGGCTCATCATCATAAAATTTCAGAACACTGAAGACAAAAATAAAAGCCTAAAAGCTTCCAGACAGAGGAAAAAAACAGATCATTTATAAGAATTTTACAAAGAAAAAAAGATCAGCTTCACATTTAGCAGCAAAGTTGGAAGCTAAAGTAAATACAGCAGTGCTTTCGAAATTCTAAGGATAAATTATTTCCAATATAGAATGCTCTCAGTTCAATGAGGGGGTAACATAAAGACCTTTGCAGACCAGCAGAATCCCCAAAAATGTACATCCCACACACACTTGTCTCAGGAAGTTACTGGAGAATGCACTGCACTAAAATAAGCAACAAACCCAGTGTGTGTGCATGTGTCTGAGTGTGTGCATGTCTGGGTGTGTCTGTGTGTATATATCCTAACCTAACTCTAACTCTCAGCTGGTCAGAATGCTCCAGAAAAGATTTCTTCGAGAAGATAGAAATGAAAGAATTCCTAATATGTTTGAACACACAGAGGAGAGATTTGGGAAAGTAGAAGGGACTTGGGAGATGAATAATGATGTATATATGAGGAGCTAAAATAGCAAGAGGATTATTAACTTCGTGGGGGGGAAACAAAAAGCTATGCAAGAAACATGACTCAGCTGTGAGTCGCACTGACATTGTCACAATAATATCAACACTGAATGTGGATCTGAGATTACGCTGTAACTGTATTAGAAAGGTGGACAGGAACAGGAGATACCTGCAAGGGTTGTTAGGGGAAGGTAAAAGGTGAAAGAGAACAAAACCCTCTTCTGCTATAAAAGGAAGTCTGTATATAATACTTAAGATGAAAAAAAAGTGAAGCAAGAGCACTGTAAGCATGTCACGGAGAGATACGGGGGCCATGGCAGATCATCGTCATAAAGGACCACCAGCAATTCCTTCCAGCCCTCCATGCGCAAGTCCACTTCCTTCCCCTGGAATCTGGGCAGGCCCCATGACCTGCTCTGTCCCATGGAATGTGGCGGAAGTGGGAGTGGGTGGCTCCAGGGCCCTGGCCTTAGAGGCCTTTCAGCTTCTGACTACACTCTTGGTAGCCAGTGGCTCTGTGAAAAGTTCACCTCCCCTGCTGAACTAGAGGCCACCTGGAGAGAGAGAATCACTGGAGGATGAGAGCAGGGAAAACGTGAGACCAGCCAGGGAGCCCTCAGCCATTCCGGCCACCCCCAGTAATTCTCCAGGCTCCTGAGGGCAGCCACGTGTCCAGTCCAGGCTGAATTGCAGAATTGTGAGCAAAAAACCAGCTGCTGTTCTAAGCTACAGGGTTTCGGGATGGTTTTTTAGGCATTAGCAGGTAACTGAAAGAGGTGTAAATGCCACAAGAAAATGGTAAAAAAAGTTATCAAGAGGTTACCTCTGGGGAATGGAAAATGAAATGAAGGTGGCCTGGGTAGGAAACTGCTGTTTTTCAGAATTTCAGGAATTTCAGGAAACCTACGACATTATCTGACTCTTTAAACTATGTACATCTCTAACTTTGATAAGAAATAATGTAAAACAAGCAAAATAAGATTATATGAATGGAAAAGTCAGACAGACAAAAATAAAAGCATTCAGGTCCAACAGATAACCAGCACTGATAACCAGATAACCAGAAAATGCCCCCAAAGAGCCAGAGTGTGGAGTTCAACCTGAAACCACAGAAGACGCAGTTTGAAGCTGGAGCCTTCAATACTTGACACAAAGCAGGTTTCCAACAAATGCCAAACCAAACATCATAGCAAATGCAGACATTTTTAGGAGCCAGCCTGAAGGACCGTGGACAGGGACTAGGCTGAAGTTAGACTTCTCTTCCATGCTGGCCCACTGGCGCTGTCTACATATGAGTACCCATTGGTTGCTCTATCGTGTTTAGACCAGGGTCCATTCCCAGCTCTTGTACATTTGTCATTACTCTTAGAACAAAATGGTATGGTATCACTGGTTGTTAAAATATTTAAGTGCTTCCAAACCAGCTGGTTGAAGAACAATGGCCTCTGCTCTGAGCATTTCTGCAAGCTGTCCCTGTTTCTACTGTCACCACCACCCACTGTAGCAGGTCCTTGCCCCTGTATCCCTGGGGCCATCAGGACCCCTGAGTCTACAGTCACTCTCCACTGACCAGTGCTCCAAGGAGTTGCTTTCATATGGGAATGGTGGCTTCCACAGTGTGTCACCTGGGTTGCTAAATATTTGGAATGTCCCCTTGATGTTGCTGTGATATCTGGAAGACTTCTTTCCTAACACCAGAGGCTGATAGAATTAATGGTAATGTGTGGGCTTTGAAATTCAAAGACCTGGGTTTGAAGACTGGCTCCACCTTGTAATAGCAATAAGCTCATGTCTGCCTCTCAGTCTCCTATAAGCTGGAACCAATGATTCCTATCTCACACATTTTGGGGAGGGAAATGTGAACTGACACATGGAAAACATCCAACACATACCATCTGCTTAATAAATATGAATTTTCTTTGAAGTAAGAGGACAGAGGCAGTGGTAAAAGCTACTATGCCTTAAGGTCCAAAATAAATATCCTAGAACTTTAATCATCTGGCTTCAAAAGACACAAAACTCCATTCTGAGGTGACTATTTGGGGGAAGGACCAACAGGAAAGCTTGATGAGCAAAAGAGTAATGCGTGCTGCAGGTTCTATTTGGGCTTCAGCAAATTGGCACTGAAGTACCTGGTTGATATTGATGAAAATTTATCTTAACGTATTTTGGGCTGTAAAAACTGAAGAAAGGTGTCCTTTTATCTTGATATGTCCCTAAGCACAGTATCGGTAATATTTGCCCTGGTTTTATAGCTTTACAAATGTAAACCTGGCTCCCCGCATGGTTTCCTTTTTCCAGTCTTGGCATTTCTGGAACACAGTTATTATGTATTCTCCTGGTGAATGAACTCAATGCAGCGTAACAAAGTATCTGAGGTTCAGGATATTTTGTAGGGGGGTAATTAGATCGGCCTTCCATTCAACTGTTTCACTCCAAATGGATGAAGGAATCTGTAGCAGTTTAAATACTTGTAGATTATTTTAAAGTATCACAGGAGATTCATTTTGATTACTCAGCTGCTTACTGAATTTGTTTTGCAACAATGGGATCACTTTTGATTCAATTGCACAGTTTTTTCAAGTCAAAAGTCAAAATTATAGACATAAAATGACTCCAATTTCTGGCACAACTTGCAATTCTGATGCTTGTAAAAATGGCAGATACTTGCTTTTAGAATAAAGAGGCATGGGTACCCTATTCCTTCCTTTACAGTCTAACAAAACTGAGAAAGGGTGTTTTTGTTACTTTTACCCCTAAGTTGGCAGTGGGGGCTAAATCAGATTTCCCCACAGCCACCAACTGCAAGAACTTAGAAGTAATCAGTAAGTACGACATCCAAAACCTTGACATCTGCATTCATCATTCATAGGTGATTATGGTGGAGGTGATGCACTTCCCTTTCTTCTATGAGGAAAATTCTCATCCAGTCATTTTAATCATGTTAATAAGAGAGTCAGAATGAGGCCTTGAATCTCTGCCTTAAATTGAATAAGGGCCTTGGCAGGGCCTCAAATACATGGGTGATTTGGCAAGAAAAACTAATGCTGTCCATTTCTCTGGAGACAAAAAAAAAAAGAGGTCTTTGGTTTAAAAATAACACCGATACGTCTTTTTGTTTTGAAATCCATTAACGTTGTTTAGATTATCTAAACAATTATGCCAAAGCAATATACTATAATTATTTACAAATGTTGGACCAACGTTTTGAGTTTAAGAGACACAATTCAAGAAGACTCTGAATTTGGTTTCCTCTCACCTCCCACACTGAAATGTCACACTTAAGAGATTTCAGGTCAGGCACGGTGGCTCATGCCTGTAATCCCAGCACTTTGGAGGCTGAGGCGGGCAGATCACTTGAGGCTAGGAGTTTGAGACGAGCCTGAGCAACATAGCAAAACCCTGTCTCTACAAAACATACAAAAATTAGTTGGCCATGGTGGCACGCACCTGTACTCAGTCCCAGCTACTTGGGAGGCTGAGGCAGGAGAATCGCTCGAACCCAAGAGACAGAGGTTACAGTGAGCCAAGACTGTGCCACTGCTCAAGGGATCCTCCCACCTCAGTCTCCCAAGTAGCTGGGACTATAGCCACTCACCACCGCACCCATTAAATTTTCTGTGGAGACAGGATCTTGCTGTGTTGATCTGGCTGATCTCAAACTCCTGGCCTCAAGCAACCCTCCCATCTTGGCCTCCCAAAGCACTGAAATTATAAGCACGAGTCATCAGGCTCAGCCCTCCTCTCTTTTAAGACATTTTTCTTTAATGTTGCTTGCCCTATTAATGTAATATGAAATATAATTCAAGATATGAAATATAATGTAATCTGAAATATGAACTATAATTCAAATCTCTCCTGCAAATGAAAATGTCCCTGTCTTCAGCCAGATTATCTGAACCTCAAACAGGGCATGTTCTACTCTCTACTTTGGATTCCAGTTGTTTACGCATAAGTCTTGTCTTGTCTACCAGACTGCAAGCTCCATGAGCACAGAAGCTATATTTTATTCATTTTATTTGGCATTTCTAGAGGGCCTTGCACACAGAAAGTTAATACCAAATATTTGTTTAAAGAATAAATGAAGGCTAGTTAGAACTTGGTGGCCCAATTATAAATAATAAAACAGAAATATGACAGCTTAATGGAAAACTAATACTACTGATGAAATAGACATGACATCATATGGTTTAAAAACATACTTATACATACATCTGTCCGAATACTTATTTAGAGACAAACTTGTTTAATGTTGTGATTCCTTGATGTCATATCCTTACTGGATAAAACCGGACACTGGATTTGAAACACAGATCTTTAAAAATATCATGTCATCAGTAGGCACGTGAGCAATAGTACTAAAAAAAAAACAGTGCTCCTAGGTAATCTAAATATACTTACACATATTTATCAATTTTCTACCACTACTATAACAAATAGAAAAACTGTTTCATTACTACAATTACAAACTTCACTTTGGGAATTATCCCTGCATTTTTTATGATGATAGCAGTGACGGCAGCTGGAATGCAACCAATACTAATACTTCCCCACGTGGAGCACAACTCACTCCTTCTATCCCTGAGGTCTGTTTTAACACATTTGCAATTTGAAAATTACTTTCATTTCAGAACTGAACATTTGCCTTCATGGTCTAAACTACATCACTGATTAAATGAACATAGATGGCTCATAATTGGCAATTAACTTATTGCTGGGAGGAAGCAGCAGGTTATAATACAATATTACAATTACTAAAACAACTTGAGTTCCTATTACATACTAGCCACCATTCTAAACAACTATTTAATCCTTAAACAACATCAAGTAGATGCCATTGTTGTCCCTCATCACATTGATAAAGAAACTGGGGCCCCAGGGGGTTAAGTGACTTGCCTGAGGTCCCCAGGCTCTCTTGGTTTCAGAGCCCACACTCCTCGCCCAGCACACAGAAATGATTGGATTCAACACCTGGGATCACTAAACATAATTGTATTTTATGAGATGGTTATATTTTAAAGCATATATTATCTACTTTAAAGTAGGACTGTTTTGCCTTTGAATAATAAATTGTTTTATAAACATCAGCTAGTTTCCTAACATTTCTCTGTCATAAGAAAATGACTGGGGCAAAAGAAATGTGGCTTCTTCCACAGAGCCAGAGACAAGTGAGTTTTTCACACCAAATGTAAAACATCCAACGTCACAGGCTAGTGAATAATACCTCACGTGATACTGAGGTATGATATCCCATCATTCAGGAAGCATAAAGGAGTCATGTTTAATATATCCAAGTCCAATAAGTGTATTTCATTTTAAAACCCCCATGCTGAAAAATGCATTTCTTTTCTATTTTTAAGAGTATTGATGGAATATTCATGACAAATTCAGAAGTTAAGAGAGCTCCTAGGATCTCTTTGGAATCTTAATTTGGGATTACTAATTTATGTTTATATTGGCTTTCACTGCTGTATAATTACAAAACACCCTTAAGCAATCAGCAGGACCTTTTTGAGGTATGATGCTGGTTTTGGTTCTTCAAATGTCATGCACTGAAAAAGAAATCAAATCACTGCTTGACTAAGAAGTTACTTCCCTTAAGGTTTGGATGGTTGGTGTGGTTAGAAACTCTGTTGTCAGCAGTAAAGAATGAACCTTCTATGAAAAATGTCTATACTTCCCTGTTCCTGGTTTAAAATACTTAGTAGTATCATTATTTTTACTGATCACTCACCGGTGGTTACAGTCTGTTCATGAAAATGGCACTTCTGACAATATTTCATTTTCTCAATGCAAACCTGTTAGCAAGACGAGTGTAGGGGCCGTTTTCAGAGTTGGTGGCTACAGTGGGCCATCCACATTCATTCAATCAGCGGTAAGCAAAACCTCCCAGAAGATAAGCTACACAGGGAAGCAATCCTGAAATCTGCTTTATCTTTGCAACAGCTCCAGTTTAGAGCGTCTCCTCCACTGGCTGACTGAAGAACACATCAATCCTTCAGACCTTTGATGCTAGGTCATTACAGTTCTAAGTCCGGATGATAGCGCCTTGTCTACGTTGCTCACTCAGTATCTAGTGGAGCGTGACAGCACACAGTAGGACTTCACAAAGATGTAGGACTTGAATGCATTATTAGGGCATAGCTAGGAGGGAGCCTGGGCTAGAGATTACACATGTGATTCTGGAATCAGACAGTCTGAGCCTGAATACTGATCCCCCCCGCCACCAACTAGCTGGGTACCCTTAGACAAGTAACACAACCTCTCTGAACCTAAGTTTTCCTATCATAAAATGGAGGAAATGATAATGCCTGGCATGGCAGGTGCTCAATAAATGTTAGCTATTATTAAAGGGAAGTCTGTGTTAGGCTGGCCTCCCTGAGAGATTACCCACATGCTGGTTTTACCCAGGGTGAAACATATTTTCTATCACAAAATTTAAATGTCCATTTTCCCATTTGAAAGCTAATACTTCAAGGTCCATTTAACTTTATTTGGCAGCGGTTGCAAGAGTTGTTTTGAAATAATATTATAATGAGAATAGGCATTTAGTAGGAAAATGAGATACTCTGTTATGACATAGCCTGAAAGCCATCATCGGCTAGCTTTTTCTATTCACCCCATTATCAGTGGATGAGCCACATGGCAAAGGGTTGGAGCCATTGGAACAACCGTGGGAAATTGCATAGGAGACCACAGAGAAGATGTATACTTAGCAATAATTAAACCTCAGATTAAGAATGTCAAGCATTCCCAAACTAATGAAAAGTCAAAAGTATAATTAGATTGTAAATTTGCCTCCCAGAGAAGGGCAGCCCCTATTACCAATCAGTGAAGGGAAAAAGGCCTCATTTTGTTTCCATTTTCCTTTAGAAAATATGACTCTTTCAATGTTAAATGCAATTGCCTTTATAGGCTTGTTTGCTTATCCCAGTTAAGAACAAGAAATCTCAGAGAGACACTGAAAAAGCAAAAAGACTGTGAGTCCCAAAAAACTTTGGGAGAAGTATACTGCTTACTAGTGCATTTTAAATATATTATTGCCAAACTGTATTTCAGAAATATTTATGCACAAAAGTACAAAAATAAGCAGCTGAACACTGTGTTTTCATGGCACCAGCCTCCTCTCTGTGTTAAATTATAACACTGGTTTGGACCTCTGTGGTCCCGGGTGGTGGCAGCTGTTTTTGGTTGTCTCTTAGGCAACAAGTGCTGCTGCACTGAAACTAACCAATATCCCCAACTTTAAGAACCAAGAATGTGATTTAGTTAACGACACACGTAACTCTAGAGGAGTCAGATTCCTTCGTCAAGAATGTGAATATGTATCCAAAAAGCCATGAGATTGATGGTGTAGTACAGCTAATTGAAAATGAAATTGGAAATAAATTAAAACAAACTTCATGTTTTAATCAGTTTGGAAGACTTCAAGTACTGCAGCAACGGGGAAAGTCATTTTCTTCTGGGTAATATATAATGATGTCATTATTTTGGTACTTGTGACTCCAGGGATGGAGGAAATGGATGTTTGCTGAATGCAACAGATAGGTGGCGCTGTGACTGACTGGCAGATGCAGGATTACACTCCAAGAGCCTGGTCACTACAAAGGCCATATCCAGGTTTAAATATCAGAATTAGAAAGTCACGTTGGTACCCTAAAAAGGCATCTGACTTGCACAGGAATATTTGCTTTTGCAAATGAACTTCTTTAACTTCTATGGTGTCCACTGATTTTCAATTTGGCTAAAGAATGGGGTGTGTGTGTGTGTGTGTGTGTGTGTGTGTGTGTGTGTTTGAGAGAGTCTTGCTTCTGTCACCTGCGCTGAAGTGCAGTGGCACGATCTCGGCTCATTGCAACCTCCACCTCCCGGGTTCAAGCTATTCTCCTGCCTCAGCTTCCCAAGTAGCTGGGACTACAGGCATGCGCCACCAGGCCCAGATAATTTTTGTATTTTTTAGTAGAGACAGGGTTTCATTACATGTTGGCCAGGCTGGTTTCACTATATGGTGATCCGCCTGCCTCAGCCTCCCAAAGTGCTGGGATTACAGGCATGAGCCACTGCACCTGGCCAAGAATGTTTTAGATTAACACGTTTATTCTAAGAATTTACAAGGCTTGTCGTTGCTTTCTATCATGTTGGCTTTCTGAAGCACGGGGAGTTAACAACTATTTGATGTAATCAGGAACCCGGGGAAAATCTTTAGTTGGTTCCCTATGGCAAATGGTCAAAACAATTCCACTTGGTAAAAGCAGCTTTCCGTTTTTGTCTAGGCTTCCAAAGCCTCACATGCAACTGGTTGGCTCCACCTCTTCCTGGATACAGCACCAATTGTGGGTTACTTGGCTAGTTAGTTGTCTCAGATTCACTTTTTTTTCCAGTCATCTTCACCAGAGGTTATCTATTTGGTGTCTTAGGGCCTTCCAAGCCACACGGGGTAACTGACAAGGCTTGTCTTTAGATGCCTACTCTATCCTCCTAGTTGCCAGTTCCTATTTCTTCTAGACTCAGTTTTCATACCTATACTGTTAGGATTGAAATGTCTACTCTCAGGGCTGTTGAGAGGATTAATTGCAATGTGTTTGTAGTGTATATAGTACAGTGGCTGGCACTTAGTAGGTACTAAAAAATTATTACTGCCCCTCCCGTCCCCACCCCACCACTCAGACAAATGTAATAAATACAGATTACGTGGTAATAATTGGTAGGCAAAACTCTCATGGAATATTTTTTTTCTTTTTTTTTTTTTTAGACGGAGTCTCGCTCTTGTCACCCAGGCTGGAGTGCAATGGCTCGATCTCGGCTCACTGCAACCTCCATCTCCTGGGTTCAAGTGATTCTCCTGCCTCAGCCTCTCAAGTAGCTGGGATTACAGGTGCCTGCCACCACGCCCAGCTAATTTTTTGTATTTTTAGTAAAGACAGGATTTCACAATGTTGGCCAGGCTGGTCTCGAACTCCTGACTTCGAGTGATCTTGCCCACCTCGGCCTCCCAAAGTGCTGGGATTACAGGTGTGAGCCACCGCGCCCCGCTGGAATATTTTCGTTTTTAAAAGAGGGCTTCAAAATGATTAGTCTACCCGGGGATTCACCAGTCCGTCCCTCCATCAACCTCCCCGACTGGGGCGGAAAGTGTATGGGGCTTCTGGGCAGCGCTAGACCACAGCGGGTAGGCCACCATCTGGTCCAGAATGCAGCATAAATCTCTCCAAAAATGTGTTTAGGACTTCTGGGTATGTTTTCCAGTGCAAATGTAAAGTGGAAAAGTGTCTCAAGTGCAATAGCGGTCCTTTACCCAGTAAAAAGCATAACAAAAGTTTCAGGGTTTAAGAACCCACGTGGGAGCTGATGGAGTGGGTAGGTGGTTAATCTTCCCAAGTTTTAAAAACCACTGGTCTTAATGACCAGCAGAGAAGATTCACTTCTGGCTAAAATGATAACTGAGCCCCAGATAACTTTTAGCCATGTGAAATTCTTTCCTTTCTAGGGAGTCTCCTCAATCAGAGCCAGCTAAGGAATGTGTGTATTTCCTAGAATGTAAATGAGGGAAGAGAAACTGAGATGGAGACAGAAGGAAAGCAAGCCACTGCATTTTGAAATTCTCTAGGTAGGCAGTTGTATCGTGTCTTTTGTTTCTTTTTCCCTGGGGCAGACCACTTTTCACCTGGCCATCAGTCACCTCCCTTCCCGAGGTCTCCCGACGTGGACACCTAACGCCCTTGGAAAGGGAGTGAATTGGTAGGATATCATCGCTCCGGTTAGTTCCGCGGGAGCTGCCCTTCAGAAAAAAAACTTTCCAGAGCCAAAAGTTACTTTCCAAGCGCCTTGGGGCTTCCCGGGCGCCTCCCTCGGACGGCAACCCTAGAAGTCAAAGCGATTGCATCGCCAGGTCTGTGGCGGCTGGAAGCGGGGTGACCGCGGTCAGATGGCATTTCGCACCCACGCAGGGCTGTGTTATCCTAGCACAGAACCAGCAACTCTCACACGAAGCCTTGTGTAAACACCACGCGGGCCCATTCCTGAACGACTCTTTGATGCCTCCGCTGCGGTTACTTATCTCATACATAAATCAGGATTCCGCTGACAAATCTCCGTGTTTCCACTAAACAGAAGGCTGCCCTGCAGTCCTTCTCGTGCTTCTTTCTAAAGTACGATAACATCTGACACTTCCATAAACCGGCCTGCAGAGGACACCGCGCAGGGGGCGACTAACCAGCTGAGGTGTGTCACCCCAAAACACCAGTGGGCACACCCCAAGGCGGGCACGTGGAAGGGACGCGGAACCGAGGGCAACTATTTTCCAGTCGGTGAATCTGATGGAGAAAGATGCCAAATGCACTTCCCGAGCCAGCTGAACTCCTCGGGCACCTAATCATTGCCAGATGTGGCGAGGGCGCACGGAGAACATCCCCAGTCCCGGAGAAAACACCCGGCCGCCAGCGCGGGGACCGCTCGGGCCGGGAAACGGCTAGAGGCGGGAGGAGAGAGGACTGGGCGAGCGTGGGGAGCGCTGCGGCGTGGAAAAGCGACCGGGAGGGATGGCGATGCCTCCACTCTCCTCGGCAGGTTTTTTCAATTAAAAAGTTGGAAACGGGAATCCGTAAACAACGACTTAGGGCTTCAAACTACTTGCAAAGACGCGATGGGGAGGGGAATACTTGCGCGCTTCAAAACCCCAACCTCGAGGTCTCCAGCCGCGCCTGACCCGGGAGCCGGGTGCGCCCCCAGTGTCCGCGCACGAACCCGGCGCCCTGGCAGCCCCGACTCCCCGGGCCCGCAGCCCAAGGGAAGGTTCGCGCGGGAGGCACCTCCGTGGCCTCCCGCGCGCCCCGAAGCCCGTTCCCCCCGCCCAGAGCCCCGCGGAGCTGCCGCCGCCCTACCTTTCATGGTGACCGTGGGGACGCACCGCCGGCCGGGGAGCTCCGCGCGAGCGCCGCGCAGCCGAGGAAGTCGTCCCGAGCGGCTGCTCACCGCACGCCCATGGTAGCCGCGCCGCGCGCCGGCCGTCTGCGCCCCCGTCCTCCCTCGCCGCCGCCGGCCCGCGCTCCCCGCGCTCCCGGCTCCGCGCTCTGCTGCCTCGGGGCTGCCGCGCGCGCCGCTCTCGCTCTCCCAGCGCCCCTCCCCCTGGCCCGACCCGGCCGAGCGAGCGGCCGCGCCCACGCCCCTCTCGCGCCCTCCCGCGCCCGCCCCGCCCTCGGCCCGCGCCTGCCCTCGCCGGGCACTTTCTCGCCCGCCCTCTCCTGCGCGCCCTGGCCCCACTCGCGCGGGCTCTCTCTTTTTCCCGTTGCACCAGCGTCGGGATGAAGTCGGGAGCAAAGCCCTTCCCGGGGCGGTCCAGCGTTCACCTTCGGCGAGCACCTAAGGTGCCGCTGCTGCTGGGGTCGCTTCTACACCCCAAACTACCTAGCAAGTGTTGGGCGAGAGGATGGGGAGCTGCTGTGCCCCGGGGGTGGCGGGGGGTAAGGTGGGCCCTTCCCCAAACGGCTCTGGGGCATGGAGAGGTACAGAACGTCCTCCGGGTTCAGAGTTTCCAAGTGCGTGCGCTGGTTGACGCCTGAAGGAGACCAAGCAGCAGGGAACACTCTCTCTGTCACCCAGGGAGAGCCCGAGTGGCCAGAATCCGAAGTCACCATTAGACACTCTCTCTGCGCTCTTGGACACCTCCAGAGAAAAAGCCAGCACATCCTGCCTTGGCTGGAAAAGCCAGCCTTCCACCCAGCGCCCCTAAAATGATCGGGTTGACTCCAGTTTTGTTACGAAAGGAGGCCGGGCTGCTGAGAGGCTCCCTGAGTTCCCTTCGTGGTCGCCCGTCACATTGCCCTGCTGTATACTTAATAAAGCCCGTGTTTATCTTTCTCTTTAGAACCCCCTCTAAGCAGACCCATCGCTTTATTGCTTTAAAACATACACTAAGTGGTGAGTGGAGCTGGGGCGAGGGAGGTGCGGAGAAACTTTCTGCCACATGTTGACATTACAGATGGCTACTCAGACGCACTAGTCCACCAAAAGCAATCGAACACTGGCCGGGCAGTGCTTGCAGCTTTTCAGTTTGCCCTCCTGAGGACTTGGTAACACGGTGTAACCAATCCATTGGTTCCCTCTAAGTAGGGGATTCTTTGCTCTAGTAAAAGGTAGTGCCCCAAAATGAATACATATTGAAACATTTCATAGATTCTCCGTTCCAGGAGATTTCTTTTTTCTTTCTTTTTTTTTTTTTTTAATTTTTTAACATAAGGGGGCACCTTGAACATGACGAACAAATGAAAAGACCGAAATGCTTTTTCCCCCGCACTGTCTGCAGTTGATGAAACTACAGGGTCCTGGTCCTGGAGCATGTTTCAGATCTCACTGGGGCACCAGCCTTGTCTTTCAGGGCAAATGGGGATCCCTGAAGGGAGCTTAGGATATGAATTTTCAGCCCGGAGTTTACTAACCAATGGCGTGACCTCGGCTCACTGCAACCTCCACCTCCCGGGTTCAAGCGATTCTCCTGCCTCGGCCTCCCGAGTAGCTGGGATTACATGCGTGTGCCACCAGGCCCAGCTAATTTTTTTGTGTTTTTAGTAGAGACGGGGTTTCACTATGTTGGCCAGGCTGGTCTCGAACTCCTGACCTCGTGATCCGCCCACCTCTGCCTCCCAAAGTGTTGGGGTTACAGGCGTGAGCCACCGCGCCCGGCTTTCTTTTTTTTCTTTCTTTCTTTTTTTTTTTTTTTTTTTTTGAGACGGAATCTCACTCTGTCGCCCAGGCACAATCTTGGCTCACTACAACCTCTGCCTCCTGAATTCAAGCAATTCTCCCACCTCAGCCTCCCAAGTAGCTGGGACTACAGGGGTGGGCCACCAAGCCCAGCTAATTTTTGTATTTTTAGTAGAGACGGGGTTTCACCATGGTGGCCAGGCTGCTCGCAAACCGTACCTCAAGCGATCCGCAGGCATCAGCCTCACAAAGAGCTGGGATTACAGGCGTGAGCCACCACGCCCTGCCGAAAAAAAAAAATCGTTTTTAAAACCCAAATTATGAATATGACACCAAAAGTACAGGCAGCAAAAGAAAAAATATAGATAAATTGTACTTCATCAGACTTTTGTGCCTCAAAGGCCAGTATAAACAGAGTGGAAAGCCAACCCACAGAATAGGAGAAAATATGTGCAAAAGCCCTATATCTGATACAGGATTAATATCCAGGATATATAAAGGATTCCTGCACCTCAGCAACAACAACAAAACAGGCAACCCAATTTGAAAATGAACCAAGGACTGACATGGACATTTCTCCACAGAAGACATATAATGGCCAATAAGTACATGAAGGATATTCAATCACTAATTGTCAGGGAAATTTGAATCAACCGCAATGAGCTACTACTTCATACCCAGTAAGATGGCTATTTAAAAAAAAAAACAAAACAAAATAAGTGTTGGCGAGGATGCGGAGAAATTAGAACTTTTGTGCATTGCTGGTGGGAATGTAAAATGGTACAGCCACTATGGAAAACAGTATGGTGATTTCTCCAAAAATTAAACACACAATTACCATATAGTCCAGGAATTCTATTTCTGGGACCCAAAAGAGGTGAAAGCAGGGTAACAAATAGATGTACATCCAGGCTCATAGCAACATTACTCACAATAGCCAAAAGGTGGAACAACCTAGTGTTCACTGTTGAATGAATGGATAAACAAAATATGGTATAGCCATACAGTGGAATATGATTCAGTCTTTAAAAGGGAGGAAATTCTAACACATGCTACAACACGGATAAAACTTGAGGCATTATGCTTTGTGAAATAAGCCAGTCACAAAAGGACCAATATGATTCTACTTATAAAAGAGAGTAAAATGCCGCCAGACGTGGTGGCTCACGCCTGTAATCCCAGCAGTTTGGGAGGCCAAGGCAGGTCAATCACGAGGTCGGGAGTTTGAGACCAGCCTCGCCAACATACTGAAACCCCTGTCTCTACTAAATATACGAAAATTAGCCAGGCATGGTGGCTGGCACCTGTAGTCCCACCTACTTGGGAGGCTGAGGTGGAAGAATCGCTTGAACCCGGAGGCAGAGGTTGCAGTGAGCCGAGATCGCGCCACTGCACTCCAGCCTGGGCGACAGAGTGAGACTCCATCTCAAAAAAAAAAAAAAAAAAAGAGAGAGAGAGAGAGAGTAAAATGCATAGGGATAGAAAGTAGAATGGTGGTTGCCGGGGGGGGGATGGGGAGTTGTTTCACAGGCACAAAGATTCCATTTGGCAGGATGAAAAGAATTCTGGAGATGGATGGTGGTGATGGTTGCACAACAATGTGAATATACTTAAAGCCACTGAACTATACACTGAAAAATAGCTAAGATGATAAATATATATATTTGACTACAATAAAAAAATTCAAACAGAAGAATGATAAGGTAAAAAACAAACAAGAAACCCCTAAGGCTATGATGTCAGCTGTGATAATGAGCCAGATTCATAGATCTACTGATGAGAAAACAGGCTTAGCAACTTTTCTAAGGATAATTTTAAGGAACAGTCCTGGGACCAGGTGCGGTGGCTCATCCCGGGGCTTTGGGAAGCCAGGGAAGGAAGGTCACTTGAGGCCATGAATTCAAGACCAGCCTGGGCAACATAGTGAGACAAAAAATTTAAAAATCAGCTGGGTGTGGTGGCATGCATCTGTAGTCCCAGCTACTCATCAGGCTGAGGCAGGAGGATTGCTTAGGCCCAAGAGTTTGAGGCTGCAGTGAGCTAGGATCATGCCACTGTACTCCAGCCTGGGCAACAGAGTGAAACCCATCTCTAAAAAAAGAAGGAATCCTGGATGAGTGCCTTCCTCCCCCCACCCTGTCACCTTCAGCACAGAGTGAGTTGGGCCCCACAGGTCCTCAGTGTGGAGCCTCCTCTGAGCCCCACTCTGGAGGATATGAAGACGGAAGGTCATGGTCACATGCAGATCATCAGCTGATCAGGATTTCTCTGGTCAAGAGCTCTGGGAGGAATTGAGAATTGAGCTGGGGATCAGGGAGAAAAGAAGGGAAAAGGAAAGAAGAGAAGAATGTGATTGGAAAGGACTGAGCCATGGAGCTGAAGATGCTTTGAACTCAAAGATGGCCTGCAGGTCCTCCAGGTCACAGGCAAGCTTCCCCACCCCCAGAAGCAGCAGCCAGGCCTTGCATTCAGACTAAAGTTTCAGAATCTGGAGGAAGCATCATCTCATCTTCCCCTCACCCCAGCCCCATGCTAGTATCACCTTTATACTGATGAAAAAGCCCAATCACCCTTGACTCCTCCCTCTCCCTCAACTCTACATCCTCACCAAGCCCTGCTTCTACCTTAGAAATACATCTCAAACTTCTCTGTCTCTCCATCTCCACTGCATCCCCCATGTAGAGGCCATCATAGCCCATCTGAGCTGCTGCACTAACCTTCCAAAGGGCCTCCCCACGCCCACCTTGGCACCTTCTCCACTCCAGGCTCCAACACACAGCAGCCAGAGCAGCCACGAAGGACAGATGAGAGATGGGAAACAAACAAGCTGAACGCTGTAGTTTCTCCAGCTTTCTGCCTTGAGAGAGTTTCCAGCCTGTGATAAAAGGAACTTGGGCAGAGCCTGATGGGCACCTTGGGTAGAAGAGAAGCTGAGAGTCCAGGGAGATCAAGGCAAGGCAGAATACTGGAGGAGAGAGAGCCACAGTCCATTTGTGCTGCCTGCTGGGATCACTGCACTTGATCTCTGACACTCCCTAAGCTTCCTCTCCAGCTGGCCGCCAGAATATTCCAGCAACGTTCATGGTTACCACTACCTCCTTCCCATTCCTGTCTCTTCCCTCCTTATGCAGCATCTTTTGCTCCCTGTCAGCCAGGCTATTTAGTGTCTCCCCACACGTCATGGGCTTATTCCCATCTATGAGGCTTTGTGCCTCGTGTTCTGCCTCTGAAAACATCCTATTTCCTGCACTGTGTCACTACATGTATCCATGTTATCATGTCAGGTTCCAGTCAGCCTAGCTGTGCTTACTTTAACACTGTGGGAGGTTTCACAATGACTCAATAATGGCTAATTAAATGCTTTCAAAGGTTTATTGCAAGGCTTTCATACACCAATAACTATGCAAATACATGTAACACACATAGGTCATAATAAGAAAGAGGAGGAAGAAACCACGTGAATCCTCTACTGGGAGGACCCAGCAGAGCTTCCACTGCCAGACTAAAGGAGGCTTCAGAGTTCTCACAGACAGAGCTTCTTCAAGCTTCTTTGCCATGGTTAGTTTCTTTGCAGTTTTATGGCCCTCCCCAGGAGAGTTCATGGTCATTAGCTCAGCCACCTTTTGGCTTCCCTTTCTTGCTGGGTCTTGGTGGGGTAGTGCCTGGCCACAGCAGGTATTATCTTATCATCACGATCCACCATACGTATGCGTATCACTTTGAGGGGTTGGCAATTTTACTGTGGGTTGAGTTACTTGTCATAAGTGACTCCATTTTGAGACATTTAGGATCACAATACATTATTATATATCACAGGTCCACTTTAAAAATACAACTCTCCATTTAGAGACAGATCCCTTCATTCAACAAGCATGACTTATATAATAAGTATATGTGGGCACTGTGCCACATGCTGCAGAGAATGCAAAGTCGGATCAGACACAGTCTAGATTACCTATCCAGAAGACCAGTAGCTTAGACAGGGCATTCTAGAAAGGACCTACAGTACAAGATAGAAACTGGGGAAGGGGTGTTCAGTGTTCTGAGAAAGACACAGATTAAGTGCTAGAGAAGGAAAGAAAATGGGTGATGACTAAGTCAACATGGAAAGTTCCACTGGGACTGGCCCTGAAGGATGGTTAGAATTCCAATGATCAAAGGAAATGCTTTCTCTCCCTCCAGACCAGTGGGTTTAGAAATGGAGCCTGGGAACCACCTGTATCAGAATGACCCGGGGTTATTTTATAAAGTGCAGATCTGTTTTATATCACTCTTCAGATGATTTTCATGCTCACTAAATTTGGAGAATCATCACAATAGACTAAGAGCTTCTTAAGAGAAGGTCCATGTCTTCTTTATCTTAGTAACAATAGCTTCTAACAATTAACATTCAAAGATCGAATACAGGGAAATGAATTAACAATGGAGGGAAGTGCCTTAAAAATGCAGAGCAAGAGTAGCAAAATGTGGCAAAGCTTAGTGGCTGACATCTGTAATCCCAGGACTTCGGGCCAAGACAGGCAGATCCCTTGAGCTCAAGAGTTTGAGACTAGCCTGAGCAACATGGTGAAACCCCATCTCTACAAAAAATGCAAAAAATTAGCCAGGCGTAGTGGCGTGCACCTGCCTGTAGTCCCAGCTACATGGGAGGCTGAAGAGGGAGGATCAGCTGAGCCCACATGGTCCAAGGCTTCAGTGAGCTGTGATTGCGCCACTGCACTCCAGCCTGGGCAACAGTAGCAAAATGTATGGGACATCCCTTTGGAAATTTTTTTGTGACTGACTGAAAGGTTCTGTCACAATTTTTAACCACCAATGGATGATACACCATTCTCTGAAAGTCAAGCCTTTGAGTATGGCAAGAGAGCAATCTTGTTTTTTGAAAAGGATATTGGCTTCTACAGCTTGGTAATCAGTCACTTGATATTCTCTTCCATACTTGAAAAAGAATAAACCTTGTGTGGCAGAGTAGCCATGGTGCTGTTAGTCGCATCCACTAAAATGTTATATGTATATGTATATGTATATGTATATGTATATATGTGTGTGTGTGTATATATATGTATATGTATATGTGTGTATATGTGTGTGTGTGTGTGTGTATATATATATATATATATATGTATATATCCGGTAAAGAGATTAATGATGTTGAGATGGGTACCAGGTGCAATGTCTACAACCTCTGAGATGTGATTATGCTTGAGAACTGTCTGAAAAATTTTTTGAAATAAAGAAATGGCTTCTAAGTTTTTAAAAGCTTATGGTTCTTTGGCTACTTCATGTATCTATTTCTTTAGTTTTTAAACTAAAGGTTTTTGAAAGAGGGCTGTGATTGAGAGCTACTTTCTCTGTTTGTCCTAGGAGCCAGTATTTTATTCCATTTGCTGTGTCCCAGTTCAGAGGAACAGTCTGAAGTAATTCCTCCAGACTATTCTAAGGCCACTGATGATTCTTAGGACTGGTACTGGAGCCTCTTTTGAAGTTCAGTGGAAAGCCATGAGCCGAGGAAAATGGAATATGGCCCTTGAGTCTCAGTTTGGAGACTTGGACAAGTCCTAATATCTCTGGCCACAATTTCCTCATCATGATGTACAAATACTGGAGTCACGACCAGCAGGTCTGTTCCAACTCCGAAATGTTAGTAATTGTTTTCCTATTAGGCTTCAGCTGTATCACATATGGACATTTCAGGCTATTGACCAATACAAAAAAGGCTCAATAATATGCAGCTATTTTTATCACAATTAATTAATTAATTTCTATTTTTTAAGGTAGAACAGAAAGCCAATTGAACAAAGGTGAGATAATTTTGTCCAATTATTTATTTATCTGAGAAGGAGTTTCGCTCTTGTTACCCAGGCTGGAGGGCAATGGAGCGATCTCGGCTCTCCGAAACCTCCACCTCCCCGGTTCAAGCAATTCTCCTGCCTCAGCCTCCCGAGTAGCTGGGATTACAAGTGTGTCACCAGGCCCGACTAATTTTGTATTTTTAGTAGAGGTGGGGTTTCTCCATGGTGGTCAGGCTGGTCTCGAACTCCTGACCTCAGGTGATCCGCCTGCCTCAGCCTCCCAAAGTGCTGGGATTACAGGCGTGAGCCACTGCGCCCGGCCTCGTCCAATTATTTTATATGAAATAACAATTTGGTGGGGTAGGGAGAGCCTAGCAAAATTAAAGTCCAAATGATGGAATATCTTTAAAGAAACAGTTTTACCAAACCTTTTACAAACAAGGTTTTTAGAGCTTGTTTTTGCTGTTACTATATCTTTTGCCGTGACATAGATGAGAAGGGATTTACTCTGGCTTTGTCTTTCATCGGGTTTTGTCATTCATTTGTTCTGGTGGAGATGAAGCAAGTTGATGTGTATAAAGGCCACAGTCTGGTGATCAGTAGCATCCAACAGTGGGCCCTGTTCCGCTCTTAGCCTCCTGTCCCACGGAGCACAGGCCTCTCATGGCTCTAGGCTTAACTATTATCACCTGTAAAATGAAAGATTTGGGGCTAATTTCCAAGGTCTTTCACAGCTCAAAACCTCTAACATGAAAAACATATAAACGCCATTTGAGTACAGAATAAACACATAGAAAATGTGAAATTTGGAAATTTAGAAATATTTAAGAGAGAGAGAGAGATACTTGGCTGATCACTTTTTAAAATATTGGACTAGCTAATACATCTTTGTTCATATATTCGTGCCAACATTCCCGGTTCCTAGGAAACATTTGGTAAATATTTGTTAAATGAATGAATATTCATATGCAACTGAAACAGACCCAAAAGACAGAGGGGCTATTTTTTATGTCCTTGAATTCTCACCTACCTTTAACAAGAGATTTTTTATTATTATTATTATTATTATTATTTTGGAGATGGAGTTTTGCTCTTGTCACCCAGGCTGGAGTACAATGGCGCGATCTCGGCTCACTGCAACCTCCACCTCCCGGTTCAAGCGATTCTCCTGCCTCAGACTCCCGAGTAGCTGGGATTGCAGGTGTGCACCATCATGCCTGGCTAATTTTTGTATTATTAGTAGAGACAAGGTTTCACCATGTTGGCCAGGCTGGTCTCGATCTCCTGACCTCATGATCCGCCCACCTCAGCCTCCCAAAGTGCTGGGATTACAGGTGTGAGCCACCGTGCCCGGCCAAGAGCCTCTTTTTAATAGTAATAACAGTAGACATTTATTGAGTACTTTCTATGTTTTAGACCCTTCATATGGATTATCTTATTTATCAGATTCAGAAAATATTTGGGACCTCAGGGAAATTACTTCTTTAAGTATCAATTTCCTCATCTGAGAAATAAGCACAATAATATCTATTTTGCAATAACTGGGGTGGGGGATTAGAGATAATGTTTTAAAATGCCTCATACATTGCCTGTAACTTATGAATAGAATAATAATATAAGTAATATGAATAGAATAATAGAAGCTCAATAAATTGCACCTATTTTATCATAACTTATTTTTTCTATTTTTACTTTTTTAAAATTTACATTTTATTTTTGACACAGGGTCTTGCTCTGTCACCCAGGCTGGAGTGCAGTGGTTCTATCACAGCTTGCTGCAGCCTCAATCTCCTGGGTTCAAGGGATCCTCCTGCCTAAGCCTCTAAAGTAGTTAGGACTACAGGGATGTACCAACATGGCTGGCTAATTTAAAATTTCTTTTTTAGTAGAGAAGGAGTCTCACTATGTTGCCCTGGTCTTGAACTCTTGGTCTCAAATCGTCCTCCCTCAGTCTCCCAAAGTGCTGGGCTTACAGACATAAGCCACCTTGACTGGCCCTTTTTGTATTTTGTTTTTTAAAGTAAAACGGGAGAACAACTGAACAAAAGCAAAATAATTTTGTCCAATTTTTTAATATGAAATAACAATTAGGTAGGGAAGAGCCTAGTAAAATTAAACTCTAAATGATGTGATATCTTTAAAGAAACAGTTTTATTTTTAAGAACAAACAAGTACAAGAATAGTAGATCTCCTAAAGAGAACTGATTTATGGGATAGATTAAAATATTTATAATTCACTTGTAAATTGTTACTAAGTATGGTATGCTCAAGATATTTTAACATAATTTGTACTCTAAAGTAATTTAAACATTAACTTTATGAATATTGTTTATTCTATAATTTGATTAATAATAGTGAAAAGGTAAACTTTTGCTAAACTTTTGTCAAAATTGTCACAAATTCCAAATAAGTGTATCAAGATTGGTGAGGTTTCACAGTATGGTTTCATTCCTATGTGGTAGTATCTGTTGATATTATAGTCTTTGAAGACTGGCAGAATTTTACTTTACTCTTTATTTCTTGTAAATAACTAGCAGTTTTCATTAGAGTTTTTGACTCCTATAAATAACTTACACTACATTTTTTATTCAAGGTCAAGATTCAATACTTCTTTCCATTTTAGTTATCTATATCTTTCATTGAGACAATACAATATACTTTGAGTTTAAATTTTTCTTGAATGTGCTTTCTTAGCACATAAGAATATCAATATTCTAAAAGATTAAAAATAAAGAGCACTAGAAGTACAGATGATTTATTAAATATGATCTTTTATTTCGCAGACTTTTTACTAAATTTCAAAGGTGTTCATTGTTGATTGTTCCTATGCTGTAGTGAATTTTCACATCACCTATTAAGTTTATTTGCATTATAAACTTTTTTTTTTTTTGCTCTGTTGCCCGGGCTGGAGTGCAGTGGCGTGATCTCGGCTCACTGCAATCTCCGCCTCCCATGTTCAAGTGATTCTTCTGCCTCAGCCTCCTGAGTAGCTGGGATTACAGGCACGCACCACCAAGCCCGGCAAATTTTTGTGTTTTTAGTAGAGACAGGGTTTCACCATGTTGATCAGGCTGGTCTCGAACTCCTGACCGCGAGATCTGCCCGCCTTGGCCTCCCAAAGTGCTGGGATTACAGGCATGAGCCATCGCGCCTGGCCTGCTTTATAAACTTTAAAAGTTGTTGTTTTGCAATCACATATAATAAAAATACAGTTGGCCTCCATATCCATGGGTTCCACATTCATGGATTCAACCAATCACAGATCAAAAAAATTTTTTAAAAAAAGAAGGTTTTGAATGTACTAAATTTGTACAGACTTTTTTGTTATTGTTCTCGAAACAAGCCAGTATAACAACTATTTACATAGCATTTACATTGTATAAGGAATTATAAGTAATCTAGAGATGATTTAAAGTATATAGTGTGCACCTGTAGTCCAATTACTCATGAGGCTGAGGCAGGAGGATTGCCTGAGCCCAGAAGGCGTAGGTTGCAGTGAGCCAACATTGCACCACTGCACTCCAGCCTGGGTGACAGAGCAAGACCCTGTCTCACATAAAAATAAATAAATATAAATGAAGCATACAGGAGGATACTTCACTAAACAATTTTATATAACAGACTTGAGCATCATGGATTTTGATGATAAGGATCCATGATAAGGTGGTGTCCTGGAACCAATCCACTCTGGATAGTGAAGGATGATGATTATATTTAGTATTCCATATAATGGAAGCTGCAGCCCAGATGGGTCCCACACCTTTTCTAAAGCCATAATAGCCAAGAATAAGGCTCCATTAAGATTGCTATTGTGTCCAGAACAAGTCCATTTCAAATTGAACATGATTTTCTAACAATTGCATTTTTTTTTTTTTTCCCAAGGCAGAAGAATTTTTCTTAGTACAGAACAAAATGAAAAGTCTCCCATGTCTACCTCTATCCACACAGACCCGGCAACCATTCGATTTCTCAATTTTTTCCCCACCCTTCCCGCCTTTCTATTCCACAAAACCGCCATTGTCATCATGGCCCATCCCCAATGAGCCGCTGGGCACACCTCCCAGATGGGGCCGTGGCCGGGCAGAGGGGCTCCTCACTTCCCAGTAGGGGCGGCCGGGCAGAGGCGCCCCTCACCTCCCGGACGGGGCGGCTGGCCGGGCGGAGACGCTCCTCACTTCCCAGACGGGGCGGTTGCCAGGCAGAGGGTTTCCTCACTTCTCAGACGGGTCGGCCGGGCAGAGGCGCCCCTCACCTCCCGGACGGGGCGGCTGGCCGGGCGGAGACGCTCCTCACTTCCCAGACGGGGCGGTTGCCAGGCAGAGGGTTTCCTCACTTCTCAGACGGGTCGGCCGGGCAGAGGCGCTCCTCACTTCCTAGATGGGGTGGCGGCGGGGAAGAGACGCTCCTCACTTTCCAGACTGGGCAGCCAGGCAGAGGGGCTCCTCACATCCCAGACGATGGGCGGCCAGGCAGAGACGCTCCTCACTTCCCAGACGGGGTGGCGGCCGGGCAGAGGCTGCAATCTCGGCACTTTGGGCGGCCAAGGCAGGCGGCTGGGAGATGGAGGCTGTAGCGAGCCGAGATCATGCCACTGCACTCCAGCCTGGGCACCATTGAGCACTGAGTGAACCAGACTCCGTCTGCAATCCCGGCACCTCGGGAGGCCAAGGCTGGCGGATCACTCGCGGTTAGGAGCTGGAGACCAGCCCGGCCAACACAGCGAAACCCCGTCTCCACCAAAAAAATACGAAAACCTGTCAGGCGTGGCGACGCGCGCCTGCAATCGCAGGCACTCGGCAGGCTGAGGCAGGAGAATCAGGCAGGGAGGTTGCAGTGAGCAGAGATGGCAGCAGCACAGTCCAGCTTCCGCTCGGCTTGAGAGGGAGACCGTGGAAGGAGACCGTGGGGGGAGGGGGAGGGAGAGGGAGAGGGAGAGGGAGAGGGAGAGGGAGAGGGAGAGGGAGAGGGAGAGGGAGGGGGAGAGGGAGAGGGAACAATTGCATTTTTATACACTATTCAGCAGAATGAAAATCTTGAGACTGAAAAGAAGGAATGTAAATTTTATAATTAAACTTACGATTTATAAATTGCAGGAATAGAAAAATACGGATAGCCGAAAGATCATTCTTACGTTCTACTTAATATCTCCTATGGAGAAAGTGTGGCTAATGAATTTTTTTTTGTTTTTTTTCTGTTGTTGCTCTTGTTTTGTTTTTTGAGACAGAGTCTCGCTCTGTTGCCCAGGCTGGAGTGCACTGGTGTGATTTCAGCTCACTGCAACTTTTGCCTCCCGGGTTCAAGCGACTCTCTTGCCTCAGCCTCTCGTGTAGCTGGGATTACAGGCTCCCACCACCACACCCGTCTAATTTTTGTATTTTCAGTAGAGACAGGGTTTCACCATGCTGGCCAGGCTGGTCTCGAACTCCTGGGCTCAAGCGATCTGCCCGCCTCTGCCTCCCAAAGTGCTGGGATTATAGGCATGAGCCATCGTGCCCGACCCTGCTAATGCAATCTTTATAAAACTTTAGATTCCTAGATTTTAAGGAGCTGTAAGGAACGTACCCAGAAGTCAGAACCCAGGTTTTAGTCCCAGCACAGATCATAGCTAGCTCTGCAGCCTCCAGAGTCAGCTGGCGTCTAACAGTCCTTCAATAATCCTGGTCTAGGAGTGGTTGCTGGGGAAATGGTCAGCCCAGACTGTGTTCCAGAATTATGGAGGGCCCTGCTCGACCCCCACCCTCAGACTCTCCGCAAATGATCTCAATTCTTCCTCTGCGAAAGCACAAGTTATCTGCCGGGCGCGGTGGCTCACGCCTGTAACCACAGCACTTTGGGAGGCCGAGGTGGGCGGATCACCCGAGGTCAGGAGTTTGAGACCAGCCCGGCCAACATGGCGAAACCCCGTCTCTACTAAAAATACAAAAATCAGCCAGGCGTGGTGACGCGCGCCTGTAACCCCAGCTACTCGGGAGGCTGAGGCGGGAGAATCGCTTGAACTCAGGAGGCGGCGGTTGCAGTGAGTCGAGATCGCGCCACTGCACACTCCAGCCTGGGGGACAGCGAGACTTCGTCTCACAAAAAAAAAAAAAAAAAGGAAGAAGAAGAAAACAGAAGCTGTCTAGCAGGAATCCCTGCAAGTTCCTGCGCTCTGCCTCTACTCCACCCTCTCTGCAAAGATCTCTCTCAGCTCCTGGCCTCACCGGTTCCCCTTATTTTCATAGGAAGAGGCATTTGTCTGCCATTCCGGGCTCCCCGCCAGCTCTCTCCCTGCTCACACGCCATCCCCATCTATCAGTGTCCCCCTCTCTCTCCCTGGAGGTTCTTCTCTTACTTCCCACCCTCTTTCCTGTTCGTCAGCGCCTAGATCCTGCAGTAGTCTGCCCTGCAGTCTGCGCTTTCAGACCTCCGGACCCTCCTCGGACCTCGGCCAGACCTCCAGACCCCTCCTCGGACCTCGGCCAGACCTCCGGACCCCTCCTCGGACCTCGGCCAGACCTCCGGACCCCTCCTCGGACCTCGGCCAGACCTCCGGACCCCTCCTCGGACCTCGGCCAGACCTCCGGACCCCTCCTCGGACCTCGGCCAGACCTCCGGGCCCTCCTCGGACCTCGGCCAGACCTCCGGGCCCTCCTCGGACCTCGGCCAGACCTCCGGACCCCTCCTCGGACCTCGGCCAGACCTCCGGACCCCTCCTCGGACCTCGGCCAGACCTCCGGACCCCTCCTCGGACCTCGGCCAGACCTCCGGGCCCTCCTCGGACCTCGGCCAGACCTCCGGACCCCTCCTCGGACCTCGGCCAGACCTCCGGACCCCTCCTCGGACCTCGGCCAGACCTCCGGACCCCTCCTCGGACCTCGGCCAGACCTCCGGGCCCTCCTCGGACCTCGGCCAGACCTCCGGACCCCTCCTCGGACCTCGGCCAGACCTCCGGACCCCTCCTCGGACCTCGGCCAGACCTCCGGACCCCTCCTCGGACCTCGGCCAGACCTCCGGACCCCTCCTCGGACCTCGGCCAGACCTCCGGGCCCCTCCTCGGACCTCGGCCAGACCTCCGGGCCCCTCCTCGGACCTCGGCCAGACCTCCGGGCCCCTCCTCGGACCTCGGCCAGACCTCCGGGCCCCTCCTCGGACCTCGGCCAGACCTCCGGGCCCTCCTCGGACCTCGGCCACGCGCCCGCTGCCACACGGGGGCGCTGACCCTGCTCCGCCGAAGGTCATTCGCGGCCGCCGAGCCGCCCGGCCCCGCAGGCACGTTGCGCTCTCCTCCCTTGCCGCGTTTAATGTCTCCCAGTTGACCACTCCGCTTCTGCTCTCCCCTCCCTCTGTTAGGGGTCGTCGCGCTTCTCCGATTTCTCCACGAACTTTGTGATTATTCATTTTGGGTTTTCATTCCTGGCTTTTCTTTATCTGCCTCGCTTCAAAATCATGACACTCCTACGTACCCTGCCATCACTTCTGCCTCCCAGACCTGAATGAATAACTGCCCGTTTCCGGTCACCTTTGTTTCCTGTCTGGGCTTTTCCGAGCTCCAGACACAAATATCCAGTTGCTAACTAGATATTTCAAAACCATGCCCCTTCATCCAGTTCTTCAAATTTACTGGCATGAAGTTCACAGTACCCACTTACGATTTTTTTTAAAACCTCATCTGTGTATTTATATTTCTTATTTCTGATATTATTTGACTTCGTCTGCTAGAGGTTTGCCATTTCAAAGACACACCTTCAGCCCTGCTCATCTCTATAGTATTTTTATTTTGTTTTGTTTTTCTATTTTATTTCTGCTCTTATCTTTATTATTTTCTTCCTTATTTATTTGGTTTTACTGTGTTGCTCTAGGGTTTTGCTTTGTTTTAGATGAATGCTGACTCATACGGATGAGTAAATTTGCTTACTTTTTTGTTGATGGAGCAAAGGATTGTGGTAGATATTTGTTTTTGTTCTGGAGTATATGAGATGGAGCAGGAATCCCGTTTTTAGGGGATTGCGGACCTCCAAGCCGGGAAATAAAGGAAAATCTTGAGTTCCTTGAAGGGAAATTCCAGGCACCCAACTAGCCTTGAGAAGTAAACAACTTGATAAGCAAGAAGAATAGTAGCCTGAAACAATAGCCAAGGAAGTTAGAGTCAGGATATGGTTGGTTCCCCTATAGAAACTAAAGATAACATTTTATCTTAACATATGTCCCTGAGCTGTTTACAGAAACCCAGACCCCCACCAAATGGATCTGCTGGCACAGAGACCTCAGATAAGGGGAAACTGAGGACTGAACTCCAATCACCATTCTTTGTTCTAAATTTTTCCTGAGAGGCTTAGAGGGAGTCACACCCATTAGCCAGAGCTAACATTCTTTTCCGCCAACCCTAAATTTTTGCATAAAACGTCTCCTCTCTTTGCATCTATGACCTGTAAGTCCCTACTTCAAGATATCCTGCCCTTTCAAGCCAAAACCAAAGTGTAGCCTCCGTGTACTGATGTACGATTTTGTCTGTAACTGCTGTTTTCCTGAAATTTACCCCTGCCTTTAAAAACCCTGACCTCCAAGCCATCAGGAATGTCAGGATTTGAGGATTAGCTGTTTGGTCCTCCTTGCTTAGAGCCCCTGCAAATAAATGCCTTTCCTTCTACCGCTGCACAGCCTCAGTGTGAATATCTGGTTTTACTGCGCCAGGCAAGCAGACCCCTGTTCGCTTCTATTACATGTCCACCATCTGAATCCCCCTACTATGTTTTGGTAATTTCCCATCACAGGAGTATTGATGAGAGGCAGATGTATCCTCCCACTAGAGAAGCAAAACAGCTAGATATTTGCTGTCTCCACTTATCAAAGTATAGAATTTTAAGTTGCCAGTTATTACCTCGCAACACATTTAGCTTCTGACATGTATTGTTGCTGAAGAAAAGTCCGATATGAATCAGACCTTCCAGTGGGACAAGATGTGGAGATGGAAGACAATATTGATGATCCTGACCCTGTGTAGGTCTAGGCTACACTTTTGACAGCTGGTGTCAAAAGTATTGCGTGACTGTGTGTATGTCTTTGTTTTTAACAAAAAAGCTTAAAAAGTAAACAAAATAAAAATTTAAAAATATAAAAAGGCCTATAGAATAGAGATATAAAAAGAAAATATTTGTGTACAGCTGTACAAGATTTATGTTTTAAGCCAAGTGATTTACAAGAGTCAAAAAGTTAAAAACAATTAAAAAGTTTTATAAAAAGTTATAGTAAACTAAGGTTAACTTATTATTATGAAGAAAGACAAAAATTTTAAATAAATTTAGTGTAGCCTAAGCATACAATATTTATAAAGTCTACAGGAATATGTAGTAATGTCCTAGGCTTTCACATTCACTCACCACTCACTCACTGACTCACCCAGAGCCACTTCCAGTCCTGCAAGCTTTATTCATGTTAAGTAACCTATTCAGGTGTACCATTTAAAAAAAAATCTTTTATATTGTATGAAAGTATAAAAATATATACTTCTATATATTTTTAACTTTTTCTGTCTTTAGATATATTTAGATACAAATACCACTGTGTTAAAATTGCCTACAGTATTCGGTACAGTAACATGCTGTTCAGGTTTGTAACCTGGGAACCATAAGCTATACCATATAGCCTGTGTGTGTAGTAGGCTATACCATCTAGAATTGTGTAAGTACACTCTATGATGACCTCACAATGACAAAATCTCCTAAGGATGTGTCTCTTTTTTTTTTTTTGAGAAGGAGTCTCGCTTTGTCGCCCAGGCTGGAGTGCAGTGGCGCAATCTCGGCTCACTGCAAGCTCCGCCTCCCGGGTTCACGCCATTCTCCTGCCTCAGCCTCCCGAGTAGCTGGGACTACAGGCGCCCGCCACCATGCCCGGCTAATTTTTTTGTATTTTTTAGTGGAGACAGGGTTTCACCGTGTTAGCCAGGATGGTCTCGATCTCCTGACCTCATGATCCACCCACCTCGGCCTCCCAAAGTGCTGGGATTACAGGCGTGAGCCACAGAACCTGGCCCAAGGATGCGTTTCTTAAAGCATACCCCCTTCACTAAGCTCCAAGTGACTGTATATTTTCACACCTTTATTTTGGCCTCATGCTGGGTGGAGTCATTTCCTGCTTCTCGGCTTTGGGCTTGTCCATATTACTTGCTTTGACCATCATGATATTGTGAAATACACATTTGGTCTTCATCCTGTTTCCTAGCATACAGCTGCTAAAATCCCTGGAATCTCTGGAGTGATAAGAGTATCTTTTGTATGCAAATGAGATGACTGGTGGCTGGGGGCCCCTGGGTAGCTTCAGGATAGGGGCTGGTCACCAGAAAGACCAAGACAGGATTACAGGGTTGGGACATTGAGCCCTACTTCCAATCTCTGGGCAGGCGAGAGGGGCTGAAGGTTAAGTTGATCACCAGTGGCCAATGATTTAAGCAATTGTGCCTAGGTGATGACGCCTCCATAAAAACCCAAAAAGCGGGTGGGTTGGGGATGCGTGATGGGGGAGGTTCCAGATAGCTGAACATTTGGAGGTTCCTGCAGGGCAGTGCCCTGGAGAGGGCATGGAAGCTCCGGGCTCCTACTCACGTGCCTTGCCCTGTGAATCTCTTGCATCTGGTTGTTCATCTGTAGCCTTGTCCTATTCTTTACAATAAACTGGTAAGTGTGAGTAAAGTGTTTCCCCGAGTTCTGTAAGCAGCTCTAGCAAATTAATAAAACCTGAGGAAGAGGGCACGGGAACCCTGATTTATAGCTGATAGGTCAGAAGCACTGGCTACGTCTGGGGCTTGCGATTGGCTTCTGAAGTTGGGGGCAGTCCTGCGGGACTGAGTCCCCAACCCGTGGGATCTATTGCTATCTTGGTAGAAAATGTCAGAATTGAATTAAATTAGAGGAAACCTAGCTAGTGTCCGCTGGAGAATCTGCTGAAGAATTGGTTGCTTGGTGTGTGAGGAAAATCCCCCACATATCTGGTGTCAAAAGTGTTGAGTCACTGTGTGAGAGTAGAGAGGAGGAAACAGCTTGGTTTTCTTCTGTCTCACAGGCCTATTTGGAGCGACGTGAAATATGCCTTGCTGTTGGGCTCTCCCTCCTGTTCTCTGATGATCTGTCACGAGGGGGATATGAACAACTGCTGTCCCCAGAGCCTGGGCCCCCGAATGAGAAATGTGAAGCAGACCACGTGGCCTGGTAGCATTTGGTCCCAGAGGGATGAGACAGACACCCATGGGCCAGAATTGAAGCCAACCTGGGGCCTAGGGCCTACAGCCCAGAGGCTGTGCTAAAGCCTGGAGTCCAGCCAAACCCAGCGAAGTGACAGCCTGCCAGCAGCCCCATGTTCCTGAGAGTAAACAGTTATAACAGTTGAAGCTTCTGAATTTTGTTACACAGCGTTGTTGTGGCCATAGCCAACTAATGCCTTATACTTTATTTAGTTTTCTTCATGTTTGGAGATATTTGGTTTGCAGGTTTATTTTGAATGTGAGAGTTTTTGTTTGTTTCCTCTTCTCTGTGCTTATCACTGCCTGTTAGTACATTTCAGAAACCTTCCTGCAGGCCTCCTGGGCCTTGTGTCCAGAGCTAAGTCTTACGTGGATTCTTCATGTCCTATCGCCGGTTATAGAGGGAATAGTCCTCCAGCCAGAGTGTGTGTTGGCCCAAGTACTGGGTGTGAGCTGTGTTTGCATCTTTCTCTCTCTCTAGGTATGAAGCTCACATAGGTGGAGGCCCAGGTGGCAGGTGGTTGAAGCTTGAAGCTTTTCTCAGTTTCCATTGATGCAGGAGTAAGGGTCAGCTTGGCTCGCTTAGTTTCTGCCTTGCCTAGGGTTCTTTTAGTCCTCATCACCCCACAGGACACCAACTCCATGTCCACCTAGTTCCACACCTGGACGCAGCAGGTCACAGCTTCAGTCTTGCTTGTCTTTCTCTTCTGTATGTAGTCCAATGCTCTGTTCACCTTGCTTTTTTTCTTTTGAGACAGAGTCTCACTCTGTCGCCCAGGCTGGAGTGCAGGGGCACAATCTCGGCTCACTGCAAGCTCCGCCTCCCGGGTTCACGCCATTCTCCTGCCTCAGCCTCCTGAGTAGCTGGGACTACAGGCGCCCGCCACCACACCCGGCTAATTGTTTGTATTTTTAGTAGAGACGGGGTTTCACCGTGTTAGCCAGGATGGTCTCGATCTCCTGATCTCGTGATCCACCCACCTTGGCCTCCCAAAGTGCTGGGATTACAGGCGTGAGTCACTTTCCTTCTGAGATGTAAATGTCTTTTCAGTTTTTCTGAGTATATTTTCGCCGTCAGGTTGTGTGTTTCAGGTGGAAAGGGGGAGTGTATTGCATGAACTCATGAACTCACAATGCTATTCCAACCAGAATTCCCCTGGAATTTCTACTTGCAGGTTCACCAAACACTTGAATTTCATATACTCAAAACAAAACTGAAATTCTAATCATGTCTTTCCATAAAACCACTACTTTCTGGATTCTGTATTCTGGTTAATATTCCCATCCTCTTTTCATTTGCTGAAGTCAGAATCCTCATTTATTCTTTTCTCTCACCTTCCATATGTATCTGCATCCCATTTGACCACCAACTCCCCTCCACGCACGTGTTCATCCCATCTGTGAAGTAAGTTCATGCACATCTTATTCTATGAGTCCACAGCCTGAAAGTTCTCAGCTACAGAAAAAGTCCAAAGCCCTTTGTGTGGCATAGAGGGAAGGACAGGCACGGTTGTGGCCTGATTCTCTCTCAGCCTCAACTCTGGCTATCTTGCCCTTGGCTTTAACAAAACAAATCTATTGACAATTTCCGAGCTCTATCAGCCTGTTTCTGGCTCTAGTCCCCATTCCTCCCCTGCCCATGGCTCATCTGGCAAATGTTCAAGACTCAGAAACCACCTATTCAGAAAATAATTTCCATGAACTGCCTCCAATTGACTGATCCCTCATCCTTCATTTGCTTTTTTGTTTTATTTACTTATTATTTATTTATTTTTTGAGACAGGGTCTTGCTCTGTTGCCCAGGCTGGAGTGCAGTTGTGCCATCACAGATCACTGCAGCCTCAACCTCCCAGGCTCAGGTAATCCTCGTACCTGAGGCTCCCTGGCAGCTTGGACTACAGGCGCTCACCACCATGCCTGGCTTTTTTTTTTTTTTTTTTTTTGCATTTTTTGTAGAGACAGGGTTTCACCATGCTGCCTAGGCTGGTCTTGAATTCCTGGGCTCAAGCTATCTGCCCGCTTCAGCCTCCCAAAGTGGTGGGATTACAGGAATGAGCCACTGTGCCTGGCCTGAAGAATCTGATTTTACACCTCGATGATAGAATATATCACACTACACGGCATGTGTCTGCATACCTTTCTTTTCCCAACTAGGTTGTAACCTATCTTTTTATATCCTTTTCTTTTTCTTTTTGTTTGTTTGTTTGTTTATTTTTTTTTTTTTTTTGAGACAGAGTCTCACTTTGTCGCCCTGGCTGGAGAGCAGTGGCGCAATCTCAGCTCACTGCAAGGCTCTGCCTCCTGGGTTCAAGCGATTCTCCTGCCTCAGCCTCCCGAGTAGCTGGGACTACAGGCGCCCACCACCACACCCAGCTAATTGTTTGTATTCTTAGTGGAGATGGGGTTTCACTGTGTTAGCCAGGATGGTCTCAATCTCCTGACCTCGTGATCCACCCGCCTCGGCCTCTCAAAGTGCTGGGATTACAGGCGTGAGCCACCATGCCCGGCCTTATTTTTCAATATCTAACACCAAATCTCACATACAGCATGACCCAGTGAACGCTTGTTGTATTGTTAGGTTGAATGAAACACAGGTAAATCTTTCCCACTAGGTCTTCTGTTGTTTTTGTTTGTTTGTTTGTTTGTTTGTTTGTTTTTGTTTTTGTTTTTGGAGACAGAGTCTCGCTCTGTTGCTCAGGCTGGAGTGTAGTGACGCAGTCTTGGCTCACTGCAACCTCCACCTTCCAGGTTCAAGCCATTCTCCTGCCTCAGCATCCCAAGTAGCTGAGACTACCAGTGCATGCCACCATGCCTGGGTAATTTTTGTAGTTTTAGTGGAGACGGGGTTTCACCATGTTGGCCAGGTTGGTCTCGAACTCCTGACCTCAAGTGATCTGCCCACCTCAGCCTCCCAAAATGCTAGGATTACAGGGGTGAGCCACCGTGCCTGGCCTCCACTAGGTCTTCTGTCTTCTCTTGGGTAAATTAAGGAGTTAGACTGGATGACCTGTAAGAGTTCTTCCAGGCTCCTCCTGCCATTGTTATGCTTTGAATGTATAGTTTAACTGTAACTCATGTAAAAATTATTATTTATAGATAACATCAGTAAATCTTTGATGTTTCAGGCCTCAAAATATGATGGCAGTAAAATTGATGGTTGCTTTAATAAATGTTTCCAGTTTATCCTGGTTTGGGGGCTTTTTCTTTGTTGTTGTTGTTGTTTTTTTCGGCTAAAGATAAAACACAGATGAAGACCATCAGGTAAAAGGTATGTTACTGCAAGTTTATATTGTACGTAATTACTTTAGACATTTTAATGTAGTATTTATATTTTTGTTTAAAGTACTTGATTATGGTTTTATTCCAATGGGAGTCTTTCATTTGCAGTTGTTTGGACTTTGTGGTATTCTTGTTTTAAGGATTTAAAAATCCATTCAATGGAGATCTTAGCTAATGTAGTACAACTGAAATAGTTTGGAAATCGGAAAATTCCTTTCAATCTCTTTGCCTGGTTTGGCTACCCCACAGTTTTCAGGTTCCAGTTGGAGATTTCAAGCACCTGTAAATGACATGAAATCTAAGCAAACTGAAAGTGTGGTTCAGGTCACTCACCGCCCAAGAAAATCTGCCGTTCATTCATTTCACTCATTTGACATATATTCATGCAACCCCTACCAGGTACCAAGCACTGGGAACACAATTGTGACAAGACAGTGGTGGTTCCCACCCTCAAGGATCTTAGTGTTTACCGGGGAGAAAAAACAATTAAACAATCAAGAAAAGGCCGGGGGCAGTGACTCACGCCTGTAATCCTAGCACTTTGGGAGTCCGAGGCGGGTGGATCACTTGAGGTCAGGAGTTCGAGACTAGCCTGGGCAACATGGTGAAACCCCGTCTCTACTAAAATACAAAAAATTAGCCAGGCATGGTGGTGGGCACCTGTAATCCCAGCTATTCCGGAGGCTGGGGCAGAAGAATGGCTTGAACCCCGGAGGTGGACGTTGCAGTGGGATGAGATTGTGCCACTGTAACCCAGCCTGGGCCACAGAGTGAGACTCTGTCTGGAAAAAAAAAATCCAGAAAAATACCATGTGTAAATGCTAGTAAGTTAAGAAGCTTCTGAGTGCAAGAAACAGAACACCCAATTCCAACTGGGTTAACAACAAAGGAAATTTACATATACCTGTGAAGTTCACACGTAGGATGGCTTCAGGAAGATTTGTTCCAGGCAGCTCAAAGCATGTGACAAGATCAAGCACTTTTTTCTCTTTATTTCTCAGCTCTGGTTCCATGACAAGCTCTTTTGTCATCACATTTGTCTATAATCCCAAGATGGCTGCAGCAACTCCTAAAGCTATGTGATTCACATATAGCAAGGAATAAGGAATCTGCCTCCCATTCCCGGCATCCTGACTAAAGTCTCAAGATGAATTCTGATTGGGTCAGCCTAGGGCATATCCCTACCCCAACCAATCACTGTGCACAATGGGAGGAAATATGTCGATGGGCTTAGCCTATATCATGTGTTTCACCCTTAGGGCCAGGGGTGGAGATTGTGTAACCAGATTGAAATAGAAAGGTGTTAGGAAAGGGGCGGGAGATGGGGGATGGGCTAGAACCCCACTAACGTTTACTACAAGTGCTGTGATAGAAGAAAAAGAAAAAGAAAGAAGAAAAAGAGTGCTTTGAGAGCAAGTAGTACTTTGGAAAATAGGATAGTGTAGCACTTAGGAGTAAGAGCTCTGAAGTCATACCACCTGTGTGTGAATGCCAGTTCTGCCAACTTACCTTCTGGCCCTGTACTCTGCCTCTTCAACTATGAAATAGAGATAATGATAGCAAGTTACTCCTCAGGTTAGTTTCAGGATTAAATGAGATAATGCATGTAAAGAGACTAAGACAATGCATAGGACTCTTAGCAGTTTTTATGTATTAGAAAAGGCTTCCAGGAGGAAGTGGCATTGACATGAAATCCCGAAGAATGAGGAAAAGTCATCTAAGGAAAAAAGAGGATTGGATTTTATGAGAAGCGAGGCTGGCCTCTCAATGTTTGGCCGTAAATGGAACTTGTACCACCTCAGAAGGAAGTATTTTTCGTCTCACTTTCTAAATGAAATGTGTAATGATTTTACCAGACATATAATTTCTATAATGACCAGTGAGAACTAGCTTCTAAGAAGGGCAGCAATGTGAAACTGGAGCTCAAGGAAAGAAAAAGTGGAAATAAAAATCAGTTTGTGCAGATTATTTTTGGAATTTGGCTTTCTTTTTTACAGGTCTGTGTATGTGAGCAAGCTCTTTGGATTTTGAGGGCATCTATCCAGCTATGTTTGGTAGATTTATAGCAAGAGACTTTTTTTTTTTAAAGGGGAAGAGGGAGCTTCCCAGTTAATTATTCATAGGTCATTGAAGCTAGTGAGAGGTTGGCCCCAAAGACACATAAGACCCAGTGAGGGCTGGGTGCAGTGGCTCACATATGTAATCACAGCACTTTGGAAGGCTGAGGCAGGAGAATTGCTTGAGCCCAAGAGTTTGAGACCACCCTGGGCAACATAGCAAGCCCTTATCTCTACAAAAAACAAGCAAACAAACAAACAAAAAACTAGTCAGGTATGGTGGCATATGCCTGTAATCCCAGCTCCTTGGGAGGCTGAGGTGGGAGGATCACTTGAGCCCAGGAGTTCAAGGCTGCAGTGAGCTGTGATCACACTACTGCACTCAGCTGTGATTGCACCACTGCACTCCTGCCTGGGTGACAGAGCAAGACCCTGTTTCTTAAAACAAAACAAAACGAACAAAACAAAACAAAAAACAACTGGTGTCCCCGCGTGTAGAGTCTATGATTTATGAGTCGTGAGTCAGAGTAGTGTGAACAACTACAAAGTGAGTCCATGGAAAGGAAATGAGCCATCTTCCAGGGAAAGCAAACCCCAACCCACTTATAATGGAGGTCAGGGAGGACAAACTGGCCTTAACCAAACCCCTTTCCTTCTCATGCTCAGATCCAATCTATACTGTGTCTATGGTTACCACCAGCAAGCTATAGAGGGCAGCCAGCACTCATTCAGTAAGCCTTTATACAGCCCCTTCTGTGGCTGAGGCCCTTCTCTGGGTACTTTGGAAAATAAAAAAATGTATCAAACACACACCCTTCCAGGTTCTCACCCTCTGGGAGTAGTAAGGATCGCTAGCTAACATTGACTGATCATGTCCCATGAGCAAACACTCCACTGACTGCCCTGTGAACATGGTTGTTACTATGATCGTCCCCATTTTACAGATAAGGAAACTCAAGCTCTGAGAAGTTAAGTAACTTGCTCCAAGCACCACAAGTGATCAGGGACAGAACCAGGATTCAAACTCATGGCTATCTGACCTCAGACAGTTTGCTTTTAACCCTGCCTGTGCTTTCTGAGTTGCAGAGACTCATTGTGGGGTTTGTGGGAAGTAGGTACAGCATGTCTATGGACAGCTGTGCTCTAGTTTCTTTGCTGGGCAGGGAAAATTATGAGAAAGTGTGAACTGCAATTGGCTGGTGTGGATTGCCAAAATGAATTGTTTTGACCATTTTCTGTCTGTTAGTCACAAAGATAGTTGAGATCTCATTTGATTCTTCATGGTGAATATTCATTTTCTTTCAAAAGAGTAATATTGAATATTGTAGTGCTCATTAGACATACTTTATTGATCCTCATATATATGCACAGAGTTTTTTCTTTTCTTTTTTTTTTTGAGACAGAGTCTCGCTCTGTCACCCAGGCTGGAGTGCAGTGGTGCGATCTCAGCTGACTGCAAACTCCGCCTCCCGGGTTCACGCCATTCTCCTGCCGCAGCCTCCCGAGTAGCTGGGACTACAGGCGCCCACCACCATGCCTGGCTAATTTTTTTGTATTTTTAGTAGAGACGGAGTTTCACCTTGTTAGCCAGGATGGTCTCGATCTCCTGACCTCGTGATCCGCCCGCCTCGGCCTCCCAAAGTGCTGGGACTACAGGCGTGAGCCACCGTGCCCGGCCTGCACAGAGTTTTTTCTAATCATAAAATTTAAATTCTGGTTGCTTTTATCTTGAGCCTTAAATACAATTTTAGTTCTATGATAGCTACTGCATTAGTCTGTTCTCGCATCACTATAAAGGACTACCTGAGACTGGGTAATTTATCAAGAAAAGAGGTTTAATTGATGCACAGTTCTGGAAGCTGTATAGGAAGCAGGGCTGGGGACGACTCAGGAAACTTACAATCATGACAAAAGGCAACGGGGAAGCGGGCGCGTCTTACGTGGCCAGAGAAGGACGGAGAGAGAGCAAGAAGGGAGGTGCTATACACTTTCAAACAACCACATCTCGGGAGAATTCACTCACTATCATGAGAACAAGGGGAAAATCCACCCCCATGAGCCAATCACCTCCCTCCAGGCCCCCTCCTCCAGCACTGGGGATTACAGTTCGACATGAGATTTGGGTGGGGACACAAATCTAAACCATATCAGCTACAAAACTATAAGCTTAATAGAGGAGTGAGGCACAGTGACTTACACTGTAGGCTACTTAGGCTGCAGTGAGTTATGATCATAGCACTGCACTCCAGCCTGGGCCACAGAGTAAGACTCTGTCTCTTAAAAAAAAAAAAAAAAGGAGAGTCACGTAAGTTTCACCAATTAAATGTGCATTATTCCCCACTGTAACTCATATTTTACAAGTAAGAATTTTCAAAGATCCTCTGTGTGTATACCTGTGTATGTGTTTGTGTGTGTGTGTGTGAGAGAGAGAGAGAGAGAGAAGAAAATGGTTGTCTCATTGAAATATTAGTAAGTTTGAAAATTTTTCTGATTTTTTTTTTTAGGGCATAAAAACAGTCATTTCTCCTCCTTCCTTTCCTGATTCATGTTTTTATATATAGTAAACTTACCGTTGCTAAAAAAACATTTGAAACCTTTATACTGCCACTTTAACAGTATTTCAACAGAGCCATAATCTTCCTGATAAAGTAAAATTACACTGGTTCTTAAGAAAACATACCAAGCAAGGACTATCTCAAGAATGTGTAAGTGTTCTTAATCTTATTTCCTGACCTCTTTAAAGAACAGATATTCATTTAGTTGAAATTCCCTTTGGCAACTGTTAATGCAGTTTCTGGATCTTCCAAGAGAGTAACCTGAGTTTTTTGTTGTTGTTCATAGCATATAGAGGTGGTTCTCAATTTTTTGTGTTTGCTGAACACTGCTGAATATAGATTTGGGGGTGGCACATTTGAAGTGATTAAAGTACAAGTACCTCACTATTCTGCTGCCTGGCTGTCAACAAAGTTGTTATTTGAATAAGTCTATCGACATGTTATTCCATCACACTGTGGATGCTCAGCTGGAGACCCTAGCTGTGGATCCTCTGGTGTAGGGGTGCAGAGAATAGGCTTTGCAGTCATGCACGTGAATTTGAATTCCTGCTATGCCATTTGTTTAGCTGAGTGACATTGAACAATTTGCTTAAACTCTCTGAATTTCACATTCATCAAAGAATCAGGGCAATAATACCTCCCTTATAGAACTGTTGTGATGATTAAATGAAATGATTTATGGAAGGTACTTAAAACACAGTGATCTCTCAATAAATGCCTGCTATTGTCAAGTATCAGTCTTTCAGATGTTTTTTAAAGGGCCTCATCTTTGTGATCAGTTCAACTGCCTGTGTCTACACTACTGACTTATTCAATGATCTCTCCACTAAAGCCTTCTATTGTTGTCTAACAGTGCACTCTAATAATCTGCAGTCCCAAATTAGTTATGGTTATTGATAGTGTTGGCCTCTTGAGGGGTATGAGTCCCATGAATATCTAGACCGATGAGGTTGTTCTTTACTACCCTCCCTTACCTCTTAGACAGGGGTTACTGATACAGGAGCTAGAAAGAAATTATTTAGGCAGATAGTAAGGGCAACAGAGCCCTCTGCGGAATTTCCCTTTTTTAAAAAAAGCAGCTGCTGGATCATTTATTTTCTAACAAAGAGTAGCCTGAAAAATCGAACTGCAGACATAGATAAGCAAGCTGGAAGCTTGCATGGGTAAATGCCAGCAGCTGTGCCAATAAAAAAGGGCTACCTGAGGGCCAGGTATATTCAACATGGAGGCTCCATCCTCCCTTTTCTTTGTCACCACGTGTATAGTAAAGAACCAGGTAACATAGCATCTACCAAGTAGAGAACTCATCTGCATAATAAGAGATTAGGGGTCCTGGTGCAGTGGCTCATGCTTGTAATCCCAGCACTTTGGGAGGCTGAGGCTGGTGGATCACCTGAGGTCGGGAGTTCAAGACCAGGCTGACCAACATGGAGAAACCCCGTCTCTGCTAAAAATACAAAATTAGCCGGGGTGGTGGTGCATGCCTGTAATCCCAGCTACTTGGGAGGCTGAGGCAGGAGAATTGCTTGAACCCTGAAGGCGGAGGTTGCAGTGAGCAGAGATCACGCCATTGCACTCCAGCCTGGGCAAAAAGAGCGAAACTCAGTCTCAAATAAATAAATAAATAAATAAATAAATAAATAATAAGAGATTAGGGTGGGACGCCCAGCTTCTTCACGTGCTGTGCAAATGGCACACCTGGTCCAACCAATCTTTTGTGCCCTATGTAAATCAGACACCGCCTCCTCAAGCTCATTTATAAAACCTGCATTTCACTGCAGAAGTGGCAATCCATTTTCTCCAGGGCCCCTCTCTGTTCAGAGAGCTCTTTCTTTTGCCTGTTAAACTTCTGCTCTGAACCTCATTCTTTGTGTGCCGGCGTCCTAGTTTTCCGTGGCCATGAGACCACGAATCTCAGGTATTTACCCCAGACCACAGTGCTGCTTCATTACCACGTTCCTGATTCCTAAAGGCCCAGGGCAGATTGAACCCTAAGTTCAGTTTCTACTCTAGGTGAAATTTTAGGAAACTTCCTGTTGGGACAGGAGTTTGCTTCAAAATCAAGGGCTCTGGCCAGGTGGGATGGCTCATGCCTGTAATCCCAGCACTTTGGGAGGCCAAGGTGGGTGGATCACGAGCTCAGGAGATCGAGACCATCCTGGCTAACACAGTGAAGCCCCATCTCTACTAAAAATACAAAAAATTAGCCGGGCGAGGTGGCGCGCGCCTGTAGTCCCAGCTACTCGGGAGGCTGAGGCAGGAGAATGGCTTGAACCCAGGAAGCCGGGGTTGCGGTGAGCCGAGATTGCACCATTACACTCCATCCTGGGTGAACAAGCGTGAAACTCCGTCTCAAAAAATAAAAATAAAGAAAAATTGTGCAATGAAGAAATTTGGTTACCCTATAAATTAATAACTAGAATTATAGTAATAGTGAATGTCTATTAAGCATGTATAATGTGCCGGGCACTATGCAAAACACTCTACATGTATTTAATGTCATTTAACCTCGGGTCCAATAAGGTAGATATTATTATTCCCCTCATTTTGGAGATGTAGACACTAAGGCTTGAGGGATTTGATGGGATGACAGAGGATCAGAACTTAAATCCCATTGGAGTTCACACTTTTTACCACTCAAATTTTTTTTTTTTGAGACGGAGTCTCACTCTGTCACCCAGACTGGAGGGCAGTGGGGCAATCTCTGCTCACTGCAACCTCCACCTCCTAGGTTCAAGCGATTCTTCTGCCTCAGTCTACTTAGTATCTGGGACTACAGAAGTGCACCACCATGCCTGGCTAATTTTTGTATTTTTAGTAGAGATGGGGTTTTGCCATGTTGGCCAGGCTGGGCTCGAACTTCTGACCTCAGATGATCCGCCTGCCTTAGCCTCCCACAGTGCTGGGATTACAGGCATGAGCCACTACACCCGGCCTTACCACTCAATTTTGCAGCTTCTTCAATAGATGTCCTTTTGTAGGGTAATAATCTGTTCTTAGAGGTTGCATTCTCTTGAAATGGGTATCTTTTGGATTATCTCTTTTTGCGCTTATTTCTTCAGACTTCAGTACAAAGGCTTGTTTAGATGCAGTCAGATTGACTTGGTGATGTCTTTCCATAGCACTACCTGTGACGTGTTATGTTTTCAGGCTCAAAATTCTTTTTAACCCAACAGGCTTTGCCATGTGGTAGGAAAAAAGAATGAGCTACTACCATAGCTAAAACACAGAAGCAACCCAGGTGTTCATCTGATGAATGGATAAGCAAAACATGATCTATACATACCAGGGAATATTATTCAGCCTTAAAAAGGAAGAAAATTCTGAGATATTTTACAACATGGGTGAACTCTGAGAACATTATTCTAAGCAATAAAGCCAGTCACAGAAAGACAAATACTATATGGTTCCATTTACAGAAGGTACCTAGAGTCATCAAACTCATAGAGACAGGAAGTGGAATGGTTGCCAGGGACTAGGGCGAGGAGGAGAGAGTGTGGAGTTAGTGTTTAATGGGCACAGAGTTGCAATTTTACAAGATGAAGAGCTGTGGCGATGGATTGCGGTGATGGCTGCACGTCATGAGTGTATTTAATACCACTGAACAGTACACTTAAAAAAGGTTAAAGCTGAATGTAGTGCTGCTCGCCAGTAGCTCTAGCTACTTGGGAGGCTGAGGCAGGAGAATTGCTTGAGCCCAGAGGTTTGAGGCTGCAGTGAGCTATGATTGTGCCACTGCACTTTAGTCTGGGTGACAGAGCAAGACCCTGTCTCAAAACAAAAACAAACAAACAAAAAATCACACCACTGCACTCCAGCCTGGTGACAGAGTGAGATTCTGCCTCAAAAAACAAAACAAAACAAAAAAAAGGTAAGATAATAAATTTTATGTGTCTCTCACGGTAAAAAAAAATTTAAGACAAAAAGAATATACTGGGAGTCATGCTGCTTGCTGGCTTGGCCTTGAGCAAACCGAAGGCTGTAGGCAAGTCCCCCAACCTCTCTGGACTTCCAAATCCTCCCTTGAAAAGCAAGGTCCTCCCCAGCACTTAATCCTGGGAGCTATTCCTCCAGGATCTCCAGCTTTCTCCCTTTTAAAAATGGAAAGGACCTCCCTAGAGTGATATGTTTTGTAAATTTAATTTTGGGACTTTATTTCTTTTCTCAGAACATGTGTCTTAGAAGATGAAACAGAGAACTAAGTTAACTGTCCAAAATGATTCAGACCAAAAAGAAGTGCTGATAAGGCCAGGTGCAGTGGCTCACACCTGTAATCCTAGCACTTTGGAAGACCGAGGCAGGGGAATCGCTTGAGCCCAGGATTTCGAGACCAGCATGGGCAACATGGCAAACCCTGTCTCTACAAAAAAATACAAAAACTAGCCGGGCATGGTGGTGCATACCTGTGGTCCCAGCTTCTTAGGAGGCTGAGGTGGGAGGATCGCTTGAGCCCAGGAGGTTGAGGTTGCCATGAGCAATGACTGCACCACTGCACTCTAGCTTGGGTGACAGAGCGAGACTCTGTCTCAATTAAAATAATAATAACAAAAAAATGCTAAGAAGTCAAATTTTTAGCCTTGCCTGACATATCTGACCTCCCTTGACCAAATAATGCAATCTCTGTTGTCCTACTGTCTTGCCTGGAGGACTGAGCTAGATGCAATCAGGTCTTCTGGTGTCCAGATGGTCATTGTAACACAATGTCTCTGGCAACCACAAGGAGAAAAATACAACCTTTGAAGCTGAGTCCCAGAAGACAGAATCTTAATTGAGAACAGTAGAAAGAAATCCATTTCAATAGAAAATTATCCATAGTTTAATGTGGATTTGTCTGTAATTACTCCCAAGGAATTCTTCACTTATCAAAGTCATTGTGCCTAAATTAGATAAGTCATTTTTCTCAGAGAAACAAGTTGAGAAAGCAGAAGACCACACCCAAATCAGGAATACTTGGCACAGCAGAAGCAGCGTGGGGTGGGGCTGGGGATGGAGGCAGGTGAGTCTGATGATTCACTCACGACCAGAGCAGGGCTTGTCAAAGCATCGACATCCGCCCTGTCCCTGGGCTCCTGTTTCCTCAGAGCACATAATCAGGGGCCTTCAGTTCCAGGTGGTCTGTTTTCCCAATCTACAATGCCTGTTGTAACATCTTATCCCTCTTCCTCTTTCCAATTTCCTCTCCCCTTCCTCTTGACCATTTCCCCTTCTCCTCTCTCCTCCTCCCCAGTAACCCCTCTGCATAAGCACGCTCACATATAGTTCCATAAAGCCAAATCCAAGACTCAATCTTTTATTATATGAGAAAACTAAAAACAAGAGTGAAACATCAGAGATTATTTTCCAACATAATAGAATTTTCATATCAGAAGTATATCTAGCAAATCCCTACGCAAATCTCTGCGTTTGACCATTGAGTCAACAGGCCTGAGGAGCTTTTGTGATTGTCTCCAGTTGATATACAACTAAAGTAGGAATTAAAACCAGGGCTCCCAATACCCAGACATTCTCCACCACCATCTGATGACAGTAACACCTTAGACATGTATAAAGTCTGCACTGTAGAAGCACACTTTCCCATATGGGACTCAGCCTAGGCATTAGGCCAGCTGGCTATGTATGACTCCTATTATTACTTATACAAACAATAAGGCTAAGAAAGTGAGTGTCTTCCATTGGGCCACCTGTCTATTAAGTGGCAGAGGCAGGGCTTGAACTCTGGAGTCTTGGGCCAACTGCTGTCTTCCATTGCATGCTCACACTTGTATTTTAGGGTCAAAGGTGCACACACAAATTTATGCATGGCAACAGAAATGATCTGGTTCAAGTAATAAACTCCTAAGTGTGAAGTTAATGCCATAAAATGATTCTGGGAGAGTCTATTTGCTCAGATGGTGCTTCCTGGCTCAGCCTGGAAGCATCATGGCCAGTCTGGATACATTCACCCAAAGTCTCCTCTTAAATTTAGTACTCTGTCTTTAGGGCCTAAGTATTTCATCTGTTTTATCATCAATCTCATCCTGAAACTCAGGATAGAGCGAGCAGTTGCAGTCTAGGGCAGGAACACCAACAAAGACATGAAATATCTGTCAGAGTCCATGATTCCTTGAGATCCACAATTGTGATAGCATTCAAATGATACTCAAAGCTGTTAGGAGACCTAGGTTGTAACATGCGTTTTTTCCACTTAGTGCTATACATATCATAAATGTTTCCACACCCACAAATCTATTTCCATAATGGGATTTGTAGTAGGTGCATAGGATTCCACCGTAGGTGTGCCCTGTATTGTCTGTAGCCAATCCTGAGTTGTTGAATTAAGGTTGTCTCAGATTTTTTATGTTACTAACAGAAAACCTCAGTAACATCTAAGTCATTAGTTATGACTCCTTTCCTATTTGAAGACAATATGAAAAAGTTGGAGTATAGAAGATCAGATTGATGTAGGCTGACATATAGACCTGTATGGTTTCCTCCAAAACACCTTTTCCCCGGAAAGCTGTTTGTTCAATATTTTGATTGGTGCTGTCTAAAGGGAGCTCTTATTTATGAGAAAAAGAGAAGCTGATTAGTACCCCACTCATGAGCATGCATTTATTTAATTAGTCAGTTATGGAATGTTTATTGAACACTGAGTTATGTCCACTGTGCTAGTCATGTGCTAGGCAAAGATGGCCTAAGACAGATTCAAGCTGGGCGTGGTGGCACATGCCGTAGTCCCAGCTACTTAGGAGGCTGAGGTGGGAGGATTGTTTGAGTTTGGGAGGTTGAGGCTGCACTGAGCTATAATCGTGCCACTGCACTGCAGCCTGGGTAACAAAGCCAGACCTTCTCTCAGAAAAAAAAAAAAGACACTTATATCTCGGTTAAAGCTCGCAATCTGGTGGATGAGGTGCTAGTGTACGTTTCAGTCTTCCCTCCTGGAGAATGAGCTGCCCAAAGGCAAGGATGAAGCTGGTCCCCTCTCTGCTCACCTGGCACCTACTTCAGCAATCTGTTCCTTGGAGTCCAAGATAAACATTTACTGAAGGGATGAGCACATTTAACTTAAAGTGAATGATTGAAGCCACTTATTTTCCAAAATTGAGAAAAGAACACAGGGTTATGTGAGAGGGAAGTAACTCAACTTCTTTCCTGCTTTAGAAGAGCCTGAGGTTGAGACTTACTGGGAATTATACAAGAGCATTTCGTCTCTTGTGTTGGCTTGCTTATTTTTACCTTTTATTTGTTTTGGGTCCCATCCAGTCATGAGATTAGTTACCGGCAACTCAGTTCCTTGTTACTAAAGACTTAAAGATAACTAATAAAAATCTTAACAATATTAACATTAAATGATTGTTAATGTATACACCAGGCATGTTATCTATTACTAGTTCCATTAGCTTTAGTATTCCTAATAACTTTCTTTTATCCATAAAGATTGTCCAAAAGCGAATAATTAGAAGAAAAATTTTATAATTGGCCAACTGAAATTTAAATGACTCCCTGTTTTTTTTTTTTTTCTTTTCCTTTTGAGACGAAGTTTCACTCTTGTTGCCCAGGCTGGAGTGCAATGGCGCAATCTTGGCTCACTGCAACCTTTGCCTCCCAGGTTCAAGTGATTCTCCTGCCTCAGCCTCCTGAGTAGCTGGGATTACAGGTACCCACCACCATGTCCGGCTAATTTTTGAATTTTTAGTAGAGACAGGGTTTTGCCATGTTGGCCAGGCTGGTCTCGAACTCCTGACCTCAGGTGATCCACCCACCTCAGCCTCCCAAAGTGCTGGGATTACAGACATGAGCCACCATGCCTGGCCTGTTTTTTGTTATTTTAAAAGATAGAGTCTCACTCTGTCGCCAAGGCTGGAGTGCAGTGGTGCCTTCATGGCTCATTGCAGCCTCGACCTCCCAAGCTCAAGCAATCCTCCCGCCTCAGCCTCCTGCGTAGCTAGGACTACATGCATGTGCCACCACTCCCGGCTAATTTTTATTTTCATTTTTAGTTTTTGTAGAGATAGGGTCTCACTATGTTGCCCAGGTTGAGAATCCCTGACGTTTTATTCATGTTTTAGAAAAAAGTTTTAAACATCTTCCTTAGGAACAACCTTATAAACGTTTTAATTTTCATTTATAGTGAAAGAAACTTGTCTCTCAAGCTTTCTAAAAGTAATTTTGAGAAGTTACTATAAATAACCTAGTTACAGGGCTGGGTGCAGTGGCTCACACCTGTAATCCCAGCACTTTGGGAGGCCGAGGCATGGGGTGGATCAAAAGGTCAAGAGTTTGAGACCAGCCTGGACAACATGGTGAAACCCCGTCTCTACTAAGAATACAAAAATTAGCCAAGCATGGTGGCATGTGCCTGTAATCCCAGCTACTCGGGAGGCTGAGGCAGGAGAATTGCTTGAACCTGGGGGGTGGAGGTTGCAGTGAGCAGAGGTCATACCACTGCACTCCAGCCTGGGTGACAGAGCAAGACTCTGTCTCAAAAAAACAAACAAACAGAGGAGGAGCCAAGATGGCCGAATAGGAACAGCTCCGGTCTACAGCTCCCAGCGTGAGCGACGCAGAAGACGGTGATTTCTGCATTTCCATCTGAGGTACGCGGTTCATCTCACTAGGGAGTGCCAGACAGTGGGCGCAGGTCAGTGGGTGCGCGCACCGTGCACGAGCCGAAGCAGGGCGAGGCATTGCCTCACTCGGGAAGCGCAAGGGGTCAGGGAGTTCCCTTTCCGAGTCAAAGAAAGGGGTGACGGACGCACCTGGAAAATCGGGTCACTCCCACCCGAATATTGCGCTTTTCAGACCGGCTTAAAAAACGGCGCACCACGAGACTATATCCCACACCTGGCTCGGAGGGTCCCACGCCCACGGAGTCTCGCTGATTGCTAGCACAGCAGTCTGAGATCAAACTGCAAGGCGGCAACGAGGCTGGGGGAGGGGCGCCCGCCATTGCCCAGGCTTGATTAGGTAAACAAAGCAGCTGGGAAGCTCCAACTGGGTGCAGCCCACCACAGCTCAAGGAGGCCTGCCTGCCTCTGTAGGCTCCACCTCTGGGGGCAGGGCACAGACAAACAAAAAGACAGCAGTAACCTCTGCAGACTTAAGTGTCCCTGTCTGACAGCTTTGAAGAGAGCAGTGGTTCTCCCAGCACGCAGCTGGAGATCTGAGAATGGGCAGACTGCCTCCTCAAGTGGGTGCCTGACCCCTGACCCCTGAGCAGCCTAACTGGGAGGCACCCCCCAGCAGGGGCACACTGACACCTCACACGGCAGGGTATTCCAACAGATCTGCAGCTGAGGGTCCTGTCTGTTAGAAGGAAAACTAACAACCAGAAAGGACATCCACACTGAAAAACCATCTGTACATCACCATCATCAAAGACCAAAAGTAGATAAAACCACAAAGATGGGGAAAAAACAGAACAGAAAAACTGGAAACTCTAAAACACAGAGCGCCTCTCCTCCTCCAAAGGAACGCAGTTCCTCACCAGCAACGGAACAAAGCTGGATGGAGAATGATTTTGACGAGCTGAGAGAAGAAGGCTTCAGACGATCAAATTACTCTGAGCTACGGGAGGACATTCAAACCAAAGGCAAAGAAGTTGAAAACTTTGAAAAAAATTTAGAAGAATGTATAACTAGAATAACCAATACAGAGAAGTGCTTAAAGGAGCTGATGGAGCTGAAAACCAAGGCTCGAGAACTACGTGAAGAATGCAGAAGCCTCAGGAGCCGATGCGATCAACTGGAAGAAAGGGTATCAGCGATGGAAGATGAAATGAATGAAATGAAGCGAGAAGGGAAGTTTAGAGAAAAAAGAATAAAAAGAAATGAGCAAAGCCTCCAAGAAATATGGGACTATGTGAAAAGACCAAATCTACGTCTGATTGGTGCACCTGAAAGTGATGTGGAGAATGGAACCAAGTTGGAAAACACTCTGCAGAATATTATCCAGGAGAACTTCCCCAATCTAGCAAGGCAGGCCAACGTTCAGATTCAGGAAATACAGAGAACGCCACAAAGATACTCCTCGAGAAGAGCAACTCCAAGACACATAATTGTCAGATTTAAAGTTGAAATGAAGGAAAAAATGTTAAGGGCAGCCAGAGAGAAAGGTCGGGTTACCCTCAAAGGAAAGCCCATCAGACTAACAGCGGATCTCTCGGCAGAAACCCTACAAGCCAGAAGAGAGTGGGGGCCAATATTCAACATTCATAAAGAAAAGAATTTTCAACCCAGAATTTCATATCCAGCCAAACTAAGCTTCATAAGTGAAGGAGAAATAAAATACTTTATAGACAAGCAAATGCTGAGAGATTTTGTCACCACCAGGCCTGCCCTAAAAGAGCTCCTGAAGGAAGCGCTAAATATGGAAAGGAACAACCGGTACCAGCCACTGCAAAATCATGCCAAAATGTAAAGACCATCAAGACTAGGAAGAAACTGCATCAACTAATGAGCAAAATCACCAGCTAACATCATAATGACAGGATCAAATTCACACATAACAATATTAACTTTAAATATAAATGGACTAAATTCTGCAGTTAAAAGACACAGACTGGCAAGTTGGATAAAGAGTAAAGACCCATCAGTGTGCTGTATTCAGGAAACCCATCTCACGTGCAGAGACACACATAGGCTCAAAATAAAAGGATGGAGGAAGATCTACCAAGCCAATGGAAAACAAAAAAAGGCAGGGGTTGCAATCCTAGTCTCTGATAAAACAGACTTTAAACCAACAAAGATCAAAAGAGACAAAGAAGGCCATTACATAATGGTAAAGGGATCAATTCAACAAGAGGAGCTAACTATCCTAAATATTTATGCACCCAATACAGGAGCACCCAGATTCATAAAGCAAGTCCTGAGTGACCTACAAAGAGACTTAGACTCCCACACATTAATAATGGGAGACTTTAACACCCCACTGTCAACATTAGACAGATCAACGAGACAGAAAGTCAACAAGGATACCCAGGAATTGAACTCAGCTCTGCACCAAGCGGACCTAATAGACATCTACAGAACTCTCCACCCCAAATCAACAGAATATACATTTTTTTCAGCACCACACCACACCTATTCCAAAATTGACCACATAGTTGGAAGTAAAGCTCTCCTCAGCAAATGTAAAAGAACAGAAATTATAACAAACTATCTCTCAGACCACAGTGCAATCAAACTAGAACTCAGGATTAAGAATCTCACTCAAAGCCGCTCAACTACATGGAAACTGAACAACCTGCTCCTGAATGACTACTGGGTACATAACGAAATGAAGGCAGAAATAAAGATGTTCTTTGAAACCAACGAGAACAAAGACACCACATACCAGAATCTCTGGGATGCATTCAAAGCAGTGTGTAGAGGGAAATTTATAGCACTAAATGCCTACAAGAGAAAGCAGGAAAGATCCAAAATTGACACCCTAACATCACAATTAAAAGAACTAGAAAAGCAAGAGCAAACTCATTCAAAAGCTAGCAGAAGGCAAGAAATAACTAAAATCAGAGCAGAACTGAAGGAAATAGAGACACAAAAAACCCTTCAAAAAATCAATGAATCCAGGAGCTGGTTTTTTGAAAGGATCAACAAAATTGATAGACCGCTAGCAAGACTAATAAAGAAAAAAAGAGAGAAGAATCAAATAGACACAATAAAAAATGATAAAGGGGATATCACCACCAATCCCACAGAAATACAAACTACCATCAGAGAATACTACAAACACCTCTACGCAAATAAACTAGAAAATCTAGAAGAAATGGATACATTCCTCGACACATACACTCTCCCAAGACTAAACCAGGAAGAAGTTGAATCTCTGAATAGACCAATAACAGGCTCTGAAACTGTGGCAATAATCAATAGTTTACCAACCAAAAAGAGTCCAGGACCAGATGGATTCACAGCCGAATTCTACCAGAGGTACAAGGAGGAACTGGTACCATTCCTTCTGAAACTATTCCAATCAATAGAAAAAGAGGGAATCCTCCCTAACTCATTTTATGAGGCCAGCATCATTCTGATACCAAAGCCGGGCAGAGACACAACCAAAAAAGAGAATTTTAGACCAATATCCTTGATGAACATCGATGCAAAAATCCTCAATAAAATACTGGCAAACCGAATCCAGCAGCACATCAAAAAGCTTATCCACCATGATCAAGTGGGCTTCATCCCTGGGATGCAAGGCTGGTTCAATATACACAAATCAATAAATGTAATCCAGCATATAAACAGAGCCAAAGACAAAAACCACATGATTATCTCAATAGATGCAGAAAAAGCCTTTGACAAAATTCAACAACCCTTCACGCTAAAAACTCTCAATAAATTAGGTATTGATGGGACGTATTTCAAAATAATAAGAGCTATCTATGACAAACCCACAGCCAATATCATATTGAATGGGCAAAAACTGGAAGCATTCCCTTTGAAAACTGGCACAAGACAGGGATGTCCTCTCTCACCACTCCTATTCAACATAGTGTTGGAAGTTCTGGCCAGGGCAATCAGGCAGGAGAAGGAAATAAAGGGTATTCAATTAGGAAAAGAGGAAGTCAAATTGTCCCTGTTTGCAGACGACATGATTGTTTATCTAGAAAACCCCATCGTCTCAGCCCAAAATCTCCTTAAGCTGATAAGCAACTTCAGCAAAGTCTCAGGATACAAAATCAATGTACAAAAATCACAAGCATTCTTATACACCAACAGACAAACAGAGAGCCAAATCATGAGTGAACTCCCATTCACAATTGCTTCAAAGAGAATAAAATACCTAGGAATCCAACTTACAAGGGATGTGAAGGACCTCTTCAAGGAGAACTACAAACCACTGCTCAAGGAAATAAAAGAGGACACAAACAAATGGAAGAACATTCCATGCTCATGGGTAGGAAGAATCAATATTGTGAAAATGGCCATACTGCCCAAGGTAATTTACAGATTCAATGCCATCCCCATCAAGCTACCAATGACTTTCTTCACAGAATTGGAAAAAACTACTTTAAAGTTCATATGGAACCAAAAAAGAGCCCGCATTGCCAAGTCAATCCTAAGCCAAAAGAACAAAGCTGGAGGCATCACACTACCTGACTTCAAACTATACTACAAGGCTACAGTAACCAAAACAGCATGGTACTGGTACCAAAACAGAGATATAGATCAATGGAACAGAACAGAGCCCTCAGAAATAATGCCGCATATCTACAACTATCTGATCTTTGACAAACCTGAGAAAAACAAACAATGGGGAAAGGATTCCCTATTTAATAAATGGTGCTGGGAAAACTGGCTAGCCATATGTAGAAAGCTGAAACTGGATCCCTTCCTTACACCTTATACAAAAATCAATTCAAGATGGATTAAAGATTTAAACGTTAGACCTAAAACCATAAAAACCCTAGAAGAAAACCTAGGCATTACCATTCAGGACATAGGCGTGGGCAAGGACTTCATGTCCAAAACACCAAAAGCAATGGCAACAAAAGCCAAAATTGACAAATGGGATCTAATTAAACTAAAGAGCTTCTGCACAGCAAAAGAAACTACCATCAGAGTGAACAGGCAACCTACACAATGGGAGAAAATTTTCGCAACCTACTCATCTGACAAAGGGCTAATATCCAGAATCTACAATGAACTCAAACAAATTTACAAGAAAAAAACAAACAACCCCATCAAAAAGTGGGCGAAGGACATGAACAGACACTTCTCAAAAGAAGACATTTATGCAGCCAAAAAACACATGAAGAAATGCTCATCATCACTGGCCATCAAGAGAAATGCAAATCAAAACCACTATGAGATATCATCTCACACCAGTTAGAATGGCAATCATTAAAAAGTCAGGAAACAACAGGTGCTGGAGAGGATGTGGAGAAATAGGAACACTTTTACACTGTTGGTGGGACTGTAAACTAGTTCAACCATTGTGGAAGTCAGTGTGGCGATTCCTCAGGGATCTAGAACTAGAAATACCATTTGACCCAGCCATCCCATTACTGGGTATATACCCAAAGGACTATAAATCATGCTGCTATAAAGACACATGCACACGTATGTTTATTGCGGCACTATTCACAATAGCAAAGACTTGGAACCAACCCAAATGTCCAACAATGATAGACTGGATTAAGAAAATGTGGCACATATACACCATGGAATACTATGCAGCCATAAAAAATGATGAGTTCATGTCCTTTGTAGGGACGTGGATGAAATTGGAAACCATCATTCTCAGTAAACTATCGCAAGAACAAAAAACCAAACACCGCATATTCTCACTCATAGGTGGGAATTGAACAATGAGATCACATGGACACAGGAAGGGGAATATCACACTCTGGGGACTGTGGTGGGGTCGGGGGAGGGGGGAGGGATAGCATTGGGAGATATACCTAATGCTAGATGACACGTTAGTGGGTGCAGCGCACCAGCATGGCACATGTATACATATGTAACTAACCTGCACAATGTGCACATGTACCCTAAAACTTAGAGTATAATAAAAAAAAAAAAATTAAAAAAAAAAAAAAAACAAACGAAAAACCTAGTTACAGAATTAATTAACATCCAAGCCAGAAGAAAATTAGAATGATAGACTCTTAGAGCTAGGAAAAGCTAAGAAATAAAATTCAAGTTCTCCAGGTAGATTGATGTTTGTAATTAAGTTCTGAGCACTCATAAAGTTGGGCATTGATAAGGGAGAAAAAAGTTTTGGTCCAATGATAATCAATATACAATTTTCTAGGCACAGATGGGAAACAGCAATGAAAAGATCATAGCTCTTTCAGCCTAGCTTAGAGAAGGAACTCCATGTGGGAGTTAATAGGGTGAGGGAAGGGTAGTGGCTACATGATTTGTGGGCCTTGTTGCAAAATGAGATGGGAGAACCATTTCAAAAATTAAGAATTGACTGGGCACGGTGGCTCACGTCTGTAATCCCAGCACTTTGGGAGGCCAATGTGGGCAGATCATTTGAGGTCAGGAGTTCAAGACAAGCCTGGCCAACGTGGAGAAATCTGTCTCTACTAAAAACACAAAAATTAGCTGGGCGTGGTGGCGGGAGCCTGTAATCCCAGCTACTAGGGATGCTGAGGCAGAAGAATTGCTTGAACCCGGGAGGCAGAGGTTGCACTGAACAGAGATTGTGCCACTGCACTCCAGCCTGGGAGACAGAGAGAGACTCCGTCTCGTAAGAAGAAAAAAAAAAGAAAAGAAAAGACGGAGCAAGACCGTCTCAAATAAAAATAAAAATAAAATAAAATAAAAAACTAAATACAAATAAAAAACTTCAAGACAACACTAGCAGAGCATCACAACGAGCACAAGTTGCACACCCACAAAGCCAGTCCTGGGCAGTGGGTCAAACATTGTCCTGTCCCACCAAACTCAGGTGCCGGGGCTTTTCCACTCATGTCCAGAAGCTCACCTTCTGTTTCCTGGTACTTACAAGCATTTCAGGCTTTAAAAGAACAATCAATGATTATATCCACACTGGCAGATGTCAAGACATGAATGACTCAAATGGGCATGAGGACTGCTGTTTTGTAGACCCACATGCCACAGTGAAAACTCTGGCTTTGATGGCTGCTTTTTCTGTGTAGTTTGCTGTGTTCATTAGCAAAGCAATAGTCCCAAAGAACCTTAAGGCAATAGGAACAAAGAAAAACATCTTTGTCACACCCCCCCAGATTCTCTGTAGCACAATTGCAAAGCTTAGCAATTCTGGGCCCTGCCTCTGAGAAGCCACACCCAGCCCACCCAGCCTCACATACTTTGACTTAACAATTCTCGCCTTGTCCCCTTAAAACTTCCTTAGAGGAGGGATGGCACACACCAGCAAATGGCCTTGGAGGGAAGGCTTTTGGAAGATACCTCTTTTAAGAACCTTATTGCAGAATAATGAGTACATATGCAGCATTTGGGCCACAAGACAAACCACTAAGACAACTGCACCTGTGCCACTATGTTACATGTCACTTGAGAAATGAAATGGGACATACCCCCAGCCTTGGGCAGACACAATCTGACACCAAATTGCCAAGTGGCTGGGGTGGCTGTGACTCGGTGGTAGTGCAGGGTGTTGAAACAAGTATTGAACTAGAACCTAAGGGTCCTTCTTTCTTGATTTGACTTAGCCTCTTTCTAGCTGTGTGAGTTTAGATAAGTTGCATAATCTCTCTGGGTTTTAATGGCTTTGTCTCTTGAATTAGAAGGTTGGATTATCTCAACACTAGGATCTTTTCCTGTGAAGAAAGAGAAATTCTACACATATTTTGTTGAAAATATATTAACAGAAGATAGGGTAAGGAAAGGGGAAAGAGTGTGTTCAAGGGAAAAAGATGTTCATTGACATAAATAATGAAATACCCAGGAGGATGAATCATGTCCAGGACACTAGAGGAGACAAGAGAAAGGACTAATATTTAGGGATTGAAATAATTAGCTACAGAGCACGTCAGGGTGGTGGGCCAGGGAGTTGAAGGATGTTTAGGGCAAGCTCTTGGCTTAGTGTAATAGAAGAGGCGGGGAGAAAGGCTGGATGGGATACAGATTTTAATTTCAAACTTCCAAGAGGTTATTACAAACAACTGGAGAGAAGGTTGTTCTAAATTGTGTTTAATGCGAGTATTCTCTTGTTGGCAGTGATCAGCATTTCCTATAAATACCACTTACATCTTATGGAGTGAAGCTGTGACGGGGAACATGTTAGGAGAAGAGGTGAAGAAAGAGCCATGAGGGAAACTTGGAACCTGAGCCCTTGGCATGAAAAATTGGAGAAACTGAGCTCCCCTCCTTTTATTCTTTTTGGAACTTATGGCAAACAATTGCCTTTTGAATGGCTGTGATCTTATTAGTATACATTTTTGCTTTGCTTTTGAGTATTTAATGTGCTCTCCAGAGACTGGTTCAAAGCCTTTAAAATACCACTTGCCAATTTCTCCTTCTTTCTAATTAATACCAAGTGGTTACATTCAAACTGAAGTTTCAAGCTGATTCAACATAAGCAAAATTAAGTGTAGACTTGAGCTTTGGAGCCGGAATGATCTGAAAATCCCTGCTCCACCACTTGCTAGCTGTATGCCTTAGGAAAATCATAGAACCTATCAGAATTTCAAATGTATCTTCTTTAGCATGAGAATTGTTATGATTATTGAGACAACATCTAACAGTTCTTTTTCTTTTTCTTTTTCTTTTTGAGACAGAGTTTTGCTCTATCACTCAGGCTGGAGTGCAGTGATCCAATCATGGCTCACTGCAGCCTTGTCCTCCTGGGCTCAAGCAATCCTCCTGCCTCAGCCTCACATGTAGCTGGGACCACAGGTGCACATCACCATGCCTGGCTAATTTTTGTATTTTTTGTAGAGATGAGGTTTTGCCATGTTCCCCAGGCTGGTCTTGAACTTCTGACTTCAAGCAATCTGCTCACCTTAGCCTCCCGAAGTGCTGGAACTACAGGCGTAAGCCACTGTGCCCAGCCACTAAGACAGTTCTTGAAACGTAGTAGGAACTCAACAAAGAGTAGCTGTGTCTATTCTTCCATCTATACTTCCCTCTCCCTGAGAGGAAAAGCATGTGATTTGGGAGGTGGGAATTACAGTTGACTCTTGAACATCTCAGGTACTAGGGGCGCCGACCCCCGGCACAGTAAAAAATTTGAGTATACCTTCTGACTCCCCAAAACTTAACTACTCATAGCCTACAGTTGATGGAAGCCTTACCGATAACATAAACAGTCTATTAACACATACTTTGTATATGTATTACATACTGTATTTGTACAATAAAGTAAGCTAGAGAAAAGAAAATGTGATTAAGAAAATCATAAGGAAGAGAAAATATCCTTACTACTCATTAAGTGGAAGTGGACCCTCATAAAGGTCTTCATTCTCGTCGTCTTCATATTGAGTAGGCTGAGGAGGAGGAGAACAAGGAGTTGGTCTTGCTGTCTCAGGAGTGGCAGTGGCAGAAGAAAATCCACATATAGGTGGACCTCCACAGTTCAGGCCCATCCTGTTCAAGGGTCAGTGGTATTAGCACACACACTTATGTTGGTCACATTGCCAAGGGTGACCACTCACCCTGCTCCACTTTGTGCCTGCAGATGAAGGCTTGGGTAAGAGCCTCTCCTCAACATCTCAGCTCCTTATGTGGCTCTGGTGGGTGCCTTATGCATTGGCTCGGGCAGTCCCATGTGCCCGCAATTCCCATTCTTCCCTTCCCACCTCACCCCACTTTGGGGTTCCTCCTAGGGGGTAACTGATGCAGAAACTTTCCCTGACCCTGTCACTTACGGGTCCTTTCACAATACCCTGTGCACACAACACAGTAAATTTCCCTTGCTGGTTGTATTGCTATTATCTCTTTACATGTTAGTCTCCCTCACTGGTCTGTGTGTCCTGAGAGCAGGAACATGGTGTCCAGCACATGATAGGCACCCAACACTTACTGAAAGGAAGAATAAAAGTCATCATATCTAAAATGACCTTTTCTCATCAAATTGTGTTTCCTCCTTGCTTTCCCATTTTGCTGATACCAGGCGGTTTTTCTAGAAGCTCTCTCTGAAAACCCCAGTAAACCTTCCCTTGCTTCCTACTATCGCAAATAGGGTCACATGACAATCTTTGGCCAAGAATGGTGGTCAGAGGCAACATTATGTGACTGCTGAGACACACACTCAATTCTTCAATGCAAGGTTGTCACCGTTTCCTCAAAAGCACATACCCTTGCATTCAGCTGGGATAGATGTTTAAATTAAAAGTAGGATAGTACCAACAAAAATGGGAATGGATATTGAGAAGACAACCACAATATCCGGAATATCAATGGCAAAGCAATGGTGATGAGGCATATTCAATTTTGTCTTTGAATACTGTTGCTTTCATATTTCCCTACTTGATATGACACATTTATGTAATTTTGGTTGGTTTCCTGTCTACCAAGGCTGAAATTAGGGGAAATGTGTGGACACAAATAATATATTGGCCTTGGTGCCAAGATATTCAGGATACTTGGTTCCAAATGGGATTTGGCAATATTTGTGAAGTGAGAGCATGGAGTTGACAGCCCCCAAGAATTGAACATTAGTTCATTTTTATGCTGCTGATAAAGACATACCTGAAACTGAGAATAAAAAGAAGTTTCATTGGACTTACAGTTCCATATGGCTGGGGAGGCCTCAGAATCATGGTGGGAGGCAAAAGGCACTTCTTACCTGGTGGCGACAAGAGAAAAATGAGGAAGAAGCAAAAGCAGAAACCCCTGATAAACCCATCAGATCTCGTGAAACTTATTAACTATAACGAGAATAGCACAGGAAAGACAGGGCCCCATGATTCAATTACCTCCCCCTGGGAGCCTTCCACAACAAGTGGGAATTCTGGGAGATACAATTCAATTTGAGATTTGGATAAGGACACAACCAAACCATATCATTCCATCCCTGGCCCCTCCAAATCTCTTGTCCTCACATTTCAAAACAAATCATGCCTTCCCAACAGTCCCCCAAAGCCCTAACTCATTTCAGCATTAACCCAAAAGTCCACAGTCCAAAGTCTCACCTGAGACAAGGCAAGTCCCTTCCACCTAAGAGCCTGTAAAATCAAAAGCAAGCTAGTTACTTCCTAGATACACGAGGATACAGGTATTGGGTAAACACAGCCATTCCAAATTGGAGAAATTGGCCAAACAAAGGGGTTACAGGGCCCATGCAAGTCCAAAATCCAGCAGGGCAGACAAATTTTTAAGGTCCAAAATGATCTCTTTTGACTCCAGGTTTCATATCCGGGCCATGCTGATGCAAGAGGTGGGTTCCAATGGTCTTGGGCAGCTCCACTCCTGTGGCTTTGCAGAGTACAGCCTCCCTCCCAGCTACTTTCACAGGCTGGCATTTAGTGTCTGCAGCTTTTCCAGGCACATGGTGCAAACTGTCAGTGAATCTACCATTCTGGGGTCTGGAGGACAGTGACCCTCTTCTCACAGCTCCATTAGGCAGTGACCCAGTAGGGGCTATGTGTGTGGGCTCTGATCCCACATTTCCCTTGCATTGCCCTAGCAGAGGTTCTCTATGAGGGCCCTGCCCCTGCAGCAAACTTTTGCCTGGACATCCAGGAGTTGCCATACATCTTCTGAAATCTAGGCAGAGGTTCCCAAACCTCAATTCTTGACTTCTGTGCACCTGCAAGCTCAACACACGTGGAAGCTGCCAAGGTTTGGGGCTTCCACTCTCTGAAGCCACAACTCCCTATGTTGGGCCCTTTCAGCCAAAGCTGGAACAATTGGGATGCAGGGCACCAAGTCCCTAGGGTGCACACAGCATGGGGTCCTTGGGCCCAGCTCACAAAACCACTTTTTCCTCCTGGGCCTCCAGGACTGTGATGGGAGGGGCTGCTGTGAAGGTCTCTGACATGGTCTGAAGACATTTTCCCCATGGTCTTGAAGATTAACATTAGGTTCCTTGCTACTTATGCAAATTTCTTCAGCTGGCTTGAATTTCTACCCAGAAAAATGGGTTTTTCTTTTCTATTGCATAGTCAGGCTACAAATTTTCCAAACTTTTATGTTCTGCTTACCCTATAAAACTGAATGCCTTTAACAGAACTCAAGTCACCTCTTGAATGCTTTGCTGCTTAGAAACTTCTTCTGCCAGAGGCTGGGCGTGGTGGCTCACACGCCTGTAATCCTAGCACTTTGGGAGGCCGAGGCAGGCAGATCATGAGGTCAGGAGTTTGAGACCAGCCTGGCCAATATGGTGAAACCCCGTCTCTACTAAAAATACAAAAATTAGCTGGGCGTGGTGGCGGGCACATATAGTCCCAGCTACTTAGAAGGCTGAGGCAGAAGAATTGTTTGAACCTGGGAGGCGGAGGTTGCAGTGAGCCAAGATCATGCCACTGCACTCCAGCCTGGGTGACAGAGAGAGACTCTGTCTCAAAAAAAAAAAAAAATTCTTCTGCCAGATTCCCTAAATCATCTTTCTTAAGTTCAAAGTTCCACAAATCTCTAGGGCAGGGGTAAAATGCCACCAGTCTCTTTGCTAAAACATAACAAGAGTCACCTTTGCTCCAGTTCCCAACAAATTCTTCATCTTCATCTGAGACCACCTCAGCCTGGACCTTATTATCCATATTGCTATCAGCATTTTGGGCAAAGCCATTCAACAAGTCTCTAGGAGGTTCCAAACTTTCCTACATTTTTCTGTCTTCCTCTGAGCCTTCCAAACTGTTCCAACCTCCGCCTGTTACCCAGTTCCAAAGTCGCTTCCATATTTTAGGGTATTTTTCAGCACTGCCCCACTCTACTGGTACTAATTTACTGTATTAGTTCGCTTTCACGCTGCTGATAAAGACACACCTGAGACTGGGAACAAAAAGAGGTTTAATTGCACTTACAGTTCCACATGGCTGGGGAGGCCTCAGAATCATGGTGGGAGGCAAAAGCCACTTCTTACACGGCAGCAGCAAGAGAAAAATGAGGAAGAAGCAAAAGTTGAAACTCCTGGTAAACCCATCAGATCTCGTGAGACTTATTAACTATAACAAGAATAGCACGGGAAAGACCAGCCCCCATGATTCAATTACCTCTCCCTGGGTCCCTCCCACAACACATGGGAATTCTGGGAGATACAATTCAAGTTGAGATTTGGATGGGGACACAGCCAAACCATATCACTGGTGATGCCTATAAACACAAACATCTCCTAACTGGGGAGAAGGTCATGCTGACAGGTTTGCTCCTCCTATATCTTTGATAATGACCCCCATGACTTTTCATGCAAATGGGAAGATGAACTGAGAGCAGATTTGGAAATGGACATTTAGAGAATGGGGTTGTATTACATGCAATGCTTTGTCGGAACATACTTCTTAGAGTTAAACTTGGAATGTTGCCTTGCCTTCACCTGACTCTGTGAAACTAATATGAAGTTTCCTAAGGTTATTCGCATCAGGCTGGCCTTCTATCCTCAGTGCTCAAGGAGCCATAGTACTGAAGAAGAAAGTCCTAGAAACAGAAATATATTTTCACTCCCCTACTCAAAATCTATAATGGACCCCCACAGCCAACCATTTGAAACATAAACTCCCTACCCCCACACTCAAGGGCAGCTGCGTTCTGGTTCCAGCCATCCTTATGAGACTTTTTAATGTACTCAACATCGCAGGAAGCCTGGGCAGGTGTGTGTGCTACTCTCTGCTCACTCCCACTATACCCCTTTACCCCACCCATTTATTCAGTCTTTTTTTTTTATTTTTTTAGTGACAGGGTCTCACTCTGTTGCCCAGGCTGGAGTACAGTGGCATGAACATAGCTCACTGCAGCCTCCAACTCCTGGGCTCAAGGGATCCTCCCATCATAGCCTCCTGAGTAGCTGGGACTACAGATGCGCACCACTATGCATGGCTTTTTTTTTTTTGAGATGGAGTCTCACTCTGTCACCCAGGCTAGAGTGCAGTGGCACGATCTTGGCTCACTGCAACCTCCACCTCCTGGGTTTAAGCGATTCTCCTGCCTCAGCCTCCCAAGTAGCTGGGATTACAGGCATTAGCCACTTTGCCTGGCTAATTTTTGTATTTTTAGTAGAGAGGAGGTTTTACCATGTTGGCCAGGCTGGTCTGGAACTCCTGACCTCAAGTGATCCACCTGCCTTGGCCTCCCAAAGTGCTGGGATTACAGGTGTGAGCCACCGTGCCCGGCCCTATGCACGGCTATTTAAACATTTTTTTTTGTAGAGATGGGACGTCGCTATGTTGCCCAGGCTGCTCTTAAACTCCTGAGCTCAAGTGATCCTCCTCCCTTGATCTCCCAAAGCTCTGGGATTACAGGCACCATTTCTTCAGCCTCGAATGCCCTCCCTTCACCATCCTTTTTTCAAGCCCACCTTGCACGCTCCCTCCTCCCCAGCCTGAAACCAACTGTCCTGCCTTGGCCATCTCCTAGTTCTTTGCTTATGTGCATCATGCGCATGTGCCCAGTGCTGAATCTGTGAACAGCAGGCAGGACTGTGCTTGTGATATCTTCCTTACATTGCTGGAGGTTACTTTTGTTGGAAAAAACCATGGGGAAACCATTTGCACATAGGTAATAACAGTTTTGGAAATTCTGCTTTATTATTGAGAAAAGTTCTTGATAAGAAAGATTTGTGTGAATCAATGTAGTATTTAATCCACTGGAGCACATTTGTAGGAGAGAGCACTGATGAAGATCCCAACTTCTTTTATACTTTCTTTTACTTCACTAGTTTTTTTTTCATGATACTGAAAGGCTTACATTTTTCAATTGCAGCCCCATATATCCATTTGTGGGGCACAATGCTGTTACGGGGTAAAAAATGAAGTGCTAATATGTACATCTAGGTTAATTACAAAACATTTCTCCCCTTCCCCTTTTCATATGCCCCCTTCTGTCTTTTCTATTTGGATTGGCATGGAAGCACGGTGTTTCTGCCAAATTAGTAAGTTGAAATAAAAAAAAAAAATTCTTTTTCAGCCGGAAGAGTGTCAGTGTTGATCTAGCGGGGAAATGGGTGCTGATTTGTGTCCTGGCAGACCCTCTCACAAAAAAAGAAAAAAGAAAAAAAAAAAAACATCAGGAGTGCTTGAGGAAACTCCAGCATGAATAAATGGGTTGCTTGATAGTTTAAATAAATGTACTTGCACTAAACTATCTAAATATGGTTGTCTTTTCGAATGAAGCAAAAGAAGGTCTAGATGGATGAAAACAGAATAATTCCAAGCCTGTTCCAATTCTAACTCTTAGTTGAACACATATACATAGCTGCACACACAGACCATGCAGTTTTCTACATAGATTATGGCTAATGAGTTTCATAAGAAAGCAGTGAGAATGGCTGGTAATTATTTTGTCACATGTATAGACAGCCAAAGTCCTGATATCTAGGTCTCTGCAGGAACTTTTCTACCTACATCAATTAATCTCAAGAACTTTTAGCAATTTTTGAATGTTTCTCAATATGGCAGGAGGTCCTGAGCCCAGGAGCAATTTTTTTCTCTTTTTAAAAATTTATTATGATTATTATTTTAAAATGGGATTTGGCCATGTTGTCCAGGCAGGTCTCGAACTTCTGGGCTCAAGCAATCTACCCCACTCGGCCTCCCAAAGTGCTGGGATTATAGGTGTGGGTCACTGCTCCTGGCCAGAGCAATTTCACTGAGCAAAGTTTTACTCTAAGTCCTGACAGAGGTGCCCCAGGACCTCAGAGCCTTCTGCTGTATTTGCTTATGAAAAAATAAAGAAAATGGATGAACTCTCAGCCAGGTGTCTTGGGCTGAGGACTTGAGATATTAAGGGGTTAACCTGAGTGATTAATGGGAGTCGGTGGCACAGCCAACCAGGGAGACAGCAGAGCACTCAGGAGAGAGGTGCCTGGACCTACTCTGTCACCCAGAGTAGTTAGAGACAACTGTCAAATGTGGAGAGGGCAGGACATGCAAACAAAAGATAGGATTCAGGCCCCCCTCACGACTCCTCAACCCTCACTACTTCCTGTGTTGTTTAGAGCAGGGGTCCATTGGTATGTGAGAAGAAAAAATAAAGATTTCTGATTATATTAATATTCTATTTCTTACATTAGGTACCTAGAGTAGTCAACTTCATAGAAACAGAAAGTGGAATAGCGGTTACCAGGGGCTGTGTGGAGAGAGGAACATGAAGTTGTTGTTTAACTATAGGGTTTCGGGTTTACAGGATGAAAACATTCTGAAGATGGCTGATGGTGGTGGCTGTACAACATGAATACACTTAATGCCACCTAACTGTACACTAAAAAATGATTAAAATAGTAACTTTTATGTGATGTATAGTTTATGACAATGAAAAATAAATAAGCATATAAAAATAAACACTCCTACTCTATCACTTCCCAATAAAGGTGATATGTTCACAATGAGTGAGAAAGTAAATATTGTCTGAATGGAATTAATGCTATAAAGTATGAAACTGGATGAATGGTAACAGTTCCACAATCATAGAGTTTTGTTGTCAAAAATAGTGTGTGACATCTATAAAGTCTCTAATATCTGCATATTTAAAAAACTTGGGAAGAGAATTTCTAGCTTTAACAAATCTTCTATTTTAAAAATTTCAATCGTTTCAAATCCACAACACAAAAATGCAACACTTTTTCATTAACTTGCAAGATCCAGCTGACTAACATTAGGGAATATTAAAGTTTACTAGCTGAATTTGACCAAAAGAGCTTTGCATAACTGCTGGATCCAATTAAAAATTAAGTATGATGTTTCAGAAAGTTTAGCCAATGATGCAATTCTTCTATTTGTGTCTATTTATCATTGTAAGAAATCTTTTTCTATGTAGTCCATTAAAAACCAAGTGTTACGTGAATACATAAGTTAGTGTACATGCCTATCTTAATCCTGTCCACTGAATGAGGCTAGAAGAAATGACACCCCAATAGCAATGAACATACCCAGTGCTTAGATCTTGGTCTCTAAATACCATTCTCCTACTAAAGAAACCAGGACTCCTAGAAGAAATGGCTGATTCCAGGACTGGGGCAGAGAAAATACAAGATGAACCAGAAGCATCTTGTAATACCTGAGAGCAAGAAACCATCCCCCAAAACCACAAAAGGATGGTAGCAAGTCAAAGGGACACAGGAGCCAATCTAAAAGAATTCACAATGGCCAGGAACTCAGGGGTATTCAGGGGGAAAGGGTGGGAAATGAGTGAGGGATAAAAGACAACAAATTGGGTGCAGTGTATGCTGCTCAGTTGATGGGTGCACCAAAGTCTCACAAATCACCACTAAAGAAATTACTCATGTAACCAAACACCATCTGTTCCCCAATAACCTATAGAAAAACAAAATCCCAACTCAGATTCAAGGGGAAGGGATCTCATGAATGCAAATAAATAAATAAATTAATTAATTAATTAAAAAATAAAAGAATTTACAATGGCCAAAGCTGGAAAATTTTGAGCAAAAGAATAAATAATGTAGTATAGGATTATAACCCAAATTATCAAATAAATATTCATGAGTCAATGCTAACGTAAATAAATGATTGGATAAATAAATTTTTAAAAAGGGAGAGACAAACCTTTACAGAATTCCAAACAATGTATGTAGATACTCCTTCTCTAGGGGGTAGAACTTAATTCTCAACTCCCTGTCCCCTGCCATGAAAGTGGGCTACACATAGCGACTTGCTTCCAAACAATAGGGTAGCAAAAGGGGAAAACAGCAGCTCCTCAGTGAGGAAGCCCAACAAATAATGTCTTAACCAAGTGACGGCTAACATCCTCTATGACAGCACGTGGCTATCACGTACCCCTGATATGACATAGTGGGAGGGGCACTTGACCTCTGTGCTATTTTTAAATAGAAATTCTTTATTCTTTAAAAATTATTATTAATAATAATAATAACCATAATCATGAGAAAAATAACAGACACACAGATTGAAGAGCATTTTACAGGATATTTGGCTAATACTTCCCAAGACTGCCAAGGTCATAAATAACAAGAGAAGACTGAGAAACTTACAGACCAGAGCGGACTGAGGAGACATGACAGCTAAATGCAATTTAGGACCCTTGGTAGCTTCCTGGAACAGAAAGAGGACATTAATGACAAAGTGATGAAATCCAAATAAGTCTGGAGTTTAGCTGAAAATAATGCAACAATGTCAGTTTCTTAGTTTTGACAAATGTACCATGGTAATGTAAGATGTTAACAATGGAGAAACGAGGGGAGTGGTATATACACAAGTCTGTACTATCTTTACAAGTTCTTTGTGTTTTTGAGATAGGACGTTGCTCTGTTGCCCAGGCTGGGGTGCAGTGGTGTGAACATGGCTCATTGCAGCCTCGACCTCCTGGGCTGAAGCCATCCTCCCACCTTAGCCTCCCATGTAGTTGGGACTACAGGCATGTGCCACCATGCCTGGCAATTTTTTTTTTTTTTTTTTTTTTGGTAGAGACAGGGTCTGGACATGTTGCCTAGGTTGGTCTTGAACTCTTAGACTCAGGTGATCCTCCTACCTTGGCCTGCCAGAGTGCTGTAATCTCAGCACTCTGGCAGGCATGAGCCACTGTGCTCAGCCTGTAACATTTTATAAATCTAAAATTATTCCAAAATAAAAATATTATTTTTAGGCTGGGTGTGGTGACTCTTGCATGTAATCCCAGCAGTTTGGGAGGCCAACGCAGGCAGGTCACTTGAGGTCAGGAGTTCGAGACCAGCCTGGCCAATATGGTGAAACCCCATCTCTACTAAAAATACAAAAATTAGCCCGACATGGTGGCAGCTATAATCCCAGCTACTCAAAAGGCTGAGGCAGGAGAATCACTTGAACATGGGAGGCGGAGGTTGCAGTGAGTCGAAATCGTGCCCATGCACTCCAGCCTGGGTGACGGAGTGAGACTCTGTCTCAAAAAAAAAAAAAAGTTTAAAAAAAAAATCAAAATATATTAAATTGAGGACCAAACTTGAAAATCATTACATGACAAAGTATTAAACCAAGATTTTCATAAATACTGACATTTTGACTATCACATCCCTAAAAATTAACATTACTTATAATTGAAGCAAAAGCAAAAATAATTTTTAATTAATAGAGTTATCTTTAAAACATCATTTATTTCATTTTTTTTATCTGTTTAAAACATGTTTTATTGTATCTTCTATAATGCACTCAATATACGAACATTGTCATAGATTTTACAATTTATAGATGAATAAACTTACCTATGTTTGGAATACAGAAACATTTTCACAGGAATATGAGGCTAAAAATTGTTTGTGGATCAGTGGTTAAAGGATATAACTACCATGTCATATAGAAATCAAGCAAGAATGTCTTGGTACAGGTAAGTGATCATGTATAAGTCACCTTGCTTCTCTGAGCCTCATTTTTCTCATTCATGAAATGGGGACAGTAATACTACCTACTGCTCAAGCTTGTTATTTTGGTCAAATGAGATCATGAATGTGAAAAGCTTCACAGACAGTACAGTGCCCCATAAAGGTGAGCAGGAATTCAGACTAACGAAGGTGGGGCATCTATGGTACCAATGCTGAAAGCTGCAATGCAAGGTCAGAAAAGGCACAAAGTGGACAACTGATTGCTAACTGAAGCAACCTAGGGGGCTTTATACTATGGGCCCTTAGTCCCTCCCTGGGCATTCAAGGTGGCAGGAGTCAGACCCAGAATCCCTTCAGGTCAGCTGGAGCCTTATGAACAGCTGAGGTCATGGAGTCATTGAGTCCTAGAAGCTGGGCCTCAGGTTTCATCTTTGGGTTCAAAACCTTGCTCTGATCAGTTCACTCAGAAGTATTGGAGTTGGGGGAATGTCCAAACTTGAGAAAATTGATTTATGTGCTGATCTGTTTGCAGTGGAGAGGGGAATACTTGGCCCACTGGCCAGGACATGCCTTTCCTTATAAGTTTTGCTTGGAGAATGGAAGATTAGAATGCAAAGAGTTGAGATCTTCATCCAGTTGGATATTTTGCCCGGGGCAGGAACAACTTGCCACTCAAACTGGAGTTCCTCAGTATGCTGGACAGAGGTTCTCTTCTCCGGGTTCCTTGATGGTGACCTCCTCTTTCTGTTACCATAACAACACTCCTTGTTCTCCATTTCATCCAGTTCTCACCATGGGTGACAATCCAGCGACAAAGTGTTAACAGAGATGGTGCCTGCTCCTTCTCATATCTTTGGAGGCATGTTAATCTCATCAGTAGCGTCTCTAAACCCCACAGCAGGGCCTTTCCTTCTGAAAGGGCTTCAGACCATCTGGACCTGTCTGGGTGAATTTCAATAGCTTGAATCTCAGAAGCTATTGCTGTTGTATAGGGCTGTCATTTTAAAAAATTTTTTTAATAATAAAATGATGCTCAGAGGGTGATATTTCCCCAACTTCGGCGTCATGTCCTCTCTTGACCTTCCCCTCCAGATGTGTCCCGTCTTAACTCTCAGGGCCTTTCTTGAGGCTGTTTGTGTTTCCTCTACAATGAGTAAGACCTGATGATTGTGTGTGTGTGTGTGTGTTTGTGTGTGTGTGTGTGTGTGCACGCGCGCGTGCACGCGTGCATTCAGGCCCTTCTGTTTCCCTCCTCACTGATCTTCAGAGATTTGAGCCTGAAGCCAACTGCTGCAACTTCCTGTGTAAACAAAAACAGCCTGTCAAGATCCAAACAAAAAAATACAAACATCTCCTTATGTAGCAGTTATAGCATTCATTTCTCTTGGAAGAAGACTTTACATATCCTCCTGAGAAGCTGGGTACCCCAATCTAAAATTATTAAGATTCTTAATTCATGAAGTTTTGAACAAAGTTTGGTCTCATTAAAAAAAAATTGATGGTGCTGCACAAAACACAACCATCTCTTTCATCTGAATGTTTTGAAAAGCTGCAAAAGTTATGGATTCCACTGTCAGAAGGAGACTCCTTTGATAAAGGAATGTTTTTAATTATTTAAATACCTTCACAGCAAGAGCTTACGGTGGGTTGGTTTCTATAAGTATTACTGGCGTCTCACTGCAGGTAACTGTGTAACTGTCAAAGCCACTGATTAAACAACCTGGCATGAGGCAAAGTATCAGCATGAGGATGTGTATCCCACATATAAACATGCAGCGCCGTCTTAATTGTATATTTTTAAATAACTTAAAGAATGTCACTGGATTGCTTGTAACTCAAAAGATAAATGTGTAAGGGGTGGATGCTCCATTCCCCATGACGTGCTTGTTTCACACTGCATGCCTGTATCAAAACATCTCATATACCCCATAAATATATACACCATGTACCCACAAACATTTTTTAAATAATTTAAAAAAATTTTTTAAAGTGCTGCATGCAATATTAACAGCCATCTGTTTGCTATACTTTATTCACTTTCACCTCTGAGTAAACTGAAGTATTATTATATCCTAAACCACCACAGACTTCCAGGGTTCAGGTAGGAGGAATGCAATTCAGCCACAGACCTCTGCTGGCTTTTTATCTTTTAAAAGATAGTTAAAGAATAACATCTGCAGGGCATGGTGGCTCACACCTGTAATCCTGGCACTTTGGGAGGCCGAGGCAGGTGGATCACTTGAGGTCAGGAGCTCGAGACCAGCCTGGCCAACATGGTGAAACCCTGTCTCCACTAAAAATGCAAAAATGAGCCGGGCATGGTGGCGGGTGCCTGTAATCTCAGCAACTCGGGAGGCTGAGGCAGGAGAATTGCTGGAACCCAGGAGGCAGAGGTTGCAGTGAGCCAAGATCGCACCATTGCACTCCAGCCCAGGTCGACAACAGCGAGACTTAGTCAAAAAAAAAAAAAAGAATAACATCAAAGACAAAGGATTATTTTCCAATCCATAGGCAATTAGGAGTAGCCTTGAGAATTTATGAAAATAGAATTCTCTATTTCTTCTATCCCTTGGGAAAACATTTTCACATATAGAGAGGTAATTGCTATCCCTGGAATCTTTTCTGACTGCTCTTGTTCAAAATGAGCACTGAAAAGGCTTTAAATGAGGTCAAAGTGGAACTGGCCAAAACCACTAAGTATTCTTTTTAACTTAGACAGCTAGATAAGAATACACAGAATTCTTCCCTCTCCTCTTTTCTCCTTTTCTTCCCTCCTATTGTCTTTTTTTTCTTTTTTTCCAAAAAAATTTAACAACACCTACTCTGTACAAACATTATACTAGACACTTGGGATACAGAGATAAATAAGAAGTGGTCCCACATGTCAGATCACCAACTATGGAAGTCAAAAAACTTAGGTCGTTCATTTGTTCATTCATTCATACAAATAGTACCTATTGAGCACCTACTGTGTACTGTGTGTAACCTACACTGTGGTCACAATAAAAAGCTCAGTTACCTAGGGATGTCAGTGAATGCTCATGCCACCTGGGCCAAAAATAAAGGGATGGTAGATGTTCAGGTTATCAATTTTCCCCCCTGCCTGTGTATTTCAAATATACGATAATAATAAAAACAATAAATGTGTTCAAATGATCCACTGTCTAAATCTTTGACATAAAAAATTATCACTAAGAGTAAATGGAATAAAATACCCATAAGGCACTAGGAGGTATCAGTTGAACTGAAACACAGTAAAATGACTTATGTCAAAGATAAGAAACTGGAGACTAGAGGATCCCTGCAGAGTATGTAAAGATATCTTTCCCTTATTATGTAACTTTCTTGCCTGAAAGATGTGCCTCACCTGTTAAAACACTTGTATCTGCCTACTTAGACTTGAAAAAAGATTATTTTTCAACTCTTCAAAATGGAGAATGTCAGTGTACTTTGAACCATTTGTCAAAAATATAAAAAAGCAGCATCCTCCCATCAGGGAAGATGAAAATTTTCTTTTCTTTTTTCTTTTTTTTTTTTTTTGAGGCGGAGTCTGTCGCCCAGGCTGGAGTGCAGTGGCGCAATCTCGGCTCACTGCAAGCTCCGCCTCCCGGGTTCACACCATTCTCCTGCCTCAGCCTCCCGAGTAGCTGGGATTACAGGCGCCCGCCACCACGCCCGGCTAATTTTTGAATTTTTAGTAGAGACAGGGTTTCACCATGTTAGCCAGGGTGGTCTCGATCTCCTGACCTCGTGATCCGCCTGCCTCGGCCTCCCAAAGTGCTGGGATTACAGGCGTGAGCCACGCACCCGGCCCAAACACCATTATTTGTAATGGTATATATATATATACACACATGCCATTATTCGTAATGGTATATACATATATACATGCCATTATTTGTAATGGTATATATATATATATATACATATATATACATGCCATTACATTATTTGTAATGGTATATATATATACACACACACACACACACACACACATATATATATATACACACCATTATTTGTAATGGTGTGTGTGTATATATATATATGTATATATACACACCATTATTTGTAATGATATATATATACACACCATTATTTGTAATGATATATATACACACCATTATTTGTAATGGTATATATATATGTATACACACACACACACACACACACACACCGTTATTTGTAATGGTATATATATATATACACCATTATTTGTAATGGTGTGTGTGTGTGTATATATACACATATATATGTGTGTGTGTGTGTATATATATATATATATATATATATATATACACACACACCATTATTTGTAACTGCACCCAACAACGCACATCTTTCAGCTTCGTATGTATATATTTTTTGTGAAGTATCTTTTTCTGCTATCATAGCCATTAAAATCAAGTATATAGAAATAAACTGAACTGAGAACCAAACCCTTTGAGGGTTAAACTGTTAAACCAAGATTTTATTTTTATTTTTATTTTTTATTTTTTATTTTTATTTATTTATTTTTTTGAGACGGAGTCTCGCTGTGTCCCCAGGCTGGAGTGCAGGGGCGCGATCTCAGCTCACTGCAAGCTCCGCCTCCCGGGTTCACGCCATTCTCCTGCCTCGGCCACCCGAGTAGCTGGGACTACAGGCGCCCACCACCACGCCCGGCTAATTTTTCGTATTTTTAGTAGAGACGGGGTTTCACCGTGTTAGCCAGGATGGTCTCGATCTCCTGACCTCGTGATCCGCCCGCCTCGGCCTCCCAAAGTGCTGGGATGACAGGCGTGAGCCACCGCGCCCGGCCTAAACCAAGATTTTAAAATACGAAGAAGTATTTAATGTCTCAGTAAAGTGAGAACAAAGGTTGTTTAACATAAATAAATGTTTTAGATTATTAGATGTTACTACTTATTATTAACTATTACATATTCAAATACTTGAAAATTTGCTAGCCGTAAATGCTCATAGTAGTAAAGAATAGGCCGGGTGGCTGAGGCAGGGGAATGGCGTGAACCCGGGAGGCGGAGCTTGCAGTGAGCCGAGATCGCGCCGCCGCACTCCAGCCTGGGCGACAGAGCGAGACTCCGTCTCAAAAAAAAAAAAAAAAAAAAGAATAAAGGCTGAAATTCTGTGAACTGAACATGCTGCTTAAGACGTTAAAAAGAGTAACGGGGAAAAAAGGAAAGTAAACGGAGGAAAACAATCAAGAGATCAGAAATTAATGGGGGAAATGCTTCAATAAAGAGGACCAACAAAGCCGGAAACTGGTTATCTCAAAAGACTAATGAAATTGTCACATCTGGCAAGACTGATCAAGAAAACAAGATAAAGTATCCATAAATTATATTAGAAATAGAAAAGAAGACATAACTGTAATTATAGCAGAAATTTACAATAGTATGTGATAATACTATATACAACTTTATGCCAATAAATTTCAAAATCATAAATGAAATACGTAATTTACTAGAAAACTATACATTACAAAAACTGATTCAAGAAACGGAAAATCGTAATGGTTCATATACATTAAAGAAACTGAATCATAAAAAAATTTAAAGAAATCGAATTCATAAAAGAAATGGAAGTAATTCAAAATCTTTCCTTAAAGAAAATACGAGACCCATTGTTTTATTGTTAAGTATTACCAGACATCTAAGAGTTAAATAACTTCAAGCTTTACAATATTTTCAAATTATAAATCCCTAATTCATATTATGACACCAGCTTAACCTTAACGCTAAAACTGGTCCCAGCCAGCACACTAAATTTTTGGAAAATTAAGAGGGTTGGAAAGGGTAAAACAAAGCTACCATTCAGAGACGATAGACTTGTTCACATAGAAGACCCAAAGAAGCTTATACATTATTAGAATTAAAATAAGATTAGTAAAATTTCCAAATACTAAATAAATATACCAGGTTAATTGCCTTTCTCTTCACCAGCTACTATCAATTAGAATATGCAAATAAGAACATTTTATTAATAATTTAATACTAGCAATAAAAATATAAAATACCCAGGAGTAAGTCCAACAAAAGATGTATGAGACTTACATGTAAAAATTATAAAACTTTTTAAAGAAGGCATTAAAAAAAACTTTTTTTTTTGAGACGGAGTTTATCTCTTGTCACCCAGGCTAGAATGCAATGGCGTGGTCTTGGCTCGCTGCAACCTCTGTCTCCAGGTTCAAGCGATTCTCCTGCCTCAGCCTCCTGAGTAGCTGGGATTACAGGTGCCAGCCACCATGTTCGGCTAATTTTTGTATTTTTAGTAGAGATGGGGTTTCACCATGTTGGCCAAGCTGGTCTCGAACTTCTGACCTCAGGTGATTCACCCACCTTGGCCTCCCAAAGTGCTGGGATAATAGGCATGAGCCACCACGCCCAGCCAAAACTTTTTCAAGAATAGAAAGATGGCACATTTATAGATAAAGACTCAATATTTAAAGTCACAAATCCCCTCATCCCAACGATTTATCGATTCAATGTAAATCCAATCAAAATCTCAAAAACAGTCTATCATGAAATTTGTCAAGATGATTCTAAAATTTATAAGGAAGACCAAAAACTCAATAATATAGCAAAGACATTCATGCAAAATAAAAGAGAAGGATGTGCTTACCAGGTATCAAGACTTATTATTCTATAGCTACTGTATTAATTTAAATGATGCAGTAATCGTGTAGGGACAGACAAACCGAATCAACATACATGGAAAACTGATGAGACCATTCAACCTGTGGTGCTGAAGCAATTATCCATATTTAAAGAAATGAAAATGTATCCCTACCTTACACTATTCAAGGTAAATTGAGGAATTTATCAATTCAAGACAGATTAAGGGACTTAAATGTGAAAGGCAAAACCTTTAAACTTTTAGTATACAGTACCTTAAAGTAGGGACAGATTTCTCAAATAAGATATAAAAATCACTAGCTATAAAATATTGAAGAATTCAACTACAGTATAAGTCAGCAGTCCCCAACCCCCAGGCCACAAACCAGTACCTGTCCGTGGCCTGTCAGGAACCCAGCTGCACATCAGGAGGTGAGTGGTGGGTGAGTGAGCTTTACCACCTGAACTCTGCCTCCTGTCAGATCAGCCTGGACATTTGATTCTCATAGGAGCTCAAACCCCATGTGAACTGTGCATGCGAGGGATCTAGGTTGCATGTGCCTTATGAGAATCTAATGCCTGATGATCTGTCACTGTCTCCCTTCACTCCCAGATGGGACTGTCTAGTTGCAGGAAAACAAGCTCAGGGCTCCCACTGATTCTACATTATGGTGAGTAAGTAATAATAATAGAAATAAGGTGCGGAATAAATGTAATGTGCTTAAATCATCCCCAAACCACCCCCATCTCACCCCGCCTGTCAATGGAAAAATTGTGTTCCACAAAACCGATCCCTGGTGCCAAAAAGGTTGGGGACCACTTGTATATGTTACAATTTTTGATAGTCAAAAGATACAGTAGTCCCCCCTTATCTCTTGGGGAGACACTCCAAGACCCCCAGTGGATGCCTGAAACCACAGATAGTCCCCAACCCTATATATACTGTATGTATAGTTGTTCCTATACATATAAACTTGTAATAAAGTTTAATTTATAAATCAGGCACAGTAAGAGATTAACAAGAATAATATAACAATTAGACTGTTATAAAAGTTATATGAATGTGGTCTCTATCTCTCTTTCTTTCTCAAAATACTGAAATATTTTTGGGCCTCGACTGACCACATGTAACAAATCTCAGAGAGTGAAACATGGCCTTCTGTATTATAAAGACAGTAAAAAAGGTATGCCTTGAAACAAGATTTTTAGAGCACATATGATGAATTGTTTCTATTCTATATTGTTGTGTAACTACAAATTTTCTGACTGGAAACAATAATTATTTTATTACCTGTGAGTCTCTGAATCAGGAAATTGGGCTGAGATCAATGGGCAGTTCTCTTTCCTGGAGCATAAGTGGGGATCACAGGTGCAACCAGCTGAGAGTTTGGCTGAGGCTTCCAAGACAGTTTCATTTGTATGGATAGAGCATCAGCTGAGGCGGTTGGAATGAGTAGGGGCTGCCTGGGCCTCTCTTTCTCTGTATACCATGTCTCATCCTGTGGAAAGTCTCTCTGCGTGGCCTCTCTCTCCATCAGGATAGCTGGAGCTTTTCGCACAGCCGCTAACTTCCAAGATGGTGAAATGGAAACCATAAGGCCTCTAAGGCTTTGGCCTGGAGATAATGCAGCATCTCTGCCATATTCTATTGATCAAAGCAACGCACAGGGCCACCTCCAATCCAAGAGGAGGTGCGATAACCCCACCTCACGATGAAAGGTGGCAGGTGGCGTGCACCTGCAGGGATGAGAGGAATTCTTGGCAGCCTTTTCTGCCAACATTCTATGCACTGATAAGGTTTTAATATCCAAAATATGTAAAGGATTCCCATGAATCATCAAGAAAAAGACAAAAATAGAAAAATGCAAAAACACAGACATCCATAGAAGAGAAACATGAATGGCCTGTAAACATATGGAAAGATGTTTACTCTCATCATTCAAGAAAAATAGATTAAATCTACCAAAGAGTGAAAATTTAAAAGTCAGACAAGACCAGTGATGGTGGGAACTGTTATATAGAGCTAATGAGATGTAAAATTACACATTACTTGAGAAAACAATTTCGCATCGCCTAGTAAAGATAAGTGTATATACACAGCAGTTCCACCCTTGGGAAAATTCTTGTGCGTATGTCCTGAAGACAAGTAAAATAATATTCTTAGGAGGATTTGGGAGGTTGGGGGGAAATACTAAAAACAAACTAAATGCCAATCAACGATTGAATGGAGAAATAAGCAGTAGTGGATTCATATCATGCAATACTCTAATCCACAGCTAGATGTGCCTCAATGTGGATGAAGCTTGAAAACATGATGTTGAAATGCAAAAGTGTCACAGAAGGCAATTTCAGTGTAATTCTATTTATACACAAAGCTCACAAACAGGAAAACTAAGCAATATATTGTTTAGAGGGCCAAACTTATAAATCCGTGCGTGCGCGTGTGCGCACACATGCACACACATGCACACACTCACATATGTATGGGGGAAATGCTTAGCCCAAATTTCAGGATAGAGGATAACTGGAGTGGGGAGAGGGAGGAAGCAAACATGGACTTCAAAGATACTGGTAATATTCTCTCTCACTCTCTCTCCTTTGAGCTCAATCATAGTTATACAGGTGTTTGTTCAAATATTATTCAAATATTTTTAGTTCTGATAGTATTGGCTATATACACATTTTGCATGTAGAATGCATTTTTTTAAAAAAAAAAACTCTTGCCCAGGCTGGAGTATAGTGGCACGATCTTGGCTCACTGCAGCCTCTGCCTCCTGGGTTCAAGTGATTCTCCTGCCTCAGCCTTCCAAGTAGCTGAGATTACTGGCATGCACCACCACATCAGCTAATTTTTGCATTTCTAGTAGAGGTGGAGTTTTTAGTAGAGATGTTGGCCAGGCTGGTCTCGAACTCCTGATCTCAAGTGATCCACCCACCTCGGCCTCCCAAAGTGCTGGGATTACAGGTGTGAGCCACTGTGTCTGGCCTAGAATGTATTTTTAAAGTGGCAAAGGATCTTTCAATAAATTGCTGAGAACAAAACACCTTGATGACATGAACAAAAAAATGATACTTTCATGTATGACTGTGGGAAGGACTTCAAATTGGCATGTGACTCAATCCTTTCTTGTTCCCATACACTGAAATACTTGGAGACGAAATGTCTGGGAATTGCTTCCAAATAATCTGACGGGGGTAGATAATGATGCAACCGTATTGACCGTGAGTTGGTCACTGCTGAAGCTGGGTTCATTTGTACTCTTCTCCCTACTGTTGTGTACGTGTGAGGAGGAGGGGTAAGAGGGGACAAGGGTAGAGAACGCTCACCAGAAGATAACTGGAACAAGTGAGGATATTTATAGGTTATCTGAATGCTAAGCATTCCCTGCTATAAAGCATAAAACAGAGTAGATTAAAAAAGAAAGGGGAACAAAATGAAGGGGAACTCGCCAGCTTTTTACATGCAGGGAAGAGTCTAGTTGGCCAGAACACATAAAATGTGCAAGCATGAGAACGCGAAAGACCCAGCCAGGCTGGCAGGGGAGGTGGGGGAGGAGGTGGGATCTGGAAGGCCAGCCATGGATGGCTCTAGAGCTGTGCACGAGTCCATCCCACTGCTGCTGCTGCTGCTGCTGAGAAGCTTCAGGGCTGTGCTGTGGCCCTGAGCCCTTGGGCTGGCCAGAGGAAGCCCACAAACAGGACACTGTGGCCATCCTGTAGTGCCACATTGGCTATCAGCCACCCAACTTGCGTGGTCTATGACAGAGGAAGCCCCATCACCAGACTCTCCCCTTCTAAGACCAACTCCAAGACTGAGACTCTGACTGCCCTCTGAAGACTCTGACTCTGGACTTCCATGGCTTGCAGCTGCCAACCCAGTGCCCACCATACCTGAGTACCCAGCAGCCCTTCACAGGGCTCAGGCCACCCCCAACTTCCACCCCCTAAGTTCACAGGCTCACCTCCTATGCTTAGCCAAGTAGACCCCTGCAGTTCTGAACGTGCTCCCATTCTGGCTTCTACTCCTTTGTATGTGTTCTTCCCTCTGCCTAAAAGCCTTCTGCTCCTCCCTACTCCTTGTTCTCTTGGCAAGTTCATAGTCATTTTGCCAGAATGGGCTCAAGTGTCCTCCTCCTCCAGGGAGGCTTCTCCCTGACTCCGCAAGCCAAGCAGAGCTGTTCGTCCCCTGCTACACAGCATCGTCCTGGGGCCTGTAAGTACCTGCAACACGGCCGGCTCTTTCCACCCTGCTGAACTGTTTCTCTGCTAAACACTGGAGCCTCTTCTAGAGGAACCCGAAGATGAGTTTTCAGCTCTGTTAGGAGGTACTCACTGGAGCCAGAAAATGAAGGAAATTGTTCTCTTCCAATCACAATTGTGGAGGAACTCTTTTTTTCTCTCTCTCCTATCTCTGTGACCAGCATTATACATAGAAAAATGGTCTCAAAAAGCACATGTTTGCTATTTCGACGACTGTAGAAAGTATCAGAGGAAGGCGATTATGTTTGCAAGGGGATGTTGTAGTTTAATCCTGGTTTTGTTCTTTTCAATTTTCCATAATTATGTGTTGCTCTGATTTAGATGAAATTAGCCTAGACAAGTTTTGCTGAAATAAAGGACTGCAGTTGATGCCTTCCTCCCCTGTATATGGGTCCCTCTTCATATTAAATGACCGCTTTCACCAACCTCCACCAGAGGCAAAGTCACACCAACCCCTGAGTGAGCCAGGGTGGAGCGAAAAGGAGAGGAGAGAGAAGGTACTGAGTTTTAGAAAGCTGTAATACCAGTCCCCTTCTTACAGGGAAAGAGAGATCTGGCTCATTAAACATTAAGTTGGGCACGGTGGCTCATGCCTGTAATCCCATCACTTTGGGAGGCTGAGGCAGGCAGATTACTTGAGGTCAGGAGTTCAAGACCAGACTGGCCAACATGGTGAAACCCCGTCTCTATGAAAAATACAAAAAATTAGCCAGGCGTGGTGGCGCACACCTGTAATCCTAGCTACTCAAGAGGCTGAGGCAAGAGAACCGCTTGAACCTGGGAGGCAGGGGTTGCAGTGAGCCGAGATTGTGCCACTGCATTCCAGCCTGTGTAAGACAGCGAGACTGTGTCTCAAAAAATAAAATTAAATATTAATCATTTATAAAACTACATCAAGAAACCTATGCTAAAAAGGAAGATGTGGTTGGACTGGTTCATTTTTCTCCTCCAGTTTAGAGCTCCCATGCTTATTAATCCAAGAAGAAGAACAAAGCTAGCTGTAGCCAAACTTGGCGATTTAAATATCTGTCATATCCATGGCATCTGTTTTTATTTAGTAATATTGTATATTTTTATCCAGCACTGTTCTATTTCACATATGATATAGTACATGTGCAATGTTTTGGATCATATCTACGGTACAGAACAGAGGGCAATTACCCTAATTTATGGGTGATCCCAATTGTCACTTCCCCCAAACAGCAATGGAGTTTTTCAATATCCTCAGAATAAATCCCTCCTCTGGAGCAGTAAACATAATATGACAGTGTGTCAACCATGGATTTGTTTCAAGATTATTTACTTAGAATTCAACAACACTGCTGGCCCATGGAGTGCCCCGTCAGCAAAGGCTGCATTGTTTGAAGTAGCTTGGGGAAACAGCCAGGGTTTCAGAATCCAAAGAATGTAGTTTTCCTAAATACCTCAGGATTATGAGATGCTATAGAACTAATAAATTTGCTCCTTAAAATAGTCCAGAAGGAATCCTTAACCATGGCTACATGTTTGAAAGTTTAGGTTATTAATGGGGAGAGAGAATGCTGTTTCGTCCCTTGGGCTCATATAATGAGTACCACGGGTAACTTTTTTCTCCCTTTCTTCTCTTTATGATTATTTTTAAAAGGATAAATTCCAGAGGTGGAGAACATTTTGGAAAACAAGGAAATAGTAACGAAATGATGAAATGTTGAGAGATGATGTGCAAGAGACCCATGCAATGAAAGCCTTTTAAGTTGGAAAATGCTTACCTGGTGCTGATTGTTGTTTCTCGGGATGGCGAGTTGGGCAGTTTCATCCACCTATGGATAAACTGGATGGTGCTCTGTAGGTGTAACCAGTAATATAGTAACTGGAATCGAATGTTCTACAACTGGTTTCTTGTTTTCATACAGGCGGTAACTAGATCTAACCTATATTTATTAGGTTGGTGCAAAAATAATTAAAAGTAACGGCAAAAAAAAAAAAAACCGCAATTACGTTTGCACCAACCTAAAACATCATATTTTAAAAGTTTTAAAGCACTTTCCCATCTGCAATCTAATTTTTCTCACAGTCACTCAGAGAAAGAAGTTATGATTATCACCAATTACAAATGAGGAAGTTCAAGCCCCGAAGACTTAGCAACTTGCCTAAGTTCACCTGGAAAATGGGTGGAAGTGTGTGGATGAAAACTCTGGTCTCTTAGTTCAGTGGTCATAACCTCTAGCCTATCCATGATGTATTTAGTTGTGCAAATTCAAATTTTATGAAGCATGCACAGAGACTTCATCCATAGTAATGAACTTTTTAACTGAGAGCAAGTGTTTCCAGAATAAAAAATCCGCTGCTCAGCCCCCATTGCAGCTTCATGTGTCCAGTGGAATGTGAGCAGAAAGGATGAAGACAACTTTTGGTACATAAAAGTCTTGTGCATTCCCCTGTCTTGGCCAAGGTCCCCCTGAGAGTAGAATCTAAAGCTAAAACTCAACTGCAGGTTTATTTTGGAAACGATCTCAGGGAGCAAGGGTGAGGGATAGAGAGGGTGGCAAGAAAGAGGCCAGGTCAATGCAAGAAAGAGGTACTAAGTTGGCCACTCTTATGGGTGACTGGTGCTCAATCCCACAGGACCTTCTGATGGGAAGACACAAGGGGGAAATATCCACTGATACTAGACTGTCATTGATCAAGGTGTTAAATCTACACTGCTATGATGCCTGAGATGCCCCAGAACAGAAATTGAGAGGCTTGGGGCATGGGCCAAGGTGAGGTACTAACAGGTTGCAATTGTGCAAACTGGCAAAGTCTGCACAGATCTGATCATCACACGAGTAGTTAGGTGGGGCTGACAGGATTTGAAGCCATCTTTAAGAAGTTTCCCTTCCTGCTGGGTAAGATGCCTGTGGTAGTAAGCCGGCTTAGACCACGTAGACAAGGGCAAACCATCTGGGAGGCCTGGGGCAATAATACTGAAGAATCTTGGCATCCTGGAAATATCTGAGCAGCCATGTGAACTTGAGCTGTACAAGAGAGAAATAAATCTATTTCATTTAAGCAACCCTTATTGTGTAAACTAATAAAAAGTACATCTGATAATCATGAGCTGCAAACATCAAACTGGAGAGACTTGTTTAGACCAGTGAATAAAAATTTTAGGTGTTACTAAGCAGCAAAGCCATGGTCCACATGATGAGCACATTGAAAATTTCACCTCTATTTGGCTCAGTCTGTGATTGGCACTGAATTATTGAATTCACTGGATGGTGTTGCCATCCAAACACAACCCCTCCAAATACTTTGTGAAATACACACATTCTTAGGCCAGGCACGGTTTCTCATGCCTGTAATCCCAGCACTTTGGGAGACCAAGGTGGGAGGATCACTTGAGGTCAGGAGTTCGAGACCAGCCTGGTCAACATGGTGAAACCCCGTCTCTACTAAAAATACAAAAATTAGCCAGGCGTAGTGGTGGGCACCTGTAATCCCAGCTACTCAGGAGGCTGAAGCAGGAGAATTGCTTGAACCTGGGAGGTGGAGGTTGCAGTGAGCTGAGATCGTGCCATTGCACTCCAGCTTGGGCAACAAGAGTGAAACTCCGTCCGCAAAAAACAAAGGAATAAATAAATAAAATAAAATATACACGTTCTTGCCTTGGCACACTGTATTTTAAGCTGAAGCAACGTAATGATGATAATTTTTTTACAAATATGATTATTTTATGTCATTGTATCATACCAGTTATTAAGGAGAATTGATATAGCTTTAGAACACTAAATATACCCCTCACTGAATAATTAAACTTTTAGCTAGTAAGTGACTAAATTTGACAGAGCCTTGAATAGGGTATATAAAGGGACTGTGTTAACTGCTTTCCTTCAACGTGCATGTACTGACTTGAAGAAAAATCTGTGCCACATTATGAAGGAGGAAGTAGGTACAGGGAGTGGGGGATAACTTGACCAAAGTGGCCCAACTCAAAACTGGCAGACATGCAGAGCTAGCATTTGAACCCAGGCATGTTTGACTCAAAAGTCCCTGCTTTACTCATTATGCTAAATCTGACTGAAGAAAGTTTTAGCTTTGATACTCTCTGGGACGCTAGAACACCTAAAATAAATAGTTTGCTTGCCTGGTGCTTAAAGGGAGGGCCTTAAAGGAAGAGGACGACGTCAAGATCAGAAGACTTGGCCATGCATGGTGGCTCACCCTGTAATCCCAGCACTTTGGAAGGCTGAGGCAGGAGGATCACTGAGCCCAAGACTTGAGACCAGCTTGGACAACATAGTGAGACCCCCATCTCTACAAAAAATAAAAAAGTCAGCTGAGTGTGGTAGCTCATACCTATAGTCCCAGCTACTTGGGAGGCTTAGGTGGGAGGATCACTTGAGCCCAGGAGATCGAGGCTGCAGTGAGCCATGATTGTGCCACTGCACTCCAGCCTGGGCAACAGAGGAAGATTCTGTCTCAAAAATAAATAAAAAGATCAGAAGACCAGTGTTGTTCTCTGTGTGAATAGGAAACAGCTGAGACTGTCTGACCTCAGGTGCTTCCTTGATAAAACGGGAATAACACAACCTACCTCACAGGCTTTTGGAGATGTTAAATGAGTGTATGTGTATATAGAAGTGCTTTATAAACCATAAAGTACTACATTTACTTACTGTGGGCCATGCACAGTATTAAAGCACTTTACATGGATAATCTCCTTTAATCACCACTACAACCCTACGAGCTAATTATTCTTCTGTTTGTTGTATAGGAATTTGAAGTTCAGCTTGCCCGTGGCCAAGTAACTAGCAGAAGGAGGAGGCTGGTGTTCAAAGGCAGCCACAAAGGGCTTATGGGCCCACACTCAAGCCCCCCACCACTCGTCTGCCCTGTACACGTGATCATATGGCCACCACCTACGTATTTACATACCACCTACATAATGTGGACAACCCGTCTCAGATTCAAATGGACTCTGTAGCTGCAACATTCCTGCCTTCTCCTCACTGGAGTATTAACAGGCTCTGGTAGAAGTGGAATGATGAGAATCAGAGGACAGACATCTCTCTGGGAGCTGCTTTTCCCTAAGACCAGGGATACAATTTCTGAACACATTCTTAATTTTATCCCATGTATCTAGACATTAATCCTAGTCTGATAAATTCCTGGAGTGCCCTCACGCTACATTTAAACTTCTTTATTTTTGTGTATTATAATTCACCCTTAATGAATCAGGAATTCTAAGGTAACTCTTTATCTTAAATAGTACCTGAGCATAAAATATATAGCTTATGTTTTAGTCTCTAAAATTTGACTGTGTTGGGAAATTAAGATGTTTACAGTTCTAAGCCAGGTACGGTGGCTCAGGCCTGAAATCTCAGCACTTTGGGAGGCTGAGATGAGAGGATCACTGGAGGCCAGGAGTTTGAGACCAGCCTGGGCAACAGAGCAAAACCTCATCTCTATAAATATTTTTAAAAAATAACTAGCTGAGGCCGGGTGAGGTGGCCCATGCCTGTAATCCCAGCACTTTGGGAGGTTGAGGTGGGCAAACTGGTTGAGGTCGGGAGTTCAAGACCAGCCTGACGAACATGGTGAAATCCCATCTCTATTAAAAATACAAAAATTAGCCGGGCATGGTGGTAGGCGCCTGTAATCCCAGCTACTTGGCAGGCTGAGGCAGGAGAATCGCTTGAACCCGGGAGACGGAGGTTGCAGTGACCCATGATCACGCCATTGCACTCCAGCCTGGGTGACAAGAGCAAAACTCTGTCTCAAAATAAAAATAAAAGTAAAAATGATTAGCTGGGCATGATGGCATGTGCCTATAGTCCCAGCTACTCAGGAGGCTGAAGCGGGAGGATCGTTTGAGTCCAGATAGTCAAGGCTGCAGTGAGCCCTGACTGTGTCACCGAACTCTAGCCTGGGTGACAGAGTGAGACCCTGTCTCTAAAAGTATATAAATAAATATTTTTAAAAGATGCTCACAGTTTTAAAGCAGAAAGAGAGGCTAAGAACGTCTACCACTTTCTTCGGATTCACTACATACTCATGATTTTGGGTTCACGAAGACACTTCTGTTGTGAGATATGTATCCCCCCTTTTTAGTCCAGCTCGGTAGATGAGTTTCATGCATGAGTTTACATTTGAGAGTGAGTTTGCCTCCTCTTTCCCCCCTTGCCTTATTCTCATATGTTATCTGTAAAATATTCTTTTTCAGTGTGCCTGTATGAAATCTGTTCTTAGAGGCTGTGGGAGCTTTAAGATTAACTATGGACTCGATAGTAATGCAATGGGGTCTGAGATCACCCTGGCAGGCAAACACTTTGCGTGAGGTGTAATTGAAAACATTAGTACAACTAAATAACCCAGTTTCCATTCTAAGCTTAGTCCCCTGTGCGGCATTCAAGGCAAAGGAAGCCCTGACCAGCGCCACGTGAAACAAAGTAAAAGAACATGGATTTCAGATAAGAATGATCCAGAAACCAAAGGAATTTGGGAAGGACTTTGTAGATGCAAAGGAGCAAATGCAGAACATGAAGAAAACTAAGAGGGCCTCCGTTCGGGTGGTGAACCCACTGAGCTTCAAAAGATGTTTAAGAAGCATCTAAATGAAAAACCTCCCTGGGCGTGGTCAGTTGCCAACTCAAAAGGATGAGGGAGACATCATCCTCCTGCCTAATTGCACCCCCTTTCCTACTTAGAGCTTAGCAGGAGGGGGCTGTAATATGATTACTTGTTGAGAAAGGGATTTCTAGTTGCTGCTTCAGAGGAGACTGAAATGACCTATTGCTTTCCTTTGATGTTTTGTTTGCTGACACAACTGCTGGACTTTGAAATGCAGTAGAACTCTAATTTAGTTCAGGAACTTGTTTTTAAACATATATTTCAGTCAGAGAACTGATTTTAATCTAAAATCCACTTCTCCGAATTTTTAAAAATGCAAGTCTTTTCTTCACAAGAGGTGTAAGTTTCCTCCCCCATCTCATCACTTTCATTTGGCTTCTCCAATTCCCTCTGAGCTGGGAGCAGACTTCTGGAAACAAGACTGTTGTGGAGTGCATGGAAGAGAGTCCTAGCCCCCAGCTGTTCTGTTCCCTCACTGTGCCATGTACTGAACCTCATGGATGGCCTCTAAGACTGGACCTAGATCAGCCTTGCTGCCAATTCTAGAGGCCTGCTAGGCCCAAAGAGGTCCCAGTGGAAAGGACATAAGGACATGGCAGGCAGAGTGGGCTTCTCTCCTTCCAAGCTGGTTTGGGGAGAAAAATCAAACAGGTTAATTGCACATCTTCATTAGTTGACTTTCCCCTGTGGGCTGGTCCTGTGGTGTGACCTAACCTTTAGTAAAGATAGTTATGCTAAAGTAACTAGGCACAGATGGGCTTTAGGCTAGAAATCCATCTTCCCTCTGTCTCTGTCCTTTTCTCTGAGAAGTGTCCTTACTGCTTGAACCTCAGCAGAAGAGGTGGCCACTGCAAGGGCTGGGTGGATAATGTGCACCCTATAGGCCAAGTTCTGCTTCACCTGTGTTCTTGGAACTGCACAGTTTTCTTTTTTTCCTTTCTTTCTTTCTTTTTTTTAAAATTTGAATGTCAGTGTCTTTAAAAAGGGCACAAACTCTCCAGGTCACTGTTAATCCCTAAATCCACCCTTCACAGGCAGCCCATTTGGCTTATTCTGTGTTACCTAACACCACTGTGGGCTTCTGACCTTTCAACCTCTGGTGAGTGAAAAATTCTCAGTTAACAGCCTCAGAGCCAGCTTTAGATCCTGACGTTCCAGGGCCCTTGGAGAAGAAAAGGTGGATCAAAGAGTAACCAATAGCTCAGTCTATGAGCTATTGGTTTAAAATGAGATTTAAAAATCCAATGAAGCCACTCCTGGGCCTCCTGGTTCTGCATTTTCTGTGGATGCCTGCACCTGGTGGGCGCTCTGAAGACCACTTACAGGGTGGGACAACTGCCGAATTGCAAACCCCATGAGGTTCTGCTTGGAGTTTATGTCAACATAGATCTTGTCTTTTCTCAGCCTGTTTCCATCAAAGCAATGCTTAATTGGGGGCTGATCTGGGATCTGGGAAAGAAGGGGAGAGGGCAGTCATTCTTTCACTGGATGCATTTAATTTTACTCCACCTAACAAGTTCAAAATGCCCTGGAGTTTCATTCTTCCTTCCCTTCCTCCTCACACTTTTCCATCCTTTCCCTTCTTTGACTCCCAAACCCAAATGGGGTATAAGTGGAGCAGATAGGGGTTGGGTAGGGGTGAGAAACATTGTAGATCTTTATTTTATTCACCTCAAGCCCCACATTAAATCCCACATCCGTGTTTGCTAAAACATATAAGGTTCTGCAACCCCGGTCATGTCCTTGGAGACCATTTAAAGTCATAAAATAAGCAATGTGTACTTTTTTGGAATGGTCAGTCATTTAAAACTATCATAGAACCAGCAAATGCACTATGAAACAGAAAGCAACATTCACTTTTTAAAAAGCTGAAACACAGGATTATAAAGACATTTGATGCTTTTTGCAGGTTTCTTTCAAATAGTTCCCTGTATCTCAGGGGATAGCTTTCAACTCTCCTTTGCTATTAGGAATATTTGGGTGAAAGTTTGAGAAACCGTGTGAAATTCTGGCAAATCTTTTTAGAAAAGTCTGCTTTTGTATCTGAGAGGAGTATTTTCTTATTTCGGGTGTTCATGGAATAAGGAATCATGTAGCCCTTGGCTGGACACTTAAATGTGTTCCTGGACTTGCCAAAAAGACTTGGGTTGAGTCACTGGACTTGACTTCAAATTCCCATTCAGAGACCACTGGGACTGTAAAACCTTTTGCTGCTGAGTCCATTTCTTGTAACTGGCTCCACATATTTAAGAATAAATAATTCAGCTCTGTTAGTGATGGTTTTGGGATCCCCCTCTACAGCCCCAGCACAGTTATCCTGGTTTGTAGGAGCAGCACCCAGCATTCACATTTTCTCTGTTCTGCATTTGTTGGAAAGTAAATAAGCAGCAGTAAAGAAGCTGTATTGTGCATGTTTTCTGCCTTGGGTGGCACCTGGAATTTGCTGAATTTGCTGAGTGCAACTTTAAAAGGCTCCTGAGCCGCACCTTTTTCATGCCATGCAAGTCAAATGGAAAACCAAATAATCAGCATAAGCAAGCTGTGAGTCCTTTCTCTTGGTCTCAACGGACTCCAGACCCTGTTGTGGAATTCCAGTGCTTCTTTTCTCCCCTCTTCCAGCTGTTAAGTCTCCATGACTGGACTTAAACAACCATCTCCTCTCCCCCTCTCAGAGAATCAATCACTGATTTTGCATAATACTTAGGACATTGTGGTACAAAAAAAAAAAAAAATTGAGGGCCCCCCAAAAACCCAAAAACAAACAGAAACCCGCCCATCTCCACTGATTTTCTAGGATGTCTCGTTTATTTTATGTCAGTCTCACTAGAACTTAAAAATTACTTTTAAAGTAATAAAGCTGATTTTCACATGCCTTGTATAGACTTTCACTAATGCCAAGCAAAGGCATTTTGCCCAGATTGCTTTCCCCAGCTCATATACAGAGTTGAAAGCAGGGAATGGGGTGAAGTGGAATGGAGGAAGAACAGATGTAAATACTAAGCATATTGCAGGTTCAGTGACTCGCCCCAGAATGGGACCCTGTCTTAGATCCTACAAATTCCTGTTCAATCCTTCTAGGCAAGATGCTTAATTATTGTTATGTGTAGGGAAGAAAATTGTTAGCAGCAGAAGGTATCCGAGTCACGTGGCACCAAAATGTATCACTAGTAGCGAATATCCAAGTTACCTTAATAGAATCCGTATGGGTCTGCAGCAACCTCAATTCCTACATCCTCAGAAGAAAGAATTCAACTCAGGGTCATACGGCAGAAAAAGAGACTGAGGCAAGTTTCAGAGCGTTTATTAAAACGCTTTAGAGCAGGAACATAAGGCAAGTGATACTGGAGACAGAAATTATTTTAAGCAGATAATGAGGGCAAAAGAGTCCTCGGCAGAACTTCCCTGCTAACAAAGAACAGCCCAAGAAATCCCTTCTTTTCTAACAAAGAGCAGCCTGGGAGATCGGGCTGCAAACATAGATAAGGAAGCTGGAAACTTGCACGAGGGGATGCCAGAAGCTGCACAGTTAGAAAGAGGTACCTGGGGCCAGGAATGTCCACCCTGGGGGCTCCACCTCCCCTCTATTTTTAGCACATGCACAGTAAGAAGGAAATAAGCGGCCGGGCCCGGTGGCTCACGCCTGTAATCCCAGCACTCTGGGAGGCCGAGGCAGGCGGATCACAAGGTCAGGAGTTTGAGACCAGCCTGACCAACATGGTGAAACCCCGTCTCCACTAAAAATACAAAAATTAGCCGGGCGTGGTGACGCACACCTGTAATCCCAGCTACTTAGGAGGCTGAAGCAGGAGAATCGCTTGAACCTGGGAGGCGGAGGTTGCAGTGAGCCCAGATCTCACCACTGCACTCCAGCCTGGGTGACAGAGTGAGACTCCTACTCAAAAAAAGAAAGAAAGAGAGAGAGAGAGAGGAAGGAAGGAAGGAAGGAAGGAAGGAAGGAAGGAAGGAAGGAAGGAAGGAAGAAGTAACATGGAGTATCTAGCCACGGGCATAATAAAAGACTGGGGTGGGGGCTGCCAGAGATTCGTGCCCTATGCAGATGGCACACCCGGTCCTAACCAGTTTTTCATGCCCTTTGTAGGTCAGACACCGCCTCCCCACTAGCTCATCTATAAAACCCCCTGCATTTAACCACGGATCGGCAACTCCTTTTCTCGGGACCCTTCTCTGGGGCAGAGAGCTATTCTCCTTCTTTCACCTATTAAAATTCTGCTCGAAACCTCACCCTTTGTGTGTTTCCACATCCTTTACCTCCGTGGCCGTGAGACCGAGAACCTTGGGTGTCACCCCAGGCAACAAGGCCACTTCACAAGTACACCTGGAAGAGAGCCAATGGACGCCCTGGAGGTCAAGTGCCCCGTTTGATCTTGAACCTAGGATTTTATACGCTGGCCTACTTCCCGCATCTTGTGCCCCTTTCCCTTATTCTTCTCTTAAGGTGAACCGCCCACATGCATAGTGCCCTGCTTGGGATTGGGAGGTGAGCATGGGCAGTGTGTTTAAGAAGTTGTATGCGTGATCACCTGAGGCTTTCTTCCCCTTTTCCAGTGGAACGCCCCTAGAAGGTCATACGCTGCCATTTTGTCTCTTAATGCGCATGCTCAAGCCCACTGGCCCAATTCCTGAGATCTTATTGGAAGCTGCCGACTACCAATTTCAAGTGTATTCATCTGTTGGGAAACTGCCTCTCCCTGTTGTGGCCATGATCAATGATCATTTTAGAGAGGCAGTGTGACAACTGCCAAACCATCCCCTGATCATCACCTGACATTCCTGGCGGGTTGGGAGGGGAGCCCTTCTCTGCCCCGCTCATGCCTGACTAGCTACCTACTGTAACAAAATCTGTATCATGTCTTCCCAGTGATTCTATATTTTGGTAATATAGAATCAACTTGTGGAGAAGGCAGCATGATGTAGTGAACAAAGCTTCAGCAGGCCAGGATTTAAATCCCAGAGCCACCATTTATTGGCCATGTACCATTAAATATGTGTTACAGGCCTCTCCTGGGCCTCATTTTTTTCATCTGCAAAATAGGAAATGATGGCAAGGATCAAATAAGATGACAACTATGAGAAGCACGCCCAAAGCTAGGCACACATTAAATGTGTTTCCCTTCCCTTCTTAAGTCAGAGTTTGGACTCTGAACATAATGTAACTCCCCACCAAGAGCTGACTGTGACTATGGGCACTGTTTCTATGAAGGGAGCTCTTGGTGGCCCTTTGTTGTAACTGTTGATTGCACACATCTGGAAACCATGACAACCGTTTTGCTTTTAGTTCAGCTTGGCCCAAATGTAGCTCTATATAAGGCAGCTTCCATACTTCAGTTTTTCCCAACACATCATAGCTTGGCTTGAATTTGGGCAGAAGGGTGGGTGCCAAAGGAAATGTACAATGTCTGAGAAAAATTCTTATTCAACTAACAATTACCCAGATCTGTATGGCCCCACTAGGGCACTGTTCCTGGAGCTTTTGTGTACATTCTCCCACTGAAAATGCAGTGGGAAGCTTTATGATGATGCCTACTTTGCAGGTGTTTCGATGACTCTGGGTGGTTTAAGTGACTTTCCAAAGTCACAGAGATAATAAGGCATAGACTTGGGATAAGATCCCAGGCTTCTGACATGGAAAAAAGCAGGTCACAAGGATTTGCGGTGTTAGAAGAACAGCAGCTGTAGTGTCTGCCTGCCAGTGTGCCTTGAGTTGACACTGTCCACAACAAGTACTGGAAGGCAGGAGAGGGGAGGTCCTATGTAAGTTTCCTTGGCCTTTAGAAGAAACCCTGTGTCCAGGCTCTCTGTCAACTAAGTCACATATCGAACTGGGGCAGGTAGTGATATATGGCTAATTAAATGTGCCATGTAAACAATATCTGACCACTAATTTTAAAAAACAGTTTGTAAAACATTCCTGGCATCATTTAATCTTTTGGGGTTTTCACTTGTTGTATTCAGAAGGTATTTTAGGACCAACCTTAATTGTCATGCATTCATTCAACGAATATTTATTAACCTACCTACTGTGTTGTATCCAGCACTGTTTTGTTTTGTTGTTGTTTGTTTTTTTGGGGACAGAATCTCACTCTGTTGCCTAGGGTGGAGTGCAGGGGCACAATATCTGCTCACTGCAACCTCCGCCTCCTGGGTTCAAGCGATTCCCGTGCCTCATACTCCCAAGTAGCTGGGATTACAGTTGTGCGCAGCAACTCTCAGCTAATTTTCGTATTTTTCATAGAGACAGGGTTTCACCTTGTTGGCCAGGCTGGTCTTGAACTCCTGACCTCAGGTGATCCTCCCGCCTTGGCCTCCCAAATTACTGGGATTACAGGTGTGACCCACTGCACCCAGCCATAAAACTCTTTAACACAAACTCTTCAAAGTGACATCTTTTGTAACCTTCATAGGTTACAAAAGGTATTGATATATTAATAGATTGAGATTTGATTGCGGGGGGGCGGGGCAGGGGGAGAATGCTAAAAAAATAAGTCAGCTTTCTTTTCTGTAACTATTTAAAAGAATGCAAAGTAATTCTACAGGCAATTCCTTGGTGGGCTTATTTGGTAATTTTTTTTTTCTTTTCCATTTTCCTCTTGCTCTTTGGTTTGTAGGAGAACCGCTTTATTCCCAGGAGGCAATTTTGAGTCCCAACATGTCCTGCATCATCTCCTGTGCCCATTGCCAAAGGAAGGCGACCAGAGCGTGGGTTTCAGCACAGCTCTGATTGGATGATAAGCAAGGAGAGTAATGTGCTGCTAGGAGGTTAGAGAAAAGAAAATACTAGAATATACCAGAATGTAGTATTTCCACTTCCCTCCCTCCAAATCAAAAGCCTCATGAATGAAATTATGACCATTATTCAAGTGCAATTATACTGAGTATGTAAAATGGAAACACTGAAAGTAAATCATACATTTGGATATTACATTTCATATTTGAGAACATGCCAGAAACATTGTATTATTGTTGAGTGTAATGTCAGGAGACAAACTTCTACGCATTTTATACATAAATTTTTCCATTTTCTCTGTTTCCCATTTATGTCAAGTTGAACACATGGTATGACTTTTAATATTCTCTCTTCCTTCTCCTTCCCCACATTGAATGTCAAGTGATCACACTCAATCTTGATTATCCTAAATTTACCCTTAGGACCTGTCACCTCATTGGGTGTTGCCGCTAGAACAAGAGGGTTTTTTAAATGGTATAAAAAGGAGAGGCCCGGCTTGGTAGCTCATGCCTGTAATTCTAGCACTTTGGGAGGCTGGGGCGGGAAATCCCTTGATCCCAGGAGTTTCAGACCAGCCTGGGCAACATGGTGAGACTCTGTCTCTATAAAAAAAAAAATTTTTTTTTTTAATTTAGCTGGGTGTGGTGGCATGCCCTGTAGTCTCAGCTACTATGGAGGCTGAGGTGGGAGGATCACTTGATCCTGGAAGGTGGAGGCTGCAGTAAGCTGAGTGGCACCAGTGCACTCCTGTCAAAAGAGAGAGAGGAGAGAGAGAGAGAGAGAGAGGAAGAGTCCCTAAAGAAACCTATAAAACTGGGGTCTTATGGATGCTAGCACATATCTTGGAAAGAACTGCCAGCGCCAGTGGATTACAGAAGACAACTGTGGCTACAGGCTGTTCTTGCCAGCTCAGGCGTCAACTCGTGGAAACCGGTTAATGACCCGAGGGGACAGCGGATTCTCGCCTAAGCAAGATCCCGCAGATGGGAGGGCGTAGGAAGAGGTTCCCCGGGCCGGCTCCAGGCCCCAGCGGGCGTGGGCGTTGGCAGTGAGCGAGGGGTGGTCCCGCGCCGCGCCGGCGGGGGGCGCCCGAATGAGAGCGCGGGGCGGTGCCGTTGGGACCACGGCGGCCAGAGCGGCAGGATGGCTTCCGGCTTCAAGAAGCCCAGCGCTGCCTCCACCGGCCAAAAGAGAAAGGTGGCACCTAAGCCCGAGCTCACTGAGGATCAGAAGCAAGAAGTTCGGGAAGCATTTGACCTCTTCGACGTGGACGGAAGTGGGACCATCGACGCGAAGGAGCTGAAGGTGGCCATGAGAGCGCTGGGCTTCGAACCCAGGAAGGAAGAGATGAAGAAAATGATCTCCGAGGTGGACAGGGAAGGCACGGGGAAGATCAGCTTCAATGACTTCCTGGCCGTGATGACGCAGAAGATGTCCGAGAAGGACACCAAAGAAGAAATCCTGAAGGCCTTCAGGCTCTTTGATGACGATGAGACCGGGAAGATCTCGTTCAAAAACCTGAAGCGTGTGGCCAACGAGCTGGGGGAGAACCTCACGGATGAGGAGCTGCAGGAGATGATCGACGAAGCTGATCGGGATGGGGACGGCGAAGTGAACGAGGAGGAGTTCCTTCGGATCATGAAGAAGACCAGCCTTTACTGAAGTCGGTTCAGAAGCTAAAGTGACTCTCTGGGTTGCCTGCTTCCATTTTGTGAAACCTTAGAGGACAGCGGCTGCCTGTCCCTTCTTCACCCCCTCACCCCCATAATTTGTCTAGATCTATTTCCATATCTCTAGTTCAATAATAGAATTTGAAAGATGCTTGTAATGTGAGTTTTGGGTTTTAATTCTCAAGAGTCAACCTGGAGCACATGAGGTTAAACAAAGGGCCCTGAAGTTTGAGTGCGCCCTCCATTTGCCCTGTGCTGAACTTGCTGTTCATCTGTTGATCTGGAGGCAGGACAGCTTCTGGGACACACAAAAATGTGGTTCCCTTTGTCACTTCTTTGGTGGTCTTAAATTATCTTGCTTCATATATCATTCCTTAAATTCCAGTCATTGTTCCAGCATAATGAGATGGAATCTGCCAGTAGATTTGCCTAGCCTGTCCACTTAGCTGAATACCAGTTTGAAGGAAAACAGGGTGGCCACTTACAAACTTACGGAGCTCAGGACAGATAATCTTATAAAGAATAGACTTGCTTGGGTGGTAGTACGTTGTGCAATTTTGACTATTCACTGGCTTTATACCTGCAAATGATTCTTCGTTCATGTGTAAATTGTCCACCATGGGTTTATCTAGGGCTAGTATGTATACCTGGGCTACAGAATAAAAATAAAATCTAATACTGGCCCAAGCAAAGTATAATTTGCTTAAGAGGTTACGCTAACAAACGATTTTGAGTAAATATTTACAAATGTAGGATCTTAGTTTAGGAAATTATAACAAATACCTTAATATAACATTTTAAGCTACTTATAGTCCTTGGAAATAGCAACAAATATCTTAGTTATTGGACTATTATAACCTTAGTCATCTTATTACTGCTTGATTATGAGACACTCTCCCTGCTAATCCTTAGAACATCTTGGTTCTTGGTACTTGACTTTTAGCCCCTCTGACATATAGTTGATGTCAGAGTGTCTGGCATTTCAGTAGTGCTCTATTTTACAAATCCCAGTAAACTGCTCCACTGTGGCTTGTTTATGTGTTAATACTGCTTGTTTTCTGTTATAAATTATTTTTTGCTTTGGAGTAAGATATCATCATTTTGCATAGCTACAAATCTGAAGTTAAAGAAAATTTTAAAAATGTAATTGTGGGAAAATAACAAATAGATCTGCTGAGATGGAGGCTTTGACTAATGTTTTAATAACAGGCAACAAAACAAAGAGGCAGGATATTTTGGTCACAACTAAACCTAAATTAAATCCTCATACAAAGCCCCATTAAGATAAATGCTCAAATTCTGGGAACATTTCACTTGCTTTGCCAGCAATTTTACCCTTCAGAGGGTGTGGATCTAATCAGGGGAACAAACTACCCTGGGCTTAATTCTCATTAACAGGGACTAATTTGTCAAAGCGGCAGTACTAGCTGAAGTGATGGGTATGGAAGCATTCACTGTGAGGATTTTGCTGAGGTGCCTGGCACAGGGTAGGGGAACTCACCCAGGCTGCAAGATGCTAACAGTTCAGGTTCAAGGTCTTAGTGTGGACTAAGGTGCAGTCAGGATGGGAACAGGTGCAACTTGGGCCAACATCAGTATGAAGGGCCTGATCTGAGGGCAGGGGAAGGAGGGGGCATTCTGGGAAGCAAGAGTTCCTGGTATCCTGTTGACCAGAGTCTTGGCCCAAGGATCAACGTATGAATTAAAGTAGAAATACCAGAAACAAAGAAAGTTGGCAGAAACTAGGAGAAGCAGAGTCTCAGCCAACTGGACTGGGCTCAGCCTTGGCTACTGGCCCGGCAGATGATAGAAGAGAAAACCAGGAACCCAGGCTGAAGCCCAGTGGTTGGGCTGGCCACACACCATGCATAGCCTTAAAGGGGTGGCCTAAGGGCATGGTCCGCTCCAAAAAAGGAAAGGGGGCCCCAGAATATTTCTGAATCCCACTCACTGCCAGGGAAGAACCTCTCAATTCACTCAATAGTGCATTCTCCTGCTTCTCAATAGGCTAATACTCTAGAGAATATGGGGACAAGGGGAGGAGGGTCTAGTGGAACAGGTCTAAACTGGCGTTTGAATTTTAAGATAAGTTAATCATACATTGGCTGGGTCAGCCATGTCTCTTAGTCTTTACAAAAGTAGAACACAAAAAAATTCAATGGAAATCTACAGACACCTATTTGCAGATGAGGAAACACGGCTATGAAGATTGGGAAGATTGGGAAGAACTGGCCAGGTGTGGTGGCTCACGCCTGTAATCCCAGCACTTTGGGAGGCCGAGGCTGGTGGATCACTTGAGGTCAGGAGTTGGAGACCAGCCTGGGCAACATAGTAAAACCCTGTCTCTACTCAAATTACAAAAATCAGCAGGGCGTTGTGGTGCCCACCTGTAATCCCAGCTATGCAGGAGGCTGAGGCAGGACAATCACTTGAACCTGGTAGGCGGAGGTTGCAGTGAGCCAAAATCACGCCACTGTACTCCAGCCTGGGTGACAGAGCAAGACTTTGTTTAAAAAAAAAAAAAAAAAGGGAAGAACTAAAAATGTAATTTTCAAGGGGCTATCACAAATGGTCCCAATAAAGAGAAAGCAGGACTCATGTTTAAGAAACCCATGAGATGTGTATGGACCTCATGGAAGAGCTCTTGCTTTCTAATGATCTACGTAACAGATGAAAAGCAGAGCATAGGGCTAAGGATGAAAATACAACAGTAATAAGGTATTAATATATTATTAAGAAAGCTAATGCTCCACATAAGCAGAGGACATTAAAGGGACTTTTTTTTCTTAAGGATATCTTAATGTTTTAAATGAGAAGACATAGAAAGGGATAGGTCCAACTCTTGGGATTGTTGCAGGTTGGTTTCCATCGGAAGCACTCTGAGTCTGAGATTTGTATGCAGAAAATTAATTTGAATGTGCTTTTCAGATCACCCAGGTGGGGGAGGGAGGAAACCAGGACTGGGCAGAGAGAGGCTGGGCTGTAACCAAGTCACAACAAAGGTGTCAGCTGGTCCCATGGTGAATTCTGGACCTAGGATGGCTGATCCCAAGGCATTCCAAACTGGGGCAAGGAAGTTGTGCTTTAAAACTTCTCATTGACTGTCAGTCACTGGGCATGAGCAGTCCCCAGGAAGGGGGGATGACCTTGAGCAAGGTGGATGTCTTCAGCCAAGGGCAATCACTGGGAAGGAGAACCCAGCTATGAACTGTCAGCTGCCAACACTCCCAGCATCTGAGAGGATGAGGGCTTCAATTCTAAGGGCAGGGGCTCCAAGGGCAGGGGTACGGATGGTGGAATCTGGGCAGTACCTTGTGGCTTCCACTACAGTCCACCCCTTGCACCACTTAGTTCCACTGGCTTTTTTTTTTTTTTTCTTTTCTGAGACAGTCTCACTCTGTCACCCAGGCTGGAGTGCGGTGGCACGATCTCGGCTCGCTGCAACCTCCGCCTCCCAGGTTCAAGCAATTCTTGAACCTCCTGAGTAGCTGGGACTACAGATGTGTGCCACCACACCCAGCTAATTTTTTGTATTTTTAGTAGAGACGGGGTTTTACCGTGTTAGCCAGATTGGTCTCGATCTCCTGACCTCATGATCTGCCTGCTTTGGCCTCCCAAAGTGCTGGGATTACAGGTGTGAGCCACCGCACACAGCCAGATCCACTGGCTTCTATATAATTTCTGGGTGAAGCTAATTCAGGATTCTGATGGACCTGTCTTCCCGAGGGAAACTTGTAAAAGGAAAGTTAGAGGGACAAACTATAGCCCCTGCCACAGCAGCTGCTGTCGAGGACAAAAATGGTGCTCCTCATTTCCCTTAACCACCTGACCTAGATTCCCCTAACCCTTAGTGGGCACCTCTGTGGATGGAAGTGGTGGCTCACCTGGTGGGATGATCCAGATCCTCATCCCTGAGTGGTCTGAGCTCCCAGTTACCAGGCCCTTCTCAGGCTGTGGCTGTTGCACTTACCTCCCCAGCCATCCCCCACTTTTTTTTCTTGAGACTGGGTCTTGCTCTGTCACCCAGGCTGAAATGCAGTGGCATAACCTCAGCTCACTGCAGCCTTGATCTCCCAAGCTCAAGCCATCTTCTCACCTCTGCCTCCCAAGTGGCTGGGACTACAGGCACATGCCACCATGCCCAGCTAATATTTTTTATTTTTTATTTTTTTGTAGCAATGGGATTTTGCCATGTTTCCCAGGCTGGGCTTGAACTCCTAAGCTCAAGCTATCCTCCCACCTCTGCTTCCCAAAGTGCTGGGATTACAGGCTTGAGTCACTGCATCTGGCCACATTTATTCCTTTTAAACGTTAAAATTGAATGCAGGATCACTGAGAGACAGGTGAGTGATTACCAGGGTGCCAAACATACCCTTCTCCTCCTTTCCTGCAGCTCTACCTCCTCCTGATGATCAGGACAATCATGTATGATGACTCCTTTCCTTGACTGCTGCTCTCTCAGAAGGAACCCATTGTGTTGGGTGAGAACACATCATTTGAAATTTAGTAAGACTCTTGCTGTGCCTATGGTAGAAGCATTCCCTCTCTGGGGCCAAGATCTTTAAATGCACAGAGTCCAAAGTCGTGGGAACCAAAGCAGAAATTAAAAAGGAGATGACTGGGATTATGGTAAGAACTGTTTCCACCCTTGATTTGCTGCACCCATGTGTTCTACCTAGGAGATAGCACACCATATACTGGTTATTCATTTGGATTACATGCTGCATCCCGGAGAATGGGCACTGCATTCTCACTGGTCATCATGTCAGAGCCTGCGCTGCAGAGGCTTTCCCATTGCTCTGTCAGTGTGTTATAGGGTCAGTGGATTTCATGGTCATGTGCCCACTGCTGCACCTCCATTCTTGTAAAATGGGTCCTCTGGTTCAATGTGATGCCATGTGGGATCTTGTGTCAATAGAATAAATACTCAGATGTTCTGGCTGAAGCTTTACAAGCAGAAAAGGCCAACCGATGACTGAAATAAGCGTTGAGCCCAGTCAAGATGAGTTCCTGCTCTTTCCAGGATAGACGGAGTCTAGTGTAGATCACTTGACATCAAGAGACTGGCTGGTCTCCTTGAGGGATGGTGCTGTTCTGCATTCATCATCCTTGATGAATGAGGGACCCTGCTATTGGGCTCATGTACAGCCCCCATCTCTGCCACAATGAGCGCTCCATTCATGTTCCTATTGTGCCAACACTAGGGTGTCTGTAATCACTGAAAACATTATTGCTATCATTATTATTATTTTTTTTTTTTGAGACAGAGTCTCGCTCTGTCGCCAAGGCTGGAGTGCAGTGGCACGATCTCAGCTCACTGCAACCTCTGCCTCCCGGCTTCAAGTGATTCTCCCGCCTCAGCCTCCAGAGTAGCTGGGATTATAGGCATGCGCCACCACGCCTGGCTAATTTTTGTATTTTTAGTAGAGACAGTCTTTTGCCATATTAGTCTGTCTGGTCTCGAACTCCTGACCTCAGGTGATCTGCCCGCCTTGGCCTTCCGGAGTGCTAGGATTATAGGCGTGAGCCACCACTTGCTATTATTATGTTGAGAAAACTGTTTTCAATTATAAATAAGAAAAAATAAAAGATTATATTTTGCCTTTATTCCTTCTCTAATGCTGTTCTTTAAGTAGATGTGAATTTCTGAACTACATACTTTTTCTTTACTCTTGAGAGGTTGTTTGGAGGTTCCAGCAGGGGACCACAGCTACTCGTATACCCTTGACCAAAGACTGGTCCTTGTCTATCAAGGATGGTCGTCTTCTTCCACCAAGCACACAGCTTCTGGAGGGACGCACATGGAGTGGTGAGGGAGGAAGGGGACACCCGCCTAGCCAGCTAGATCAGCCAAGCAGAATAAACCCTGGTAGTCAATGGGGTGACAGTGTCGCAGCCAGATTGCCCTCACATCCAACTCTTAGTGATCTTCTCTTAACATTTCTTGCAAGGCAGGTCTACTGGTACAAATTCTCTAATTTTTGCTTGTTTGAGAAAGTCTTTGTTTCTTCTTCACCTTTTTTTTTTTTTTTTTGGAGACAGAGTCTCCCTCTGTTGTCCAGGCTGGAGTGCAGTGGCCTGATCTTGGCTCACTGCAAACTCTGCCTCCCAGGTTCAAGTGATCCTCATTCCTCAGCCATCTGAGTAGCTGTGGTTACAGGCGTGTGCCACCATGCCTAGCTAAATTTTGTATTTTTAGTAGAGACGAGGTTTTACCGTGTTGGCCAGGATGGTCTTCAGCCTTCTTAACTTTTAAAGGATAATTTCACGGGGAGAATTCTAGGTTAGTGTATTTTTCTTTCAATACTTTAAATATTTCACTCCACTTTCTTCTTGCTTGTGTGGTTCTGAAGATAATGATATAATTCTTATTCTTGTTTCTCTGCAGGTAAGGTGGTTTCATACCTCTGGCTTCTTTCGAGAATTTCTCTTTGTCTTTGATTTCCTACAGTTTGAATATGATATAATTATGTATAGACTTGGGGCTATTTATCCTTTCTGGTGTAGTCTGAGCTCCCTAAGTCTGTGGTATGGTGTCTTGTAATTGATTTGGGAAAATTCTCAGTCATTATTACTTCAAATATTTCTTCTGTTCCTTTGTGTTTTTTTAACTTGTGCCAACTTTTTAATTGATACATAGTATTTTACATATTTATGGGGTACATGTGATACTTCATTACCTGCATAGAATGTGTAAATGATCTAGTGAAGGTGTTTGGACTATTACCTTGAGTATGTATCGTTTCTATGTGTTGGGAGCTTTTCAAGTCCTCTCTTGTAACAATTTTGAAATATACAATGCCTTGTTGTTAACTAGTCACCCTGCTCTGCTCTCAAACACTAGGATTTATTCCTTCTGTCTAACTGGGTGTTTGTACCCATTAACCAACCTGTCTTCATCCCCTCTACCCACATACCTTTCCCAGCCTTGGGTATCTATCATTCTACTCTTTACCTCCATGAGATCAGCCTTTTTAACTCCCACATATGAGTGAGAACATGTAGTACTTGTTTTGCCGTGTCTGGCTTATTTCACTTAAGATAATGACCTTTTATTCCATCCAGGTCACTGCAAATAACAAGATTTCATTGCTTTTTCTTTTTATGGCCAAATAGTGTTCCATTGTTTATATAGACCACATTTTACTTTATCCATTTGTACATTGATGAACACTGAGGTTGATCCATATCTTGGCTATTGTGAATAGTGCTGCAATAAACATGGGGGTGCAGGTATCCCTTTAATATACCGATTTCTTTTCCTTTGGATAAATACCCAGTAATGGGATTGCCGGATCATGTGGTAGATGTATTTTAAGTTTTTTGAGAAACCTCCATACTCTTCCATCATGGCTGTATTAATTTACATTCCCATCAATAGTATATGAGTTCCCTTTTTTTTCTGCATCCTCACCAGCATCTATTATTTTTGTCTTTATAATAATGGCCTTTCTAACCAGGGTAAGATGATATCTCATTGTGGTTTTGATTTGCATCTCCCTGATGAGTAGTGATGTCAAGCGTTTTTCCATATGCCCATTGGCCATTTGTATGTCTTCTTTTGATGAAGTCTGTTTGTGTCCTTTGCCCACTGTTTATGCTCCTTTTTTTCTTCTCTCTCTGGTATCCCCCTCACACATATATCAGACCTTTTTTAATTGTCCCACAATTCTTGCATTTTCTGTTCTTTTTCATTCTTTCTTCTCTTTGTATTTCAGTTTTGGAAGTTTCTATTGATATTCAAGCTCACTGATTCTTCCTCTGGCTCTGTTCAGTCTATTAATAAGCCCTTCAAAGCCTTTCTCTCTCCTTCTTTCTTTCTCTCTCTCTCTTTCTCTCTTTCTTTCTCTCTTTCGTTCTTTCTTTCTCTATTTCCTTCCTTTCTTTCTTTCTTTCTTTCTCTTTCTTTCTTTCTTTCTTTTTCTTTCCTTCCTTCCTTCCTTCCTTCCTTCCTTTCTTTCTTTCTTTCTTTTTCTTTCTTTTTCCTTCCTTCCTTCCTTCCTTCCTTCCTTCCTTCCTTCCTTTCTTTCTTTCTTTCTTTCTTTCCTTCCTTCTTTCTTTCGACCAGTTCTCACTATGTTGCTCAGGCTAGCCTAGAACCCCTGGGCTCAAGTTATCCTCTCAGCTCAGCCTTTCAAGTAGGTGGGACAAATGCGCCATTCTATCATACCCAACAATTCCTCATTTCTGTTACAGTGGTTTTTATTTCTAGCATTTTCTTTTGATTCTTTCCTAGAGTTTCCATCTCTCTGCTTACATACACATTTGTTCTCTCATATTTTCCACTTTTTCCATTAGGGCCTTCAGCATATTAATTAGTTATTTTCAATTCTAGCCTGATAATTCCAAAATCTCGGTTATATTTGAGTCTGTATCTATGCTTGGTTTGTCTCCTCAGACTGCGTTTTTTCCTTTTAGGATGTCCCTTATCATTTTTTGTTGAAAACAAGACATGATGTATCAGATAAAAGTAATTGAGGTAAACAGGCCTTTAATATGAGGTTTTATGTTTATCTGGCTTGGAGTTAGGCTGTGTTTACTCTTTGCTGTAACTTTGGTGCCAGAGGCTAAAATTTCCTCTGGTGCCCTTGTTTTTGTCTCTCCTGTTATGTTTGTGTTTCCACAGAGTCTCCGTGAATATGGTGTGAGGCTTGAAGTTCTTTAGCTGTAACCCCTCTTATTATACAGGAGCCTTACGGGTGTGGTGGTAATGTGGGAGGGTGGGCTTAAGTATTCAGCAGTCCTGTGATCAGGTCTCAGTCTTTTAATAAGCCTGAGTACTTCCCTTTCCCTTTCTGCATGTTAGAGTGGCCTGGAGTTGGGGGTATCCATTACCCCAGGTTGGTAGGCTTTGGTAAAACCACAGTCTATCAAGCTGTGGTAAAATAGTTTCCCTGCAGTCTGGCTTTGTTAAGGATAACAGAGGGCTCTGGGGGTGTTTCAAAATTGCTACTTTTCCTCTCTCCCTGTCAGAAGCACAAGGAGATTTCTCTTGATCTTCACCCTGAGAGTCTGGTGGGGTTCCTGGAGGTAAAACTCAGGAAAGTGTGAGGGCCTCCACACAAAGCGTCTGCTGAAGTTTGTTCCATAGCCTCAGTTCTCTAATGGATCTAAGAAGAGTTATTGATTTTCAATTTGTCCAACTTAATTCTTGTTTTGAAGACAGAAGTGATGACTTCCAAGCTCTTTATATGTTGAACCCAACCCCATATTATTTTCAATTAGCAATTGCATATAGCAATGGTACATTGCATTTATAGAAATATAATTGATGTTTGCCTGTGTATCTTTTTTCCTATTATGTTGCTGAATTCATTTCTTAGTTCTAGGAATTTTTCAAATACATCCCTTAGGATATTCTGTATACATAATCATGTCATCTGCACATAGGGACAGTTTTATTTCTTTTTCTAGTCTGTATTTCTTATTTCCTTTTCTTGCCTTATTGCAGTGGCTAGAACTTGCAGCACTATATTAAAATAAGAGTGGTAAAAGTGAACATTCTTTCTTTGTTGCTGATCTTGGGGGGAAAGTATTCAGTCTTTCACCATTGAGCATAATGTTAGCTGTAGGTGTTTTAAATCTTTATCCAGTTGACGAAGTTACCCTTTATTCCAATTTTTCTGAGAATTTATATCATAAATGTGTTAAATTTTGTCAAATTTTTTTGCATGTATTGATATGATTATGTGGTTTTTCTTCTTTAGTTACTGCAGTGGGTTGCATTGATTGATTTCTATTATTGAACCAGCCTGCATTCCTGGAATAAACCCCATTTGGTCATGATGTATAATTCTTTTTTTTATATTGCTGAATTCTATTTGCTAATATTTTGTTAAGGATTTTTGCATCTGTGTTCATGAGGGATCTGGGCTGGTAGGTTTTTTTCCCCCCTGCAATGTCTCTGTCTGGTTTTGGTATTAAGGTAATTTTTTTTTTTTTTTTTTTTGAGATGGAGTCTCGCTCTGTCACCCAGGCTGGAGTGCAGTGGCACGATCTTGGCTCACTGCAACCTCCACCTCCCAGGTTTAAGCGATTCTCCTGCCTCAGGCTCCTGAGTAGCTGGGACTACAGGTCACACCACCACGCCCGACTAATTTGGTATTAAGGTAATATTATCATCATAAAATGAACTGGGAAGTGTGCCCTCTTCTTGTATTTCTTTTTTTTTTTTGAGACAGTCTTGCTGTTGCCCAGGCTGGAGTACAATGGTACGATCATGGCTCACTGCAGCCTCAAACTCCCAGGCTCAAGTGATCTTCCTGCCTCAGCCTTCCCAGTACAGGGGCAGGCTACCACATCTGGCCAATTTTTAAATTTTTCTTTTGTAGAGAGGGGTCTCACTATGTTGCCCAGAGGATCTCAAGCAATTCACCTACCTTGGCCCCTCTTCTTGTATTTTATGGAAGAATTATTGGTGTCAATTCTTCTTGAAAGTTTCGTTAGAATTCTTCAGTGAAGCTGTATGGGCTTGAAGATTACTTTTTTTTCTTTTTTTTTTGAGATGGAATTTCACTCTTGTCGCCCAGGCTGTAGTGCAGTGGTGTGACCTCTGCTCACTACAACCTCTGCCTCCCACGTTCAGGTGATTCCCCTGCCTTACTCAGCCTCTGGAGGAGCTGGGATTACAGGCACCCGCCACCATGCCCGGCTAATTTTTTGTATTTTTAGTAGAGACGGGGTTTCACCATGTTGACCAGACTGGTCTCGAACTCCTGACCTCAAGTGATCCACCCGCCTCGGCCTCTCAAAGTGCTGGGATTACAGGCATGAGCCACCGCGCCCAGCTGAAGATTTCTTTTTGGGGAGTTTTAAATTATACAATCAATTTGCTTAATAGGTATAAGCTATTCAAGTTATCTATTTTATACTGGATGAGTTGCAATAGTTTGTGGTTTATGAGTTTATATGGTCCATTTCATCTGAGGTATAAAATTTATTTGTGTAGTATTGTTGGTAGTATTCCCTTGTTATCTTTTTTATGTTCACATGGTATATGGTGACAGTCCTGGTTTAATTCCTAGTATTAGTAACTGGCTCTCTCTCTCTCTCTCTCTCTCTCTCTCTCTCTCTCTCTCTCTCTCTCTCTCTCTCTCTCTCTCTCTGGTCAGTCTTTCCAGAGGTTTGTCAATTTTGTTGACTTTTTTCCCCCAAAGAATCAGCTCTTTGTTTCATGGATTTTCTGCTTTTCTGTTTTCAACTTCATTGATTTCTGCTGTTTATTATTTCTCTCCTTCTGTTGGTTGTGAGTTTGTTTTGCTTTTCTTTTTCTACATATTCGATGTGAAATCTTACATTATTCACTCGGGACTTTTCTTCTTTTTTGATGTATGCATTTAGTATTCTAAATTTACTTCTTAGTACTGCATACTGCTTGAACTATGTCTGACAAATATTAATATATTGTTTTTAAATCTTTATTCAGTTCAGTGTATTTTTAAAATTTCCTTCTCTGCCTCTTCTTTGATTTGTTATTTAGAATTGTGTTGTTATTTTCCGAGTATTTACATTTTCCTCTTATCTTTCTGCATTGATTCCATCGTAGTCAGAGTGCATGCTCTGTACAGTTTCAGTTCTTTCAAATTTATTGAGCTTTGTTTAATGGATCTGGATACAGTTTATCTTGGCATATATATATATATATATACACACATATGTATGTGGGCGCTTGAAAAGAAAGCGTATCTGCTGTTTGGTGGAATGTTTGGAGTGTTCTATAAGCGGTGATTAGATACTGTTGGTTGATGATGTCATTGAGGGTTCCGATAACCCTACTGATTTAAATTTATTTAGTCTGTCAATTATTCAGAGAGAGAGGTGTTGAACTCTGCAATGTGAATTGTGGATTTGTCAATTTCTCCTTTCAGTTCTATTAGTTTTTTCTTCACATATTTTACAACTCTGTTGTTTGGTGCATACACATTTATGCACCAAATTTAGGATTGCTATAACTTCTTGGTGGATTGACCCTTTTACATTATATAATGTCTTTTTCTGTCCCTGGTAATTGTGGTTGCTCTGAAGTCTATGTTATCTCAATATAAATAGACAACTCTGCTTTCTTTTGATTAATGTTTACATGATACATCTTTTTCTATTCTTTTACTTTCAACTTACTTATATTATTATGTTTGAAGTGAGCTTCTTGTAGACAGCATGTAGTAGGTCATATATGTACATAGATATATATATTTTTTTGAGATGGTGTACTCTGTCACCCAGGCTGGAGTACAGTAGTGCTCACTGCAACCTCTGCCTCCTGGGTTCAAGTGATTCTCGTGCCTCAGCCTCCCCAGTAGCTGGGATTACAGGCACGCACCACCATGCCCAGCTAATTTTTGTATTTTTAGTAGAGACGGGGTTTAACCATGATGGACAGGCTGGTCTCGAACTCCCGACCTCAAGCGATTAGCCCACCTTGGCCTCCCAAAGTGCTGGCATTACAGGTGTGAGCCACCGTGCCTGGTTTAATATTTTTAATCCACTCAGTCTTTGTCTTCTACTGGTGTACATAGACATTCGCATGTAATGTAAATGTTGATATGTAAGAGCTTGAATCTGTTATGTTTTTGCTTTCTCTATGTTTTCTCAATTTTTAATTTCTCTGTTTTCTTTTTTTCTGCTTCATATTGGCTAATGAACACTTTGAATCATTCCATTTTGATTTACCTATAGTGTTTTTTAGTGTGTCTCTTTGCATAGCTTTTTTAGGGGTTACTTTAAGTATTTCATTATATGTACATAACTTATCACAGTATATTGGTATCATTATTTTACCAGTTCAAGTAAAGTATGGAAATGTTTCCTCTCTACATTCCTTTACCTCATTTATAATATAATTGTCTTAGGTATTTCTTGTACATACATTTTAAACCGGATGAGTGTTATTTTTGATTTAGCTATCAAATAATTCCAAAAACTCAAGAAAAAAAGGAAAGCTTACTATATTGACCCATATTTTCATTCACCATGTTGTTTCTTCCCTCTTTATGCCCCATAGTTCCTTCTTCTATTGTTTTCGTTTAGAGAACTTCCTAGCCATTCTATTGGGGTAGATCTCCTAGTGACAAATTCTCTTAGCTTTCTTTTCTCTGTGAATGTCTTTATTTCCCTCTTTGTTCCTGGAGGACATTCTCACTGGATATAGGATTCTTGGCTATTGGGTCTTTTCTTTTGGCACTTTTGTAAGTGTGCAGCCTGCTGTCAAAATAAAAATTAAAATAAAATAAAAATGAATGTTTTCCTTTGCTACGTTCATGAAAGTATAATTCACTGAATGAGGAGGGACACCCATCTCTATAATCTGGAGGCCCATGCTCACCTCTGAATAGTACATTTGCAGAGAAATTGGGGAAATCAAAGTCTGTTGAGACCAGCAAGATAAATAAGGCAAAAGGATACAAAACCATATCCAAAGAGAAATGGTTTAAAGGAACTAAGGCTGTTTCTCCTAAAAAGAAAATAGTTGGAGACATGTGACCTCCAAAGAAACAGGACTTTTTCTATGGGGCTCCAAGGGGTTTCTATGAGAGAATGATAAAGGAGAGATTTCAGCTTAGTCTCAGGAAGACTTTTCAACAACCAAACCTGCCCAAAGATGGACTGCCCTGCCTAAGGATTGTGTTCTGACATTAAGGGTATGGAGGTATGGGTTAGATGAATATTTTACCAAAATGCCATAGATATTTCAGGCTATTGATGTTGTAATATCATACTAGGCAACTCCACTTCAATATGAGTCTCTATGATGTAAAATGAAATAGGATGTGTTTCGATAGAGAGTTGCAGATTTCATTTTGATGTTAGCGACCACACAAAATTACTTTCCCTACATAAGAACATGTTATTACTCTAGTTGATGATGACTGCTTATGGGAAATGTGTCTGCTTTGTTAGGAATCTTGCCTAATATATGTATAATTCAAGATGGTATTATAAAGTGACATATATGATTTTAACATTTGCACTTAAAATAACACTTATTCTGTACCATGCACTGTCTAGGAGCTTCTACATATTCCATTATTATCTTTATTTTACAAGACAGGGAACTAAGGCATGGAGAGATTGAGTAATTTGTGCAATATTACCTACCTAGTAAGTGGTAAAGGAAAGATTGGAACCCATTCTGGCTCCAGGATCCAGGCTCAAAGCCAATATACTATCCACCACCCCAACTCTTTAGTTTGATCAATTTGTCAAATTATTTTACAGTTATTTATCTGTAAATTAAGGGGATAATTGCCCAGTCAATAAATGTGTCCCCTTCAAAGGTTACATACTTAACCAATGGTGCTACTGGGCTCAGAACATTTTTGGAACTACGATTTTGGTGGCAACCAAAAAACCTCCAGTACATTCCTCTGAACATTCTCCAGAGGCAAGTCTTTCTCCATGGAGACTGGGCTTCATTTTTTGAATTAGCCTGAAGTTGTTTGAGGTCAAATCTGATGAAAAGAGCGGCTGGGGAAGCTGGATATTTTCGTTCGTGATTTAAAACAGTAAATGCCACCTAAATGAGAAGGCTACTTTCTTTGAATGTTTTGTAAACTGGCTTTGAAGGTACTTCTTTAAAAAAGAAGCACAAGAAAGACGGTGACTGGCAACAGCCTCACTGGAATACGTCTCTAATCATCAAGGCAACCCACACTCATTTGGATGTGTGCATCTGGTGATGTTATTATTTTTAAAGTTATGTGCCACAAAGATGCATTCTTTGCTATACAAAAGAGCTGTTGTTAAATTTATAAAGATATAAAAAGGGGAAAGGGGAAGGCACCAAATGGAAGATTCTTAGGCATTAAGTGCTCAGACAGCATAGATCTTCATTAGATGACGTCAGGGAGAAGAGACACAGACTTTGCCATCTCAGGTAGAAGTATCAAAGTCATCAGCCTCCTAGTAAGACAGACCTGGGTTTGAAGCTCTGCACAGCCATTTCCTAGCTGGTCTGGGGAAAAATTACTTCTTGAAGCCTCAGTGTCTTTATTTGTAAAGTAAGTGGAATTATATTACCTTGTCAGGATGTTGTCAGAATTAGAAATAATTTAAAGAGGTCCAGCACGAGCAGGTCAATCAAGGGAAGATGTTAAAAATAACAACAGGTGAAATGTACTCCCAAAAGATAAAGTGGATACATAGATGAATCTTCCTCACACACAGAGTATAATAACCTCAGAAAAATATTGCCTAGAGTAAACATGCCTCCCAAGCCAACGTTCATCATCCAGGAATACGGAGAGGATGTTTGGGATATGGGGGGCATGAAATTTTACAATTGTAGGGCCCTTTAACAAGGGTAGACTTGCAAGTTGCACTGCCTTTCCTGCCCTCTCTGGCTACCTGTTCCAGCATCCAGAGTTTGTGAACCTGGGGCCCAAGGACAGCACCTGGCATGGGCAGGCCCACTTGGCGACTCTCTCAGGGCTGCTGCAGCTGTGTCAGTGTCCCCACAGGGAGGCTGACATCCAGCCATGACCATCGCATTAAGCCCAGCAGTCGGGCAGGGGAGCAACTGCTCAGAGGCACCTTTGACCCACTACTTTTTTCCCCTCCTGCTTTATCTGCCCAGAGCGAGGCTCTCTTTCTAATGTGTACAAGGCGTTCTACCTATGACTCGTGGTCCTGCCATAGAAATGCTTTTTTTTTTTTAACTGAATTAAGTTGCCAAGTTTGAAAAATCAGGAATTTCACATAAGCATCCCTATTTCTGTCTTCTTTTGAAAAACTGAATGTTCTTTCCACAGTGAGCCCACATTCCTTCCTGACGACCATCACCGTTCAGCTGGAGTAGAGAGGGCTCTGCTCGCTTCAGATCCGGACGCGCAGGTCCTCTGCAGGCCCCGCCCACCCGGCGTCACCTGCAGGTCCCGCCCACCCGGCGTCTGCAGGCCCCGCCCACCCGGCGTCACCTGCAGGCCCCGCCCACCCGGCGTCTGCAGGCCCCGCCCACCCGGCGTCACCTGCAGGCCCCGCCCACCCGGCGTCTGCAGGCCCCGCCCACCCGGCGTCACCTGCAGGCCCCGCCCACCCGGCGTCTGCAGGCCCCGCCCACCCTGCGTCACCTGCAGGCCCGGGCCGCGGGGTTGGTTTCCACCCTGGAGGTTGCTGACACCCTGTGCCCTCGGCTGACTTCCAGCCGGTGGCACAGACGCCTCCAGGGGGCAGCACTCAAGCGCATCTTAGGAATGACAGGTGAGAACATCCTCCGGGCCCCAGATTTCTCTCCTCGCCGCTCTTGCCCATTTCTCCGGAGAGCCAGAGAAAGCCGCTCCCAAGTCCAAGGCCGAGCTCCGCAGACGCCCGGCCCCTCCGGCGCGGACAGAACAAAGCCACTGTTCTTGCCGGGGAAGGTAGAAATACTGTGGGCTGCTTCAGAGGCTGCCAGCAAAACTCAGGCAATCTCCTGGGCTGTTCCAATACGTTTATTCTCTTTTTCAAAACAGGAGGAGGAGGTAGAGGCGGGGAGACACACCATCCCTGCAAAACTACTGGCAAAAACTAAGCGGAGCCGGGTGTGGTGGCTCACGCCTGTAATCTCAACACTTTGGGAGGCCGAGGGGGGCCGATCACTTGAGGTCAGGAGTTGGAGGCCAGCCTGGCCGGCATGGTGAAACACAAAAATTAGTCGATTGTGGTGGTGCATGCTTGTAATCCCATCTACTTGGGAGGCTGAGGCAGGAGAATCGCTTGAACCCGGGAGGCGGAGGTTGCAGTGAGCCGAGATTGCGCCACTGCACTCCAGCCTGGACAACACAGTGAGATTCTGTCTCAAAATAAATAAATAAATAAACCCAAGCAGAAAAAGAATCACTCTGAAAACGATCACATCTAACTATCAATGCTCATACAGTTTATGGAATTATCAGCCCAACTTGATAAAATCAGTATTTGAGGAAACTGTGGATAAGCCCCCTGATTTCAATCCCCATTGTGCCAGGTCCTGGTTAACTGAGGTTAACGAAGTAAAGAGCTGCAGACACTATTAACTGCTACCTTAAACCGATTACTCTAGCTTAGCCTACTTTCCACGTACAGATTTTACCAGTGGACAACATGATGCTTTATCTTGTTTTTCTCTCCCTGGGACTTTTCTCCAGACATTGAAAACAGAAATACTAATAAGGCCACTTTTACCTGCCTGATGCAAGAACAGAATTTTCAAACTCAACATTAATGCAACTCCTCAGTCCCTGACAATGGCGGGTGGAAAAGTTTCTAAAAATATGCAGCAGCACAATTATCGGGAAGAGATGAGATACTGTTACCTAATAAAAATGCCATAAATAGAGAATGATGAACTACCATGGGAAATGAATGCATAGAAGAGGACATGCTGGAATGTGGGACAGTAAAAATCACTTAAACTTTGCGTGACCTTGAAGAAAGTCACGATGATCTGTTTTTCCAGGTCCCTCAAACAGTGAGATGTGGCTGTTTCCCAAGTCTTCCTCTCCAGTGTAAAGGGTCTGAATTTAGACGCTTTGTGAGTCTTCCTTCTTTCGACAGCCTGGAGTCTCTCTTGAGTCTCAAGGCTGCCTGAGTTCCTCTCTAACATCCTCTAGGCAGTATCAGCTAATGAGACAATGAATTCCATGGAGGCAGCAGTGGGAACAGAAGTACCTCTCTTGGATAATTTACAACACTGGTGAGCAGAGGGTCAGATCACCCTGGGGTTTGTGTCACAACCAAAAAAGTGGCTGTGGCACTGAGTTCTTGGATGGTTTTCTACAGCTGGTCCAGATTTTCCATGGGCTCACCTTTAAATTAAAAGAATTTCTGCACTTTGAAGAATTTGAAAACAAAGCCATGTGTGAGAATATGAGATCCACTCATATGCCCTTGCAAGAAATAGGTTGCATTCCTTTTTCCGGACTTAAAAAAAAAGCACCCCCTCTTTCTTTTTTTCAGAAGGCATATATGTAAATGATTCCAAATTAATCTTTAGCATGTGCCTATGTTGTTCTGATTTACTAAACTTTAAAAATATGTCCATTGTTGTCTGTTAACAGCTTTTGGCAACTTTTTCAGAGATTGAAATATGTGAGCAAATTAGAGAAATGAGTACAATTATTAGCTAGTACCATTCAACAAGCGCTAAAGATACAAATACCTCTACAATACATAAAAGGAATGATTATAGTAGATTTTATAATGCCATATAAGGTTTCTTATTTAACTTCATTCTTAATTCTCAAAATAAAATGAAATTACATAGAAGCAAAGTAATATAGTTACCAGAATAGTATTTTTACATGTCTTTAAGTGTATGTTGTTGTTGTTGTTTTTAAGGTAATTATGTGATGTTGTGGAAAGAACAGAGACCTGGGTTAGATAAAATTCCGGTTGTCTACCAGATTGTGATAGTGAGCAAATTACTTAACCTCTATGATCCTTATCTTATTTATCTATGAAACAGGATTGGTAATACTCATATCATAAGGTTGAAAGGATTAAATGAGGCACTATGGAAAATTTCTAACATGGTGGTGCCTGGGACAGTAGAAGATGCTTAATAAAGATAGCTTTCATTATTATTATTAGCTTTTTCAGGTGATGGTGATTGTAAATGTTTAGGTAATTTTTTAAACTTTAGAAATAATTGATTTTCAAATGATTAAGACTGCTTATTTTAATCATTTATTTTTATCACCAGATTTATTTTTATTACCCAAAATGTCAACGACTGTCATAAAGATAAAAATTAATAATAATTGGCCAGGTGCGGTGGTTCACGCCTGTAATCCCAGCACTTTGGGAAGCTGAGGTGGGTAGATCACAAGGTCAGGAGATTGAGACCATCCTGGCTAACGCGGTGAAACCCCATCTCTACTAAAAATACAAAAAATTAGCTGGGTGTGTTGGCGGGCGCCTGTAGTCCCAGCTACTCATAGTCCCAGCTACTCAGGAGGCTGAGGCAGGAGAATGGTGTGAACCCGGGAGGCGGAGCTTGCAGTGAGCCGAGATCGCGCCACTGCACTCCAGTCTGGGCTACAGAGCCAGACTTCATCTCAAAAAAAAAAAAAAATTAATAATAATTTAAACCCGAAGTATGAACTGAATTATTTCCCTTAGTAGCACATCACATAGGCTGATGATAGTTTTGGTGACTGGTTTATCTATTCTTCCTAAAAGCAAACTGTTGTTAGATGGATGATCACTTGCATGTTGTGACTGAACTCAGCAGTTGGGTTTTATTTTTTATTTTTTATTTGCTTCAGTAGCATTAGCCTTTCCTACCAAGATTCGAACAATCCATTTGCCTTTTTTTCCCTAAAATCTCTCATACATTGTAAATACTACATATTGGCTAAATATTTCCTGGACAGACATGAAGGACACATAAATCAGTCTCTGTATGATGTTTCTCACTGTAATGGAGTTTATCTGGCTCAAGACCAGGACATTTATTGCATATCAGGTTTCTACAGTTCAGGCAAAAGTTTGAGGATAAGGACTTACTGCAAAAAGTCTTCTATTGTTCTCAACCATTTTCTCGCTTAGCACATGCAGAGATTTGAAATGGTCCGTGGTACAGTAGTTGTGTCTGTATATTTCTCTTGTAGAATATTAGAACAAGGGATTTGCAGTTTACAGAGAAGAAGGCTTGGCGAGGTGTTTGGAAATACACTCAGAAACCTGAGGAAATTTGTGGAAAGAGAGGCTTATTATTTCTAGAAATATGCTAGAGTACGTTTTGATTGTGCACCTGAGGAATTAATAGATTAAGTAGTTTTATAAGGACTGGGGTTAATAGAATACTGGCAGTGAAGTTTGTCTTAGGACTTCTTAATTGGATAATCAGTGAAGTCACCAGATCCCAGTTAGAGACAGTTCCAAGTTTTACAAAACGCAAGATAACTGTCCAAGAGCTGTAATGGCTTAATCATCTTTGAATAATACCTCTCACTGAAGCTATATCATAAGAAATAAAAATCTACATTTTAAAAAATTGGCTGTAATCATAGGGTGACTAACTGTCCCTGTTTACCCAGGACTCAGGGTTTCCCAGGCTGAGGGACAATGGGTACTAAAACCAGGACAGTCCCAGGCAAACTGGGACGGTTGATCACCCTACCCAATGGCCTCATCTGTCTCATTAAAATATCTGGATTACTTCGTGCCTCAAAAATATCCTCGGCTTACCTGACTCTAGACAGTCAAGAAGCTTTTATTAATTGTCTAATGTATGCCACTTTCTGGAGGTGATATTGTTCAACTGATAGATGAGCATCACTGATTGAAATATTTTGTGGTTTTCATGCTTTGTATCTTGTGCTGATAGCCCCACATGGATATTTCTGTTTCCAAGTTTGTGTCACTTCTGGAGATATTAGCCTGAACTCAGCAAAATAGGATGATCAAAATGAACCTTTCCAGTGAATTCTGTCCTTCTTGTGCTGTTGTCATCTGACTTAGATATACTGGCCGGGCGCGGTGGCTCACACCTGTAATCCCAGTACTTTGGGAGGCTGAGGTGGTTGGATCCCTTGGGATCAGGAGTTTGAGACCAGCCTGGCCAATATGGTGAATGAAGCCCTGTCTCTACTAAAAATACAAAAATTAGTTGTGCGTGGTGAAGTGTGCCTGTAATCCCAGGTACTCAGGAGGTTGAGGCAGGAGAACTGCTTGAACCAGGGAGTCGGAGGTTGCAGTGAGCCCAGATCACACCACTGCACTCCAGCCTGGCAACAGAGTGAGACTCCATCTCAAAAAAAAAAAAAATTAGCTGGATGTGGTGGCACATGCCTGTAATCCCAGCTACCTGGAAGGCTGAGGCAGGAGAATCGCTTGAACCCAGGAGACGGAGGTTGCAGTGGGACGAGATCGTGCCACTGCACTCCAGCCTGGGTGTCACAGCGAGACTCCATCTCAAAAAATAAAAATAATAAAAAATAAATAAATACATAAATAAATGAACACATAAATTAGATATACCAAGAAAAGTATAAAAAAGTCTTGTGTGAACATAAATGAAAATTGGCCAAAATAGGTAACAGACAGGGTCAGGCGTGGTGGCTCATGCCTGGAATCCCAGTACTTTGGGAGGCTGAGGTGGGAGGACCACTTGAGGCCAGGAGCTCAAGACCAGCTTGGGCAACAAAGCGAGACCTCATCTCTATGAAAGAAAAAAAAATTTAAAAGAGGTAATGAACAACTTGCTTGCCTTCCTGCCTGCCTTCCCTAAAATACTAAGTTAAATGCAATACATGCCCTGACATTGTAGTTTGCTTTCACAAAGATTTACTGAATACTTACTCTAGGCTAAACCTTGTGCTACATGTGGGGCTACAGGGATGAAAGAGAATTGGTCTTGCCCTCAGGAACCTTTCATTTAGTACAGAGATTTAGTGTGTGCTGGTTGGTCTCTGTTCTCCCCCTCTCCTCCAGATCTATTCTCTATTTCTTCCCCTCTCCCTGCCTCCAGGAAGGGGGGCTGGATCACTGTGGCTCATTGCTCTGTGGCTTCTGATTGAGTTCAGCCAATGGGAGGCATCATTTTGGCGTGGCAGCTCTGGCTGTTCCTCTGCAATTGCAGTTCCCTCCTCCAAGGCTCTGGCTCTCACTGGGTTCCTGTATCCAATAACAGACTCCCTTAACTGCCCACTTCTGAAAACAGTTTCTGCATAAAGCTATTTTCATAATTTCCTCTGATGTGCCTTCTGTTTCCTGTGTAGACCCTGATTCAATAGGAAAATAAATTATTGAAATAGAGGAAGAGACAGGTAATAATAGAGGTATACACAAGTAGAATGGGGCAATAAATGGCGCATTTTCGCACCATCAAGAGTGCCCATGTAACAGAGATAAGTAAATGCATCTTGAGCTGAACACTGAAGGATAAGAAACAAAGGGGAGAAAGACCTAGAAGGGGCAATATACAGCAAGGAGGGAAAATAAACTACTGTGCATTCATGCCAGTGTTAGCATTTAGGACATCTGGAAGCTAGAGGTGGAGTGGAAAAGGAGAGAGTGATAGGAGCTGGGGTCAGAGAGTTTCAGGGTGGGGAAGGTCTTGCAGGACCTTGTAGGTAATTGTAAAGCATTTGGATTTTATTCTGAGGGTCACTGGGGTGTCATTAGAGACTTTTGAGCAAAGAGGTACATGCTCTGACTGAACTTTATTCTGTGAACAATCAGAATCAACTAGATGGATTTAAGTATGGGTATACCATGAAAGAAAATTACTTAAGATCCTTGCTACTCAAAGTATGAGCCAGGACCAGCTACACTGGCATCAGCTGGGAACTTGTTAGAAATGCAGAATCCCAAGTCCCCGAGACAAACTGAATCAGAACCTGCACTTTAACAAGATCCCAGGTGGCCCATTTGTATGGTAGAGTTTAAGAAGCATTGGTTTAAAAGATCCCTCTGATAGGAGCATGGAAGATACATTTGAGACAGAATAGACAAGTCAGAGACAGGTGGGAAGGGCCTAAAACAGGGCAGAAGTAGGGAGGTAAATGAGGAGACAAATACAAAGGAAGAAAATGCACAGCACAGTGTAGACAATTCCTAAATACTTAAAAAAATTTTTTTTGAAATAATGATAGATTCACAGGAGGTTGCAAAGAAATGCGTAGGGAAGAACAATGCACCCTTTACCCAGCCTCCTCCATCATTAACATCTTATGCAACTATATTATAATATCGAAAACAATCAAGTGACATTGCTACAACCCATAGAGCTTATTCAGATTTCACCAGTTATTAGATGCACTCGTGTGTGTGTATGCATATAGCTCTGTGTAATTTTATCATATGTGAAGCTTTGCTACCACAATCAAGATATTCAAGCCATTAGCAGAAGATTTTCTGGTGTTACCTCCTTATAGCCACACGCATTCCTCCATCATTAACCCCTGGGAACAACTAATCTGTTCATCTCTATAATTATTCTATTTCACGAACATTTTGTAGATGGGTACATGCAGTGTGTATCTTTTGGGATTGGTAACAGAGCAAGACAGGATCTCACTCTGTCACCCAGGCTGGAGTGCAGTGTCGTGATCTTGGCTCATTGCAGCCTCCACCTCCTGGGCTCAGGTGATCCTTCCACCCCAGCCTCCTGAGTAGCTGGGACTACAGACACACGCCACCTCACCTGGCTAATTTTTTGTATTTTTATAATGATGGGGTTTCACCATTTTGCCTAGGCTAGTCTAGAACTCCTGGGCTCAAGTGATCCAACCGCCTTGGCCTCCCAAAATGCTGGGAGTACAGGCATGAGCCACCACCTCCACCAGCTTTTTCATTCATACTTTCTTTGAAGTTCATCCAAGTTGTGTGTATCAATACTTCACTCCTTCCAGTTGCTGAGTAGTATTCCATGGCTTGGAGGTGCTAGAGTTTATTCATCACATTCAACCCATTGAAGGACATTTGGGTGGCTTCCAAGTTTCCAGTTTTGGGCTATTATGAACAAAGTTACTATGAAGATTCATATACAATGGATACTTTTTGTATGAATGAATGGAATAGAATGGATAGGATTTAGTGATCAGCTATGTGGGATGAAGAGTGGCATAAGTAGTAAAAAGTAACCCTCAATGCAATGTGCAGCCAGCAAGTACCACAAAAAGAGTTTATTTTGTTTCATACATATATTTCTATATATACATACACACACTTTATTAATAACCAAATAGTATCCTTTTCAAATGAAAACAGTAATTTAACATAAACTATGAACTTAAAATCTAAAGTAAAACTTGACAACAGTGATGCAGAATTTTTTGCTCCTTAGCTCAGTTAGGTCTGTGTTCTTATCTTATGACCAGGAAGAACTAGGTACCCTGACATCAAAGAATGAGTGGCATAGAATTTATTAAGCAAAAAGGAAAGCTCTCAGGAAAGAGTGGGGTCCTGAAAGCAGGTTGCTGGTTGCCCCTTCGTAGTTGAATACAAGGGCTTCTATATAAAACCTGATGGGGCCGAGTTCCCTGTTCGTATAAGGCATGAATTCCTGGTGGCTCCACCGCCCTCCCCCAGTGCGTATGTGGGACCTTCGTCCACTAGGGACATGTTTAGACAAGCTCCCTGTGCACGTTCCCTTATCTGCACAAAACATGGGTTGGAGGTTCTCCGGGGACCCTTCCTTTACTTTCTGCCTAAAGCAAGCTGGCTAACTCCTTTCAACAATACTAAAGACATACAGACAATGGTTCTCAGTACAATCATTTTAAATATTTAAGTAAACTTAAAATGGTGTTTGTTTTGATTTGACATTTTAAAAGATATCGCTGTTCTAAAAATTCTGTGTTTTTAGTTGTTTGGGCTCCTATTCTACAATGTGCTATTACTATTAAGCATTCTTGTATCATGGCATTCCTCAAATAGTTTTTAAATTACTTTTAATTTGAAGAAGGAACATTCTGTACAGTCACGGAAAGTGTCAAAAATGAAAATGAGGCAGGGTGTGGTGGCTCACGCCTGTAATCTCCGCACTTTGGGAGGCCTAGGTGGGTGGATTGCTTGAGCCTAAGAATTTGAGACCAGCCTGGGCAATATGGTATAACCCTGTGTGTACAAAAAATACAAAAATTAGCCAGGTGTGGTGGCCCAAGCCTGTAGTCCCAGCTACTTGGGAAGTTAGGGTGGGAAATCCTAGGTGACAGAATGAGACCTTGTCTCAAAAAAAAAAAGAAAAAAGAAAATGATAAAGGATACATATCAGGAAAACATGCATGGTATTTTGTATCATCTACTTTAGAGTAATTCCAGTATAGTGGTTTTTTTGTTGTTGTTTGTTTTATTTTTGAGAAAGGGTCTTGCGCTGTCACCCAGGCTGGAGTGCAGTGGTACGATCTTGGCTCACTGCAACCTCCGCCTACCAGGTTCAAGCCATCCTCCCAACTCAGCCTCCAGAGTAGCTGGGACTACAGGTGTGCGCCACCATGTCCAGATAATTTTGTATTTTTTGTAGAGATGGGATTTTGCCATGTTGCCTGAATGCCTGGCCTCAAGCAATCCACCCTCCTCAGCCTCCCAAAGTGCTGGGATTGCAGGCGTGAGCCACCACACCCAGCCCCAGTGTAGTCGTTTTTTCTTTTCTTTTTTATTCTATGTTTTAATGAATTTACACGTTACCCAAATGTTCCCTAGTTTTTCTGCCTTCCAAGATCACTCTGGAAGAATATTTAAGAATATACCAAATAAGAATATGCAAGTCCTCCCCTAAGGGTGGCAGGAAGAACACCCCTCCCCCAGATGGTATTTAGCGCCTCTGGCTGGGAACGGCTTCCCCATGCTCCTAGGTCAGGGTCCTCTCTTGGCATGACACTACCACCACAGTGCAGACCCACAACAGGGAGAAGGACGGCCACAGTCCCTCAATCCCCCTTTTCCAAGATGTGCACAGCCTGACTCCTAACTCCCCACCACTGACTCTAGGGGAAAAACAGCACAGGGCAGGAAACGATTTTCCATGTCACCAACCTTTCTCTGAGGGAACCTACTGGCCACCTCCCTCTTAGGACCAGCCCATCGTCCACAACGTGGAAGTCCAGCTTCCGTTCAAATCGGAGTTCTTTCTTCATGACATTTCTTTGCAAAGTCCCGGAACCCACAGCTCTGAGACTCTGGCTGTCCCCCAACCCACCCCATCTTCCTTGTCCTCACCCCTGGTCAGGAGAAGCCAAAACATCAGTCAGCTTCCCAGTAATCAAGCCTGGCTTTCTCACCCAGGGCTCGCCCCAGAACAACCACCGGCTTCTTTCAGTGTAGCCAAAAGGCTATTGGAGTCTTCTCAAATGAAAGAGATTTTATCAAAGGCTTGGAGAAGAAAAGAAAAAGAGGATTATATAATAAAACGTAAAACAACAAACATATACACACAAACAAAAATAAACGTGAGATATGATTCTCCCGGAGTGTTTAGAGCAGGAATGTTCTTGGGCATCTGCCTTCCCCCACCAGCACCCCCCACAAGGCAAGGCCAGTTCACCCTCAGTGCTCACTACTTTGCAGTGTTCATAGAATATTTGTAATAATTTTAGGCGGCTCCCTAAAATTTCTTTTCTTTTTTCTTTTCTTTTCTTTAGAGTTGCGTCCCTCTCGGTTGCCAGGCTGGAGTTCAGTGGCATGTTCATAGCTCACTGAAGCCTCAAATTCCTGGGTTCAAGTGACCCTCCTACCTCAGCCCCATGAGGACCTGGGACTACAGGTATGCACCGCTATACCCGTCTATCTTTTATTTATTTATTTATTTAGAGACAGAGTCTAGCTCTGTCACCCAGGCCAGAATGCAGTGACACGATCTCAGCTCACTGCAACTTCTGCCTCCCAGATTTAAGGGTTTCTCTTGCCTCAGCCTCCCTACTAGCTGGGATTACAGGCTTGCACCACCTACGTCCGGCTAATTTTTGTATTTTTAGTAGAGATGTGGTTTCACCATGTTGGCCAGGCAGGTCTCGAGCTCCTGACCTCAAGTGATCCACCCGGCGTGGCCTCCCAAAGTGCTGGGATTACAGGCGTGAGCCACTACGCCCAGCCTATTTTATTTTATAATTTTGTTTTAGACAAGGTCTAGCTCTGTTGCCTGGGCTGGAGTGTAGTGGTGCAATCACGATTCAGTGCGGCCCTGATCTCCTGGGTTCGAGTGAGCCTTAGCCTCCTGTTTAGCTGGTACTACAGGTGCATGCCACCACCTAGCTAATTTTTTAAAATTTTTTTGTAGAGACGGGGTCTCACCCTGGTGTCCAGGCTGGTCTCAAACTCCTGGGCTCCAGTGATGCTCCCACATTGGCGTCCCAAAGTGCTGGGATTATAGGAGTGAACTACTGTGCCCAGTCTTTTTAAAAAATTTTCAAGAGATTGGGGTCTTGCTATATTGCCCAGGCTGGTCTCCACTCCTGGTGTTAAGCGATCCTCCCACCTCAGCCTCCTTGAGTAGCTGGGATGACATTACAGGCACACACTGCCACCACTGGCTCTAAAACTTCTTCTGTGCCATTTGTGCACTTCACCCAATTGCCTCTTTGTAGTAATTAATTAGGATCTAGGGTGAAAAAAAAGTCAACAGCTATATATAGTCCTCAAAGTTTTGTACGTATCTGAGCAGTCATCAGTTGCACAGTGCAGAGGGATGAACTGCCGTCCCGCCACCTAAAAAGCATTAGTGACCATCAGGGAACCGTCAGATGCATGCCAGACTAAAGCAGAGTGAGGCTGTGCTGGGTGCTCTGTCTGTGGCTGCCCGTGCTCTCACTTCCCTGTCTTGCTCTGTGCCTTTGGGAGGTTGACCCTGAGTTGGCATCTCAGGGTCTCAGTCTGCTGGTTTCCTGGGTTCCCCTTGAAGGCTACTGCTCCCACAAGGCAACCACGGTCCCCGCTCTGGCTCTCACTGAGCTCCAGAATCATTGTTTCCTCCCCTTACCCAAGTGAGAATAATTATGTTTTATTCCAGAACCCTGACAAATGAAGAGGCCTAAAAACCCCCTAGGTATTATCCGATCTTGGTGATCAGGGAGGTGTTTGTTTTGTTTTTTAATGCAGACACATAGTTTTAAAAATTATTCACTTCATCTACTGTAAGAAAAGTCATATTAATTCACAATTTTGATTAAAACAAACAAACAAACAAACAACTTCTGTGACATTTTGGCTAACAAGTGGTTCAATATTAAAGCTTTGTCCACCAGGTGCAGTGGCTCATGCCTGTAGTCTCAGTGCTTTAGGAGGCTGAGGTGGGAGGATCACTTGAGGCCAGGAGGTCGAGGCTGCAGTGAACCATGATCTCACTACTACACTCCAGCCTGGGCAACAGAGTGAGACTCTGTCTCTAAACAAACAAACAAACAAATAAGTATAGTTCTTTCAAGCATGGCAGACAATCTGTCTCCTTTGGCCTGGGTCTCTCACTGCCTTTTAGATAAAAATCTGGCAATAACCAAAGAGTTTTCATAAGGCCTGTTGATCTATTTATAAGACATGCATATAATTTACTTGACCATTATAATACCATTATAATAATCTAAATCTATTTTCTTTATCGTCCAATAATCCACAGAGTCAGCACACAAGGATTCTTTTTTCCATATATAGGCTGAGTATTCCTTATCTTACATGCGTGACGCCAAAGTGTTTCAGGTTCTGGATGTTTTGGGATTTTGAAATATTTGCATATACACAATGAGATATCTTGGGGATAGAACCTACATCTAAACACAAAATTCATTTATGTTTCATATACACCTTATACACGTAGCCTGAAGGTAAATTTACACAATATTTTTAATAATTTTCCACATAAAACAAAGTTTGTATACATTGAACCATCAGGAAGCAAGGTGTCCCTGTCTCAGCCACCCACAAGGACACTCTGTAGTTGTCTTTCATTCCTGATTCCGAATTTATACGCTACTGACAAGCAATCATTTTCTTACACTTATTCACACAAGAGCACTTAGTAAAAAATATGACATATATATCTGGCATGCTCAGAAAAGCTATTTTGCAGCAGAAAGGAGCTGGGAGGGTCCTTTTTTTCCCTTGGGGACACGGAATAAATTGTGTATTATGTGCCTGCATTTTGACTGTGACCCCATCACATGAGGTTAAGTGTAGAATTTTCCACTTGTCTCTCTGTGCTTAAAAAGTTTAGATTGGCCAGGCATGGTGGCTCATGGCTGCAATCCCATCACTTTAGGAGGCCAAAGCAGGTGGGTCATTTGAGGTCAGGAGTTCAAAACCAGCCTGGCCAACATGGTGAAACCCTGTCTCTACTAAAAATAAAAAAGTTAGCCTGGCATGTTGGTGCATGCTTGTAATCCCAGCTACTCGGGAGGCCGAGGCAGGAGAATCTCTTGAACCTGGGAGGCAGAGGTTGCAGAGAGCAGAGATCACTCCATTGCACTCCAGCCTGGGTGACAAAGCGAGACTCTGTCTCAAAAAAAAAAAAAAAAAAAAGGTTAGATTTTGGAGCATTTTGGATTTTGGATTTTGCATTAAGTGTGTTCAAGCTGAAAAGAAAATCCGATTTGCTCAGGACAAACTTAACAAAACAAGTGAGATATTCCAATACTATATATATGCTCCTGTTTATATTTCCTTAATTAATTTGGACTTGGAACAACTTGGCCAATTATGGATTAGAGGATGAGACTTAAATGTTACTGTACAAGGGATAGAACGATTCATTCCTCTATGTTATCAAATACTTATGGTATTTTACCCATCCTGCTGTCATGCAGATCAAGAACCAAATTAAAACACATTTGCCAGGGTCATAATAATGTGGCCAGAATTTAAAGAAAAACTTGATATTTAATTATGTATGATTTTGCTTGTTTAGTCTACCGATTTCTATTTGCTTTAGCTTACTCAAAAATAAAGCGCGGCACTTCGAAGACTCAATAGTCTTCCATTCATGTGGGCCTTTATAATGCACGGGCCCAGATGCAATACATCTGGCGGTCTGCTTGGGTTGGCCACTGGATTGAAGGAGACAGAGAAGTCTGGGATGATTCCCAAATGTCTGGATCTGGTGACAGGGAGATATGGCAGGGCGAGCTTAGGGGAAAAAGCTGGGTTAGGAACTGTTGAAACTGAAATCCCTGAGGGCTGTGCCGACAGAGAGACAGCCGGTAGAAGGTTGTCTTTGCCTGTCTGTGGTTCCAGGTAACTTCATCGAAAGAGAGTTTCAGGCAGTAGAAATAAGAGCACCCAGGACAAAGCCCCAGGGAAGAGAAACATCTGACGGAGGACAGAGGAAGAAGGGTCAGGAATGAGACTGAGCAGGTGTCATGTGTCTGACACCAGAGCCTGACACATAGTACGTAGTAGACACTCAGCAAATACCGTAACAGAGATGAATCCAAGGCTGGGGGAGGTGGCTCACGCCTGTAATCCCCACACCTTGAGAGGCCTAAGTGGGAGGATCTCTTGAGTCCAGGAGTTCGAGACCAGCCTGGGAAACATGGTGAGACCTTGCCTCTAAAAAAATAAAAATTAAACATTAAAAAAAGAGATGAATGCATAACCTGGCTGCTGGAGCCAACATGGGTTGGGTGAGCCCACTCTTACCAGCAGCTAATCAAAAATTTGCCTGGAATTCTGAGGCTCCTGTCCTACGTCTTGGCTGCTCCTCCCAGATCACCTTCTGGCCGGTCCCAAGTCCACTTCCCATGCTCCTTGCTCCCTTCCTCCTGGTCTCCCTCACACTTTCCTTTCCTACTCCCCTTCCCTCTGTGGCCCTGGCTCAGCCCAGCACAGGGAGAGCCCTGTGCCACCTATTACAGCTCACCTGCACCTTTGCATCTTTCAGAAAGGAGCACCTACAAGATAACCCACCCCCCACCTTTTTTTTTTTTTTTTTTAGTAGTACAGATTGCCTCTCATAGCATAATTGGGCTTCATTATTATCCTTAAAGACCCTCTTTCTGTGGCAGATTGGGATGGATAAAATAAAGAAGATCGAGAGGTTGAAGAACCCATCCTGTTTTGCCAGTGAGAAGGGGATAGAATTAAAAGGATTAGGAGGGCTCAGGCATGGTGGCTCCAGCGTGTCATCCCAGCTACTCAGGAGGCTGAGGCGGGAGGATCACTTGAGCCCAGGAGTTGGAGACTATAGAGCACTATGATTACACCTGTGAATAGCCACTGCACTCTAGCCTGGGCAACATATCAAGACCCTGTTTCTAGGGACAAAAATATTTTTTAATAAATTTAAAAATTAAGGGAAAGGTAACCACATCCTGCTACAAATAAAAGAAGTTGGAGAGGTAAGAGGAGGACCAAGAGCTAATGGCATCATTTACACAAAAAGAGATGCTTTAAAATCAGTTGCTCATCCAATTCCACAAGGACAATAAGTAAGAAAGAGGATAGAAAGTCACCGGTGGATTTGGTCATCATTGGCTTCTTGATGACTTTAGCAACAAAAATTCTTGTTGGTAGTGAGAGTTAGACCCTGGTGGACTGGGTAGGGGGTTCCTGGAGCATGAGCAAAGGCCTGTGCCAGCCAATGGCCCCCACTACACTCTGCCCCGGCCTTTCTCATCTCAAAAAATGGCATCCCCCATCCAAAGCTCAAGTCAAGAATCCAGCAGCCACCTTTGATTCTGCACTTCCCCTCACCTCACAGTCCAGTCCCATCTCCAAAATAAGTTCCAAATCTCACCACTTCTCATTCTCCAAAGAGGCACCATTATCTCTTTCCTGGTGATTAAAACAGCTTCCTAACTGGCTTCCCTTCTACCTTGCTTTCCCATAGTCCATTCTTCTCAGGACAACAACAGTGGCCTTTTAAAACCAGTGCATTATTGTTGCCCTTTGGGAAATCCTCCACAATTATCCAGTCTTGCTTCAAAAAATGTATGTATTTCTGACTTTTTACCCTGCCCTACTTACAGGATATGCACATTTCTGATCTCCAGCCAATATCACACTTCTTCTCTCACTGCACTCTGCCACACTTGGCCAAGTTTGTTCCCACTCCTCTTGCACTTGCTCTCAGATCTCAGAAGAGGCGTGCTCCTTGTCTTTCAGGCCAGCCGGCTTCACACATGTGCCACGTGCACCCCTCGCTCAGAAGGGATCTGTACTCGGTTTGGATCTATTGTTGCCATCTTGAAACTCTTAATACTCTTTGAACACGGGGCCCGTATTTTCATTTTGCACTGGGTCCTGAAAATTGTGTAGCTGGCTCTACTTTCAGGGATTGTATCAGAAGTCTCCTCCTCAAAGAGGCCTTCCTCGGCCACTTATCCTCAAGTAGCTCCTCCCCTTCTAAGTTACTGGCTATCCCATCATTCCCACTTAATTTTCTTCATAACAGTTGTCATGCTTTTATACATTCTGGCTTCTATATTTATTTGTGTATTGTCCAGTTCCCTCCCTTTGGAACGCAGCGTGGGCACCTGCAACGCAGAGACCACTGTATCTCCGGTGCAGAATGTAATGAGTGCCTGATACATTTGCCGAATAAACTATTCCAAGGGTTGAACTTGCTGGAAGCAAGAGAAGCACTATTCTGGGTAAAATGGAAATTTTAAATGTACTTGATATTTATATACATCCTAATCAATAATTAAATTTGTGTAGTGCTGATCTAAACAGATAAATTCTGGCTTCATGATGATGGTGAAGTGGAATATAATTTTCTCATTTTGTATTCAAACTAGATCTTTTTCATGAAAGGATTTGAAGTCTAGATTCAATGCCTACTTTTGCTACTTATGTTATATGAAACTAAAACAATTATTTTATTGTATTTTTTTTGAGATGGAGTCTTGCTCTCGTTGCCCAGACTGGAGTGCACTGCTGCAATCTCAGCTCACTGCAACCTCTACCTCCCAGGTTCAAGCGATTCTCCTGCCTCAGCCTCTCGAGTGGCTGGGACTATAGGTGCGTGCCACCACACCCAGCTAATTTTTGTATTTTTAGTAAAGATGGGCTTTCACCATGTTGGCCAGGCTGGTCTTGAACTCCTGACCCAAGTGATCTGCCTGCCTCGGCCTCCCAAAGTGTTGGGATTACAGGCATGAGCCACTGTGCCTGGCAATAATTTTAGTTTAGTCTGAATTTTTTTTTTTTTTGAGATGGAGTCTCGCTCTGTTGCCCAGGCTGGAGTGCAGTGACGCTATCTCAGCTCACAGAAACCTCCGCCTCCTAGGTTTAAGCAATCCTCCTGTCTCAGCCTCCCGAGTAGCCAAGATTACAGGCACCTGCCACCACCCCCAGCTAATTTTTGTATTTTTAGTAGAGATGGGGTTTCACCATGTTGACCAGGCTGGTCTCAAACTCCTGACCCAAGTGATGTGTCTGCCTCAGCCTCCCAAAATGCTGGGATTACAGGCCTGAGCCACTGTGCCTGGCCTAGTCTGAATTTTTTAAAAAGGTTATTGGTCTACCTTCCAATGACATTGCACTCTGTGTGGCTCAATAAAACATTTTCATTTATAATAACTAATTTGACCTGCTCAGCAATCTCTAAGCAAGATAGAGTAGCTGTAATTCTTCATTTTACAGGTCATGTCAAATCATTTCGTACATTCCAGCTATGTACGAGAGCTTGGTGAGAATATGTGAATAATAATCACAGAACTTCAGAGCTGGGAGTAACAGCTGGAAATATTTCTTCCAATAATTGCATTTTTTATGAGAGGACGATGAGGTCCAAGTGGACAGGACCATGAGACAATCGTGTGGCAAGGAAGTTGATGCAATTTGACCTCTTAAGTCAGTGATCTTTATGTCCATCGGTCCTTTCCAGCAAGTGAGTTAGCCAACCTTTGCCTGCAAAGGAGGAAATTTTTAATTGAGGATTTACACTCTGCTTCTAAAATTTTGCTTATTATTGTGAATAATTTTCTTTAAGTTTATTAAATGAATGGCTGAATAAATGGACATAAGGAAAGAAGGAAGGGAGGAAGGAAGGGAGGGAGGGAAGGAAGGGAGGGAAGGAAGGAAGGAAAGAAGGAAGGAAGGAAGGAAAAAGAAGAGAGGAAGGAAAGGAAGGATAAGTCTGATGACAGCTGCTATTATATTCTACGTGGATAATTTATTTAGATCCTTATACTTTATCTTTTGTTTTACTTCTCTTATGCATATTCTCCTCAACTTTTTTTCAGTGGGCCAGAGGAGGAGGACTGCCTCTTGTGACTGTGGAAGGACTTCTACCAGGCTAACACCCCTGGCCTCTCACCCTCCCATTTCTCACCCTGCAAAGCAGAGTGCTATTTGATTCATGTTCTTAGTCTGTGGATCTCAGTTGAGGAGAACTCGTTAGAGATTTGCCCTCTTTCTGTCTTTTTGAGACCTTACTGGTGCAGGACAGCAAATCCTAGCTGGTGTCTACAGGACACATGCACTCTTAGGTTACATAACTGCAGGGACCACTGTCATTGTATCCTGGAGCTGGTTCTATATAAGACACAGCCTGAGCAGTATATAGGCTTCCTAGTCTGCTCCTGGCCAAATGTCCCAGTTGGAAGCCCAGAGGTTGTCTGGCTATGCCAGTGGCAGGATGGGCAAGTCTAACTCAAGGGTGACATATTAGCAAGACCTTTATGGCCATGCATCTAAGATGCTCTGTCCAAGCCTGAACTTAGCAACAATAAACCTGACATTTTGAAATCCATCTGATTCCTCTATTTTCCAGTTGATGCCACATGCATCCTCTTGCCATCTTTCTTAATTAAGATGACTTTGCTTCTAAATCTCCTTAATTATCAAGCAGCTATCTACAATATTTTGTAATCCCCTTAAATCTTGAGCATAATGATGTCATAATTATGAAAGTGACCGGATTCACATGAAGTATTGCTTAATCTTAAGAACAAAATGGCAGCTGTGAAAACAGATGAAGTAATTAGAGGAAGAGCCTTTTTGGAAGCTTCGAGATATTTTCAAAGTAATTAGTACTAGTTAGCAATAAAGTTCTGTTCTGAGAAATTGCTCTTAAAGGAGGAACATGGATTAAAGAAAAAAATCTGCTACTAGGAAGTAAGCCATCTTTCTATGTGTGTGATTGGTTTTGCTTCCTGAAAACTGGTTCCGTTTTCAACAAAATTTGGGTCTGTTGAAAAAGAACACGCAGATGCCAGCCTTGATGTCAAACGGGCCCAAACTTGGACAGTGGTAAACTAATGAGCAATGGTGCACAGAGTCAGGGTAAAAGCTGGACAATTTCCTATGACCAACTTTTCCAGGACTCTGCTCTGCTCTTCCTGAGAAAAATACCCAAAGTGCTGCCTCTTCCATTGGCCAACCATGCATCTTTCAGGATAGGACACATCTGTTTATAGGTGTGGATTGTAGTTGCTCATAAGTGACATTAGGCTGTTTAAAATAATAATAGTTCGAGTTTTGCTATGAGCTGATCTGTTTTCCAAGAGAGCTAAGAGTTTTCCAGCTAAAAGAGGGAATTAGTGGGTAATCAAGGCAGCTGACATGGGGTGTGGCTGGGCCTTGAATGTGTGTCACTCTCTGTGCCCAGGCAGAGCAAAGATAAACTCCAGACTGCATGTTGCTCAGAGACCAGGACCAACGTCATAGGGCGCCTAAAAGGCAGGTGGCCCAGTTCAGAATTGTCAAGGTCTGACCTGCTTGGACAAGTGCTGAGTACATAGTAAGGATGGATTGGCTAGTCTCTCAAAACTTGCAAACAGGGCGCAGGTGATCTTGAGATTTCAGTTGCCAGAGAGACCCATCGTGTAGATTCCAGAGTTGGCTATCATGACTAACAGCTGTCTAAGTTGTTTTTAAATGAATCATTAAGGGCTACATTTTCAGTTCAGCTAATCAAGTAGCAAATTACGGTGGGTCTAAAATACTTATCTATTGCATTATGTATATGCTAGACTTTATCACTTTAGTTGGTTATATCGCTTCATATACTAACAGTCAAAAAATGCCAAACGAGAAAACAAACAAACAAAGATGCCACATGACTGTGTAAATACACTTTTCGAACTGTTTTATCTAAGAGTTTACTCACTTTCACATTGTGGCTTATAGTATTTTCAATCTAAGAGACTAATTTTGCTTACATAGGAAACTACATATTTTAAATTGAAAATTAAAAAAATATTTTTAAGGTTTTAATGAGTCCTATCAAAACACATTTGTATATAGGAAGGTAGCCCAAGGTCACTGTTGCCAATTGTGTACACAGCCTGCCCTCTAGTGTTTTCTTCTGAACAGTACCAAATTTTAGATCATAGTTGTAAATCTCAAAATGTTGGGTTAATAGGATTAAACACTGTGTCATCAAACTGATAGGACACAGCTAAATCCCTGACACGGATGAAAATTAAAGCAGAGAAAAACGAAGGTCCTTCCAGAAGCTGGTGGCAACTTCACTGGGGAGATATTGCAAAGTTAGTGGTAAATACACTATATTAATAAGTTTTGTTTTGTAAATAGAGTAATGATAGAAGAAGAGTTAGTTGAAATGATGTATGTAAAATGTGATAACTGCATAATTACTAGTACAGTTGCTAGTTTACGACTGTATTAAAAAGACATTCCAAATGTTGATCAAATAATGGAGGTTTCTGTGGTTGTTTTCTTTTTAAAATAGTAAATATACGTAAAGCAGATAAATATCCCCTTTGTGGGAGTTAAAATAATCTAACTTATTTTATAGTTTTAACTTTATTAAAGCATACGACTATTCTAACTTATTTAACTTTTCTTAGTAAAGTTTTAACCTCTGTATTTAGAATATTTATAACTAATGTGTATCGAATTAAACTCAAAGGGAAATTCATTAACTGAGAAGAAAAAATTTTAACTGTGCACTATTCACATAGCATAATGGGTTTTATAAGGAGTATGAGAAAAATGTGTGTGGTTGGTTTTGCTTTCTTTAAAAATAATAGCGAACCACGTAGGTAAAAACTCACTTGAGAACATAGACTTTTGGAGGGAAATGCCAGGTGTGGTGGCTCACGCCTGTAATCCCAGCACTTTGGGAGGCCGAGGGGGGCGGATCACCTGAGGTCAGTAGTTCGAGACCAGCCTGACCCACATGGAGAAACTCCATCTCTACTAAAAATACAAAATTAACCGGGCTTGGTGGCGCATGCCTATAATCCCAGCTACTTGGGAAGGCTGAGGCAGGAGAATCACTTGAACCTGGGAGGTGGAGGTTGCGGTGGGCCGAGATCACGCCATTGCACTCCAGCCTGGGCAACAAGAGCAAAACTCCGTCTCAAAAAAAAAAAAAAAAAAAAGAATTTTGGAGGGAAAAAAATCCCTCTAACAGATTCGAATTAATTCTGTGTTTCGAGATGTTTACAAAATGAAGCTTGGACTCTGAGAGGATGTGATCTATCCTCTCCATTGCATTGAGTTTCAAGTACTTCACATGGCGGGCTTTTTTAACTGTCGTGAAGAGTTTAAACCAAATAGGGACTAGAATTTGTTTGTTTTTTTAACTTACATTTCAAGCTTCCTTATGTCTCAGGCACATTAGCATAAGTTGTCTAAAGTCATAAGGAAAAATTGACAGAAAAATGCTTTGGAGCCCCAGGTGTTTTCAATTGATGCCAACAGAAACTAACCAAATGGAAGACATTTGATGCGGGTTTATTTTTCCTTTGCAGTAACAGCGGGAACATGAAGCCGCCACTCTTGGTGTTTATTGTGTGTCTGCTGTGGTTGAAAGACAGTCACTGCGCACCCACTTGGAAGGACAAAACTGCTATCAGTGAAAACCTGAAGAGTACGTTTGGTTTCTTATCTGTGCTGTGTCCTGTTTGCATGTTGGTTGTCCTGCTGGCGTTTATAGTGAGTCGCAGTTGAGAGATAACCATATTCGCTGTTTTCACGGTGAAACGTTCTCAAGGCGCTTAAACCAGGTCATCCTGACGCCAAACATCTGGGTAAAAATAGAAAATTCCAATCACGTCTCTGCAGGCGTTCACCTTTCCAGATGTTTGTATCATGTAGATACAACTTGCCAGTTTTTTCACTGCATTTTTTTGTATCATCCAGATGGTTGGTGTCATCTCAGCACAGCTCTAATGAACAGTGAAATACTTTTCTAGCATTTGAAAAATTTAAACCATTAGAGTAATCTGTGCAATTGTTCTTAAACTAGTGAAAGAATGGGTTATAATTACGTTGAATCTGGTTGTTCTGTGGCCATTAACTTGCAACTTTGCTTGGTGATATATACTTTGGGTACTTAATATATAGAAGAACAAATTAGCTAAAATGCAGCTGATTTGGGGTCTGTAATAATCAGAGTCAAGAATGAGCTCCTCAGTAGGCCACGTTGGCTATTTTGAACAGGGAATGACAATGAATTTTAAACTTACTAAGGGCTTATTAAAGGTGTATAAGACACGTCCATTGAGTTATTAAGGAAGCTCGTATTACATGGGATACTTTCTAGGTCTCGTGCCTCCTTATTAGGTAACTGAAGCTGAAAGAAAGAGAAATTGCTGACTGTGTTTGAGGTCCCCAGCTGGGCACTTAATATAAATTATGAAGAAAATGCAAAATTTTCTCTAATATAAACACACTTGAGTCTTAAATGAAAGAAAAAAAATGGATAAATGAAAACAGGGCCTGAGCAAGATGACAAGAATGAGGTTCAGTGAACTCTATTTGTTTAGGCGCTCACAAGTGAGGAGTAGAAGGTATGGTCCGTGTGGCAGCTGGGTCCATGTGGCAGCTGACAGCTAATTCATTATGATCTGCTTTCAGAATATGAGCCTATAAGAGAACAATTAAGCCTCTCTTTTGGAGACATGAAAGGTTGGTGAACTTGGTGTTTTGTAATCTGATCAGATCTCAAAGAAAAAATTGCCACATGTCTTTTAGGTTTTTCTGAGGTGGGGGAGATAGATGCAGATGAAGAGGTGAAGAAGGCTTTGACTGGTATTAAGCAAATGAAAATCATGATGGAAAGAAAAGAGAAGGAACACACCAATCTAATGAGCACCCTGAAGAAATGCAGAGAAGAAAAGCAGGTACAGTCATTGAAAATAATGTCTGTTCTTACACAGATCTGGACCAGAAATACTGCACTTGTTAGTGCGATTGATGAATTACTTATTTTCCTTAGTAATAAATTTCATGGGTAGCTGCTTTTATTTGAGGAAAAGTTTAAGGGAAGCTTCAGATTTCCTTGAAGAACATATTTCGTGTAGGATAGGCTTCTGCAAGACTCCAACCCGGAATCTGGGGGATTCATCTCTGTTTAAGTGCTGCTTTCTCAAAAATAGATTATTCTTGGTCTCTTCTGAGTTAGGATATTGAGTCAAAAGTATTTGAAGAGTTTTTTTTTTTACTAGATCAGTGGTCTCCAGAGTTTTTGTTTTTTGTTTTTTGTTTGTTTCTGTTTTTGAGACAGAGTCTCGCTCTGTCACCCAGGCTGGAGTTGATCCCGCTCATTGCAACCTCCACCTCCTGGGTTCAGGTGATTCTCCTGTCTCAGCCTCCCTAGTAGCTGGGATTACAGGCTCCTACCACCACGCCTGGCTAATTTTTGTATTTTTAGAAGAGACGGGGTTTCACCATGCTGGCCAGGCTGGTCCCGAACTCTGGGGCTCAAGTGATCCACCTGCCTCAGCCTCCCAAAGTGCTGGAATTACAGGCATGGACCACCGTGCCTGGCCCAGAGATTTTTGGTCTCTCATTCCTATGACTAAAAAATTTGTTACCACTCACTCCTAAATATATGCATATTCATTTACTTATGAATTAGATACATGAATTGCTACCATTGATATCTCAAGGCACAATATGTATTTAAGGTGAGATTCATCATTAGCGAGTGTGGATATAAGTCCACATTTCAAATAATCTTCTAGATATTTTGAAACTTTTAGCCGACTTGCCAGATCTGATTAGATCACCATAGTTTTCCCTTGTCACTTGGCCAATAAAGAGCTCATAATGATCAAGTGTCAGCTCTGCCATTTGCTTTTGGTCCGCTTGAGCTTAAATTATTCATTTTTAAAATCTGCCAAGTTTTTTTTTTTTTCAAGAATCTTGTTAAGCCTCCTGTCCATTTAGTGAAGGTTACTTTAGTTAAAACTAGATAATAAAATCCATCAGTCTACCTGAGTTCTCTTACATGGCAACTCATTACAATTGGGTGCATGTGAACAGAGCAAGGGAACTATAGTTGATTCTTCTGGAATGTAGAGGATCCCCTTTTCCCCAAGGTCATCACATACAGTTGGGCACACACAGTATCTGACATATGCATCTCAAGAGAGTACCATGTATATCCAATAATGCATCAGCCTAATCACTTTTTCAAATTCAAATAGCTTTATTTAACAGCTATAGCTTGAATTACATATTTTATCAATGGAGAATACATATTATATTCAAATGTCTTTGGAAGATGTAAAAAATTGTTCATATGCCACAGTATAAAGTTCAGTAAATTTCTAAATTATAGACATTGAATAGCTTGCAGTTTAATGACATTAATAATTAACATCACACTCAAAACAATGACTTTTTTAAAAAAGGTTATCTTCAAACATTACCCTTAAATCAAAGAGGAAATTAAAACTGTAACAAAAATAATTTGGAAAATATTTTCAATTTTAATGTTGAGAGTAAATTACTTTTTAAATTTATTTTTATTTTTTGAAAAATGTTAAGTTGTAAAATACATATAACAAAATTTACCATCATAACCATTTTTAAGTGTAACGTTCAGTAGTGTTAAATACATTCATACTGTTGTGCAACCAATCTCCAGAATTATTTTCATCTTGCAAAAACTGAAAGTCTATACATATTAAACAATGCCCCATTCCCCCCACCCCAGTCAGATTTTTAATTTAAAAATACAAGTGGAAGTTCTAATATTTTCTATCTATCCCTCTATCTATAAAGTTGGGGGCCACTGAATTCCAGATTGCTGCTTACATCTTTTTACTTCTGAGGATCATGGCCTCTGGGAGTCCGTTAAGCAACTGGAGCCGGGTAGTGTGACAGGCTGACCCCAAAGCTGTGTGTCAGCGTCACCGGACTGGTTGATGTTGCAGCCTCACCTACTGCCCTGAGTCAGTCAGGGTTCTGGCAAGGAAAGGAGAATGCCTGACCAGCAGCTGCAAACCCTTCTCCCTTTTGGCAGCAATCAAAAGATTTTGAGGAAATCTAAAATAGCTCCTCATCAGGAAAATGTGGAAGCCCCTCCAGCTGGGATCTTCCCTGGTGGGCTTGTGAGCCTGGCCATCTGGGAATAGAGACACTAGATAGCACTCATACACTCTTCACAAAACACATTATCACATGGAATGTTTTGAACATCTGGGTAAACCACTACTTTCATTTTATAGCTAAGAAAACTGGGGTTTGAGATGTTTGTTAATTAACATGTTACTCCAACACTGTAATGAATGAACTGAGATAAAGTCAGCAGATGTGTGCACGGGGGACCCAGTGATTTTCCGCTTTTCTCACTTCCCTGAACCTCCTGGCAAGGAGGACAGGGTATACAGCTTTAACAAGAATATTCCACTTTGGGTGGGTCAAGTAAGCAAATGTGGATTTCACTTCTGGCCCTGAAGAATCCAAGCAACTAGTAGAATTTTTGTTTATTCTTAAAAATCTTATTGTACAAAAATTCATTGAATTATACTCTTAAGTTTGAGGCACTCAATTAGAAAGTTAATCGGAAAAAAAAAATCTGTTTAACCCTGAGTATCCCTCCCTAAAATTACTTAAAGCCTAGAATAAAGGTCAGTTTAGACAAATTATGAATTGGCAAATATGGTGTTAGCAACCCTAGTCTCCCAGTATTGAGCCCCACCCATTCTCAAGAGTACTGCTCAGTGGTGACCCAGCATCCTCACTGTCCCCTTCCTCCACCCCTCCTTATTAATATTTAGTGAGACTATCTGAAACTTATTAAGTAGGAAACCCTAGAGAAGGTTAGAGTGACTTGACCTCCAAATCAGGTTTTATTTGTATGTGTTTTTAATGAAATGGGGTCTTGCTATGTTGCTCAGGCTGGTCTTGAACTCCTGGGCTCAAGGGATCCTCCTGCCTCACTTCCCGAGTAGCTGGGATCACAGGCACTAGCCACCATGCCTGGCTCAATGCCAGGTTAATATAGCGCTTTTGATAAACTGTCATCTATAGGAATAGAGTTATAAGCGTGAATCTGCCAGTTGGTACAATGTCTAGCAGGAAACGGAAGGCGTCGATAGGATATTCCTTAGGAATGTTTACTAGACAGAGGTCTACTTCTTCCATGGCAATGTTTCACTTCCAAAACTTGGGACCTGTGATTTGGTAACTGTTTTTTGTCCTGCTTCTGGGCAGTGAATGGAAGGAAGCCTGAGAGATACTAGTTATTATACTGGACTAGTTATAATAACAGATGTCTTGCCTATGATAATGGATACTAGGTATAATAATAGATGCCTTGCTTGTTTAGCTCATTTAATGCAAAGACCTTGAGAAGTAGATACTGTTATTCCTATTATTCTTATTTGCAAATGAGGAGACTAAGGCTTATATGTATTAAGTAATTTGCCCAAGGGTACACAGCCACTGTAGTTTGGAATTGGGAATATTAGGATTTTGGCTTATGAGGACAATGAGCAGAATATGTAAAATTGGGACTGATTGAGAAAATCCTGGAGGTATTGTTACTTGCCTTGGAGAAACAACTTTTTTTTTTTTTTTGAGACAGAGTCTTACTCTTGTTGCCCAGGCTAAAGGACAATGGCACGATCTTGGCTCACTGCAACCTCCGCCTCCTGGGTTCAAGCGATTCTCCTGCTTCAGCCTCTGAAGTGGCTGGGATTACAGGCACCCACCATCATGACCAGCTAATTTTTGTATTTCTAGCAGAGACAGGGTTTTACTATGTTGGCCAGGCTGTTCTCAAACTCCTGACATCAGGTGATCCACCCGCCTCAGCCTCCCAAAATGCTGGAATTACAGGTGTGAGCCACTGCACCCTGCCGAAAAACAACCACTTTAAGATGTAAGATTCAGCCAGGTGAGGTGGCTCATGCCTGCAATCCCAGCACTTTGGGAGGTCAACCTGGGCAGATCACTTGAGGCCAGGAGTTCGAGATCAGCCTGGGCAAAATGGTGAAACTCCGTCTCTACTAAACATACAAAAATTAGCCCGGCATGGTGGCACGCACCTGTACTCCCAGCTACTGGGGAGGCTGAGGCAGGAGAATCTCTTAAACCTGGGAGATGGAGGTTGCAGTGAGCTGAGATTGCACCACTGCACTCCAGCCTGGGCGACACAGCCAGACTCTGTCTCAAAAAAAAAAAAAAAAAAAAAAAAAGATGTAAGATTCCAAAATTGTTCTACAAAGTCCAAGGACACACACACACTCCTGTCTGGGTCAAAATGTATATTGGCAAGCTGGGGCCCTGGCAGTTTTCTTACGTGGATCATACCAAATGCTACGTGGCTTAGCAGCCAAACTTTACAATGAGGACAACTGACAAATCCTAGCCAGGCAGAGAAGATGTGGAAGATTGTCAGTGCCCAGGTGATTCTTTGGGCTTAATACTCCAGGAAAGGGTCATTTCCATTAGCTCTGAGGCTGTCTTCTTATGGCCAGATCCACTATACTCACTTCATTCCCCTGCACGATATCTCGGCATGGAGGGGGCTGGGGTTCAGAAGTCCACACTTGCAGGGAAGCCAGAGGTTTGGGCAGGGGCACAGGAAGAAAGGTCTGTTGCACCATGGTGCTGACCCGTGAGGCACTCCAGGGGCAGGGCTGAGGCTCGCAGGGACAGGTGCCACTGCTGCTGGGCTCCTCACCACCCAGAGCAGGACTTGGCCAAGTACAGCAAGCACCACAAGGGGGAGCACTGGGAATATAAACAAGAAGAACAAAGCTTGTTTATATTCCCATTTATATTTATTTAATATTACATTATATATAAATATATTTATTATATTACATTCTAATTGCAGAGATGCCATCCTGCGTCTCGGCAATTACAATGTAACTCAACGGGAACATTTAACTTGACATACAAGAATTGTACTTTCTTGCAATGTTTAAGGATATACAACAATTAAAGACAGCATAAATGAAAGAATTAAAATGTACCAGCTTTATAAACTGTAAAGCCCACTTTCCCCATGCACCAGTGGATGAGAATTGAAGACAGACTTACCGGTAAATAGGTAAATCACAGTTGTTCCCAGATCGGGATGGCATCTTCATTGTCAGGTCACCCACACCTAGAGTAATGTCTGTCACATAGCAAACACTCAGTAAATACTTATTGAACAAATGAATGAACAGATGAATAAGATTTACAGTCTTCAATAGGAATCAATCAGTGCTCTTTTCTTAAACTAAACAGAAAGCTTTGGGGGAGATCTGACAGCTGCGAGGCACCTGAAGGAGAAAGAATGAAAAAGCAGTTTAGAATGTATACATTTCAAAGGGTGAAATCAACTAAGGTGCACATAGATTATGAAATGGAAATTGGACTTTTGTTTCTACTTTTAACTAGGAGGCCCTGAAACTTCTGAATGAAGTTCAAGAACATCTGGAGGAAGAAGAAAGGCTATGCCGGGAGTCTTTGGCAGATTCCTGGGGTGAATGCAGGTCTTGCCTGGAAAATAACTGCATGAGAATTTATACAACCTGCCAACCTAGCTGGTCCTCTGTGAAAAATAAGGTAAGAGAAAAAGAGAGCTCAAGATTTCACAGTTCTTGAGGCACCTATTTCAGCTTACTTTTTTATTAATTTATGTTAATATTTAGAACGGAGATGCCTGATCTGATAGGGGCCTTTTGCTTTCTAGAATCTAATACTAATGTTTACATACCATCACCTGTGTATACGCAATTTATAAGGTAGAGCACCCATTCAGTGGTCACTGAATGCATCTCTTAAAATATCCTGGCTTTCTGCCTTGTATTTGTTATTTGTGAACATGTTCCCACTAGATAGTAAGCTCTTTGAGGGCAGGGATCATATCTTATTTGTCTTCACTTATGCATTGGTGGCATCCAGTAAATGTTTACCAAATTGCATTTGGAATCATAGCATTGCAGTCTCTGATTTCAATCCACATTAATTTTTCCTTCTGGAGGCCAAATATTTAAAGATACTCTCTGCCTCCCAAATCTTACCTTCAACATGCTTGCCTCCTTATGCATAACACACACACACACACACACACACACACACACACACACACACCCCTTCATGTCCCCTTTTGCCCTACCCATGTATGTAGGACTGGCATGTTTTCTTTTTTGTACCCTTTGGTTATCTTCTGAGCAGAGGGATCACAGAGGGTGGTGACCTGAATAGGATGAGCTCTGCCCCACTAACGGCTCCAATTAAGCTAGATTTTTCTCCCCCTTCAAGAAGTGAGCTGAATACAAAATTGAGTGGAATTTCACGCTCCATATTAGAGCACATACTAATTAGGGTATGCTCCTGGCTTGGCAATGCCGTACTCAATTACAAAGGGAGCAACTACTAAGATAATGAATGCGCCAAGTTAATTTGCCTCCACTATTAATTGCATCTGCTCTATTTTTAGAGCTACTGTCGCCTGCTAATACACCAGAATATGGTGTAATCAGCACCAGCAGGAAGTCAGGAGATATGGGGACCATTCCCATCTGGGTCAGTTGTGTGATCTTATGAACATTTCTTGGGGCTTTAAAGGTTTGTTTTTGTGGATGAAGAGTCAAGTAAACAGAAGCTGGTAGAGGGAGAGGCAGACAATCCACCCAAATTCTTTTCTTTATTTTTTTTCATGAGACAGGGTCTGGCTCTTTTGCCCTGGCTAGAGGGCAGTGGTGCCATCTTGGCTTACTGCAGCCTCCACCTCCTGGGTTCAAGTGATTCTCCTGCCTCAGCCTCCTGAGTAGCTGGGATTACAGGCGCCCACCACCACGCCTAGCTAATTTTTGTATTTTTAGTAGAGACAGGGTTTTACCATGTTGGCCAGGCTGGTGACCTCAGGTGATCCACACACCTTGGCCTCCCAAAGTGAAAACTTGACCTTTTTAGGCTATTGGTGGGCAATGTAAACCAGGAGAAATTTCAGATCCTGTTTCCATAGGCAAAGGCAAAGTCAGGTATAAGAGGGTTAAGAAATTATCTTAAAGTTAATTGCCTCATACTAGCTTGCCCAGAATTATTCTTGATTTGAAATGACTACTGTAAGTTGACTTTAAAATTTGCAATAAGAAATGGTCCAGGGCCGGGTGCAGTGGCTCACCCCTGTTATCCTAGCACTTTGGGAGGCCAAGGCATGTGGATTACCTGAGCTCAGGAGTTCGAGACCAGCCTGGGCAACACGGTAAAACCCTGTCTGTACTAAAATACAAAAAAAATTAGCCAGGCATGGCGGTGTGCAACTGTAATCCCAGCTACTCGGAAGGCTGAGACAGAAGAATCACTTGAACCCAGGAGGCGGAGGTTGCAGTGAGCCGAGATGGTGCCATTGCACTCCAGCCTGAGTGACAGAGCAAGACTCCATCTCAAATAAGAAAGAAAGAAAGAAAGAAAGAAAGAAAGAAAGAAAGAAAGAAAGAAAGAAAGAAAGAAAGAAGGAAAGAAGGAAAGAAGGAAGGAAGGAAGGAAGGAAGGAAGGAAGGAAGGAAGGAAGGAAGGAAGGAAGGAAGGAAGGAAAGAAAGAAAGAAAGAAAGAAAAGAAAGAAAGAGTCGAGAAAGAAAATAATTTTTTATTCCATTTCTGTCCCCTACTCTACTCCACAGATTGAACGGTTTTTCAGGAAGATATATCAATTTCTATTTCCTTTCCATGAAGATAATGAAAAAGATCTCCCCATCAGTGAAAAGCTCATTGAGGAAGATGCACAATTGACCCAAATGGAGGATGTGTTCAGCCAGTTGACTGTGGATGTGAATTCTCTCTTTAACAGGAGTTTTAACGTCTTCAGACAGATGCAGCAAGAGTTTGACCAGACTTTTCAATCACATTTCATATCAGATACAGACCTAACTGAGCCTTACTTTTTTCCAGCTTTCTCTAAAGAGCCGATGACAAAAGCAGATCTTGAGCAATGTTGGGACATTCCCAACTTCTTCCAGCTGTTTTGTAATTTCAGTGTCTCTATTTATGAAAGTGTCAGTGAAACAATTACTAAGATGCTGAAGGCAATAGAAGATTTACCAAAACAAGACAAAGGCAAGTATTAAAAGATTACTTTTACTTAGAGGTTTACACTAAAGTCAAGTTTTGTTTAGCTTCAGAAATGGTAGACATTTCTGAGTCACATTGTATAGCATTTCTTGAAGAGACAATTTATGGAAAATGTTTCAGAGCCTCTTAAAAGAAGCTTTGAAGTCTGCTAAACACCATCCCTCTTCCATCATCGTTGAGAACTGAACTCTTTCTAGAGCAAATTTTCAAAGCAGAAAGAAAAAATGCTAATAGGTTGAGAACTTGAAAAAAAAAAACCAGTTCCCTCATTTATTATTTCTTTATTTATTTTATTTTGTGACGGAGTCTCACTCTGCCACCCAGCCTGGAGTACAGTGGTGTGATCTTGGCTCACTGCAACCTCTGCCTCCCAGGTTCAAGCAATTCTCCTGCCTCAGCCTCCCAAGTAGCTGGGACTACAGTTGTGCACCACCACGCCCAGCTAATTTTTTTGTATTTTTAGTAGAGACGGGGGTGTCAGTATCTTGGCCAAGCTGGTCTCAAACTCCCGACCTCAGGTGATCCACCCGCCTTGGCCTCCCAAAGTGCTGGGATTGCAGGCGTGAGCCACCATGCATGGCCATTTCCCTCATTTATTAAAGCTCATGTAGATGCTCAGCTCTATTCTGCTAAAGCATCAGAGAGCTTCTTTAAAATTGATCTGGAATCCTCAACTCCCAGTTTGAGAAGCCCACTCTCACATATAACCAGAGCAATTTAGTGCCCTCCTCTGAATCACTACAATCATTCCTTAAATCATAAAATGTATGCATAAAACCACAAAAAATGCTCATAAACCCCAAACTACAGAAATATTAGATAAGAATTGCCTTCTACCAACACTAATCATGCCTCATGGCATCCATGTTGGAGACACAATGCTGCTTTATGTTTTAAGGCGGCAGATATCTTCTGTGGGCTTCTATGGAGTAAGTTAGATACCGCATTCGAGAATGAGAATTGCCACGAGGGTCAAGTGTAGGATCTGCATTTCCTTTGTCACTGTATTGACCCCTAAGCCAGGTTGAAGGCTGCTCCCCTCTGAGATGAAAAATAAAATGGGCTCCTTCTATCTATTTTTCTTTTTCTTTTTTCTTTTTTTTTTTTTTTGAGATGGAGTGTTGCTCTGTTGTCCAGGCTGTATTGGTGTGATCTCGGCTCACTGCAACCTCTGCCTCCTGGGTTCAATCAATTCTCCTGCCTCAGCTTCCCGAGTAGTGGGGATTACAGGTGCCCGCCACCACGCCTGGCTAATTTTTGTATTTTTAGTAGAGACAGGGGTTTCACCATGTTGGCCAGGCTGGTCTCGAACTCCTGACCTCAAGTGATCTGCTCACCTTGGCTTCCCAAAGTGCTGGAATTACAAGCATGAGCCACCACACCCAGCCAGCCACCACACCCAGCCAGCCACCACTCCTGACCCTATCTGACTATTTTTCAATTATATTAGCTGTAGCTGGCAACATCTGAATCAGATTCTCAAAATCGCCATGACATTACATAACTGGCCTCTACATAGGAGAGGTTTACCTTTCAGAAACTGAAGCTAGGAAACAGTGCATTACATCCTTCAGGTGCCATCGTTCCATGAACAGAGAACAGCCATCATTACTGGAATTGTTGGGTTCTATTTCAGAGTCCAGTGGACTTTTTTTATAAGTCAATTATTTGGTCTGGTAGTCCATTCTGAGGTTCCAAATTCATCAAATATTCAGGATAAACACCAGGCGAGTAGACTAAATCTATCCAGGCTGGGTGGTATTAAGTGATTTTAGCCTGACTGTTTACATGGATATCAACTGTCTTGGAATAACACTGAGAATATGTTCATTAGAACAAAAGGGCTCCTCCCCTCCATGTTGTGTAGCAGCCTTACACAAGCATTGGTTACATTCCCATGTGCACAGGACTGTCAGTAGTGATTCAGACATGCCACAATCTAGATAATTTTTCAACCACTGTAACCCCCTCCCACACACCAGCTACGAACATAGGTTTCCACTGTCTGCCACCATTGCCTTCTCATTCACACAGCTGGGGGCCAGCCCTACTCTCAGCTGCCTCACACGCACCCTCCCCAGCCCCTCTGCGCCACTTCCATCTCAGTGATGACCTGGAAAGCCAAGGTCCCCTGTGAATGCAAATAGTAAAGACAAAAACAAAATAGCAACCAAAAAAGTCTGTGTTACACTATTGTACTCTTCTTTCTCCAGTATCCCTCCCCTAGCCAGACAGTACACAGAAGCTACCGCAGAGGAGACACTGTCTTCCCAGATGAGCAAATGTGGACTGTTTATCAAGAATAGTCAGGCAGGCGCTCTACAGCACTTGAATGTGGTTTCCATCACTTTTCTGGACAGGTAGTTGGTGAGGAATAAGCCTACTGCCCCTAGAAAATCTGCCTAATGACTTGACACTTTGAGTTTTGCCCCTTGTGGTAGGCAAAATAATGACTGCCCAAAATATCCCCACCCTAATCCCCAGAACCTGTGAATTTATGTTATGTGGCAAAGGGAAAGTAAGGATGCAGATGGAAATCAATTTGTTAATCAACTGACTTTATTTTTATTTATTTATTTTTTGAGACAGAGCCTTGCTCTGTCACCCAGGCTGGAGTGCAGTGGAATGATCTTGGCTCACTGCAACCTCCACCTCCGGGGTTTAAGTGATTCTCCTGCCTCAGCCTCCCGAGTAGCTGGGATTACAGGCACTCACCACCATACCTGGCTAATTTTTGTATTTTGAGTAGAGGCAGGGTTTCGCCATGTTGTCCAGGCTGGTCTCGAACTTCTGACCTCAAATGATCCGCCCACCTCGGCCTCCCAAAGTGCTGGGATTACAGGCATGAGCCATCATGCCCGGCCTCAACTGATTTTAAAATAGAGAGAGTATGCTGGATTATCCAGATGGATTCAATGTAATCACAGGGTCCTTAAAAGTGGAAGAAGGAGGCAGAAAAGAATTAATAGTAGCAGCCACAAGAGAAGGACTTGGCTCGACTTTGACGACCTTGAAGACAGAGGAAGGGGCCAGGAGCCGAGTAATGTAGGTGGCCTCGAGGAACTGGAAATGGTATAGAAATGAATTCTCCTCTAGAGCCTCCGCAAAAAACTAGCCCTACTGACATCTTTTTTTTTTTTTTTTTTTTTTTTTTTTTTTTTGAGACAGAGTCTCGCTCTGTCTTCAGGCTGGAGTGCAGTGGTGCGATCTTGGCTCAGTACAACCTCCGCCTCCTAGGTTCAAGCGATTCTCCTGCCTCAGCCACCTGAGTAGCTGGGACTACAGGCACGTGCCACCACGCCCAGCTAATTTTTGCATTTTTTTTTTTTTGAGACAGATGACATCTTGATTTTAGCCTAGGGAGACCCACTTCAGACTTCTGACCTAAAAGACCAAACAATAATGAATTTGTGCTGTTTCAAGCCACTGAATCTGTGGTAGCTGTAGCAGAGCTAATAATAATAGTAACTGACCAACATTTACTGAGCAAGTTCCGTGTGGCAACCTTCATGGATGGGCCTTATTGGTCATGATTGTTTAAAGGGCCAAAATTAGAAAAATAGCTAACACTGAATTATGAACACCAGGAAAAGGAGAGCGGAAATAAAAAGAATCAGAAATATCTTGATAATTAATGCTATTTTTGTTGAGTATAGGTTCATTTTGTTCTCATATTTCTTTCCTACCTTGGTCTTTCTGGACCTCAGTTCCTGAATCTGTTGAAAGCGAATAGGTCCAGGAAAGTAGCTCTTGGAATTATCTTCATTTGCCTTATGAATCCCTGGAAGGAACAGATGAGATTGAGTTCTACTGTAGCTTGACCCGTGCGGGGGCCGGGAGACCTGGTTCTAATGCTGCCTTAGAGAGTGTTAGTTAACATTAATTTTCGCGTGGGAGAAACAGACAGGCAGGTGGGAGAGTAGATGATTTAGCTCAGTGACTGCACTGGAAGTAGCTCCCTGGAAGGGTTCTGAGGTTCTGTCAAGGCTAGACTAAGCGAGGTGATGGATTGTGCTGTGGCTGCAGGATGGGGAATTAGTGTCATATGGGCCTAGAATTTGTCATCCTTGGTGTACATACCAGGTATTAATCTAGATGCTAGAGATAAAATGATGATTATGACACAGCCTCTGACTTCCAGGAGCTCAGTCCAGAGAAAGGAAAACAGATTAGTGAACAATTACATCACCATATTGTGGGTAAAATGGCAGAAGAAGGTATGGAAGAATGACAAGATTAAAATGGCAAGACCAAGTCCCTTCCCTCAAGAGGCTTACAGTCTAATGGAAAAGATAAGAAAGCAAACACTACATAAAGCAGGAATTAATTCTACACTGGAAATTCTCACAGGGGGCTATACAGGGCAAAGAAGAGGGTCCAGGAAAGCAGCTGGGAGAAACTGACTTTCTGGTCACCAAAGGGGATGGGTGCCTTACATGCCATTCTATCGAACAGTGCTTCACTGTTTTTAAACTATGGACTTTGCAATTTATCTCAAAATAAAACGTTTCATTTTTAAATGCTGAGGATTTAATATGACAGAAAATCATCAGGTTGTAAATTAGTAATACATGTTTCCTAATGTCAAACACTCTATTGGGAACCGCCAATTTTCTGTTGGATAGACTTCTCTTTTACACATTTTTATATGGATTGTTAATTCTCCTAGGGGAAAAAACTTCTCAAAACTTGATTGGCTTTAGATATTTTCCTAAATCTTTGACCCCCTGTTCATAACAGTATATGCATCTCCACACACACATACTCGCACACATATGTGTGTATATATATGTGTGTGTGTGTGTGTGTGTATATATACATATATATGAGAAATGCAAAAAAAGAATAGTAATAAAATAACCACCTATCACCCACTTTAAGAAACAGACATTTCTAATATCTTTGAAACTTCTTCCCAATTATAGCTTTAAAAATTAATTATTAAAGAGTTTTTTAAAATACAGAAAAGTCCAAGAGAAAAAGTGGTTCACAATCACCTATTTACTTAATCCTATTGACATCAGAAATACTAATGATATAAGACAAATGATTTTTAAAGTAATCAAATATATAAAAGAACAAAATAAATGAAAGCTGCCCTCTCCTACCTTATCAACTCCCTCTTCTAAAAGATAGTTATTAATAATTCTTCATGACTCCTCCTAGAAAATAAAATTACATGCATTAATATATGTGTGTATATACTACTAATAAATTTCTAGTAATGAGATTCTTGGATTCAAGAGTGTGCAATTTTTAATAGCTGTTCAGTTGTCCCAGGAAATTATTGCACCAACGTGCATTTCTGTGTCTAAATATAGGAAAAAGGGCCAGGGGCGGTGGCTCATGCCTGTAATCCCAGCACTTTGGGAGGCCGAGGCGGGTGGATCATTTGAGGTCAGGAGTTCAAGAAACCGGCCTGGACAACATGGCGCAACCCCATCTCTACTAAAAGTACAAAGATTAGCTGGGCTTGGTGGCTCTCACCTGTAATCCCAGCTACTTGGGAGCCTGAGGCAGGAGAATCACTTGAACCCGGGAGGCAGAGGTTGCAGTGAGCCAAGATCCCGCCACTGCACTTTAGCCTGGGCAACAAGCAAGACTCTGTCTCAAAAATAAATAAATTAAATACATACATACATATAGGAAAAAGATTTTGAAAGCACTGGTAAGAAAAAGCTGCGGCATTGTCTCCACTTCTTCAAAGTGCAAACTCTTATGACACTAACGTGTAAATGTTATGTTCCCTGTAGCTCCTGACCACGGAGGCCTGATTTCAAAGATGTTACCTGGGCAGGACAGAGGACTGTGTGGGGAACTTGACCAGAATTTGTCAAGATGTTTCAAATTTCATGAAAAATGCCAAAAATGTCAGGCTCACCTATCTGAAGGTAAATAATTGCTATTTTGTTTTTTATTCTACTTTAAGTTCTCAGGTACATTTTGTTATAAAGTTTCGGTGCCACAAAAGAAATAGCACTCGAATATAAAATTTTCTTTTTAATTCTCAGCAAGGAAAGTTACTTCTATAGAAGGGTGCGCCCTTACAGATGGAGCAATGGTGAGCGTGCACTTGCCAAGGGAGGGGAAGGGGTTCTTAACCCTGACAACGCACGTGGCCCCTGCTGCTGTGTGGTTCCCCTATTGGCTAGGGTTAGACCGCACAGGCTAGACTAATTCCCATTGGCTAATTTAAAGAGAGTGACGAGGTGAGTGGTCTGGAGGGAAAAATGGTTATGACAGAGCATGTAATCGGAATGAATCAGGGCGGAGCGTGTAATCGGAATGAATCAGGGCGGAGCGTGTAATCGGAATGAATCAGGGTGGAGCGTGTAATCGAAAAAGGTTGCTTTACGAGGAAATTAAGTTTAAAAGTAGAAGGCAAAGAATTGAACATACTGACATACTGATTCTTTGGAAAGAAATTTAGAACTCACATCTAACAATTTTTTAGGGTTTCTTTAGTATTCTGGACAGAGGACAAAATCTCATTCTCACAAGCATAGTGGATTCATTTGCTTTCCTCCAAGCACTTTTTTGCAGGCTCATTTCCATCTGGGGGCGTTCAATGTAGGTTTATAAACTGGTGTTTTGTTTGTTTGTTTTATGAGACAGAGTCTTGCTCTGTTGCCCAGGCTGGAGTGGCACAATCTCGGCTCACTGCAACCTCCACCTCTCGGGTTCAAGCAATTCTCCTGCCTCAGCCTGCCAAGTAGCTGGGATTACAGGCATGTGCCACCACGCCCGGCTAATTTTTTTTGTATTTTTAGTAGGGACGAGGGTTTCACCATATTGGCCAGGCTGGTCTCGAACTCCTGACCTTGTGATCCGCCCACCTCGGCCTCCCAAAGTGCTGGGATTACAGGCATGAACCACCGTGCCTGGCCTGGTTTATAAACTTTTATTATTCCAAAGTATGTCATTCTTTCACTTTCTTTAATTCCCTAATTGTTCTTGTGATTTTTTTTATGATTAATGACCAAACACTATTGTGTGCAAAAGAAAAACCTTGAGCAAATTAGCGCAACTCCTTCCTTCTTACCGCAAGCAAAAAGAACCCCTGCCCCCAACCATGAAAGAAACCTTTCATTCTGTAAATCAGTGTTTAGACAAGTGAAATATTTTTTTGAAAGTGGCATTGGCTCTTTCCCATTGGTGGGTTAATGAACTAATTAGCATTTAAATAGGGAAAGTGGCTTCTCCTCCCAAGCCCCAGGAATCCTTTTCCCTCCCTTTCTAGTTCCTTCCCCAGGAAGGAAATCATTCTCCCTTTCCTCCATCCCTCCCCTCATTCCCTTTCCCTTCTCCAGACTAAAGTCACTCCTCCAACCCCACCAGGGCCAAATTACAACTTTTCTTACATAAAACAAGAGCTTTTGATTCCTATGCTTCTGCATTTTATCTCACTAAAGCCCTAAGGGAAGGAAATTTTCAAAGTGTGACTAATGGCTTACAGTAGGAAATTGGAAGATACAGAAGGGACAGAAATCAACATGTCAGTAAATTCTACAACACTAGCTAGAGATTTGGGGCAAGTCATTTATGCTGTCTAGGCCTCAGTTGAGTAATTTGTAAATAAAGGACCCAAGATAATCTTTGGGTTCTAACAAAATTCTTCTGTAAAACAGTGGTCCCCAGCCTTCTGGCACCAGGGACTAGATTCCTGGAAGACAATTTTTCCAAAGATGGTGGGGCAGGGGGCACGTTTGGGGATGATCATCAGGCATTATTCTCCTAAGGAGCGCTCAACCTAGACCCTTTGCATGCACAGTTCACAATAGGGTTTGTGCTCCCGTGAGAATGGAATGCCTCCGCTGATCTGACAGCAGGCGGGGCTCAGGCAGTCATGCTTGCTCACCTGCCGCTCACCTCCTGCTGTACAGCTCCGTTCCTAAGAGGCTACAGGCTGATATGGGTCCGTGGCCCAGGGGTTGGGGACCCCTGCTATAAAGGAAGTTCAGAAAAATCAGATTATAATTCTGATTTTTATAAATCAGAATTTATAAAATTCAGATTATAATTTACTACCAAGTAATAGCTCTTTTGCCCTTAACTTCCCACAGTGAAGACCACTGGAGTAATTTATATCAACGCAAAGAACAAAAAGCATGGTCAGTGGAAACTCCTGCCCCTCCCTTGGCTTTCTCTCCTCAATCTAACAGTGAGCAAGTTGCAACAAATCGCGCCGTTCAGAGAAAAGGGAGGATGGAATTGTTACAACCGTTTCTGTCGCCCAGGCTGGAGTGCAGTGGCGCGATCTTCGCTCACTGAAACCTCTACCTCCTGAGTTCAAGCGATTCTGCTGCCTCAGCCTCCTGAGTAGCTGGGATTACAGGCACGCGCCACCATACCTGGCTGATTTTTGTATTTTTAGTAGAGATGGGGTTTCACCATATTGGCCAGGCTGGTCTCGAACTCCTGACCTCGTGATCCTCCCACCTCAGCCTCCCAAAGCGCTGGGATTACAGGTGTGAGCCATCGCGCCTGGCCAACAAATTGTTACAATGTTAAACAACATAATATCCTAAACATATTGGCTTTTAAAGTATCATTAGATACACCACAATACTAATAAAGGTTACCTTTGGGTTTTAAGATTAAAGATGATTTTTAAAAATACTTCTTTCTGTATTTTCCAAACTCTTAACCATAAACATAAGATATTCCTTGACTTAGGATAGGATTATGTCACAACCCATCATAAGTTTGAAAAATCATAAGTTGAACCATTGTAAATTGGGGACCATATGTACATGTATGCATATATGATATTAAAAATTATTAGACGTCTTTAAAATTTGACTTTTTAACATATTACTTTTATTTAATCACCTTGCTCAAGGAGCCTGTAAATTACATATTAATATTCTCCATTATGAAATGTCTTTCCATTGTGCAAATTAATGCATTGCAGAGGTTCTAAACATCTATATGCTTTGCAACTCGAAAGGAGTAAGTTTCCCTTTCTAATTTTTTTATTCAATTAAATAAAAAAATGAGTTTAATAGAGTCTATTAAATTAGATCATTATTCGAGTGGTTAGTAAACCTGTTTAGAGTCGACAACACTCCCTTTCTCTCTTTTTTTTTTTTTTTTTTTGTGCCAGAGTCTCGCTCTGTCGCCGAGGCTGGAGTGCAATGGCACGATCTCGGCTCACTGCAACCTCCACTTCCCAGGTTCAAGTGATTCTCCTGCCTCAGCCTCTCGAGTAGCTGGGATTACAGGCAACCGCCACCATGCCCAGCTACTTTGTTGTATTTTTAGTAGAGATGGGGTTTCACCATGTTGGTTAGGCTGGTGGCGAACTCCTGACCTCAAGTGATTTGCCTGCCTCTGCCTCCCAAAGTGCTGGGATTACAGGCGTGAGCCACCATGCCCAGCCCCTTTCTCCTTTTTAAATATCACCAGCCTGGGTTCTTTGTTTTTTTTGTTTTGTTTTGTTTTTGTTTTTGTTTTTTTTGAGACGGAGTCTTGCTCCGTCGCCCAGGCTGGAGGGCAGTGGCACAATCTTGGCTCAGTGCAACCTCCGCCTTCTGGGTTCATGCCATTCTCCTGCCTCAGCCTCCTGAGTAGCTGGGACTACAGGCGCCCGCCACCATGCCCGGCTAAATTTTTGTATTTTTAGTAGAGACGGGGTTTCACCGTGTTAGCCAGGATGGTCTCGATCTCCTGACCTTGTGATCCACCTGCCTCGGCCTCCCAAAGTCCTGGGATTACAGGCTTGAGCCACCATCCCTGGCCTCCAGCCTGGGTTCTTATTGACACTGAATTCTCAAGTTAGTTGGGCTAGTGAGGAAGTCAGGTTACACGGGCCACAGAACAAGAACAAGGATTGTTCTTTCTCTCTCTCTTCCACTTCATTCTCTGTCAGCCTCTCCCGACCTCAGTAGTTGGTCTTTTCTCCCCCTTCTTTTGAAAGCAGAGTCCATTATACAAATGGACTTGTTTACTTCTCCACATCCCTCTTGTGCAAATTTTCTGCCATGGACACCTCTACCCCACCTTAGAATGTATATTAGACAATTTTGACATCTAGAATGTCTTGTTGGGCAGAAAAGCGTTTGGAAAGCGTTGCTCCAGGTAGCTCTGATTACAAACTGGACCTTTTCGCGGGGTTACCTAGAGCAGTTGAGAGTGCTCTTTCTCCTGGCCAGGTGCAGTTGCTCATGGCTGTAATCCCAGCACTCTGGAAGGCCGAGGCGGGCGGATCACCTGCGGTCAGGAGTTTGAGACCAGCCTGGCCAACATGGCGAAACCCCGTTCTACTAAAAATACAAAAATTAGCCAGATATGGTGGTATGAACCTGTAATCCCAGCTACTCAGGAGGCTGAGGCAAGAGAATTGCTTGAACCTGGGAGGCAGAGGTTGCAGTGAGCTGAGATCAAGCCTCCAGCCTGGGCCTCAGAGCGAGACTCTGTCTTGAAAAAATAATAATAATAATAAACAGATAAATAAAATTTAAAAAAATAAAAAAGGAGTGCTCTCTCTCCTGAACTGCTGACTCGAGGACTCTCTCAGCCTGTTTTATCATTTGGAAGAGGAAATAATATATCTGCTTCGTACACATCTTTAGAAGTTTAAATAAAATGTCTGAAATATCAATGATTCTCATTATTCAAATATTTGTTTTTTAAGTCACAGTTGCAAGGTTATATACAGAAGCATAGGTTTTTATAACAGAAAAATAGACACTTAATATACTGACCTCTTACAAAAATAGTCCTGCTCAAGCATCCCATCTATGTATCATTAACATCTATTTCTTTCTACCCAGCTAAAATAGTTTATTAATAATCCTTGAATGTCACAAGATAATACAGAATAAATCAGATAATACATTAAAATGCACCTGATAATCAATATGCACCAGATAATGGACACAGTATACATCAGATAATACAGTACAAATTCAATGAAAGTTTAGTGTTGCAAAGGTAAAATGTAAAGAATGTCCTAATGTGCTCCCATGCTGCTTAAAACTGTTATTATAAATTGCTTTTTATTATAAATATATAAAGAATGATGTAATAGGCCAGCCATGGTGGCTCATCCCTGTAATTCCAGGTCTTTGGGAGGCTGAGGCAGGTGAATCACTTGAGGTTAGGAGTTTGAGACCAGCCTGGCCAACATGGTGAAACCCCGTCTCTACTAAAAATATAAAAATTAGCCAGGTGTGGTGGTACGCACCTGTAGTCTCAGCTACTCCGGAGGCTGAGGCAGGAGAATCGCTTGAAACCAGAAGCCGGAGGTTGCAGTGGGTCAAGATCAAGCAACTGCACTCCAGCCTAGGTGACAGAGCGAGACTTTGTCTCAGGAAAAAAAAAAAATTCTCAGTCACCTAGATTGAGAAATAGAACATTACCAAAACAGATAAAGCCCCACTGTGTTCCCATCCACATCACATTCACTTTATCTCCTCAAAAGGAAAGTGCTATTTTGAATTTAGTATTAATTATTTCCTTGCATTTCTTCCTACTCATATCATGTGCCTATATACATATAATATATACAAATGCCGATATCATACATAGCAATGTTTTACATTTCGATTTTTGCATTGTCAATGTAGAATTTTTAAACTTAAAAACATGCTTCATACAGCCGGGTGTGGTGGCTCATGCCTGTAATCCCAGCATTTTGGGAGGCCAAGGCAGGCGGATCACGAGGTCAGGAGTTCGAGACCAGCCTGACCAACATGGTGAAACCCCATCTCTATTAAAAATACAAAAAAAAATATTAGCTGGTCATGGTGGCGCGTGCCTGTAATCCCAGCTACTCAGGAGGCTGAGGCAGGAGAATTGTTTGAACCCAGGAGGCAGAGGTTGCAGTGAGCCGAGATCGCACCATTGCACTCCAGCCTGGGTGACAGAGCGAGACTCCATCTCAAAAAAAAAAAAAAAAAAAAAGCTTCATACAAACATGAAACGGGCACATGTCTGGCTGGGTGCGGTGGCTCATGCCTGTAATCCCAGCACTTTGGGAGGCCAAGGCGGGCAATCACTTAAGGCCAGGAGTTCGAGACCAGCCTGGTCAGCATGGTGAAACCCCGTCTCTACTAAAACTACAAAAATTAGCCAGGCATGGTGGCATGCGCCTGTAGTCCCAGCTACTCGGGAGGCTGAGGCACAAGTATCACTTGATCCCAGGAAGCAGAGGTTGCAGTGAGCCAAGATTGTGTCACTGCACTCCTGCCTGGGTAACAGAGTGATACTCTGTCTCAAACAAACAAACAAAAAAAACAAAGAAAAGAAAAAGAAAAAAGAAATGGGCACATGTCAAATGTTAATTTGACTATGTAACTTATTAATGAAGGAACCAGCAGGGTGTTAGAGCTGGGTCAAAGAAGTATAAGAGAGACTGGAGTGCTTACAGTCAAGCAGAGACAGAATGCTGAAAGGTTATGAAATTAGATATGTTAGTTAATATTCGAAAGGGCAACTAAACTGTAAATCTTGCCATTATCTTTTCTATCAGACCAAAATAATTTACATCTCTACTAGACAAACATTTGCCACTTTTCAATCCATAATCTATGGGTAATTTCATGGAGTCTGGCCCTAATCAACAGTAAATAGTAAAGCCAACAAAGGATCTCTTCCCTAGACCTTGAAGTGATCTTTGGGTGGACCCCTTAGACAATAATTTAGTATGACATTGAGAGGACACGCAAGCCTGGGCAGCATAGTGAGACCCGCCTCTACAAAAAAATTAAAAATTAGCCGGGCATGGTGGTGTGAGCCTGTAGTCCTAGCTACTCAGGAGGCTAAGGTGGAAATACCACTTGAGCCCAGGAGTTCGAGGCTGTAGTGAGCTATGATCATGCCATTGCACTCCAGCCTGGGTAACAGAGCGAGAACCTGTCTTGAAAAAAAAGAAAAGAAAAAAGAAAAAGAAACAAAAGGAAATGCAGCCATTTTTTTTTTGCCTTATTTCCAAGTTCTGGATAATTTTTCTTTTTTAACAATATAAATATTATCACTTATGTATTCTTTTGCAATATGGCTTTTCACTCAGTGTAGTTTGCAAGGGTTAGCCATGTGAATGCATGCTGCTCTAGTTCATTAATTCACTGTTGTATGTTGGTCTATGTAGGCATATCACAATTTATTCATTCCCTAGCTGAAGTACATTTGCTTTCAAGGTTTTGCTATTATAAACAAATCTCATACCTTTAATCAAATAATAATTTTGTCTCTTCAATCAGCTTTGATTTACTTTGTTCTAATACTAAGCACACAACTATAATTATAATTTCATTACTGATAAATATAAAATATTTTCCAAAACATCACAAATCTTTTTTTTTTCACTATTTACTATACACTTTTGGTCTTAATTTAAAGCGGCTTCACTATATGTGGTTCTTTTCCTCTTTTCCCATACTAATTACTGGTACTGGACATATACATCCAAAATCAAATAGTAGTGTCCTTTTTAAGGGATAAATGGGATGTGATGTAGAAGGGGCATAGTAGGGACTTCATCTGTTTTGGCAAATTTTTTCTTAATATAGGTGGTAGGCATGTGGAATTTATAACAAAAGTTCTGTCTCCAGCCCAGTTTCTGTTACATAAAACCATATAATTAACAGTTAAACTGGATCTGGTTTGACACAGATGTAGACGATATTAATAATTACTCCAGAACAACAGGCATAACTAAAAACTACCACAGGCAAAAGGGGAAAATAGAGAATGTAAGGGCTGGGACTTAAGCCCATGTTGCCCACCTCCAAGTTTCATGGACTTTTTCCTTCTCCACATTACTTTCTTCTCTGCTAGACTGTCCTGATGTACCTGCTCTGCACACAGAATTAGACGAGGCGATCAGGTTGGTCAATGTATCCAATCAGCAGTATGGCCAGATTCTCCAGATGACCCGGAAGCACTTGGAGGACACCGCCTATCTGGTGGAGAAGATGAGAGGGCAATTTGGCTGGGTGTCTGAACTGGCAAACCAGGCCCCAGAAACAGAGATCATCTTTAATTCAATACAGGTAAAGGAGAGACCCAAGAGCAGATACGGAAATGACACGTGCATACCTTGATTTCACTGTTAATTTACTTATGAATTGTGTCTGAATTTGAAAACAAGCTGTAGGAGGTATTCATATTTCCATTGTGATTGCCTTCAGGCTGACTTGATTTAACGTAGTTCATGGTCTTTAGAAAACAAGAAAGTCCATAAAGAAAATCAATTTAAAACACAAAATACTTTCTAATCTAGAAATGGCTATTTCTGCTTAGAGTTATAGGGCTATAACTGATAGAGGTAACCTTGAAGAAATATGGCCAATGTAGGTTTTAGGAGAGAAGACTTACAAATAAAGCAATTTGAGTTCAAAATTTGACTCTGAAACTTACCAGCTGAGTAAGCTTGGGAAAGTACCTCAACCATTCTAGGCCTCAGTGTTCCACCTGTAAAATGGTAACAATCATAGCTATCTTAACGTGTACACCTATAAAGTGATTAGTATAGATTTCTTATACAAAACAAGAGCTCTGTAAATTATAGCTCTTATTAGTTGCTGACACAATAAAGCCACTGAGTTATCTTGAGAATTAAACATTTATATGTTACTCGTCACATAAAAATACATTGCCAGCTGGGCGCAGTGGCTTATGCCTGTAATCCCAGCACTTTGGGAGGCTGAGGTGGGTGGATCACTTGAGGTCAGGAGTTTGAGACCAGCCTGGCTAATGTGGCGAAACCCCGTCTCTACCAAAAACATAAAAAATTAGCCAAGTGTGATGGCACACACTTGTAATCCCAGCTACTCAGGAGGCTGAGGCAGGAGAATCACTTGAACCCGGAAGGCAGAGGTTGCAGTGAGCTGAGATCGTGCCACTGCACTCCAGCCTGGGCGACAGAAGGAGACTCTGTCTCAAAAAAAACAAAAATAAAAACATATTGCCATCTTAAATTCCACCTATACCATGACTCCCAGATTCAGTCAATAACTTTTTGCATAACATGCAAGTGACTTTTCTTCCTAAGACATCCCCCCTCCAACACACACACATTACCTTAATCTACAAATGCGCCAGGCTAGTGATTCCTGATGAGGCTGGTTTTGAGGGGTTCCCAAAAAGACTTGGATACAAAAATTACTGGGCAGAGCAATTGAAGATGCAATATTCTGTGTGTAGTATGTTAGGTTATGTTGGTGCCCTATCCAGATCCCTGGGGATCCCTTTTACCAGCTCCCACTGGTGCTGGTGCTGCTGCTAACTGCTTATCTCTGAAACTTTCTCCCAAAGATTGCCCTTGGAGCACTTATGCCCCAGAGCTTCCTGCAGGATCAGGCTGAGGCTAACAGTCATCTGAAGCCATATCCTTGCTTAGCTTCTTTCACTTCTCTAGTTTGCTTTCCTCATCCCCTTAAAAGTTGCACCTGAGAGCATTCTTTATAAACCACTTCTGTCAGAATCTCAGGCACTGCTTCTAGGAAATTAGACTTATGGCATTCTATAATCCAGCATTTCCCTCTTTTTTCAAACTACAAAGCTGTGGATCATGCCTGATTTGAGAAATAAGTTTAGAAAGTCACAGCAAGCTCATTAAAAAACAAAATTAAAAACCATACAAAAAATAGAATAGGACAAAGTAGAAAATATTAGCATGCATTGCATTTCATAAGTCATATGCACATCATGGAATTTCATTTCCATTTTGTATGTGTATATGTGTGTAAACATATATACACATATGTAGACATACGTGTGTGTTTTGAATCATGATGTCAAGTGTATTCATTACTGCAGACCACAGTCAAAGGGTTTTGAAAGCCACTGTTCCAATCCCTGCCAGCTCTCTGATTCTATAACTCTATTAGATTACACTTGAGGAAGGTAAAATAATTCAATATATTTGATCATCCTCGCATATATAGACTTTTAGTTTAACGAGGAAAAAGTCTTGTATTGAAGAATAAAACTTGAAGAAAAATTTTAGCAGTGCTTTCAACCTTTAGAAATCTACAGTCAATATTTAGTTGTTTTTACCATTGTCAGTATTTTCTATTCTGTGCTTTGATTTACTTCCATTCTAGTGTCTCTTGAGTAACATAACAGATTTATCTAAAATTCTTTATGCTGATAACAAAGGCACTTCTATATAAAAACCTCCACATAAAATAAAATTATGGTTTTCAATTATACATTTTTATAACAATTATTACCACTTAAGAGCATTTACTGGGTGTCAGGCAATGTTCTAAGAACTTTTTCCATATATCAGATCATTTAATACCCTCAATGACCCTATAAAGGAAGTAGAATTCTTTCCCCAGTTTTTCAAATGAGGCACAGAGGAGGTTAAGCAACTTGTCTGAGCTCACACAGCTAGTAAATGGTAGAACTAGAATTCAAACTCAAGCAGTATTTCTCTAGAATCAGTGAACGTAACCACTTTGCTAAACTGCCTGTGAAGTTACTTTTCTCAAAACAGCTCCTATTTCACCATGTAAAGAAAAGTACAAACCCATAAAATAGCAAGTGCTGAAGAGAAGCCTTATGAAAGAAATATACAAATTCCAGCAAGTGAAAACGGTTGTGGTCCCTGGTTGTATAATAGTTACATGGGTGTTGACTTTACAATTATTTAAACCAAACATAAATACTTTATGCAGTTTTTATGTATGTTATACTCACAGAAAGAGAAGGGAAAAATTTTTAAATCATTCTCTTAAGGTTACATCAAGTTGCGTATCAGTTCAGTTCCATTTAAATGATTCAAATCAAAGTCTGTGCATTTGAGAATTCATTAAGAGAGTAACATACATGTTATTCATTAAGAGTAACATAAATTTTGCATTGATTCTTGCCAAAATCACACCTACAACCATAAATTGTAAATTTCTAGGAAAACTCAGTACAAAACTTGGTGCAATGCAATAAAGTTTGTGGCACAGACAGTAATACTCAGCAAACATCCCACCTCCTCTCTCATATTTTCCAGCTCCCCTTGTGGTTAAACGTTGCCATGTGGCAAGTTCTGGCCAGTGAAGCGTGAGCAAAACTGAAAAGGGTTCTTTGTAGATTGAGACAGTGAAGAGCCTATGTGTGCTCATCTATTCTCTTTTTCTGCTGAGGGCACAAAGAAAGTCCTGAAATCATGTGCTACAGCTATGAGATAATGTGCCTTTGCCTACCAGGCTTCTCAGTGTTTACTGGTGTGGAGCCCTTGTAATGGACACATAACATGAACAAGAAATAAATCTTTGTTGCATGAAGCCCTAGGAATGCCAGGACTAATCTGTTACCTCAGCACAACCCAGCCTATCCTGACTAAGGTGGTATTAAATTACTATTGAATGTGTATTGGGATTTAGTAAACTTCTACTGTATAATCCTTCTTCTGTAGGTAGTTCCAAGGATTCATGAAGGAAATATTTCCAAACAAGATGAAACAATGATGACAGACTTAAGCATTCTGCCTTCCTCTAATTTCACACTCAAGATCCCTCTTGAAGAAAGTGCTGAGAGTTCTAACTTCATTGGCTACGTAGTGGCAAAAGCTCTACAGCATTTTAAGGAACATTTTAAAACCTGGTAAGCAGAGTGCCTGGTTAGGAATGCCTTGTTGACAGGAATAGTTAATTCTCAAAAGGGAAAAACAAAACTTGTTTCCAAATACCTGGAAAACATGTTTAACCTCATTAATAAAGACATGAAAACAAACAAGATGGCATTTTCTGCCTATCAGATTTGCAAATTAAAAAAAAACCCAGGAAATCCTGATAGGAATGTGATGAAATGGGAATTCTCATATATCATGTATTGGTGGGAACATAATTGGTTTTGCATTTTTGAAAGCTATTTGATTATGCATATGAAGAGCCATAAAATTTCCTTTTGATATAATAATTCCACTTCCGAAATCAATCCTAAGGAATAAATCTAAATTTGATGAAAAGTTCTCCCTCCAAGATCTAGATTTGCAGCATTATTTAAAATATTAAAATGTTGGCCGGGCGCAGTGGCTCATGCCTGTAATCCCAGCACTTTGGGAGGCTGAGGCGGGCGGATCACGAGGTCAGGAGATTGAGACCATCCTGGATAACACGGAGAAACTGCGTCTCTACTAAAATAAAAAAAATTAGCCGGGCGTGGTGGCGGGCGCCTGTAGTCCCAGCTACTCGGGAGGCTGAGGCAGGAGAATGGCGTGAACCCGGGAGGCAGAGCTTGCAGTGAGCAGAGATCGCGCCACTGCACTCCAGCCTGGGCGACAGAGCGAGACTCTGTTTAAAAAAAAAAAAAAAAAAATATATATATATATATATATATATATATATATATATATATATGTTAAACATACTCTTAATGTGTAAAAACAAGAGAATGATTAAGTAGATTATGACTAAATACACTCAATACATTTTATGAAACGTTAAAAATATTCAAAAAATTTAAATAATGACTTGCTAACTACTTTAACAAGAGCTTTATTATCAGCTAGTCTTGGAGGTAATAGTATTATCATGATTTTTCAGAAAAAGATCCTGAGGCTCAGTGTCCAAGGTCCAATGAACTACTCAGGTCGGAGGTGGTAGAGCAGCATGTGGAGCCAGTTCTCTCTCCGACTCCATCATCACACTGCACGGCTTCCTGTTAAGATATTTGCTCAAAAAATGCGAGATATAAAAATCTGGGTAATATGATCAACCTTAAAGAATAATTACATTTTAAATTATTCATGAGACCTTGTTAGTAGGTCACCATCAATGTGTAATTAAGCCAGATGTGACAGGATTTGTTGCCTCTCCCTTTACTTCTGAATTTTGGAGGCCTTTTTTTTTTTCTAGTTGTATCAGTCAGCCAACCAATATCTTTTTAGCATCTACTAAGTTTAGATACGGGAACTGGTACTCTGAAAGAGAAAATGAGAAATTTGACAAGATCCTGTCCCCAAGGAGCTTCCTATCCAACAGGGGCACAAGACAGATAGATAGACACACACACACACACACACACACACACACACACACACACACTATAAAGCAAGGCAAGATTTAGAGAGTGCACAGGAGTGGGCTCTGGGAGTTCAGGGGAGGGTCGTTCACATTCTGGTAGGGAAGATACTTCTGAGCTCAGTATATTCCCTTTCTCACTGTCCTTCTATCCCCTCTCTTCCTCTCCTCCTCTCTTTTCCTCTTTCTTCTCCCTCCTCCCACTCTGTCCTCTCCCTTTCTTTCCTTTTTTCTTTCTTTCTTTTTTTTTTTGAGACAGAGTCTTGTTCTGTCACCCATACTGGAGTACAGTGGCACGATCTCGGCTCACTGCAACCTCGGCCTCCCAGGTTCAAATGATTCTTGTGCCTCAGCCTCCTGAGTAGCTGGGATTACAGGCGCACACCACCATGCCTGGCTAATTTTTGTGTTTTTTAGTAGAGACAGGGTTTCACCATGTTGGCCAGGCTGGTCTTGAACTCCTGACCTCAAGTAATCCACCCACCTTGGCCTCCCAAAGTGCTGGGATCACAGGCATGAGCCACCACACTGGCCTCCTCTCCCTTTCTTAAAAATACATCAATTAATTAAATATATAAATGTAGATACACACACAGGCAGAATCAAAGTGTATAGGTTGGAGAGGAGACTGTTCCAAAAGGGGGGATGGCATGGGCAAATACGGCAAGAAAGAGTAGAGCATCTAGGTACTGAGGGTGCTGGGAAGTCCTGCTAAAAATACGGCAAGAAAGAGTAGAGCATCTAGGTACTGAGGGTGCTGGGAAGTCCTGCTAAAGTGGTCCCCTCCCACTGTGGGGCCTTTGAGTTTCCCTGTGCCAGGGTACCTGCCCTCTGTGAGTTTGAGTTCTTTCTTTGGTTGCAAGCAACCAAGACCAGCTCAGCTAAAAGAAATGGATGGATACCGACTCATGAGTCAGAGGGGAAGCTGGACGTCTATGCCCAGAGCCAGGCAGAAACGGGTCAGGTCTAGAGTCTGGGAGGAGGAAACCGATGGACAGCTGCTTCAGGGCCCAGCGCTCAGGGTGAAGCAGCTGCAGTTGTTTTTAGTCCTCAGATCACTCTGCTCAAGATGTGACTTGCCAGGAGGAATCTGGCTGGCCCAGCTGGGACATGTGTGTCTACCTCTAGACCAGGAGAGAGGAGAGTCTTGGTTGACAGTCCCCATGTAGTACCCCTTTGTTTAGGTTACTGAGTCATCAACAGATCTCAGTTCAAATAGTCACTTCTTCAGGGGCAATATACCCTCTTCTACCCATAAACTAGGGGCAACATACCCTCTCTCCCCTTTCACACATGACCATAACACCATGTAGCACTCAACTCTTGTAAGTTGACATTTACCCATGTGACTCTTTATGAACGTTCATCTCCATCCCGAGACCTACAGTCCATGAGGGTACCACCGTTCTAGGGTTTTTGCTCTTCTCTTTGTCAGTGGGGACTTAGGACTCTGCCTGGCACAGGGCAAACCCTCAATATTTGTTGAATAAATTAATTAATAAACACGTGTAAATGAATATCAGTAGACTACAACAAGAGTAACAGTAGGCGAAGGTGGAAGGCAAAGGTGGGAAGAGGTCAGGGCTCTGAGTGCTGGGCTGTGGAGTCTGAGGTTCACTCTACAGCGCTGGTGAGACACGATAGGTTTTAGAGAAAGGAAGCCTCATGCTGGTGCCCCAGTGGGTACTGACTATGCATTTGTAGCCAAATCAAAGTATTTCCCATAAAGTCATCTATCTCTTCCCAGTTGTTGGGACTTCCAATGGCAATGGGAATTAAGATACTGAGTAATTGGGAGATCAAGCAAATTATTTACTAACAAGGCACACGAAGTGATTTTTCACAGGCAATGTTAATGTTTTTCTTTTTTATGTAGTTTTAAAATTCTAAAAGTAACAAAATCACAACTACCAAACATTTAGACGACAAAAATTATCCATAATCCCACCATCTTAACACAACCACTATTATCATTTGTTTTCCTTATTCACATTTTCTACCTATTTTCTTAGATTCCAAGAAATAGAATTACTTGTTTAGAGGTTATTAACATCTTATTGTTCTGGATATATATATATATATAGCTATATATAGCTAAATTTAATAACAGCAATGTCTGCAGTACCACTTTCTCAAATGCTAACTGGCATTTCAATTTTTTGAGACAGTCTCTCTCTGTTGCCCAGGCAGGATTGCAGTGGCATGATCTCGGCTCACGGCAACCTCCACCTCCCAGGTTCAAGCGACTCTCATGCCTCAGCCTCCCAAGTAGCTGGGATTACAGGTGTGCACCACCACACTTGGCTAATTTTTGTATTTTTTAGTAGAGATGTGTTTTTACCATGTTGGCCGGGCTGGTCTCAAACTCCTGGCCTCAAGTGATCCTTCCACCTCAGCCTCCCCAAGGGCTGGTATTACAGGCATGAGCCACTGCCTGGCCTGGCATTTCAATTTTTAAAATCTTCAGTAATAAATGAAAATTTTTATCTTATTGTTATAATTTTTATGGTTTTTTATTATTCATGAGAATAAACATTTTCCAAGTTTGTTTACTGACTGAATTTCTTTTTTGTGCACCTTACTTGGTATCATGGATAAAATTTTGTCAATTTTCTGATTATATCAATGCATTCAGGGTCCCAAACCTGCCAAAGTTTAAAGAGAAAGATACTAAGGGAAAAACCAGGAAAAGATGGTAGAAAAGAATCACCCTGGCATTTTCAATCACGTAAACATTTGCTAGGTGCCCTAGCTGCAGGTATACAGCTCACTGAAACATGAATTCCAATTTTATAAGGTGAAATATATATTTAGAACCCTCTTCTGGAACTTTCTTCTAGTTATCTAGCATCCTAAGTGCCTGGACGTTCCTGATTGGTTTGCAATGTGTTTTATTTCCCATCCCCAAGTTTCATAGCTGCCGGCCCTGGGATCTACAGTCACAGGCTGTAACACAATATCTTGCACATCCTGAGTCTTTAATAAGCTTTTGTAGATGGGCTCTTACCATCATCATCATCGTGAAAGGCAAATATACAAAATTTGTTGACTAATGTAATGAGTCATGAGTAACAGAAGTTTACTGACCAAACACTACGTGCATGTAGAGTTCAGAATAAACACTTTATTATCACATCAGAGGAAAAGACCATCTTAGAGGCTCAACAACCCAGGAAAGCTGTGACGATTTCTTCAAATTGTTAAGAATATCCATGCATATGGGTTTCACATTATTTTGCTACATACAGTACCAATTTTTCCAAAAGCCAACAGCAGGTATTCTATTACCCATCCTGGACTTTTACTCCAAGAAAAAATACACTGAGTCTGTGAGTAATTTATTAGTATTTTGATCATTGCTGCCTTTTTTTTTTTTTTTAAGGTAAGAAGATCTAATGCATCCTATATCCAGTAAGTAGAATTATCTCTTCATCTGGGACCTGGAAATCCTGAAATAAAAAAGGATAATGCAATAAACACAGTTGCAGGAAAGTATGTTAGCTATATACTATGAAGTACTCTTAGTTTACTTATGTTGAATGGCTTAGCTATTAATACTCAAATTGAGTTAAAATGAAAATTCCTCCTTAAAAAATCAAACGTAATATGTATTACATTTCATGGTACATTAGTAGTTCTTTGTATATTGAATAAATACTAAATCACCTAGGTGTCTATGTTCTATCACATCTACAAACATGTCACTTCCTAATTAACAAAATGTTCTTCCTTTAGTTTGCTTTTGCACTTAAAATATATATAATTGACTTTTTTGGAAAAAAATCTAAGATTCATTGCTTTGTTTTGTAAAGACCAATAGGTTCTGTATAGTCTTTTTTTAAATTGTGGTAAAATACACATGGCATTAATTTACCATTTTAACCATTTTAAAGTGCACAATTTGTGGCATTAAGTACACTCACGTTGCTGTGCAACCATCACCACCGTCCATCTTCAGAACCTTTTTATCTTCCTAAACTGAAACTCTGTACTCGTTAAGCACTCACTTCCCTTTTCCCCATCCCCCAGCCCGTAGCAACCACGACTGTACTTTCTATGAATTTGACTACTCTAGGTACTGCATGTAGGTGGAATCATACAGTATTTGTCTTTTGCTTTGTTTTGTTTTGTTTTTTGTTTTCTAAGACAGGGTCTCACTCTGTCGCCCAGGCTGGAGTGCAGTGGTGCAATCACAGTGTCCTTTTGTGACTGGTTTATTTCACTTAGTGCCATGTTTTCAAGGTTCATCCATGTTGTTGCATGTCTCAGAACTTCCTTTTTTAGGCTAATATTCTTGCATGTATTTACCTAGTTTTGCTTATCCATTCAGCCATTGATGGACACTTGGGTTGCTTCCATCTTTTGGCTATTGTGAATAATGCTGTTTTGAACGTGGGTGTGCTACATAGTTACTTTTTAAAATTGGCACAACAGCGCTGTCTTTTGACATACGTATTTTATGGAAAACACAAGATTTTCCTGGCTGACGCTCAACCTCATAATTTGGACCTTGGTGCAACACAATAATAGGAGAGCTATGTGTCAGTATATATCACTAAGGATTACAATGAGAGTATATACAGTCAGTATTACAAATTATAAAAAGAAATGTAGGCCAGGCACGGTGCCTCACACCTGTAATCCCAGCACTTTGGGAGGCCAAGGTGGGTGGATTACCTGAGGACAGGAGTTCGAAACCAGCCTGGCCAACATGGTGAAAACCTGTATCTACTAAAAATACAAAAATTGGCCAGGTGTGGTGGCGCATGCCTGTAATCCCAGCTACTCAGGAGGCTGAGATGGGAGAATTGCTTGAACCTGGGAGGCAGAGGTTGCACTGAGCCAAGATTGTGCCACTGTACTCCAGCCTGGGCAACAGAGCGAGACTCTTTTTTAATAAATAAATAAATAAATAAATATATAAAAGAAACGTAATGAAAGAGAGAGAACTCTGAACTTTTAAAGAACTTTTCACCCAGTCTTGATCTATCTGACAGAAAGGCTTGTCAGAGAAAGTTAGAGTTCAGAGGCAGCCAATTGAATATAATTAACTCCAAATGAAGATAAACCTTTTCTAAATCATAACTGAAGGCTATAAAAAATGAGAATTATGTTATTTTTTTTTTGAGACAGGGTCTTACTCTATTGCCCAGGCTGGAGTGCAGTGGCATGATCTGGGCTCACTGAAGCCTGACCTCCTTGGCTCAGGTGATCCTCCCACCTCAGCCTCCTGAGTAGCTGGGACTACAGGTACTACCATGCCCGTCTATTTTTGTATTTTTTTAGTAGAGATGGGGTTTCTCCATGTTGTCCAGGCTGGTCTCAAACTCCCAGGCTCAAGCAATCTGCCCGCCTCAGCCTCCAAAAGTGCTGTAATTACAGGCATGAGCCACTGCTCCTGGCAGGGAACTAATAGAATCCTGGGTTCTTCGGTGTGCAATAAATCTCAAATACAGTCTATTCAACCATAGATTTTAAATATTTGTTAGTGAAGGTGACAAAAAAATAAGTGATTAAGAGAACCTATTTTCTATCCAATGAGCTATCAAAAGCTTATAGAGTGGAAAGAGAGTGGGGGAAGTGAGGCTCAAAACAGCTAAATGGAAAGAAGATTTTGCATGCAGGCTGAACTGGATTTTCATCCTGGCTACTATATTCTCCAGATGTGTCACTTTGGCCAAGATCCTTAATCTCAGTGTCATCTATAAGGTAATTAAAGTACACTAGTGCCCCACTAATCTGTGGTTTTGCTTTCCAAGCTTTCAGTTACCCGAGATCAACTGCGGTTTTAAAATATTATGTGGAAAATTCCAGAAATACATAGTAAGTTTTCAATTGCATGCCATTAAATCTCATGCTGTCCCTGACCCCTTCCTCTCCGGAGGTGAATGCTCCCTTTGTCCAGTGGCTCCACGATGACTACATTCCCCAAATTGTTCTCTTAGGAACCCTTTCTGTGTTCAAGGAACCCTTACTTTACTTAATTATGGCCCCAAAGCACAAGATAGGGATGCCGGCATACTGTTATAATTGTTCTATTTTATTATTAGTTATTGTTGTTCATCTCTACCTGTGACTAATTTATGAATTCAACTTTATCATAGGTATGTAGGTATAGGAAAAAAACATGGTATGTATAAGGTTCAGTACTATCTGCAGTTTCAGACATCCCCTGGGGGTCTTGGAACATATCCCCCGTGGATAAGGGGAAACTACTGTAAAAGTTTGTGTTTTATAGAGTAGTTGTGAGAACTACATTAATCCATAATGTGTGGCTCATGATACTCATTGATAGATGGTAGTAGCAACAATAAAAAATAATATTATCAAGTAACTGATTCATAATTGACTCTCAAAAACGTTAATTTTCTGCTTTCCTTTACCTAAGTTTACCTACATGTTTGAATTTGTAAAGGGAAGGTTTTTCTAGACCAATAATTTTCAAATATTTTTGCTCTCATACTTCCTCAAAGGAAACTGAAAAAGTTGCAACATACTTGCATGTCATTTTTCTATATAAGTTGAAAGAATAGCAAATTGTTATTTTCCCACGCATCGTAAAGATTAGCAGGTCATCCCTCTTTAAAATGTACCAAATGGAATCTAAATATCATCGCAATTTGACCCAGCATCATCCATTTAAACAAATATACAAGTTTTTCTTTAACAATGAGAAATTTTATCTCATTACATTTTCTCCCTAAACTCTTATTTCAATCTACATTCCTAAGAATTTTATCCTAATGTAGTATATTTTTATGCTTAAATATCTTTTGTTGATCAACACAATTTTGATCATTTTTAAATTTTAAAAATTAAGAACATCCTGTGACATCAAATTCTAGGTATGAAATATTTATTCTAGATTGGGTGATCATTATAATTATTTTTTGTACATAATTGATCAAAATAACATAAATATACTACAAATTTCTATGACTACTAAACATATAAAAGTAAAATTTTAAACAAATATATCTCTTAATGAGAAGGAAGAGCTTTTTATACTCCAATAAGTTAACGTATCCACTAATAATTATTATTTCTTCCTAGAACAAGACAGGATTAAGCATCATGACCGTCCCTATTGGGGGATGTTTTTATAGATGCAAGCACTGTGGCACCTACTGGTATAAATGCACCTGCTGATTGGAATGTTCTTTCCCCAGATCTTCCCCTGCTGGTTTCTTCCCAGTATTCAGGTCTCAGCTCAAATGTGACTTCCTCAATGAGGCCTCCTGGTGATCAGATCTAAAGCACCCTCTACACAATCACTGTTTAGTGCTATACCCATTAATTTACTATCATCACACTTGTCACTATCTGCAGATGTCTTGTTTGGTTACTTTTGTAGTGTTTGTCACTGCCAGAATATCAGTTCTATGAAGAAAAGGGCCTTGTCTGTCTTGCTGTTTGTAGACATGAGGAAGGCACCATGATATAAATGTGTGTTAATGAATGAATGAATGAAATTTGTCTGAGAGAACCATTCATTCTAACCAACATTTATGGAGTAACTACTTTGAAAAGAACCATTCTGTCTTTACTATCAAGCCAAGATACTCAAGGAAGGCAGCAGAAGTGGAAGCTCCATGTGGGCAGAGGAGCCTAGTCTTGAGATGTGATTTAGCTGGTATTTGGGTGAAACAAATAAACCAGCCTCAAAATAACACAAGGGGCCGGGTGCAGTGGCTCACGCCTGTATCCCAGCACTTTGGGAGGCTCGAGGCAGGCAGATTACTTCAGGTGAGGAGTTCGAGACCAGCCTGGCTAACATGGTGAACCTCCATCTCTACTAAAAATACAAAAACTAGCTGGGCATGGTGATGGGTGCCTGTAATCCCAGTTACTCGGGAGGCTGAGGCAGGAGAATTGCTTGAGCCTGGGAGGCAGAGGTTGCAGTGAGCTGAGATTCTGCCACTGCACTCCAGCCTGGGTGACAGAGCGAGACTCCGTCGAAAAGAAAAAAAGAAAGAAAGAAAAAAAACACACAAGGATGTGCAACTGATGCAGGGCAGGTGAGCCCAGAATTGGGCTTAGCTCAGGAGGGTTCTTGGTTTTGCTCAGGAAAGAATTTAAGAGCTACCTGGTAGAAGAAAAGCTCTACTGATATGGCAACAGCTCCCTGAGTGCCCCTGTAGAGCAGAGCTACCCTATAGGCAGTGTGCTGACAGCAGTAGCTTAAAGGCAGGTCTGCAGTGATATTTATAACCTACTTTCAATTACATGCAAATTAAGGGGCAGATTATGCAGAAATGTCTAGAAAAAGGGTGGTAACTTCCGGTTGTCGGCTCACTGCCATGGAAAGGGGCAGTAAGCTCTGGATGTTGCCATGACAATCGTAAACTGACATGGCACACTGGTGGGCACGTCTTATGGAAAACTACTTCTGCCCCATCCTTGTTTTGACTACTCCTCAATTTGGTCCCATGTCAGAGCCCTGCCTCCAGAGTCAAGCCCTGTCTACCTCACAATTATTATGTATCAGGTTTTTAAAAAATAACACAAGTAAGGCTGGGCATGGTGGCTCACGCCTTTAATCCCAGCACTTTGGGAGGCCGAGGTGGGCAGATCACTTCAGATCAGAAGTCTGAGACAAGCCTGACCAACATGGTGAAACCCTGTCTCTCCTAAAAATGCAAAAAAAAAAAAAAAGAAAAAAAAATTAGCTGGGCATGGTGGCAGGCGCCTATAGTTCCAGCTACTTGGGAGGCTGAGGCAGAATTGCTTGAACCCATGCAGCGGAGTTTGCAGTGAGCTGAGCACCACTGCACTGCAGCCTGAGGGACAGAGCAAGATTCCACCTCAAAAAAAAAAAAAAAAAAAAAAAAGGAAAAAGAATAACACAAGGAAATTAAACACAGATAACGTGCATCTGGATAATCTGGAATATTTTCAGCCTGGGATCTTCCTCGTGCTCGGAAACGTGTAGGGAAACGTGTAGGGACAGTTTTCAGCTGGTGTGGGGTGGGGGAATGCCAACATATGGTTGGCTTTCCACAGTCCTGCTAAAGCCCTGCAATGTGCAGAACAAACCGGTCCAGCTAAGAAAAGTCCCACCCAAAATGCTGAGAGCACCTCTGTACTCAATCAACCGTTGAGGTAAAAGGATGCTTGCAAGTACAACACATGTATCAGTGCATTTTAAACTCATTATAAAATCGTTCTGTAAACCAAAAATAAAATTCTACGCCCAGAACCATCTGAAAAGACCACTCCTCTGGGTCAAAGGCATTCCAAATTTAACCACAAAAACTAGTTCAGGCCATGATGGGAAGGGGAGCCAGACATGCCTCATTATTCCCTCCTCCGTTTGGAATTTAGGCACAGCTGACCAGCATTGACATCAACACAGGCCTCAAGACAGGTAGAACACACTCTTTAAGTCTGACAAGAAACATTTACAATCTATCTCTCTAAAGCCTGCTACCTGGAGGTTTAATCTGCATGATGAATCCATGGTCTCCACAACCCCTTATCTTAACCCAGATATTCCTTTCTATTCATTCAAATCTTTTTTTTTTTTTTCCCCATACGGCTCTGTCACCCAGACTGGAGTGCAGTGGCGCTTTCTCAGCTACTGCAAGCAACCTCCGCCTCCTGGGTTCAAGCGATTCTCCTACCTCAGCCTCCTGAGTACCTGGGGTTACAGGCGTGTGCCACCTCGCCCCACTAATTTTTGTATTTTCAGTAGAGAGGGTTTCACTATGTTGGCCAGGATGGTCTCAATCTCCTGACCTCGTGATCTGCCCGCCTCGACCTCCCAAGTGCTGGGATTACAGGCGTGAGCCACCGCGCCCAGCCCTCTATTGATTCCAGATCTTTAGATAACAATTCTTTCAACCAAATGTATAAAAAATCAAGTTGTAGCCCAACCACCTTGGGGACATGTTCTCAGGATCTGCTGAGGGCTCTATCACCGGCCATTGGTCACTCATATTTGGCTCAGAATAAATTTCTTCAGATATTTTACAGAGTTTAACTCTTTTCATCAACAGTTCCCACTCCCCAGTGTTAATGTTATAAACAATTCAGTAAAACTGGGAAATGTGGTCTATTAAAAACTTGGGGCCGAGTGCGGTGGCTCACGCCTGTAATCCCAGCACTTTGGGAGGCCAATGTGGGTGGATCACCTGAGGTCAGGAGTTTGAGACCAGCCTGGCTAACATGGCGAAACCCCGTCTCTACTAAACATGAAAAAAAAAAATTAGCCGGGCGTGGTGGCGGCGCCTGTAGTCCCAGCTACGCGAGAGGCTGAGGCAGCAGAATTGCTTGAACCCAGGAGGCGGAGGTTGCAGTGAGCCGAGATCGCACCATTGCACTCCAGCCTGGGTGAGAGAGCGAGACTCTGTCTCAAAAAAAAAAAAAAAAGACCGCCAGGGCTCAAACAAAAAACCTCGGAAAAGCCCTGGCGGTCTTTTTTTTTTTTTTTTTTTTTTTTTTGGGACAGTCTTGCTCTGTCGCCCAGGCTGGAGTACAATGGTCGGATCTTGGCTCACTGCAACCTCTGCCTCCCAGGTTCAAGCAATTCTTCTGCCTCAGCCTCCCAAGTAGCCACCACGCCCAGCTAATTTTTGTACTTTTAGTAGAGACGGGGGTTTCACCATGTTGTCCAGGCTGGTCTTGAACTCCTGACCTCAGGTGATCCACCCGCCTCGGCCCCCCAAAGTACTAGGATTACAGGCGTGAGCCACCGCGTCCAGCGCCCTGGCGGTTTTTAATCAAGTAGAAAAGCTGCATTATACCACTTGCTTCGGTTGCTTCAGTGAGAACGAAGAAATGGAAATGCAAATCCCTTATTAGTTGTAGGAAACAGATCTCAAACAGCAGTTTTGTTGACAAGACCGCAGGAAAACGTGGGAACTGTGCTGCTGGCTTAGAGAAGGCGCGGTCGACCAGACGGTTCCCAAAGGGCGCAGTCCTTCCCAGCCACCGCACCTGCATCCAGGTTCCCGGGTTTCCTAAGACTCTCAGCTGTGGCCCTGGGCTCCGTTCTGTGCCACACCCGTGGCTCCTGCGTTTCCCCCTGGCGCACGCTCTCTAGAGCGGGGGCCGCCGCGACCCCGCCGAGCAGGAAGAGGCGGAGCGCGGGACGGCCGCGGGAAAAGGCGCGCGGAAGGGGTCCTGCCACCGCGCCACTTGGCCTGCCTCCGTCCCGCCGCGCCACTTGGCCTGCCTCCGTCCCGCCGCGCCACTTCGCCTGCCTCCGTCCCCCGCCCGCCGCGCCATGCCTGTGGCCGGCTCGGAGCTGCCGCGCCGGCCCTTGCCCCCCGCCGCACAGGAGCGGGACGCCGAGCCGCGTCCGCCGCACGGGGAGCTGCAGTACCTGGGGCAGATCCAACACATCCTCCGCTGCGGCGTCAGGAAGGACGACCGCACGGGCACCGGCACCCTGTCGGTATTCGGCATGCAGGCGCGCTACAGCCTGAGAGGTGACGCCGCGGGCCCCTGCGGGACGGGTGGCGGGAAGGAGGGAGGCGCGGCTGGGGAGAGCGCTCGGGAGCTGCCGGGCGCTGCGGACCCCGTTTAGTCCTAACCTCAATCCTGCGAGGGAGGGGACGCATCGTCCTCCTCGCCTTACAGACGCCGAAACGGAGGGTCCCATTAGGGACGTGACTGGCGCGGGCAACACACACAGCAGCGACAGCCGGGAGGTAAGCCGCGTCCCAGCGGCTCCGCGGCCGGGCTCGCAGTCGCCCCAGTGATGCCGTGGCCCCCGAGGCGGGCGTCATCGGGCAGCGTTTGCCCAGTGCTGGAGGGTTAGGGAGAGCTGCCTGGGCTTGACCGCGCGCCGGTCTCAAAGTCCTGGCTTTGGCCCCTCCTCCGTTTTCCCCTGTGGACCATTCCGCTTCGCAGCGTTTTCAAAAACTGGAGCGAAAGTGATGTGGGCGGGGCAAAGGCGGCGGGAAGAGGAGAGCACTGAAGCTGGCGCGGGAACTTGGTTTCCTGGTGGCCTCCCATCCAATCCCCACGAACCAGCTTTCCTCTTAAACCTTGAAAAGAGAAATTCGGGAGTTCGAGTATAAGTTCTTAGTCGTCCTTTCCTCTTTCCTTTCCGACAGGAGCACCCCAGGCAAAAAATGTCTCGCGGGTCATTGGCGCCAGGCTTTCAGGGGACAGTGGGGCGGGGCGGGGTGGGCACAGGACGTTAGGCAGCCGTTGGCCCTCCCTAAGGCCACACCGTCCTGCCGTCCTGGATCCTGCGCCAGCTGCGCGGGGGAGGGGACTCGAAGGTGTGTGAGCCAGGGGCTGACCTTGACCGCTCAGATAAATGGAGCGCAGCCTTGACACAGGGGTGGAGGTGGTTTTGAATGGGGAAACCCATTCGTGGTGAAGCAGATTCACTGTAGCTAGCGGAAAAGCCCTCCGGCCCACGGACCCATCTAGAGACGAATACATAGCAGCTGCTGTGGCTGATTGGCGTGGGACAGCGTGGGGAGTTTTGTCTGAGGAGAGGGATCCACTTTTCTGCAGCTCCAAGCCCAGGGGCCTTTGATGAGCCATAGACCTCATTTTTAACCCACCTTTCTGCTTAGACATTGAGCAAGTTACTTCTCATATAGCTTCCCTATATGTTAAAAATGGAGAAAATAATGCTTAGTAGGCAATTCTGATAAAAGCAGGTGCTTGCAAAAATCTCTCTGTTGTCTGAATATAAACTGTACCACAAGCGAGTGCGGATGAACGAGGACTGCATTTAAAGATAAGTTTTTACACTTTCATTTCTCTGTGGCTCGACACTTCTGATGCCTCCCTTTTTGTTCCTGGGACACATGCTTGGTGTTGTCTTCACACCTTTGTGACAGGATTAGCACTAGTGGGCAGTGGATGATAGCTCCTCCCTTTTGCCACATGTTCATCCCTGCCCTCGCCACCATCTCACTGTGTGGAATTCCTGTGTCCACTGGTCACCGGGGCACAGAAGTGCTGTCTCAGCCTGAATCGGGCCACTGATGGGACTTGCAGCCTGGGAGCTCCACCGTGATCTCTGGCCCACTTTGCGGGAGTCTAGGCTTTCTGGATGCTCCAGGGCCTCACGTCCCAGGGCAGTTTTCTTCCCTGAAGAAAGTTGGATGGCATGATCTGTCTTCCCATCTTGAAACCGTATGGCAAATTGTTTTTCAGATGAATTCCCTCTGCTGACAACCAAACGTGTGTTCTGGAAGGGTGTTTTGGAGGAGTTGCTGTGGTTTATCAAGGTAAAGAAGTCGCTGCTATTAGAAGTCAGTAGTCTGTTCTCAACACAGCAGCCAGTGAGATCCTTTCAAAACTCAAAGCAGCCAGGTGTGGTGGCTCACGCCTGTAATCCCACCACTTTGGGAGGCTGAGTCAGATCACCTGAGGTTAGGAATTTGAGACCAGCCTGGCCAACATGGCGACACCCCAGTCTCTACTAATAACACAAAAAATTAGCCAGGTGTGCTGGTGCATGTCTGTAATCCTAGCTACTCAGGAGGCTGAGGCATGAGAATTGCTCACGAGGCGGAGGTTGTAGTGAGCTGAGATCGTGGCACTGTACTCCAGCCTGGGCGACAGAGGGAGAACCCATGTCAAAAACAAAAAAAGACACCACCAAAGGTCAAAGCATATCATTCCTCACCCTCAAGCCCTTAGTGGCTCCATTTCACTCAGTAAGAGCCACGGTCCTTATGGTGTCCGTTTTTCAGCTCTGACCTTAGCTGCTGCTCTCTGCACCAGCCCTGCTGTTCTTGTGAGTTTTTGAGCACACCGGGACATCCCCACTCCCTGGAACCTTCTTCCCCCACACTTGGCTTCTTCCTTTGAGTCTCTACTCCACTCGGGCAAGCCTTCCTAGACCTCCTGATTTAAAACTGTGACTCTCCCCCAACCTCCTTGGTGTTTCTCCATAGACGAACATCACCATCTGATGTATGTCAGCCTTTCCCTTCCCCTGTTAGAAGGGGGACAGCAGGTAGTAAAAGTGAAATGTGCTGTAAGCTTTATGAGGGCAGAGGATTTGTTTCTCGTGTTCACTGTTGTATCGCCAGGGCCTCAAACACAGCCTGCCACATAGTAGGAGTCAACATATATTGATCACTAAATGTAGATACCACCTGTGTTCCCATGTTCATATAAATTCTAGAAGAGTCTCTTCAGTAACAAGGTGAACCCCTTCCAGAGGGCTGAGTAGGTACCTCAGGCCGGGGCCAGAGTGCTGTGAAGACAGGCAGCAGCCCAGACCAAGCTTCTCTGTGTTCCGTGTCCTGGTCTAGAACCAGCGATGTTCTTTCTGACCAGTGCTTTTTGGAAGGTGGCTGAGGTCTGGGCTCAGGTCTGGGCCATACTAGAAGCTGGGATCCCTTCTATAGAGCACTTGGTATGGCTTGTATGGTCTTGGGGCAAGCCAGACCCAAGCCCTCTTATCCCATTTTAGAAAGGGCTTCAATTTGGATCCAGCCCCAGGTCTGCCTTAGCTCTGTATTCTTGGGGTATTTTGTTCTGTATTGGCCTATCTTGACTAACAATGAACCTTGGATTTGAAACATATCATCAGAAACCTCAGAAGACAACATTCTTAAACTGGCTAGAGCCTGGTCTGAATGGATGAAAAGGAGAGACTTTTGAAGCAATATGTAAAAGATTGAGAAATGATTTGTTGGAAATTTCTCAATTGGAGAAATTTCTTTGATTTGTTGGAAATTTCTTTGATTCTTTCTCAATCAAAGAAAATCGGGACAAACTCAACAATAGAAAGGGAGGAAGCAAGATACTCAGAAATAAAATGCATTCCCCTGTTTCAACTTAATGCTTCAATTCAGGATTCTAAGGAATCCTTGCCAGGAATGTCAGACTCACCTTGATAGTTGGAGTTACTCCATTGGTGACTCGATCAAATACAGGAGTTGAGGCACCTGCACTGTAAAATACTGATTAGTCTGATCATTAGGAATATCCTGTATGCCAGGTAGAAGATACATTGAACAGATTGCATGTAGGCATTAAATTCATTTTGGGGTATTACATATAGACAACACATTTCATTAAGAAACATAAAACTGTCAGATCGGTGGAATACTTAAAAGCACTTGGAGGTGTTTAGCCTAAAAAGCTTAGTTGAGGGGAATGGAAGAAAAGATCTGGGAGGGTGGTTCCAAAGAAGGGATCAGACTGTCCTAAAGCCCTCAGGAATCTGGGCTGGGACCAGCCTACTTAAAGATAGGATGGGCAGCTGGGTGTGGTGGCTCACGCCTGTAATCCCAGCACTTCGGGAGGCCGAAGTGGGCGGATCACCTGAGGTCAGGAGTTCGAGGCCAGCCTGACCAACATGGAGAAACACTGTCTCTACTAAAAATACAAAATTAGCTGGGTGTAGTGGCGCATGCCTGTAATCCCAGCTACTCGGGAGGCTGAGGCAGGGGAATCGCTTGAACCTGGGAGGTGGAGGGTGCCGTGAGCCACGATCGCGCCATTGCACTCCAGCCTGGGCAACAAGAGCGAAACTCTCAAAAAACAAAAAAAAGGATGGGTTCCATATGGGTGGTGTCAAGTGCCCACCTCCTAGCAAGTCAGCAGGGGCCAGAGGCCCTTGTAAGTGGTGTCTCGGGGGGATCAACTGAGATGGCTTAGGATTTACCTGGATGCCTGCTCTGCTCTCCCCATCTCTTCCAGGGATCCACAAATGCTAAAGAGCTGTCTTCCAAGGGAGTGAAAATCTGGGATGCCAATGGATCCCGAGACTTTTTGGACAGCCTGGGATTCTCCACCAGAGAAGAAGGGGACTTGGGCCCAGTTTATGGCTTCCAGTGGAGGCATTTTGGGGCAGAATACAGAGATATGGAATCAGGTGAGGAGATAGAACAATGCCTTCCATTTCCCGGGTGCCCTTCCTAGCATGTGTTTGCTCCGTTGTTTTAGATAAGGTCTGGGGGATGAGTCAATGTCACAGGAGCTGATGTATAGCTTTGACCTTGTGAGGGGTGGTGCCAGGTTAAGCCACAATTAAGCCTCATGAAGGCCGTTTCACACTCTTTTTTTTTTTTTTTTTTAATTATTATACTTTAAGTTTTAGGGTACATGTGCACAATGTGCAGGTTAGTTACATATGTATACATGTGCCATGCTGGTGCGCTGCACCCACTAACTCATGATCTAGCATCAGGTATATCTCCCAATGCTATCCCTCCCCCCTCCTCCCACCCCACAACAGTCCCCAGAGTGTGATGTTCCCCTTCCTGTGTCCATATGTTCTCGTTGTTCAATTCCCACCTATGAGTGAGAATATGCAGTGTTTGGTTTTTTGTTCTTGCGATAGTTTACTGAGAATGATGATTTCCAATTTCATCCACGTCCCTACAAAGGACATGAACTCATCATTTTTTATGGCTGCATAGTATTCCATGGTGTATATGTGCCACATTTTCTTAATCCAGTCTATCATTGTTGGACATTTGGGTTGGTTCCAAGTCTTTGCTATTGTGAATAGTGCCACAATAAACATACGTGTGCATGTGTCTTTATAGCAGCATGATTTAATAGTCCTTTGGGTATATACCCAGTAATGGGAGGGCTGGGTCAAATGGTATTTCTAGTTCTAGATCCCTGAGGAATCGCCACACTGACTTCCACAATGGTTGAACTAGTTTACAGTCCCACCAACAGTATAAAAGTGTTCCTATTTCTCCACATCCTCTCCAGCACCTGTTGTTTCCTGACTTTTTAATGATTGCCATTCTAACTGGTGTGAGATGGTGTCTCATTGTGGTTTTGATTTGCATTTCTCTGATGGCCAGTGATGGTGAGCATTTTTTCATGTGTTTTTTGGCTGCATAAATGTCTTCTTTTGAGAAGTGTCTGTTCATGTCCTTCGCCCACTTTTTGATGGGGTTGTTTGTTTTTTTCTTATAAATTTGTTTGAGTTCATTGTAGATTCTGGATATTAGCTCTTTGTCAGATGAGTAGGTTGCAAAAATTTTCTCCCATTTTGTGGGTTGCCTGTTCACTCTGATGGTAGTTTCTTTTGCTGTGCAGAAGCTCTTTAGTTTAATTAGATCCCATTTGTCAATTTTGTCTTTTGTTGCCATTGCTTTTGGTGTTTTAGACATGAAGTCCTTGCCCATGCCTATGTCCTGAATGGTAATGCCTAGGTTTTCTTCTAGGGTTTTTATGGTTTTAGGTCTAACGTTTAAGTCTTTAATCCATCTTGAATTGATTTTTGTATAAGGTGTAAGGAAGGGATCCAGTTTCAGCTTTTTACATATGGCTAGCCAGTTTTCCCAGCACCATTTATTAAATAGGGAATCCTTTCCCCATTGCTTGTTTTTCTCAGGTTTGTCAAAGATCAGATAGTTGTAGATATGCGGTGTTATTTCTGAGGGCTCTGTTCTGTTCCATTGATCTATATGTCTGTTTTGGTACCAGTACCATACTGTTTTGGTTACTGTAGCCTTGTAGTATAGTTTGAAGTCAGGTAGTGTGATGTCTCCAGCTTTGTTCTTTTGGCTTAGGATTGACTTGGCGATGTGGGCTCTTTTTTGGTTCCATATGAACTTTAAAGTAGTTTTTTCCAATTCTGTGAAGAAAGTCATTGGTAGCTTGATGGGGATGGCATTGAATCTATAAATTACCTTGGGCAGTATGGCCATTTTCACGATATTGATTCTTCCTACCCATGAGCATGGAATGGTCTTCCATTTCTTTGTATCCTCTTTTATTTCATTGAGCAGTGGTTTGTAGTTCTCCTTGAAGAGGTCCTTCACATCCCTTTTAAGGTGGATTCCTAGGTATTTTATTCTCTTTGAAGCAATTGTGAGTGGAAGTTCACTCATGATTTGGCTCTCTGTTTGTCTGTTATTGGTGTATAAGAATGCTTGTGATTTTTGCAGATTGATTTTATATCCTGAGACTTTGCTGAAGTTGCTTATCAGCTTAAGGAGATTTTGGGCTGAGACAATGGGGTTTTCTAGATATACAATCATGTCGTCTGCAAACAGGGACAATTTGACTTCCTCTTTTCCTAATTGAATACCCTTTATTTCCTTCTCCTGCCTAATTGCCCTGGCCAGAACTTCCAACACTATGTTGAATAGGAGTGGTGAGAGAGGGCATCCCTGTCTTGTGCCAGTTTTCAAAGGGAATGCTTCCAGTTTTTGCCCATTCAGTATGATATTGGCTGTGGGTTTGTCATAGATAGCTCTTATTATTTTGAAATATGTCCCATCAATACCTAATTTATTGAGAGTTTTTAGCATGATGTGTTGTTGAATTTTGTCAAAGGCCTTTTCTGCATCTATTGAGATAATCATGTGGTTTTTGTCTTTGGATCTGTTTATATGCTGGATTACATTTATTGATTTGTGTATATTGAACCAGCCTTGCATCCCAGGGATGAAGCCCACATGATCATGGTGGATAAGCTTTTTGATGTGCTGCTGGATTCGGTTTGCCAGTATTTTATTGAGGAATTTTGCATCAATGTTCATCAAGGATATTGGTCTAAAATTCTCTTTTTTGGTTGTGTCTCTGCCCAGCTTTGGTATCAGGATGATGCTGGCTTCATAAAATGAGTTAGGGAGGATTCCCTCTTTTTCTATTGATTGGAATAGTTTCAGAAGGAATGGTACCAGTTCCTCTTTGTACCTCTGGTAGAATTCGGCTGTGAATCCATCTGGTCCTGGACTCTTTTTGGTTGGTAAGCTATTGATTATTGCCACAATTTCAGCTCCTGTTATTGGTCTATTCAGAGATTCAACTTCTTCCTGGTTTAGTCTTGGGAGAGTGTATGTGTCAAGGAATTTATCCATTTCTTCTAGATTTTCTAGTTTATTTGCGTAGAGGTGTTTGTAGTAATCTCTGATGGTAGTTTGTATTTCTGTGGGATTGGTGGTGATATCCCCTTTATCATTTTTTATTGCGTCTATTTGATTCTTCTCTTTTTCTTTATTAGTCTTGCTAGCGGTCTATAAATTTTGTTGATCCTTTCAAAAAACCAGCTCCTGGATTCATTAATTTTTTGAAGGGTTTTTTGTGTCTCTATTTCCTTCAGTTCTGCTCTGATTTTAGTTATTTCTTGCCTTCTGCTAGCTTTTGAATGTGTTTGCTCTTGCTTTTCTAGTTCTTTTAATTGTGATGTTAGGGTGTCAATTTTGGATCTTTCCTGCTTTCTCTTGTGGGCATTTAGTGCTATAAATTTCCCTCTACACACTGCTTTGAATGTGTCCCAGAGATTCTGGTATGTTGTGTCTCTGTTCTCGTTGGTTTCAAAGAACATCTTTATTTCTGCCTTCATTTCGTTATGTACCCAGTAGTCATTCCGGAGCAGGTTGTTCAGTTTCCATGTAGTTGAGCAGTTTTGAGTGAGTTTCTTAGTTCTGAGTTCTAGTTTGATTGCACTGTGGTCTGAGAGATAGTTTGTTATAATTTCTGTTCTTTTACATTTGCTGAGGAGAGCTTTACTTCCAACTATGTGGTCAATTTTGGAATAGGTGTGGTGCGGTGCTGAAAAAAATGTATATTCTGTTGATTTGGGGTGGAGAGTTCTGTAGATGTCTATTAGGTCCGCTTAGTGCAGAGCTGAGTTCAATTCCTGGGTATCCTTGTTAACTTTCTGTCTCGTTGATCTGTCTAATGTTGACAGTGGGGTGTTAAAGTCTCCCATTATTAATGTGTGGGAGTCTAAGTCTCTTTGTAGGTCAGATGATTGGCACTTACTGGGCGCTTGGCACTTTCCATACTGTGTCATCGGCAGATAGCTGCATGGTTGGTGTTCGTGCTGGGGAATGGGAAGTTCATCGGTGGGACAAGGGACAAAATGCCCCCATTGCTTTGTTGTGGCTTTAATCTCCCTTTCGAGGCTGAGCCACAGCGTGCTGTAGGTGGCGCTGCTGTGAAGCGCAGTGCCAGGGTCACACTCCACTCCCAGCTCTGCAGAGGTGGAGAAAGAATGAAACATCTCACTCCTGGACTTCCACTTTCCTGTCACTGTTGGTGTCACCTCTTACTGGATGTCACAGAGCCCAGCCCCTCCCACCTGTCCCTAGGAAAAGCAGATGCCACCTTGGAATGTGGGGTTTGTGTGTGCAATTTACTAGCTGGGCAGAGACCAGCAACCTGGAGAGCAGGTGTCTCATCTAAGGGGACAGTCACATTTCACCTCCAGCCACCTGGAGGAATTTGGGCCTGGTGATGTCAGAATTCTTCAATAAAAGCCTAAAATCTATATTTTATGTGCGGTCATGAGATCTGTTAAATGTTAGCAACTTCAGGAAGTTTAAAAATGCTGTGTGGACCTAGAATAGGCAAGTTCTTAAAGGCAGAAAGTGGAATGCTAGTTTCCAGGGACTGGGGAACAGGGAGGAATGGGGAGTTCATGTTTAATGGGCACAGAGGTTTTGTTAGGGATGACGAAAAAGTTCGGGAGATGGTGATGGAGATGGTGATGGTGATGGAGATGGTGATGGTGATGGAGATGGTGATGGTGATGGAGATGGAGATGGTGATGGAGATGGAGATGGTGATGGTGATGGAGATGGTGATGGTGATGGAGATGGAGATGGTGATGGAGATGGTGATGGTGATGGAGATGGAGATGGTGATGGTGATGGAGATGGTGATGGTGATGGAGATGGAGATGGAGATGGTGATGGTGATGGTGATGGAGATGGTGATGGTGATGGTGATGGTGATGGAGATGGTGATGGTGATGGTGATGGTGATGGAGATGGTGATGGTGATGGTGATGGAGATGGTGATGGTGATGGAGATGGAGATGGTGATGGTGATGGTGATGGAGATGGTGATGGTGATGGGATGGTGATGGAGATGGTGATGGTGATGGTGATGGAGATGGTGATGGTGATGGAGATGGTGATGGAGATGGTGATGGTGATGGAGATGGTGATGGTGATGGTGATGGTGATGGAGATGGTGATGGTGATGGTGATGGTGATGGTGATGGAGATGGTGATGGTGATGGTGATGGTGATGATGGAGATGGTGATGGTGATGGTGATGGTGATGGTGATGGAGATGGTGATGGTGATGGTGATGGTGATGGAGATGGTGATGGTGATGGTGATGGAGATGGTGATGGTGATGGAGATGGTGATGGTGATGGTGATGGTGATGGTGATGGTGATGGAGATGGGTGATGGTGATGGTTGCCTAACATCAGGAACGTGCTTAATGCTTCTGAATTGCACACAAAAATGGCAAGTTTAATATTATGTGTACTTTATCACAATGAAAAAAGCTGCTGCGTGGGCCAAGTTACTTGTGCAGGTAAGTGTTCTGCAGGTCGTTGCCTGCACCTCAGTTGTAGGGTGTCCGTAGGATGTGAGGCCAGTCCCCGGGCTTAATGATGCTTTAAATCCTGCCTAGTATTCAATTATTTCTTGTCGCTTAAAAGGCCTAATAAAATTATGGTTTTAGTTTACAGTGGTATGAATGCTTAGCTGTTGGATTTTAGTAGGAAAGTTTGTCCCTTTTTGTTTTTAATTTTGTTTTACAGATTCACAGGAATTTTTTTTTTTTTTTTTTTAATGCACAGAAAGTTTCCCTGGACACACTACCCAGTTTCCCCCAGTGATAATATCTTGGGTAACATCCTGTATACATTCACATTGGTGCATTCCTCAGAGTTGTCAGATTTTGCTAGTTTTACGTGCACTTGTGTATGTGTGTATTTGCAATTTTAGCACGTGTAGACTCTTGTAACCACTACAATCAAGTTACAGAACTACACTACCAAGGTTCATCTTTTTAAAATCTTTGATGTTACCTTTTTCGGAACAGTGACCATGAGAGGACTTTCCTCCCAAAATTTTGAGAACTACTGAACCAGAATATAGTCTGACACTAATAGGTAGAAATTTAACCAAAGGAGATTATGAAGCTCTGCACTTCAGTTAACAAATCACTTCTCAGCTTCCAGTTCCATCTCAGAAGGAAGGAAAGGGATTAAAATCCAGAGACCAGAAATGGGAGCAAAGTACAAGGTGGTGTAATCATTACAGAGGTTTCCTGATGTTTCCAAGTCAGTCGTGTGTTGAGCTGCTAAACTCTAAAGTAATTTTAGGTGGAAGTGTTGGAAACATGCTGCTGAGGTGATAGAAAGGAATCCATGGTCCTCTGTTAGTTGGAAAGTATATGGAATACTATATTCTACATAAGATACAACACTCTCTGTGAGACAAGGATAAAGTAGATTTTGTCAGTGAAATTGTGACAAGAATCGCTGATGGGTTTAGAGCCTAAGTTTGCGAGGAGCACTGGAAGAAATTAAGATTGTTGAGATTGGAAAGGGTTAGCTATGGGGGGAACAGGAGGAGGTGACTCCATGACAGACCAAATATTCAAAGGACTGTGTAGAAGAGGAAAAAGACTTTGTTAGGGCTCCAGAGGACAGAGCCAGGAGTCAGACAGGGCCTTGAACTCAACCCACCGAGATCTGCAAACTTTGCAGGATGCACCAGATGTCTTGTAGCCATGGGTCAAGGGGGGACCCTGGGTAAGAGACTGTAATAGATGACCTCTAAGGCCATCTCATGACATGTGTGATTAATGTATGTACCTGTCCTCTCTTTTTGACAATTCTACAGATTATTCAGGACAGGGAGTTGACCAACTGCAAAGAGTGATTGACACCATCAAAACCAACCCTGACGACAGAAGAATCATCATGTGCGCTTGGAATCCAAGAGGTTGAAAGAACCCCGTCGTCTTCATTTATACTAACCATACTCTTAGAGGGAAGCAATCTGGTTTTGTGCAGAGGCACCTGAGGGAGGCAGGACCCTGGGAACTTCCCCCAGCCACATGGTTGATTGTGTGACGTTGGGCAAGTCACATTTTGCTGCACTTTCACCTTCAGATCATGAGGTTGGGCCCAGAGGATTTTTTTTTTTTTTTTTTTTTTTTGAGACAGAGTTTTGCTCTGTTGCCCAGGCTGGAATGCAACGGCGTGATCTTGGCTCACTGTAACCTCTGCCTCCTGGGTTCGAGTGATTCTCCTGCCTCAGCCTCCCAAGTAGCTGGGATTACAGGCATGTGCCACCATGCCCGGCTAATTTTGTATTTTTAGTAGAGACGGGGTTTCACCATGTTGGTCAGGCTGGTCTTGAACTCCTGACCTCAGATGATCTGCCTGCCTCAGCCTCCCAACCAGATGATCTTAATTTGTGTATTTATACTCATTCTTACACCAAAAAGGGTTTTAAATTGCCTAGAAACTACATGTAAGATGTTAACATTTTAAATGGAAGCAGATGAAGTTCCAGCTCGCTGCCACCTCACTAACATTTTTAACAATTATATTGTAAAATTCAACTCTACCAGGGTGTAGAGCCAGGTGTGGTGGCTCACACCTGTAATTCCAACAACTCCAGAGGCCAAGGCGAGAGGATCATTTGAACCCAGGAATTTGAGGCTGTAGTGAGTCATGATCACGCCATTGCACTCCAGCCTGGGCAACAGAGTGAGACCCTGAATATTTAAAAACAACAACAACAACAAAACTCTATCAGGATATCATAAGTACTTAGAGTGAAATACTTGCATCTGTAATAGAGACTTATTTTTTTTTTTTTTTTGAGACACAGTCTCACCCTGTTGCCCAGGCTGGAGTGCAGTGGTGTGATCTCCGCTCACGGCAACCTCCATCTCCCAGGTTCAAGTGAGTTCCCATTCCTCAGCCCCAGAGCTGGGACCACAGGCGCGCGAATTTTTGTATTTTTAGCAGAGACGGGGTTTCACTATGTTGGCCAGGCTAGTCTCGAACTCAAGTTGGCCTCAAGTGATCTGCCCACCCTGGCGTCCCAGTGTTGGGATTTCAGGCATGAGCCACTGTGCCTGGCCATGTAATAGAGACTTTTAATATAGGAGGGTGTACCAGAAGCACCAGTTTCCTGTGGCAAACAGAATTATTCCTGCTGTATTTGTAATCTGGTGCCACGAGGTAGCCCAGATCCCTTCAGCTCTGATGGAAGAGCATTGCTTCAGCCGTAAATGGACACCTGCAGAAACCTTGCACCGATGGATAGTCTCCCTCAGCTCCGTGCCATCGCTGCAGAGGCTGTTATGGACATCACTGCAGCCCAGTGGCTCTCTCTCCTGGTCTCCACCATATGAGTTGGCTTCTGTTTCTCTCCTGTTTTACTTTGCCTTTAGCTGTGGTCTTTCAAACCACCATCCCTCCTTATCTTCCTCTGCTGGTTCCTCAGATCTTCCTCTGATGGCGCTGCCTCCATGCCATGCCCTCTGCCAGTTCTATGTGGTGAACAGTGAGCTGTCCTGCCAGCTGTACCAGAGATCGGGAGACATGGGCCTCGGTGTGCCTTTCAACATCGCCAGCTACGCCCTGCTCACGTACATGATTGCGCACATCACGGGCCTGAAGGTGGGCTGTCTCGGGAAGGGTGACTTGCCAGCCTACCACACTGAGCTCTTCAGTTCTTTAATATGGGAAAACAAATTGCAGAGTTTAGTCTCTGATTAGCTTTTAAATTTGATATGTGTAAGTAAGAAATGAACCAGCTTTTACTTTGAAACCTTCCTCTTCTGGAAGGTTTTCTGGCCCTGTGGTATACGCACTAACAGATCTATACAGGTTGTTTGTGATACAGCTTCTATGGATTTTCTCAAAAGCTATGCTGAGGTTGGGTATGGTGGCTCATGCCTGTAATCCCAGCACTTTGGGAGACTGAGACAGGAGCAATTGCTTGAGGTCTGGAGTTCAATACCAGCCTGGGCAACATAACAAGATGCTGTTGCTACAAAAAAATGGAAAAGCTACACTAAATTATTTTTTTAAAAAAAGCCTTGCGGTGTCTGCATATTCTAATGTTTTTAAATGATGTTTTAAAGAATTGAAACTAACATACTGTTCTGCTTTCTCCCCCGGGTTTATAGCCAGGTGACTTTATACACACTTTGGGAGATGCACATATTTACCTGAATCACATCGAGCCACTGAAAATTCAGGTAAGAATTAGATGTTATACTTTTGGGTTTGGTACCTTCTCTTGATAAAAGGTTGACTGTGGAACAGGCATCTGCTCAATGCTGTGTCCAAGATAAAGATGACTGCTCCAAATGTGGGGCTTCAGTTTAGGGAGAAGTGGTGGGCAGGTGGGCAGGACAAGGCAGGCATCTGCCTCAGCAACCATGGGCACTTAACATGTCAGGTGCTGTGAGGTACTAAGCACCAGTACCAGAGAGGGAAGAGCCACATTCAAGCCAGGGGATTGTCCAAAAGGGGGCATTTTAACTCATTTTAACTTGAAGGAGAATTGAAGTGCAAATGTTTTTCCTTTTCTTTTTTTTTTGAGATGGAGTCTTTCTCTGTCGGCCAGGCTGGAGTGTGCCGTGGTGCGATCTCAGCTCACTGCAACCTCCACCTCCCGGGTTCAAGCAATTCTTCTGCCTCAGCCTCCCAGGTAGCTGGGATTACAGGCACATGCCACCACACCCAGCTAATTTTTGTATTATTAGTAGAGATGGGGTTTCATCATGTTGGCCAGGCTAGTCTCAAACTCCTGACTTCAAGTGATCCACCTGCCTCAGCCTCCGAAAATTCTGGAATTACAGGCATAAGCCACCACCCTGGCCATAAATATTTTTTGTTAATTTTACATTAAGTACAATATTTAGGTCCAAACTTCAAAAGTCTGTTGAAATCCCTAAGTTATAGCAGCCAACAATTGATATGAAATGGCAATAAAAATGTAAGTTCATCTGCTTCATGAGCCTTAAGGAAAAAAACTCAGAACCAGACACTTTTTAGCCCCTTCCAGGTTAGATCCAGGTTTTAAAAGTTACTCCTTTGAGGGAGTTTGGCTGCTTTTGAGTGGAGGTGACTTCAGGCTTATTCTCTCTGGCTCTCTGCTCTGGTCGTTTTTAGACATAGTAATAGGTTGTGACCTGTCTTCACATCCTAATTGCCACTGTCTGTTCATCCCAGGAATCCTGGCTTTCATCCCTTTCTGTTCACTGTCCATGCATGTCATCTTTCCTTCTTTCTGCCAGGGACAGATGGGTTAGGGATTGTGGAATTCAAGTAAACGTAGAGCTACTATGAGTTACAGATTGACTGTGTTCCTGTCTTTAATAAATTTGCCAAGAGTGGTTATAAGAACTTACACCTGATGAGGCACCAGGCTCCTGATGCTGTGTAATGTCACAAAATACCCCTCACTCTCGATCTGTGCAAGAGAACAGCTGGTTGCGCTCCAATCATGTTACATAACCTACGGCAAGGTATCGACAGGATCATACTCCTGTAAAATAGAACTTTGTTGATCACATCCTGTGTACTTGTTTCACGGACATGAGGAGCAATTACAACAGGTCGTACAATTATGGCAAAATAATGGCCTTATTTTGTTTTTAGCTTCAGCGAGAACCCAGACCTTTCCCAAAGCTCAGGATTCTTCGAAAAGTTGAGAAAATTGATGACTTCAAAGCTGAAGACTTTCAGATTGAAGGGTACAATCCGCATCCAACTATTAAAATGGAAATGGCTGTTTAGGGTGCTTTCAAAGGAGCTCGAAGGATATTGTCAGTCTTTAGGGGTTGGGCTGGATGCCGAGGTAAAAGTTCTTTTTGCTCTAAAAGAAAAAGGAACTAGGTCAAAAATCTGTCCGTGACCTATCAGTTATTAATTTTTAAGGATGTTGCCACTGGCAAATGTAACTGTGCCAGTTCTTTCCATAATAAAAGGCTTTGAGTTAACTCACTGAGGGTATCTGACAATGCTGAGGTTATGAACAAAGTGAGGAGAATGAAATGTATGTGCTCTTAGCAAAAACATGTATGTGCATTTCAATCCCACGTACTTATAAAGAAGGTTGGTGAATTTCACAAGCTATTTTTGGAATATTTTTAGAATATTTTAAGAATTTCACAAGCTATTCCCTCAAATCTGAGGGAGCTGAGTAACACCATCGATCATGATGTAGAGTGTGGTTATGAACTTTAAAGTTATAGTTGTTTTATATGTTGCTATAATAAAGAAGTGTTCTGCATTCGTCCACGCTTTGTTCATTCTGTACTGCCACTTATCTGCTCAGTTCCTTCCTAAAATAGATTAAAGAACTCTCCTTAAGTAAACATGTGCTGTATTCTGGTTTGGATGCTACTTAAAAGAGTATATTTTAGAAATAATAGTGAATATATTTTGCCCTATTTTTCTCATTTTAACTGCATCTTATCCTCAAAATATAATGACCATTTAGGATAGAGTTTTTTTTTTTTTTTTTTAAACTTTTATAACCTTAAAGGGTTATTTTAAAATAATCTATGGACTACCATTTTGCCCTCATTAGCTTCAGCATGGTGTGACTTCTCTAATAATATGCTTAGATTAAGCAAGGAAAAGATGCAAAACCACTTCGGGGTTAATCAGTGAAATATTTTTCCCTTCGTTGCATACCAGATACCCCCGGTGTTGCACGACTATTTTTATTCTGCTAATTTATGACAAGTGTTAAACAGAACAAGGAATTATTCCAACAAGTTATGCAACATGTTGCTTATTTTCAAATTACAGTTTAATGTCTAGGTGCCAGCCCTTGATATAGCTATTTTTGTAAGAACATCCTCCTGGACTTTGGGTTAGTTAAATCTAAACTTATTTAAGGATTAAGTAGGATAACGTGCATTGATTTGCTAAAAGAATCAAGTAATAATTACTTAGCTGATTCCTGAGGGTGGTATGACTTCTAGCTGAACTCATCTTGATCGGTAGGATTTTTTAAATCCATTTTTGTAAAACTATTTCCAAGAAATTTTAAGCCCTTTCACTTCAGAAAGAAAAAAGTTGTTGGGGCTGAGCACTTAATTTTCTTGAGCAGGAAGGAGTTTCTTCCAAACTTCACCATCTGGATACTGGTGTTTCTTTACAGATTCCTCCTTCATTTCTGTTGAGTAGCCGGGATCCTATCAAAGACCAAAAAAATGAGTCCTGTTAACAACCACCTGGAACAAAAACAGATTTTATGCATTTATGCTGCTCCAAGAAATGCTTTTACGTCTAAGCCAGAGGCAATTAATTAATTTTTTTTTTTTTGACATGGAGTCACTGTCCGTTGCCCAGGCTGCAGTGCAGTGGCGCAATCTTGGCTCACTGCAACCTCCACCTCCCAGGTTCAAGTGATTCTCCTGCCTCAGCCTCCCATGTAGCTGGGATCACAGGCACCTGCCACCATGCCCGGCTAATTTTTTGTATTTTTTGTAGAGACAGGGTTTCACCATGTTGGCCAGGCTGGTCTCAAACACCTGACCTCAAATGATCCACCTGCCTCAGCCTCCCAAAGTGTTGGGATTACAGGCGTAAGCCACCATGCCCAGCCCTGAATTAATATTTTTAAAATAAGTTTGGAGACTGTTGGAAATAATAGGGCAGAGGAACATATTTTACTGGCTACTTGCCAGAGTTAGTTAACTCATCAAACTCTTTGATAATAGTTTGACCTCTGTTGGTGAAAATGAGCCATGATCTCTTGAACATGATCAGAATAAATGGCCCCAGCCACACAATTGTAGTCCAAACTTTTTAGGTCACTAACTTGCTAGATGGTGCCAGGTTTTTTTGCACAAGGAGTGCAAATGTTAAGATCTCCACTAGTGAGGAAAGGCTAGTATTACAGAAGCCTTGTCAGAGGCAATTGAACCTCCAAGCCCTGGCCCTCAGGCCTGAGGATTTTGATACAGACAAACTGAAGAACCGTTTGTTAGTGGATATTGCAAACAAACAGGAGTCAAAGCTTGGTGCTCCACAGTCTAGTTCACGAGACAGGCGTGGCAGTGGCTGGCAGCATCTCTTCTACAGGGGCCCTCAGGCCACAGCTTACCTTGGGAGGCATGTAGGAAGCCCGCTGGATCATCACGGGATACTTGAAATGCTCATGCAGGTGGTCAACATACTCACACACCCTAGGAGGAGGGAATCAGATCGGGGCAATGATGCCTGAAGTCAGATTATTCACGTGGTGCTAACTTAAAGCAGAAGGAGCGAGTACCACTCAATTGACAGTGTTGGCCAAGGCTTAGCTGTGTTACCATGCGTTTCTAGGCAAGTCCCTAAACCTCTGTGCCTCAGGTCCTTTTCTTCTAAAATATAGCAATGTGAGGTGGGGACTTTGATGACATGAACACACGAAGTCCCTCTAGAGGTTTTGTGGTGCCCTTTAAAAGGGATCAATTCAGACTCTGTAAATATCCAGAATTATTTGGGTTCCTCTGGTCAAAAGTCAGATGAATAGATTAAAATCACCACATTTTGTGATCTATTTTTCAAGAAGCGTTTGTATTTTTTCACATGGCTGCAGCAGCTGCCAGGGGCTTGGGGTTTTTTTGGCAGGTAGGGTTGGGAGGGCCATTTTGTCACTGCCTCAGCTGGGCATCTAGGAAGCATTAGCACTGTGAGGCTTTCTCGGTACACTTTGTACCTGGAAAACAATCCGAACAGGTCCATGGGACCACAACTGAGGGAGGTGGGACACACCCACCTCCATCCAAGAACCAAGACATCTAAGGAAGCAAACCCAGATGCAGAACAATAAAATACATTCCATACTCCCCACCCAAAAAATAAAATCACCAAATGAGGTTCCTTTCAGCTATACAAATGATTTAGATGAAGAGCAGAGGATTTAGAATCAGGTCAATCTGTGTTCAGGTTCTGCGTCAGCCACTTTGTAGTTCTGAGGCTTGGGGCAAGTGACCGAGCTCTGCTGCCTGACTTCCATCGCCTGTTATTGAACAGCTGTGACAGGCAGGCTGATATGGTTTGGATTTGTTTTGGATTTGTGTCCCTGCCCAAATCTCATGTTGAACTGTAATCCCCAGTGTTGGCAGCAGGGCCTGCTGGGAGGTGATTGGATCATGGGAAGTGGTCCTTCATGAATGGTTTGGCACCCGTTCCTTGGTGCTGTTCGAGATAGTTATCACAAGATCTGTTGTTTAAAAGTGTGTAGCACCTTCCCCCCTCACTCTCTCTTCCTCCTGCTCTTGGCCATAAGAAGTGCTTGTTCCCCCTTCACCTTCCATCATGATTGTAAGTTTCCAGAAGCTGAGCAGAAGCCGCTATGCTTCCCGTGCAGCCTGCAGAACTGTAAGCCAATTAAACCTCTTTTCTTTATAAATTACCCAGTCTCAGGTATTTCTTTATAGCAGTGCAAGAATAGACTAATACAGTATAAAATAGTTCGGCTATATTAAAAGACAGCACCTGTCTACTCACTACCCCCCTGAAGAGAAAAACGGTTACCATTATTACTGAAGCCTCCTATGTACCCTCAAGGGTCCCATTTATCACTCACAGTCCTGAATTTGGTGTTTCCCTTTCCCAGTGAATGCTTTTGTGCCTTTGCTATATACTTGCAGTGATCTTTCTGTGAGACATTTAATTCCAGGAGACAAGAAAAGTGGAATAAGCAAAACCCTACGTGTGCAGATGACTGGAAGGAGATTGTCCTAATTTAAAAGCCCACCTGGGGCGTTCTGAGAAATAAGATGAAATAAATGTGTGTCTAGACCATGGAAGACTCCAGTACTGGGAAGAGGAGATGGGACAGAAGTACAGAATACACGTGATGAAAACAGGAGCTGGTTAAGGGAGTAGTGTGGCTGCAAGCCTTACCTTCAATGTACTTAAAAAATAAAGTGAGTCAGCTACCAGACCCTATCTTAGGAGGCAAAATGACCGTTCATTGGTGGGTCTCTGTGAAAGCAAAACCAACTCCGCCTGAGAGTTATAGGACATGCCAGCGGACAAGGTCTTAGTGTGTTCTGGTCATGAAGGCAGAATTTACAAGCTCTGGCCTGGATTGAGGGACCCTACTGAAACAGAAAGTATTAATGCCACATTACTGACCTATTTTCAAGGCTTGCAGAAACTGATATGTAGTCAAATATAATCAGGTGCTGCACCAGTTCACAGAGGCCAACTCCACCAGCATGGGGGCAAACAGGAACTAAAAGGAAATCGTTTCTATTTAATACCAAGAGTAGGGCAGGGAGAGGAAGGGGTGAAAGGGAACTTTCTGGTTTTTCTTATTGCCCACAGGTGATTAAATCATTTATTAATATTTAGGAAGGAAATTCCAAGATGAAAATCATCAAAAATTCCCGGATTAAAGCTAAATGAGAGTTAGAAAAAAATCGAAATGGCAAACTACAGACTCCCATGCATGTGAATTGCAAACCATCAAGGGAGGTGTCTGATTAGTGGGGAAATGAAGGTCTGGTCTGCAGCCGCTGCAGCACGCTTACTTTCAAACTTTTTGGCCATCAGCAATACTGAGAGGTTCTCATTGACACTGCCCAGTCTGCAACTGTCAATCTGGAGGAACTGCAGGGCCTTCGCCTGTAGGAGTTGCTTAAATATCACTCTATTGTGGCACTGGAAATAGAATTGAAAATAACACCAACAGAAGAGTCAGCCTTGGCCTTCAGGATCTCTAAACCTGGCAACGCAGCCACTCTATGCCAATAATTATTCATCAGTGGCCGTCAGGAAGCCCAGACTGTATTTCTTCTTTGTTCTCGCTGGGCATGAGGCGAGCTTTTATAGCGTGGGCAGGGACCTTGTGCTCACTTCTTTACAAATCTGCTAATGCAACAGTGTGAGTCAGGTCAAAATCACACTGGCTCGCCATTTATGAGGGAATGACTGTCACAGCGACTGATAAGTGGGAGATGAAGCATCAGGATGAAATACGGTGACAGTGATGAGCAGGTGGCACAGATGACAACACGGAACCACGGCAGAGCAGTATTGCTCCTTTTGCCGGGAAAACTGAGAATCAGCTCCTCACGCTGCTCTGCTCGTGGGCTGACTGCAGCAGGTTTTGGCAGGCACTCGGGCTTCATTTATAAGCTCAAAAAGTGAACGCAGTCATGTTTATTCAATTTGAAAGCTGGCTTTCTTAAGACCATTTTCTGCCCTTGCAATAGCAACTTTAAATTGCTGCCTTTTCAATTTCAATTAGACACTTTGAAAAAGATACCCGACCTTAGTCATATAAATTGGAGAAATAGCCACAAACTTTTTCTATATCTGACTCTAGACTCTGATAAAATGACCCAGTTTCTAAGATGATGAAAATTTCCCAACTCAAAGTACAGCAGGTGATGGAGCCTAACACACAACTGTGTCCTCGGTCACTGGTCAGCGTGTACTGACCCCAAGGGGACGTCATCCACCTGTTGGGGGCGTCACTCACCTGTTCTCCTGTGGCAATGCCAATTCCTAATGGGACCAGTGCCTATAAAATAGAAGGCAGCCTGGTGTTATTTTCCTAAGTTTTGAACTGCAACTCCTAATGTTTAAAAACATTTATAGCTGAAGGAGGAAACGGCCCTGCTGTTAAGCCATGTGAAGGCTCAAGACTGGCAAAGGATGTCCAGGGGAACACATGCGTGCGGGAGGGCTCTGTGTATCTGCAGAGGAGAAGGTGAGCACTGCTGAGCTGCCACCACCAGCCCCGTTCCTGACCAGGGCTCTGCAGATCTCCTTCTGCGGTGTCCCGGCCCATGCTCCAGCTGCGCTCCTCCCAACGTGGACAGCACCTCCCTCTCCAGCCTGCGCAGTGGCATAAGGACAGGGCTATTCGGAGTGGCTCATTGTGGACTCACAGGGTCCAACCTTTGGACGACTCCTTCCTGTGGGTCATCACTCCATCAATTCCCTTCTTCTTGCCTCCCTGAGAAACCTCCTTCTAGAACCCTCTCATATCTTTTTTTTTTTTTTTTTTTGAGACCGAGTCTTGCTCTGTCACCCAAGCTGGAGTGCAGTGGCATGATCTTAGCTCACCGCAACCTCCACCCCCCAGGCTGAAGCGATTCTCGTGCCTCAGCCTCCTGAGTAGCTGGGATTAGAGGTGCACGCCACCATGCTGGCTAATTTTTGTATTTTTAATAGAGTCAGGGTTTTGCCATGTTGGCCAGGCTGGTCTCAAACTCCTGACCTCAGATGATCCTCCCGCCTCGGCCTCCCAAAGTGTTGGGATTACAGGTGTGAGCCACTGCACCTGGCCTCATGTCTTTGTTGATTCCAAAATCCTCTTCCTTAAGGCAGGAAAAATCCATGAAAAAAAAAAAAATCCTCTTCCTTCCAGCTCAGTGGGTGGCCTCAGACCTCAATCTGCAGGTTAGGCTGAGACCATTGCTCACCTGGTAGAGTCCTCACCTGGTGAGGTACTGGACTCTGCACCTGAACACAGCCCTGCTGCTCTCTGTCCTCTCACCTGGCCCCTGAACACTACCTCCGTCACCTGCCACCTGGACTCTGGGCGCTCCCATCCATCCTCTACTGTGACTGCGACTCCACAGCTACTCCGCACAGGTAGCCTTGGTTCCTCCCTGGCTTCCCTTCCCTTTGCTTAGGGTAATAGTAATCACACTGACAGCTAACATTTTTGGAGCTCTGAGTACCTGTCAGGTGCTGTGCAAAACACTGACTTAAATGATTCCTGGTCTCAATCCAATGGGAGAGGAGCCAGCGTTATCCCCATTTTATAAAAAATGATAAAACTGTGTGCCGGGTTTGAACTGTTCCTGGATCACAAAGCTAGAAAGTGGTAGAGACTGGGTTGGAACTCCACTGATTCCAGAGCCAGAGGAGGCATCTGAATAATCAGACTAAGCCAACTTCTCAGCAGAAAAATCCCTTCACTCAGCAGCCAAGTATCCCTGATTCCGGTGCTGGCCCCGCATCTCACGGGATGTGTGGCCTTGGGCAAGCCCCGCCTGTGCCACCCAAAGCCTCGGCCTCCTCATCTGCAGAAGGCCTTAGTTTGAGCAGATGGTCTCTAAGGCACCTTTTCAAGCCAACATTTTATGCTTCTTAAAATTTCTAATTTAAGTACTCTTGGTTATTTATCTCCAAAGAGAAGAGAAAGGGAGAAACGGAGGAAGGGGGAGGAGGAAAGGCCATTTGACTTATTTGTTCTACCATTTTAAGCATATATGGCAGACTAGGGGCCAAATGTTTTTCCTCCTTTTCAATATTTCCTGAATCTGCTCTATTCAAGCTGCCCTCTCCCTTTATCTCTCTCAGATTCCTGGAAAAGCCTCCTCGCTCCCATCCCTGCCTGGGTTTCTCCCTGCCCATTCCTCACCTCCCACACACCCTCTGTCTCAATGGACTCTACATGTAGCCACCAGTCACATTATCTGTGCTTCAGCTGTCACTATGCTGTTGTGTTTTTTTTTTTTTTTTTTTTTTGAGATGGAGTATTGCTCTGTCGCCCAGGCTGGAGTGCAATGGCGCAAACTTGGCTTACCGTAACCTCCACTTCCCAGGCTCAAGCCATTCTCCTGCCTCAGCCTCCTGAGTAGCTGGGATTACAGGCACACATCACCGCGCCCTGCTAATTTTTTTTTTTTTTCTGAGATGGAGTCTCGCTCTGTCACCCAGGCTGGAGTGCAGTGGTGCGATTTTGGCTCACTGCAAGCTCCTCCTCCTGGGTTCACGCCATTCTCCTGCCTCAGCCTCTCCGAGTAGCTGGGACTATAGGTGGGCGGATCACGAGGTCAGAAGATCGAGACCAGCTAATTTTTGTATTTTTAGTAGAGACGAGGTTTCACCATGTTGGCCAGGCTGGTCTCAAACTCCTGACCTCAGGTGATCCACCCACCTCGGCCTCCCAAAGTGCTGGGGTTACAGGTGTGAGCCACTATGCCTGGCCACTATGCCGTTCTTTCATCGGAGAAGCTGCGGTGGCTCACTCTGACTGGCTGCATCCTCTGAGTGGACAGACCCCATAATCCAGCCCCACGTGGCAGCCTGTCCCTGGCATGTGCCCTGTGCTCCCTGGGGCATCTCCACTGCCCCCGCCTGGACCTGCAGGCTCTGCAGCTGCTCCTTCCTCAGATACTCCTAAGGGGATGGCCTCCCTCATGTAAGCAAAACCTGGGAGGGTTAGAGCCCTGAGGAGCTTCCTGTGAGATGCTCAGGTAGGCAGAGATCAGGTTGGTGCTAGGCCAGCTGGCATTCAGCAGGGCACAGCCAACCTGAAAGAGCCCTAAGGAGGAAAAAGCAAGTGGGACCCAAGGTGAAAAGTCTTGTTTCCCCGGGGCTCCTCACCTGAGATTCCTATTGTGGAATGATTCCTCAGAAAATTTGGGCTCTGTTTAAATAATGAAGGCTGTGGTCGCTCCATGGCTCCTGCTCACCCTTCCCTCACCTGAGGCTTAGCTTTCCTTATGGAGTCAGCTCTGGCCATCTCCCTCGTCCCAGCCCACACCCAACGTTCTCCTCAATGAACTTTTCTACTGTGCTTGGCATTCAGTGCCCTGGCCCAGTATCCTCCGGTCTTTGTTTCACATATCTCGGCTGTTCTCTCCAGCGAGGCTGCAATGTGGAAGGGGAGGGCATTTCTGAAACCCAGGCTTTGGCAGAGTATCCCACATAATGTAGATCATGTGCTGATTTGCTGAGAGAAACAGAGAACTGGTCCCTGAGTCCCCGACTCCACACCTCCAGTACGACCCATGAATTTATGTGGGATGCATCAAGGTGTCCCTCCTAGAACTGGAACCAAGACTGCTCCATCAGAGTTAAAGGTGTAAGATCAACACAAAATGGGGAGTGTATAGCTATGCAAAGTCACCTCAGGAAAAAATGTTCCTAGGCAGGCAGGATGTGGCTATAAGCCACATGAATGTACAGTCGTGTCACTGAATGACAAGGTTACCCTCTGAGAAATGTGCCGTTGGGCTGTTTCATCATTGTGTGAACATCATAGAGTGTACGTCCATGACCCTAGATGGTAGAGACTACTACACGCCCTAGGCTATATGGCATGGCCTATTGCTCCCAGGCTACAAACCTGTACAGCATGCTACTGTTCTGAACGCTGCAGGCAATTGGAACACAATGGCCAGTATCTAAACATACTTAAACATAGGAAAGGTAATGCGTTGCACCACATTACAATCTCTACAACGTCACTGGGCAATGAGTTTTTCAGCTCCATTATAAGCTTATGGGATTATATATACTGCGCCATTATATAGGCAGTCTTTCACTGACTGAAACATTGTTATGGGGCACATGACTGTGCCAAACCAGTTAGCGTGTAGGAGAAAAAAAATTATCAGATGAAAACACAAGGCCGGGCGCGGTGGCTCACTCCTGTAATCCAGCACTTTGGGAGGCCAAGGCGGGCAGATGGTCTGAGGTCAGGAGTTCGAGACAGGCCTGGCCAATGTGGTGAAACCTCATCTCTACTAAAAATACCAAAAAAAAAAAAAAAAAAAAAGCCAGGCATGGTGGCACACATCTGTAGTCCCAGCTACTCAGGAGGCTGAGGCAGAAGAATTGCTTGAACTCGGGAGGCAGAGGTTGCAGTGAGCCGAGATCATGCCATTGCACTCCAGCCTGGGCAACAGAGTAAGACTCTATCTCAAAACAAAACAAAACAAAACAAAAAAAACCACCAAAAAACAAAAAAAAAAAATGCTGTCACATTTCTGTATTTACAAAGCATAGGAACCATGTCTATTAACCTTCAAATTGCTGGTAGCCCTTCAACTTTTAGCAGCTTACTTTATCTAAAACAAACAGAAATAAGGGCAAAGTATAAGCTGAAGTAGAAAAAGGAATGTCAGGTCTGTAACCCCTGTATTTGTCACACATTACAATTATTTCAGCTACTTCAACAGGAAATGCAAGAGGGAACAAGTGAAGAAATTTTAGGATCTGTCCCCAGCACTCTGGAAAACTAAACAGAAAAATAAGCTGCCACAGCAGCAGCAGCCGTTTTCCTACCTTGGAAATGGTGGCGTGCCCCAGAATGTCATCAGGGGAGGTTGGCTCCTCAATCCACAATGGCTTGAACTTGGCCAGCTTGGACATCCACTCCACCGCCTCAGGCACATCCCAGCGCTGGTTGGCATCCATCATCTGCAAAAAGAGACTCTTCACAGGGAGGTCAGCCCTGAGCCAACCTCACAGCAGGGCTGCGGCTCCCAGGGAGGAAATGCTGTCACTCAGTGCCACCAACAGCTGAGTGAGACCCCCTAACGCCTCTGCTGAGGCCCAGCACACGGCCCTAACAAAAAGAGCCAGAGAGCAGCTGCTGAGACGGGGACTCTGGCTCCAGGTACAGTCTTTAGGAGGAGCCGTGAATCGCTTGAGGAGCCACTGGATGTCCAGCAGTGCCCTGGGCTGGGCCATGAGAAGTGCTCGCTGGCCCTGGGCTCTGGTCCAATCTCCATCTAGATGCCACCCAAATACATGTGTCTTGCAGTGTTGGTTCTGTTCGTAGAAACCATTTTGTCACATTCTGAATCATGCACAATCAACATTGTTTGTTCAATAGTCATTTATTGACTATTGCCCACTGTGTGTCTGGCACAATAATAAGTAGCCTTAACTCTCCCATAATGGCACACCTACTCCACTAGGCACTTTATGGATTTTGTTCCATTTAATATTTATAATAACTGGCCAGGCATGGTGGCTCATGCCTGTAATCTCAACACTCTGGGAGGCTGAAGCCCGTGGATTTCTTTTCTTTTTCTTTTTTTTTTTTGAGACAGAGTCTCGCTCTGTCACCAAGGCTGGAGTGCAGTGGCGCTATCTCGGCTCACTGCAACCTCTGCCTCCCAGGTTCACGCCATTCTCCTGCCTCAGCCTCCCGAGTAGCTGGGACTACAGGCGCCCACCACCACACCAGGCTATTTTTTTTTGTATTTTTAGTAGAGACGGGGTTTCACCATGTTAGCCAGGATGGTCTCAATCTCCTGACCTTGTGATCCGCCCGCCTCGGCCTCCCAAAGTGCTGGGATTACAGCCATGAGCCACTGCATCTGGCCCAGCCTGTGGATTTCTTGAGCCCAGGAGTTCAAGACCAGGCTGGGCAACATAGCAAAATCCTCTCTCTACAAAAAATACAAAAATTAGCTGGGTGTGGTGGCTCTCACTTGTAGTCCCAGCTACTCAGGGGGTTGAGGTGGGAGGATCCCCTGAGCCAGGGGAGGTCAAGGCTGCAGTGAGGTGTGATCATGCTGCTGTACTCTAGCCTGGGTGACTGAGTGAGACCCTATCTCAAAAAATAATAATAATAACCCCATGAGGCAGTTCATATTAACCCATTTTACAAATAAGAAAACTGTCATGCAGAGAAATTCAGTAACTTGCTTAAGAACAATAAATCTAGTGAATGGTGAGTTCAAGTCCAGTCCTCTCCCTCCTAGGCCCTGGCTCTCTGTGTACCACTATCCTTCTTGGAAGCCAGGTGATGGCTGTGCCCAGCTTAAGGGACAGCCCCTCATCCCTGATCTTATTGTGCTTGGAGAAATGGACATCTCTACAGAATGTGCTAAGTGATAAGAGCTCTCTCCCAGGACACTATGAAAACCAGAGGACAGTATGCTCAGAATGGATTTTTTTTTTTTAAGAGGCTGGATCTCACTCTGTTGCCCATGCTGGAGTGCAGTGGTATTATTGTAGCTCACTGCAGCCTCCAACTCCTGAGCTCAGTGATCCTCTTGCCCCATCTTCCAAAGTAGGAGGGATTACAGACATGCACCACCACACCTGGTTAATTTTTTTTCTTCTTTCTTTTAGAGAGAGAGTCTTGCTATGTAGCCCAGGCTGGTCCCAAACTCCTGGCCTCAAGTGATCCACCTGCTTCAGCCTCCCAAAGTGTTAGGATTATAGGCATGAGCCATATAATGCTAACACTTTTTTTTCTTGTATTTTTCGGTACAGATGGGGTTTTTCCATGTTGCCAGGCTGATCTTGTACTCCTGAGCTCCGGCAATCCACTCACCTAGGCATCCCAAAGTGCTAGGATTACAGGCATGAGCCACAGCATCTGGCCAGCCCAGAATCAATTTTTATCATAAGTTATTTGGATACAGATGACTTCATTAAAAAAAAAAAGCAGCATTAATTCATGTATAAATAGTGATCCTGGGTCAAGAACTCAAAATTTCTATTTTAACTTATGCAAAAAAGCCTCCAAAGCCTCATAAAAACATCTTACTGTGACTTTATGAAAATATTTTACACGTAAGAACTGGTTTATAAAAATACAAATCAGAAATGACTGATCCTTACATTTATCTCAGCTGAAGTTCCAACATTTCTTCAGTAATGGCCCCCTGACACCCTCCTACCTGAGGAGCTAGGAGGGGAGATTACATGATTGACACACCAGAGCACCAATGGGAAAACTGTTTGCTCAGGTACATCTGTGTTAGTAAGAAAGGATCCTTAACCCCAAACTTACTTAACTAGTTCTGCAGAATTAAAAAACGTAAAACTATTAGTCCCTTTGCTTATTTTTGTTTGAGCTCGCCTACTGCAAGACCACAGAAGTGTACTTCCTCTGACAATTAACTTTTTAAATTCCCAATGTTCTTTAATCTTGAAACGAGTTGTATTTAGCCCTGGACAAAGGCTACTGCTTCTTAGTGGTGTGAGAGGATATTTACCAAAGTCTTTTCCGGTCCAATCATGTCTCGGATGATTTGGCATCTTCGCATGTCATCCTGGAGATCAGCACCCACCTTTACTTTAAACCTAGAAAATGCATTTGGTTTGCTAGTTTAGACCTGTACCTGGACTTGGCAAGGGCATCTGGAGTTTCTGCAGAAGTGACCGTCTCTGTCAACAATTCACAGATATGTTTTTTAGTAACCTCTTGCTCTTTCCTCATCTTCAGATAAGTCACTTGAAATAAACCTGGGAACTTTATCTCTTCATTCAGTATCAGGGCAATGACTCTCAATTATCTGCTGACCTGGAGTTAAGGAGCTAGACAGGGAAGTCAGGTCTTTAATATAATTAACTCCGTTTTTGCCGGGCCATGAAAAGGAATTAAGAACAAAAAAGCCACAGTGAGAACTGAAGAGGAGAGCGGGGCTGAAAAGGGGTGCCGAGTAAGCCACACTGTGATAGACTGAATGGAAAGGGTCTGGTTTACAAAGGAGAGCTTTGTCTTGAATTAACTCAGTGAGAGGAAGGCCACAGGGATGGTCTGTCCCCTGCAGTGCAGGGGCCTGAGGTTCCGGGAGGGAAAGTGATGAGATCAGGTAACTAGGGAATAGCAGAGTGCGGCTGGAGCCTCCGTGCAGAGGTCTCCTTTACACCACATCCAGACACTTGTAGGGAGCTCCTTAATCTCTGTGGATGTCCAGCTGTTCTCTTGAGACATGGGCCTCTATGTCCACACCCTATGACTCTGCTGTCAGAAGAGTGTGTTGCTGGCCTCAGTGTGGGCACTGGCAGGTGGAGGAGGGGACACCACCACGGGGAGGCCAGCATCTGCCCCCTCGAACAGCAGCCTACCCTCCCTGTGCGCCTCCTTGGCTGAGGTCCCCCTGCTGCTTTGCAAAGAGCCCCAGCTTGCAGAGTGCCGCACATTCTCAGGCACCTGCTGTTCTCTTCTGTACCAGCTGGAGGCTTCAACTACATGATCCGTGATGCTCCAGAGAGGGTGGCTGGCCTTAGGCTCTGGGTGCCAGGCTTCCTGTGCTGGGAAGAGACCCTTTAAATCTCCCCACAGCCTTCTCTGACTCACCAGATACACTGCTGCAGCCTCCCCCGGGTATGCAGAGGGAGGGCAAACAGCACTTACAGCAGCTGCTCTGAATCCTGCCCTGTGCTGGTCCTTCTGAGATATGGCAACTTGGAGGAGGACCAAAGCTCATATTATTTCTACTGAGAGAAAATGAAGTTCAGAGAGGTTGAGTAATTGATCACACAGCAAGTACTTGCAGCGGATGAGGGGAAAAGGCAAGATGTGATTTCAGTTCTATCAGATGCCAACACCTCTTTCCGCGGCTTCATGCTGCCTCCTTCAAGTTCTCACTCCTCAAGCCTTTATTTAGCTGAGGCATTAACAAGAATTCAGTGCCTCTCCAACTTAAGAACGCATAGGAATCACTAGGGGATCTTGTTCCAATGCAGATTCCCAGGCAGCGGGTCTGGGGAGAGGCCCAGGCTGCATTTCTCACAAGCTCCCAGGTGATGCTGGAGCTCCTGCTCCACAGGACACACTGAGTAGCAGGAGGCTCAGAGACCAGAGTGGCTGCAAGTCAGATAGGAAGCCTGGTGACATGTCACAGGCAAAAAGTGCCACCGTGAGCTGTGCTGAGGGACACACAGTGACTGGGTCAAAAGAGATGATGGTCCCTCTGCATCCTGCCCTGTTTCAGGATGCAGGGTCATCAACCATCGAGGTTCATCCAGAGAAGGTCTTAGGATGGCCAGAGGTCTTTACCTGCACAGGCGAGAGTCAGAAGGGAGAAGTGCAGATGAGCAGTGTGGAAAGGAGGTGGCCTGGAGGGAGAGGAGGGCACTCAAGTGGAAGAGGAACAGCCTGGCTCTTGGGAACTGGGACCTCTGGCTGGAAATTACATGGAAGCAAAGGGTTGCTGATATTAAAGACCCACCTGGCTGGGTGCAGTGGCTCACGCCTATAATCCCAGCACTTTGGGAGGCTGAGGCAGGCGGATCACCTGAGGTCAGGAGTTCAGGACCAGCCTGATCAACATAGCGAAACCCTGTCTCTATTAAAAATACAAAAATTAGCCAGGTGTGGTGGCGGGTGTCTGTAATCCCAGCTGCTAGGGAGGCTGAGGCAGGAGAATGGCTTGAATCCGGGAGGTGGAGCTTGCACTGAGCCGAGATTGCGCCACTGCACTCCAGTCTGGGTGACGAGAGTGAAACTTCATCTCAAAAAAAAAAAAGAGAAGAAAAGACCCACCTAATACTCAAAGCCCTCAAAGAATGGAAAGTGCCTCACCAAGTTAAGCTCGCTGCCTCTGGAGATGTTCATGCAGAAACTGAATCAACGCTGTTACTGACAGTAAAGACTGGATTTCTACTCTAGGTTAGTGCCCGAAATAAACAATCTCCCAAGCCTCTTTCAACTCTGATGGCCTATAATTCTAATGAGGACTCACATCCTGCCTTTAGAGAAAGAGCCTGGCCTAAGGGGAAACTTCTCTTATGCATCCCTATGAGCCAGGGGGATCCTAGCCCGTGGGTGCCTTTTACTCCTTGGCTCCCTGCCAGGAGAGACTTACTGCCTGAGTCTCTCCTGCCGCCAACTGGGAAAGTCAGGTCCATCATCACACTCACCTGGTCCAGCCATCCTTCAGCGCCTGGGCACAGAGCTGTGGGAAAGGAGCACAGGGTCACACACTGGAGAGAGCCCCTTGGTCTGACCAGGAAGTCAGTCATTGCTGATCTGTTTCACAAGCATTACGGTTATAGCATAGACCAGAGTAACACCCATGTGTTGTTGAAATTAACAGCAGAAACAGCCTGGCTGACAGAGATCACTTTTTACTTGTAGGGTGACTTTCTTTCCTCATCTCTATGGGAACCATTTTTTTAATGGTCACAACCTTCCCGGAAGGGGAAGATAGCACTGATCTCTCTCTTTTTAAAGCTAGAATATTCTGTGGCATCCATAGAATGAGTGGATATAAGAGTAACATGCAGAAGCCAGCCTCTCTCTCCACTCTCTAGAAGTGGGCACAGTGTAAGGAGAAACAGTAATAAATCCACCATGTGCCGACTGCATGCCATGTGCCAGCCATGGTGCCTTGAGCATGACGCAACTTACAGCATGTATCTGAATCCTCAAAACCACCCCATGAAATAGGCATTACTTCTCAATCTCGCAGTGGGTCTACCGCTGGTGCTGCCCAGGAATCTTACCCTAGGCTGTCACCTTCCAGAGCCCAAGGTGACTCACTAAGTCACAGAGTCCTGCGGTCCACAAAATGAATGGCTTTGCATTTGCTTGTGTACTTTCAGAACGAGGGCTTGGATCCAAAATAATTTTTTTGTTGTTTTTTGAGACGGACTCTTGTTCTGTCACCCAGGTTGGAGGGCAGTGGCGTGATCTCGGCTCATTGCAACCCCTGCCTCCTGGGTTCAAGTGATTCTCCTGCCTCAGCCTCCTGAGTGGCTGGGACTACAGATACGCATTACCACGCCCAGATAATTTTTTGTATTTTTAGTAGAGACGGGGTTTCACCATGTTGGCCAGGCTGGTTTTGAACTTCTGACCTCAGGTGATCCACCCACCTCAGCCTCCCAAAATGCTAGGATTATAGGCGTGAGCCACTGCCCTCAGCCAAAATGATTTAGAGAGGTGAACAGGAAAGTATTAAATTTCTCCCAGAGAGGCTGGAATCAAAAGCCCATGTGACATAAGAAGGAATATATATTTTGTCTCTGCCCCCATCGCTGCCCCCCTATTTCCTAACACACAACACACAGCCCCTAAAACCCTTGGCATCTCCTGAGTGATAGGAGTGTCTTTTGTACGTGAACGAGAGAGCCCTGCTGAGGTCCCCTACGTAGCTTCAGGACGGGGCTGGGGACCAGAAAGACCTGAAAGGCATGATTGTGGGGTTGGAAACTTTAGCCTATTCCCAGATAGCTGGGGAGGCGAGGGGGCTGAAGGCTGAATTGATGGCCAATGGCCAAATAATGAATCACATCTAAATACTGAAGCCTCCATAAAACCCCCAAGGAACAGGGTTCAGAGAGCTTCCAGGTTGGTGAACACGTGGAGGTACTGGGAGTGTGGCTCACCTGGAGGGGACATGGAAGCTCTGTACCCCCTCCTCACACCTTGCCCTGTGTGTCTCTTCAGTTTGGCTGTTCTTAAGTTGCATCCTTTATAATAAATGAGTAAACATAAGTAGTGTTTCCCTGAATTCCGTGAGCCATTCCACCAAATGATTCAACTCAAAGCGGGGTTTGTGGGAACCTCTAATCTGAGGCAAAGCCAGTCAGAAGCACAGGTGACAACGTGGACTTGTGACTGGCATCTGCCATAGGGCAGTCCTGTAAGACTGAGCCCTTAACCTGTGGGGTCTGAGGCTAGTTCCAGGTATGTGCTGTCAGAATTGAGTAAAATAGCAGGACACCCAGTTGGTGTCCACAGAGAAGTGGAGAACTGGTTGGCGTGAGAAGGAAAACCACACACATCTGGTGTCAGAAGTGAGGTACTGAGAGTAGTGGTATGAGGACAGAAGGAAAAACAGGTTGGTTTCTCCCCATTCAGCTGTCTACAAAGCCAGGTTAAAATGCCCACCTGCTTCAACGTGTCATCTGAGTACCCCAGCCAGGCGCACGATGTCGTGTAAGCAGGGTATCCTTGTGCCAGCATTTGCTTCTCTGTGAAAACACAGCGCCGTCAACATTTTGCACTTTCCAGGGCCCTTCGGAATTGGAAGTGCCTGTAGCTAAGCTGTTTCCCCTGGAGAGTCCAGCTGTTCTCCTGATCCGGCCCTGCACACACACACCCAGCCACAAATTACTAGGATGTCAAACCCAGGTGATCAGGATACTCTCACGGACTGCCCTGCTCCCCCAGGGCTCTCCCTACAGTGTAATCCTAAAGCCAAACTTCCTTTCAGCAGTGGCTGAAGCAAACTCTGCAGTCAGAGGTCATACCCAGCAGGCTTCACCATGCAGACTTGAATGTTGATTTGAGGGCCTAGCTGCTCAGCACAGGGCATTTGGGAAGACAATGTGTACCCCAAAAGGACAGGGGCACTCAAAAGTGGACAATGTTAGCAAAAACAATGAAGAAAATTTTCTTACAACCCACCTCTTTCTTTTTTACCAATTTGACCTTTCTGCAGTATTTCTGGAAGAAATAAAAAGCATCACTCACTCTTTTAGGAAACAAAGCATGCCACTACTGTGTGTGCACGTCGTGTATCCCAGAAAGCTTCCAAACTCACCTAGGGCATCCTCCTCAGTCAGGACATCAGTGATGTACCTGAAATCTATGCAGGATACCAGCATCCTGGGATCCTGGCAACGTGACAGGAGGGGAAGAGGCCTGAATCAATTATAAGGTGGGTTATATTTTGTTTTTTAAAATTTATTATTCTTTTTTTAGAGACAAGGTCTCACTCTGTTGCCCAGGCTGGAGTGCAGTGATGCCATCATAGCTCACTGCAGCCTCAGTCTCCCTGGCTTATGTGATCCTCCTGCCTCAGCCTCCTGAGTAGCTGGGACTCCAGGTATGTGCCACTATGCCCGGCTAATTTATTTTTATTTTTGTAGAGATGGGGTCTCACTATGTTGACCAGGTTGATCTTGAGCTCCTGGCTTCAAGCAATCCTCCCTCCTTGGCCTCCCAAAGTGCTGGGATGACAGGGGTGGGTTATGTTTCTAAGAAGTTGCTTATGGTGATACATGGGGCTCATTCTTTCCTGGCAGGGACCTTTAGGGCTTTGTTAAATTGTTTGACTCTGTCATTCCTAAATGTAGAGTCCTTTAGAGGCTCCTCACTGCCCCTGACGAAGCCCTCAAACGCTCATGCTCTGATCCCTTGCCACCCGCCCCCACCCTGTTCTTTCCAGCTAAAATGACTTCCCGGAAGGAGGACCTGGCCCCAGGCAAACACTCAGCAGGAGCTCAGTGGGGAGATGAACGCCTGGCATCACTCTGTACATCAGCGCCACACCGCAGGGCTGTCCACGGTGAGCTATGAGGCTGGAGATGGTTCTGGAGCAGTGAACTGCAGAGGAAAGAAGGCTGCCCTACCCCTGGGCCACCAATCACTAGCAGTGTGACCTCCGGCAGCTTCTTCTCCTGCCAAATGGGGATGTTTGCTTCACTGACAGAAACACAGTGGGTGAACCGGGAGTGAGCGGCCCACTTGGCTGACCACTTACCAACATTTCGGCGGGGCCTCGTGCTGAGACCTCTCCCCACCCTGACGGAACAGTCAGTTGGAAAACAGCCAGTAGTTCCATTCCCACTAACATCTTATAGTGACCAATAATACTCTACCATAACTGTCGAAAATCCTAAAAACTCTTTCAACCCTGAGATTCTACTTCTAAGAGTTCTGGGCCAGGTTCGGTGGCTCACATCTGTAATCCCAGCACTTTGGGAGGCTGAGATGGGTGGATCACCTGAGGTCCGGAGTTCGAGCTCAGACTGACCAACATGGTGAAACCCCGTTTTCACTAAAAATACAAAAAATTAGCTGGGCATGGTGGCGGGTGCCTGTAATCCCAGCTACTCAGGAGGCTGAGACAGGAGAATCGCTTGAATCAGTTGCAGTGAGCTGAGATCATGCCACTGTACTGTAGCCTGGGCAACAAGAAGAAAACTCCGTCTAAAAAAAAAAAAAAGAAAGAAAGAAAAAAAGAAAAAAGAAAAGAGTACTGGCATTGAAAGGGAACAGGATCCAAAAATGGAGGGTCCACAGGTGGGACCTCAGGCACATTTCTGGTGGCCTGCAAATCATTCCCTTTTGGTGGCTACCTCCTCCATCCCCGTAAAACGCCAACCTTGAATCTAGAAGGGGGCTCAAGAGCTCTGTGTCCTTCCCCTACGGATGGCCCGGAAGCCACTCTCCATGTCAGAGACGATGTGACAGCCTCCTGTCTTCACTTTCCTCCGGAGGAGGAGCAGTCTCCTGCCCAACACTCTTCAAGGCCATGGTGTTCTTTGTTTTTCCTTAATTTTTTGCCAACTAATAACAAGGGCCTTCATTTGTGGATCACGAGGTTTTTAACCGCCACCCAGGTGTTGCACTGAGGCCACCGCAGCTCAGAGTGGGGAAGTCACATGCTCAAGGTCATGCAGCTGGTGAGCAGTGAAACCCGGACTCACAGCCAGCTCTGCATGGGGTCTGAAGCTCATTCCCCTTTAATTTGCCCAGTTTTTTCCTCCTCAGCATCCAGTTGTTCACCCCTGCTATGAAAAGGTCAAGGAGAAAGAAAACAGTCAAGTGCATAGCTTTAGAATTCAGTGTTGAGCTCCTTCCCTGCTGGAATTGTACAGTAGAGGCTACAATGGCCTGATCTTATTCTTGGTGTCAAAGTGACTGGATAGTATCTTTTCTTTTTTCTTTTTTTGAGACAGGGTCTTGCTCTGTCACCTGAGTGCAGTGGTGCAATTATAGCTCACTGCAGCCTGAAACTCCTGGGCTCAAGCCATCCTCCAGCCTTCCAAAGTATTGGGATTACAGGCTTGAGCCACCATGCCTGGCCTGGATAATATCTTCATAATATTATAACATCTGGCTTTTCAGAGTTTATGAGGTGCTTTTCTCATTGATCTTTAATTTTGTGAGGTTCCTAGAGAAGTTAGGATGATCCTCTTGTCATAGTCAGGCAATGGAGGCTCAGAGAACTGGCACCGTGTGTTACACATGCACAGTGGGGGAGGCAGGACCCCCTCACTGCTTCCCCTCATGCCACCCTGCCTGCATGAGCACAGCCATCTGTTACGTCAGATATCAGAAAAGGAATGTCATATTTTATTGGCTTTTTGCTTTATCATCGCTATAGTGATCAACAGATAGTCCTGAATATATTTACTGATCATCAAAAGGCATGTCATCAATGATATCCATTTCATTTACAGAAACAATTGTAACATTAACAATGCTACTCACCATGTCCACAAGTAACTTCCAGACAGGCTTGAAGTAAAAAAGAAAGGATTTGTAAGACATATGTGTAAAGTCCCCATTTTTTCCTGACAGTAAACGCGTTGGCAGCTCTAATGCTGGCTGTCAGCCACCAGGTCCCCACACCCCCCTCTACTGCTGCCTGCGCCTTCCGCCATCCTGTCTCCTCTTTCTCCTCCTCCTGCAGTTCCCTACCTACTGCCAAAACCTCTCAGAGGAGAAAAAAACACCAAAGCAATTATCTGTATTTCCTTTTGGGGGCTGCAGTGTGTCTGTCTTTCCTCTGTGCGTAGGGAAAGTCAGTGTCGTACAGCTCCCAGGAGCCTCCTGAGCGTTTGTGAGAGGGGTTACCTTTCCCTCCTGCTTGGCCCACAAGTCCCACACCGCGTTTAGGACGGCCGCTGTCGCCAGGTGCACCACGCCCTTTTCTGGACCAATCTGGTTAGGAAGCAAAGTACAAAAGCACTTTTTAGAAATGAAAAAGAGGGCTGGGTGTGATGGCTCATGCCTGTAAACCCAGGACTTTGGGACCAAGACCAGCCTGGCCAACATGGTGAAACCCCGTCTCTACTGAAAACAGAGAAATGAGCCAGGTGTGGTGGTTTGTGCCTGTAGTCCCTACTCAGGAGGCTGAGGCAAGAGGATCTCTCGAACCCAGAAGGCGGAGGTTGCAGTGAGCCAAGATCGCACCACTACACTCCAGCCTGGGCAACAGAGCAAGACTCTGTCTCAAAAAAAAAAAAAAAGAGAGAGAGAGAAAGATATTTAGGTCTTCCGTCCAGGGACACATCTCAAGAATTAAAAGGTAGCAATAGAAACCCACCTAAAGGTTAAGTTTAAAAAAAACAGTTGCTAACCTATTGAAGAGTTTTAAGAATAGCAGGAAAAACACCTGTGTTTTCCTCTCTTCTTTCTCTCTCTCTATATATATGTTAAGTATATGTATGTATATACATATGAACACACACACATATGTACTTCTTTTTTCTGAACCATTTGAATAAAGTTGCAAATATCATGCTCTCTTAACCCTAAATACATCAGTGTATAGTTCCTGAAAACAAGGATATTTTCTTACATAACCGTAGTACAATAATCACACTCAGGGAATATAACATTGATAGAATATTGCTGTCTAAAGGCCAGTCCATAATCAAATGTCACCAGTTTTTTCCAATAATGTATTTTATTTTACCCTAATCCATATCCCATCTGGGATCACGTATTACATTTAGTCGCCATGCCTCTTTAGTCTCTTTTTACCTGGAATAATTTTTCTTCTTCTTTTTTAAATGTTATTAGCATTTTAAAAGAGTACAGGCCACTTGATTTGTACAGCATTCCTCAATCTGGGCTGATCTGGAGTTCCTTCATGACTAGATTCAGGTAATACATTTTTTGGCATCAATACTACATAAGTGATTATGTCATTTTGTTTTATTATTAGGATTGTTAACTTTTACCACTTGGGTAACTTAGTGTCCATTTGCTTTCTCCACTGTGAAGTTACCATTTCATTTTCCAAGTAAGGAGGTTATTATTGTCCCAAAATTTGGGCATCCCTTGATGACTCTTGCCTCAATTAATTGTAGCTATGACAGTTATGGTGATTTTCTGATGTTATCATTCCTTTTATATTTATTAGATTTTAATCAGCTGTAATGGGCTTGACCTTGTTGTTTATTACCTCCTTAAAAATTTTTTATTTTATTATTTTTATTTTTAAAAAGTACAGACGGGGGTCTCAACTATGCTGCCCAGGCTGGTCTTGAACTCCTGGCCTTAAGTGATTCTCCTGCTTCAGCCCCAAGGTGCTGGGATTATAGGCGTGAGCTACTGTGCCCAGCTGATTGTTCATTATCTGAATGGACTCATGGATTTTATTCAATGGGTTATAAGCCATTACTATCATATTTATTTGGATGTTCAAATTGTCCCAGATTCAGCCAATGGGAACTTCTTCAAGGTGACATCTTTCAAGGTAAGTTTAATATTCTCTGTATAAAGTAAAAGATGAAATCCCAGGCACTATTGAAAGTACATTCTCTTGTGCCCTTCTCAGTGCATGGATGGGAGACTAAGCCGGGTTAGGAAAAGACAAAATCCAGTATCACGGGACAAAGGCAAAGGTCAGGGTATTGAATTCACCTTATTGTGTTGGAATCCTTTCTCCAGAGCCTAACTTTTTCATGCCTTGAATTTATAGTTCAAATACCAAACACATAAAAGGTACCATGGTCTTCCATCTTTTTAAATTTGCTCTTCTCTTAATGTTTTCTCTTTAATGACCTTCTTTTACATCTCTCTCTTTTTTTTTTTTTTTTTTTTGTTTTGAGACAGAGTCTCACTCTGTTGCCCAGGCTGGAGTGCAGTGGTGCGATCTCGGCTCACTGCAAGCTCCGCCTCCCAGGTTCACGCCGTTCTCCTGCCTCAGCCTCCTGAGTAACTGGGACTATAGGCGCCCGCCACCATGCCCGGCTAATTTTTTGTATTTTTAGTAGAGACGGGGTTTCACCATGTTAGCCAGGATGGTCTCGACCTCCTGACCTCGTGATCTGCCTGCCTTGGCCTCCCAAAGTGCTGGGATTACAGGAGTGAGCCACCGCGCCCGGCCTGACCTTCTCTTACATCTCTAACACTACTCACATTATTTCTCCATAAAGAGATTGCCCATTTAGTACTTTATCCTCTAGAGCACTTTCCAATTCAGGGAGGAGGAGATGAGGTCCTTAGAGAAGAGATAGCTCTTAGGACCCAAATCTCAGGACCTCATCTCCTTAGTAGAACATTTTATTCAGCTAAATTCAGTCTTGAGTCATTTAGATCATCAGTCTTACAGAAATGAGTTGTTTACCTCAAAATACTGATGATCTAAATGACTCAAGCCTGAATTTAACTGAATAAAATGTTTTACTTTAAAATTATAAACACATCTCTAGGATGGGCATGGTGGCTCACACCTGTAATCCCAGCACTTTGGGAGGCTGAGGAAGGCGGATCACTTGAGGTCAGGAGTTCGAGACCAGCCTGGCCAACGTGGTCAAACCCCATCTCTACTAAAATTACAAACATTAGCCAGGTGTGCTAGTGCATGCCTGTAGTCCCAGCTACTCAGGAGGCTGAAGCAGGAGAACTGTTTGAACCCAGGAGGCGGAGGTTGCAGTGAGCCAAGATTGCATCACTGCACTCCAACGTGGGTGACAGAGTGAGACTCCATCTCAAAAAATAAATAAATAAACAAATAAATAAACCCATCTCTATTTTCACATTCGTTGCACTCAAAGGACATCTCAGACCTTGGTAATATTACTTATGTAAGCATTTTACAAAATAGGTCCCTTACCCATCTGAGCTGCCCATCACTTGTGAGCTGCCTATAGAAGCCTCTGAAGTCACCAACAATGTCCTTGAGGTCCTTGTTGAGCACATGGTGGGCGAGGGCATTCACAGCACAGACAACTATTTAAAAAGGATTGAACTCTTGTTTATGCTTCTATACTAGGTCAAGAAATTAGCACCTGAAAACATCACAAACAAACAAATGTGAAAGTTTTATGAAAAAATTAAATCTAGGCCAGGCGCGGTGGCTCATGCCTGTAATCTCAACACTTTGGGAGGCCACGGCAGGAGGACCACTTGAGATGAGGAGCTCCAGACCAGTCTGGCCAAAATGGCAAAACCCTGTCTCTACTGAAAATACAAAAATTAGCAGGGCACAGTGGTGCGCACCTGTAATCCCAGCTACTCAGGAGGCTGAGGCAGGAGAATCGCTTGAACCCAGGAGGCAGAGGTTGCAGTGAGCCGAGATTGCACCACTGCACTCCAGCCTGGGCAACAAGAGTGAGACTCTATCTCAAAGGTATATTCTTTTTAAAATTGCATCAAATATGTTTTCTTTTCTTTTCTTTTCTTTTTTAGGCAGGGTCTCACTCTGTCACCCAGGCTTGAGTGCAGTGGCACTATCACGGCTCACCGCAACCTTGACCTCCCCGGCTCAGGTAATCCTCCCACCTCAGCTTCTCGAGAAGCTAGGATTACAGGCATGTGCCGCCACACCTGGTTAATTTTGGTATTTTTTGTAGAGACGCAGTTTCGACATGCTGCCCAGGCTGGTGTCAAATTACTGCGCTCAAGTGATCCACCCGCCTTGGCCTCCCAAAGTTCTGGGATTACAGGCATAAGCCACTGTGCCCAGCCCCATATGTTTTCTGTGGTTGTCATAAGAAATATCACACAAGTAGAACACGTGTTAATCCATATACTGAGCTAAACTTCCTGAGTAGAGAACACATTGTGATTGGCTGTCACATGAAAAACAGAATCATAGATTGACAAGTTTAAATATAAATGTTCCCAAATTATTTTCCTATTCACTTTGTAAAGTGTTTGAACAATCAGATTCAAAACCAAACCACACTAGTTCATGTTCCTAAGGAATAAGAAGGCTGACTTCATAGAATTTTTAAAAGGAGAAATGCCTTTTCATTATTGACAAGTATAGAAAATGCCTTGAATTCATAACATAAACTATTAAACATTAAATAAAATGAATTTGCAATTAGCATACTATTTATATGTAAAATGTTAAAATATATGAAAACACTGTCTTAACATGAAATTTCTTACTATTGACTTTCTTATGATATACTACATTTTTCATAAGTAATTTGAAGGTTAAATTTAATTTGGGTCGGCATTACCATCAATTATTTATTTTTGGTACCTTTAATTATTATTTTTTAGAGACAGGGTTTCACTCTGTCACCCAGCCTGGAGTGCAGTGGCGGGATCTAGGCTCATTGCAATCTCTGCGTCCTGGGCTCAAGTGATCCTTCCACCTCCGCCTCCTGAGTAGCTGAGACCACAGGCTTGAGCTGCCATGCCCAGCTAATTTCTTGTATTTTTGGTAGAGACAGGGTTTCACCATGCTTCCCAGGCTGGTCTCGAGCTCCTGAGCTCAAGTGATACACCTGCCTCGGCCACCAAAATTGCTGGGATTACAGGCCTGAGACACTGCACCCAGCACCTCACTGTAATCTTGAATGCCTAGCCTCAAGCAATCTTTTTGTCTCAGCCTCCTGAGTAGCTAGGACCTACACGCAACACCACACCAGCTAATTTTTAAATTTTTTGTAGTGACAAGGTCTTGCTATGTTGCATGGGGCAGTGGGTGGGGAGGTTCTGGAACTCTGGGCTCAAGCAATCCTCCCACCTCGGCCTCCTGAAGTGTTGGGATTACAGGTGTGAGCCACCATGTCCTGTGGTATTTTACTTTGAAAGGATTTCTTGGACCTGGCGCTCACTCCTGTAATGCCAGCACTTTGGGAGGCTGAGGTGGGTGGATCACTTGAGCTCAGGAATTTGAGACCAGCCTGGGCAGTGTGGCAAGACATCATCTCTACAAAAAATACAAAAATTAGCCGGTTGCGGTGGTGCGCCTGTGGTCCCCGCCTCTCGGGAGGCTGAGGTAGGAGGATCACTTGAGGTAGGAGGATCACTTTAGCTTTGGAGGCAGAGGTTGCAGTGAGCTGAGATTGTGCCACTGCACTCCAGCCTAGGTGACAGAGCTGGGCCCTGTCTCAAATAATAATAATAATAATAATAATAATATAAAGGCTTTCTTGGGTTATTTAAGATGATGAATAAGTAAAGTAACCCTTTGATCCTTTGCCAATTCTAGGAAACATTTAGCCTACGTTGTGTAAATGGACACAATAATTGAATCAAGCCATCAACTTAGCTTCAAAGAAAGGAATGTATTCCAAAACGTTTTGATTAATTTGTTTGGTGCTGCCGTGGATTCAATAGTAAAAGTTTTTAGTCATTTAATAGGACAGTTGTAGGGGTACAGTTTTACTGTCAATAAGATCTTGAGAAGGACAGTTTGAAAGTGGTGCCCCAGGCTGGGCGCGGTGGCTCACGTCTGTAATCCTAGCACTTTGGGAGGCCAAGGCCGGTGGATTGCCTGAGGTCAAGAGTTTGAGACCAGCTTGGCCAACATGGTGAAACCCCATCTCTACTAAAAATACAAAAATTAGCTGGGCATGGTGGCAGGTGCCTGTAATCCCAGCTACTTGGGAAGCGGAGGGAGGAGAATCACTTGAACCCAGGAGGTGGAGGTTGCAGTGAGCCAAGACCATGCCATTGCACTCCAGCCTGGGCAACAAGAGCGAAACTCCATCTCAAGAAAAAGAAAGAAAGTGATGCCCCAAGCTTTTAGCACATGCCTGGCTAAGGGTGAAACAGCTCTCGGATGATTGCACACTTTAGGTCAGATGTAGCATTTAGGGCTGAACCAGCCATTCCAGGTTCTCTAGGGCTTTTGTTAATGGGATACACAATCATTCTGGTTCAGACATTCATTCCCTAGAATTGTGAGAAGACAGAGTCCTCCTCACTTCTTGAAGGTTGATGCTCTTGAATTAAAGAAAATCTGAAGTAAGTCAGTGACTCACAGTGAGGTACGTTATTATCGACACCAAACCACCGTCTCAAGGATTTGATTGTTGCTATAAATCATTGACTGAAGCATACCTCTGGTTCATGTCACAATACCAAATGCACTTAACAAAAGCTAAGGATGATCTCATTTTTATGACTCTCAGAGTGCACAAGCAGCACTTATGTATTCATCTACAGTGTATGGATTTTTCTTGCTCAACAGGAGACTAGAATTTGTCGCATTCAATAGAAATTTGGGTTGTGAGGCCAGGCACGGTGGCTCATGCCTGTAATCCCAGCACTTTGGGAGGCTGAGGCGGGCGGATCACCTGAGGTCAGGAGTATGAGATCAACCTGATCAACATGGTGAAACCCTGTCTCTACTAAAAATACAAAAATTAGCTGGGTGTGGTGGCACATGCCTGTAATCCCAGCTACTTGTGGGGGCTGAGGTATGAGAATCGCTTGAACCTGGGAGGCAGAGGTTGCAGTGAGCCAGCCAAGATCACGCCATCGCACTCCAGTCTGGGCGACAAGAGCGAAACTCTGCCTCAAAAAAAAAAAAAAAAAAAAAAAACAAGAGAAATTTTGGCTGTGGCAGGAAATTGACTTGGAAAAGAAAAAAAAGGCCCTTGAAAGCAGCTTCTTGGCAACTAAACCCGGGGGGTTTTCTCTTGTGATTCTATCTGCTCAGGGACTTCAATTCTCTGGAGCCTCTAGCACTGGAAGGACATTGAGTAAAGTCTGTGGGTGACTTGTGGGTGTCTGAAGTAAGAGTGGTGTCATAAACTCTTAAGGCTGGATTTTTAAAAATTTTGTCTATTTAAAAATTCTTTCTTTGTACATCTTTTTCTATTTTTTAAAAAACTAACTTAGTCTACATTGTACATATTATTATACATGTGTCCAAACCTAAGAGTGACCCCTATTGTAAACTACAGACTTTGGGTGATCATGATGTGCCAATGCAGGTTCATCAGTTGTACCAAGTGGGCCACTCTGGGCAGAATGTTGATAATGAAGGAGGCTGTGCCTGTGTGGGGACAGGGGTATGTGGGAAATCTTTGTAACTTCCATTCAGTTTTGCTGTGAACCTAAAACTACTCTAAAAAAATAAAGTCTTAAAAAAAAAAAAGGCTGGCCACGGTGGCTCACGCCTGTAATCCCAGCACTTTGGGAGGTCAAGGCGGGTGGATCACCTGAGGTCAGGAGTTCGAGACCATCCTGGCTAACATGGTGAAACCCCATCTCTACTAAAAATAAAAAAAAAATTAGCCGGGCGTGGTGGCAGGTGCCTGTAGTCCAGCTACTGGAGAGGCTGAGGCAGGAGAATGGCGTGAACCCAGGAAGCAGAGCTTGCAGTGAGCTGAGATCGCGCCACTGTACTCCAGCCTGGGTGACAGAGCGAGACTCCATCTCAAAAAAAAAAAAAAATTAGCTGGCGTGATAGTGGGCACCTGTAATCCCAGCTACTCGGGAGGCTGAGGCAGGAGAATTGCTTGAACCTAGGAGGCAGAGGTTGCAGTGAGCCGAGATCACACCACTGCACTCCAGCCTGGGCAACAGAGTGGGACTCTATCTCAAAAATAAATAAATACATAGATAAATAAATAAATAAATAAATAAAAACAGAAACAGGCCAGGCATGGTGGCTTATAGCTTATGCCTGCAATCCCGTCACTTTGGGAGGCTGAGGCAGGCGGATTGCTTGAGCTCAGGAGTTCAAGACCAGTCTGGGCAAAATGATGAAATCCTGTCTCTACAAAAAATACAAAAATCAGCCCAGCATGGTGGCAGGCACCTATAGTCCCAGCTACCTGGGAGGCTGAGGCAGGAGAATCGCTTGAACCTGGGAGGTTGTTGTTGCAGTGAGCAGAGATTGTGCTACTGCACTCCAGCCTGGGCAACAAGAGCGAAACTACATCTCAAAAAAAAAAAAAAAAAAAAAACCCAGGTCAGGTGTGGTGGCTTACATCTGCAATCCTACCACTTTGGGAGGCCAAAGTGGGTGGATCACCTGAGGTCAGGAGTTTGAGACCAGCCTGGCCAACATATAGTGAAACCCTGTCTCTCCTAAAAATACAAAAATTAGCTGGGCATGGTGGCACACATCTGTAGTCCCAGCTACTTGGGAAACTGAGGCAGGAGAATCGTTTGAACCTTGGAGGTGGAGGCTGCAGTGAGCCAAGAATGTGCCACTCCACTCCAGCCTGGGCAACAGAGCGAGACTCTGTCTCTCAAAAAAAAGAAACATTAGCTAGGCATGGTGGCTTGTGCCTGTGGGCCCAGCTACTCGGGAAGGTGAGGTGGGACAATCATTTGAGTCTGGAAGGTCAAGGCTGTATGAGCCGTGATTGCACCACTGCACTCCAGCCTGGGTGACAGAGCAAGACCTTATCTCAAATAAATTAATAAATAATAAAAACTTTAAAAACATAAAAAAAGGATAAAAATGAATATTAATTAAGTAAATTTAATAAAGTCATGATTTAAAAAAATACCCAACCAAAAACTACATTGGTATATTCTATACATTTGAAAAACAACCCTCCCTCTCTGTCTCACACACAAGCACTCTCTTCACAGTAACCCTATTTTTTTAAATCATAAACAGATGATTAGGTAAGTAAGCAGAAGAACCAGGATGAGCTAATGGAATTTTTCATCTTTAGTGTGAGTGCTGTGTAACACATTTAGTGAGACTGCAGTGAGTCACCTGAAATATGTAGCAAGGTTAAAGTTAAAATGGGTTCTGTCATGTTGTGGTCTGAAAAAGGAGGAAGCCAAAACCCTTAGCACAAAAGAGTCATTAATTAAAGTCATGGAGAGATGGAAGTTGATTTATCCGTGCCTGAGACATCCACCAAGACAGCGGTGTGGGGCTGGGAATGGAGGAGGAGAGGGGAAGTGAAGGCCCTAAACACTGAGCTCAGCACCCATCCCAGAAGGGCTTCTTATCTATCTTAGTGCCCAGGGCCCCTCCACGTGTGCCCAAGTCAGCAAAGTTTAAAGTCTGGGCTGTTAACAGAGAGTGGGTCCAATGGCCTAACATTATCTTGTAAGCTCGCTGAGTTTTATGCAACCTTTGGGGGCTGTGCTGTAGGGTTTGCAGTATGGAGAAAGGCAGCGGCTTCATAAAGTACTCAACTTACAAACAAGGGACAATTAGAGTTGCAGAAGAAGCAGAAACAGCTCACAGCTCTGTCTTAGTAAGTGGTTACTACTCTGGGGAAAACTTTAACAGTAAATTGTTTACTTAATGGAGAAAAGCGGGACTGACTCACAGCATGGTCTTTCTCTGCCTGGCAAATTCCTGTTTGCTCTTCGAGACTCACCTCAAAGCATTACTTCTGCTCTGAAGCCTTCCCTGAGCCTTTTGGACAGAGTGAAGTTACCCCCTGAGATGGTTTAGACATTCTGCACAAATTTCATGTTGAAGTGTAATCCGCAGTGTTGGAGGTGGGGCCTGGTGGGAGGTGATTATTAGATCTTGGAGGTGGATTTCTCCTGAATGGTTTAGCACTATCCCATTGGTACTGTCTTTGAGATAGTGAGTGAGTTCTCGTGAGATCTGGTGACTTAAAAGTGTGTAGCACCTCCCCATTCCCTTTCTCTTGATCCTTTCGACATAGGACGTGCCTGCTCCCCCTTCACCTTCTACCATGATTGTAAGTGTCCTGAAGCCTCCCTAGAAGCTGAGTAGCTGGCATCATGCTTTCTGTAAAACCTGCAGAACCATGAGGCAATTAAACCTCTTTTTCTTTATAAATTATCCAGTCTCTCGTACTCCTTTATAGCAATGCAAAAATAGCCTGGCTCAGAGTGGTGGTTCATGCCTATAATCTTAGCACTTTGAGAGGCCAAGGTGGGCAGATCATTTGAAGTCAGGAGACCGGCCTGACCAAACATGGTGAAACCTCATCTTTACTAAAAATATAAAAACTAGCCGGGCGTGGTGGTGTGTGCCTGTAATCCCAGCTACTCGGGAGGCTGAGGCATAAGAATTGCTTGAACCCGGGAGGTGGAGGTTGTAGTGAGCGAGATTGCGCCACTGCACTCCAGGCTGGGCAACAGAGCAAGACTCTTGTTTCCAAAAAGAAAAGAAAAAAAAAAAAAAAAAGAACAGCCTAATATATCCTCTCTCTGTAAAACTTGTACATAGTTTTAAAAAACAGTAATTCTCAGACTGCACTATGATCATTTCTTTTATGTCTACTTCCCCAATAAGTTCGTGTGCTCCTTGTATGTGGGATTCTGTCTTCTGTATCTTTTTTCTTTTTTTTTTTGGGATGGAGTCTCGCTTTTTCACCCAGGCTGGAGTGCAGCGGCGCAATCTCGGCTCACTGCAAACTCCAACTCCCAGGTTCAAGCAATTCTCGTGCTTCAGCCTCCTGAGTAGCTGAGATTACAGCCATGCATCACCACGGCCAGGTAATTTTTGTATTTTTAGTAAAGACAGGGTTTCACCATGTTGACCAGGCTGGTCTTGAACTGCTTGACTCAAGCAATCTGCCCGCCTCAGCCTCCCAAAGTGCTGGGATTACAGGCCTGAATCACCACGCCTGGCCTATCTTTCTCTTTTTAAAATTACTTTGGTGCCTGATACATGGCAGCACTCAGAAGTCTGCAGAAGGACTGACTTGCTGGACAACTGACCGCCAGCCCTGTGAAGAGCAGTAACAGCAGCCACCTGGGCAGTGTCCATTGAAAGTTCAAGGAAGGTTCCCTTGCCATTCGCACATACACACACTCACAAACTCACACACTTCTTTTATATGCTTAACAATTTAAAATCTCTCAATGGGCCAAGATTTTTTTCTACAACTACTGAGAGCGCTGATGGTGCAAATATCCAAGGGAGAGGTATCACACTACCACCGAAGTTAGAGAAACTCTTTTCCCTCCTTCTAGACCCTTACCCTTCAATCTATCATAATTTGGCTTCAGGCTCTAATAATCCACTGAAATTGATCTGGCGAAGGCCACTGTTTTGGACTTCTTGAATTTTGTACCATGTGTAAGTATTATGTATTCAAAAAGAGTTGCATTTAAAAGTTCTGAAGAGAAAGTGCTCTGGGCAGTCAGGTGGTTCTGCCATGACTTGCTGGGTAGCTGTCTGTGCCTCAGTTTTCTTCTCTCTAAAAAATGAGACGGCTCAAGATCACCATTTGAGATCACATCCAGCTCTGAAAAAAGTTATGTTCTGTGTCTTCTGTTTAAGAAAATAGAAAATGCAAATAAAAAAAGAATGACGTATACATGGCTCAGTATGCATCTTAAAGAATCTGCTCTTCCCCAAGGGAGACCTCCGAGATTGGGCGGGGCCAAAGCCCTTTTCGCCATGAAAATAGTGAACTGGAAACCGATTTGGTGTGAAATATTTTGAAAAGGCCGGGTGTGATGGCTCACACCTGTAATCCCAGCACTTTGCGAGGCTGAGACAGGCGGATCATTTGAGGTCAGGAGTTCGAGACCAGCCTGGTCAACATGGTGAAACCCTGTCTCTACTAAAAATACAAAAATTGGCTGGGCATGGTGGTGGGAGCCTGTAATCCTAGCTTCTCGGGAGGCTGAGGCAGGAGAATTGCTTGAACCCAGGAGGCAGAGGTTGCAGTGAGCTGAGATTGTGCCACTGCACTCCAGCCTGGGCGACAGAGTGAGACTCTGTCTCAAAAATATATACATATATATATTGAAAAGCGAGTAGACGTGCTGTGCACATCACAATGAGCCTTTTTTGCTATGGGAACTCATGTCTCCTCCCTCTCATTGCCCTTGGTTACTCGCCCACTACAGGTTGTCAAAGCTCGACAGTGGCCCCGGGTGAAAGGCAGGTGAAAAGCATCCTTGTAGCTGTCATTTGACACAGAGAAACAGACTAACAGCCAAGGATTTTCTAACAGGCTAGAGATGATTGCAAGGAGAGAGGCCAAATTCTGTCACTTTTAAATTTCTCCCAGTGAAACAAGTAACAAACCATGAAACTTTTTACTCACTTTGAGCAGTGTAAATACAGATAAAAACAAGATCAGAACTCAATCTAAATCAAGATTCTAATGAATCTAAGAATCTAAATTAGAATCTCATCTGAAAATTAAGCATTCTGGAACCTCGAGAGAATCTTCAACTCACCAACTTCAGTGCCTTTTCCCAGAGTGAAGGTAATTCCACACCCCTTGATTCCATCTTCTGCATCAGTTTCTATGACGACATAGGCAGCCGAGTAGTCAGGGTCCGTGTGCTGCAGGAGAAGAGTTCCCCGCCGAAACAATGCCAGTGTGAGAAACCCGAAAAGAACCATGAGAATGATGTCACATGAGGACAGACAATGCCACAGGGGCCGTGCCACAAGAGCTCCCATAGAAGGAACTGTTGCTATACCCCAAAGAAAACAAAGGGCTCTGAATGGAGAAAAGGAATGTCCTCCTGAAAGATCCAAAATGTTTCAACAAGAGCAATGTATGTATATATATATATATTTTTTTTTTTTTTCTTTTTTGAGACAGAGTCTTGCTCTGTCACCTAGGCAGGAGTGCAATGGTGCGATCTCAGCTCACTGCAACTGCAGCCTCCCAAGTTCAAGCGATTCTCCTGCCTCAGCCTCCCGGGTAGCTGGGATTACAGGCACGTGCCACCACACTTGGCTGATTTTTGTATTTTTAATAGAGACGAAGTTTCACCATGTTGGCCAGGCTGGTCTTGAACTCCTGACCTCAGGTGATCCACCTGCCTTGGCCTCCCAAAGTGCTGGGATTACAAGTGTGAGCCACCGCACCTGGTCGCAATGTATACATTTTTATCACCCATTTTCAATTAGGTTAAAAAATGAGGCTCAATTTTATTTACTTATTTATTTTTTAAATAAAAAAATAGAGATGGAGTCTTGCATGTTACCCAGGCTGGTCTCAAACTCCAGAGCTCTAGTGATCCACCCGCTTGGGCCTCTTAAAGTGCTGGGATTACAGGCATGAGCCATCATGCCCGGAAGGGGCTCAATTTTAAGCCAAGGAGTTTTCACTCGCAGCTATCTCTGTCAGCTTTTTGAACAAAGTTACATTCACAAGCAGCTTCAAATTGAACAAGCCAAAGGTTCAGAAAACTGTTGCATAAAATTGGAGTGATCTCACTTATAGCAGTTTATAGCAGGGCTGAAAATACATTGGCAAAAGTTCAGACACCAGTGGGGGAAAATGAAGAAGTAAAGCTTCGAGATTAATTCACTAATTTTTTGTTTTGTTCTATGTCATGGAATAATGGAGACTCCAAAAAGCCAGGCAGAAGATGTGAATGCATTCATAAAGAAGAATTGTGCATAAGGCTATGAAAATTTATTACTGTTATTATTCTATAATATTTATTGTGCCAGACACACTATATTCTAAGAGCTCCACATGGTTTAATTTAATCTTATAACAATATTATAAAGTAGGTGCTCTTATCCTTATTAAAGAGGAAATGAAGTTTTAAGGAGCTTTAGTAATTTACAAAAGGTCACACCACAAGTAAATAATGTTTTATTATTATTATTATTATTATTTTTGAGACTGACTCTCACTCTGTTCTCCAGGCTGGAGTGCAGTGGCATGATCTTGGCTCACTGCAACCTCTGCCTCCTGGATTCAAGCGATTCTTCTGCCTCAGCCTCCCAAGTAGCTGGGATTACAGGCACCCACCACTATGACCAGCTTTTTTTTTTTTTTTTTAGTAAAGATGGGATTTTGCCATGTTGGCCAGGCTGGTCTTGAACTCCTGACCTCAGGTGATCCACTTGCCTCGGCCTCCCAAAGTGCTAGGATTACAGGTGTGAGCCACCACGCCCGGCCACAAGTAAATTATGAAGGCAGATTTTAAATCCCTGTATTGGGGTGTCGTGGCTGAGGGAGCTGTATGTGATGGCTGGGAGCCCTGAGTCTGGTATCACAGTCCAGTGGCAGGAAATCAGTGTGATGCATCGCTGAGCATCAAGTACGTGTCAGAGCTGGTGCAGCTTGCTAGGGGGTTACAGATACGTCTGCCCTTGAGGAGGTTACATTTGAGAAGACCTGCTTATAGAACGGGCATGCTGGCTCATACCTGTAATCCCAACACTTTGGGAGGCCAAGACAGGAGGATTGTTTGAGCCCAGGAGTTCGAGACTAGCCTGGGCAACAAAGCGAGACCCCATCTCTAAAATAAATAAATAAAAAGACATGGTTAAAAAAAAACCTTAATAATATAAGGCAGAAAATGCTAAGGCCTGGGAGGGATGCAAACTATGAACGACTGGCAGAGAGCGCTGTTAGCTGAATGTGCTTCTTGAAGAGGGAGAGCGCTTTATGATGAAGACAGAATGTGAGCTGGCCGGTCAAGGAAGGGGAGCTCCTCAGCAGTGGCAAGGGGAGTGAAGAGTCTGGGAGGGAGGAATATCTCAGGCAAGGTAGCAGCAGCAGCAGTGCAGAAAGTAAAGGGGTCAGAAGAGGGAGAGACTGGAGTGTATTCAAGTGTTGGTGCCCACCTGGGTTGGCTGAGCCATTGGGTTCCTGAAGGAGTTGAGCGATGAGGCTGAGAAGGAGACTCCAAGAATTAAAGACCCATCGGCAGTTTCTGGGTTCCAAGAAGAGGAAGCAATGGAAAAAGGAAACCTTGCACTGAAGCCTCAGATGAGGGTCAACAGGACGAGATGAGCCAAAAGTGACTCGAAGCTTTTGGGTCCCTGTGATTAGCGGAATGATCCAACATGGGTCAGGAGGGAGGGGCGGCAGAGAATGGAAGTTGACTTCCGATTTAGACAAACTGCGTTTAGCATGAAGGTGAAAAACCAAACAGGAAGTATCCAGACCTATAAGTTAAGGAGGCAGATCCGGAAATGAGATCTGGGAGTCTCCGGCATAAAGGGTGGCACCGAAGTCAGAATGCGGAGAGGGTCTTCATGGGAGTGTGTAGGGAGACCGGAAAGACACTGAGGCCTGAGCCTCAGAGAGGGAAGAAGGGGCCAGTGGAGGAAGAAGGAGCTGTCAGAAAGGCAGGAGGCCACGAGGGGAGAGAGCACACGAAGAAGAGGCAGCCGACAGCGGAAAACGTATCTGAGGGTAAGGACAGCTGAAGGAGAAATAACAAGGGCAATTCACAGAGAAGAAAGGAACAGAAGTAGATTTCAGATTAAGAAGGAGGTAAGCCCGGAGTAGTGGCTCATGCCTGTAATCCGGCACTTTGGGAGGCCGAGGCAGGTGGATCACCTGAGCTCAGGAGTTCGAGACCAGCCTGGACAACATGGTGAAACCCCGTCTCTACCAAAAATACAAAAATTAGCCAGGTGTGGTGGTGCACACCTGTAATCACAGCTACTCCAGAGGCTGAGGTACGAGAATCATTTGCATATGGGAGGCAGAGGTTGCAGTGAGATGAGATTGCACCACTGCACTCCAGGCTGGGCAACAAGCGAGACTCTGTCTAAAAAAAAAAAGCAGGAGTCTTTAGCAGATTTTGAGGACAGCTTTATTGCTCTTTCTTGAAAATATCCTACTTCTGATCAGGGAGGCTCACTTTGCTAAGTGCTGATGGTCCAGCATGCCTCGAGGGCATGTGAAGCCATCTCCATGGTGAACTGCAAAACAGCTCATTCTAATAAGAAGGCACTTGAGAGCTGGCACACAACATACACCCTATCTCCCCAAGATAAAATGCTTAAGTATTTATGAGCTTGCAATACAGGTGTTAGATAATGTCTCCTTACCCTGTGTTAGACATCACTCAGGCCCAGAGGCAAATTCCATTTCTTGAATTATTCTACAGTAAACCAGGCTGTCTTTTGAGACAGGGTCTCTCTCTCTCACCCAGGCTGGAGTGCAGTGACACAATTACAGCTCACTGCAGCCTCGACCTCCTGGACTCAAGAGATCCTCCCACCTCAGCCTCCTGAGTGGCTGGGACCACAGGTGCATGCAACTACGCCCAGCTAATTTTTGTATTTTTTTGTTGAGACGAGGTCTCACTATGTTGCTCAGGCTGGTCTCGAACTCCTGGGCTCAAGCGATCCACCTGCCTTGGCCTTCCAAAGTGCTGGGATTATAGGCTTGAACCACCACGCTCAGCCAAACCAGGCTGTCTTAACATTTCACAAATTCAAAGTCAAGTCTAGATTAGGGATTCCTTCTGCTTCAGTTTCCTCAGAGTGAATAGTAATTACAGCCACCCCTCCTTTTTTCTTTAGAAACAGGGTCTCACTGTGTCATCCAGTGCCCAGGCTGGAATGCAGTGGCATGATCATAGCTCATGTAATTGAATTCCTGGGCTCAAGTGATCCCCCTGCCTAGGCCTCCACTTAGGATTAGAGGTGTGAGCCCTCATGCCTGGCCTATAGCCAACTTTACTGACGGCCTTCTCTGAGCCAGGCTCTTTACAGGTATCTCATTTACATGTATAAAGTGAATATTATTATACCCATTTTACAGATGAGAAACCTAGGCTTAGAAAGATTGTGTGACTTAGCCACAGCTGCTAAAGCTTCACAGAGGCAAAGGCAGTTGCATGAGATCGAGTGTTTGGATTCTATAAGCCAGTAAAATTTCCAACATTTATTTTGAGTTCCATAAAGGATTGCCTGCTGGGTGTTTAAGTTATTTACCAACATCATGTAAGAAAGGAAACATGAAGATTTTAAAGAGGATGACAGCCTGGGCCCTGTCTCTACAAAAAATACAGAAAGTAGCTGGGCATCATGGTGCACACCTGTAGTCCCAGCTACTTGGGAGGCTGAGGTGGGAGGATTGGTTGAGTCAGGGAGGTCAAGGCTGCTGTGAGCCATGATAGTACCACTGCACTCCAGCTTGGGCAACAGATAAGAGACCCTGCCTCAAAATAAATAAATAAATAAATTTAAAACATAAAATAGAATAAAATAAAAATTTAAAAATGCAGGATGAACTTAATCTCAAAAAGGACATTGTTTTGCATTTAATAACTTTAACGAGAGATCTATTTTTATAAAACATTTCAGGTACAAAAAGAGTATAGATAATGTAATGGACACCAGCTTGCCATCCACCCAATTTAGGAAGTAAAACATTACAATGGGAATTAGAGACCTCGTGGTCCCCTCCGTGACCCCATTTCCTTCCCTCCCTACTGGTAACCATTTTCCTAACATTGCCGTTCCTCACTTCCCAGCATACTTTCACACATTCACTACATACCCATACAACTCTGCTTTTCTAGCGCGGCCAATCTCATCAGTGGACTACGAGGGGCAGTGAGGACCCAGTGGGGAACAGGCTCCCTGAAAACCCTGCACAGAACCCACTGTATTTGGGAAACACCGCTCTAGACGGGGGCAGGGGAGGGAAGGCCTGACATTCTAACACCCTCAGTAAGCAAAAAAGACCTTCAATATTTAGGTAGGAGTCAGAGTTCCTGCCCTTACTTTATTACATCTCTTAAGACGAACTGACATTTGCATCAGTCCTTTCTAAGCGTGTTTGCGGGTAATTTCACGAGAGCGCCCTCTCATGTGACGCAGTTAGCACGCGCTTGGTTTCTCAACCCGACTGTGACACCTTCATTACACAGACGGGTCCAAGAGACCCAGAGAGGTCTGGAACTTCTCCAAGTCACACAGCAAGTTGTGGAAGCGGGATCACCACTCAAAACTCCCAGCCCCGGGCTTCCCGTTCTCCCTCAGCGCCAACCCCGTCGCGTTCAGGGTACAGAGGAAGCCAGCGAGCGCTGTGCTCTAGGGTTTCCACTGGCGGGAACCCAACAAAATCATTTTGCTGCTATTGCCTATTATGCATTCTACCATTTCCAGCAAAATGTGAGTCGTAAAAGTAAAACCAGGATATTCTAAACTCCAGCAAAGAAAAAACCCAGGAGAGTGGAAAGTTTCTGGATACTTATACAATTGCTCCAAGGCATGAAAAGCGAGTGTCTCCCCCAGGCGCGCCTCCCACTTTACAGAAGCAATGGGTTCGAAGTCGGGAAGCTGCCCGGGGCCCGCAGAGCTGCAGTCGGCGGGGCGGGAGGGACCCGGGCCGCAAGCCGCGCGTACCATGGCGTCCGCGCTTACCATGGCGTCCGCGCTTACCATGGCGTCCGCGCTTACCATGGCGTCCGCGCTTACCATGGCGTCCGCGCTTACCATGGCGTCCGCGCTTACCATGGCGTCCGCGCTTACCATGGCGTCCGCGCTTACCATGGCGTCCGCGCCGTGGCCCCCAAGCGACGTGGGGAAGCGCACGTCCCGGACCGAGAGCCGGGAGATCCTGCCGCGCACCATGGCCCCTGCGCCCCGTGGCCGCGGCCCCCGTGCGGTCAGGACTGGTCGGGATCCCGAGCGCGCGGCGGGAGGGCGGGAGGGCGGGAGCGCGGCAGCGCCGCGAGGCGGGGCACCGTCAGGGCATAGAGGGCGCTCATTGGCCGCGCGGCCGCACCCCGTGAACTTGGCCCCATGGGAGCTGCAGTCCCAGCTCCGGGCTCCCGGGGGCGCACTCCGCCTTCCGCCGTTCCCTTCTCAGCCTAGACGGAGCTGACCCCGAGAGGGTTCGCTCAGGGTCGCCGGGGAACCTGGGCAGGCAGGAGGCCTCGCGCCCGGTCGGCGCCTCCGCGGGACCCTGCTCTGCTCGGATGGAAGACTCGTGAAGGGACCTGCCCGGGAGCCGCGCCCTAGAGGGAGAAGTCGGGTCTGAGCGAGTGCATTCGCTCAGCGGCAGATTCCGGCCAGTGGCTCAGCTCCCAAGCCGAGGCCGCTGGTTGTCGCCAGCGTACCCAGGAGAGCGGTGCCCTAGAAAATGCTAGGTCTCTTTCAGTGCCCACAGCCTCAGTTTGCCACCTGATAAATTAAGAGGCAGGTCATCATTGATTACACCCGTACTGATGCAGATGAGGTCCCCGTACCGTGCCTCAGCCTGTAATCCCAGCACTTCGGGAGGCCGAGGCGGGCGGATCACCTGAGGTCAGGCGTTTGAAATCAGCCTGGCCAATACGGCGAAATCCCGCCTCTACTAAAAACAAAAATTAGCAGGGCGTGGTGGTGCGCGCCCGTAGTCCCGGCTACTCGGGAGGCTGAGGCAGAACTGCCTGAACCCGGGAGGTGGAGCTTGCAGTGAACTGAGATCGCGCCACTGCACTGCAGCCCGGGCGACAGAGCAAGACTCCGACTCAAAAAAAAAAAAAAAAAAAAAAAGATGCTGGGCGGCTCACGCCTGTAATCCCAGCAGTTTGGGAGGCCAAGGCGGGCAGATGGCGAGTCAGGAGATCGAGACCATCCTGGCTAACACGGTGAAACCCCGTCTCTACTAAAAATACAAAAAATTAGCCGGGCGTGGTGGCGGGCGCCTGCAGTCCCAGCTACTCGGGAGGCTGAGGCAGGAGAATCGCTTCAACCCAGGAGGCGGAGGTTGCAGTGAGCCGAGATCGCACCACTGCACTCCAGCCTGGGCGACAGAGTGAGACTGTGTCTCAAAAATAAATAAATAAAAAGAAATAAAAAGAAAATCCAAAGTAAGCAGAAGAGAAGAAATAATAAAAATTAAAGCAGAAACCTGTGAAATTGAAAACAGGAAAGCAACAAAGAAAAATCAATGAAAACAAAAGCTGGTTCTTTGAAAACATTGATAAAATCAATAAGCCTCTAACCAGGCAAGAAAAGAGAACGCAAATAACTAATATCAAAAGTGAAATAAGGAACATTACTACAGATCCGACGGACATTAAAATGATAATAAAGGAATACTATGAATTCTATGTCCACAAATTTGATAACCTGGATGAAATAAACCAATTCCTTGAAAGACACAATCTGCCAAAACTCACACGAGAAGAAATGGACAATCTGAATAGGCCTATATCTATTAAATAACTTGAATAAATAATAGCCTTCCAAAAACAAAAAGCACCAGGTCCATGGTTTCACTGGTGAATTTTACACCAAACATTTAAGGAAGAAATTACAACAATTCTCTATAATCTATTTCAGAAGATAGAAACAGCCACAAACTGACTTTATGGTGAATGATTGATGCTTTCTCCTTAAGATTTGGAACAAGGAAAGGATGTCTGCTTCCACCACTTCTATTCAACATAGTACTGCAGGTTCTAGTTAGGGTAATATAATAAGAAAAGAAATAAAAGGCAGATTGAAAAGGAAGTAAACCTGTTTATTCTTGGATGACATGATTATTCATCTTTGTTGAAAACTGTCTTCATTGGACTTAACGAAAAAAGCTACTGGAACTAATATTGAGCTTAGCAAGTTTGTAGGATACAAGGTCAATTTAAAATCTATAGTTGATGTGCTAGTAATAAAAAATTGGAAACAAATTAGAAAACAGTATCTCTTAAAACAATTGCATTGAAGATATAAAACAGGACAAGTTTAACAAAAATATGCAAGATTTGCACACTGAACTATAAAACATTGCTGAGAAAAAAAGATCTAAAGAAATGTAGAAATGTAGAGAAATTCATATTCTTGGATTGGAAGACTCAATATTGTTAAAATAGCAGTTCTTCCCAAATCGAACTACAAATTCAATGCAATCTAATCTAAATCACTAGCAGGATTTTTTTGAAGAAATTGACAAGTTGATTCTAAAATTTATATGGAAATTTGAATAGCCAAAATAATCCTAAAAAAGAACAAGGCTGAAGAACTTAAACTACTTGGTTTTAAGACTTGCTATACACTAATCGAGTCAATGTGAAATTGACATAAAGACAGACAAGTAGATCAATGGAACAGAAGAGGTCTTGAAATAGTAAAAATACAAAAAATTAGCCAGGCGTGGTAGCACGCGCCTGTAGTCCCAGCTACTCGGGAGGCTGAGGCAGGAGAATCATTTGAACCCGGGAGGCGGAGGTTGCGGTGAGCTGAGATCGCGCCACTGCCCTCCAGGCTGGGCGACAAAGCGAGACTCCGTCTACAAAATAAAAACAACAAAAAAAAACAGGGGCCAAGAAAATTCAACGAGTAAGCTAATCTTTCCAACAACTGGTGCTCGAACAATTGAATATCCATAAGAACAAACAGAACAATCCTGGATCATTACCTTATATCATACACAAAAATCATCTCGAAGTGGAATATAGATCTAAATTTTAAGAGCTAGAATTACAAAACTTCTAAAGAAAACACAGGAGAAAATCTTTTTGTACTTGGATAAAGCAAACTTTCTTAGGACACTAAAAGCATGAATCATAAAAGAAAAACATTGCCAATTAAATTATCAACATTAAAAATGTTTTCTCTTTTATGAAAACCATTAAAGAAATGAAAATGCAAGCTGCAGATTGGAAGAAAAATATTTGCAAAACATATCTGTTAAAAGGACTTGTATGCAGAATACTGAAAAAATTACAACTCAGTAAGATGGCAACTTGATATAAAAAATGGGCAAAAGACTTTTTAATAGACATTCCACCTAAGCAGACATATGAATTTGAAATAAGCTTATGAAAAGACTCAACATTATTAGTCATTAGGGAAATGCACACTAAAACCACAATGATGTACTACTAACACGCACCAGGATGGCTGCAATTAAAGTGACTGGCAATACCAAGTATTGGCAAGGATGTGAAGCAGCTGGAACTCTCATACATTGCTGGAGGGGTATGAAAGGGTACAGCTTCTTTGGAAAATAGGTTATCAGTTTCTTAGAAAGTTAAGCATTCATGTATCATACAACTCAGTAATCCTACTCATAGGTAATTATCCAAGAGAATTTAAAACCTATGTTTAAAATAAAAACTTGTATTTGAATGTTCATAGCAGCTTTATTTGTGATAGCCTAAAACTAGTAACAACCTAAACATCCATCAATTGGTAAAGGACAAAACCAAGATGTAGTACACATCCACACAATGGAATATTACTGAGCCATAAAAAGATCTCAAAAGCATTATGCTAAACGAAAGACATCAGACACAGTGACTACATATGATTCCATTTATATAAAGCCCTAGAAATGTACAATTATAGTGACAGAAAACACTCAGTGGTTGACAGAGGTCAGGGGTGAATGGAAGAGATTGACTGTAAAAGGGCATAATGGAATTTTCTGAAATGATGGAAATGTTCTATGATTCTGGTTTCATGGTGGTTTCATGGCTGTCTACATTTGTCAACAACTCATCTAGTGGTACACTTAAAATGGTGAGCTTTGTTGTATGTAAATTATACCTCAATAAAACAAAAAATGTTGCTTTGGGGTGCTGCCTCCTCTTTGAATTTGATTCTAAGTTTGAATTTTCTTTGAAATTGCACTTAAAACTCTGCGAAAATGTTCTCTTGTATTTCTTTTAGATTGGGTTTCTTCTGGTTCCACGAATTTTTCAAAATTTCTGCTGAAGTGAAGCCACCCTTTTCTAACTTTCTAGCAATGGTAAAGATTACAAAAACCAACCAAACCAAGTTTGCCATCTAGTTCCATGGTATATCCTCTCAATGTTTTAGGAGACTAAGACTTTCCATGAAAATAGTGCAATTATGAGTGAATAAATGGAATTTGATAAACTTTAAGGGCCACACCACTTTAATTCAGTTATTAGAATCACTGTCAACCTTTTTGGCCAACTGCGAAGTTTTTATTTCTCTCATCCCTATTGTCACAGGCTAGTGACAATTTTTTACTTGGATTTTCAAAGTCCTCCAACTTACTCGTTAACTTGACCTTTAAGATAGAAGTGAAGCTGGATTGAACCCCTACGCCATGTCCCTGTGAAATCCAGTGTCTCTCCAAGTATCTCTGGAAGTACTTGGTGAACTTTTCTCCTACTTACCTGATTTATTTCCTGAATTTATTTCCCCACTGCGTTTAAACTAGGTTATGAAATCCATCCCTATCCTTTTTTGTACCTTGTCATTGTACCTCTGGCCGTGACCCCAATCCCTTTTCTTTCCTAAAGGTCACTGACTCACTGTTATGTGTAGCTGATTTGCAGGAAGGTTTGGGGTAGCAAGGACTCTGCAAGCAACTTAAAATTGAATACCGCCATCTGCTTCTTAAAGGTCCCAGGGACCATTCCTGCTACTGGATAAATTTCACATATTATCTATTTAGCTTTTATTGTTTTACTAAGTCTTATTTCTAATTTTTTTTTTTTTTTTTGAGACAGGGTCTCATTCTGTCACCCAGATTGGAGTGCAGTGGTGCAATCACAGTTCACTGCAGTTTCTACCTCCTGGACTCAAACAGTTATCCCACCTCAGCCTCCTTAGTAGTTGGGACCACAGGTACGCACCACCATGCCCAGCTAATTTTTGTACAGATGGGGTTTCGTCTTGCTGCCCAGGCTTATCTTGAACTCCTGGGCTCAAGCGATCCTCCAGACCAGGCTCCCAAAGTGTTGGGATTACAGGCATGAGCCACTGCACCCAGCCTCCTTCCTATACATTTTAAAATTCAACTCATAAATTATTATTGAATTGCAGTAAAACAGCTAATTGAACATTCTGTCCAACAGTTTTGCAACAAATGGTTTTCTAATATTGGAAAAATAGACATTGAAAAACTCTTTTAAAAAAGATTCGTTTTGGGGCGGTTGTGGTGGCTCACGCCTGTAATCCCAGCATTTTGGGAGGCTGAGGTGGACGAATCACCTGAGGTTAGTAGTTCGAGAGCAGCCTGGCCAACATGGCAAAACCCTCTCAATTAAAAATACAAAAATTAGCCGGGCATGGTGGCACACGCCTGTAATTCAAGCTACTTGGGAGATTGAGGCACAAGAATTGCTATAACCTGGGAGGCAGAGGTTGTAGTGAGCCAAGATCACACTGCTGCACTCCAGCCTGGGCGACAGAACGAAACTCTGGGGAAAAAAAAAATTGGAGTTTTCAATATTTCCAAGATTTGGTATGCTCTCTCCACAGTTAATAGTCTTGTAACTTTACATTTAATACAATGTTGCATATATTGCTGAAGTTTTGTATACACAGCACTGAAAATGTTTTGTATAAACTGTCACTTTTATGTGATAATTTGAGTTTCGTATTTTCTACTGATACAGCTGTTGGTATAATGAGTATCAGTCAGGGTCTCAACTGGAAGCAGATGGCATGCTCAAATTAAGATAAATCAAGAGGCCGTGCAGTGGCTCACACTTGGTAATTCCAGCACTTTGAGAAGCCAAGGTGGAAAGATTGCCTGAGCCTAGGAGTTTGAGACCTGCATAGGCAGCATAGCAAGACCTCATCTCTAGCAAAAATACAAAATTTGCTGGGCATGGTGGCCTGTGCTGTACTCCTAGCTACTTGGGAAGCCGAGGTGGGAGGATCCCTTGAGCCCGTGAGTTCGAGACTGCAGTGAGCTATGATCGTGCCACTGCACCCCAACCTGGGCGACAGCGTGAGAGAGATCCTGTCTGTAAAAAAAAAAAAAAAAAAAAAAAAAGCAAATCAAGGATATTTATTTACAAAGAGGTGGGCAGGTTAGGAACCACAAGGATTAATGCAGTATTAGTAGCAGCAAAACTGTCATCACCCCTGAGGCAGAAAACATATGGAATGGAAGCTGCTACCAGTCTCCAAAAGGAGGTGTATTAGGGAGGCCATATTGAGAACGTCCGGTTGACTGAAGGACATAGCCAGCCCAGAGTCTCAAGGAGGGAGCCGGGGGGAATCGAGAGAGCAAGGGAGCCCCCTGTAAGTACAAGTCAGCCTTCCAGAAGGAGCAGGCACAGTCTGGATGTGGAGGGCAAGCAGATGACATTGGGCACAGACTGCTTATTTTAATCAGAAAGTATTCCTTTCCCTCTTAACAATTTGAAAATTAATCAGGACTATGGTCACCAGTGGCAAAAACTCAACTTGATGTAGTTTAAACAAAAAAAAAAAAGGAGATACTGAAGGACAGGGAGGAGCTGATTTTAGGGAAATAAATGCTACTGGGGCAGTTTTTCAACTCTGCATGTTGGTTTCTTTTGTACCAAAATGGGAATCTGGTCTCCAGAAGCACTGGAATGGCACCCTTTGAGCAGTGTAATCAGACACAAGATGAGACTCATCTTCCAACTCCACACAGAAAGCTTAGAGAAGAACTTGATCTAAATGAAGACTTGCACAAATGGGATGAGAAACCTGATGGAAGATGCAAATTTTTACCAAATTAGTTTATAGGCATAATGCTATCCCAACCAAAATCTCACGTATTTTATAGGAATATGAAAAATAAAGGCTACAGTTAATCAAGAATTTGTCAGGACACTAAAATTTTAAGAAAAGGCATAGCAAAGGGAACTTGCTGTATTATTAAAGTGCATTATCAAGTGACAGCAGTTAAAATGCTTTGATGAAAGAAATACTTGGGCAAAACAGTATATGTATAATAAAGGAAGGAACCTAAACCAATGGACCAATGGGAATGAATGAATAATTGATGCTGAGAAAATTACCTATATGGGAAAAAAAATCATGCTAGACTCTTAAGTCACTTTTTTTTTTTTTTTGAGACAGTCTCGCTCTGTCGCCCAGGGTGGAGTGCAATGGTGCAATCTTGGCTCACTGCAACCTCTGCCTCCTGGGTTCAAGCGATTCTTGTGCCTCAGCCTCCCGAGTAGCTGGGACTACTGGCACGCACCACCATGCCTGGCTAATTTTTGTATTTTTAGTAGAGATGGTGTTTCATTATGTCGGCCAGGCTAGTCTCGAACTCCTGGCCTCAAGTGATCCACTGGCCTCGGCCTCCCAAAGTGCTGAGATTACAGGCACTATACCTGGCCCTTAAGTCACATTTTATACTCAACTTCCAAATCAATTAAAATGCTTTTTTTTTTTTTTTGAGACGGAGTCTCGCTGTGTCCCCAGGCTGGAGTGCAGTGGCACGATCTTGGCTCACTACAAGCTCCGCCTCCCGGGTTCACATCATTCTCCTGCCTCAGCCTCCGTAGTAGCTGAGACAACAGGCGCCAGCCACCACGCCCAGCTAATTTTTTGTATTTTTAGTAGAGATGGGGTTTCACCATGTTAACCAGGATGGTCTTGATCTCCTGACCTCGTGATCCACCCGCCTCGGCCTCCCAAAGTGCTGGGATTACAGGCATGAGCCACCGTGCCCGGCCTAAAATGCTTTTTAAAAAGCACAACCTATAGAGCTGGGCGCAGTGGCTTATGCCTGTAATTCCAGCACTTTGGGAGGCTGAGGCAGGCGGATCACTTGAGCTCAGGAGTTCTGAGACCAGCCTAAGCAACATGGCAAAACCCTGTCTCTACAAAATATCAAAAGTTAGCCAGGCAAGGTGGCTCGTACCTGTACTCCCAGCTACTTGGGAGGCTGAGGTGGGAGGATTGCTTGAGCCTGGGAGGTCGAGGCTGCAGTGAGCCATGATGGTGCCACTGCACTTCAACCTGGGCAACAGAGCAAGATCCTGTCACACACACACAGAAGCATAAACTATAATATAGATAGATGAATATTAATCTTGGGGTGGATGAAGACTTCTAAACATAAAAAAGGAATGAACAGATTTGACAATCTACAAATGTACAACTTACATGTCAGAAATTATATGGAAAATTAAAAGGCAAACAGGAAACTAGAAAAACATTCTTAAATTGAGGAACTATTGCTATACTACAAAAATAAATGTTTACTAAATGAAGTGTTTTAGAAATCAGAGAAAAAGCTAATAATTTTGTAATTAACTTATTGAAAATAAATGCTTTTGAATGACCATTCAAAATTTAGTATTAGACAATTTTATTTTCATTATCCTATATAATAATTATAAAACACAGAGATAAGGCTCATTTTTTTTCTTTTTTAGAAAATTAAGCCCCTTAATTTATAATAAAACTGGTCATTCTATTTTATATTCTTCACATAGATTGTGAATAGCTACACTCAAATTACTTAGGTTTCTGCATTAACTGTATTTGCTGGTATAATTTTAAGAAGAAGAAAATACTTGTAAAAATAATGTCACTCACTTGACATAGAAAATTGACCACAGGCCGGGCGCGGTGGCTCACGCCTGTAATCCCAGCACTTTGGGAGGCCGAAGCGGACGGATCACGAGGTCAGGAGATCGAGACCATCCTGGCTAACATGGTGAAACCCCGTCTCTACTAAAAAATACAAAAAATTAGCCGGGCGTGGTAGCAGGCGCCTGTAGTCCCAGCTACTCGGGTGGCCGAGGCAGGAGAATGGCGTGACCCCGGGAGGCGGAGCTTGCAGTGAGCCAAGATCGCGCCACTGCACTCCAGCCTGGGCGACAGAGCGAGACTCCGTCTCAAAAAAAAAACAAAACAAAACAAAAAAAAAAGAAAATTGACCACAAAGAATGAGTTCAATAATGTTCTGAATTTAATAAAGGATTGATTAAATTCTGCTCAGTAGTTACAAGTAACTGAACATTTTTTTCTCAATGGAAGAATAAATTCAGAATATATCAGTTTTTAAAAAACGAATGAGAATATGAATAGCAACTAAAACGATTAATAGGTGCATTCAATGAGAACTTTTTATTTCAATTATCCACAAAACAATATTACAATACTTTATAAAAATATTAAGTTTAGGCTACCATTATTCATTTAAAAAAGTGTGCTAGAAGGCTGTTTTTGCCAACTTCCTTTTTTGGTAAGGGTTAACTTCCACATTAAGACACTGAAGACGAAAAGCTGTTGGAAAATATCTCCAAATTTACAAAGTTGTTTTTCTTGGCAATTTAAAAATACAGAACAATTTAAAATGAATACACATTAAGTTAGTGTTTTATCCCTACTATACAATTGTTATTATATAAGGAACTGCTCCATTCAGTTAAAACCTAATGAATACCATCAACTTTTCCTGCCTTACTTTCCTGATTAGATTTAGTACATAAACGTAATTTTGTCACCCTTTTGAATATGCTTAGAAAAATTACAATATCATAGTTCACATAAAGCCCTTAAAAAATCTCATGTCACAAGTTGTTGATAAGAGGAAATAATGACAGCACTCTTCTTAGGAAGACCCTCTTGGTAGAGAGTGTCAATACTAAGCAGGTTACGTAAACAGAAAAAACAACCACAATTTTTAGTACCAGAACCACTGCCAACTTGCATGAAGTCCATCTTCACATTTTAAAAATGGTTTGAATTTGAACATATATGCCATGGCACAGAATTTCGAATCTGATGATTAAAATCAGGTAAATAATGATAGTTAAGAATTATATCCTGAAAATAGAGGGGCCTAATATAAGGCTTAATTTAAAGTGTGACTATATGAGAGTATTTTAAAACATATACACCAGACCTTCATTTTATTCATCAATTTTTCCTTTGCTAGACACTCAAACCACTAATGCTGCTATTCAAATCTGTATTTTGAAATTACTGAGTTACTCTTAAAAATTAGTCTTATTTTGTATGTTTCACTTTTGCACTTTAGGGTAAAAACTGTCCCCTTTTCACCACCGTTAATATTCAGAATAAGTTTTCCTCCCCAAATCAACCATTTAATGTATTCTAAAAGGGAAAAAATGACCACCATTACATAGACTTTAGAAGTGAATGTAGGCTGGGCGCGGTGGCTCACGCCTGTAATCCCAGCACTTTGGGAGGCCGAGGCGGGCAGATCACAAGGTCAGGAGATCGAGACTATCCTGGCTAACACGGTGAAACTGCGTCTCTACTAAAAATACAAAAAACTAGCCAGGCGTGGTGGTGGGCACCTGTAGTCCCAGCTACTCGGGAGGCTGAGGCAGGAGAATGGTGTGAACCTGGGAGGCAGAGCTTGCAGTGAGCCGAGATCGCGCCACTGCACTCCAGCCTGGGCGACAGAGCGAGACTCCGTCTCAAAAAAGAAAACAAAAAAAAGTGAATGTAGATTCAAACATGATTTGAAAACTGGAGTTCTAAAAATGTTTTACATAAAAACCATATCCCACTGCAATGAATGTGAAGCCATAACTTCATTATTTTGAACAAATACCCATTTAGTGTGTAAGAAAAATTAGTTTTATAGTTATACTTTATAACTCTTCAAAGTCTCAGAATATAGCTAAGTGAGGAGCTCTGAGTGCCAGCAAAGCCATTCTGTCACTCCATGACATCAACATTAAACATTACCTTCCATCCCTCTAACTTGTAAAACTTTCACTTTCTTTTCTCGTATTTCTTTTAAATACATTTTCCTCTCTGTTCATCTATATTCACCATGAGCAAAAGTGCATTCAAGTCCCTGATCTGGTCATATTTTCTATTTGTGGCACCCATCCCCATAAGGACATATAAGCAATACTCACAGTACGAAGTCTAGTTTTTAAAAAGGGCTTTTAAAATGCTGGGTCTTACTTTGCATGCTATCTAAAGATCAAAACATTTCCCCTTTGATTGGACAGTAGTTTCAATTATATATTGCCTTAAAAAATCAATGCAACCTCATACAAGATTAACTCACTTTCTAGTTACCTTCATTATTCTAAGTCAAACTCTTCAGAAAAGGACTGAAGTGAAAAAGTTCTTATTCTTTCAGTTCCATGAACATGAATATTAATGTACTGCATTATACTTTCAAATTCCACTTCTGTGGTCTAACATTTAATCAAGTTTGAGATCCTGTTTATATTCCTTTTGAAAAACCTGGCCCATGTCCATGCAAAAGAAAGCATATATTAAGATTGCATACTGACTGTTTAACTTAGAAAAAACTTTTGAGAATAATAAATGCAAGAAACTTTAAAAAACTGGAATGGAATTATTTGGTCCCATGATATTCCTTAATTTTAGATTTTATTATGGTATAGCTTTTTATCTCTCAAGTTTTATCTGTAACAATAAATAATTTTCTTTGAGCAATTCTGACTTTGGGGAAAAAAAGAAAGGAAATGATTTATAAATAAGCAGGAGCCTCACTGTCCTTCATTACCATGCTGTCACCCACACTGTCATCAGTATCTTAGCTCTATTTTGTTTGGACCCTGAAATACGCTGATAAATTCATCATTGGTACATTAGAGTTTAATACTTGGGGAAAAAAAAGTGGTTTTGTGCAACCATATCTGGGATTCCAGTTTACCATTAAAAACATGCAGAGTAAAGAAGATTTTCTTCTTTTGATTCCTGTAGAAAATCTACACAAGTTCTTTATATTTTGGCAGATTTGTGCATATAAAATAGGCTACTTGAATTATAAATTTTCTCCTGGCTGGTACTGTGGCTCTGTAGCAGTGAAGTAGTCTTCCAAGAAGGACTGAATATATTCAAATGTTGGTCTTTCATCAGGGTCCTTCTTCCAACACAGATTCATCAATTCATGGAGGGATTCTGGACAGCCCTGAGGGCACGGCATCCTGTATCCTCGCTCCACTTGTTCTAATACTTCACGGTTCACCATACCTAATACACAAGATTAAAACATTAAAGAACAATGGTCCTAACTACCACTAGGAAAACATAACAAACCCCCTAGCCACTAACTCATTCAAAGTATATTATTTAGTGAAACAATTCTTTTAACAAAGCAACAAAATAAATTTTAAACATGAGAATATCAAGAAGAGCTTAGAAAATGCTAATCTATGTTTTAACATGTCTAATTTTTCATTCCATCTTATATCTTATTTTTAATACTAATGTCTTCAAAAGCCAACCCCATTTGATTAATAAGAATTTAGGGTGCTACTATGAGGTACTGGTACTTTCTAATATTAACATTTAACAATGACCAAACTTGGGTTACTGAGGAATGGTGGCAAGATCCTGTCTGAAAGAACTTTAAAACAGGAATTCAGAAGAAAGTTCTAGTCTTGGTTTTGCCAAATATACCAACTACATAACTTTATATTGAATTACTTCTGTGAAAGTTTCCTTATCTAATATTACCTGTTTGACTTTCTTCAAGATATTACACATAGTTCCTTTCTTGTATTCCTTTGTAATCCCCCCTTCCTCAACCCCCTGATCAGCAGTTCACCCCATCTTATCACAGGACAGCAAAATGCCTCCTTTTCCAAATTCTTCCTGATAGTGTCTCACTAAGCCAGCAACCTCACCTCACGTCCTATCTCCCGCATCACCTTCCTTCCCTGCCTGCAAGTCAGGCCATCCCTTGTATCTCTTGGAAACTTTATCAACCAATCAGGAATGATATTTAAAATAGTCTATGATTCTCTAAAGAAAATGTAATGGGGTTAAATCATTACTATTTAGATTTTTAGTTATTTTTTTGAGGAATAAGTGATTTCTCAAAATACATTTTTTAAACTATTAAAAAAAACTCTACATGACATTACTTTGAAACTCAATACTTAAAAGGAAGTTTTCTGAGCTTTTCATCTAACTAGGTACTGTCATCTTCATAAGTGAAATCTGGCCGGGCACAGTGGCTCTCGTCTGTAATCCTGGCGCTTTGGGAGGCCAAGGCGGGTGATCATCTGAGGTCAGGAGTTCAAGACCAGCCTTGCCAACATGGTGAAACCACGACTCTACAAACTACAAAAATGAGCCAGGCATGATGGCAGGTGCCTGTAATCCCAGCTACTTGGGAAGCTGAGGTGGGAGAATCACTTGAACGGGAGGCGGAGGTTGCAGTGAGCCGAGATTGCGCCATAGCACTCCAGCCTGGGTGACAGAGCGAGACTCCATCTCGCGGGGTGGGGAAGTGAAATCCAGTACATTTTACTAACAGTGGAAATACAACTAGAAGTTGTTGGGTGAAGGAGAAAAGGAGTAAGGGAATTAATATTCAGTGAGGGCTTACTATAATTGAACTTCTTTTCCATTCTGTGTTCTTTTATTTTATGCTTATTATTTTAATTGACTGTTAGGATTAAGCAATCCAAATAAGCCGGAACCTATGAAAATAACTTCTAATTACCAATAAGCTTTCATTCAAAACTTCACTCAAAGGCCGGGTGCGGTGGCTCATGCCTGTAATCCCAGCACTTTGGGAGGCCGAGGCAGGCAGATCACGAGGTCAAGAGATTGAGACCATCCTGGCCAACATGGTGAAGCCCCGTCTCTACTAAAAATACAAAAAATTAGCTGGGCGTGGTGGTGGGCATCTGTAGTCCCAGCTACTTGGGAGGCTGAGGCAGGAGAATCGCTTGAACCTGGGAGGTGGAGGTTGCAGTGAGCTGAGATCGCACCACTGCACTCCAGCCTGGGTGACAGAGTGGGACTCCATCTCAAAAACACAAAAACAAAAACAACTTCACTCTTCAGAATTTTCTGATAATTAGAACTATTAAATTATTTGATGCCAGCTGGGCATGGTGGTTCACATCTGTAATCCCAGCACTTTGGGAGGCTGAGTGGGCGGATCACCTGAGGTCAGGAGTTTGAGACCAGCCTGGCCAACATGGCGAAACCCCCTCTCTACTAAAAATATAAAAACTAACTGGGCATGGTGGGCACACACCTGTAATCCCAGCTACTCGGGAGGCTGAGGCAGGAGAATCACTTGAACCTGGGAGGCGGAGGTTGCAGTGAGCAGAGATTGCACCACTGCACTCCAGCCTGGGTGACAAAGCAAGACTCTTGTCTCAAAAAAAAAAAAAAAAAAAAAAAAAAAAAAAAAATTCACATGGTAAATACTTAGCATACTGTCAATAAATGTAAGGATTTCATACCTGTTAGCATTTACCAAGGTTTATTACTATCCCCAAATAAGATGAGTAAACAGGCGCTGTTGCTTTGAAATGGACAATCTGCTGTAAGAACAGTAGGCAATGGATCGGTCCACGCTACATGTGGAAAGTTCTTTCCAAATCCTCTTAAAATCGTCAAAGAAAGACAATGAATGATAAAGTATCTCTTTTTCTTCTTTAAAGATGGGTAATCTACAAATCGTTTATATTCTGATTATCATCTGAATAATTAACTAGAATATCCTGATCATATAAATTTTTATGCATTTTGAAGCTATGTAGTTACATAGCTCATTTTGGATTTTTGTTTCCCTGTTGAACTGACCCTTTTATTATTATGAAACGTCCCTTTTTGTCCCTAGTACTATTTCTTGCCTTAAAGTCTACTGCTATCTAGGCTTTCTTCAGTTAGGATTTGCAGAGTATAACTTTTCCATCCTTTTAATTTCAGTCTCCTAAAATACCTTAAAGTATGTATCTTATAAATACCATTATAGTATTTGTGTATGTGTTTAAAATCCAGTCTTATCTTTTTTTATTGGAATGTTTAGTGTACCTAAATGTCATTTAATTATGGATGTAGTTGGGTTTAATTCTACCATCCTGATCTTTGTTCCATCTGTTCGTTTCTCCTCTCTTGCTTTTTAATTTGATTAAACAAGCATTTTTCAATGTTCAATTTTTTCTCTCCTCTGTTGGCTTTTTGTCTTCTCTTGTTATTTTAGTAGTTATCATTGAGACTACAATATGCTTCCTTGGTTTATTGTATGTTACTCAAAATAAGTACTTTTACCTGTTCCAAACTTAGAACGGTTTACCTCTTATTCCCTGACCCCCTCTACCCTTTGTGTTACTGTCACAGTCTATTTTTATATACATTATAAATTCGGTAAGATTTTTTATTGTTGGTGTTTTAGATCAGCAGTTTTCCCCAAAGCACTTTAAAGGCATAATTTCACTCTTCCCTGGCTTCCATATCTGAGGAAAAGTTAGCTGTCTGACTGTTGTTCCTGCGTAGATAATATATAGGCTGAGTATCCCTTATCTGAAATGTTTGGGACCAGAAGTGTTTCCGATTTTGGATTTTTTTGGATTTTGGAATATTTGCATATACATAATGAGATATCTTAAGGGATGGGACCCAAGTCTAAACACAAAATACATTTATGAGCCAGGCACGGTGGCTCGCACCTGTAATCCCGGCACTTTGGGAGGACAGGGCAGGCAAATCGCTTGAGCCTAGGATTTTGAGACCATCCTGGGCAACATGGTGAGACCCTGTCTCTACAAAAATTAGCTAGGTGGATGGCACACACCTGTGGTCTCAGCTACTTGGGAGGCTGAGGTGGGAGGATCACCTGAGCCCAGGGAGGTAGAGGCTGCAGTGAGCCCTGATTGTGCCACTGCACTCCAGCCTGGGTGACAGAGACCCTGTCTCAAAAAAAAAAAAATTCATTTATGTTTCATATACACCTTATACATATAGCCTGAAGGTAATTTTACATAATTTTAAAAATAATTTTCTGCACAAAACAAAATTTTGATGGTATTTTGACTGTGACCTGTCACATGAGGACGGGTGTGGAATTTTCCATTTGTGTTGTTATGTCAATGCTCAAAAAGTTTTGGATTTTGGAGCATTTCGGTTTTTTTTCTCTTTGAGATGAAGTCTTGCTCTGTTGCCCAAGCTGGAGTGCAGTAGTGCAATCTTGGCTCATTGCAACCTCTGCCTCCCAGGTTCAAGTGATTCTCCTGCCTCAGCCTCCAAGTAGCTGGTACTACAGGTGTGTGCCACCATGCCCAGCTAATTTTTGTATTTTTAGTAGAGATGGGGTTTCACTACATTGGCCAGGATGGTCTCAAACCCCTGACCTCGTGATCCACTGGCCTCGACCTCCCAAAGTACTGGGATTACAGGCCTGAGCCACTGCGCCCAGCTGCATTTCGGATTTTTGAATTAGGAATGCTCAATCTGCACCACCTCCTTATGGCTGTTTGGCTTTGATTTTTGTAATTTGACCATGATATGTTTGCTTGAATTTCACTGAGTTTAATTTTCTTGTTTGAGGTTCACTTAATCTGTGGGCTAGTATTTTGTTTTATCATATTTAGAAGATTTTTAGCCATTACTTTTTAAAAATGTTGTTACTGTTTCATTTTTTTCTCTCTTCTGCTTCTGGGACTCCACAAATTAGACCTTTTCACTATGCCCCACTGGTTTCATACATTCTGTTCTGCTTTCTTCCCCATTAGCTTTTATCTATGCATTACCTTGGATACTTTGTTAATGTGTCTGAATCCACTAATCTTGTCTTCTATTATGCCCATCTAGTGAGTACTTAATTTGATATAATGTTTTACAGTTCTAAAATTTCCATTTGAGGGCCAGGCGGGGTGGCTCACGCCTGTAATCTCAGCTACTTGGGAGGCTGAGGCAGGAGAATCGCTGGAACCTGGGAGGCGGAGGCTGCAGTGAACCAAGATCGTGCCACTGTACTCCAGCCTGGGAGACAGAGCGAGACTCTGTCCCAAAAGAAAATAAATAAATAAATAAATACAATTTCCATTTGATTCTTTTTTTTTTAATAGATTCCAATTCTGCTCAAATTCTCCAGTTTTTCATTATTTTGCAAAACTTTTCTTCTATTTTAACATTCCATATATTGCTATTTTGAAGTCTTTTGCTAACTCCAAGATTTGGATTATCTCAGAGTCTGCTCCTATTGATTTTGAACTTTTTTTTTTTTTTTTTTTTTTTTTGAGACAGAGTCTCGCTCTGTCACCCAGGCCAGAGTGCAGCGGCGCAATCTCAGCTCACTGCAACCTCCACCTCCTGGGTTCAAGCGATTCTCCTGCCTCAGCCTCCCGAGTAGCTGGGATTACAGGCGCCCGCCACCATGGCTGGCTAATTTTTGTATTTTTAGCAGAGATGGGGTTTTACCATCTTGGCCAGGCTGGTCTCAAACTCCTGACCTTGTGATCCACCCGCCTTGGCTTCCCAATGTGTTGGGATTACAGGCGTGAGCCACAGCGCCCAGCCAGATTTTGAACTCTTGATAATCAGTCATCTCTTCCCTTCTTCATATATCTAGTAACTTTTTATTTTGTGCTAGACATTTTGAATCATACACTGTAGATTATCTGGATCATGTTATCTTTTTCTGAAGGATGTTCAGTTTAATTCCATTTGGAATTTACCAGCAGATCACCTAGTTGTTAGGGCTTAGTTTTGCTCAGTTTTGCCCTTTCTCCTAGGGTATGGACTTTCTGGGGTCTCAACAAAAAGCCTAGCGTATTCTCCAACATCTATCCAGTTTGGCTGGGCAAGAACTCCTCAGCACTCTGTAGCCTCTGAACTCTGCTCGACTCCCCAGCCTCCTAGTGGCTATTTTCTGTTAGGTCTCCCAGAGACTCTCCCTGTGTATGTGCAGATTAGAACTGACCAAGGACCCAAGAGGATTTTTTTTTTTTTTTTTTTGAGACAGGGTCTTGCTCTGTTGCCCAGGCTGGAGTGCAGTGGCGCAATCATAGCTCACTGCAGCTTCAAATTCCTGGGCTCAAGCGATCCACCCACCTTAGCCTCCCAAAGTGCTGGGATTATAGGAGTGAGTCACCACGCCCAACTGGAATTTTAAAGCAGAATTTTAGAGTTCTTTCCCTATGGTTCCTTCTCTGGGACCCTGTCCTTCAGATCCCAGCACTAGGATCTCTGCCTCATTTGCTTAATAAGACTTATGCTTTCTGTCTGGGTTTTACTGCCCTGTGCTATTTTAGAAAATGCCTTCAGAAAAGCCAATATAAATGGGCTTCCTTGATGCAATGTCCTATCAGTTCTTTTACATATTTTATTTAACTTTTGTAGTTGTTTACAGTGCTATAATAAGTTGGATATTAGCCTCTCCATCATAGCTAAAACTGAAAGTTCCTCATGGTTATACATTTAAAGTGACACTATGTTGCATGGCTGTGTGGTTTTTTTCTAGCCCTGTCTGCAAGTGTGGTGTAGGCAGAGTTGGATTTATTTAATGTGGTGATTTTGCTAAGCAATGATGATGAAATCAGAGAAGGGTGAAATCAGCAAAGGAGTGATTATACTGCTTCACTAGGGAATTTAAGGAGTAGAATTGTTTCATGAAGGGGGTGAGAAGCAGGAAAAGGTGGCAGAAACAGTGGAGTAAAGATCCTGGTAGCATCAAGAAATTGCTAGGGTTGGGGTGGAGGGAGTTATCTGGAAAGATGGCAAGTGGTGGTCAGAAAGTAGATGCATGAAATAGATTTTGAAAGGGTTGCAGTTATTGGTAACATTAAGGTTTAAGGTATGAAGATGGAAAGACTGGCTAAGGTAGAGTGAAAGACAAGATTACACAGGAGAAGAGTTCAAGCTACAAGAGACCAGGGTAATAGAAGAATCATCACCATGTGTATTAAGATGACAATGAGTTAAGACAGGAGAGGAGTTTTGTTGGAGAGGACAATGGTGAGTCATTAAATGAGAATAACTTGAATGGTATCAGTGAATAACAGCAACCAGACAAAGTGGGTGATAAAATTTGATGGCATTAGATCTACAGCTGGAGGGAACTGTAGGGAAGAGGAATATGTTAGATAACATGCAAAACCCATAAGATTAGCAAAACAGTTTTTCCTAAAGATTAAATTTTATATGCTTTCACTCTCAACATTAGGATACTTCAGTACAAGAGTTTAGAAGTAACAAACTAAAGTAATACTGATCGCTGAATTTCAAGTGAGCTAAAATTTCTCCTTCCCCCTAGAAACTATATAAATCTCTTAATTTTGAGGCCAGGCACGGTGGCTCACGCCTGTAATCCCAGCATTCTGGGAGGCCGAGGCGGGCAGATCACAAGGTCAGGAGATCGAGACCATCCTGGTTAACACGGTGAAACCCCGTCTCTACTAAAAATACAAAAAATTAGCTGGGCGTGGTGGCGGGTGCCTATAGTCCTAGCTACTCGGGAGGCTGAGGCAGGAGAATGGCGTGAAGCTGGGAGGTGGAGGCTGCAGTGAGCTGAGATCGTGCCACTGCACTCCAGCCTGGGCGACAGAGCGAGACTCCATTTCAAAAAAAAAAAAAAAAAAAAAGTCTCTTAATTTTGAAAGGGAAACACTTTCATTTTTCCTCTTTATTAATGGCAGATATATTTATTAAAGTGCTGGTTTATAAATAGGTTAGAGAAATAAAACAAGAAAAGAATCTCAAAATAATCTACTGAAGAAAACAAGGCAAGTACATATTTAAAAAAATATACCATGATGGGCACGGTGGCTCACGCCTGTAATCCCAGCACTTTGGGAGGCCTAGGCAGGTGGATCACCTGAGGTCAGGAGTTCGAGACCAGCTTAGCCAACATGGCAAAACCCCATCTCTACTAAAAATACAAAAAATTAGCTGGGTGTGGTGGTGGGTGCCTGTAATCCCAGCTACTTGGGAGGCTGAGGCAGGAGAATTGCTTGAACCCGGGAGACAGGTTGCAGTGAGCCAGACTGTACCACTGCACTCCAGCCTGGGTGACAGAGCAAGACTGTGTTTAAAAAAAAAAAAAAAAAAAAAACAAAACACCAATCACACTACTGGGAAAGAACAGTTATTTAGGGTATAGGGTGGATGAGCCAGGATATTTAAGATATGTTTATTATCTGAGAGAACAGTAAGAGGCCCCTTTGGAAAATGTCCTGAGAAAGCTGAGGTGAATGTGGGGCCTATCTCATGTGCTCACCCTGTCAAGGATCGTGGCTTTCACTGACTTACCCGTCCAATGCCACAGTTACCCATCCAATGCCACAGTAAAGGGAAGGAGTGGGGAGAGGGAGAGGCAGGGGGACTATGAGAAGAAATAAAGGCCTTTTCCCCGCTTACAATTCTGTTCCTAATAAACTCCTGATAAAGCCACTCATGAGATAACCAAGAGCTATAAAATGCAAGCTTACCTGGATATGGCACTCGGCCCTTTGTTACTAGTTCTGTTTGCAGAATTCCAAATGACCAGACATCAGACTTTATTGTAAACCGACCATACAGTGCAGCTTCAGGAGCTGTCCATTTGATTGGAAATTTTGCACCTAAAATAATGTTGACCATCTTGCTTAATTGTTTTTTAAAAATCTATTTGTGTAAACATAGCATATGCAGGGCTAATGTTCTGTCAATATCTCTACTGTAGTCATCAGTGTCAATTCTTTAAATGTACAAGATACATGGGATAAAAATTCTTTAATTTTTAAAATTCATATTGAAATAAATCACATTTCTTCCTGATTAGACAGCTGATGATATAAAAAATAAGTTGGCTGTGGGAACAGAAAACAATTTAAGAAAATAGAGGTTGAAGCTCTAGTAAGCCAAAGATACATGTTATAATATGTGTAACTTTTAAGTACAGTCTGGCACCTAATAGCTGTAGTTAACTATTGGTTGATGAGTGAATATTCTATTGAGTTATAATGTTTATGGGTTTTCCTACTTTTTATATCATTCTGGAAAATTTTATTGTACTACTTTTAAAAGTCCATGTTAATTAACTCAAATACTTACTGTATATCTTTTTTGTGGAGGGCATTATGCTAATCACTATGGAAACCTAAAAAGCATGGCTTTCGGCCGGGCGCGGTGGCTCAAGCCTGTAATCCCAGCATTTTGGGAGGCCGAGGTGAGTGGATCATGAGGTCAGGAGATTGAGACCATCCTGGCTAACATGGTGAAACCCCGTCTCTACCAAAAATACAAAAAATTAGCTGGGCGAGGTGGCAGGAGCCTGTAGTCCCAGCTACTCGGGAGGCTGAGGCAGGAGAATGGTGTGAACCCAGGAGGCGGAGCTTGCAGTGAGCTGAGATTGCGCCACTGCACTCCAGCCTGGGCAACAGAGTGAGACTCCGTCTCAAAAAAAAAAAAAAAAAAAAAAAAAAAAGCATGGCTTTCATGAAGTTTATAAACTTATTGCAGAAATAATATTATAGGTGTCTTACATTCTTTAAGTTATTTATATGTGTTTGTAGATAGTGTTTTAAAACAGAGTTCTTTAGATATTTAGACAAACAGATGATCAATTTTCCTTGGCACCATTACAAAATGTTTTATTTAAAAAGTGGCAGGTGGTTGGGCACAGTGGCTCACGCCTATAATCCCAGCAATTTGAGAGGCCGAGGTGGGCAGATCACCTAAGGTCAGGAGTTCAAGACCAGCCTGGCCAACACGGTGAAACCCTGTCTGTACCAAAAATACAAAACTTAGCCAGGTGTGGTGGTGCATGCCTGTAATCCCAGCTACTCGGGAGGCTGAGGCAGGAGAATTGCTTGAACCTGGGGGGCAGAGGTTGCAGTGAGCCAAGATCATGCCACTTCACTCCAGTCTGGGCAAAAAAGCAAAACTTGGCCAGGCGCGGTGGCTCACGCCTGTATTCCCAGCACTTTGGGAGGCCGAGGTGGGCGGATCATGAGGTCAGGAGATTGAGACCATCCTGGCTAATACGGTAAAACCCCGTCACTACTAAAAATACAAAAAAAAAAATTAGCCGAGCTTGGTGGCAGGCACCTGTAGTCCCAGCTACTCGGGAGGCTTAGGCAGAATGGCGAGAACCCGGGAGGCAGAGCTTGCAGTGAGCCAAGATCGCGCCACTGCACTCCAGCCTGGGTGACAGAGTGAGACTCCATCTCAAAAACAAAACAAAACAAAAAAAACCAGGAGCAACTACAACATACAACATCACTAATCATCAGGGAAATGCAAATTAAAACTACAGTGAGACACTACCTTACTCCTGTAAGAATGGCCATAATGAATAAGTAAAAAAAAAAAACAATAGATGTTGGTGTGGATGTGGTGAAAAGGGAACATTTTTCCACTGATGGTGGGAATGTAAATTAGTACAACCACTATGGAAAACAGTATGGAAACTCCTTAAAGAACGAAAAGCAGAACTACCATTCAATCCAGCAAACCCACTACTGGGTATCTTCCCAAAGGAAATGAAATCAGCCAGGTGTGGTGGCTCACGCCTGTAATCCCAGCGCTTTGGGAAGCCAAGGCGTGTGGATCACCTGAGGTCAGGAGTTTGAGACCAGCGTGGCCAACATGGTGAAACCGTGTCTCTACTAAAATACAAAAATTAGCCGGGCCTGGTGGCAGGTGCCTGTAATCCCAGCTACAGGGGAGGCTGAGGCAGGAGAATCATTTGAACCTGGGAGGTGGAGGTTGCAGTGAGCTGAGATTGTACCACTGCACTCCAGCCTGGGCAACAGATTGAGACTGTGTCTCAAAGCAAAAAAAAAAAAATCATTATATGAAAAAGATACATCCACAAATGTTTATAGCAGCACAATTCGCAATTGCAGATATGGAGCCAATCTAAATGACCATTGACCAATGAGTGGATAAAAAAAAATGTGGCATATATACACCATGGTATACTACTCAGCCGTAAAAAGGAATGAAATAATGTCTTTTGCAGAAACTTAGAGCTAGAGGCCATTATTCTAAGTGAAGTAACTCAGGGATGGAAAACCAAATATTGTATGGTCTCACTTAAAAGTGGGGCTAAGCTATGAGGACACAAAGGCATAAGAGTAATATAATGGACTTTGGGGAGTAAGGGGGAAAGGTTGGGGGGTGGATAAAAGACTACATGTTGGAGGTGAAACCCCGTCTCTACTGAAAATACAAAAATTAGCTGGGTGTGGTGGTACGAGCCTGTAATCCCAGCTACTCGGGAGGCTGGGGCAGGAGAATCGCTTGAATCTGGGAGGCGGAAGTTGCAGTGAGCCGAGATCGTGCCGCTACACTCCAGCCTGGGCTGGGCAACAGAGTGAGACTCCGTCTCAAAAAAACAAACAAAAAAACCTACATATTGGGTACAGTGCAAGATGCTTGGGTGATGGGTGCACTGAAATCACCACTAAAGAACTAGTTTCCCAAAAACTATTGAAAAAAAAAGTGGCAGCTAAATTAGGCCCTAAAGAATGGTTAGGATTTTCACATGTAAAGATTACAGGCCGGGCATGGTGTCTCACGCCTGCCATTTTAGCACTTTGGGAAGCCAAGGCAGGAGGACTGCTTGAGCCCAGAAGTTCGAGACCAGCTTGGGCAACATGGCAAAACTTCGTCTCTACAAAAAATACAAAGAATTAGTCAGGCGTGGTAGTGTGCACCTGTAGTTCCAGCTACTCAGGAGGCTGAGGTGGGAGGATCACCTGAGCCCCAGGAGGTCAAGGCTGCAGTGGGCTGAAATCACGCCACTATACTCTAGCCTGAGCAACAGAGGGAGACCCTATCTCGAAAAACAACAACAACAACAAACATTACAGATAGGAAGGCATTCCAGATGGAGGTAACTGTACAGAAGTATGGAGGTTGAAAGAAAGCACTATGTCTAAAGCAGGGTTTCTCAATCTCAGCACCGCTACCATTTTGGGCCTGATAATTCTGTTGTGGGGGGAAGGGGGGGTTTGCCTGCACATTTCTGTACACTGTAGGAGGTTCAGCAGTATACCTGGCCTCTACCCACTAGATGTCAAGCAGTAGCCCCCAGGTTGTAACCACCAAAAAAGTCTGTAGACATTGTCAGATGTCCCCTGGTGAGTGGCGGTACAGGGCAATATCTCCTCTGACTGAGAACCTCTGGCCTTTCTAGGAAAGAAATTAAAATATATTTGTTGTCATGTCAAAAGAAGTGTAAAGAGGCTACTACTTGCTCTATGTATAATGCAAAGGATACCTAGTCAAGTTCTTTCTTGGAGGAAATAACTATCAGAAAGCCACAGCAGTACATGATTTTATGAATGAAATCAATGTCTCTATGACTCTTCTGAGGGAAGCTAAAACAATTCTTATTCTGGAAAACCCTGTATAGTCAAGAGAGTTAAGCAAAACACACAACACATTACAAGCTTTTATGTAAAAGTAATTTTACCTTGTCTTGCTGTGTATTCATTGTCTTCAATTAACCTTGCTAAACCAAAGTCTGCTATTTTGCACACAAGATTTTCTCCTACAAGAATATTAGCAGCCCGAAGATCTCGGTGAATATAGTTCATTCTTTCAATATATGCCATACCATCAGCAATCTTGGAAAGAGAAAAACAAAAAACACAAGACATACGATACAAAGGGAAGCAGAGAGAAGACAATTATGGTTAATATCAAATTGTGTCACTGAAAATCATATTATTTTAGAAGGAGATGATGGTAACAGGGTATAGTCTAGAAGATAACAGGAAAACCAGAAAACATAATAAAAATGCAGGCTAAATTCAGATTTCAAAAATCTAACACTGGCTGGGTGCGGTGGCCCACACCTATAATCCCATTAATTTGGGAGGCCGAGGCAGGTGGATCATTTGAGGTCATGAGTTCGAGATCAGCCTGGCCAACACGGTGAAACCCTGTCTCTATTAAAAATACAAACATTAGCTGGGTGTGGTGGCACATACCTGTAGTCCCAGCTACTTGGGAGGCTGAGGCAGGAAAATCACTTGAACCCAGGAGGCAAAGGTTGCAGTGAGCCAAGATTGTGCCACTGCACTCCAGCCTGGGAAACAGAGCGAGACTCAGCCTCAAAAAAAATAAAACCTAACATTACTCTGAAGACCAAGATTAACCCTCCTAATGTCTTCTTGTGTCTGTGGTTAGGAGAAGAGGTAAATCACAAGGTAATTTAGTACCTCTGGATACAAGCTCATCAAGGTCTCTATCAGGCACAACCTAAGATGACATGGTGATAAAGGTATTAACCACAAGGTATAGGTTCCCAAACTACAGCTTGTAGGCCAAAAGTGGCCTGCAGCCTGTTTTTGCACAGCCAGAGAACTAAAACTGTTTTTTACATTTTGATTGATTGACTGAGACGGGGTCTCACTCTGTCACGCAGGTTGGCGTGCAGTGGTGCAATCGTGGCTCACTGCAATCTCTATCTTCTGGGCTCAAGCAATTTTCCCACCTCAGCCTAGTGAGTAGCTGGGACTTAGGCATGCGACACCACACCCAGCTAATGTTTGTATTTTTTTGTAGAGATGGGGTTTCACTATGTTGCCCAGGCCCCGCAAAGCGAGATTATAGGAGCCATCTCGCACAGCCTGGTTTTTACATTTTTAAAGGGTTGTAAAAAGAAAAAAGTATGACAGATTGGATGTGGCTCACAAAACCTAATTTTTTTTTTTTTTTAAAAAACAAAAATGGATTGCCAACCTCCCCTACCATAGAGTGTCTAACTCAGAAGCATGAACTGGCGTGGCATATGCCTGTTGCCTATGTATAGTTTCTCAGTATAAAGCTTTTCTGAATTGTCAGATTCTGTGGACATTTGGAGGCTAGGAGGTAAGATTCCAAAACCAGCATGTCAACCAAAGCCAATAATAAGGCCTCTCAAATACCTACCACATATCTGAAGAGAAACTTTTAACAGTTTTCACTATATATTTAAAACAAAAAGTCAGAAGAGTAAAAAAGTCCCATTTTAAACTGTATATATACCATCTTAATTCTTGTGTTGGACTATAGTAAATAACAAATTCAGGCCAGGTGCAGTGGCTCACGCCTGTAATCCCAGCACTTTGGGAGGCCGAGGCGGGCAGATCACGAGGTCAGGAGATCAAGACCATCCTGGCGAACACGGTGAAACCCCGTCCCTACTAAAAATACAAAAGATTGGCTGGGGGTGGTGGTGGGCGCCTGTAGTCCCAGTTACTCGGGAGGCTGAGGCGGGAGAATTGTGTGAACCTGGGAGATGGAGCTTGCAGTGAGCCGAGATTGCACCACTGCATTCCAGCCTGGGTGACAGAGCGAGACTCCCATCTCAAAAAAAAAAAAAAAAAAAAAATTCAGCATACACTTTAGATTACTAATATTTTCTTTGGAACAGCCCTCATCCATTTTAATTTTCTTAAAATTATCTGTTGAAATATAAATACATATAGACTTTACATTTGTGGAAACATCTATTTTCTTGAGATGGAGTCTCGCTCTTGTTGCTCAGGCTGGAGTGCAATGGCGAGATCTTGGCTCACTCCAACCTCCGCCTCCCGGGTTCAAGCGATTCTCCTGCCTCAGCCTCCTGAGTAGCTGGGATTACAGGCGCCCGCCACCACGCCTGGCTAATTTTCAGTATTTTTAGTAGAGACAGAGTTTCACCATGTTGGCCAGGCTGGTCTCGAACTCCTGACCTCAAGTGACCCACCCACCTCGGCCTCTCAAAGTGCTCAGATTACAAGCGTGAGCCACCGCACCTGGCCTGGAAACATCTATTTTCTAAGAAACCGTATGATACAGGACACCACTGGACTAAGAGTTAGATAGCTGGTTCTAATACTCGTTCTGTTACTAACAAGTTTTGTGAATTTTAGATACCTCTCATCTTTTGATACTTCATTAATCTGTATCATTAAGAGCTCACATTGGATTATCTCTGACGTTCCTGCCAGTTCTAAAATTCCATTATTGGCCAGGTAATCCCAATACTTTGGGAGGCTGAGGTGGGAGGATCCTTTGAGCCAAGGACTTTGAGACTAGCCTAAGCAACACAGAGAGATCCCTGTGTCTACAAAAAAAATAATTTTTTAAATTAGCTGGGAATGGTGGCCTGTGCCTGCAGTCCTAGCTACCCAGGAGGCTGAGGCGAGAGGATTGCTAGAGCCCAAGAATTCAAGGCTCTTCAAGCACGGAGCTATCAGTGCACCACTGCATTCCACCCTGGGTGACAGAATGAGACGCTGTCTCTAAAAAATAAAAAATAAAAATAAAATCCCACCATTTCACTACACATACTATAATATTCTGGTAAGATTATTCCACATTTTAATTTACACTTTTAATTCAAATGGATACATGTATATATACAGATACCTGAGCAGCCATATCAACCAGCTGTGGAAGCTTCAAATACTTTCCATCTCCTTCCTTAAGGAAATCTAATAAGCTTCCTGTAACAGACAGCAAGATATTCATAAAAAATAAGCAAATCTTATATTAGGATTGAAATGAATACTCCTCCACCCCAAATCACAACACAAAACTTCTTAGCTTTTCATTTTTTTTAAATTTTGTGCAGTTTTGCAGTTTCCAAATAATTATCTAGGTCCTAGAAGAGGTCTCTAAGCTGAAATTTTGAAAACTTCTGATAACACATGCAAAAAAAGAAAATGCATTAACTTTACCTGACAAGAGGCATTTTTTCCTCGCTTTGATCAATATCCCAATTCTGATTCAAAAAGTAGTATTAAATACTTACATATTTTTAAGTAAATCTGAATCAAGAATTCAGACAACTAGGAATATCTTGGGTGTGGTTAAAACTAAATATAGGTAGCTAAATGAGTCGCTGTGGAACTACTGCTGTGACCAAGCTCTCTCTCTGAAAACTACAAAGTACTATGAATAACAGCAAAGAAAAAGGCTAGAAGTCTGATTACGGCTTCACTATTATTTGTTAAGGCTTATAATCAAGAGAAAACATCACACAAAACCAAATTAAGGCACATTTAAAACATAAAAGTGGTCTATTCTCTTCAGAAGTAACAATGCTATGGAAGACAGAGGAAGGTTGAGGAATGGCTCTAGATTAAAGGAGACTAAATAGAAATGACAACTAAATGGAATGCCTGACCATAAACTGGATCGGGGAAGTGTAGTTGGTGGACTGGTCCAGAGCTAGGGAGACCAAATTCCAGGTCAAAGAGAAAACATGAAAAAATCATGAAAACAAAGAGCAGAACAGTGGGTTTATGCTGGAGTGCATGGGACAATGAGTTTGGACAGATTATAAAGGGACAAGTGCTAAGTGAATACCAAAATGAGGAATTAAAGAGTTTTAAAAATAGAAAGGACTTTTGTTATCTTGTATTCTAAATCTCTCCCGCCTGGAAATAATTGTACCCAGTGGTCTGACAACACAGAATTTTACCATGTTCTCCCAATTAAATAATTCTTAAAATTAATATACAGAGCTAAATGGGCTATTAGCCTTACCTTCATTATATTTCTTATGTTCCAATATCTTTTTTAATTGTTAAAGTCTTTATTTATTTGAAACGGAGTCTCACTCAGTCACCCAGGCTGGAGTGCAGCGGTGTCATCTTGGCTCACTGCAACCTCTGCCTCCCTAGCTCAAGCCATTCTCGTGCCTCAGCCTCCCGAGCAGCTGGAACTACAGGCACAAGCCACCACGCCCAGCTGTTTTTTGTATTTTTAGCAGAGACGGGGTTTCGCTATGTTGGCCAGGCTGGGATCGAACTCCTGACCTCAAGTGATCTGCCTGCCTCGGCCTCCCAAAGCGCTGGGATTGGAGGCATGAACCACTGTGCCTGGCCTGCTTCCAATATCTTGATTTAAACATCTTCCCTGTCCTTTTCTCCTTTTTTTTTTTTTCTTTTTTGAGACAGTCTCATTTTTTCACCCCAGATGGGAGTGCAGTGGCACAATCACAGCTCACTATGGCCTTAACCTCCTGGGCTCAAGCAATCCTCATGCCTCAGCCTCCTGAGTAGGGAATACATGTGTGTGCAACCACGTCCTGCTAATTTTTTTAGTTTTTGTAGAGATGGGGTTTCACCATGTTGCTCAGGTCAGCCACCATGCCTGGCCCTCCCTTCCCCTCTGGTTCATCTAATATACTCTTTGAAAGGGCATATTTGGGCTGGGTGTGGTGGCTCACACCTGTAATCCCAGCACTTTGGGAGGCCAAGGCAGGCTGATTGCTTGATCCCAGGAGTTCCAAACTAGCCTGGGAAACAGGGTGAAATCCCATCTGTAGAAAAATACACAAATTATCTATGTGTGGTGGCATGCACCTGTAATCCCAGCTACTCAGGAGGCTGAGATGAGAGGATCGCTTGAGCCCAGGGAGGTCCAAGCTGCAGAGAAATGTGACTGCACTCCACCCTGGGGGATAGAGTGAGGCCCCACCTCACAAAAAAACAAAAACAACAAACAAACAAGCAAACAAACAAAAAAATGTCATATTTGGCAACTGTTTGCAGTAGACATTCCTTCCAAAGAGCGCCAGGTGCTTTGGGTCTTTAGGTGTGTTCTGGCTATCAATTAATAGGCTGTATAATTTCTTAACTTTTGGTTTCAGTCCCCTTTTGAGGGGAAAAATTTTCCTACAGCAAATATGTAACTTGTAGTTGTCCTTGTCACCACTAGATGGAACTACATCATTGACCAAGACACACCACTGGAGAGGGTGACATAATTAGTGACTACTGTATATTATTGGTTCAAGAGTAAAAATAATAATAAAGCAGATGAAATCAAACACATAAAAATCAGGCCTGTCAGCTTATCTGCTGACTTACTAGTTCCTCTAAGTACCATCTGCACAGGGAAAAAGAGGAAAGAGTATCAATCTTCTCTTTATCCTCCCCCTAACTAACCCTGTTACTGAAGATCCCATCTTGTGGTCTAGAGTTAAGGAAAATGAAGAAACTTCCATTGAAGGTAGTGGGGAGGCCAGGCACAGTGGCTCATGCTGGTAATACCAGCACTTTGGGAGGCCAAAAAGGGAGGACTGCCTGAGGCCAGGAGTTCAAGACCAGCCTGGGCAACATAGTTGAGACCCCAGTCTCTATTTAAAAAAAAAAAAAAAAAGAAAGCAGTGGGGAAAAAAGTTCCTAGAAGTCCTGAATATAGGAATTATGTTTATATTAAAATGAGAAAACTAATTCATTTTAACTTTACCTTATTTCTTTGCTTTAGTACTAAAAATGTAAGTATCTTTCTGATTTTATCATTTTAATTAAATGTGTACAAACACTTTCTATTTTTCACCTTTCTAGCTTTTCCATTTGTTTTAGTCAAACTTAATTTCAAAATTAATTCAGCCTGCCTACTTTTCCTTTTAAACGTCATACTATCCTCTGGAATAACTGGATAATCACTATTCCATTAAACAAAGTGTCAGGTTTCTTCTATCCAAATATGTCTACATAAAAATCTTAAATTAGAAAACAGTATAAGTCTATATGCATACAAATCAAGACTCTTAAAAACATTATCAACACAAATACCTAAGGAGATACTAATACATACCTTTTGACATAAATTCAGTGACAATGTAAATTGGTTCTTCAGAAACAACAGCATATAGTGGAACAAGTTTATCATGTCTTAATTTTTTCATTATCTGAGCTTCTTGAAGGAAAGCTTCTGGCATCATTGTACCTGGTTTTAGTGTTTTGATTGCTACTTTCGTGGTTCCATTCCATGTTCCTAAAGAAATAACACATTTTAGGAATTTATATTTTAAAGGATTTTAGACCAAACTTCAGTGAACAGCACTTCTCTTAAATATTGAAACATATTTTATCATAAATTGTTGCACTTTAATCCACAGCTAAACAATGACAGAAAACAAAAATTCAGGCTTCTTACCCATCCACACTTCGCCGAAACATCCTTGTCCTAGTTTAACCTCTAGTCGCAAAGATTCTCGAGGGATTTCCCAAGCATCTTTTGCTAGACCTTGAGTCTGAGGTTTCACAGTTGGACACACAGTTGTCAACTTGTGGCATAAACCATCAGCATGTTCTAGATAAATGAATAAACTATACTGTAATATCAATTACAAAAATTAAGGGGCATATAGTGTATCAATGTTTTAAGTTTAAACTGTAGAAAAACAAAAACAGAAGTCCTTTCGAGTTTTACTCTAAAAGCACAAAACAAAAAGGGAGTTGTCCATAAGCAGCAAAACATGAAATATACATAAGTGAAACATTTTGTAAAATTTATTTTTAAGGCCGGGCAAGGTGTCTCACGTCTGTAATCCCAGCACTTTGGGAGGTTGAGGCAGATGAATCACGAGGTCAGGAGTTCGAGACTAGCCTGGCCAATACAGTGAAACACTGTCTCTACTAAAAATACAAAAGTTAGCCGGGCATGGTGGTGCATGCCTGTAGTCTCAGCTACTAAGGAAGCTGAGGCAGATGGATCGCATGAACCCAGGAGGCAGAGGTTGCAGTGAGCCAAAATTGCGCCACTGCACTCTAGCCTGGGTGACACAGTGAGATTCTGACTCGAAAAAAAAAAAAATATATATATATATACATGTTATTACTTACTACTTAGTATGTATATACTAATATATAGTAAATATATTGTATTTACTACTTAGTATGTATATACTAATATATAGTAGATATGTTAGTATATTTACTAAATACTTAGTATAACTTAAAATATATATTTTTTTAAGTTATTATTTACTAAATACTTAGTATGTTCCACTATTGTGCTAAATTAGCACTTCACAAGTATCTCATATATAAATGAAGCTTTGAAAACATACGCAACTTTCCCCTAAGGCCCTGCAGTTAGTAAATGGTAGAGATGGGATTCAAATCTAGGTCTGTCTGCTTCCAAAGTTCTGCCTTTGTACACTGGGTTTTATTAATTCTCAAAGAGAATGTTATCATTAAATGTTATTATCTAATAGCCACTAATTTGTAAGAGGCATACCAAAAAATCAAGGAAAAAGTTCATTTAGGATCATTTAGGAGATTTTTTCTTTTTTTTTTTTTGAGATGGAGTCTCACTCTGTCGCCCAGGATGGAGTGCAGTGGTGTGGTCTCAGCTCACTGCAACTTCCACCTCCCAGGTTCAAGTGATTCTCCTGCCTCAGCCTCCCAAGTAGCTGAGCCTACAGGTGCATGCCACCACGCCTGGCTAAATTTTTTTATATTTTAATAGATAGGGTTTTGCCATGTTGCCCAGGCTGGTCTCAAACTCCTGACCTCAAGTGATCTGTCTGTTTCGGCCTCCCAAAGTGGTGGGATTACAGGAGTGAGCCACCACGCCTGGCCTTTTTTTTTTTTTTTTTTTTTTTTTTAAGAGATGAGGTCTTGCTATGTTGCCCAGGCTGTTCTTGAACTCCTGGCCTCAAGTGATCCTCCTGCATCAGTAGTTGGGATTAAAGGCACAATCCACATGCCTAACAGGAGACTGATTTTTTTAAATAAGGGAGACACAAAGTCAGGGAACCCTAGATTCATAACAGCTTGACTTATGAATTCTGCTTATACAATCTTTCTTATTATAAATGAGACATGTTCTCTCCTATTCTCACTAAAATAACCACATAAATTCACATTGTGACAAAGGCAATTACAAGTGATGCCACTGCTTGGTAACATGCTTGATCAATGTCAAGATTGCTGGCTGACTTGATAGACTCAGTTTGCAGCTAGCTGTCATTGAAGACATTACCATGGAAACATCCCCTCTCCTAGTATTAATCATGTAAAGACTTTCAGGTGCATTCATATGCCAAATTGGTAATGAAAAATTTTGAGACAGAAGATTCTAATATTAAATACCTTCAGAGGTCCTTGAAAGACAAAAATGTCTATAATTGCTATAGGTTAATTTTCTAGGATAAGAAAAATGCATCGTCAGACCAAATTTCACTGGATTTATACTTTAGGAAAGCTTATGCGATCCAGCCCATGCAGAGGAAGGTAATCCTTCTGACATAGCTTTTTCTGTTACCCAATGTTTAGTTTTACTTACTAAGTGCCCATAAATATTTGCTTTTAGGTTTATTTTCATAAGGTACATGTGGTGAAATGAACTCCAATGTAAATACTATGCCAGTAAGATATAAGGACCCAAATGATGAGAGTCTATTAGCACATTATCTGAGTAGCACAATGCAAGTACTAAGTATTACCTGTTCCTCCCTTTAGAATACAACAGACATTTATTGGGCATGTATTATGTGTAAATAAGTGTGTTAAATCTTAAGAGAAATGAGGATATGGATTTTGTCCTCATAAACTAGAATATGAAGAAATAATTTTTACCTTTGAAATATTCACATACCTGTGTAGTGTTTCACCAATTTCTGCAGAGTATCAAATTGTGCTCTGGTTGTGATATAGTATCCACCATTGTCAAGTTTCCTAATTTTGTAGTGTTTCACATTGTCACCCCTTATCTCATCCCAATCACGAATAGAAAGGGAATAAGCACCTGGGTGAAAAATAAATACTTTCACTATATCTTTCTCAAAATACTGCCCCAAGAAATTTTATACTTATACTAATATAACAATATTCATACCTTTAGTTGTTTCACTCTCTCTTACTAAGAAAATACCTCGTTGATTTCCAGGATTCAAAAGTAATCTTTCAGCATCTTTTCTCCCCATTTTGCCAAAATACCATCTGGAAAAAAATTAAGTGTTTTGAATTGAAAAGTATGAGGTTCAGAAAAATTATACAGAAGTGTCAGTAAGAATGGACTGGGATAGGTTTGGACGACAAAGAATAGCTAGAGAACATGGCTCAAAATACAGGAAAATGTAAGAGTTTTATTGATTAAATAGTAATATCACAAATATTACTGTTAGAATATACTCTTACAGTATTTCTATATATTAACTACTCAATGTGTCTCTCAAAACTCCACCTGACAGTCACAGGAACAGTAGAGAGGGAAAGGCAGCAAAATAACAGACCCTTTCTGTCAGTGACAAATGGAAATATTAAGACTATGACAGGAAGAATAGAAGTGGTTCCCTGGTAACAGCATCATCATCTGCATTCAGTAAGACACAGGCATATCATACCCAAATTATTAGTAACTCTAAATATGTGTGGGTTTAATTTAATAAGGTTTTGTGAATAAAATGACAGTGTCTGCTATGGAAGAGCTCACAGAAAATGAGAAGAAAGACAAAAGGACAAAACAAAAAGTAAGAAGCACCATAGTAGAACAAAGAGTTATTGAGACACATTACAAATCATTAATAAAAGCAAACAAACATTGATAGAGCACCTATCATATACAAGGTACGGTGTTAAGTGTTATAACATGAAAATAAAGTAGCGTTTATGAATCCCAGATAAACTGGTTTAACCTAAAAGTAGTGTGTCACTGAAGGTGAATTTTTACTTTTTAAAAGTTGCAAAAATAGGACACAGAACTCCCATACACCCTACAATAAACCCTACAACTAGGTTCCCCAATGGCTAACATTTTGCTTTGTCATACTCTCTCCCTCTCTACATATGTATGTGTGTGCATGTATATATATACACATGTATTTTTTCTTAACTAATTGTAAGTTGCAAACATGCTGAATTAGTGCCTCAAATACTTCAGTGTGTACTTGCTAAAAGAGAAGGATACTTTCCTACATAACTACAATGCAAGTGCTTAAATGAAGACATTAACAGTCATATAAAACTAACTGAAAGTAATATTCTTTCATGGGCATATTACTTTTATAATCATAAAATGATAATAAATCTCTGAAATATTTCAAAAATAGTAAAACCTTAAAGAATGTAAGTCTTTGGGCCAGGCACAATGGCTCACGCCTGTGATCCTAGCACTTTGGAAGGCTGAGGCGGGTGGATCACTTGAGGTCAGGAGTTTGAGACCAGCCTGGCCAATAGGCGAAACCCCGTCTCTACTAAAAATACAAAAATTAGCTGGGCGTGGTGGTGCATGCCTGTAGTCCCAGCTACTTGGGAGGCTGAGGCAGGAGAATTGCTTGAGCCTGGGAGGTAGAGGTTGCAGTGAGCCGAGATCACGCCACTGCACTCTAGCCTGGGCGACAGAGCCAAGACCCTGTCTCAAAAAAAAGAAGAATGTAAGTCTTGGCATCATAAATATGGGATGCATATATATACCAATATACCCATCCCTATCAACACACCCTCATATATAAGCTGTAAGTTAAAAAATAAGTCAAGGCAGGGAATGAGGATAATCAGAAGGCAAATTTTTGAAGTGAGACAGTCTGAAAAATATGCAAAAGGCTTATAGATACATATTTAAGTGAAAACATAAAAGAGAGAGACTAGGCATAAGGAAATATGACTGATGCAGATTCGTTTATGATCCTACTCTAAGTGAATAGTATGACATTAGTTATTAATTTTTAAGTAACATCTATTAATATGATACATAAGCTGTATTAAGACTGGTATATAATTCTGTGTGTGTAAAGTTGTGGCTAAGTAGAATGTGCATTAAAACATTTCAAAAATCAAAATAATTAATAAAATATGAAGTAGTGCCATACTCTTCTGCCTGAATGGAATCTGCAGGCGCTACATAATTGCTCGGGATATAACCATTCTTTCCTGTAGCGATTGATCTTGCTTCCCACCAATCTCCTTCCCTGCAACACATAAAACAGCAATCACCGCAAGGTAGACTATTGCCCAAGGTACAATATATTGCAGTGCTATCTTGTATCTGAAGTAAACAAAGGGTATTACTTTCATTTTTTATTTATGCATTCATTGGATGAAGAATTAAACTCAAAGAATGATATTAAAAAATAGGTTACATGAATTAAAGGAAGCACAATTGCATACTTCTGCTCCAAATAAAGCCTCAAAATCCTACACACTTAGTTATAAGATTTCTTTTTTTAACACAATTCTTTCAACCTAAGACAGACGATAGTGAATAAAACAATTTGGGAGGTAAATCTTTCAAATTACTCAGTATTCTTTTCTTTTTTTTTTTTTTAAAGCTTTAAGGTGTAATTTGCATGCCATAAAATTCCCCCACTTAAGATGTACAATTCACTAGTTTTTAATATATTTACAGAGTTGTACAACCATTATCACAATCAATTTTAGAATATTTTCATCACCCCCAAAAGAAACTCTGTACCCATTAGCAGTCACTCTGCACCCCCAACTACCTCCAACCACTGTCAACCACTAATCAGCTTTCTGTCTCTATGGATATGCCCACTGCATGCACCTTATATAAATGAAAATATGTGCATTTATGTGGTCTTTTGTAATTGACTTCTTTTACTTGGCATAATTTTTTAAAGGTTCATCTAGGTTATAGCATGTCTATCAGTAGTTCATTCTTTACTGACAAATGCTTTTCTCTTTATAGTACATAAAATTGTAATACTCTTTTTTACTCATTTTAGATAAAAAAAAAAATCACAATGCTCTAACATTCCTGTAGCCAGACAATTAACAATGAGCAACAAAGTTAAAAACTGAATTTCTGGGCCAGGCGTAGTGGCTCAAGCCTGTAATCCCAGCACTTTGGGAGGCTGAGGCAGGCAGATCACCTGAGGTCCAGAGTTCAAGACCAGTCTGGTCAACATGGTGAAACCTGGTCTCTACTAAAAACACAAAAATTAGCTAGATGCAGCGGCATGCACCTGTAGTCCCAGCTACTTGGGAGGCTAAGTCAGTAGAATCGCTTGAACCTGGGAGGTGGAGGTTGCAGTGAGCCGAGATCATGCCACTGGACTCCAGCCTGGGCTACAGAGCGAGACTCCATCTAAAAAAAACAAAGAAACAAAACAAAACAAAAACCCAAAAAAACTGCATTTCTGGCCGGGCGCGGTGGCTTACGCCTGCAATCCCAGTACTTTGGGAGGCCGGGGTGGGCAGATTACCTGAGGTCAGGAGTTCGTGACCAGCCTGGCCAACATGGTGAATGAAACCCTGTCCCTACTAAAAATACAAAAATTAGGTGGGAGTGGTGGCGTGTGCCTGTAATCCCAGTTACTCAGGAGACTGAGGCAGGAGAATCGCTTGAACCTGGGAGGCAGAGTTTGCAGTCAGCCAAGATCATGCCATTGCACTCCAGCCTGGGTGACAAGAGCAAAACTCCATCTCAAAAAAACAAAAGCAAAACAAAAAAACCCCCTGAATTTCTAGAATAATGCATACTTATAAAAATGTTATCTAGAAGGCTGGGCGCGGTGGCTCACGCCTGTAATCCCAGCACTTTGGGAGACCGAGGCAGGCGGATCACAAGGTCAGGAGATCGAGACCATCCTGGCTAACACGGTGAAACCCCGTCTCTACTAAAAAAAAAACAAAAAAAATTAGCCAGACGTGGTGGCGGGCGCCTGTAGTCCCAGCTACTCGGGAGGCTTAGGCAGGAGAATGGCATGAACCCAGGGGGCAGAGCTTGCAGTGAGCCGAGATTGCGCCACTGCACTCCAGCCTGGCGACAGAGCAAGACTCCGTCTCAAAAAAAAAAAAAAAAAGTTATCTAGAAATATTCCAGTAAGACCAAAATTAAATGATAATTCAGAACATGAGAACTACATGTGGTTTATAACACATAAGCCGTCATTTTTTCAAAATTAATGTGAAAAGACCAAATACAATTAGTCTTTAAATAGGAAGATAGATATGGGATTTGTTACTAAAGATTAAATTCATGTTTTGCTTCACCAAAGATAAAAACTGAAAAGGCACTGTCTAAATTAAAATGTTATAAATGCCTAGATAAATTTGCTCTCTAGAAAATGAATGAAAAATCCCTTAATAATTCAAATATTTAGAAACTCATACACTTGGTTTGTGGTTCCTCATATATACTAAGCACTTTCAGATACACAAACCAAAAACCTTGTATTTGATCCTGCTAAGCATTCATTGATTCACTCTAACATTTACTGAATACCTATTAAGTGACAGACTTTAGAGTGTGCTGGAAATAAAAGTAAAAAGACAGTCCTTGACTTCAAGGAATTCACAGTCTAGAGCTGGGTTTTCCAACTTCAGCACTATTGACACCTTGGACTTGATCATTCTTTGTTGTGGGAGGCTGCTGTGTGCGTTTTAAGATATTTACCAATATCCCTGGCCACTACTCACTAGAAGACAGCGGCAGCACCCCAACTGTGACAACCAAAAATGTCTCCAGATACTGCCAAATATCCCCTGGGTGATTCTGTCCCAGGTTGAGAACCATTGGTCTAAAAGAATAACAAGCAAGTGACAAATTGTAATTCAAAATGTGATGACAGCTATGATTGAGGTTTGCATAGGGTGCTATGTAAACACCTAAGAGAGATACTTAATCCAGCAGGGGATAAGGACTGGGCCAGGCAGGGGAGGAAGAATGTTAAGGAAAGGCATCTTGAGAAAGGACATATTAACTATATTTTGAAGGGTGAGTAGGATTAGCTAAATAAAGGAAAGAAATGGAAAGATGAGAAATCACATTCCAGAAAAAAGAAACAGTATGTGTGAAAGCATGAGAGTATAAGAAACTCCAGCGTACTCAGAAAATTGCAAGTAATTCAGTATGTCTGGGTATTAGAGTTAGAAGAGGGGAGAAGCACATAGTAAATTCTCAATGAATGATTGTTGTTATCATTGTCGTTTTCCTTTTATCTTGATGGCAAGTGGTAGGTACTGAATATTTTAAAAGTAGAAGGATATGACCATATTTTATGTTCCGGAACAATAACTGGTAGCAGATGGGAACATGGATGGAAGAAAATACGACTGGAAGCAGACCATAAATATATATTTTGAGAAGTTACAAAGTGGTCATTATGCTTGCTAATGAAATTATTCGATCTACTTTCTACAACGAGCATCAAATTTTCTACAGTGTACCTCTAGACAAAAAGTCTGTCACAAAAGGAAAAACACAACTTAATTTCATCAATTGGAAAGTAGATGGGTTCCTTACCCAACTTTCTCCCCCTCCTTTTTTTTTAATAGAATGAGACAAGATCTTTACACCATCTGGTACTTAGAAAAATAGGAGCATCAAACTCTCTTTATAAAGTTTTTTAAAAAAATAATACACTTGCATGTACTCCCCTCAGTAACTCTTCATTCTTAAATCTCTACTGTTTATGGCAGAACCACAGCAGCACAAATTGTAGAAGTAATAACTTCTGGCTACAGCAGCAGTGTTGCAACATGCATCTATAGAAGCCAATGCATCGTTAAACACAGTGGGCAGCCCATGCCCTACCTCTCTCATCTCTGGATCATCAACCAGCTCAGTGGTTCCTGTGTAAAGACCAGATTTCTGTCAGTATTTCTCTCACAAAATATTCATGACACTTACGTATTGTTAATTATTTGAAATCTTTCACCCTTCTTAAATGAAAGGTCTTCTGTAGTTCTAGCTTCATAATCATATAAGGCCACAAATATAGTAACACCACCTATCAGAGGGAAAAAAGACCAAGGTAAATTATGTAGCTAACTTAACAAAACAGAAAAAAAGAACTATTGCCAGCCAAAAAAAAAAAAGCTTAAGGATAGTTTTTTCTGTAGTCTCCAGAAACTATTTTTAGAAGTTGGAACTACTGAAGAATTTTAAAGTAGAGAGACATGACCATATTTTATGTTCTGGGACAATAACTCAATAACTGGTAGCAATAACTAGTCTTAAACTCTCCGAAGACCTTCCATAAAACTACTGTATTCTACAAATTATAAAACTCTGTAGACTTGGAGAAACAAATTTAATTTTGTTTCTTTTTGAGACAAAGTCTCACTCTGTCACCCAGGCTGGAGTGCAGTGGTGTGATTTTGGCTTGCTGTAACCTCTGCCTCCTAGGTTCAAGTGATTCTCATGCCTCAGCTTCCCAAGTAGCTGGGATTACAGGCATGTGCCGCCACACCTAGTTAATTTTTTTGTATTTTTAGTAGAGACAGGGTTTCACTGGGTTAGCCAGGTTGGTTTTGAACTCCTGGCCCCAAGTGATTCGCCTGCCTTGACCTCCCAAAGTGCTGGGATTACAGACGTGAGCCACTGTGCCCAGCCAACAAATTTAATTTTGACTCACTGTAGCAACATCTCAGGCTTGGAAATGCAGTCAAATTTCAAATCAATTATTTGACAGAAAAAGGATTGATGACTACTACAAACTAGTGGGGCAGTGTTCTTCATATAAATAATGAATGAACAATTGCATCTAATCATTACCAGTAATAACTAATTTACTAGTTTTAGCAAAATTATTACATATTTAACACTTAAAGATAAAAATGTCATGTTTTGTCTTAAATGGTATCAGACGGTCACAGTGGTTCACGTCTGTAATCTCAGCACTTTGGGAGGCCGAGGTGGGCAAATCACTTGAGGCCAGGAGTTCGAGACCAGCCTGGTCAACAGGGCGAAACCCTGTCTGTACTAAAAATACAAAAATTAGCCAGGCATGGTGGCGCATGCCTGTAATCTCAGCTACTTGGGAGGTTGAGACAGGAGAATCGCTTGAAACCCGGAAGTGGAGGTTGCCATGAGCCGAGATTATGCCACTGCACTGTAGCCTGGGTGACACAGCAAGACTCTGTATCAAAAAAATAAATAAAATAAAATGGTATGGATGATATGAATTATAAAGTATAAATTCAAAAACTGTCATATTTAGCATTATGTGCAGATGCTTAAAGAGATTAGCATACTGAACAGCCAAACTATTATTTGCAAACAAAACAAATAATAAAACAGATGTATACAATATGCATGACATCTCAGTGTTAAAATTATTCAAGGCAGGTATTCAGGTTAAAAACTCCATAATATATTAATATTCTTTTAAAAAACTGTATATATTTATTGCATACAACATGATGCTTTGAAATATATATACATTGTGGAATGGCTAAGTAGAGCTAATTAACGTATGCATTGCATCACATATCATTTTTGTGGTGAGAACACTTAAAATTTTGTTAGTAATTTTCAAGAATACAATATATTGTTATTAACTGTGTTCTACAATAGATCTCTTGAACTTACTCCTCCTATCTAAATTTTGTATCCTTTAGCCAACATATTTTTAATTTGAATATGTATATACTCTACTCAACATAATCCCACTGACTTGTCAGATCAAAAAAAAATTTTTTCTTTTTTGAGACGGAGTCTTGCTCTGTTGCCCAGGCTAGAGTGCAGTGGTACGATCTGGGCTCACCACAACCTCACCTCCTGGGTTCAAGCTATTCTCCTGCCTCAGCGTCCTGAGTAGCTGGGATTACAGGCGTGCACCTCCACGCCCAGCTAATTTTTGTATTTTTTGTAGAGATGGGGTTTCACCATGTTGGCCAGGCTGGTCTCAAACTCCTGACCTCAAGTGATCTACCTGAGTCGGCCTCCCAAAGTGCTAGAATTAAAGGTGTGAGCCACCCTGCCCGGCTGACATCTTTACTTGAATGTCTAATAAGCATTTAAAATTTATTACAAAACAAAGCTCTTGATTTTTCTCCTCTAACCTATATTTACATACCCAAGTCTTTCCTATCTAAGTAAATGGCCCTACCATCTAATCAGGTACTCAAGCCGAGTCCATTACTAGTGCTATCAGTTTTACCTCTAAAATACTATTTACTTTCCATTTCCACTGCTGCTACCCTAACCCAAGTCCTTGTCATTTCTCACAGGGACTGGGTGGACTACTGAGAGTGCCAGTCTCATCTGCTTCTATACTGCTTCTCTACCATCCATTCCCCACACAGATGTCAGAGTCAGTTTTTCTCAAAAGAAAATTCAATCAAATCCTTTACTTAATCTCTTCAGCAGTTTCTTCCTAGCTTTGAATAAAACCTAAACTCGCTACCAGAGTCTGTGGGGTCCTGAGTAATCGTGGTCTCCTAACTCTTCAATCCCATATAATACAATTCTCCCCTCTGTTTATACTAGTCTCCACACTAATACTCAAAACTTCCAAGTCTCTCTGTATCTCCTAAATGTTGCATTTGTTATTTCCTCTCTCTAGAAAGCTCTTTCCCAGGATTGCACATAGGTGGGTCATTCTCACTTATCAAATATCAGCTCAAGGCTGGGTGCGGTGGCTCACGCATGTAATCCCAGCACTTTGGGAGGCCAAGGCAGGCACATCCCCTAAATCAGGAGTTTAAGACCAGCCTGGCCAACGTGGTGAAACCCCGTCTCTACTAAAGTACAAAAAAAATTAGCCGGGTGCCGTGGTGTTTGTTTCTTGTTATCTCAGCTACTCGGGAGGCTAAGGCAAGAGAATGGCTTGAACCTGGGAGGCAGAAGGTTGCAGTGAGCCAAGACTGCGCCACTGCACTCCAGCCTGGGTGACAGAGAGAGACTCCAACTCCAAAAAAAAAAAAAAAAAATCTCAGCTCAAATGATTTCTTCTTGAGATAGCTTTCCCTGATTAACTGCAGGGCCTTCACCATCATTCTAGTTAGTTCCTTCATAGCATTTAAGGATCATTAATCATCCATCCTGTTTAGCTGTTTATTCATTAATTATTGTCCAACCCTCTATAATGTAAGCTCCATCAGAACAGAAACTTTGTCTTGCTCACCTCTCCATACCTGATACACAGACACTGAGTGTACACTGAGTTAATAAATGAATACCCCTAATAGAATATTTCATATAAGTAAATTGCTTTAGGTAACTAAAGTGTGTCTTTAAGTATCAATATTCAACCATTTTAGATTACTATCTTTCCCAAACATAACTCTAAAAGTAAACTTTTGCTAAAGACTTAGAAATGCCCTCATGGCCATCTACTACTGAAGTATTCAGAATTAGGGGGCTGGAATTAAGACTGTAATTGACTTAACATGCATAACTCCCTAAATGAAGTCTAACAGAATCAGTGTATGGCAGTCCTCTGGCCATTGCCTTTTTTTTTTTTTTGGAGACAGAGTCTCGCTCTGTCACCTAGGCTGGAATGCAGTGGCGCAATCTTGGCTCACTGCAATCTCTGCCTCCTGGGTTCAAGCACTACTCGTGCCTCAGCCTCCCGAGTAGCTGGGACTACAGGTGCGCAACACCACACCTGGCTAATTTTTTTTGTATTTTTAGTTGAGACAGTGTTTTGCCATGTTGCCCAGGCTGGTCTCAAACTCCTGAGCTCAGGCAATCTGCCTGCCTCAGCCTCCCAAAATGCTAGGATTACAGGTGTGAGCCACTGCGCCTGGCCTGGCTATTGTTTTTGGTCCAGTTGGAACAGACTGAAGAGACAAATGTATAGTCAGTCTATGCTTGTAGTGGGGATTTATCTTTTGCACCCACTGGCTGTTAATGAGGACATATATTGCTTGATTTGATGCTGGCAGCTGTTTTGCCAAGCCTAAGGATAAAGCAGACACTCCCAAGGGCTGCAGAATAGAGATAAAGAAATCTGAGTCCTTGATGACACCATGGAACTGCTCTATCAAGGAATCCTGAAACTCACTCTACCTTTTTAAGCCAGCTATACTTTGTTACTTCAGTGAAAAAGCATCCTGATACGGGACCCTTTACAAAAGAGCTCATTTTCTCTCTTTTAAAATTGTTTGAATCTATTTTTTTAAGAGCCTTCTGTCTCCACGAAAGGTTGTCAACAATCACTTCTTGCTATTCTCTAAAAGGATATAATAATGTAATAATTGGAGTTCTGGAATAGGACAATAAATCTGAGCTCTCCTACTTACTATCTGTGACTTGGGGGAAAATTTTAAACTGTCTGAGCTTTAGGATTTTTCTTTTTTAAATCAGCAGCATCTGGGAGAAATTCTGTATTATCGCTACTCTACTGTCATTTAATTAACATCTATTAAGTAACCACTATAAGACTTTAATACTGCAAAGTACTTTACAATCCTGAGAAGTTGTCAAATTCTTGAGGGAAAGGTATATGTTTTTAATCTTTATGTTCCCGGTGCCTACAGTGGGGGGGGGCTCAATAACTATTTGAATAATGAGTTAATAAAATAATTAATGACATGATCCAGTACATAATCACCATCAGGTTACTACCAATTTTCCAGAACCATACCCATGTATACAATAAAACTAATTTTTATGTTAGAGACTGATTTTCACATACAATTATTTGAAAAGTCCTCAAGTAAGATATCTTTCTTAAAGGCAGACAAGCCTTAAGTATATATTACCCAAGGTGATGTTCTCAAACAGACAACATAATTGTCCATTTAAATCTCACCTGTTAAACCAGCAGGATATGAACTTGGCACCACTGAAAATGAGGAAGATGCACCTCCAAAAGGCGTTACCCCTGAGGATCCTCCAAATGGTGTCATGGAAAGACTGCTGAAATTAACTGCTGTTCCCTTTGCTGAAGATGACGGACATGGTGACACTGTAGTGGGTTCTGCTCCATAATGGCTCACACTTGTACTGACAGGCTCTGGAGTATTTTCAGGTCTGTATTTAATGGCTGGACTTTTGTTTTCTTTACTTTTAATGCAGCCCATTATCAAATCTACAGAGACAATAAAATATTTTGAGAGTCAGTTAACACACAGGATACTTCAAAAAGACAGGGTTCAAAAAATCATTTTAAGAAAAGCATATGCCATCCCTGCAAAAAGGAACATAAACAAAACAAAAAATAGAAAGCTGAAAACGAGGTCTCTTCCCCTCATTTATCTTTATTACAATTTGCAAAAGCCCTACTCCAATCGCTTCATTCTCCAACTCAATCACCTTTAATAGTCCAATGACAACATGCCACAGTATATTGGGAAAAAACCATGGGCTCTGAAGCCAGAGAGGCCTAAATTTGAATCCTGGCTTCCTACTTAGTAGTGGAGTGATTTCAGGGTATGTTGCTTAACCTCTATGCACTCCAGTTACTTGAAAAAGTATCGCTGGGCGCAGTGGCTCACGCCTGTAATCCCAGCACTTTGGGAGGCCAAGGCGGGCGGATCACGAGGTCAGGAGATTGAGACCATCCTGGCTAACACGGTGAAACCCCGCCTCTACTAAAAATGCAAAAAATTAGCCGGGCGTGGTGGTGGGCGCCTGTAGTCCCAGCTACTCGGGAGGCTGAGGCAGGAGAATGGCGTGAACCCGGGAGGCGGAGCTTGCAGTGAGCAGAGATCGCGCCACTGCACTCCAGCCTGGGCGACAGAGCGAGACTCCGTCTCAAAAAAAAAAAAAAAAGAAAGAAAAAGTATCTGGGGGGCCAGGCGCAGTGGCTCACACCTGTAATTGTAGCACTTTGGGATGCCTAGGCGGACCGATCACTTGAGGTCAGGAGTTCAAGACCAACCTGGCCAACACAGTGAAACTCTTGTCTCTGATAAAAATACAAAAATTAGCTGGGCGTGGTGGTGCACACCTGTAATCCCAGCTACTAGGGAGGCTGAGGCATGAGAATCACTTGAACCCAGGAGGAAGAGGTTGCAGTAAGCTGACATCGTGCCAGTGCACTCCAGCCTGGGTGACAGAGTAAGACTCTGTCTCAAAAAAAATAAAAAATAAAAAAGCATCTGGGTGATAAAATTATCTGTTAAAAAAAAAAGAAAAAGAAAGAAAACAAAATAGAAAAAAAAGAGAAAAACCTACCTCATAAGGTTTACTATGAGGATTAACTTTATTACAAATTCTAGACAATCTGGCACACAATGGGTACTAGCAAATACTGTTGTATTCTGTCTATACCAGGACTATGTCAACAGAAATATAATCTAAGTCACAAATGTGAGCCACATAATTTTAAATTTTCTAATTTAGTGTAGCCATATTAAAAAAATACAAAGAAACAGGTAAAATTAACTTTAGTATTTTATTTAACCCAGTATATAAAAAACATTTATTTCAACATGTAACCGATATAAACATTTTAATGACATTTTATTTTTTCATACTGAGCCTTAAAAATCTGATGTGTATTTTGTACTTGAAGTACATCTCAACTGGACTAGAGACATTTCAAGGGCTCAAGAGTTGTATATGGCTAGTGGCTATCATACAGGACAAAGTAGATCTATACCTTTTCCCTTCCCTGTCAATGGAAACACCCCTAACGCTCACCAAATTTAACCCCAATCTATCTTTCCAACCTTTCCAACTTTATTTCCTACTGTCCTCATACTTACGCTCACACACACACAAATCTTGTTTCCCCAGTGCATATGCCCTGTGCTTTCCCATTTTGGGTTTCTTTTTCCCCCTTCTAAAATTGTCTCTGTTCCAAGTATTCTCCCCACCTCTCTACCTGCTAAAATCCTATCCTTTCACTGATGGTCATCACAAATGTTACTTTTCCATTCAGGCTTTCCTTATAATCAGTAAAATATCTTTTCTCTTAAAACCCACAATATACCTTTGGGGAGATTTTCTTATGAGGCTCACTTTATTCCATTTTATATACCATTTTTAATTTACTGGTCAAATCCCAACCTACCCCCAAATTAATGGCAATACACTCCTTCAAAACAAGAGTTGTGCTTTACTCATCGCTTACCTACCGTATTATCTATCATATAGGTTTACTAACATTACAAAATCTGCATTATTCTATTCACTGTCTACAGAAGCACTAATATAGAATTCATTAATTCACTTAACTTTCAAAGGTCATTCTTATTTGTATAGTTTTTCCCTTTCTATGACATTCAAAAGGAAGTAGGTGAGTGTTGGCCGCCTCATAAATTCTGAAAGACTAAACATTTACAACCTCAGCTGTATAATAATAATTTAAAATGTAGCTACATATATTAAAATAGAAGCAGTCTCAGAACCTCAGAATTGGGTTTTAGATCACTCTCTTAAATTGGTATATTCTAAAGATGTGAGTTAACTATAAGCATCAAAATATAACCGGGGCTAGGCGCGGTGGCTCACGCCTGTAATCCCAACACTTTGGGAGGCCAAAATGGGTGGACAGCCTGAGGTCAGAAGTTTGAGACCAGCCTGGCCAACATGGTGAAACTCCGTCTCTATTAAAAATACAAAAATTAGCTGGGCGAGGTGGCGGGCGCCTGTAATTCCAGCTACTTGGGAGGCTGGCGCAGGAGAATTGCTTGAACCCAGGAGGCGGAGGTTGCAGTGAGCCAAGATTGTGCCATTGCACTCCAGCCTGGGCGACAAGAACGAAACTCCGTCTCAAAAAACAAACAACAAAAACCCATAACCGGATCTGGAAACTTAATATACGGTCTTTTGTATCTATGAGTTCTGCATCCATGGATTCAGCCAAGATTCAAAAGTTTCAGAAAAAAATTGTGTCTGTACTAAATAACGTACAGACTTTTTTTCCTTGTCATTATTCCCTAAACAACATAGTACAATAACTATTTACACTGTATTAGGTATTATAAGTAATCTGGAGACAATTTATTTATTTCTTTTTTTCTTTTATTATTATTATACTCTAAGGTTGTAGGGTACATGTGCACAACGTGCAGGTTACATATGTATACATGTGCCATGTTGGTGTGCTGCACCCATTAACTCGTCATTTACATTAGGTATATCTCCTAATGCTATCCTTCCCCCCTCCCCCCACCCCACGACAAGCCCCGGTGTATGATGTTCCCCTTCCTGTGTCCAAGTGTTCTCATTGTTCAATTCCCACCTATGAGTGAGAACATGCAGTGTTTGGTTTTCTGTCCTTGTGATAGTTTGCTCAGAATGATGCCTTCCAGCTTCATCCATGTCCCTACAAAGGACGTGAACTCATCCTTTTTTATGGCTGCATAGTATTCCATGGTGTATATGTGCCACATTTTCTTAATCCAGTCTATCACTGAGGGACATCTGGGTTGGTTCCAAGTCTTTGTTATTGTGAATAGTGCAATCTGGAGACAATTTAAAGCATACAGGGGGACTGGGCACAGTGGCTCACACCTGTCATCCCAGCACTTTGCAGGGACAAGGCGGGTGGATCACCTGAGGTCAGGAGTTTGAGACCAGCCTGGCCAACATGGTGAAACCCTGCCTCTACTAAAAATACAAAAGTTAGCCACGTGTGGTGGTGCGCACCTGTAGTCCCCGCTACTCGGGAGGCTGAGGCAGAAGAATCGCTTGAATCTGGGAGGCGGAGGTTGCAGTAAGTCAAGATTATGCCACTGCACTCCAGCCTGGGTGAAAGAGTGAGATTCTGTCTAAAAAAAACAAACAAACAACAACAACAACAACAAAAACCCCAAAAAACCGCATATGGGGGATTTGTGCACAGGTTATATACAAATACATGCCATTTTATATCATGGACTTGAGCATCTGGGGATTTTGGTATCCACAGGAGGTTCTAGAAGGCTCTACAATTTCCCATGGATCTTGAGGGATGACTAAAGTGAAAATATTGTAAAGGAATTATAAGCTAAATATATAAAAGGCAGTTGCTTCTAAAAGTATTAGAAAAAATTAAAGGTAAGTAGTTTCATAATCTAAAGTTGGAAAAGTCTTTTAAAGTATAAAGTAACTTCCACATTGAGAGGGGCAGGGGTGGGGACAGAAGTTTAAGAGAAGCTAAAATATCTTTGTACTTGCTCATGCTTTCTTGTTCTCTCAATATATAATAAATGTACACATGTGGAATCTGGTTGACACTCTTAATACAGACAACTCTTATGCATGAAAAGAAAAAGTCCAACAGAAAAACATGAAAACCTATCAAGAGACAATTCACAACACAGGAAAGGCCAATTAACATATGAAAATGCATCCAACCTTCCCAGTCTTCCAAGAAATGCACATTATAAGAAGATACCTTTTGTGGTTACCAGACTGGAAGATTTTGACTCAATATACTTAAGCCTGAAGGCAAAATTGTAACAATCAATATATATCCACAAAATATGTAAAAACTGGGAGGGGGAAAGGTCTACTGTTCCCCACCCCACTTTCTGTCAGGGCCAAGCACTGTTCTTTGCCGTTTAAAAAAAAAAAAAAAAAGTTTAACTGTAAAAATCTTAAAAGTCGGTACAAGGAATTTACAAAATTACCTGCATCCAAAGTCTAAATATCAAGAAAACAGCATTAATTATTACATAAATTATACTTTGAAAGAACAGCAGTTGTATGAAGGAGGAAAAATTATGGGGGAAACCCAGTAATACTGTAATTTAAATTCTGATAGGAGGCCAACTCGGAAATACCATGTCAATTCACAACAGAGGCTCCTATAATTGCCCAACTACCTCAGTTTCCATTCCCAGCTTAATTCCTCATCCTCACCTCCTTTACCCATAACCATCTTAAAGTCCTCTTCCCTCAAAAGTCACACCTTTTCTCCTCACCCTATCAAGTCTTCCATTACTATGCTTAACCTGTCCTCCAGCCTCATTTTCTTAATCCAGAGTATTGAGCCTAATGCCTCACACATCTACGCACTTATCTTTCCAATAACTCTAGGATAGCCCATTAATTTCAGTCCAATTCCACCAGCACCCCAGTATCAATGCATAGGACCCATCATTGCTGCTCATCTCATTTTGAAATATTACTAATGTCATACGTGATTCACATTTTTAAGTAAATTTCAGGTGCAATATGAGTTAAACTGATTTTTATGGGTTGTCTTAGAAACGTTAACATCATGGCTGGGCATCGTGGCTCATGCCTGTAATCCCAGAACTTTGGGAGGCCAAGATGGGAGGATCACCTGAGGTCGGGAGTTTGAGACCAGCCTGACCAATGTGGAGAAACCCTGTCTCTACTAAAAATACAAAATTAGCTGGGCGTGGTGGTGCATGCCTGTAATCCCAGCACTTTGGGAGGCCAGGGTGGGCGGATCACCTGAGATTGGGAGTTTGAGACCAGCCTGACCAATGTGGAGAAACCCTGTCTCTACTAAAAATACAAAATTAGCTGGGCGTGGTGGCCCATGCCTGTAATCTCAGCTACTCAGGAGGCTGAGGCAGGAGAATCGCTTGAACCCAGGAGGCAGAGGCTGCGGTGAGCCGAGATTGCGTCATTGCACTCCAGCCTGGGCAACAAGAGCGAAACTCCATCTCAAAAAAAAGAAAAAAGAAATGTAACATCATTTAAAACATTTATATGGAAACCTACCTGTTGGATATTACACTGATTACCTGGGTAACAAAATTTATCTGTAGGCCAAACCCCACAACACACAATTTACCCATGTAACAAACCTGCACGTGCACCCCTTGAATCTAAAATAAAAGATGGAAAGAAAAAACAAACAATAAACCAAACAAGAAAAATCCCCCAAAATAAAAAAATAAAACATTTATATGGAAAAGTCTCTTCCAAGTTCCAAGCTACTGACTTATATATTCATTAATAACATACATTATGGGATTAAAAAAAACTATATACTGGGTACAACGTACACTACTCCGGTGACGGGTGCACCAAAACCTCAGAATTCACCACTACATAATTCATCCATTTAACCGAACACCACTTGTACCTCAAAAGCTATCAAAATAAAACCAAAAACTAAAAATATTGTATATTAGACACTGTAAAAGGAGCTGGGAGGACAATAAATGGTCCCTTTTCATTAAAAGGTCACAAATGTATGAAACAAATACAACACTGTACAATGTGAAAAATGCTAGAGTGTGACAAAATGTTAGAGTGGAGGTATGTACAAAATACCATGGAAATACAACAAATGTTATCAGCTCTGCTTAAAGCACTTAGGAAAAAAAGTTTTGCAAAGGAAGTGGTATCTGAGCTTGGTCTTGAAGAGTTGGAGACTTGGGGGAAAGAAAAGGATATTCCAGGAAGAATGAAAAGTGTACAGAATGGCTCAGATGCTTGAAACAGCATGGTTCATTTTAGGAACAGAAAATTTCTCTGTTCCAAGAGTGTGAGGGGCTGTTTGTGAGCTGGGTAGGACAGGCAGCTAGAGGAGATTTAATATAGAAGATTATTTGTTATGCAATAACTTTTAGACTTTCTCCAGGGAGCATTAGGAATCCAGAATTTTTGTTTTGAGGAATAGCAGAAGATATGTGTTTTATAATAACTATGACAAAAGGATGAATTATACAGCCTAGAAAGAAGAAAAAATGACAGCAGTTAGACAAGTTATAAAACTATTCCAACTGACCCATGTGAGAAAAGGCAAAAGCAGCCAGGTGTGGCGGCTCATGTCTGTAATCTCAGCATTTTGGGAAGCTGAGGTGGAAAGATTGCTTGAGCCTAGAAATTTGAGAGCAGCCTGGGCGTCATGGCAGAACCCCGTCTCTACAAAAAATACAAAAAATTACCCAGTTGTGGTGTGTGGTGGCACATCCCTATAGTTCTAGCTACTTGGGAGGTTGAGGTGGGAAGATCACCTGAGCCCAGGGAGGTCAAGGCTGCAGTGAGCTGTGATCGTGCCACTGCACTCCATCCTGGATGACAGAGGAGATCCTGTCTTCAAAAAAAAAAAAAAAAAAAAAAGACGAGCTGGAACAGTGTGGGGCCAGTGATAATGGGGGAAATGAGAAGTGTATAAGTATAATAATCAAGGTTGTCAGTTAAATATGGAAAGAGGAGACATTAAGAAAAAGTCGAGGCCAGGCGCAGTGGCTCACATCTGTAATCCCAGCACTTTGGGAGGCCGAGGCGGGCAGATCATGAGGTCAGGAGATCGAGACCATCCTGGCTAACAGGGCGAAAACCCGTTTCTACAAAAAATAGAAAAAATCAGCGGGGTGTGGTGGCGGGCACTGTAGTCCCAGCTACTCGGGAGGCTGAGGCAGGAGAATGGCATGAACCCGGGAGGCGGAGCTTGCAGTGAGCCGAGATCACACCACTGCACTCCAGCCTGGGCGACAGAGCGAGACTCCCTCTCAAAAAAAAAAAAAAAGAAAAAGTCATTCATTCTTCAGTATTTATTGAACCTTTTAAAGTACTTACTATACGTGTATTAAGGGTTGGCTGACTCCAAAGTTTCCAGTTTTTTATTTTTTTTGAGACTGAGTCTCACTCTTGTTGCCTAGGCTAGAGCACAATGGTACAATCCCGGCACACTACAACCTCTGCCTCCTGGATTCAAGTGATTCTCCTGACTCAGCCTCCCAAGTAGCTGGGATTATAGGCATGTGCCACCATGCCCGGCTAATTTTGTATTTTTAGTAGAGACAGAGTATCACCATGTTTGTCAGGCTGGTCTCGAACTCCTGACCTCAAGTGATCCACCTGCCTTGGCCTCCCAAAGTGCTGGGATTACAGGCGTGAGCCACCGTGCCTGGCCAAAGTTTCTAGTTTTAACCAAGTGGAGAGTAACACCATAATTAAGGTAGAGGACAGAGGAAAAGATTTTTTGGACCAGTTTCAGATGGTTCGTTTTAGGTTCATGCTGTGAAGTCTGGTGGGGGATTAATAATATGTTTAAAGCTCAGAAAAAGATGGAAGCCAGAGATAGATTAAACAAAAATAGTTTCATAATTTATCTGAATCTTTCTTTTTTCTCTCTTTTTTTTGAGACGGAGTCTCGTTCTGTCACCCAGGCTGGAGTGCAGTGGCGCGATCTCGACTCACTGTAACCTCCGCCTCCTGGGTTCATGCGATTCTCCTGCCTCAGCCTCCCGAGTAGCTGGGATTACAGGTGCACACCACCACACCCGGCTAATTTTTTGTGTATTTTTAGTAGAGACCGGGTTTCACTATGTTGGCCAGACTAGTCTCAAACTCCTGACCTTGTGATCCGTCCGCCTTAGCCTCCCAAAGGGCTGAGATTACAGGCGTGAGCCACCTCGCCCGGCTTATCTGAATCTTTTAAAGATAACAGAACTCTCAAATAATGTACAGCTTTAGAGGAAATCAAAAGAATTAACACAATGTTGGAGGACACCTACATACAAGCATAAGACAGGGAGAGAAATTAGGAAGCAACCATTAGAGTTGGGAATACCTCCATAGATACGAAAAGATAATCATCAACTTCAAGACACTGGACAGGTTTGGGAAAGAGTTACAACTATATATATATATATATATATATATATATATATATATATATATATCTGTAGCAATTTTTTCATTATATGAAACATGAAGCAAACAGAGAAAATGTTAGTGTGTTAAATGTGGATAAATTATTTTTGTTTGAAGTATTTTATAATTTAACACTTTTTTTTTTTTTTTTTGAGACGGAGTCTCGCTCTGTCGCCCAGGCTGGAGTGTAGTGGCGTGATCTTGGCTCAGTGCAACCTCCCGCTCCCCGGTTCAAGCGATTCTCCTGCCTCACCCTCCCCAGTAGCTGGGATTACAGGCGTGTACCACCACACCCAGCTAATTTTTTGTATTTTTAGTAGAGACACGGTTTCACCTTATTGGCCAGTCTGGTCTCGAACGCCTGACCTTGTGACCCACCCACCCTGGCCTCTCAAAGTGCTGGGATTACAGGCGTGAGCCACCGCACCCGGCCAATTTAACACTTTTTAATAAGGAGTAAAATAAGTGGGAATAAACAGACTTTCAGGAAGAAAATGGCTAATAGTGTTAAAGACAAAATCAAGTCAAGTGGCACTTAAAATGATTTTTTTAAAGGCCAGCTGATTAGTAATTTGGAGCTCACTGGTGACTTTACCAAGAGCATTTCTTAACATCATGAAGACAAAAGCGAGATTGCAGTAAGTTGAAGAATAATAAGTGAGCCATGAAATGAGGTAATCTTTGGAATATCTTCATAAGTTGGGAACACATGCATTATCAAGATGTTTCCTATCATTTCTTTGTCTACTTCACTGATCCTCTACTTCACAGTATTAGTGTAATCAAATACAGTTGCCACTTGGTTAGTCAACAGCCATTCTTCCTCTTCTTTGATAAAAAGAACTGTGATTTTGTTGATCCTTCTTACGTTTGCCAAGTCCTTCAGGGGAGGCTCAGTGCCTATCCAGCCCTACGTAGTAAATATTGATTTATTTAAGCCACTTACACGGTCTTATCTCTATTGCCAGTTGGCTAGTTGAGCCATGAGCATGGGCTTCCAGGAAGTTTTCCCCACTTGTAAAGAGGAATACAAGACAGAAATATTCTATTTTCTTTCCATAGATGTTATCATCGATGATGCCTAGATCAAATGACTTGCTCCACATCCTTAAGACTTGTTATTAACACTTTTAAAAACTGCTAATTAAATGTAAGTTAAAACCGCAAAGGGATAGCACTACATGATTAGTGAAAGATGATTATCTTTTCTATGTTTTCGTATTTATGGAAGTATTCCCAACTCTAATAGGAAGCAACCATTAGAGTTAGGAATACTTCCATAAATACAAAAACATAGAAAAGATAATCATCAACTTCATTCTAGAATCAAAACATTCTAATTTCTCATTCTAATTGGTATGTAGTGATATCCCTTTGTGGTTTTTACATTTCCCTAATGACTACACCTTATTTTGAGCATGTTCTCATGTGCTTATTTGCTTCCCATCTCTACTTTGGTGACGTGACTGTTCAAATCAGTTTTTAAACTAAAGTGTCTGTTCAAATCAAATTTTTAATTGGGCTGTCTTCTTTCTGTTATGTTCTGGAAACAAGAATATTTACTACTCTAACACTATTATATTCTTTATATATTCTGGAATCTAGTTCTCTGTCAGATGTTTATACTAAACTGTGATATTTCTCCCAGTTCATAGGTTGCCTTTGCATTTCCATAACAGTATCCTTGAACATGCTTTTAAATTTTAAGTTCAATTAAAATTTTTTATTTTTATGGTTTATGTTTTATGTGTCCGGAAAATTCTTCACCAGAAGATTTTCTACATGTTCATCTGTAAGTCTGAACTCTTCTGTAAGTCTGAACTCTTCTGTAAGTCAGGCCTATCAAGCCATTTTAAGCTAATTTTTGAATATATTATAATAGTCTTACATTCAAAAAAAATTTTTTTTGAGACAAGGTCTGGCTACTCTGGCTGGAGTACAGTGACATGATAATGGGTCACTGAAACCTTCCCCTTCCAGGCTCAAGACATCCTCTTATCTCAGCCTTCTGAGCAGCTGGGACTATAGGCGAGCACCACCACGCCTGGCTCATTTTTGTATTTTTTTGTAAGGACAGAGTTTCACTATGTTGTCCAGGCTGTTCTGGAACTCGTGAGCTCAAGCAATTCGCCTGCCTCAGCCTCCCAAAGTGATGGGATTACAGACATAAGCCACAATGCCCGGCCCCATGTTCAATTTTTTAAAACTCGATATCTAGTTCTCCTAGTACAATTTGTTGAAAAACCTATCCATTTCCCACTGAATTACCTTGTTACCTTTGTCAAAAAGCAATTAACCATGTATGTGTGTAGGTCTGCTTTCATTCCCTATTTTTCCCATTGTCCTACATATCTATTCTCATGTCAATGACGATAGTCGTCATTACTGTAGCTTTACTGTGTCTTGAAATTATATAATATAAAGCCTCCAGTTTTTTCATTTTTATTTATTTTTTGAGTCAGAGTCTCGCTCTGTGCCTAGGCTGGAGTACAGGGGCACGATCTCGGTTCACTGCAACCTCCATCTCCTGGGTTCAAGTGATTCTCCTGCCTCAGCTTCCCAAGTAGCTGGGATTACAGACGTGCACCACAACAACTGGCTAATTTTTGTATTTTTAGTAGAGATGGGGTTTCACCATGTTGGCCAGGCTGGTCTCAAACTCCTGACCTCAAGTGATCCAACCGCCTCGGCCTCCCAAAGTGATGGAATTACAGGCATGAGCCACTGTGCCCAGCCTTTTTCATCTTTTTCAAAATTGCTTTAAATACTCTAGGGCAGGGTCAGCAAATTTATTCTGTAAAATATTTTAAGCTTTGTGGACCATATGGTGTCTGTAACAACTACTCAACTCTGCTGGTTTACTGCAAAAGCAGGCTCAGACAATACGCACAACACACTAAGTGTGGCAATGTTAAAAAACCATTTCCAAAAGCAGGCAGTTGGCTTGCTAAGACCTGCCAAACCATGCATGAGGGTCTTTGCATTTCCATACAAATTTTAAAATCTCTACAAATTTTAATCATACAAATTTTAGAATCTCCACAAAAATGCCTGCTGGGATTCTGACTGGGATTATTCTTAATCTATAGATCAATCTGGGGAGAAATGATATTTTAAGAATACTGACTTCCGCTTGATCCATGAATGTGGTATTTTATTTATTTGGGCATTTACAGACTTTTCCCAGCAGTGTTTTATAGTTTTCAGTGTACAGGTCTTGTCCAATTTTTGTACAGCTTATCTCTAGACACTATGGTTTATGCCATTATAAATGTTACTACTTTATTTCTATTTCCAACTCTTCATCACTAACATATACCATCATGTGCAGCGTAACATTTTGGTCAAGGAGGGACCACATATATGACGGTGGTCCCGTAAGATTATAATACTGTATTTTTACCATACCTTTTCTATGTTTAGATATGTTATTTATTTATTTATTTATTTATTTTTGAGACAGGGTCTTGCTCTGTCACCCAGCCTGGAGTGCAGTGGTGTGATCTCGGCTCACTGCAACCTCCGCTTCCCAGGTTCAAGAGATTCTCGTGCCTCAGCCTCCCGAGTAGCTCGGATTACAGGCATCTGCCACCACGCCTGGCTAATTTTTGTATTTTTAGTAGAGACAGGGTTTCCCCATGTTGGCTGGGCTGGTCTTGAACTCCTGACCTCCAGTGATCCACCTGCCTCAGCCTCCCGAAGTGCTGGGATACAGGCATGAGCCACTGTGCCTGGCCCTAGATATGTTTAGATACACAAATACTTACCATTGTGTTACAACTGCCTACAGCATTCAGTATAGTGACATGTTTGTAGCCTAGGAGCCATAGGCTATACCATATAGCCTAGGTATATAGGTATATAGGTATAATAGGCTGTACCATCTAGGTTTATGTAAGCACACTGCATGATGTTCACACAATGATGAAATCGCCTGATGACACAATGTCAGAACATATTCCTGTCTTTAAAGTGACGTGCGACCGTAAGTAAATCTGTATACAAAGTATATTTGTATATTACGTTCTTGTGACTGTACTAAACTCTTATGATTTCTAGTACTTTTATAGGTTCTACAGTATTTTCTACACTCAAGATCATGTGTACAAATAAACACTGTCTTGCTCTTTACTCTCCTACATACGTCTTTTTCCCTGCTTACCTTATTCACTGACTAGTACCTCCAGTGCAATGTCGAACACAAGTGAGGAGAGAATATCTATGCCTTGGTTCTCAATCTTAAGAGGAAAGTATTTAGTCCATCACTATTATGTATGATATTAGCTGTAGGATTTTTGTATTATAGCAGAACTTCATAAGGCCAAGCAAAGTTCCCTTGTTTGCTGACAGTTTTTATCATAAATGAGTGAATTTTGTCAAAAGCTTTTCTACATGTACTTAGATTATCATATAGGTTTTTTTCCTTTATTCAATTGATGTAGTGAATTTTACTAATTGATTATTGACTGTTAAGTAAACCTTGGGACCTTTGCATTCTTGAGATAAAACCCAATTGGTCATGGTATATTACCCTTTTATATATTCCTGAAAGCTAATATTTTGCTAAATATTTTTGTCTATGGTCAAGAACCACATTGTTCTTTAGTAGTATTTTCCTGTAATTTCTGTGTTTGCTTTTGGTATCAGGATGTTGGCCTCACAAAATGAATTGGGAAGTATTCTCTTCCTGTTCTTTTTTTTTTTTTGAGACGGAGTCTTGCTCTATCGCCCAGACTGGGAGTGCAGTGGCGTGATCCCGGCTCACTGCAACTGCAATCTCTGCCTCCTGGGTTCAAGGGATTCTCCTGCCTCAGCCTCCCAAGTAGCTGGCAGTACAGGCACGCGCCACCACACCCAGTTAATTTTTGTATTTTTAGTAGAGACAGGGTTTCACCATGTTAGCCAGGATTGTCTTGATCTCCTGACGTCGTGATCTGCCTGCCTCGGCCTCCCAAAGTGCTGGGATTACAGGTGCTGTGAGCCACTGCGCCCGGCCCTTTTATCTTTTTTTTTTTTTTTTTAAGAGTTTTTAAGATTGGTATTATTTCGTCCTTCAATGTGAGTGATCAACAAGGACTTTCCCCTCTAGCTAGTAAAACCTCAAATGCTTCCCAGCCCTCTGTGACCTCTGATGTCTGTCAGTTCACATCAATCTGGTTGCTCTTTGTCTGGCTTTACAGTTTTACTCCATGTATGTTCATTCTAGAATTCAGCAAAAAGTCAGAGACTTCTATGGATAGCATTAATTTTGACAAAGTGTCCTTCCTGCTGAACTTTGCCCTACAACTTCTTGCTGCCTCAGCTTCCATAAATTCTGATCTCTATCTCTTCATCTTGTTCTTTGCTCAAGATTCCCTGTCCCAGATCTACAATTTAGAATGTGCCCCAGGCAAAAAGCCAGGGTGGGTGGGTGCCTGTAAAGCTCACTTTGTTTGTTTCCCTTCTTTTAGGGATCACAGTCCTGCACTGCTGTTGTCCAAAGTCTAAAACCCATTGTTTCATTATTTTGTCCAGATTTTCAAGGTTTTTGTGTGTTTGTGGAGGTGTGGGGGTTGACAGATGGTAAACTCCATCATGGTCACTTGAAAATTCTGAAAAGTTGCCAGAGTGGTGGCTCATGCCTTTAATCCCAACACTTTGGAAGGCTGAGGTGGGAGAACAGCTTGAGGGCAGTGACTGTTAGGCAGTGACAGTAGGTACCACCGCACTCTGCTCTGGGCAATGAAGAGATATCCCATCTCAAAAAAAAAAAAAAATCTGAAAAGTTAAAACCTAGAAAAACATTTCATTCCCCGGTGTTAATAATCATTCAAGTGATGGCTGGGCATGGTGGCTCATGCCTGTAATTCCAGCACTTTGGGAGGCCCAGGCAGGCAGATCACTTGAGGTCTCAGGAGTTCAAGACCAGCCTGACCAACATGGCGAAACCTCGTCTCTACTAAAAATACAAAAATAAGCTGGGCATGGTGGTGCATGCCTGTAATCCCAGCTACCTGGGAAGCTGAGGCATGAGACTCATTTGAACCTAGGAGGCGGAGGTTGCAGTGAGCCAAGATTGCACCACTACACTACAGCCTGGGGAATAAGAGCAAAACTTTGTCTCAAAAAAAAAAAAAATTCATTTGAGTGCAGAGGGTATTATTTCTTAAATGAACTTGTGTTTAACTTTTTATTATAACAGATAAAATATTTATTCCTTAAAAATCACCTTCAAATAAATTAACATTTTAAGTGTTTTATTGTAATCTGTTAAACCACTCCGTGGCATTTTTCTTTTACATTTCAAGAAAGAAAACTTTTTTGTGATGGGGTTTCACTTTGTCACACAGGCTGGAGTGCAGTGGCGCGATCACGACTCACTGAAGCCTAGACCTCCCGGTCTCAAACTATCCTCCCACCTCAGCCTCTCTAGTAGCTGGGACCACAGGTGCAGGCCATGATGCCTGGCTAATTTTTGTACATTTTTGTAGAGATAGGGCTTTGTCATGTTGCCCAGGCTGGGCACAGGGATCCCCACACTTCGGCCTTCCCTGGGATTACAGGTGTGAGCTACCACACCTGGCCTGGAAGAAAAAATGTTAAAAAGTATTTCCTTATGTATCTGCTTGGTAAGTCTAAACATTTATACTCAGCTTAACGTTGGGCTCTTTTGGACTGAAGAAGGGATTTTATTGTAAAGATAAAAATGTTAATAAGGAAGAGGCAAGAATTTCACATAAAAATCAGAAATTACAAGACAGTCTGATCGTACACCACAAAAGCATGTTCAAGTTTTTTTTTTGACATGGAATTTCACTCTTGTTGCCCAGGCTGGAGTGCAATGCCACGATCTCGGCTCACGGCAACCTCTGCCTCCTGGGTTCAAGTGATGCTCCTGCCTCAGCCTCCCAAATAGCTGGGATTATAGGCATGCACCCACCACATCCAGCTAATTTTGTATTTTCAGTACAGACAGCGTTTCTCCATGTTGGTCAGGCTGGTCTCAAACTCCCAACCTCAAGTGATCCTCCCACTTCGGCCTCCCAAAGTGCTGGGATTACAGGCATGAGCCACCGCACCCGGCCTGCATGTTCAAGTTTGAATGCAGGTCTTGATACTAGGTAAACATTGCTTTGTTTTCCAGAACTTATCGCTTCCCTACCATAATGTGGATTAAGCATCTCTATTTCTTTTTTCTTTTTTTTTGAGATAGAGTCTCACTCTTGTCACCCAGGCTAGAGTGCAATGGTGCGATCTCGGCTCACTGCAACCTCCGCCTCCTGGGTTCAAGCAATTCTCCTGCCTCAGCCTCCTGAGTAGCTGGGATTACAGGCACACGCCACCATGCCCAGCTAATTTTGTATTTTTAGTAGAGACAGAGTTTCACCATGTTGGTCAGGCTGGTCTCAAACTCCTGACCTCAGGTGATCCACCTGCCTCGGCCTCTCAAAGTGCTGGGATTACAAGTATGAGGCACCACGCCCGGCCAGCATCTCTATTTCTGTATTTCTGATGTTTCTGGCTAACTACTTTACTCTCTACTGACATACCTATTCTCTACCTCATAATTTCTACTTACTCATAATTTTTATTCATTTGTGGTCTGCTCCAGGTTCCCTCTATCTTCCACAGCACTTTAATTGCCTGTTTCTGAGTTTGCATTTGCATGGCCAAGAGTAAAAGCAAAATAATATAAACTGCTATCTAACTGCACTAACCTGCTGACCAGTTATGGTTTGGCTATAGGCTGGTCCTATGGTTTCCTTAAGAGGCTGTGGACTAGAAGGTACTATGATGACTGGCCTCTTTAGCACAATCTCTTCTTAACATAAGGTCTCCTAGATTGATCTTGCTTTAATAGCTAGTAGAAATACACATTTTAGCAAAATGCACTGAAAGTAATAACTTTTCAAATTGAAACAAATTTCCACATTAGATTTTTCTTTAATAGAGATGAAGTCAAAAATCTGGAAGATTAATGTTTAATGCTGATCCAGCTCTACTAAGTCACCTGCCATTACCAGAGGGAGGAGTCAGGTCAGTACAGACAGCTTTACTTTGTTCCCTCCTCATACCTGAACTACTTTCATCTTCCTGGATAACGGGCAAGAGAAGGCAGAGTGGAACCAAAAGGGCTTTGCTGATGGGGCAAGTTCTCAGGAGCAGAGAAGTAAAACAGCCCCTTTCCTATTTCTTATATGGTTGTCTTGTCACCCCCTAAAAGAAGGTAAATCAGTGTATTCAAAAACTTGAACCATGACAGTCATGTTTCGATTCAAAATCCTGTACGAATTAAAAGGCTGGTAAGACAGTGAGGAAAGACAGACACCAAGAAATGCTACCAGGTATTTAAGATGGTCAGGCATTCTCTTCTCTTTTAAAACCTCTAGACTTTCATAATCCTGTCCATTGTATAATAACTTTCCTGCTTCTTTTCTTTCCACATAACCCACTTCTTTTAGCAAACTTTGTTCCAACTTTCCTATGTTTCTCGCATTCACTTAAAATACAATCTGATCCAATGCTGACTAATAAAAGAAAAAAATAAGAAAAAAACTGAGGTTCTCTCTCTCTCTTCCTTAAAACACTTTTCCCTTTTTTTTTTTGAGACGGAATCTTGCTCTGTCGCCCAGGCTAGAGTGCAGTGGTGTGATCTCGGCTCACTGCAACCTCCACCTCCTGGGTTTGAGCAATTCTCCTGCCTCAGCCTCCCGAGTAGCTGGAATTACATGCGCCCACCATCTTGCCCGGCTAATTTTTGTATTTTTCAGTAGAGACGGGGTTTCACCATCTTGGCCAGGCTGGTCTCAAACTCCTGACCTTGTGATCCACCCGCCTTGGCCTCCCAAAGTGCTGGGATTACGGGCTTAAGCCACGGCGCCTGGCCTTCCCATCTGCTTTGTAAGACATTACCCTCTTGGTTTCCCCCCGTCTTACTGGCTGCTCCTTCTCAGTCTCCTTTGCTAACTGTTCCTCATCTCCCTGACATCTACACACTGGACTGTTGCCGAAAAGACTTCTCCATTTACATTCATTCCTTTGGTGATATCACCCAGTCTTATATCTTTAAATACCACCTGCAAATTGATGATTACCAGGTTTGTATCTTTACGGACTTCTGGACTTCTCACTCCAACTCACTTTTAACTGTCTACGCAATACCTTCACTTGGACGTCTAAAAGGATTTCAAATTTAACATTTCCAAGAAACCTAATCTTCCTCCCCAAAGCAGCTCCTCCTGCAATCTTCCCCAACTCGATAAATGTTAACGCCATTCTTCTAGTTTTTCAGGCCCAAACTCTGAAGTCACCCTTATTACCTATTTCACACCCTTAAACTCCTCAGTAACCCCCCGGCCCTATTCTCAAAATACATTCAGTATCTGACAACTTCTCTCCACCTCCCACTGCTACCCTGGTCTAGGTCACATCACCTTTCACTAATTCAACAATACTGAATTATTCTAATAGCCTAACTGGTCTCCCAGTTCCTGCCATTGCACCTTTTACAGGCATGTCTCACAGCAGTAGTTTAACATCACTCCTCTGCCATAATCCACCCAAAGACTTCCAATTGCACTTAAAGTCAAAGCCAAAGTTCCTACTATGGCCTTCAAGATCCAATAACCTATTATGCAGCCTTCAACTCCTACTACTGTGCCCCAACTTGCCTCACTTCTGCTACACTGGCCTTCCTGCTCTCCTTCAAACAGACCAAGCATACTCCCAGCTTATTGTATGTATGGCAGAACAGTTAAGAGCATAGAGGTCAGAGACAGAGTGTCTGGGTGCAAAGTCTGAGTCCGTCACTTACTAGCTGGGTGAACTTCAACAAGTTACTCAACCTTTCTGTGTCCCAGTTTCCTTATCTGTAAAATATAAAAGTAAACCTCATAGAGTTGTGAAGATTAAATGAGTAAATATATACATATATAAAAAACACACCTAACATAGTGGCTGGTATTTGAAGCACGAATGTTTGCAACTGTGATCATTTTGATAATGGTGGCTCTCTTCCACAGCATGTAAATGTGGGCAAATTTAAAAAAAGTTATTGAAATATAGTACAAAGAAAAATAAATGTACAAGTGAATGAATTACATAAACTCAACACCAATGTACTCACCACCCAGACCAAGACACCCTGTCAGCACCCAAGAAGCCCATCTCATGCTATTAACCCTGCTCAGTTCCTCTTAACCATTACCTTGACTTCTAACATTACAGTTTAAGTTTTGCCTGCTTGTAAGGCTTCTCATAAATGGAATCACGGCCGGATGTAGTGGCTCACACCTGTAATACCAACACTTTGGAAAGCCAAAGCAGGAGGATTGTGTGAGCCCAGGAGTTTGAGACCACCCTGAGCAACATAATGAGACCTCATCTCTACAAAAAGTAAAAAAATTGGCTGAACATGGTGGCATACCCCTGTAGTCCCAGACACTTGGGAGGCTGAGGTTGGAGGATCGCTTGAGCCTGGGAGATAGAGGCTACAGTGAGCCGTGATTGTGCCACTGCACTCCAGCCTGGGTGACAGAGTGAGAACTTGCCTCAAATAAATTAAAAAAAAAAATAGAATCATATATAATGCATTATTTTGTATTTGACCTCTTTCACTTAACGATGCTTCTGAGACTCATCTCTATTATCAGGAACAGCTGTACTTTGTTTTCACTTCTGTGTAGCATTCTTTTATATGAATATACCATAGGTAAGGGATATGAATTGTTTCCAGTTTTTTTGCTATTAGAATAATGACAGCAATGAACATTCCCGAGCCCTCCTTGGTACGCATGTATGCATATTCTACTGGATGTAACCTTGCAATAGATTGCTGGGTCAAAGTGTTTGCACTGCTAAACAGTTTTCCAGAGTAGCTATAGCAGTTTATACTCTCACCAGCAAGCATGAGAATTACCATTGCTTTACATCATCAATACTTGGTATACTCGATCTTTTTTTTTTTTTGAGATGGAGTCTCCCTCTGTCGCCCAGGCTGGAGTGCAGTGATGCAATCTTGGCTCACTGCAACCTCTGCCTCTGGGGTTCAAGTGATTCTCGTGCCTCAGCCTCCCATGTAGCTGGGATTACAGGCTCATGCCACCACGCCTGGCCAATCTTTTAAAATGTATCTGTTTTGGTGGGTGTGTAGGAGTCTCTCACTGTGATTTTAATTTTATGTTCATAATTACTAATGAAGTGGCACCTTTACATATGTTTACCGGACATTATCTTTTGTGAAAGGTCTGTTCAAGACACTTATCCATTGTTCTATAGGGTTGTCTGTCCTTTTCTTATTGACTTGTAAGGCATTCTTTAATTTTCTGTGTATTGGAGGAGTAGGATTTAGTGCATTTACTCCTGTATCCCCAGAACCTAGAAGACAGTCTGAAACATAAAAAGCATTAATATTTTTTACATGAATGAATGCTTGCCTGGCTGTTTTCAGATCCTAATCATACCCGTTTCTACAATTCTGCCTCATAATCTGACAATATATGGTGATTCCTAACCTCCAATCCAACCCAAGGAGGTTCTAAAATGTTGACTGCCTAACAATCTTTATAAAGTAGAACTCTGTCTGTAACACTCCCTTGGATACACCTGTCAAGGGCTTCCTACAACCTACAAAATAAAACCTCAACCCTTAACCAGGCATTCCAGGTTAACTTCCCCAACTTACTTTTCTAATACGCTTTCCCTATCATCTACTAATCTTCCAAAACATGTATTTGTGGTTATGAAAAACAAAAAGGCCAATTAGACATTAACCACAAAAATCAGGGGGCAATTATTAATTTTTTTCATTCTTTTGCTCGAGAAATTATTTCTGAAGCAGAGGCAGCAGGATGTGCAAAAGCTCATAAACAAGAGGGAACAAAGTGGGGTTTTAAGTTGTAAGTAGTCTGGTGCTGGTGAAGTACAACATAGAAGAACAAGAAGGGGAGGAGGCTAAAACAGCAACAAGGAACAGAGCCTATGACTCAAGGATCTTCTATTTCCTTCTATTTAGCACTAATTGTTTTATATATGTATATAAAGACATTCATTTAATTTTGTTGGAAAAATAAACCACTGAATTGTAACTTGATTCTGATTAATTCTATTCAACAACCTGCCAGACATTTATATTCTTCCCTCCTCCAAAAAGCCAAGCCTAACAAAAATTCTAGAAATACTTGTAGGTTTTCCAACTATTTCCTAACTTATCAACTCCATAAGTCATATGAAAAATTTTCAACTTTATGTTAGGTGGTCATCTATCAGAATTACTTATATCAGGCCGGGTGCATTGGCTCACGCCTGTAATCCCAACACTTTGGGAGGCTGAGGCAGGCGGATCACTTGAGGTCAGAAGTTCAAGACCGGCCTGGCCAACATGCTGAAACCCTGTTTCTACTAAAAATACAAAAATCAGCCAGGCATGGTGGTGTGCGCCTGTAATCCCAGCTACTTGGGAGGCTGAGGCAGGAGCATTGCTCTAACCCAGGAGGCGGAGGTTGCAATGAGCTGAGATCACGCCATTACACTCCAGCCTGGACAACAGAGTGAGACTCTGGCTTAAAAAAAAAAAAAAAAAAAATTAAAAAAAGAATTACCTATATCAGAACATACTTTATAGCAGCATGTTTAGTAAAGCTATAACAAATTTGAAATAAGTTTATAATGTATCTGGCTCAATCATTAACAGTTAACACATTATTATGTTGTACACACACATTATGTTGTACAGTGTTACACTGTTAAAGTATTTTGCTTTAATACAATTTTACACTTTGACAGTGCTTTATGTCTTCAAAGCTCTTTGTTATTATTATTTAATTTGATCCCAAAATAATCCCAATATGTTACCAGGACAAGTAGGCATAATCTCTACATTTTACATTTGAAGAAACTGAAATGGAGAGAGGTTATTACATGCCTTGCTCAAGGACAGGGGGCTAAAAGTAGGCAAAACTAGGAACCAGGTCTTCTGACTTCTATACTGCATTCTTTCTACTACCCATACGATCTTCAGGGAAGCCTTGTGTATAGCATTCTTTGTTCATTGGTAAGTTATTAAATATTAGCCCTTTAGAAAATGTAACAAACATGATAACATTATTTACAGCCAAATCCACTGCTCAACCTATGGCACAATCTACTAACTTTGGAAACAGCACCCTGCCTGTCAGCATGACAATGTTGCCTTATTATTAGTAACAGTGACTAAAAATTTTCAAATGATTTAACACATTTCTGAACCTCTTAAAAAATTAAATGTACATTATTCCTATAAATGAACTCTAATAAGTTAACTAATTGTGACATTACATGCTCTATCTAGTTTGGAAGGAATAGCCCTAGTCTGGCATTTTGCCCAGATGGCTCCAATTTACATACAAGTTTTAAATCTTTAGGAAATCCTAGAAAAATAAATTTAGAGACTTAACTTCATAAAACATGAACAATTTCCATAGGTCACGGTGTTCTACAGGCCGTAGTCTATGATTTTTCTCTTTCATTTATAAATCCCCTCCCTTAAGCATAAAGCACAAAGGATAGGCAGGACCATAAAAGAGAAAACATAGGCAGAGAGAAGGAAGCAGCAGACTACTAAAGGGCATACACTTTGTCTTGTAAAAGCAAACAAAGAACTCCATTTTCCAAGAGTCGAAGGAGAAAAGAAATGTTAGCAATGGACAACTGATCTTGCAGGGGTCGGTAATGGTACCAATTTTTTACCATCTTTTTCTTTTTTCTGCCTTTTAGATATACAAACAATTGACCTTAAAGTAACCCAACTCCTTCTAAATTCCTGGAACCTCGTAGTTTCTTTAATGAAGTCTGATATAGGATCAGCCATGAGAAGAGCCTGATGTAAAGAATATGTAAGGAATTTTATGGATGGGGGCAGTGGCTGATCCCAGCAGTTTGGGAGGCTGAGGTGGGAGAATCACTTGAGTCCAGCAGTTCAGGACCAGCCTGGGCAACAAAAGGAGACCCCCGTCCCGGCAAAAAATTTTTTAAATCAGCCAAGCATGGTGGTACACACCTGTAGTCCTGGCTACTCAGAAGGCTGAGGTGGGAGGACAGCTTGAGCCTGGGAGGTCAAGGCTGCGGTAAGTTATGATCGCACCACTGCACTCCAGCCTCGGAGACAGAGTGAGACCCTGTCTCAAAAAAAAAAAAAAAAGAAAGAAAGAAATGTATAGAATAATTTTTTTTGTTATAGATTATAGTAACAAAAATAACTTACAAATTAAAGCCTCAAGATTTTTAAAAAATGTATTAAATTCAACACAGAACAGATCTGAATTATGCAGATCCCAGGTAACAGTTAATTACTTTCAGCCACCTTAGGCAATTATTAAAGGCAGTTTGTTGGCAGAAAGGCACCTATCAAGTACTATTATGTATCATTCCCTCTACAAATCCAGTCAACTCAAAAAATAAGCTGACCATATACCTATCTCAAGAATCTTTATTCTCTCAGATTTTCACACCTTACTTCCAGTCTTTTGTCAAGATTTTTGACCAGCAAATTACAGTAAACAATTAGATACCACTTTCAAGCCCTTATGTCAATTAAATGCTCCTCAGGCACTGCACGTACTCTTCTTTAATTGGGGTTTTAAACTTTAAAAACATCATCCACTTGTTTCTATAACAATGTATGTAGTCCTTTTTTTTTTTTTTTCTTAAATCTCTTTAAGAGAGACTAAAGAGGCTGGGTGCAGTGGCTCACGCCTGTAATCCCAGCACTTTGGGAGGCTGAGGAGGGTAGATTACCTGAGGTCAGGAGTTCGAAACCAGCCTGGCCAACATGGTGAAAGCTTGTCTCTACTAAAAATACAAAAATTAGCCAGGCGCTGTGGCACGCACCTGCTACTTGGGAGGATAAGGCAGGAGAATCACTTGAACCAGGGAGGTGGGGGTCACAGTTAGCCAAGATCATGCCACTGCCCTCTGCACTCCAGCTTGGGCGACAGAATGAGACTTTGTCTCCAAAACAAAAACAAAAACACAAACTTAATCTCCAGTGTGGCAGTATTGAAAGGGAGGCCTTTAAGAGGTGATTGGATCATGAGGACTCCACCCTTATTAATAAATTAATCCATGTATGGATTACTAAAGGATAAATGGATTCATGGGTCATCATGGGAGTACAACTGGTGGCTTTATAAGAGGAAGAGAGATCTTAGCTTAGCACAATAGCACACTCAGCCCCCTCACCATGTGATATCCTCCACCACCTAAGGATTCTGTAGACAAGAGTCCTACCAGCAAGAAAGCCCTTCTCATATGCCACCCCATGACCTTGGACTTCTCTGCCTCCAGATCTGTAAGAAATAAATTCCTTTTCTTTATAAATTAGCCAGTTTCAAGTATTCTGAAAATGGACTAAGATACCTTCCTGTGCCCTATATGGCCAATTGGTCACCAGGACCTGACCATACTGCCCTGTAATCTCTAGAATTCTTCCATTTCTCCCCCAACTACTTACTTGTTCTATAGGGTTGCCTATACTTCCCTTGAAACTTCCCTTGACTACTAATTATTTACGGTCTGGATTATTGCAAAAGCCTCTTTAACTGACTTCCATCCTTCTACAGTGTTAATTCTCCAATCCTTCCTGGCTATAATGTGAAAAATGTTTGTGTTCTCTAGAAAAGAAAGTCTAATTATGAGCCTTTGATGGTCCAGCCCCCTCTTTCTCCCAATATAAAGTCCAAACTCCTTAACATAAAATAGAAGACCTTGGCCAGGGGCGGTGGCTCACGCCTTCAATCCCAGCACTTTGGGGCCCGAGGTGGGTGGATCACCTGAGGTCAGGAGTTTGAAACCAGCCTGGCCAACATGGTGAAACCCCGTTTCTACTAAAAATACAAAAAATTAACTGGGAGTGGTGGCAGGCACCTATAATCCCAGCTACTCAGGAGGCTGAGGCAGAAGAATTGCTTGAACCTGGGAGATGGAGGTTGCAGTGAGCCGAGATCGCGCCATTGCACTGCAGCCTGGGGGACGAGAGTGAAACTCTGTCTCAAAAAAAAAAAAAAAAATAAGAGGGCCTTGTATGATTTGCTTAATTTACCTCTCTTGGCTCTTGATTTCTTTTAGATCCTCAAATGTACCATACTGTTTTCATAAACGCTTGGCACAACCTCCCTCTTTCCTTACGCTTGGCTTGTGACTACTCAACCTTCAGGTCTTAGCTTAAACGTTCAAGGAATCTTCCTTGATCTCCCATGTGCTCACACAGTACATTTTATTCCTGCCCCCACACCATTTATGACACTGAATTGTCACTGCCTGTTTATTTCTATCCTTCTCTGAGCTACAAACTTTGAGACAAGAAAAATTTCTCTCTTGTAGCTTAGCCTAGTGTTGGCTCATAGCTGATGCCCAATGAATATTTTTACAGATCATGAATACAAACTGACTTTGGAGTCAGACACACATTTCAATTCTGGTTCTGTCACTTATTAGCTACTGTGATCCTTGATCAAATTACTTTATCTTTCCTAAGACTGAATTTCCTTTTTTTTTTGGAGGAATAATACCTATCTTGCAAGGTTGTAAGAATTAACTGATATCATATGCAAAGCAATCATAGCACATACCCGAATGACAGCAGTGTTTGCCTTGGTTAAGACTTATGGCTTCAAGGACAGAATCTGACTAGAGGTAGCTTAAGCAAAAAGGGGATTTTTTATAAACATTATCGGAGTGCCTCATGGAATTCAGGGTCATAAGAGAAACTAGAACCAGCAACCCATGTTCTGGAAATTTGGTTCATTTCTTCTCTGTTTCTCCTGGTCTTTCCATCACTTCCCTTGCTTCCCCATTTTCTCTCCTCTCCCCAACTACCTGGTCCCTCTCTCCACCCCACTCCCATCTCTCCTTCACCACCTCCATGTGTTTTATCTTAGTCTCTCTTCATCTTTCATCTTTGCTACTATGCTCATGTGCTTCATTCTTCTCTCCTGTGGCACAATGGCCTTTTCGGCTCTTCATAAGGTAAAACATGGCTGGCAATAGTCCCAGAGTTAGTATTTTCATTTTAGAGCTAGGCTGAGGAACCATAAAATATCAATTCCTAATTCCTAAAGGACCCTGGCCCAGCTTGGATCAGCCGCCTCCCTCTGGGTCAGCCCTCTCCAGCCAAGAGGCAGGGTCACTGATGGAACATGGCAGATCCCACCTGAACCATGAGATGATAGGAAAGGTCCTAGAAAATGAGACAGTCTGGGCAATCAAAATACTTAGGGCTCACTACTCCATCTACTCAGTAAAGGCTATTAACATTTCAAGAGAATTGTTTTACTTAAGTGAATTAGCTGTAATAAAAATATATTATTAATTAGTCACAAGTTTAAAGTTACACATCTATGATTTTAAATCTTATATGAATGGGAAATGTGTGACATCAATATAAAACATGTAAAAAGGATTATTTTTTCTTTCTAATTTTAACTTTCTGAATTTTACATAGAGTCTCGTTCTGTCACCCAGGTTGGAGTGCAGCGGCACAATCTCGGCTCACTGCAACCTCCACCTCCTGGGTTCAAGTGATTCTTGTGCCTCAGGCTCCCAAGCACCTGGGATTACTGGTGTGCACCACCATGCCCGGCTAATTTTTGTATTTTTAGTAGAGACAGGGTTTCGCCATATTAGCCACTCCTAACCTGAAGTGATCCACCTGTCTTGGCCTCCCGAAGTGCTGCGATTACAGGCGTGAGCCATCACGCTCGGCTAACTTTCTGAATTTCTGATCTCAATAGCTAATGCTGCAAACAGACTACAAAGGTTAACTTTTTTTTTTTTAAGAAAAGTATGTAAAGATATCCTAAGAATATTTTTAAAAATTATATAGCCACTAGGTTTGGTGGCACATGTCTGTAAGTCCCAGCTACTCAGGAGGCCAAGGCAGAGGATCACTTGAGCCCAGGAATTTGAGTCTGCCTGGGCAAAATAGCTAGACCCCATCTCTTAAAAAATAAATAAATAAAACATTATACTGCATATTTTAGCTACAGACCCAAAGAGAAAGTTGAGAAAATATCTCAAATATACATTTAAAAACTCAAACTAGTACATCCTAAATGTCTTCTCAAAATCTTGTTCCAAACTGAACAGAAAACTCTTCTTGGTTATGTAGGGGAAACACACACACACACACACACACGGAAAAAATAATCACATAACCTATAGCTCTAAAGGAATTAATATGAATGCAATGTTATAACAAAATTGAATCTGAAAGCTCAATTGAGTTGAATTGGAAAAACCAGGAGAAAAAAGTGAGAAGTCTGTAAGCTCATAGCGTATCTGCTTCCCATTCCCTACCCCCAACAGATTTTTCTAAGCTTCTACATGTATCAATTTTTCTCTTTTTTTTTTTTTTTTGAAACAGAGTTTCACTCCTGTTGCCCAGGCTGGAGTGCAATGGTGCAATCTCAGCTCAATGCAACCTTGCATCCCAGGTTCAAGCAATTCTCCTGCTTCAGCCACCCAAGTAGCTGGGATTACAGGCGCTGCCACCATGCCCAGCTAATTTTTGTATTTTTAGTAGAAACGGGTTTCACCATGTTGGCCAGGCTAGTCTTGAACGCCTGACATCAGGTGATCCACCTGGCTCAGCCTCCCAAAGTGCTGGGATTACAGGTGTGAACCACCGCACCTAGCTCATTAATTTTTCATGTTATTAATATTTGTAACATGCAATAAACACTAAAAGCTTTTTTGTTTTGAGGATAATTAGAAAAATCCATTTCCTTACATTAAGCAAAACAGGCATAATACGACGGAATTTCCCCAAATTTCATACTGGCAAAAAAATATTCATTTTAACACACATGTTGTCATACATATGGCCAAACTTTTCTTGTAATTTTAAATGTCCATGGGACAGTTACTAAATAAAATGTCTAATTTATTCTCATATTTAAGAAGAATTAAGATGAATAATTATTGTTTTCATTACAAGTTTTCTATATGCTCACCATATTAAAATATAAATAATAAAGATGTATCTAAGTGTGTACATTGGATGCACTAACTGATTTAATCCAGGCAATAACCACTGAAGATATGTGTTGTTATTATCTCTGTTTTACAGATGAGGAAACTAAGGCTGGAGACGTTAAATAGGTTTTGGTTCTATGTCACAAAACTAGTAAGTGACAGAGCCAGAAGCTGAGAATGAACTCAGAATATTTCAGCTCAGTGTCTATTAATTATTGCTGCTACAACAAATTACCACAAATTTAGTGGCTTAAAACAATACAAACGTATTTATCTTACAGTTCAGAAGTCTGACGCCGGTGTCCCTGGACTAAAATCAAGGTGTCAGCAGGGCTGCATTTCCTTCTGGAGATTCAAAGACAAAATCAGTTCTTGCCCTTTCTAGCTTGTGGGGGCTGCCCACATTCCTTGGCTCACAGACTCCTTCCACCTTTAAGGCCTGGAATGTTGTCTCTTTCTGATGCTGCTTTGTTGTTACATTTCCTTGACTTTCCTGCTTTTCTCTTCCACTCTTAAAAACCATTGTTACTCTATTATGCCTACCTGGATAAGCCAGGATAAACTCTCTATTTCAAAATCAGTTTATCAGGAACTTTAACTCTACCTGCAACTGTAACTCCTCTTTACCATGTAACCTAATATATTCAAAGGTTCCGAGAATTCACAGAACATGGACATCTCTGGGGAGTCAAGATGCTGCCTACCACAGTACCCATGCTTATAATCAGTATACTACAACAATCATGCTCATGCTCAACTGTTAGGGTTCAGAGAGTCAGTATGCTTCCATACTAAGCAACATAACTGTTAAATTAGGAGGATCATGAGTGTCCAACCCTTTGAATGTGAGGACTATTTTGCTTATCTGTGGTGGCGGATATCACAAAAGTTATGCACAGACCTTTTTTTTTTTTTAACCTCATCAGCTATTGTTAGTTTTATTGTATTTTATGTGTGGCCCAAGATAATTCTTATTCCAATATGGCCCAGGGAAGCCAAAATGTTGGACACTGGTGGAAATTATTAACTCTCAAAGTAAAACCAAGTGATTGAGTCAATGGAGTTAACTCATCTATCTAAATAGGTCTTAAAAGGAAACAAGTCAATAAGAGATATCATCTTCCCCTTTCTTACCAAGCTTCTGAAGTATAATACTGAGTGTTAGGGGGGAGAAAGAGAAACAAGTAAAGCTGGGCTTGTTCTAAGTAGCTTGTTCTAAGTAGCTGGAAGGAGAGAGAAGCACTATAAAAGGTCTGAATTCTGGTAGTAGGGCTGTGGTTGGCATTACATCCAGCCTGTTCAGATGATACTCTATGCTATGGTTTGAATATGCACCCAAAGTTCACGTGTTGGAAGCTTAATCCACAATGCAACAGTGTTGAGAGGTGGGATCTTTAAGATGTAAATAGGTTATGAGGACTGTGCCCTCTGAAGGGGTTAATGTCACCATCATGGGAGTGGGTTTGTTATAAAAGCCAGTCTGTCAAGACCAGTCTAAGCCCAGTGAGACCTTGTCTCTACAAAAGGAAAAAAAAAAAAAAGCCAGGCGCTGTTGAGCACCAGTAGTCCCAGCTACTTGGGAGGCTGAAGTAGGGAGGAACACTTGAGGCCAGGAGTTCAAGGCTGCAGTGAGCCAGGATTGTGCCACTGCACTCCAGCCTGGGCAAAAGAGTGACACTGTCTTTTTAAAGTGAGTTTCTCTCTCTCCCTCACTCTAACCCTCTCTCAGCCTCTTGCCTTCCACCATGAGATAACACAGCAAGAAGAAGGCCCTTGCCAGATGTCAGCACTTTGGTATTGGACCTCCCAGCCTCCAGAACTGTGAGAAGTAAATTTCTCTTCTTTATAAATTACCAAATCTGTGGTACTGTTATAGCAACACAAAATAAACTAAGAAACCCTAAGATGCAATTGTTCTTCAAATAACCTCTAAATGAGAATTTGGCAGGAAGCTGGTCTCCACACAGGAATTACTCAAATCACCAGGACTCAAAAGATAGAAGATGGGGTGGGGGTGGGGGTTGACTTCCTTCTTTGTCACAATATCAAACATGGAGACTTTTTCCCTTTTTTCTTCCTCCCTAGAGTAGGAGGAAGGGGAGCTTCACATAAGAGTGTCAAGTTTGAGGGACACTGGCAAGAGAGCTAAGGAAACCTAAAATAGAATCTTTGTCTATTGTTGTGGTTAGCCTAGAAGGCACTTTGCAACATTCATTACTATAAACATCATCATTAATAAGTCCATACACACACACACACACACACACACACACACACACACACACAGAGTTGCTCCTCATTATTTTGAATTCCATATTTATGAATTCACCTGCTTGCCAAAATTAATACCATATCAGTTCAGGGTGGCAATAACAATTGATAATATCAATTTCTGCATTATTTAGCAACTGCTATTGTTTCCACTTGGAAATAGGAAACTAAGAGCCACCTGAATAAGAACGTATGGGAAAATAGGATTTGCTGCACATCAAGTTTTTATATGGTCAAGCTCCAAGGACCATATCTCTACCATAAAGTCAAATATACCTGCATGTTCTGAAGGACTTCATTCCATTTACATTTTAATATATATACGGCATCTTTGAACAGAAACACACATATAACAAGGTTACATGATTTATTTAAAAAAGCTCATAGGAACCTAAGCCTGTATTCCCTCTAGGAGGAATGGTTCAGTCTTTGATTAGGTAGTTATTTGTAATTTTATAGAACATAACTAGCACAAATAATGAGAACTGACTATATATGAATATTGATAGAAAAGATGGCCAAAATTATGTTTTTTAAAAAACTGTGATACATACTGTCTTTTTTTTTTTTTTTTTTTTTTTTTTTTTTTTTTGAGACAGAGTCTCGCTCTGTGGCCCAGGCTGGAGGAGTGCAGTGGCACAATCTCAGCTCACTGCAACCTCCACCTCCCGGGTTCAAGAGATTCTCCTGCCTCAGCCTCCAGAGTAGCTGGGACTACAGGTGCCCACCACCAAGCCCGGCTAATTTTTGTATTTTTAGTAGAGATAGGTTTCACCATATTGACCAGGCTGGTCTCAAACTCCTGACCTCAGGTGGTCCGCCCGCCTCGGCCTCCCAAAATGCTGGGGTACAGGCATGAGCCACCGCGCCCAGCTGATACATACTGTATTTAAAAAAATTTGTTGGGCTGGGCGCGGTGGCTCACACCTGTAATCCCAGCAATTTCGGAGGCCAAGCCAGGTGGATCACTGAAGGTCAGGAGTTCGAGACCAACCTGGCCAACATGGCGAAATCCCATCTCTACTAAAAATACAAAGATTGGCTGGGCATGCTGGTGCGTGCCTGTAATTCCAGCTACTCCGGAGGCTAAGGCAGAAGAATCACTTTAACCTGGGATGCGGAGGTTGCAGTGAGCTGAAATCGCGCCACTGCACTTCAGCCTGGGCAACAGAGTGAGACTCTGTCTCAAAAAAAAAAAAATATTCTGTTGAATTATCAATTCTTTTCCCCATCATCATTTAGGACCTGACCCAAATGATAAATACTGATCAAAAATTAATGTTTGAATCTACTTTTTTAATTGAAGAGAGTGTGGATAAAAAAGACTGATATTAATCCATAGATCGACATATATCAAATTAATTTACTAGTTATCTGCACCTGTTTTTAAGCTGTGAAGACTTGATAATGCTCTGGAGTTCAACAACTGCTTTAGCCTCGAAATGTCCAGGTAAGGCATCAACGCTGGGAGACAGGAAAACAGCACGTATATGAGAAAGGCAGGATGCACGCTGACTGTTTCCAGCCATTCCTCATATTTATATTCTGACTCTTCACATCCATTTACATGTTTAATCTCCCAACTATATGAACTTGCCTCCTTTGGCTTTTTGGAGTGAAATAATGAAGTAAAAAAATTAATATGGAAATAGCATGAATGGTTTTATTCTAGTTCAATAAAGCTGTTATATTAAAAAGAGATACAAAGTTTTTGATTCAAAAAAGTTCATGTTTCCTTTCTATTTTCATATTACATGGGGAGCCTTTTAGCGTGGGCTATAAAATGATCATTTATATTCAGCTTTTCATTCCTTAGGATGACCTAAAAATTAAAACCAGAACTTCGTATTTCTGAAATAGGGCTTACTTCTGGCTACACTATTTCAACCCTAAAATCATTGTTTAAAATATGTACATAATAACGATGTGTATATATTTAAAATTTTGTTTTATTAAAAAATAAAACCTTTTGATTTTCAAAGTTTAGCACATACACGTATGGAAGTTTCCACCCAGAAAGGCACTAATATTCTGTGGAAAACTATTTTAGAATGCAACAACATTAAGAATTTTTGTAATCCTGATACTACTTTGTGCTCTTAAAACAGTATTAGGGATAGGTGCAGTGGCTCACGCCTGTAATCCCCGGCACTTTGGGAGGCCAAGGTGGATAGATCACTTGAAGCCAGGAGTTTGAGACCGGCCTGGCCAATTTGGTGAAACCCTGTCTCTACTAAAAATATTTTTTTAAAAATTAGCCAGACATGGTGGTGTGCGCCTGTAGTGCCAGCTAGTTGGGAGGCTGAGGCAGGAGAATCACTTGAACCCAGGAGGCAGAGGTTGCAGTGAACCAAGATCTCTCCACTGCACTCCAGCCTGGATGACAGAGTTAAAGATTGTCTCAAACAAACAAAAACAGTATGAGAAATATTTCCTTGCTCAGAGCATGTAAAAAGTTTGTTGAACTGAATTATATAAAGATTTATCATATTATGGCCCCCATTTTATAACATTATTAGTTTGAGAATGGATATTTTAAATTCCATGAAATTACCTATACATGCTTTAGTTGCTTCTGATTGGAAACAATTTTCCACACTGTTGTTTGGCATTCATTGAGTACTGATAACAGAACATATGCTATAAAACCTAAGGAAATGGTACACAAGGTATTTTTTCAAAGTTTTCTTAAGTGAGATGACTATATTAAAATATTCATGACCCAATACACTTATGTCAAAGAGAGAACAAAACCCACAATTATAAAAGAACAACTTTGCGAGGCATGGTGACTCACGCATGTAATCCCAACACTTTGGGAGGCTGAGGTGGGAGGATGGCTTGAGCCCAGGAGTTCAAGATCAGCCTGGGCAACATAGGGAGAATCCTGTCTCTACAGAAAATTTAAAAATTAGCCAAGTGTGGTAGTACAGGCCTGTAGTCCCAACTACTTGAGAGGCAAAGGTAGGAGGATCACTTGAGCTCAGGAGGTCAAGGCTGCAATGAATGGTGACTATGCCATTGCACTTCAGCCTAGGCAAGAGAGCAAGACTCTGTCTCAAAACAAAAACAAAAACCCCCAAAACAAAAAAACCCAACAACGTTCTACATCAATGAACTACAGCAAAGGCTGTATTCAGAGCAAATTTCAGATACTTATACACCTGTTACTAAAAAGGAAATAACATAAACAAATGAGTTGAGGAATTTAGGAGCAAACAAAATTAGGAGAATTTACAATCTAAAAAAAAAAATGGCCAGGCACAGTGGCTCAAGCCTGTAATCCCAGCACTTTGGGAGGCTGAGGCAGGCAGATTGCCTGAGGTCAGAAGTTTGAGACCAGTCTGATCAACGTGGTGAAACCCCGTCTCTATTAAATACAAAAAATTAGCTAGGCATGGTGGCACATGACTGTAATCCCAGCTACTTGGAGGCTGAGGCAGGAGAACTGCTTGAACCAGGGAGGTTGAGGATGCAGTGAGCTGAGATTGTGCCATTGCACCAGGCTGGGCAACAAGAGCAACACTCCGTCTCATAAAAATAAATAAAATAAAATAAACAAAAGATTCCCGGCTGAGTGCAGTGGCTCATGCCTGTAATCTCAGCACTTTGGGAGACCAAGGTGGGCGGATCACCTGAGGTCAGAAGTTTGAGATGAGCCTGGCCAACATGGTGAAATCCTGTCTCTACTAAAAATACAAAAATTAGCCAGGCGTGGTGGCATGTGCCTGTAACTCCAGCTACTTGGGAGGCTGAGGCAGGAGAATTGCTTGAACCCGAGAGGCGGAAGTTGCAATGAGCCGAGATGGCGTCACTGAACTCCAGCCTCGGCAACAAGAGTAAAACTCCGTCTCAGAGCTGGCGGGGGTAACCTCCCAAAAGGATTTTTATTTGTAAATCATACTGAGATTTCTGTTTCTCGTTTCTAATTCATTACCTTTTCTTTTAATTTCCTCTTATTATAACAAAAAATCTAGTATAGTTTACAAATAAACATCAATGAAACAGATAAATCACTAGATTTCATCATAAACTAGAAACACAAAGGGAGAGTACACAGTATTAGGTATGAGAAGGGTACTAGAGCCACAGATGATTTGAAAAGAAAGTGATAACTTTGTATAACTCCTGCCAATAAAGTTTTCAGAACTAGATAAAATGGCTAACTAGGCAAATAAAAATTAATAAAAATAACTCAGTTAAAAGATAGGAGACCTAAATAAAGCAATAACCACTAAAATAGTTTAAATCTTGTTTTAAAAAACTACCAGAAAAGCACAAATATTATGTATTTCATGGGTATTACAGGATGCTTTCTTGGTTGTAGTATCCTTCCAACAGATATCTGGGGTTATCAAAAGAGCTCCTTCCCAACTGTTACCGAGGTTTCTCAGAAATTCTCTATATTCATTCATTAATTCAAAAAAATATTTTTTTAAAGTCTAGGCTGGGTGCAGTGGCTCAAGCCTATAATCCCAGCATTTTGGAAGGCCAGGGCGGGTGGATCATCTGGGGTCAAGAGTTCGATACCAGCCTGGCCAACATGGTGAAACCCCATCTCTATTAAAAATACAAAAATTAGCCGGGCGTGGTGGTGCGCGTTTGTAATCCCAGCTTCTCGGGAGGCTGAGGCAGGAGAATCGCTTGAGTCCAGGAGGCGGAGGTTGCAGTGAGCCAAGATTGTGCCATTGCACTCCAGCCTGGCCAACAAGAGTGAAACTTGAAGAAGAAAAAAAAAAGAAAAAAAAAAAAGAAAGTCTAGAAAGTAGAGATGCAACAGTGAACAAAACGTCCCAGGCATCATGCAGCTTGCAATCTTATTAAGAATAGTAACAGATAACATTAGGCAGCTGCTATGTGCTAAATACTATCCTAAGTACTCTTGTGTATACTAACACATTTAATCCTTACAACCACCCTTTCAGTTAAGGACTATTTTTACTCACCCCTTAAAGATGAGGAAACTAAGGCACACAGAATAGGTAACTAGTCTAAGGTCAAAGACACTCTCAGGCAATTTAGCTCCAGAACAGTACTGTCCAATAGAAATATAATGTGAACCACAAATACAAACCACATATGCAATTTTAAATTTTCCAGTAGCCACATTTAAAAACATAAAACAGAAAGAGATTAATTTTAATATCTTATTTAACCTACTATATCAAAAATGTTATCAACATGCAATTAATATTTAATAGTTGAATTATTCTACATTCTTTTTACCATATTAAAATCTGGTGTGTACTGCACCAGGCGTGGTGGCTCACGTCTGTAATCCCAGCACTTTGGGAGGCTGAGGCAGGTGGATTACTTGAGGTCAGGAGTTTGAGAACAGCCTGACCAACATGGTGAAACCCCGCCTCTACTAAAAATACAAAAATCAGCTGGGGGTGTTGGCGTGCACCTGTGAGCCCAGCTACTCGAAATCGGGTGTGTATTTTACACTTACAGTACATCTCAATTTGGACTAGCCACATTTCAAGTGCTCATCTATTATACTGGAGAGTGTTCATAACCACTGTTCTATGCTTTTCTACTAAAAAAAATAGTGTTTTCTCAGTATGCAAGAATGGTTTAGTTTTAGGGTCTATTAATAATATTAATTCACCATATTAAAAAATAAGGAAGTTTAGCCAAGTGTGGTGGTGCATGCCTGTAATCCCAGCTACTCCAGAGGCTGAGGCAGGAGAATTGTTTCAACCCAGGAGGCAGAGGGTGCAGTGAGCTGAGATTGTGCCACTGTACTCCAGCCTGGATGACAGAGTGAGACTTCATCTCGAAAAACAAACAAACAAATAAATAAAGAAGTCATATTTACCATTTTGGATTTGGGTTAAAAAAATAAAATAAAAAATAAAGAAGTCAGGTGCAGCTGCACACATCTGTAGTCCCAGCTACTCTGGAGGCTGAGGCAGGAGGCCAGGAATTCAAGGCTGTAGTGTGCCATAGTCACACCTGTGAATAGCACTATACTCCAGCCTCAGAAACACACTGAGACTCCATCTCTCTCTCTCTCTCTCTCTCTCTCTCCCTCTGTATATGTGTGTGTGTGTGTGTGTGTATATACATATATACATATATATACATACATATATATACGCACACACATTCATATATATATGAAGGAGGAGCAGCAGGAGCAGCAGCAGCAGCAGCCATGTGCAGTGGCTCAAACCTGTAATCCCAGCACTTTGGAAGGCTGAGAAGGGAGGATTGCTTGAGGCCAGGAGTTCAAGATCAGCCTGGGCAACATAGAGAGACCTTGTCTTTATTTTTTAAAAAAATGTAAAAAAGAAAGAAAAAGAAGAAAAGTTATTTATCTCAATAAAAGCCAAGGGGGGGGAAAAAGCTTAAATCAACACCCACCCCTACTTTTTAATAACTCTCATGAACTAAAAATAGAGGAATCCTTCCATGATATTATATATCTATAAAGTTCAAGTCAACTTTGGCATCACAGCTTAATGGCAAACAATAGAAAGAGTCTTAAGGTTCATTATAATTATTATTATTATTGGTTTTTTTTTTTTTTTGAGACAGAGTCTCACTGTGTCACCAGGCTGGAGTGCAGTGGTGCGATCTGGGCTCACTGCAACCTCCACCTCCCGGGTTCAAGCGATACTCCTGCCTCAGCCTCCCAAGTAGGTGGGACTACAGGCGCATGCCACCATGCCCGGATGATTTTTTGTATTTTTAGTAGAGACAGGGTTTCACCATGTTGGCCAGGATGGTCTCAAACTCCAGACCTCGTGATCCACCCACCTCGGCCTCCCAAAGTGCTGGGATTACAGGCGTGAGCCACCGCGCCTGGCCATTATAATTATTACCTGAAATGAGGTTTCACTCTGTCACCCAGGCTACAGTGCAGTGGCATGATCATCGCTCACTACAGCTTCGAACTCCTGGTCTGAAGCAATCCTCCCATCTCAGCCTCCTGAGTAGCTAGGGCTACAGGCATCTGCCACTACACCCAACTAATTTTTTAATTTTTTGCAGAGATGGGGTCTCACTAAATTGCTCAGGCTGGTCTCAAACTCCTAGGCTCAAGTGATCTTCCCACCTCAGTCTCCCAAAGCACTGGGATTACAGGTGTGAGCCACTGTGTCTGACCTGCATGATCCCTTATACAAAAAAAGTAAGAGAATTAACTGAAAAGCTATCAGACACAGATTTCTATAGAGCAGCTACAAAAATATATTGAGAAATAAGTAGTTTTGTAATATACCAAAAATAGTTATAAAGTAGTACTCAACAAATGATAGGGATCTATCAAAAGTACATAGGAACTAGTTTGAAGAGGCTCTTGCTGACCAAACACAGAATCTGAGCATCAAGAAAAAAAAATGGTGACACTAACAGATTACAACTAGTTGACTAAGATAATCCATAAGTCACTCTGATAAATAAATAAGGACAGGAAGGTTCTCTCTTACAGAATCCCAACTACTAAACTTGGAGTAAGAGAGCTACACATTCAGCACACGTATCCCAGAACAACTCTTACTGCAATAATTAATTCAGCCAAGGAATCATCAATGGAAGCAAAAACTATTACCTTATCTGTAATTTACTAAAAAGAGAAATATGTTCATTTTGTGGTGATGAAACCTGACAGATATCACTTAACTAAGTAATCAAAGTTAATACTGCCAATAGTAGGATAGACTAACACAGCGTGCCTCCTGATGTCTTGTACTCTGAAGAACATAATAGCCTTTAAGTGGTACTCCTGCCTCAAATTCATAATCTAAATCAAATCATGAGGAAACATCAAACAAAAACTCATCGATGTACACTATACAAAACCAGTAGTCTAACTTTTAAAAATATCAATGTCATGAAAGATAAAGCCTGAAGAACTGTTCAGATTAAAGGAGACTAAAGAAACATGACAATTAAATGCAACATGTATTTCTAGATTGGATTTTGGATTTTTGTTATAAAGAATATTATTAGGACAATTGGAAAAATATATGAACTACTGTATTACTTTCCTTGCCACATTTCCTTTATTGTTCCCTCCTAGGGCTGCTGTAGAAAAAAAATGGCTTAAAATAACAAATTTATTATGTCATAGTTCTGGAGGCAGGATGTCCAAAATTCAAGTGTCAGCAGGGCTATGCTCCCCCTGACACTCTGGATACCATCCTTCCTTGCCTCCTCCTAGCTTCTGATGGTAGCTGGCAATCCTTCGTGCTCCTGGCTTACAGGTGCATCCCACCAATTTCTGCCTCTGTTGTCACAAGGCATTCTCTCTGGGTGTCTGTCTTCACATGTGGGTTTTTGGTTTTTGTTTTGTTTTGTTTTTTGAGACGGAGTCTCACTCTGTCGCCCAGGCTGGAGAGCAGTGGTGCAATCTCGGCTCACTGCAACCTTGCCTCCCGGGTTCAAGCAATTCTCCTGCCTCAGCCTCCCAAGTTGCTCGAACTACAGGCGCGTGCCACCATGCCTGGCTAATTTTTGTATTTTTAGTATAGACAAGGTTTCACCCATTAGCCAGGATGGTCTCAATCTACTGATCTCGTGATCCGCCTGCCTTGGCCTCCCAAAGGATGCTATTTCCAAATAAGGCCACATTCACAGGTACTGAGGGTTAGGACCCTTTTGGGGAACATAACTGAATCCGCAACTGCAAATTAGGTAACTGTATTATACTGATGTTGAACTTGTTGAATTCAGTAACTGTACTGCAGTTGTATAAGAAAACGTCCTTGTTTTAGGAAATACATACTGAAATATTTAAGGGTACTGAGACATGCCATTTGCAATTAACTTTCAAATGGTGGTGGTGGGGACACGTATACACACATACCCAAGGAGGGAAACATAAAGGAAATGTGACAAAATGTTAACAACTGGTAAATCTGGGTGGAGGGTATCCAGTTCTTTGTGCTACTCTTGCAACTTTTCTGAACTTTGAAGTTATTTCTAAATAAACTTGCAGCACTATTTACAACAGCAAAGACTTGGAACCAACCCATATCCCCATCAATGATAGACTGGATAAAGAAAATGTGGCACCTATACACCATGGAATACTATGCAGCCATAAAAAAGAAATGAGTTCATGTCCTTTGCAAGGACATGGATGAAGCTGGAAATCATCATCCTCAGCAAACTAACACAGGAACAGAAAACCAAACACCGTATGTTCTCACTTATAAGTGGGAGATGAACAATGAGAACACATGGACACAGGGAGGGGAACATCACACACTGGGGCCTGTTAGGGGGTGGGGGGAAGGGGAGGGAGAGCATTAGGAGAAATACCTAATGCATGCGGGGCTTAAGACTAGATGACGGGTTGATAGGTGAAGCAAAACACCATGGCACATGTGTACCCATGTAACAAACCTGCACGTTCAGCACATGTATCCCAGAACTTAAACACACACACACACACACACACACACACACACATAAGACCTATGAGTAAGTAAAACAAAAGTTCAGAGTCTATATAATAAAACTGGGATATAAAAGACAATCTCAAAAAATAAACACATCACTTATTTTTAGAAGGTACATTACAAAGATGCCCATCCTTCCTACATAAATCTAAGTAACATTAAATCAAAATCACAATGAAGTTCACATGAAAAAGTAAATGCATATGAATAGCTGAGAAAGTTTTGAAAAGGAAAACAGGAAATTTGTCCTTCTAGGAATCACAGCCTCATGGTTAAGGGTATAGGCTCTGGAGTCACAAAGTTAGGTTACAGTCCTAGCGTGTAATTTGAGTAAATTTAACCTCTTGAAGCCTATTTCTTTATCTGTAAAAATAAAGATATCAAGAATACTTAACTGTTGAAGGTTCTGTGAGAAATGAGTTAGCTAAATATGTTAAAGTATTTATACAGGGACTGTCACACAGTCAATTATCAATACACATTAGTTGCTGTTATCATGGTTATAATCAACAGCATCAAGCTATTTGGTATTGGCATAGAAACAAACAATTAGGCCGGGTGCAGTGGCTCACGCTGGTAATCTCAGCACTTTGGGAGACCGAGGCGGGCAGATCACAAGGTCAGGAGCTCAAGACCAGCCTGCCCAACATAGTGAAACCCGTCTCTACTAAAAATACAAAAATTAGCCGGGCGTGGTGGCAGGCATCTGTAGTCTCAGTTGCTGAGGCAGGAGAATCACTTGAACCCGGGAGGTGGAGGTTACAGTGAGCCAAGATGGCACCACTGCACTGGCCTGGGTGACAGAGGAAGACTCTGTCTCATAAAATAAATAAATAAAATAAACAATTAAATCCCTCAAAAGAAAGAGCCCAGAAACAGGCCCAAGAGTAAAAAGAATTTGCAAACACTAAAAGGTGGCATTTTGAACCAGTGTGAAAATAGATTTAATAACTAGCAGTAGTGAGGTATATCATCTGAGGAAAAAAAAATTACCTCACAACATACATAAAATCCAGAGTATAGAGCTAAATGACTTGTAAGACAAAACAAAACAAAAACCTGTAAGTAGAATTTTTAACATCATCTTCAAGTGGAGAAAATATTCTTGAAACACAAAATCCAAAAGTTACAGAAGGAACATTATGCACAGACATGGAAAAGTCTTTGCAACATAAAGACAAAGAAAGAATATCTATAATATATTGAAGAGTCCCTAAAAACCTGTAAGAAAAAGACAAATAACCCAATAGTAAAACTGGTAAAGATTATGAGCAAGCAGTTCACCACAAGGAGAGATGCATAGTAGCCTTCAATTGAAAAAGCAAATTAAAATAATTTTAAGATATCTTTATTCATATATATAACAAAAATAAAACAATGTTCTATCAATCCCCCTAAAAAAACTGGGAAAATATAGAAAGAGCTTTAAACCTGCTAACATCCCTGGCTCTGTTTATCACCAAAAGAAAAAGCAACACCTATCATGCCATTAGAACACTTTATTATGGAAAGAGGAAAAACAAAACCAAAAAAAAACACAGGTAGAAAAGCAATCACTGAACCTTACTGTTAGAAGAAAACTAAGCTTATCAGGTCTGACCACTCACTAACACAAGAAAGTACCACTGACAATGACCTATATGCAGCATTTACTCAAACTCGAGACAAGGTAGTTCAATAAAGCACTTCTAAACAACTGTTAAAAATTACTTCTTTATAATCTTCAAATTGCTTAAAAATGATAAACATCTTTTTAACAAACTTTAAAAATTTTGTCAGGAATCAAAGGCAACTTTCAGTGTCTGCATTTATTAACGTTCACCTTTTAAGACATCATCTAATCATTCTTCTAAGATATCTACCTGTCTCCATGATTTCTCTCTTACTGGTAGGGCCCTGGAAGTATCAGAAATACCTTTCAGAACCTTGAGATATAATTCTTCTAGACCTAGAGACATGAACTCATGTAAAGCTACATGCCTCTATTTTCTTATTATTTATTTGTTTTTAATAATATAAACTTCACACTATGATCTCTTAGGACAAAAAATGACAGGGGAAAGCACGAACACAGTCCCTCACTACTACAAATTCTGCATTTGGGGAAATCACAGGGGTCAGCACAACCAAAGTGCAATGGATGAGCCTCACTCTGAGAACCACCTTCATGATCATGGTATCTCCCCAGCCAGATAAGTGTATTGTCTATTTTCTTTTTGTTTGTTCTAGTTTTTCTAATTTACAGAGCAACTTCTTGTTTCAGAAATGAGAAGATAAAAAGGAGATAAACTATGTGTTCTGTGTCACCTATTATTTCAAGTTTCCTGAACTACAGATTCATGACTTCTTACTCTAGCTATAAATTTATCTCTAAGAATCATCAATATTGTTTTTCCTTTTCTGAAACATCGGTCATTGTAAAAATCCTATTCATCTTCTGACAACATCCTAAGAGCTTCACAACCCTCTTTTCTACTTGACATTTGTTATGAGTTTCTCCTTCTGACTTACAGTGCATGCATTAAAACAAAAACAATACAAAAACTAAGACCCAAGTTGGAGTGACTGATGGGGTAGGGTGGGGGAAAAGGGGAAATGGTGAGAAGATGCATAGGGGAGCCGCTTTAGCTCCACCCTAATTTCTACCTGCTACTACCACCATGGAATTCTTTGATATGGCTAATTAGTATCTGTTCTCAATCACTAGAAGTGGTATGTAGATGGACATATAATACTTTTCTACTCTGACCCCCTCCCTCCACCAGTGCGCTTCCTAACCTTTCATATAAGAAGTCTGGGGCATTTTAAGACTTTTCACTCCTTCAGGGGGTACACTGTCCATTAGAATTTTAAGCCTCACTCTTACTGGTTTTCCAATGTTTCCTAAAGTCTAGTGCACACATCTTAAAATCCAGAACTGTCTTTCCTGCTACTTTTAATATAAACCCGAGATGACATGACTCCTATCGTCAAAGGTTCTTTCTAGAATTTACATATCACTAGCTTTTTTTCCTACTGATCCTAATTAAGTTCAAAATAGCAAATATCTTTATAGCTTACCACCTCAAATATAAAATTAAATTAGTCAGATGCTCTGCTTTAAGAAACACATTTCTTAAATGTGTTAGTCCGTTGGACTAACCAGTTTGCTTTATACCAATACTGTAACCCGAATTAAGATACCATCGATGCCCATACCTTTCAAATATTCTAACCACATTTGTAGAACCAAGTGGTATTTTCCATACAGATGTCTAACTTGTGTAACTACCATACTTTTCATCCCCTTCTGTGACAGAGATAATTACCTGTTCTCCCAAAATTCATTCTCCCCTTCTATGGTATGCAGCCCTCACTGGGAGGTGGCTGACCTGCTAGAAACTATTTTTTCCAGCTCTCCTTACACTCAGATAAATCCATATGACTTGCTTATATCAATGTAATATAAGAGGAACTAATGTGTGCCAGAGTTTTTAAGAAGTATGGTTGTGAGGCTGGGCATGGTGGCTCACGCCTGTAATCCCAGCACTCTGGGAGGCCAAGGTGGGTGGATCACTTGAGGTCAGGAGTTTGAGGCCAGCCTGACCAACATGGTGAAATCCCATCTTTACTAAAAATACAAAAAGTAGCCAGGCAAGGTGGTGCATGCCCGTAATGAGCAACTCAGGAGGCTGAGGCAGGAGAATCCACCTGGGAGGTGGAGGTAGCAGTGAGCTGAGATCGCGCCACTGCATTCCAGCCTGGGCAACAGAGCGAGACTCCATTTCAAAAAAAATTTTAATTTAAAAATAAAAAACACAAATACAAATACAAAAATTAGCTGGGCATGGTGGCATACACCTGTAATCTCAGCTACTTGGGAGGCTGAGGTGAGAGGATCACTTGAACCCAGGAGGCAGAGATCATGCCACTGCCCTCCAGCCTGGGCTAAAGAACGAGACTCTGTCTCAAAACAAACAAACAAAAACAAAAAACAAAAAAAAAAGAAGGTATGATTGCTGGACATATATTTATGGAATATGATATAAAAAAACAGAACTCCTATATTGTAAGTGGGTGAATATGCTTAGGCTAAATACTGCTCTTTAACATTTACAAGCTATTAAACTGCATCAAACCTTAGTTTCTCCATCAGACTCAAGTAGAATGCTTATTTGAAATTCATCCTGAGCGTTAATGATACTAGTTTAGCACAAGTCTGCCACTTCAAAGAGTCTTGAGTAAAAAACATTTGTGGTTACTGCATGAGCTTTTAGTGAAGAACTACTTGTTACTTCTTTCTCTCATGCCCATGATAGGCAGAACATGCCAGCTGACTGCTGCATGTTCCTACAATCAAAAATATTTAATAAATGTCTATGTGTCATTGTTCTATGTGCTTGGAACAACTTTAGTAACCAAAACTAAGATCCCTACCCTCACGGAGCTTACATTCCAGTGGCAGCCATTCCAGTCATTTGGAGTTGGTACAACAGCAGTTCGAAACCTATCTGCCAACCTTTATGTAAAGACTTAATAAACTGTTAGAGTTAACATGTGAAGGAGTTGTACTGTAGATATTGTGGGATAATAATGCTACAAAAATTAAGCTAGTATTCCCGCTAGAAAACAATGTTCCAGCTTATTAGGGAGGACAAAGGGTACATTCTTAGATACAATTGGAGAAATAAAAGGAAGCCAAAGAAGAAAAGGCTACTAAGATGGTGAAGAAAATTATTGTTAATGTAAGAACTTGACACAGTGGCAAAAGAGTGGCAAATAAAATTTCCATTGGTAGCTTCTGATGAGACTCTTCTTCCAGTGATGTTCATATAACAGTAATAGTTACAAGGCTGGAGGTGGTGGCTCATGCCTATAATCTCAGCACTCTGGGAGGCCAAGGTCGGGGAGGATCATGCTCGGCCCCATCTCTGGAAAAAATAAAAACAAAGGCTGGGTGTGGTGGCTCACGACTGTAATCCCAGCACTTTGGGAGGCCAAGGCGGGTGGATCACGAGGTCAGGAGATCGAGACCATCCTGGCCAACTTGGTGAAACTCCGTCTCTACTAAAAATATAAAAATTAGCTGGGTGTGGTGGCGTGTGCCTGTAATCCCAGCTACTCAGGAGGCTGAGGCAGGAGAATCGCTTGAACCAAGGAGGTGGAGGTTGCAGTGAGCTGAGATCACGTCACAGCACTCCAGCCTGGGCAACAGAGCGAGACTCCATCTCAAAAAAATATAAAAATAAAAAATAAAAATAAAATAAAATTAGCCAGGCATAGTGGTGCACACCTGTGGTCGCAGCTACTGGGGAGGCTGAGGTGACAGGATCGCTTGAGCCCAGGAAGAAGAGGCTGCAGTTAGCAGTGATTGTGCAACTGGAGTCCACCCTGGGAGACAGAGTGACACCCTGTCTCAAAAAAATGATTTACATGAACAAACTAGTATAGAAGACTATAAGAATGAGGAACAAGCCAGTATGGAAGAATCCTCACTTCCTCTAGAAGTATAGCCTTGAATGGCTGATGAGTCTGTACCAAGATGTATGTAGGAAACTGCTATTCTACTGACAGGGCAAATTAGAAAATGGCTATCTTTCTGCAACACGTCTGAAATTTTAACTGAACCATCAGGCAATAAAGACCTTCCATCTATTTCTACTAACTCACCTAGAAATAAATGATATAATTAGTAGAAATAAAGGCAATATTGTACAGTAGCAATTTGATCCAGCTTTTGAGGCAGAAGACAGATTTGAGTACAAACTACATATATATGTATAGAGAGTGTGTATGTGTATATACAGAGAGAGAGAGAATATATAGACTTCACAAACCCAAACCTATAAAAGGGCAACACTTGAAACAGTTTAGTGTAATAACTCATCTTTTGCATGTTTCTTTATTCTTTTGATGAATTAAGTTTAGGAAAAAAAGAAACTTGATTGGGAAAACATGCTCTGTTAATCTGGCGGAACAAACACCTTATTTTATAAAAAGATGAGGAATGTTTTGGACTTACTATATCATTTTCCATTACAAACCCCAACTTACAAAAAGACAGCATTTGCTACAGTTGTTAGTGTAATAACACATCTTTTTCAGTTAATGAATATATTTAATATCTGACCTTAATTAACAGCTGATATCTATTATAAAACATGCAGCACAAAGCTACTTCCATTAAAAAGAAAAGTCTAGGGTGGGTGTAGTGGCTCAAGCCTGTAGTCTTAGCTGCTCAGGAGGATTACTTGTGCCGAGGAGTTCGAGGCTGTAATGAGCTATGATCATGCCACTGCACTCCAGCCTGGGCAAACACAGCAAGACCATCTCTCTTAAAAAAGAAAGAAAATAAAATAATTAGAAAGTATTGCCAGGCGTGGTGGCTCATGCCTGTAATCCCAGCACTCTGGGAGGCCAAGGCAGGTGGATCACCTGAGGTCGGGAGTTCCAGACCAGCCTGACTAAAAATACAAAAAATTAGCCAGGCAAGGTGGTGCACGCTTGTAATCCCAGCTACTCAGGAGGCTGAGGCAGAAGAATCGCTTGAACCTGGGAGGCAGAGGTTGCAGTGAGCGGAGACCACACTATTGCACCCCAGCCTGGGCAACAAGAGTGAAACTCCATCTCAAAAAAAAAAAAAAAAAGTATTAATTGAACATTCTCTGCCAGCAATTCAAATGTACTATTTAATGAAGAAGAAAAAAGACAAGAAATCTCCCTTTCCATCATTGCTCCTCATTCCTAAGAAAGTTATGGCATATGGAACAGGCTTGTAGTCAGCCCTAGGTTTAAATCCCAGTTCTGCCGGTTGTGTGACCTTAGCAAATTATATATACTTTCTGATTCTCAGTTTCTTTATCTGTAATAAATACCTACCTCAAGGGGCCCAGCACAGTGGCTCACACCTATAATCCTAGCACTTCGGGAGGTTGAGGCAAGTGGATCGCTTGAGCCCAGGAGTTCGAGACAGCCTGGGCAACAAGGTGAAACCCTGTCTCTATTCTAAAAAAAAATAAAAATAAAAAACAGGCTGGGCATGGTGGCTCACACCTGTTTTCCCAGCACTTTGGGAGGCCGAGGCGGGAGGATCCCTTGAGCCTAGGGGGTTTAAGATCAGTCTGAGCAACATGGTGAGAAATTTTGAATTTTAAAAATTAAAAAAAAAATTAGCTGGGCATGGTGGCTCACAACTGTGGTCCCAGCAGCTACTCAGAGACCAAGGTGGGAGGATCACTTGAACCTGGGAGGCAGAAGTTGCAGTGAGCCAAGGTTTTGCCACTTCATTCCAGCCTGGGTGTCAGAGTGAGACTCCGTCTCAAAAACAAAAAATAAATACCCATCTCATTCCTAATTTTTCTGTGTATTTTGGAAACACATTTCAAAGATTCAAGTCAAATGTGATAATGCATATAAAAGTATGGCATAGCACCTATCATAGGACAGGCTTTCTTCTTTCCCTACCCAATGCCAAAGTGAGGTGAATGGGTGGGAAATAAAAAAAGCACAGAGAAGGTAAAGAAGTTACAAACTCCATATTGTAACACTCCTCATTTTCCCAAACCCTTTTCTACTATTTTTGTTTATTACCCCCAATCTTTTGAAGCTTTTCTATACCTCATACTGTCCTATAGGGTTAGAGTATGAGGCAGGTTTCACTGCCACTAGCAAGCAGGTGGGGAAACCTAGGGAAGTTTCTGTACTTAAATTAAGCTTAATAGCAATGCCTTATTGGGAGAATCTGAGTCTCCTAACAGGGAACTCAAAACAGTGATTTTTAAATAGTGAGGAGCTGGTAAGGTGGGAAAGGAGGGTGACTGGCAAGGCTACAGGTTCACCCACCTCATAATCAGAGCACTTGTAGGCCAAATATTTTATTTGTTCAAAGAGCTCAGCAGTTAACAAAAACCAGGCAAAAACTGATAATCAGTCAGAAAATATTTTACCACCAAAGTATTATTTTACCTATTTGTGAGGCTTTTATAAGACTCCAACGGGCTGCCTAGAAATCAGGCCAAAAGGCTTATGTTACAGAAAAGACTTCCTGGAAAAACAGATTCTAATTTTCAAAACATCAACTTACAAACTTTCAGAACACTGTAATTTTAGTTTCTTTGTTTTAGAAAATCTATTTTACAAACCTTAAAAGGCTAACCATTTTCCAATGCCATGCTTGTCTTGTTCTAAATATTAACTGTATGTGTATAAAGACAAATATCCAGAACAAGTTGTCCATACCTTTGTCAATTAAAAAAATTAAATGTAAATTTTGATGATAGTGGCTATTTTTCTCATATAATGTTGCAAAGTTTTTATTCAAATAGCCACGATTACTTGTTAACTGACATCATAACTATCCACTTCAACAGAATAATTAAGTCATTTTTCTAATTTTATTACGAAAAAATCTGGGCTAGGCACAGTGGCTCACGCCTGTAATCCCAATACTTTGGGAGGCCAAGGCAGGCAGATCACCTGAGGTCAGGAGTTCGAGACCAGCCTGGCCAACATGGTGAAACCCCCATCTCTACTAAAAATAAGAAAATTAGCTGGGTGTGGTGGCACACACCTGTAATCCCAGCTACTGAGGAGGCTGAGGCAGGGAGAATTGCTTGAACCCGGGAGGCAGAGGTTGCAGTGAGCCGAGATTGCACCACTGCACTCCAGCCTGGGCAATAGAGTGAGACTGAGTCTCAAAAAAAAAAAAAAAAAAAAAGGCCAGCTGAGGTGGCTCACACCTGTAAGCCTGGCACTTTGGGAGGCCAAGGCGGGCGGATCACCTGAGATAGGGAGTTGGAGACCAGCCTGACCAACATGGAGAAATCCCATTCTCTACTAAAAACACAAAAATTAGCCGGGTGTGGTGGCACACGCCTGTAATCCCAGCTACTTGGGAGGCTGAGGCAGGAGAATCACTTGAACCCAGGAGGCTGAGGTTGTAGTGAGCTGAGATCAAGCCACTGCACTCCAGCCTGGGCGACAGAGTGAGACTCTGACTCAAAAAAAAAAAACACAAACCAAAAACCTAGCATAGTAGTATAAATGTTTGCTTAATTAGTAGAACTGCAATTTGCTTGAGAAAGTTCCGTGTCAAGTCCATGGGTCAGTTTTTTATAATCTTTACTTATATCTAATGTGATTCCAAATTTTAGACTCAAACATTTCCTTAAAATTTTATCAATACGGTCATGCATCACTTAACATATATTCTGAGAAATGCCTCATTAGGCAATTCTGACATTATGTGAACACTCTAGAGTGTACTTACACAAACCTACGTGGTATAGCTGACTACAACCTTGGGCCATATAGTATGGCCTATTTCTCTCAGGCTACAAACCTGTACAGCACACAACTGTACAGAATACTGCAGGCAACTGTAACAGTATTTGTGTATTTAAACATAACTAAATGTAGAAGAGATACAGTAATTACACAGTATAAAAAAATAAAAAATGGTACACCTATATAGGGCAGCTCTACTATAATCTTACAGGATCACCATCATTGAAACTTCCTTAGGCAGAGCATGACTATATTGTAACAACTTCAACTGCGGCAGAGCACACATTTATATATAAAGCTGAGAAACTATTAGAAACCATGAGGCCCAACTACCTTTTGTTTCAAATTGCAAAACTAACGCCTAGGGAGTTTACTGAATCGACCAAGGCTAAACAGCTCTTCACTGTCAGAAATGAAACTAAAATCTAGATAGTGTTAGTGCTCTACCTTCCAGTCCTTTCCTTATAACACCATATTGCCTTCTCTGCTCCTTCCAAATGTCTGGCTGCTATTATTTTTAAAGTATCCTTATCTGTAAAATATTAATCACATCAGAACAAAAGTTAGAAGTCAATACATTCGCCAGGAAACAATGTGAAGTATTAACTTATACACAACCACCACCAACTTCCTCACCTCACCCCAATTTCTACTTAATGCTAAGAAACTGAAAAGTTACATTAAAAAATTAGAGAAGTGAAAATCCTCTTAAGTCAGTTGAAGAAAACCTAGAATCCACATTTTGCTGGGAATAGAGGCTGAAAACCAGACAATCTTGAAGTTTCAGGGGTCAGTACTTTTCCTCCTAGCACTTCCTGTTCCGTCCTCACCCCCAATAACCCAGCAAAAGTACACCTATGAATTATGCATTCCTTCACACACATTACTGCAAGAAAATCAGGACTTCTTTTTCTTTTTGTCCTAGGTATATATGAACAAGTCATAATTGTAATACTGATTGTCACTACTGTGATGAGATACCAAATGCATTTTTTAAAAATCTAGGATTTTTCTTCAGCATAACTTGGACTTTCTTCACTAAAATAGTACAACGTATTTATTTAAAATAAACCTTACTAGAGACTAGTTTAACTTCAACTACAATGAATTTTCAGTTCATATTAGAAATATCAAAATGACCTTTAAATTCATATTTGAAGGACTGCTTAAGCTATTTTGTAAAATCACCTTCTAGAACAAAACCTTGAGAGCAAAAATCTAAAGAATTAACTTCGAGCTATGAAAAAGTATTAAGCTAGTTTTATAACATTTTAGTAGAGGTGTACTCAAAAGATTTGTTTTGTTTGCGAAAAGTCCATAGCTGTAATTCATATAAATCTGCCCAGAACCACATCCCTACATACAATTCAGAATTTATTTAGTATTTATTGTGCTAAGGGCTGTTCTCAAAGATTGCTATAAAACAGTTCCTTGACACAGTGAATACTAGGTCAAGAATAACAGACAAGCATGGAAAGAAATAATTACAGTGCAAGGAGAGGTGTGTTTTGACATAAGTGTTTTGTGGGAGCACAAAGAGGTCATAACACCAATCTCTTGCTAAGTATATGCCATAATGATGTGTACTTCTTACTGTTCAAATGCATGGTCTAACTGTACCTCATCCTTCCTCTGGTTATACAAGTTTGAGCACTACTTTTCTCAATCCTCTCTAATCTCCATCCCAAATGCCAAACCCCAAACTACCAAATTCCAAAGACAAGATAAGTCAAAGGAATATCTCCAGATTTTCAGTAGATAGTAGTGGTAAAAGTAAGGACAAGACGCTGCTGTGGCTGGGTGTGGTGGCCTGTAATCCCAGCATTTCGGGAGGCCCAGGCAGGTGGACTGCTGGAGCCTAAGAATTTGAGACCAGCCTGGACAACACGGTGAGACCCCATCTCTCCAAAAAATTCAAAAATTAGCCAGGCATGCTCCAGTCTGGCCAACATGGTGAAACCCTGTCTCTACTAAAAGTACAAAAATTAGCCGGGCGTGGTGGTGCACGCTTGCAATCCCAGCTACTCGGGAGGCTGAGGCAGGAGAATCACTTGAACCTGGGAGGCAGAGGTTGCAGTGAGCCAAGATCGTGCCATTGCACACCAGCCTGGGCAGTAGAGTGATACTTCATCAAAAAAAAAAAAAAAAAATTAGCCAGGCATGGTGGTGCACACCTGTGGTCCGAGCTACTCAGGAGGCTAAAGTGGGAGGATCCCTTGGGCCCCAGAGGTCAAGGCTGCGGTGAGCTGTGACTGCACCACTGCACTCCAGTCTGGGCAACAGAGCAAGATCCTGTCTCAAAAACAAAGCAAAACACAAAAACACAAAAGATGCGACTGCTGCTATTTGCTTGGCATATTTATAAGCTGAGCAGCATTTTAGAAGCAGCAAAATTTGCCTATGGCATCTTCCAGTCTGGGGATTGCCATATATAGCTGATAACGTATTTGCAACTGTTGATGTCCATCTTCTCAAACGCCAGGGATAAAGAAAGAACAAAAGGAAAAGAATGCAGAGTTCCTACTAGCAAAATTCAGGCAGCCACCACGGATATGCAATGTATAGCTAATTCTAGAAGTTATCCCTCTTGAAGGCCTTCCACTTCCTAGGAGAAAGTAGAGTCCAAAGAACCTATATGCCAGCAATTCTACTCCCCTCCCCTAAACAACAATAAAAGAAGCAATTCTAAGAATCACAGCTTAAAGTGAAATGAAGTATAATGCTTCAAGGAACCTGCAGTCTCACAGCTTACTGTACATTTGAACAAGAGAAACTGAAGGGCATTGCTACCCTAGATTTGGGGGGGAAAAGGAGTTGAGGCACAGAGGCTTGTAACTCAGTCCATTAGTACCTCAACAGTACATTATTCTATACTCTAAAATTACAGGATTCTCTGTCTTTCCTGGAGTGGGCTTTCAGATCTTAAAGGTAAACCCAACGCAGACCAGGATATATTGCCATCAAGTCTGCTAGTTCCAAGACAACAGTAGTGCTGCTGCAGCCAACGATTCCTTGGCATACAGACATGTGAAAACGATATTGGCGGCAGCACTGGCTCTTCTCTTTCACCCTCTACTGTTACTATAGCTCCTTTTGCTAAATCTGCCTCTGAGTTTAGACAGGAGCTGGATGGTTAGTAATCACCCAGCAGCTGCAGCTGAGCAATACTCAGCCTAATTGTGGCACTGGAGCAGCTGAGAGGAAGAAAAGAGATAATACATACCCTACCATAGCCATACACGAACTACCAATAAGACAAGACACTTTAATAGAAACAGATTATTTCCTTTAAAGAAAAGCAGTTGTGCCTCGCTATAGGACTTATATTATAAAACTGTTTAAATGTGAACTGAAGGTGACCTAAGCCATGTAGGGTTCTAAACAATGGAAGATCTTACTAAAACTTCCTGTAAATATTCACACAACAAAGCGTGCACCACAAACATCACCTTTATAACATGACTGAAAGTTCCTGTGATATAAAAATTTGGCACAGATGAGATCTCTTCTTCAACTCTACAACAATGCAAAGCCACAATATCAACCACTAAAATAGCAAGCCATTACATAAAGCAAATAAAATAGCATGACCCAATGATTCTCTGCATTTCTGAAACTCCAACACCATATTGTCATTTGCCTTTTGAACCAAAACATATTCATCCTTCAGGTGCTGTGAATCTTCATAAACTTTAAACAAAAACTTATTTTATGCTGAGATTTCATGGCATTCTTAAGAATAGAAAAACTAAGGCTGAAATTACTGATCTAAAGAATTACTGTTCTAGAAAACCGAAAATAGATAAAAGTCAAAACTTAGGATCTTGATGCCGTAATTGAGTTTTGAGTTTTAATTGTCATGTTATGTAATTTTCAGAAAAACAGAGTATTTGATGACAGAACAGTATCCATTCGTTCAATAAACATTTTGATTATCTTCTATTGGTTATTTACAACATACAAGCCGAAGCGGATTTTAATTTTGTAAAACCTGTGTCTTCTGTGAAAATATTAAAACAATTAAGTTATTAAAGAAAACGAACTAGAACTTTATTTAGAAATTTTTTCCCAAAAATTCTCTAATTATTGTACATTTCGGAGTATTTGACTTTTTTTTTTGGAGACAGTCTCACTCTGTTGCCCAGGCTGCAATGCACTGGCACTATCTTAGCTCACCGCAATCTCTGTCTCCCGGGTTCAAGCGATTCTCGTGCCTCAGCCTCCCAGGTAGCTGGGATTACAGGGGCGCGCCACCACACCCAGATAATTTTTGTACTTTTTAGTAGAGATGGGGTTTCACCACGTTGGCCAGGCTGGTCTCAAACTGCTGGCCTCAAGTGATCCCCTTCCCTCTGCCTCCTAAAGTGCTGGGATTACAGGTGTGAGCCACCGTGCCCAGCCTGACGTGTTCAAAGTAGTTATACATACAGCTGGTATATGACAATTATGATTTAATAAATCTAATCCTATTTGCAAAGGATAGCCTAGGTAGTGTTCGAAAGTCAGCCACCAAGTTATGTTCTTAAACCAAGCACCTTATATAGACATTACACACTGGATTCCTTAAAAAAACAACAACAAATTCATGTAAAATAAAACATAGAAACAGATTCTGCACACAAACGTAGGGCTTAATGAATTACACTAAGACCAATACCCTTGGTAACTCCTACCAGGTTAAAAGAACTTTGTCACCACTTCAGAAGCCAGGTCCCTATCACAATCTCCTCCCTCTTCCCATATATTTCCCTTCATAGAACCACAGGTATTCTATGCTTCTATTTTTACGTTCACAGAATTTCCTTGCAGGTTTTTTTTTTTTTTTAATTACCCAAGTTTGGGTGACCCCAGCGCTTAGCATCACTTAAAAAATTGTTTTGGCATTAGTCTTCTTTCTTACTATAATGCTAATAGAATAAACGATGTCTACACTGATTTTGTAAAGAAAAACTAGCCATAGTAGTAAATCATTTACTGTCTAACATGATGCAAATTTCAACTTTGAATAAGTAAGTCTTACACCATCGGTTGGTAATATTTCACTTATACAGGTTTACTTCTAGTCTTTTAGCACATTTATTCTTTTATCAATACATACCATGAAGAAATTTTACTTGCATAGACATTAATTTTTCAGCTTGTGAATTTCCTGAACTAAAACACACACACAAAAACAGCCCATGTATTAATATTATACTTCGACCACAAGACAAATTCCACCTAACCCAGGAAGACAGGTCAAAGCTGTAATTTCACTTTCAGATGAACAGAAAGGAATCAATTTTGTGGTTTATGAAGTCAGCAAAACCTAACTACGAAATTAAAGCCATTATAACATTACAGTGGTTACAACAGAGTATATATTTTAAGAGCCCTTTTATCTTTTATCCTGGAAACATGGATATAAACTGTTTTGTTTTCAGATCAAAGGCAATTGTCTTTTTCAAATGTAGGACCCTCTGAATTGTCAACCAGCATTTAAAATCTCCACCGACTTTTAGCTAATGTCCAAAAATAAAAATACAATTTAACTTCCTTTCCTTACATGTCAATTGTGGCAGGGGTCTCACACTTATAAGCAAACAAACAAAAACCAAAAAACCATATATATTATTTGCTAAAGTAAAACTTTCTTACTGTACAATATATGAACATCGTAAGTGATGCATACAAGATCCTTGGCTAATACAAGATACTCCTTTATTACCTGACCATTCAAAATGCTTCCTGTCCACCGTGTGCCAAGCACTGTGATAGTTAAGATATTAGATTTACCATGCACTTTTCCTTAAATGCACAGTCACGTGTATACATTTAGTAATACTTTCCTTAGTGCGTAATTTAACTTTAGAAGTGTAACAGGATGGTTTAAATATTTAAAATTATCAAGGTATCTTTGGCACTGTAATCTTACAGTTATAATACATGAAGATACTATAATCATATCATGTGAAATCGACTGTGAAAACACACACCCGTGGAACGTATATACATAATAAATGGACATAAAATTGTGCTTCCACCAAAGACTTTCATTATTTCCTTTAGTAATTTATAATTATACAGTATGTTATTCCACGCCTGTATCAATTAATTATGCAGAAAATGATTCAACCAAATCCGAACTGTTAAGTCCTACTCATTACAAAACAAAAACTAAAGTCCCTACACCAGACTTGATTTTCAAAGAGCTTCTTAAAACAGCTCTGCCCCATGCCCAATAAAGTGAAAGCTGGAAGCAATTATCAAGAAGAAAAACACACTTTAAGACAATTTTCTTTAACACATGTGGACAGGGAACCGAACGCAACGGGAGGCGGAGTGGCATGATTCCGTAAAAGTGGACGCTGAATGGTAAATTTCCCAACCCCCAACCCAAAACAAAGGAAAACTTTAAACATGTTGCGGTTTTCAATCAAACCAAGTAAAGCCAGAAAGGCTCATCCACTCGCCCCACACACCCGCTCCTCTCCCCGCACAGCTGCTACCGGCGTCGGCCGATACACAGACCCCCAGCCTTTAGGACCCAAAGGGGCCGCTTCCCTCGCCCCTACTTCGGCCGTAGGGGCAAAAATAAACCTCTCCTCCCCGTCGCCGGGCGGTCCACACGACCCCAAAGACAAGGGGTGGGGAGTGTCCCCACGCCCCTGGAACCTCAGGTCGGACTTGGGCGGGACCCGGCAGGTCTGGACAGGGCAGAGACCGAGTCAGGGGCGAGCAGGTAGCGCGGGGAACGAGACAAGCCCGCCGGGCGATCCGGGGGAGGGGAGAAGTTTCTTCCCAACTTCCCGACTCGGGCCCGCGGGGGCGGGGAACCGCGGCGGCGGCGGCGGCGGCGGCTCCGGGCGCTGGGGCCTAGCCCTGTCCGGGCAGAGGTGGAACCCTCCGCCCGCGGGGCCCCACCGGGTCCTTACCTGTCCTCCGGCCGCGCTCTCATGAGTCGCTGCTACCGCAGCTCGAGGTGGCGGAGGGCGGAGGCGAGGCCCGCGGGCCCTCTCCCTCCTCCACCTCCTCGTCCCGGGGCGCCCGGCGGCAGCAACGACGGCAGAGCCGGCCCGGGACGCGTTACTTCAGGAGGAGGGAGTTCCCGGGCTCCCCACGCCTCGGCCTCACTCTCCACCTCCTCCGCCCCCCCCCCCCGGCCCCGCCCCCTGACTTCTAGCGGGGGCGGGGGCTGCGGGTACCTGCGCGCGCCGCCGTCCGCTCACCGGAACTCGGGCCACGCCGGCCCGGCTCCGGGGCCCCCAGCCTTCCGGCGCCTACGCCCCCGTCAGGTCCCCTCCGCGGGCTCCGGGCCGCTTTGCTGTGGTCAGGATAGGCGACCGGTCCGTGTCACTTCTCCCGACCCAACATGGCGGCGGGGTCCGGGGCGGATTCCCGGGGGCGGTGCAGGCCGAGGGGGCGTGAGGAGGAGGTGCTTCCCTGCCCGGAGAGCAGGCCCGCGGCGTCCCTTCCCACCCGCGAACCCACCGACGCTCGGCTGCCGCGGAGATTGAATGGAGCGCTCCGATTCTGCCCCTCTGCCTTTCTCTGTTCCTTGGCCCAGCTCTCAGTAGTGGCCAGGGCTTTGGGGCTTGCTTTTGTGGGGGAGGACGGGGTTGAGTTTTTTTGGTTGGCTGTTTGCTTCTCAGCGCTACGCTTCCGCACCCTTTGTCGTTGGTAGTAAAATCTCAAGCCCAACCGCGTGAGCCGGGGGCGTTACTCACACCCTCATCACCATCCTGATCGCCGTCCAAAAAACGTTCACGTCTTGCCTCCTTCCGAGGCAGGGATCCTGTCCCTGCCCCCAGGAGCTTCCTGTTGACTGTAGGTCGAACCAGCCTTGCCGGGAGGGGAACCGAAGCTGAGTTCTGTTTGGCGACTATCCCAGTCATGGTGGCTTTGGCTTATGTTGGGACAGCGTTTTTCTATATGATGCTGGCGGCAGCCCAGTGAGGGAAGTGCAACAAGTATGGTTCTCCTGCTTGTCAACTGTGGAAACAGCGACCCTGAAAGTGGAGGAGCCACAGCTGGAATCGTGTCCGTCTGAATACACGCACCTTTCCTATGAGCCTTGTAAAGCCAGTCGTTGAAGAAGGGGGAGGACCCGGAAGGATGGGGTGGGGGCGTAAAGATGAAGGTTAATCAAGGTCCTCATGGACTGAACCTTGAGGCCCTTCTGCTGCAGTCACTTTTGCCCTATCAGACTTTTAGAGTAACTTCCTCTCTTTATTTCCTCTTTGGTGGGGTTATCAGAATTATTTTGTGACTATTGGTTTCCTTTGCGGTTTTTAGTGAAATTCAGAATCATCTTCGACGGATAGGAAATAGTGCAATCATATGTGTCAGTATTCCGGTATTCTAGGAACTTAAGGAAATGCATATAAGGGTTTGAACATTTTTTTCTTCAGCTCACTAAATGAACGAAAGGTAGGCGTAGGCGTTAAAGAGACACATAATGTGGAACGATGCTGTATTTTCTTAGCTACTAAAACTTCATTTGTCATTGACTGTCTCAGGGCTTTAAAATTTTATGTAGGTCTATATTCAGCTTTTATTAAAATAGAAAATTCCTTGAGCTGTTGCCTTTCTTCACTAAATAGAGATAATTTCGTCTTCCTAAACACTCAGTCTCAAAAATCACCTCTAAAATAGGCCGGGCACAGTGGCTCACACGTGTAACCCCAGCATTCTGGGAGTCCAAGACAGGAGGATCACTTGAGTCTAGGAGTTGGAGACCAGCCTGGGCAACATGGGAGACCTCCTATCTATTTAGTAAAATATATTTTAAAAAATAATAATGAAATGAAATAGTAGTTTGCCCCAGTTTAAGGGGTAAGGTGGCTTTGAAGATGTTCTATATGGAGTTTTAAAGTTGGGAGAGTATGTCAGAATGTCACCTACAAGTTATGGATTACATTGACTTACTGAGTTTGCTTCTCTTCGCCCTCCCTTTTTTTTTTTATTACTACATTCCCTGATTTCTTTTTTAGTATATTCATCAATGTCAAACTTCAGTCTGTAAATAACCTGGAAAGTTTTCAATCTTACATTTAGTGGCTCACTTGTTTCCAGGAATATTTTTTAAAAAATTTTTTAATGAGGAAGAGAAAACTGGAAAGTCTTACTGAGTTTGGTGTAACAAAAATTGCTTTTAATCTGTTCATCCTGAAACGGACAAATAAGCTTGCCCCTACTTTTCCCTCCTGCACAGCATAGAGGTGTGGTATGTACATGTGTGTTAGGGAGTGATAAGGAACTTAAGTCTTGAAACCCCTGGAAATGTCTGCTGGAGGAAAAAGCTAGGGGAAAGCTTTAAACAAACAAACTTTATGAGATATGTTAGGTCCCTATAAAAGTAAAATGCTTTCATTTATGTAAGTTGATTAATGCTTAAAATTATTTGGCTGGAAGTTTGAAAAGCTGAAAGTTGAACTAGGGCCCACTCAGTACCACCTTGGAACCTGTGATTCTACCAGGAAATGTTTTTGTTTAGGGTAAACCTCTCCTACGTGCTATCAGTGATATGCTGCTGCTGCTGCTTCCGCCACTGAGGCTATGATGATTTTCTCTTCCTGGTAACAGTAAAAAAGCCTGCAGCCCTACACAAGGTGCCTCTTTTCTAACAACCATCCCCTCACCACCTTCCTCAAATCCATTCAGTGCCTGACATTGTCTGCACCACCTTAGCTTTGCCGCCTCCACCTGGCCAAGACTGCTCCTATGCCCAGTTAGGAAGAATATGAGAACCCCTCTCTAAGGATTAATTTGGAAGATCAGGAAAAAGGAAGGTATTTCTCCTTGAGTGTTGGGCCTATTGTGCCAAGCTCAGTGGAGAAATGCACCAACTCATCAAGTTCTCAATGCTCCTGATGTCTTCATTGCCTCAAGGACTGTGGTTTCTATATTACAGTTTTATTTCCCCTCAACTGGGAAAAGACTGTCTAAGCGACCTAAGTAAATGTATATTGAGGGCCAGGCGCGGTGGCTTAGCTTGTAATCCTAGCACTTTGGGATGCTGAGGTGGGTGGATCACCTGAGGTCAAGAGTTTGAGACCAGCCTGGCCAACATGTTGAAACCCTGTCTCTACTGAAAAAAAAAAAATACAAAAATTAGCCAGGCATGGTGGCATGCGTCTGTAATCCCAGCCACTCGGGAGGCTGAGGCAGGAGAATTGCTTGAACCCCGGGGGCAGAGGTTGCAGTGAGCTGAGATCATGCCACTTCACTCCAGCCTGGGTGAAAGAGCAAAACTTCGTCTCAAAATAAATAAATAAATAAATAAATAAATGGATATAGAAGGACATATCCTGCAATGAATATTTGTCAATCAAATGTGTCTTGCAATTAATAAATGTCAAACATGGCAATCTTACATGAACTTCAGCAAGTCTGTCTCCATCTTGCTCCCTTTTGTTGCTCTCTCTAGCTTTTCACTTCTTCACTACCTGGTTTACAATCTTAGAATTTAACCCTGTGCTGAGTATGCCTTCTCCGCTCCAGAACTATTTTCTGGCAGTATAGTCTTTGCTACTGGAATCTACTTTGGGGACATCTCTTGTTTTATTTCTGACTTCAATTCTTTCTAGTTCTGCAGCTTGACCCAGGCCTGTTTTATCTACCAAAGTCCCTGGTTTCAGCTCTAGCTTCTGGTACCACTCTGCTTATTCCTAGGTAGCTTTACCCACAGCTTCAGACTTTCATAGGCTCAGCTTGGTTTCTCACTCTGTTTGGTGACAGCAGTTTCTAGGCCAGATGAGCACCTTACATCCTCTTACATGCCCTCTGCCGAGTAGAATACAGCCTGTAGTGGACACCTCTTGAGGGTGCCTGTTTAACTCAAGTTCCTCTTCTCTGAGAATTAATTCTTCGATAGGTGGCATGTAGGCCTATGATCTGAGTACTGCTAATCCCAGGTTCTAGGCTGAAAGTTTGAATTTTGAGGAGTAACACAAAAGTAACTCGGTTAGTGATTATTCATGGTAACCATGGTGGAGTTGAGTCAAATGACAGAAGATGAGTGTCCAGGGGTAGAGGATTCCAGTGCTGGTGGTGCCTGCGTCATGAGCATACCATCCCCGTGGCAGAACCTGGACTTTGTCTTGCCTTCCTTGCTTCCTGCCTGAGCCTGCTCCTCTAGTCTTCCTGTTGATTCTCACCATCCTCCAATAAATTCCCTTTATGCTTCAATAGAGACCATTTTTGTTCTTTGCAAATGAAAACCATTACTTAGTCTTTGCTACTTACTTGTGCAGCCAACAGTAAACTCAGGAGCTGTGAGGGTGGCATCTCCTGCCACGTGCTTGGAGAGGCAGTGGGAGTGGGATGGGGAATCCAGTTTTCACAGAGGATGAAGCAGGCACAGCCAGAGGTGGGAGATAAGAGATTGTGGGACCCCAACACTGAGACTTGAGACTTGTGACTTTTGTCACATAGAAGACCCCAAACCTAGAACAGAGCTGGCAGGTCAGTCTCTCCTCCTGCTTGCCCATGGCAGTCATGGCTTTTAGACCATGGCATAGCATATACTCTCCCCCAGAGCATTAATACCATCCTCAGAATCCTCAACACAATTCAGGCAACAGCCACTGCAAAACTGGAGTTAGAATACATTGAAAACCATTTCATATCTCTGCCCTATCGGCTTACAATTTCCTCCTGAGTCTATATTTGCAATTTCTGTAGTCATTAGCAAGTGTTTGGCCCATACTTTTCTGAAATATTAAGCTGATATATAGTCGTGTCAGTGTCTGACATTGAGTTTAGACACCAGTAAAATTGCTACCAGATTGCTACTTCCTGGAAATCTTTACAAATGGGTTATGAAAAGTAGAACATAACATTGCTTGAAGGCAAGAAGTTAAAGTAGATTGTTTACCTGCATTGAGTGTTTAGAAAAGAAACTATAAATCAAGCTCTTATCTTTAAAGTTAACGGACATCAGATCATGAAACATAAAAGGTTAGTATTAAGGAAATTTGTATTAGATGTTTTGCAAGGTAACACTGTAACTGGGTTTTTTTTTTAATGTGTTTAGAATAAATCCATGCTTTTGAAAACCTTGTTTTAATCTCCTCTCTAAGGCTAAATCTTCTTTATGCATTTTTGGCTGTATAGATCCTTATTTTTCACATTGAGCAAATTTTAAATTCTGACTAGAGATATTATATGATGTAAAGAGTAAAACAGGCCTGCCGCGGTGGCTCACGCCTCTAATCCCAGCACTTTGGGAGGCTGAGTCAGGTGGATCACTTGAGGTCAGGAGTTTGAGACCAGCCTGGCCAACATGGTGAAAACCCCTCTCTACTAAAATACAAAAATTAGCCAGGCATGATGGTACACGCCTGTAATCCCAGCTACTCTGGAGGCTGAGGCAGGAGAATCGCTTGAACTTGGGAGTCAGAGGTTGCAGTGAGCTAAGATCACGCCACTGCACTCCAGCCTGGGCGACAGAGTGAGACTCTTGTCTCAAAAACAAACCAAAAAACAATAAAACATTTAATATTAACAAACTATGTTCATCTTCTTTGACTTGTATATGAAAAGGGCTTTTGATTACTTGAAATAGCTACTTAATGTTTCTTTTTTCTAAGGAAAGCACATATGCAACAAATGTTTAATGTAAGACCCATGCTTTGATGAAAGGTGTTTTACGTCATGTGAATGAATGAATTAATCAGTGCAGACATGAGGATTGATAAACAACAGCAGTGGCAATGGCTGTCTTTTTATTGAGCCTTCACTATATGCCAGGTGCTTTACCTACATCATTCACTGAATCTGCACAATAACCTTGGAGGTTGGTAGTATTATCACCATTTACTGATTGGATGCCTCAGGCTTGGAGGGGTTAAGCAACAGACAACTAATAAGAGGAGATGCTCCAAAACCTATTCTACTCAAAGTCACTGTGATTACAAAAAAGAAATTATTTTTAAATGTTATTTCAGTGACCATGTAAAATATTATTTCTCTAAATTCTGGAATCATAAAAATGGGTAAATTGCCTTTAAAATTAGGAAGATATAGCTAAGAAATGTGAGAGTGTACAAATTCAAGGAAATCCTTCTTTATATTACAATCTCACATCCCGAAGAAAGGGTTGGAGCAAACAGATTTATGAGAGACTAGCCTAAAAAGAATGAATTCATTTCAGAAAAAAAAGCATGTATTAAATATGACTCTCTGGAGAGATTAGTTATTTGCATCTATCAAGTCAAACTTCCATCGACACTACCTAAAATCATGGTCTTCCAACAAAGAACCAAATATGGGAAATGACCATATACATGCATAAATTACCTTACCAAATACAAAATGTCCAAGTTACGTCAATATTAAGGTTCGTATTTTAATCTGCTCTGACTGTGTAACTGTATAGTTAAACCTTCCATAGTAACTCAATGATAAAAGTCATTAACAGTTAATAATAGCCCAACACTAGGTAAGATTGTTTAATATTTTAAAAATCAGCTCATTCATTCATAAAACAGAGTGCCTCCTGATAAATTCTGTGTCTTTTGGCCTATATTAAGAGATTTTTTTTTTCTCAAGAGGGAGCCTCTCTCTGTTGCCCAGGCTGGAGTGCAGTGGCACGATCTCAGCTCATTGCAAGCTCCGCTTTCCGGGTTCATGCCATTCTCCTGCCTCAGCCTCCCAAGTAGCTGGGACTACAGGCGCCCGCCACCATGCCTGGCTAATTTTTTGTATTTTTTTTTAGTAGAGACGGGGTTTCACTGTGTTAGCCAGGATGGTCTCAACCTCCTGACCTCGTGATCCACCTGCCTAGGCCTCCCAAAGTGCTGGGATTACAGGCATGAGCCACCGTGCCTGGCCAAGAGAGATCTTATGACTTTATTAACTTAGAGATAAATACCAGGACACATTGTACTGAAATCCAAGGAGTGTGAACATTAATAGATTTTCAAATACTTTATTAAAATTTATTTTCAGAGATAAGGAAATTAATATCCTACCAAACTTCATGGGTTTTTTGTTTGTTTGTTTTTGAGACCAAGTTTCGCTCTTGTGCCCAGGCTGGAGTGCAATGGCACGATCTCAGTTTACCACAACCTCCACCTCCCTGGTTCAAGCAATTCTCCTGCCTCAGCCTCCCAAGTAGCTGGGATTACAGAAATGCACCACCATGCCCGGCGAATTTTGTGTTTTTAGTAGAGACGGGTTTTCTCCATGTTGGTCAGGCTGGTCTTGAACTCCGGACCTCAGGTGATCCGCCCACCTCGGCCTCCCAAAGTGCTGGGATTACAGGCGTGAGACACCGCCACCGGCGAAAGTTTATATTTGAATGCATAGGTGTCAGGCTGGGAGTGGTGTCTCACACCTGTACTCCCAGCACTTTGGGAGGCCAAGGCGGGGGGGATCATGAGGTCGGGAGTTCAAGACCAGCCTGACCAACATGGTGAAACCCCATCTCTACTAAAAATACAAAAATTAGCCAGGCGTGGTGGTACATGCCTGTAATCCTAGCTACTCAGGAGGCTGAGGCAGGAGAATCATTTGAACCTGGGAGGCGGAGGTTGTGGTGAGCTAAGATTGCGCCACTGCACTCTAGCCTAGGCGACAGAGCAAGATTCTGTCTCGGTGCGGGGGGTAAAAAACCCATAGGTTTCTCGTGGAAGTTTTCATTAGAGACTAATAAAATCTGTTTTTTTCAGTTTATACCTAATTTGGTTTTAAATTTGTTTTGATTAAAATAACTAGCCACGGCCGGGTGCGGTGGCTCACGCCTGTGATCCTAGCACTTTGGGAGGCCAAGGCGGGTGGATGTCTTGGGCCCAAGAATTTGAGACCAGCCAGGGCAACATGGTGAAAGGCCATCTCTAGTAAAAATAGAAAAATTTCGCAGTGGCTCATGCCTGTAATCCCAACACTTTGGGAGCCTAAGGCGGGTGGATCACTTGAGGTCAGGAGTTCGAGACCAGCCCAGCCAACGTGGTGAAACCCTGTCTCCACTAAAAACACAAAAATTAGCTGAGCGTGTTGGTTTGTGCCTGTAATCCCAGCTACTTGGGAGGCTGAGGCAGGAGAATCGCTTGAACCTGGGGGCTGGAGGTTGCAGTGAACCAAGATGGCACCACTGCACTCCAGCCTGGACGACAGAGTGAAACTCCATGTAAAAAAAAAAAAAAATTACCTTCTAGCTTTATTACCATTATTATCATATTCATTTCTTTATAGTGGAATAATCTACAATCATTTCAAATTATTTGAGCCCTGAGTTCTGATCATTAATTTGCATAGGTATATGTTCTTCTGAATACTTGAAACCACATTTACTAAAGAATCAACAACCATGCACTGAAGATTCAAAATGTATGCAATGACTCTCACTGTTTAAAGGGTGCTATTTAAATTATCTAAACACGACTAATGTTGTAGAGATTTTTCTTTTGGAGACCTAGTAATTTTGGCATAAAATAGAAAATTGGCACTCATGCTTATTTTATGTAAAATTAATTCCAAGTTTAAAATAGAAGCAATGCAGGAGACCAAGGAATGGATGTTTTGAAAACCACAGACTGGAAAATTTGATTTATGTTATAATGAGTGACTTTTAAAATGTATATGAACTCCTATTCAGGAAAATATTCAGGTTCTCCTTAAACCTTTTAAGGACATATTGTCCAGTCGTGGATTCTATTTAAAAACTTTGAAACAGAAAATAATCCTCCGTTTAATAAAAGCCTCCAGAATAAACAACTTCTTTAAGCTTTTCTCTAACGTCTCCCATATTCTCTGTGAAAATTACCAGTCTCATTTCCTTTGAGATGGTGTGCTGTGCATCCAGAGAACAAAGCATTTCCTGAGTCTGTTTAGAGTATGTAGAACCCGTTCTTAAGTGTTTACCATGTATCCTCAAGAATCTGGCATATATTTGAAAAAAAAAAACAAAAAAATCCCAAAGAATACAGAAACTTATATAAAAGCTTGAGATGATTAATGGCACAGAATTATGCAAAGTCTTAGCAAGCATTTGATAAATTTGATTATTTAGACATTAAATACTTATTAAATAAAACTTTACTTAACTAATCAATTTGAATATCCATATATATGACTATGAGAATGCAAAAAATCTTTGAGCTAGAAGTGAAATATAAGTTCTTGTTCCACTGCTAGTGGGTACAGGATTTCTTCTTGGGGCGATGAGAATATTCTGGAATTACATAGTGGTGATGCTTGCACAGCTTTGTGAATATACTAAAAATCACTTTAAACGGTGAATTTTACTGTGTGTAAATTATATCACAATATTAAAAAAATTTCTGGTACCAGAATTTTATGCCCTTTTATAGCTATGTAATCTTAAGCAAGCGAATTTCCCAATTTCTCAAAGACTTCAGTTTTTTCCATTGTAAAGTGAAGGGATTGTATTAGGTCAATGTTTTTTGAACTGTGGGTTGCAATTCCTTACTGAGTAGCAAAATCAATTTAGTGCATGGCAACCAGCACCTTTTAAAAAATGAAACAAATATCACAGCATACTGCATATACTAAGTATAATTTGGCAAAACTTTTATTTTTTCTATGTGTATATACTGAGTTATGATATAAAATATATTTTTTTCATTGTGGGTTACAGTTATAAAGGTTGAAACCCACTGTATTTCCTGATTTGTGACATCTCCATAAAATTTAGTCAATTTACATTCAATTTAGTAGTAGCAAACTCTCCATTTGATCTTATATTTGCAGGTTATGTTCTTGGAACGCTTACCACACATCAGACACCATTCTGAACTCTTTACGTATTAACTCAATCCTCACTGCACACTATGAAACAGAACAATTGTTATGGTTCTTTCATTTTATAGACAAGGAAAATGAAGGAAAGATAAGTTAATAAGGAAGACAAAATCATACAGTTAGAAGTGGTGGAGCTAGAAATTGAGCCCTAATAGTTTAATTTACAGTATGTAAATTATATCTCAATTAAAAAAATTAGTCCCAGAATTGTATGCCCTTTTGTAGCTACGTAATCTTAAACCAGCAAATTTCCCAATTCTGTTTTCCCAAATCTATTTTTGGTTGTGAATATTGTCCAAAAAAATAAGAAAAGTTTCATTGAGGCCAGGTGTGGTGGCTCATGCCTGTAATCCCAGCAGTTTGGGAGGCCGAGGCAGGTGGCTCACCTGAGGTCAGGAGTTCAAGACCAGCCTGGCCAACATGGTAAAACCCCATCTCTACTAAAAATACAAAAATTAGCTGGGTGTGGTGGTGGGCACCTATAATCCCAGCTACTTGGGAGGCCGAGGCAGGAGAATCACTTGAACCTGGGAGGCGGAGGTTGTATTGAGCCGAGATCATGCCACTGCACTCCAGCCTGGGTGACAGAGCGAGAGTCCCTCTCAAAAAAAAAAAAAAAAAAAAAAAAGAAAAGTTTCACTGATCTGAAAGAAACCATACTGGAGAAAGCACTAAAGGAGATGGAGGAAGCATAGTCATCAAATCACTTTGGTCCATCAGTCCTCTTGCCAGTGCCCTCTGTAGACTCAAGGTTTTGGCTGAGTAGCAGAAATTTTCACTTACAAAAACAACAGAAAAGGACACTCTGTATTAAATAATCTTCCCTTAAGAAAAATTAAGTAGGCTGGGTGCGGTGGCTCACCCCTGTAATCCCAGCACTTTAGGAGGCCAAGGCAGGTGGACACTCCTGTAATCCCAGCACTTTGGGAGGCCAGGCTGAGACCAGCCTGGCCAACATGGTGAAACCCTGTCTCTACTAAAAATACAAAATGAGCCGGGCGTGGTGGTGGGCACCTGTAGTTCCAGCTACTCGGGAGGCTGAGGCAGGAGAATCGCTTGAACCCAGGAGGCGAAGGTTGCAGTGAGCCAAGGTCGCACCACTGCACTCCAGCCTGGGTGACAGAGCAAGACTCCATCTCAAAAAAAAAAAAAATAGATAAAATAAAGAAAAATTAAAAACTCCCATCTTTCTTTTGTTTCGTTCTATTAATATAAAGACGTCTTCAACTTCAGTTGAATTTGGCCGCAAACATGTCCAGTGCTTTTCCCCAGGTAACAATTGTTCTAATTAGTCTCCAAGGAAGGCAGTGATAACAGGGTGCATGAGAAATGTGAAACAGAATTCAGATGGATGACTGAAGTCAATGAGATTTTAATAAAAAAAAATACCAAATTGTCTGTCTTCCTATCTTCTTTTTGATGATAGCCATATTCATTGGCACACACATATACCCATGCTTCTAATAATTCAGCAAAAACGCCAGGCGCGGTAGCTCACACCTGTAATCCTAGCACTTTGGGAGGCCAAGGTGGGTGGATCACCTGAGGTCAGGAGTTCAAGACCAACCTGGCCAACATGGTGAAACCCCATCTCTACTAAAATACAAAAATGAGTGGGGCATGATGGCAGGTGCCTGTAATCCCAGCTACTCAGGAGGCTGAGACAGAGAATCGCTTGAACCCGGGAGATGGTGGTTGCAGTGAGCCGAGATCACACCACTGCACTCCAGCCTGGGTGGCTGAGTGAGACTCCATCTTAAAAAAAAAAAAGTAGTAAACACAAAACATTTTTTGCTTGGAGGCTTCTCAAGGAACTTCTGATCTCTTGGCAATCAAAATCGGAAACTCTCATTTGTTGGGTGTTCTTTAGCAGGTACTTGTCCTGCTTTTATATGCTAACACATTTAAATTCATCTTCACCACAATCTGTGAGGTCATCCCTGTTTTGTTTTTGTTTTTAGTGTGAGTACACAGCAACTCACTTAAAATAATTTAGTGTTAAGAGAGCCAGCTTAAATTAAGCTTCAGTTTCTGTGAACCAACCCTGGTAGTTTTTCCTACTATATGAATCTGAAGTATTGCTCCCCTACTCAAATGCACCTCCATACACTGTGTACATGTATACATGCATTTCATATGTTTTCCATTGTTACAATTTATACAGATGTATTATATCTACTCATACATTTCCATTCTTTTGCTTTCATCTGCTATGGGATCTATATTTTACTATTATAGAACATTTAAGGCCAGGCATGTTGGCTCATGCCTATTATCCCAGCACTTTGGGAGGCTGAGGCCAGAGGATTGCTTGAGGTCAGGAGTTTGAAATCAGCCTGGGCAACACAGCAAGACCCTGTCTCTACAAAAAATGGAAAGAAAAAACAAAAACAAAAACAGGCATGGCAGCACATGCCTGTAGTCATAGCTACTTCGGAGGTTGATGCAGGAAAATCCCTTGAGCCCGGGAGTTGCAGTGAGCTATGATTACACAACTGCACTCCAGCCTGAGCCTAGGTGACAGAGTGAGACACTGTCTCTAAATAAATAAATGAGAACATTTTGAAAATTTAGTCAAACAATGGGGAATCTTGTTCTTTTACCTTCAGTTCAGCTCAAATCTTGAATATTTATATTTAATAGTCACATGCAAATGTTCCCCATTATTTCCTATTTAATAAATACTACACTATAAGTTGTTAAATTTAGGTCCAGCTGCTAATGACTAATGGGGTAAGAACAGTATAGCTGTTTATACAGAATTTTGCAAATTGATCATGGAATTTACAGAGGAATGGAGACCCCTGACTTAGTTGTGTGTGTGTATGTGTTTTTAACTATAATCTTATTCTTGGACAATGCTTGAGATAATGATTCCCACAAGAAAATGTAAGTTATGCAGAGAAAAAAACACTTGTATAAAATGTAAAATGAGAGATGAACTTTCAGCCTGTAAAATCTACTTTGGAAAAATCAGATTAGAAGTTCTTTCAAGGCATAGGAAGAACACATTTAACAGAGATTTTAGCCAAGCAGAAATAATGCAGAACCGCTATGAAGAATTTAGTGTGCCTAGCCACATACAAGCTTTCTGTTCGTTTATTTTCGAAGGTAGATACCACTTTTTTCACAATTACTAAAAGCCAGGCAAATTACTAGTATTTTACATCATCATAACTCATTAATCCCTCACAAAGTCCTATAAATTTAGTAATGAAATTAAAATCCCCTGGGAGTCAGAAACATCCCATTTGTGAGAAATACACTTTTCAATTTATGCCAACCAAAAGCAGAATAAAATTTTAATTTATGAATTTTTAAGATGAGAAAAGTGGGGCTTAGCAATGCTAACTAATATGTGCAAGTTTGTGCAGTTATAAGGAATCTGATTCATAATCACTTTTCTCCATTGCCTCCACGGATTAAAAAGGTGTTCCCAGCCCTGCAGTTTTTCTTACAGAGCTCAGTTCCTTAACCACATATCAATAAATTTCAACTGTGGCCGGGTAAGGTGGCTCACACCTATAATCTCAGCACTTTGGGAGGCTGAGGCGGGCAGATCACCTGAGGCCAAGAGTTTGAGACCAGCCTGACCAACATGTCGAAACCCTGTCTCTGCTAAAAATACAAAAAGTAGCCAGGTGTGGTGGCAGGCGCCTGTAATTCCAGCTTCGAGAGGCTGAGAGAGAAGAATCGCTTGAACCCAGGAGGGGTAGGCTGCAGTGAGCTGAAATCATGCCACTGCACTCTAACCTGGGCCACAGAGTGAGACTTTGTCTCAAAAAAAAAAAAAATTTCAATTGCATGTAGTATACGGCTTATGCCTTTTCCAAAAGTTGGAATTTGATTTTTGATTATGGATTAGAATTCTTACATAAAGGAGTATTTTTGGATATTTGCCATTAATAGGAGATTTTTAATCTCAGCAATTTATGTTAATTTCTTTTTGTCATAATAACATTATAAACGAATTATTTTTTCTAAACAAATTATTTTTCTCTGTAACTTACTTGCTCTTTTTATCCTTCTTGGAAGACAAAAATATTTTAGATAATATTCCTGTTATCAAGTATTTTCCTCATTGTGTAGCCTTTGAAAACTCAGGACATTGCAACAAAGTGACTCCCCAGTTTCTCATACTGAGTCAGTAACGGAAAATCATTATTGTCACTCAAGGCATGCTTACTGTACGGGATGAAACAATGAAATATAAGAACATATCCTACTTAAGAAGCTTGATAGAATATTATATACAAACATGAATAGTAGCTTATATTTGATAAATGCTAATGAGGAGTACAGAAAATTAAATCTTTGGGAATTTACAGTAGGGATCTTAGTAGGTGGAGGCAACTGACAAGAGCTTTGAAAAGGCAGTGGGATAATCAGGAGAGACAGCTCCGGAAAGGCATTCCAGAAAAGGAAGATGAGAGCAGAGGCAGAGTTTCAGTTTGAGTAAATGTGCATGAAATAGAGTGCTCCATTATGCCAGAAGTAGAGGATTCGTATGGGGGTAGAGTAGGAGATAAGGGCCCTTGATGATTCAACATTTACAGCTCTTACAATTTGAACATTAATTTTTCTATCAAATGCCTCCAGGTCGCACTCTACTGAACTCCTTGAAGGGTGGGGACTTTCATCTTATCAACCTTGATACCTTTGGTGCCTAACACGGTACTTTCAGTGCCTGGTACAGAAAAGGTATTCTGTAAGTATTTGTTGAATGAATGAATGAATGAATCTCAGATAGAGTAAGTGAATTTCTCAAGGTCAAACAATGGGTAGGTGATAGTATTATGACTGTAATCAACCATTTGTGTTTTTTTTTGAGACAGAGTCTCACTCCGTCGCCCAGGCTGGAGTGCAATGGCGCGATCTTGGCTCACTGCAACCTCTGCCTCCCAGGTTCAAGCGATTCTCCTGCCTCAGCCTCCTGAGTAGCTGGGATTACAGGCATGTGCCACCACACCCAGCTAATTTTTGTATTTTTAGTAGAAACAGGGTTTCACCATATTGATCAGGCTGGTCTCGAACTCCTGACCTCATGATCTGCCCACCTCAGCCTCCCAAAGTGCTGGGATTACAGGCGTGAGCCACGATGCCGGGCCTCAACCATTTGTTTTTACTCTATTCAGACATGAATGATGAAATGTTACAGAATCCTTATTTCTTCATTCTCCGTTGCTTTTTGGAAATTTTCTCGGGTGAACATTACCTTCTACAGAGTAACAGAACCAGTAGGATGTAATATACATAGAAAGACACTTATGAGAAGGAATTGGTTCACATGATTATGGCAGCTGAGAAGTCCCAGCATCTGTAGGGTGAGTCAACAGCTATAGACCCAGGAGAGCAGGTAGGGTAGGTCCAGGCAGAGTTTGAAGGCCTGAAAACCAGGAAGCCAATGAAGTCAGGGAAAAAGCCAGTGTCTCACACTGAAGGCAGTCGGGAAGATTTCTTTCTTTCTTTCTTTTTCTTTCTTTCTTTCTTTCTTTCTCTTTCTTTCTTTCTTTCTTTCTTTCGTCTCTCTCTCTCTCTTTCTGTCTCTTTCTTTTCTTTCCTTCCTTCCTTCCCTCCCTCCCTCCCTCCTTCCTTCCTTCCTTCCTTCTCTCTCTCTCTCTCTCTGTCTCCCTCTTTTTTTTTTTTTTTTGACTCGTTTTTTCACCCAGGCTTGAGTGCAGTTGCCTGACCTCACTGCAACCTCTGCCTCCCGGGTTCAAGCAAGTCTCCTGCCTCAGACTCCCGAGTAGCTGAGATTACCAGCACGTGCCACCACCCCTGGCTAATTTTGTGTTTTTGGTAGAGATGGGGTTTCACCATGTTGGCCACGCTGGTCTTGAAATCCTGACCTCAGGTGATCTGCCCACCTTGGCCTCCCAAAGTGCTGGGATTACAGGCGTGAGTCACCGCACCTGGCTAATAGGAAATATTAATGCATTTAATAAATACGGCATACCACTACTACTTCTTTGATTTTATCAGATAAATAGTCTTTCCAAATATTGAGTTGTGATACTCCTGCATTGCAGAAACCATTCACTTACATTTCTGTTTTCTCTTTTTTTTGAGGCAGGGTCTCTGTCATCCAGGCTGGAGTGCAGTGGTGTGATCTCGACTCACTGCAGCCTCGACCTCCCAGGCTCAAGCAATCTTCTCACCTCAGCCTCCTGAACAGCTGGAACTACAGGCGCGTGCCACCATGCCTGGCTAATTTTTATATATATATATATACGTATATATATATATATATATATGTATATATATACATATATATATGGATATATATGTGTGTGTGTGTATATATATATATATATATTTTTTTTTTTTTTTTTTTTTTTGTAGAGGAGTGGTTTCTCCATGTTGCCCAGGCTGGTCTTAGACTCCTGGGCTCAAGTGATCTTCAGGCCTTGGCCTCCCAAAGTGTTGGGATTACAGGCATGAGCCACCACGCCCAGCCTCATTTACATTCCTGTCTTCAATTCCTAGTATAGTGCCTGGTATGTAGTAAGCATGTGATAAAAATTTTAAGAATATTTAGGGCCGGGCGCGGTGGCTCACGCCTGTAGTCCCAGCACTTTGGGAGGCCGAGGCGGGTGGATCATGAGGTCAGGAGATCGAGACCATCCTGGCTAACACGGTGAAACCCCGTCTCTACTAAAAATACAAAAAATTAGCCGGGCGCGATGGCGGGCGCCTGTAGTCCCAGCTACTGGGGAGGCTGAGGCAGGAGAATGGCGTGAACCCGGGAGGCGGAGCTTGCAGTGAGCCGAGATTGCGCCACTGCAGTCCGCAGTCCGGCCTGGGCGACAGAGCGAGACTCCGTCTCAAAAAAAAAAAAAAAAAAAAAAAAAGAATATTTAGTATTGTTGTCTCTGAGAAAAACATAAGTTATGTATCTAAATTCTGTAGCCCTATAAGAAAATCTGTGTGTGTGTGTATATATATATTATATATATATATATATTTTTTTTTTTTTTGAGACGAAGTCTGGCTCTGTTGCCCAGGCTGGAATGCAATGGCGTGATCTAGGCTCACCGCAACCTCCACCTCCCGGCTTCAAGCGATTCTCCTGTCTCAGACTCCCGAGTAGCTGGTATTACAGGCATGCACCACCACGCCTGACTAATTTGGTGTTTTTAGTAGAGATGGGGTTTCTCCATGTTGATCAGGCTGATCTCGAACTCCTGATCCCAGGTGATCCACCCGCCTCAGCCTCCCAAAGTGCTGGGATTACAGACATCAGCCACCACGCCTGGCCGAAAATCTGTATATTTTTAATATACAAAGTTTAAGAACAACTAAGTTTTATTTATGCAAAAATGTTTATTTGATTTGAAATGAAACTTTGGAGAAGTTATAATAGCAGAAGTCAAATGTCTTCTTTTCCTTTGTGTTTCTTAATTATGTTGCCTTTTTAACCTTTCATTCTAAAATAGTTTCTATGAACAACTAAACAAGACATGATGGTTGACTCAATCAATAAAATATACAGTATGTTTGCATCATGACATATTTAGATTTCAGTGGCACAAATATAATATTACGTTATGCCAAATAATACTTTATATTTTTCAAATTATTTTATTATCACATTTGATCCGTATAACAATCTTAAAAGATGAATAGGTAGATGTCACTACCCCCATTTTACAGGCGAGGAAACTGAGGAATGAGAAATGCAAACCAGTATGCCAGTCACCAAGTGTCAGATTAATTACTGAGCTAGAGGCCAAACGAGGTGGCTCAAGCCTGTACTTGCAGCACTTTGGGAGGCCGAGGCAGGCGGACTGCTTGAGCTCAAGAGTTTGAGACCAGCTTGGGCAAGAAAAAGAATTAGCAGGGTGTGGTGGTACATGACTGTAGTCCCAGCTGCTTGGGAGGCTGAGGTGAGAGGCTCGCGTGAGCCCGAGAGGTTGAAGCTGCAGTGAGCTGTGATTCTACCACTGCACTCCAGCCTGGGTGACAGAGCAAGACCCTGTCTCAAGGTGATGAAATGATTAGAATTATCCCAAATCTACTATCCCGAATGGTATAGTTATTTTGTATCATTGTATAATTTTCTCCTGCTACTCATTCCTTCAGGTTCTAAGGGAGAGTAAGTTCTAGTTGGTTTCCAAAAGCCCCAACTTAAATGGCTTCCTGGCAATTTTGATCTTAAAGATTGTCTTTTTTTAAGCTGGCCAGAGCAGCTGGCATAAAGAGAGAAAAAAAAGATTATGTCTTTTCTTCTTCTCTCTCTCTCTCTCTCCTCTAGTACCTAGAACACATGCAGAAGGTGCTTAGTATACTCGTGAGCAATGAATACATAAATAAAATGAGTTTAGAAGAGACCTGGGAAAGTCTGGGTAGTGGAATGGGAATACTCTTCTTTGTTAGAAGATAATAGATACCTCAGCACTGGGACATCAGCAGTGATAATCCTGCGTCACAGTTGGTGAGAAGCAGCGGGAAATCAGGGGGAAAGGAGGTAGAGGCAGGCACAGTGGCAGCCCAAGGAAATGAAGGCAAACTGTGGTCATGAGACCAAAGACAAGGGGAGCTGGGGAAGGGAATGATGTCATCAGAACAACAATAGAGGAAGATGGTTTTGGCAGCAGCTTTTGAATAGACTTTGAAGAAAAAAATCAGAGAGAGGGGAAAAAGGAAACGGGAAACGGAAGTCTGTTGAGAACTCAGCATGACATTTGGAGTGGGTGGAGAGCTTCCTGTATAGCTTGATGTTTGGAACATCTGGTCACCTCTTACAATAACAAAACCTTAGAAATTTCAAGCTTTCTCAAGTGGCCAGCTTAGAATGAGTGTGAATTCCATGGCCAAACCGTCATTGCCAGAAGACAGGAATATCTAAAGAAAGAAAAATTCAGACAGAAACTGACTCTTAACACTGAGAACACCCCCACTAGTTTTTTGATGTAAGTAGTCCTATTTGTCAATGTATCTATGCTTTATTTTTGGAATACAGTATTGGCTTGGTATTAAATTTAAAGTGTTAAGTCTACTTTAATTCAATTATCTCAAAGGGCTAAGGTTAATCAACAGATTTACAAAGAAAGCAATTGTTTTCAAAGCTTATGATTTTCACTACCCATTTTTCTGGTGTATTAATTTTTGCTAGAGTCCATACCTTGTTTCATTTGCAATATTGGCTGAAATTTTCCACAACTCAATTGTGCCCTCTAGTGTTTATTAGCATTTAGTGACGGCCACTTTGGATGTTTGTTTGTTTGTTTGTTTGAGACACAGTCTCGCTCTGTTGCCCAGGCTGGAGTGCAGTAGCATGATCTCGGCTCACTGCAACCCCCATCTCTCAGGTTCAAGCGATTCTCCTGCCTCAGCCTCCCAAGTAGGTGGGATTACAGGTGCCCGCCACCATGCCCAGCTAATTTTTGTATTTTTAGTAGAGATGGGGTTTCACTGTGTTGGTCAGGCTGGTCTCGAACTCCTGACCTCGTGATCTGCCTGCCTCAGCCTCTCAAAGTGCTGGGATTACAGGCATAAGCCACTGCGCCCAGCCCAATCCCAGGTCTTCAGACAAGGTAAACTCATTGTCAACCAGAAAATGTTTAAATTCACCTATAGCCTGGAAGCCCCAGCTTTGAGCTGTCCCACCTTTCTGGACCAATCCCATGTATTTATTAAATGTATTTGATTGATGTCTCATGCCCCTCTAAAATGTATAAAACCAAGCTGCACCCCGACCACCTTGGGCACATGTTCTCAGGACCTCCTGAGGGCTGTCTCATGGGCCATGGTCACTCATATTTGGCTCAGAATAAAACTCTTCACATATTTTAGAAAGTTTGACTCTTTCTGTCGACAATAGGGAGGTGCTGTAGGATGTTAGGCACATTATTACCAGCTTCGCCATGTTTTTGAAAGTTTTTATTATAATTCTATTGCTAATAGTGTGGTTAACCTCCATATAATAATACAGTAGTCCCTCCTTGTCTGTGAAGAATACATTCTGAGATCCCCAGTGGATGCCTGAAATCGCTACAGTACCAAACTCTATAGATACTGCGGTTTTTTGTAGATATAGACACACACATATCCCTATGATAAAAGTTAATTTATAAATGAGGCACAGAAGAGATCAACAACAATAACTAGTGATAAATCGAACAATTTTAACAATATGCCAGCATCCCTACCCTTGTGCTTTGATGCCATCATTAAGTCAAAGAAAGCTTACGTGAGGGAAGTGGCTCCTGTAAGGGCGCAAAGCAGCGTGGCAGGGGTCCGAGCTGGGGTTCTGTCCCCGCTGGGCTGCCGCCCCAGCTGGACTACCGCCAGGGAACTCAGCGCCAATTACCTCCAGGAGAAGCTGCAGCGGGACCTGGAGGCGGAGCATGTGGAGGTGGAGGACACGACCTTCAACCTGTAGCTTCCGAGTCCTGGTGGTGTCAGCTGCTGCTTCAGAGACACCAGCTGGTGAATGCGTGCCTAGCAGAAGAGCTCCCACACATCCATGCCTTTGAACAGAAAACCCTGACCCCAGAGCAGTGGGCCCGTGAGCAGCAGAAATGAGGGACTGGAAGCTGCACAGCCATTAAATTATAAATCTGGACCCCCCCCAAAAAAACAACAAAAAAACTTACATGAGCACACACTCTTCAATACCGTGACAGTTGATCTGATAACTGGGCCAGCTACTAAGTGATTGATGGGCAGGTAGTGTAGACGGCATGGAGACACTGGACAAAGGGATGATTCACAACCAGCCCCAAGCAGGAGGAAACAGGACAGCGAGAGATTTCATCCTGGTTATCAGAACAGCGCGGGAAACTTATTAATTGTTTATTTCTGGAATTTTTCATTTTTTTTTTTTTTTTGAGACGGAGCCTTGCTCTGTTGCCCAGGCTGGAGTGCAATGGTGTGATCTTGGCTCACTGCAACCTCTGCCTCCCAGGTTCAAGTGATTCTCTTGCCTCAGCCTCCCGAGTAGCTGGTATTACAGGCACCTGCTACCACACCCAGGTAATTTTTGGTATTTTTTGGTAGAGACGGGGTTTCACCACGTTGGCCAGGCTGGTCTTGAACTCCTGATCTCAGGTGATCCACCCGCCTCAGCCTCCCAAAGTGCTGGAATTACAGGCATGAGCCACTGCGCCTGGCCAGAAGGCTGTATTTTGTATGACTATATTTATATGACATTCTGGAAAAGAGAAAACTGTAGCTATTAGGCACTGTTCTAAGTACTAGACAGACAATACGTGATGATGCTAGTCTTTGAAATAGAAAACACAGGAGAAAAAGCAGGATAGCAAAGGGGGAAATGATTACTTGAGTGCTGGGCATGTTGGGTTTGAGGTGTTTGAGGGAAAGCCAGTGGAAGTGTCAATGGGAGGCAGAACTCAGGAGCACTGCCAGGGCTGGAGATAGATTTGGGAATCAATAACATGTAGATAAGAGCTGAAGCTGTGGAACAAATGAGATTCCCGAGAGAGAGAGAATGCGGAGTGTCCACTTAGTCCAGCCCCAGCCCTGAGCTGAGCCAAAGGGATGAGCAGGAATTAGCTAGGAAAGAAGGCCGAAGAGGTCATTTCAGGCGGAGGAAATAGTGATAGCAAAGAAACCTGCAGGTCCCTGGGATCAACTGAAAAAGCACAGGATTTGTAAATTTAGAAAGGAGGGCTAGGCATGGTGGCTCACACCTTTAATCCCAGCACTTTGGGAGGCTGAGGTGGGAGGATGTCTTGAGCCCAGGATTTTGAGGTCAGCCTAAGCAAAATAGAAAGACCCCCATTTCTACAAAAAATAAAATAAAAATAGCTGGGTGGCGTGTGCCTGTAGTCCCAGCTACTCCGGAGGCTGAGGTGGGAGGATTGATTGCTTGAGCCCAAGATTTCAAGGCTGCAGTAAAGTATGATTGCACTGCACTCCAGCCTGGGTCATAGAGCAAGATCCTATCTCAAAAAAAAAAAAGAAAGAAAGAAAGAAAAAAAAATTTAGAAGGAGACTTGGTTGTTTTTTTTTTTTTAATAAAGGATTACAGCCTGCAAGGTGGCCGTTCTGACAGGTTGGGAAGTATAGCCTCTGGGAGAGGCTGAAAGGCAGGTTTTTCAAGGGAGACGGGAATTATGCTGAGGGGGTTGGCCAAACATACATATTCAACAGGTTACAGGAGGAGCTATGAATGTTCATGAAAGGGGTCCTGAAGCATGTAGCAAACGTGCATGTTACATGTGACCCATGTTCACTTTGGAGCGGAGACTTAACATTTAAATGTATTACAATTAGGGCCTATACATCAAAAGGTGAAGCAGGGACATGAAGCCTCTCAAGTGCACAGCTTCTGTAAACTGGCCAGAACCAGTCCACAGTTGGCGGCCTCTTATCAGGAGAAAGTAACAGAACTCAGTCTCTGGTCCAGTCAAAGCTGTAGTGATGGCTGGTGGAACGAGGAGTCGGTCTAAGTGTCTGATGGTGGCTGAGCTGCAACTGCTTCAACATTGCTCATCTCAAGGCCAGTGCTTGTTTAGCTGCTAGAGAAAAAGAAAACCCTGATGGCAGTGGGAACATAGTTTATTCTTTAATTCTAGGGAGTACATGACTTAATCCTTGCCTGGCATGCATGGCCTTAGGTCCTGTTTATAATGTCGTATCTTATTGCCACAAAAAGTCCATTGTGTCAGGATTATGAGCTCCATTTTAACATGAATGCTGGTCAGATTTTGTGCCAAATCTGCAAAAGGGAAGGGATATAATGAGGTGTGCCTGCCCTCCCATTCTGTCATGGCTGGGAACTCAGTTTTTTAGGTTTCTCACCGGCACGGTGGCTCCCGCCTGTAACCTCAGCACTTTGGGAGGCTGAGGTGGGTGGATCACCTGAGGTTGGGAGTTTGAGACCAGCCTGGCCAACAGGTGAAACCTCGTCTCTACTAAAAATACAAAATTAGCCGGGTGTGGTGGCACATGCGTGTAATCCCAGTTACTCGGGAGTCTGAGGCAGGAGAATTGCTTGAACCTGGGAGGTGGAGGTTGCAGTGAGCCGAGATCGCGCCATTGCACTCCAGCCTGAGCAACAAGAGCAAAACTTCACCACGAAAAAAAGAAAAAAAGGTTTCTCGGGGGTTCTCTTGGCCAAGAGCAGGTTCGTTTAGTCCGTCTCTATGAATCTGACTATTCCAGTACCTCAGTGGACTCATACAGAATTTATTGTCAGTGTCTGGCTTATTCAGATCAGTGGTTCCTTTTTTTTTTTTTTTCTGAGTCAAGGTCTGATTCTATTGCCCAGGCAGAAGTCCAGTGGTGCAATCTTGGCTCACTGCAACCTCTGCTTCCCGGCTCAAGTGATCCTTCCACCTCAGCTTTCTGAGTAGCTGAGACTACAGCCACGCGCCACCGCACTGGCTAAGTTTTGCAGAGATGGGGTTGCGTCATGTTACCCAGGCTGGCCCCGAACTCCTGAGCTCAAGCGATCTGCCTGCCTTGGCCTCCCAAAGTGCTGGGATTACAGGCATGAGCCACCATACCCGGCCTCCACAAGTGATTTTGCTGCTCAGTCAGGGTTAAGAACCATTGATCTGGGGTGGGGGGAGGGGGGAGGGATAGCATTGGGAGATATACCTAATGCTAGAGGACGAGTTAGTGGGTGCAGTGCACCAGCATGTCACATGTATACATATGTAACTAACCTGCATATTGTGCACATGTACCCTAAAACTTAAAGTATTTAAAAAAAAAAAAAAAAGAACCATTGATCTGAGGTCGGGCACAGTGGCTTACACCTGTAATTGTAGCACTTTGGGAGGCCGAGGTGGGCAGATCGCTTGAGCTCAGGAGTTTGAGATCAGCCTGGCCAATATGGTGAAACCTGTCTCTGCTAAAAATACAAAAATTAACCAGGCATCATGGCACACACCTGTAATCCCAGCTACTCGAGAGGCTGGGGCAGGAGAATCACTTGAAGCAGAGGTTGCAGTGAGCCAAGATTGTGGCACTGCACTCCAGCCTGGGTGATAGAGCAAGACTCTGTCTCAAAAAAAAAAAAAAATTCACTTTTGGAGCTTTGAAAACCTGCTAATGCCTGGGCTATGCAGCTAGCGATTCTGACCTACATGGTATGAGGAAGGCGTCAAACACCTGCATTTAGAAAGAGCAAGTGAGAATGCCTGTTGTAGAAGTAGAAGATGGGAGGGGAATAGCATGACATGAGCTGCAAGAGGAAAGGCTGCGGCAGAGGGATATAGCAGTGACAAAGCACCTCTGAGGTTTGAAAGGACGAGGACTAGGGACAGCCACTGGGTCTGGCAAACAAGGTTTCATCAGAACCTTTAATAGGAGCAGTTTTAGTAGAAGAATGAGGGAAGAATCATTGGTGAGAAAGTTCTCTGAACTCTGGAGAAATTGGAAGCAAAATTACAGGTAGAATGGGAAGGTTTAAAGGATGGATGGAGATACGGTTAAATAATTAGGTAGAAGGGATGGAAATAGAGGGACTTGATGCCTGAGAGCTTCTATTTTCATTTTCTTTCTTTTTTTTTTTTGAGACGAAGTTTTGCTCTTGTCGCCCAGGTTGGAGTGCAATGGTGTGGTCTCCACTCTCTGCAACATCCGCCTCCCAGGTTCAAGCGATTCTCCTGCCTCAGCCTCCCAAGTAGCTGGGATTACAGGTGGGTGTCACCGTGCTCAGCTATTTTTTGTATTTTTAGTGGAGATGGGGTTTCACCATATTGGCTGCGCTGGCCAACTCCTGACCTCGGGTTATTCACCTGCCTCGGCCTCCCAAAATGCTGGGATTACAGGCGTGAGCCACTGAGCCGGGCCAAGAGAGCTTCTATTTTCTTTTTTTTTTTTATTGTACTCTAAGTTTTAGGGTACATGTGCACATTGTGCAGGTTAGTTACATATGTATACATGTGCCATGCTGGTGCGCTGCACCCACTAACGTGTCATCTAGCATTAGGTATATCTCCCAATGCTATCCCTCCCCCCTCCCCCGACCCCACCACAGTCCCCAGAGTGTGATATTCCCCTTCCTGTGTCCATGTGATCTCATTATTCAATTCCCACCTATGAGTGAGAATATGCGGTGTTTGGTTTTTTGTTCTTGCGATAGTTTACTGAGAATGATGGTTTCCAATTTCATCCACGTCCCTACAAAGGACATGAACTCATCATTTTTTATGGCTGCATAGTATTCCACGGTGTATATGTGCCACATTTTCTTTTTTTTTTTTTTGAGACGGAGTCTCGCTCTGTCGCCCAGGCCGGACTGCGGACTGCAGTGGCGCAATCTCGGCTCACTGCAAGCTCCGCTTCCCGGGTTCACGCCATTCTCCTGCCTCAGCCTCCCGAGTAGCTGGGACTACAGGCGCCCGCCACCGCGCCCGGCTAATTTTTTGTATTTTTAGTAGAGACGGGGTTTCACCTTGTTAGCCAGGATGGTCTCGATCTCCTGACCTCATGATCCACCCGCCTCGGCCTCCCAAAGTGCTGGGATTACAGGCGTGAGCCACCGCGCCCGGCCAGTGCCACATTTTCTTAATCCAGTCTATCATTGTTGGACATTTGGGTTGGTTCCAAGTCTTTGCTATTGTGAATAGTGCCGCAATAAACATACGTGTGCATGTGTCTTTATAACAGCATGATTTATAGTCCTTTGGGTATATACCCAGTAATGGGATGGCTGGAACACTTTTACACTGTTGGTGGGACTGTAAACTAGTTCAACCATTGTGGAAGTCAGTGTGGCGATTCCTCAGGGATCTAGAACTAGAGAGCTTCTATTTTCTAAGTGGCACTTCAGGCACAGTCACCAGAGGCCACATGGCACTGGTGACCAAGAACATAGGTTTTACAGCCAGATGACCTAGGCTCACATTCTCAGTCCTTTGATCTCTGTTCTTCTGATTCTCATTTGTAAAATGGGGATTTTTTTCTGCCCTGTAGGACTGTTGCGAAGGTTAAAGGAGTTAGTACCTATGATGTTTTTGGAATAATATCTGGCATGCAGTGAGGACTCAGTTTTGTGTTAACAGTGATAGAAGCAAGGAATGGGTTGGATGGCCAGGTCATCTCTGTGAGGCATGGAAAAAGAAACCCACTAGAGCTGCAAAGCGGTGTTCATAGTGTCAGTGGCCCAGCTAAAGCTGGAAACCATTAATTTTGTAACAGAACCAACTAGTGACTATTTTATTTTTTTTGGCAGAACTCAGCAGCAGGAAGAAGCCAAGGTAAGGCATTAGCCAGGGAGGTGGGGCAGAAGGGCCAGGGGCTGGAGAATCTCCAGTGCTCCCATGACTGTGGCCACATGGTTCAACTGTGATCCAGGTTGGGGTTCGTAAACTCAGAGGTCAGGGGGACATCAGGTGTCTGAGCCCTGGCAGAGTCCAGGGGAGATTTAGAGGCTGTGGAGGAGGTGGAAATGCAACAGGGAAGAGAATTATGACCACAGAGAGAATATCAATACGACAAGCATGTTTGAGGGCTCCCGGCTCAGAGTTTATTCCACTCCATCAATCATTTTCTTCTTCTTTCTTATTTTTATTTTTTATTTTTTTTTGATACAGAATCTCCCTCTGTTGCCCAGGCTGGAGTGCAGTGGTGGGACCTTGGCTCACTGCAACCTCTGCCTCCCAGGTTCAAGTAATTCTCCTGCCTTAGCCTCCCCAGTAGCTGGGATTACAGGCACCCAGCTAATTTTTGTATTTTTAGTAGAGATGGGGTTTCTCTACTGGCCATGTTGGCCAGGCTGGTCTCAAACTCCTGGCCTCAAGCAGTCCACCCGCCTTGGGCCTCCCAAAGTGCTGGGATTACAGGTGTGAGCCGCTGCACCTAGCCTCATCAATCATTTTCAAACTCTTCTGAGGAACCTGATGGTTCTTCAGCGATGCCTCAGGAATGATTCTTTCAATCAGGGCGACTCCATTTTCATTTGTTGAGACGTGGGGGCGTGGGTGGGGTGGATGGGGGCAGTGACAAAAGTATATTTTATCAATAAAATTTGACTAAAAAAAGTGGTGTTGCTTGTTTTTTGCTTCTGGTTTGAAAACCACTTTGGTTTGGCTGGATGAACTTGGGTTTGACAGTGAGGAGGTGTATCAGTCCGTTTTCACGCTGCTGATAAAGACATACCTGAGACTGGGTAATTTATAAAGAAAAAGAGGTTTAATGGACTCACAGTTTCACGTGGTTGGGGAGGCCTCACAATGAAAGGCACGTCTTACATGGCGGGCAGGCCAGAGAGACAGAGTCAAGGGAAGGGGGAACCCTCTTCTAAAGCCATCAGATCTCGTGAGACTTATTCACTACCACGAGAACAGTATGGGGGAAACTGACCCCATGATTCAATTATCTCCCACCGGGTCCCTCCAGCAACACGTGGGAATTCTGGGAGCTACAATTCAAGATGAGATTTGGGTGAGGACACAGCCAAACCATATCAGGAGGCATAGTTCTGTCTCCTCCAAACTAGCAGTGTAGTTTGGGCTAGGCCCTCACCTTGCTGGGTTCTCAGTGCTCTTTTTGGGAAATCGGCGGGCTGCCCTAGGTCTTTGCGAGCTGCCTTCCCTGAGGGCTGGAGTTGAGTTCACAGCTGTGCAGCGTCTGTGGAGCTCTGCGGGCGCCACCTGGTGGTCAAAACTGGCAGTGCCGTTAGCGGGCTCAGCGGGACGTGAGAACCCAGGCAGCTTGCTAGATGGGCTTCTATTTACATTAGAGAACAATCTCTCCAGGGGACAGGGTGCCCTAACCAGGGTAAGAGAGCTCTTTTGTTAGAATAAATTGAGGATGAGCTGAACATGGCACAGTAGCCAGGATCTCATCATGAAAATCAGAATAACTCATCCACATATGTGAATAATTTATGGCATATGCAGCCTGTTGGAGAGAGAAGGCCCATGCTATTAGTCAGAACTTACTTACAATCAGCTTGCTTCAATTAGGTTTTCCTTTATTGAAACAGTGACCTTGAAAATGACTTCATTTTCATATTCAGGCCTATCTCATGTGTTTCCCAGAATAGTTATAAAACTGATCTGATGTGTGTGCTGTTTATGTTCCAGCACTTGTTGAGTGGCGATGAAGTCAGGGTCACTCTACAATGAGCCACGACAGCCTCTTTTGTCTCTAAATAATTTTTAAAATGGCTGATTGGTAATACTGGAGAGCCAGGTGTATGATTCAGAAGGGTTACTGGAACAAAAAATTCTGAAAATGGCCTTGGATTGTTAATTTCCTATCCATGGGCATAGAAGGTGTCTGCAACACAGGCTCTGTCACAAAACAAATGATATAAAATGATAATAGAGCGGAAGTGGGAGGGAGTTTTTCTGTCATTGTGTTAGTCCCTGAACCCTCAAGGAAAGAGATAACAGTGCCTCTGGCTTTGGACTACAGATACCCACTCCCTTTGTTTAACTCCTACTTTTTTTTTTCCAGAAAAGTTTCAGACTAAAAATGTACCCTCCAAAGAAGTAGCTTCAAAAACTCCTTGCAAGAGCTCAGTTCCTTTACATTTATGGTCATTTTATTTTCTTTATGAGAAACTTGTGGATTAAAAACTATAGGCTAGGTGTGGTGGCTCATGCCTATAATCCCAGTACTTTGGGAGGCTGAGGCAGGAGGATCCATTGAGCCCAGCAGCCTGAGATGAACTGGGCAAGATAGGGAGACCCCACATCTACAAAAAAAAAAAGAAAAAAAAAAGAAAAATTAGCCAGCTGTGGCAGTGCATGCCTGTAGTCCCACATACTCAGGAATCTGAATCAGGAGGATCTCTTGAGCCCAGGAGTTCAGGGTTCATAGTCTCAACCTCCTGGGCTCAAGCAATTCTCCTGCCTCAGCCTCGCAAAGTGCTAGGCTTGCAGGTGTGGGCCACTGTGCCTAGCCATATCTTCATCTTTTAACTCTCTCTTCAATTGGCTTCAGTGACACTATTATCCAGACTCTTATTCTTCCTCTTTAAAAATCCCTTTTCAGTTTTTTTTTTGAAAATGCGAGTGTGTATGTGTGTGTTTGTGTAAGTTCTTGTTTGCCATTTACTGAGCCCCTCCTAAGTGCCAGGCACTGTAATAGTTTGCATACATTTTATAGTGTAATCCTCTGAATGGCTTCTTGACATCAGTACTTTAAATTTCCGTTTTACATGATGAGCCCATGACTCAGAAAAGTTAAATAACTTGTCCATGTTCTACAGAAAGTAACAGATTCAAACCCAGAGACACTGGTGTTCAGAGGTTGAGCTCTTACTCTCTGATGTTATACTGACTCCTCTATCATGCCTCTTGAAGTTTAACCTTCCTGAAGGTGCTGTCCACAGTCCATATTTCCCTAGGGAGTATTATTCTCACCCAGGGATTCAATGACATTTTTAAGCTGATGCATGTGAAGTCACTGTGTGCACTGTCATTCCACACCCATGCCCACTGAGCATCTCTAAATTCATGTCCCATAGGCCATGCAATTTATCAAAGCCCACATAACATGGGAATTTTACCCACTTCCAGCTTCATCCCATATTGCTCTTCTACTTGGTCAGGGCACTCCAGCTGGAATGAGACCACCACTTCTCCTGTTGTCCTTCCCAGCTTCTCCCCCACCTCCCCTTCCCCTAGTTTATAAGACAGGAGAAAAGGGAGAAAGCAAACAGTTGGAAAGAAACAGAAGTAAGATAAATAGCTAGACGACCTTGGCGCCAACACCTGGCCCTGGTGGTTAAAATAATAATAATAATAATAATAATAATAACCCCTGACCAAAACTACTGGTGTTATCTATACATTCCAGACATTGTATGAGAAAGCATACAATGAGAAAGCACTGTATGAGAAAGCGCTGTATGAGAAAGCACTGTAAAACTGTAAAACTTTTTGTTCTGTTAGCTGATGCATGTAACCCCCAGTCACGTTCCTCACGCTTACTTGATCTATTATGACCCTTTCACGTGGACCCCTTAGAGTTGTAAGCCCTTAAAAGGGCTAGGAATTTCTTTTTCGGGGAGCTCGGCTCTTAAGACACGAGTCTGCCAACGCTCCTGGCCAAGTAAAAACCTCTTCCTTCTTTAATCCGGTGCCTGAGGAGTTTTGTCTGCGACTCGTCCTGCTACACAGCCACACCCAACCTCCTTTCTGTTTCTCAAAGATGTCAAACTCATTCCTGCTCCAAGGCCGTTGCCCGGGCTCTTCTCATTTACCAGCATATACTTTTCACTGCTTATTTCACAGCTGGCTTCTTCTTGGACTTCTTGTCTCAGCTGAATTGCCATCTCCTTAGAGAAACTTTACGGACCATCCTATCTATGAAAGTGTTTCCCCTGTAGTTTTTCCTGATCACATCATCCTTTATAATTATCTTGGATTTTGCTTGGTTGTTGTCTATCTGCTCCCATCAAAACATATGTCCCTTGAAGTCGTCATTTGTTCAGGCACATATAAATATTTGTACAGGTTGTGCACTGTGCAAGGACACCTAGCTGAGGTGGGTGTGTGGGCTCAAATCTAGTCTGCCTCCACTTTCTGACCAGAAGGGCTATCTTTAAAAAAATTGTACAAAGACACCATCCAGGGTAGCAGTGGATGTGGCCCTGTGTGTCTTATCCAGCAGTTTATTTTCATAGTCTATAACAGTGACTGGTACATATTAGGCTTTCATAAAATATTTAGCAAATGAATAAAAGGGGGTGATGTAGCTGCAGGACAGTATTTTTTTTTTTTTTTTTGAGATGGAGTTTCCCTCTTGTTGCCCAGGCTGGAGTGCAATGGCACAATCTCGGCTCACTGCAACCTCCGACTCCCTGGTTCAAGCGATTCTCCTGCCTCAGTCTCCCAGTAGCTGGGATTACAGGCATGTGCCACCACGCCTGGCTAATTTTGTATTTTTAGTAGAAACGAGGTTTCTCCATGTTGGTCAAGCTAGTCTCGAATTCCCGACCTCAGGTGATCTGCCCGCCTCGGCCTCCCAAAGTTCTGGGATTACAGGCATGAGCCACTGCGCCCAGCCTGCTTGGTTATTTTCTATCCTGGCTGGGAGCAGTGGCTCAAATCTGTAATTCCAGTACTTTGGGAGGCTGAGGCAGGTGGATCACAAGGTCAAGAGATGGAGACCATCCTGGCCAACATGGTGAAACCCTGTCTCTACTAAAAATACAAAAATTAGCCTGGCGTGGTGGTACGTGCCTGTAATCCCAGCTACTCAGGAGACTGAGGCAGGAGAATCACTTGAAACAGGGAGTTGGAAGTTGCAGTGAGCTGAGATGGCGCCACTGCACTCCAGCGTGGCGACAGGTGGAGTCTCCGTCTCAAAAACAACAACAACAACAAAACAAAAAAATCTGTCCTGCAGCTACGTTACTCCCTTTCGTTAATTCACTAAATATTTTATGAAAGCCTAATATGTACCAGTCACTGTACTCCAGCCTGGGCAACAAGAACGAAACTGCATCTCAAAAAAAAAAAAAAAAAAAAAAAAAAAAAGGAAAATAACCAAGCAGTTCTAACATTTAAAAATTTTCCAATTGCATGTAGGGTAAAACTGAAATTCTTTCTGTGGTCAGGACCTACCTCCAACCTATATCTACCGCCTCATTTCACACCACCTTGGTTGCTATGATAAATTGCTGTGGTTCTTTTTTTTTCCTTGTTATTATTATTATTATACTTTAAGTTCTAGGGTACATGTGCACAACGTGCAGGTTTGTTACATATGTATACATGTACCATGTTGGTGTGCTGCACCCATTAACTCGTCATTTACATTAGGTATATCTCCTAATGCTATCCCTCCCCGTCTCCTGAGCCCACGACAGGCCCCGGTGTGTGATGTTCCCCACCCTGTGTCCAAGTGTTCTCATTGTCCAATTCCCACCTATGAGTGAGAACATGTGGTGTTTGGTAAATTGCTGTGGTTCTAACCCTCAGATATCCTTTGAAAAATCAAAACCTGACTCCAAGTCCAGAGCGCACAAAATGCAGGGAACGCTGTTTCTTCCTGCGTTTTAACTTGCAAGAAGTGGTAGTTTGTATTTTGGGCATTTTTTCCAAAACTTTTTTGCATTTTTTCCCTGTCGCAGAATTTCCTGTCAATCTATCCTAGGATGGTTTCTAATGAGACTCTTCATCAGAAAACAGCCTAGTAACATTAGCTCCCTCAGGAGGTCATGTGATCCCGGTCAAATTTCCCAGTGGATTTTTTTTTTTTTTTTTTGAGACGGAGTCTCGCTCTGTCGCCCAGGCTGGAGTGCGGTGGCGCGATCTCGACTCACTGCAAGCTCCGCCTCCCGGGTTCACGCCATTCTCCTGCCTCAGCCTCCCGAGTAGCTGGGACTACAGGCGCCCGCTACCACGCCCGGCTAATTTTTTGTATTTTTAGTAGAGACGGGGTTTCACCGTGTTAGCCAGGATGGTCTCGATCTCCTGACCTCGTGATCCACCTGCCTCGGCCTCCCAAAGTGCTGGGATTACAGGCGTGAGCCACCGCGCCCGGCCCCCAGTGAATGTTTTCTTGTCAATTTCTATTTGAATACTCACGTAAGTGGGAAATCTGTATGAACTCTGAACTTCCTTGACATGCTCTTTGATAGCTATCTCCAGCCACTTAGCCCTTTGAATTAATTCCTCCTTAGATTTGTCTTTGTGAATCATCAAGCTCTTTTTTTTGTTGTTGAGACGGAGTCTCGCTCTGTCACGCAGACTGGAGGGCAGTGGCGCGATCTCGGCTCACTGCAACTTCCACTGCCTCCCAGATTCAAGCGATTCTTCTGCCTTAGCCTCCTGAGTAGCTGGGATTAACAGGCACCTGCCACCACACCCGGCTAATTATTTTTGTATTTTTTTTTATTTTTATTTTTTTTTAGTAGAGATGGGGTTTCATCATGTTGGCTAGGCTGGTCTTGAACTCCTGACCTCAAGTGATCTGCCCACCTCAGTCTCCTGAAGTGCTGGGATTACAGGCATGAGCCACTGTGCCTGGCCCGATCCAGCTCTTTCAGTAGATTTTAACCCTTACTTAATTTCATTCCAGCAGTCAGATCACCATGTACGTCTGGATGACTTTTTATTTTGTCCTCTCTCCTCTCCATTTTTACAAATGTTGCCCACCAGTCCAGGTGAGACCAAGGCCTCTCTCACCCTGGTTGTAACAGTAATGCAGCCACTGTGGAATCACTTTCCTTCAAGCTCCCTGGGCAAATGATGAGGTTCTTATTTATTTACTTATATTTCATTTATTTATTTATTTATTTTTTTAGTGATGAGGTCTTGCTATGTTGCCCAGGCTGGTCTCGAACTCCTGGGCTTAAGGGATCCTCCTGTCTTGGCCTCCCAAAGTGTTGGGATTACAGCTGTGAGACTCTATGCCAGGCAGGAATTCATTTCGTCATGACTAAACTTCCTCTCTGAAATGTGATAGGAGGGGAAGTGAATGCAAAGATTGTGACCTTCTAAACTTCCTCTCGGGCTTTAATCAGATCTGTTTACAAAGGAACAATTTTAGGAAACCAAGCCAAACCAAACAACACCCTTGAGCCAAAGTTTTAGATACTTCCTTATTCGCTTTTCTGGAAAAGTAAGTGGTGGGGATGGCCAGGCTGACCTTCCCTAACATCAGGAAGATGTTATTTCTCCTGGTCCACGTTTCTGGTTAGTCCCATTTGGCCTGCTTTAACATGCACATACTTCTTTTTGCTGTGCGTTTAGAACTCTCAGATCTCTGGAACAAATGTGACGACCTCTTAAGCCCTCATTAACTTGCTTAATAATTTTAGGAAATGTGCACTAGGATTGGCACTGAAGTGCTTTAACTTTCAACCACAGGAATCCTGGTGTGCAGAGGCTGGACCTATGGACCATTTTTCTGGGAATACTGGTCTGACTCAAATGAAAACCATTTGGCCAAGTAAATTTATTGTCGTGAGCCGATAACACTATATATTAATATATCAAATGAAGGGCTGCTTTTTAAAAAAAAATTGACAATTTAATAATCAGTCATTCTTTACCTATTTCATTTTGAGGTAACTATTTTAGACCAAATTAAAAGTGATCATTTTTCTTTTTAAAATATATTCTGTCCCTCAATATTGTTGCTTTTCAAAAGTGCATCTGACCATTATTAATTCAAAGAGTAAGGTAATGATAATAAAAATGTTAGGCAAAAGTAGGCATTTTTCCAATCTCATGAGTAACTTTTCCACCCAACATGAAATGGAATTTTGTTATTTTGATAAATCTTTTTTAAAACTCTAGTAGTTTTCTTCTGGGTGGGAAAGCAGAACTTATACTGAGTGCCTACAATATGCTAATTGCTTTACATATGCTGTATTATATAATTATCATACTGATTATGTAACACATGTATTATTATCACCATTTTACTCATATGGAAACAGTTTCAAAGATAACTTGTCACATAATTATTATTGAATCAGGTGCAAATCCTGCTCTGTTGGACTGTAAAGCCTCTTCTTGGGAGCTTGTTAGAAATGGGGAATCTTAGGTGCCCCCCATCAGAACTACGGAGTCAGAATCTGCATTTTAACAAGTTTTCCTATAGGTGACTGGGATGCACATTAATTGTATATTAATGTGTATTATTGGTTGGGCCTACATTACATAGAAATGTTTGAAGCTATCTGAGGTTCTTTGATTGTTTTTCTTCCCCCTATCTCCACCTGGTTTCCCATATACCTGTTAAGATAACCCAGGAGGAAGTATGTTTAGATGCTATCATTCATTGATTTCATTGATCCTTCACACATATATCTCAGCTAAGCTTCCTAATCACCCCACAGTGTCATTACTAGCATCCCTACCTTATAGGTAAGGAAATTGAGTCTTGGGGAGATGAGAGTGCTAATGTAGGAATTGGAAAAGATAAAAATAATCATTTTCAGGGGAAATTTGAGTTCAAAATCGTATACACTATTGCTACTTTTGGTCTTCCTGTTAGCGAATATTTAACAGTCAAGTATAACTAATAATAGTACTAGTAAGGAAAATTGTAGCTGTCTGAGTGCTCAGAATTTGCTGAGCACAATATTAAGTGTCTTATGCGTTAGCTAATCAAATATGTAAAACTGTTACGTAAATGGGACTTATTCTCTCTGACTGTAGCAAATAGAAAAATAAATATCATAAAATCATTTGGCTTGTTTATCATGAGCCAATAGCTACAAAAATAAATTGATACTTGTTGACTATTTTTAGCAAGCGCATCTGCCCATCAGCCAGTGATTCTCAATAAGGTTGGGGGTTAACCCTCCAAGGGACATTTGGAACCACACAGGGGCCCTTTCTGGTTGTCATAATGAATAGGGAGGTACAGCTGGCCTTTAGTATCTTGGAACCAGGGATGCTAAAATTCTCCGCCAGTATTGTCCCACCACCACTCCCAAGTGCTAATGACACTCTCCTTGAGGAACAAAGAACTCTGCCAAAGTTTTTGCATGTATAAAACAAGTTTCAGCCTTTAAAGAGAACAATACTAATTATTCCTATCCCCAAAGAGTTAGCACTTTCCATTGCTAAATAATTCTTTTTTTTTTTTTTTGGAGACAGAGTTTCGTTCTTGTTGCCCAGGCTGGAGTGCAACGGCGCAGTCTTGGCTCACTGCAACTTCTGCTTCCTGGGTTCAAGCGATTCTCCTGCCTCAGCCTCCCTAGTAGCTGAGATTACAGGCGCCAACAACCACGCCTGGCTAATTTTTGTATTTTTAGTAGAGGTGGGGTTTTACCATGTTGGCCAGGCTGATCTGAGCTCACTGCAACCTCTGCCTCCTGGGTTCAAGAGATTCTCATGCCTCAGCCTCCATAGTAAGCTGGGATAACAGGCACATGCCACCACACCTGGCTAATTTTTGTATATATATATATTTTTTGAGACAGGGTCTTGCTCTGTTGCCCAGACTGGAGTACAGTGGCGCAATCTCAGCTCAATGCAACCTCTGCCTCTTCAGGTCAAGCGATTCTCCCGTTTCAGCCTCCCGAGTAGCTGGGATTACAGGTGCCCACCACCACGCCCGACTAATTTTTGTATTTTTAGTACAGACAGGGTTTCACCATGTTGGCCAGGCTGGTCTCGAACTCCTGAACTCAGGTGATCCACCCCGCCTTGGCCTCCCAAAGTGCTGGAATTACAGGTGTGAGCCACCACGCCTGGCGGCATTACTAAATAATTCTAATAAACTCACTAATACACAATGTACTGAAAACCCAGGGGCTTTGAGGCCATCAGGAATCCTTTAATGGCCAGAGGGACTGCTAGGGTCAGGCCCTTCTACCTCATTTCCACCACAGCTCACAGATGAGGGCCTTCTACTTCCTCTCCACTCTGGCCAGTGTTGGAGGAAGCAGGTACAGCCCCTCTCTCTCTTTCTTCTGGGAAAAGGAGTGATTAGTTTGATTGTGAGCCTAGAATATTCACAGAGGCAGGTTTTACTCATCAGTGAGATTACTGTGCCCAAGACTTCACCCTTCCTCCTTCACTTCCCACTTTTGCAGCAGCTTGGTCTGCATTCCTGCCCCAGCCACAGGCTAAATGGCCAAAGTCCTCTCGGAGCTGGGGCCTGGGCCAGTGGAAGGTGTGTGACTCCCTCGTGCTATGTTGCCCTTTGCTCTGGCAGTAGGAATGCACTGTGCATTGGGATTTCCTTAGGCGGCAATAGTTCCATCTACCCTAAGATTTGCAGGTGAAATGGCAGATATTTATGGAGAAAGCAGTGGAAAGCTCCACTACCCTCAGTCCTAAGCCTTTCTCCAGCCCAGCTTTTAGCAGAGTTTATGTCAAGTGCTTGCTCAGCTTTTCACAAACAGCCACTGTCTTACCTCCTGAGGTCTTCCTGCTGTGCAAGCTCCACCCGTTGGGCTGACGAAAGGCGCTGGGAGCTCTGGGGCGCAGGAGCTGCCATCTTTGAAGCGCTCACACTGTGCTGGGCACTTTCTGTACCTTATCTTCTTTATTCTTCAAAATGACTCTGGGGGATAGGTGCGGTCCCTGGTTCAAAGACGTGGAAGCAGAAAATTTGGGACATTAGTAACTCTGGGCTACTTAGTGAGTAATAAAGCTGAAATTCAGTTTGTCTGGACTCTAAAACCTATACTTTTAGCACTTTGAAGACAAATTTGTTTCTTCCATGTTTTATGATATGGATTTATCAACAAAGCCCTTCTCTTTGAGTTTCTGAGCGGATCCAAAGCTGTTTTTTGAGAGAAATAATTGGTTCTGGCGGCACCCCTGAGGAAGCAGGACAGGCTTGTCTCTGGCAAGAAAATAAATCACGTTCCTCCATTTTCCCAGCACTTGCAGTCCTGCCATCTGCATGTCTGGGGCCTAAGACATGTGTGTTTTCTTCTACTCACAACACAGAAGACTGGCATTTACTCACTCACCACTGAGTTGGTTGCAACTCAGCATTTGACAGAAGTTTGCTTGTGACATCTGGTGAGACAGGGAGGGAGAAAGAGAGAGAAAGGAATAATTTTAATGTGAAAGAAGATTCGTGGGAGTTATATTTGTCTGGTGTTCTAGGGTATCTGTTATCTGACTGTAATATATTAGGTGATCAGAAATAATGTTTTTTTTTTGAGACAGAGTCTTGTTCTGTCACCCAGGCTGGAGTGCAGTGGTGTGATCTTGGCTTACTGTAACCTCCACCTCCTGAGTTCAAGCGATTCTCCTGCCTCAACCTCCCGAGTAGCTGGGATTACAGGCGTGTGCCACCATGCCCAGCTAATTTTTGTATTTTTAGTAGAGACGGGGTTTCGCCATGTTGGCCAGGCTGGTCTCGAACTCCTGACCTCAGGTGATCCACCTGCCTCGGCCTCCCAAAGTGCTGGGATTATAGGTGTGAGCCACCACGCCCATCCTAGAAATATTTTTTGACTGTCTGTGTGTGTGTGTGTGTGTGTGTGTGTGTGTGTGTGTGTAGTCCTATTTCCCTTAGAAATATCAATATAAAAGTAACCAAAAAAACACTGTTAGGTGAAATTGCTTGTAATGTCTGTCATTTTACTAGTTACTAAAGCTGCTTTAATTGATCCTGCAGGAATGACAGGTATCTCCTTTTCTCACTCTTTGGGGTCTGCCTCATGAAACTGGATGTTTGGTGGAGGAGGTCGTTCTTTTCAGATACAGAAGGCTGGTTCCTTAGTGAAGGTATACAAATGTCTGGGCTTTCATACTCATTAGAATAATTATTCACTATCTTATTTGAGGTATTTATATAAGCATCCCTGTGAGAAATTCCTGCTGAAGTCCAGTTCACTTTTATGAAACAATTCATGTACCTTATTCCAGTTGGAAGTGAGACCTCTAACTTAATATCTTTTTTTTTTTGAGACAGACTTTCGCTGTTACCCAGGCTGGAGTGCAGAGGTGCGATCTGGGCTCACTGCAACCTCCGCCTCCTGGGTTCAGGCGATTCTCTTGCCTCGGCCTCCTGAGTAGCTGGGACTACAGGCCCCTGCCACCATGCCCGGCTAATTTTTGTATTTTTAGTAGAGATGGGGTTTCACCATGTTGGCCAGGCTGGTCTTGAACTCCTGACCTCAGGTGATCTGCCTGCCTCCACCTCCCAAAAATGCTAGGATTACAGGTGTGAGCCACTGCACCTGGCCCTCTAACTAAATATCTTTGCTTTATTGTTTTGGTTATCAGAAAATTCAGGGCCAAATGAGTGCTCAGTTGTACTGCTTGATTCCTAACAGATGCTAAGTACACATATGGTTCTTTAAAATAATAATATTATTATTATTTAGACAGGGTCTTGCTCTGTCGCCCATGCTGGACTGCAGTAGCATGATCATAGCTCACTATGGCCTCCAACTCCTGGGCTCAAGTGATCCTCTCACCACAGCCTCCTGAGCAGCTGGCACTATAGGTATGAGTCCTCATTTTTGAGTCCCTGGCCCATGTTTAATTTCAATTGTCATTGTCAGTTTTAATATGTTGTAAGTTATCTAAGACACCCCTCCTATTTTTTTTTTTTGGCAATAGGCATGGCATTTTCCCATGCGTTACTTGCTAATTGCAAAGGGCAAAATACCTTTGAAATGGAGACATCTGGCTTTTACTACCCCAACGTAGCAAATCAATTTAAAAATTACTAATAGTGGACCAGTCAGGCAGTATATGATTCTTGATGTAAATATTAACCTGAATAAGAGGAAGCCTTTACATCTTACTTCCAATTCCTGGAAATACAGGGGATAGAGAAACAAGCCAAACAATATCACAAAGAAATAAAGTCAAACCTGGAATGTGGGAGACTGTATTAGTTGGTGCAAAAGTAATTGCGGTTTTTGCCATTAGTTGGTTTGGACTTGCTCATGTGGCCATTCCAGCCCAGACAACCTTCTATGGGACTGCCACATAAGCAAGTCCAAAACCGAGCAATGGCAAAAGTGGTAATTACTTTTGCACCAACTAATGCAATGCAACTAGCCAGGTCGCCTAAAACACTTAATTTCATGAAAATAATTGGGGAGATGGAGTCTGTTCTAGAATAAAAGAGATGGGACGATGTACAGAAACTAGATTAACTTTCATTACTGGTGAGAATGTAAAATAGTACAGCCTCTCTGGAAAATAATTAATGTTTCCAGTATGTGATCCAGCAATTCCGTTCCTAGGTATCTACCCAAGAGAAAATATATGTGAACACGAGGACTTGTATATGAATACTCATAGTAGCATTATTATTATTATTATTATTTTTGAGATGGAGTCTCACTCTGTCACCCAGGCTGGAGTGCAGTGGCAAGATCTCAGCTCACTGCCACCTCCGCTTCCTGAGTTCAAATGATTCTCCTGCCCCAGACTCCCGAGTAGCTGGGATTTATAGGCATGTGCCACCACACCCAGCTGTTTTTTTTGTTTGTATTTTTAATAGAGATGGGGTTTCACCAGGTTGGCCAGGTCATCTTGAACTCCCGACCTCAGGTCATCCACCTGCCTTGGCCTCCCAAAGTGCTGGGATTACAGGTGTAAGCCACTGCACCCCGCTCATAGTAGCATTATTTGTAATGATCAAAAACTGGAAACAATCCAAATGTCCATCAACTGGCAGATGAATAAAGAAAATGTGATCCAGCCGGGCGTGGTGGCTCACGCCTGTAATCCCAGCACTTTGGGAGTCTGAGGCAGGCGGATCACCTGGGGTTGGGAGTTCGAGACCAGCCTGACCAACATGGAGAAACCCCGTCACTACAATTAATATAAAATCAGCCAGGTGTGGTGGTGCATGCTTATAATCCCGGCTACTTGGGAAGCTGAGGCAGGAGAATCGCTTGAACCCGGGAGGCGGAGGCTGCGGTGAGCTGAGATCGTGCCATTGCACTCCAGCCTGGGCAACAAGAGCAAAATTCTGTCTCAACAACAACAACAACAACAAAACAAACAATCAAAAAAGAAAATGTGATCTATTCATACAATGAAACATTACTCTGCCATAGAAAGAAACTATGGATGAACCTCAAAAACATTATGCTAAGTAAAAGAAGCCAGAATCCAGATGCGAAAGACAACATATTCTATGATTCCATTTATAAGAACTGCCCAGAAAAGACAAATCTCTAAAGATGGTGAGTAGATTAGTCGTTGCTCAGAAGCTCAGGGTAGAAATGGAGATTTACTACTAATAGGCATGTGGTATCTTTTTGGGTGAAGAAAAGGTTCTACAGCCGCATTGTGGTGATGGTTGCACATCTCTGTAGATTTACCAAAAATATCATTGAATTGTACCCTTCAAGTGAATGAATTTCATGGTAAATGATACCTCAATAAAACCAATTTCAAAAAAACATGGCAGAAGTGATGTTGTGTGAGCCGAAGCCTTAAGAGGCTTTGTGCTTTTACCTTCCCACTATGGAACCTCCCCTGAGACTGCGACAGAGGGAAACTGAGGCACCCAGCCAACAGCAGCACCAACCACTCACTGCACATGGGAGTTTGTCCCTCTTGGACCTTCCAGCCCAGATGAGCTTCTAGGTGACTGCAGCCACATGAGCAAGTCCAGCAGAGGACATGCCCAGCCGAGCTATGAGTCAAGAAATACAAGAAATTGTTTTACATCAATAAAAATTTTATATGTACATGTATAAATAAATAAATATATCTTATTTCATGCATATTTTATATGCAAAATGTGTTATCTTTATACATGTTAAATGATATGGTGAAAGATCAACAACTTTATTTATTTATTTATTTATTTGAGAAGGAGTCTCGCTCTGTTGCCCAGGCTGGACTACAATGGCATGTTCTCAGCTCACTGCAACCTCTGCCTCCCGGGCTCAAGCAATTCTCATGCCTCAGCCTCCCGAGTAGCTGGGATTACAGGCCTGGGCCACCACACCCAGCTAATTTTTGTATTTTTAATAGAGTTGGGGTTTCACCATGTTGGCCAGGCTGGTCTCGAACTCCTGACCTCGTGAGTTGCCCATCTCGGCCTCTCAAAGTGTTGGGATTACAGGTGTGAGTCACCGTGCCTGGCCTAACAATTGTATTTAGACGGTGGATAGATGATTATTTATTGTGCTTGTTCTAGTTGTATCCAAAAAACTCAAAATAAGAAGTTAAACCAAAATAGGCACATTTAAGAAATCATACTTGGAAAGGGAAATAGGCACTGTGGGCAGCTGTAAATCCTTCCCGAAATTCATCTCTGCACTTCTACCCAGGCAATTCTTGGACACTTGACAGAGGTCTTGAGTGAGTAGCCACTCAAGGGAGGGCAGAGGGGATTCTGATCAGAGGACAGAGCAAATGTGGAGAGACAGAGGAAAGCGCGTCATTCTTTTGGGGGTTACTCGCTTGTTTATTCAACAAAAATTGTTGGCCTCTACTATGTGGTCAGCGGTACTGGGAATTGAGCAGTGAATGAATGAGACAACATTTCTGCCCAAATGAAGCTTACATTGGAGTGAAGGAAGAGAGATACTAACAAATAAACAAGTGAGTAGAGTATGTGGAATATGAGATAATCAGGAGCAGATCTGGGTTTTGTGAGGTCTGGAGCTTACACAGATGTAGGGCACACATTAAGAAAATTAAAACCAAAATTACCTTCCGTGGCAAATTTTGTAAAACTTATGACCACGAGAATACATTGCTGGGACCCCTGCCAGGGTCATGGAAGGAGCCTCCGCTAGCGAGGGCTGTGGCACAATGCATCAATAGCTTTGCACTGAGTCTGCTCAAGTGTCTTGGTTTGAATTTCTCCAGAAGAAGAACTGGGATGGGGATTTGAGTGTTGGTGGTTGATATGGGAAGCAACCTCAGGAATTGCTGGTAGGTGATGAGGAACTGAGGCAGGGAAGGAAAATAAGTCAATGCACGTGCATAATCCTAAACAGAGACCTGGGAGACAGCAGAGAACGGAAGTTCAGATGATTGCTTTTTTTTTGAGACAGGATCTCGCTCTGTCATCCAGGCTGGAGTGCAGTGGCACGATCTCCGCTCAGCTTCTCGAGTAGCTGGGATTACAGGCATGCGCCACCACGCCCAACTAATTTTTTTATTTTTGGTAGAGATGGGGTTTCACTATGTTGGCCAGGCTGGTGTCGAACTCCTGACTTCAGGTGATCCGCTCGCTTTGGCCTCCCGAAGTGTTGGGATTACAGGCGTGAGCCACCGCGCCTGGCCAGGAAGCTCAGATTTATCTCACTTGAAAGTCAAGGAAACTGGGGCATATTTGTGTACACTTCCTTCTGTCAGTCACTGGTTGAAGTCTGCTTCCATGGGCATATTTTGATGGCATTCCAGCTTGCAGTAGGAGGCGCAGGTGCTAGCAGCTGGAAGTCAGACTGGCTGCATTAAGAGACTGGAGATACGGGGGCTGCATTGGGGGCGTCACTATTGTCCAGCATTTGCACCACTCGGATCCATTCATGCCCCAATTGGTTCATGGCATTCTGTCACCAGTTCCTCTGGGGTGACCAGTCAAAATTTCTCAAAACTAGACTTACAACAGGATGGCAGGAAGCTCATGCTACAGCTCCACATTGCTTTCTGATTCACTAGCATGAGAAGCTCCAAATGGCAGTTGAAGCGCTAGGTTCAGTGGAACCCCTTATTTAGTCCTTTGGAAGAAGTATTACCCTTTCAGGGAACCAGGACCTGGGGTCCAGCAGAGTCTAAACTTGCAGGGACAGCCACTACTTCTATGCTTTGGGTTCCAAGACCTGTGTACTCCACCTAACAGTGACATAGCACCACGTAATGACCATTGGTTCAGTGCAATTTTACCCTTTTGCACAGATAGAGAAGAAATATTGTGCTGTAAAAGCCCATGCAGATAAAAACAGGTTGCCTGAAAGGAACAAAACAGAGGCTTAGACCTCTATGAATGCTGGAAAATACCAGATCAATGCCATCAGTGCTGGCAGAGAAACGTGTACAATTAGAGAACATTATGCTTGGCCAAACTGTTATCTGTTTGAGAAGACTAAAGAAATATGTTATTATATGTGCAAAAGCTCTGATACATCCCAGTTCATCAAGAGACAAATCAAAATTGGTTGGGGGCTGTGGCTCATGCTTTAATCTTAACCCTTTGGGAGGCCAAGGTGAGAGGATCACTTGAGGTCAGGAGTTCAAGACCAGCCTGGGCAACATGGTGAAGCTCTGTCTCTACTAAAAGTATAAAAAATTAGCTGAGCATCCACACCTGTAATCCCAGCACTTGGGAGGGTGGGTGGATCACGAGGTCAAGAGATCGAGACCATCCTGGCCAACATGGTGAAACCCTGTCTTCACGAAAAACACAAAAATTAGCCGGAGGTGGTGATGCATGCCTGTAGTCCTAGCTACTTGGGAGGCTGAGGCAGGAGAATTGCTTGAATCCAGGAGGCAGAGGTTGCAGTGAGCCGAGATCATGCCACTGCATTCCAGCCTGGGCAACAGAGCTAGACCCCGTCAAAAAAAAAATTAGCCGAGCATTGGGGTGCACGCCTGTAAGCCCAGCTACTCGGGAGGCTGAGGCATGAGAATCACTTGAACCCAGGAGGCAGAGTTTGCAGTGAGCTGAGATTTAAAAAAAAATCAAAATTTAGATGAAATGTAGAATTTAAGAAATGAGAGATGGTGAGATGGTGGCATAAAGGACTGGTAATGAGCATGAAACCCAGTTACATTTAGAATTAGCTACAAAACCAAATGCAAACCTTATTGAAAACACTGAAGAGCTAAATAAATGGAGAGATATATCACATTCAGAGATGGAAAAACGTTTCCAGGGTCAAGAGTCTAGGAATGTTTTTGCTGGGTCCTGGGCTCAAGGCCTCCCAAGCCTGAATTCAAGGTTTCAGCCAGGTCTGCAATTTCACCTGGAGCTCAGGGTCTTCATCTAAAGCTTATGGGTTGTTGGCAGAGTTCAGTTCCTAAGGGTTGTTGGATGGCGGTCTCTGCTTTCTTATTGCTGGCCAACTGGGCTCCCTTCTCATACTCTGGAGGCTGCCTGTGGTTTTCTGCCCTGTGGTCCTCTCTCCAACATGGCAGTTGCTCCTGTGAGGCCAGTGGAAGAATCTCTCTTATACTCTGAATCTCTCCTTCAGGATGGGCCCAGGGACTTTGAAGAGCTCATCCGATTAGGTCAGGCCCATCCAGGATAATTTTCCTTTCGATTGATTGAAAGTCAGCTGCTAAGAGCTACCCAAGTCAGCCTACATGCACCAGCTCTTGGGCCTCAACCTCCTCTTCCTGCTGTCCCAGGATTAGGTGGCTGAGTTCCACATGGAGTTGGAGTGGCTGCCTGCCACGGACACACAGACCAATGCCTACATCAAGCGCCCTGTGTCCCTGGAGCCATACCTGATGGAGGGCGGCTACAACAAGGTGTTCCTGGCCAAGGGTAACATCCCTGCCAAGAGCTACACCTTCATCCACATCCTGCTTGACACTATCAGGGATGAGATGGCTGGGTGCATTGAGAAGGCCTATGAGAAAATCCTTTTCACCAAGGCCACCTGGATCCTCTTCCTCAACACACCCAAACAGATGATGGACAACACCAAGAAGTGAGGGTGGGTCCTGGGCCCCAACAACTACTACAGTTTTGCCAGCCAGCAGCAGAAGCTGGAAGACACCACCATTCCAAGTTGAGTATGCCTGGCAGCCCACCAGGCACTGGGTGGGGCAGGGCATACGTTATTTAAAACAGTTACAGTGCAGGGTTTCCTCTAATAAAGGTGGATTGACATTCTGTCTTCCAGGCCCTTATCTCCCCATTTGGAATGGTGAGGAGCCAAGTTCTTATATCTGAGATAGATAAGTTTTGGGGCCCTCAGGGGATGGAGATAACACCCTCCAACTGGGTCAGCCTCTGTCTGATGGCCATTGCTCAGGGTCTCAAACACAGATGGCCACCGTAGAGCCCCAGCAGCACTGTGGCCTACAGGAGAGCATGGCCCCAGGTAGGGGGATGTTCCAGCCAGCTGTGGACACACAGGAATGCTGGGCCAGGGTACCAGATATTTTTCAACAAAGGGGGTGAAGTGTCCCATTAAAAAAAAGTTGGCAATGAATTAAGCAATTTTTCAAATAATAATAATAATAATAATAATAATAATAATAATAATAAACACAGGCCAGACATGGTGGCTCACGCCCATAACCCCAGCACTTTGTGGGGTGGAGGCAGGCTGATGACCTGAGGTCAGGAGTTTGAGACCAGCCTGGCCGACATGGCGAAACCTCGTCTCTACTAAAAATACAAAAATTAGCTGGGCTTGGTGGCGGTTGCCTGTAATTCCAGCTACTCAGGAGGCTGAGGCAGGAGAATCACTCGAACTCGGGAGGTGGAGGTTGCAGTGAGCTGAGATTGCACCATTGAATTCCAGCCTGGGTGACAAGAGCAAGACTCCATCTCAAAAAACCCCCCAAAACCCCCCAAAAACACATACACACAACAAAGTCAGCTGCTAAGGGGCATTAATTACATCTGCAAAATCCCACTGGTCACAGGATGTCACATAATCACGAGAGCAACTGTCCCATCATAGGCTCAAGTCACAGTCACGCTCAGGGGGTGAGGGTGAGACGGAGCCTGTATACCAGGGAGCAGGAATCTTGGGGGACATCTTAGAATTCCACCTCCTACAGTAACATTTCTCCTCACCATGAACCCACAACAGGTTTTCTGTCTATTCCATAAATACATTTGTGGTTAGAATTTGAGGAATTTCATACAAAACTGTCTGGTCGGTTCCCCCTGGGTCTTTTGGAAAAGAGTAGGCTTGAAGAGAATGGAGGGCAAGAGTGAGATTATTCAGGAAGGAACCCCCAGAGAAGCCACAGAGGATCAGGATAGAGCCAAGGAGTGCTGAGCCTTCCTCTTGGGTTGGGTGTGAGGCTGAAGCCAAAAATATAGCTCGTGTCAGACTTTTGGCTGCTCTATTCATTACACAGAAGAATAACATTTCATTAGCTGTTGTCATTCAAAGTGGAATATATCTTCATTCTCTTTAGGGTTTTTGGCAGTTAGATTTCTGAGTTACTTCATAAAAATTTAAATTAGCTATTTTTAATGATAACTGGTAGAAGAAGATAAATCATCATTCACAGAATTTTTAATGGGAAAAGTAATTTCAGTATTCTTATGGGGGAAGCACTTTTGGGCAAAAGTTATTCCTACAGCCCTCATGTTATTACTTCAAACATGAACCTGGGTTAGAAGAAGAAAGATTTGCTGCTGAGTTTTGTGTTTGGAATTGGTGTACCTGAAGCATGGGAAGTGTCCAATTTATGTGTGTGTGTTTGAGATGGAGTTTCACTCTTGTCGCCCAGACTGGAGTGCAGTGGTGCAATCTCAGTTCACTGCAACCTCTGCCTCCCAGGTTCAAGTGATTCTCCTGCCTCAGCCTCCTGAGTAGCTAGGATTACAGGCATGTGCCACCAACACCGGGCTAATTTTGTATTTTTAGTAGAGATCGGGTTTCACCATCTTGGCCAGGCTGATCTCGAACTCCTGACCTTAGGCGACCCACCCGCCTCGGCCTCCCAAAGTGCTGGGATTACAGGCATGAGCCACTGCGCCCAGCCCGATTTATTTGTAATACAATAAATCATGCATTATATTAACCTTTTTGGTGATTCATTTTCTCATTTATTAATTTAATGCATCCATTGTTTTCAAAGTGAGGCTTAATATTGTAAGTAATACAGTGGTAGTAGAATGGGGCAAGCCTATTCATCTTGGGTTAAGTGAGAACACCTTCATTTTCATAATGTAGAGCATTATCCTTTTCTATGGAGATTAAGCTAAATGCCAGGCTTCCTGTATTCACCCAGAATACTCAGCAGGCTGGTTTGTAAAAGAGGAGATATTTTGAGTTTGGCTGAAAGTAGCAATTTATTAATAAATCAATTTTTATCTTTTTAAAAATAGAGACAGGGTCTTGCTATGTTGCCCAGACTGGTCTCGAACTCCTGGTCTCAAGCGATCCTCCCACCTCGGTCTCCCAAAGTGCTGGAATTACATGTGTGAGCCACCACATCCAGCCTGAAAGTAGCAATTTAGGAAAAAAACAAACAAACAAACTTAGGAAGCTTTTAGTGACTGAGAAAATGAGTTGGTTTCATGCTTCTGGGAATTTATAAATGAACTAACTGAAAATGGAAACAGTGGTTATAAAGATTGTCAATAAAAAAGAAAATGAACTATTGTCTTTGAGAACTTAGAAAGTTTTCTGCGTCTTTGTAGCCAGGAGGAAAAAAAAAAAGAACGTAGAGGCTGAGAGTGGTGGCTCATGCCTGTAATCCCAGTACCTTGGGAGGCCAAGGCAGGCGGATCATGAGGTCAGGAGCTCGAGACCAGCCTGGCCAACACAGTGAAACCCCATCTGTATTAAAAATACAAAAATTAGCTGGATATGGTGGCACGCACCTGTAGTCCCAGCTACTTGGGAAACTGATGCGGGAAAATTGCTTGAACCCGGGAGGCGGAGGTTGCAGTGAGCCAAGACCACACCACTGCACTCCAGCCTGGGTGACAGAGTGAGATTCTGTCTCAAAAAAACAAAAAACAAAAAACAAAAAACTTAGAAACTCATTTTGATAATATATATGTTGTATGTGTAATAATAAATATGTTTCATCTTTTATTCTAATAACTGTCTAAGTGTAGAACTAACTGTAAATAACATACCTGGCTTTTATGAAAAATAAAATACATCAATAAGTTCTAAAAGAAAGGAAAACATGCTTGCCATTGGACCTTATGATATCATAATATCGCCTAATGCACATATGTTGAAAATGCAGTCTTTTACTGACATTCCATCTTAAAAACAAATCATAGAGGATTCATTTCTGGAGGGATTAAACATAGTTTGATTAGGTTTCACCTCAACAGAGGAATCGTATGTGGATACTTCCAGGATTCATGTCTTTGAAACGTTTGGAAAACTGAGGGTTAGTTTGTTCTAGTTTGTTGGGTGGGCGGGGGTGGGGGTGGTGGTGGGGGCACAGCTCTGGCAGATTGCTGCTCACTGCCAGCAGATCAGATTTTTTTTTTTTTTTTTTTTGAGACAAGGTCTCACTCTGTTGCCCAGGCTGGAGTGCAGTGGTGAGATCTTGGCTCACTGCAGCCTCGGCCTCCTTGAGCTCAAGCAATCCTTCCACTTTAGACTCCCAAGTAGCTAGGATTACAGGCATGCGCCACCACACCCAGCTAATTTTTGTATTTTTTGTAGAGACGGGGTCTTGTTTTTCTGTTCAGGCTGGTCTTGAACTCCGCGACTCAAGTGATCCACCTGCCTCGACCTCCCAAAGTGCTGGGATTACAGGGGTGAGCCACCTCGTCTGGCCTCTCATTTTAATAGAAGCAGGAAATCTGGGCTTTGTTTTGTATAAGACGTTTTGATTTTTAAATGTTGGCTCAATTTTTATTAAAAGTGTTGCTTGCTGGGCCCCAGGGAAGTCTGTGCGTGGCCCACTTTGGGCTAGATGGAGAGAGCTGTAGTGGAGGCCTTGACACTGATGTGAAATAGAAAGAGGGTGGATCTGGGTAGCTGTGCCCCTGACCTGTCTGGTCCCATGTAGGGAAGTCTCTTCATCTTCTGAATCCCGACTTCCATTATTCAGGAGGGGTTCTGATGACATTGTCTTGAAAACACCCTCCTCTGTAATGCTCACCCTGTGAAGAATTATTTTTTTTCTATTTTGTATGAGAGACATACTATTCAATATGTGTATGTGTGTGTGTATGTGCACGTGTGTTGAGAGACAGGGTTTCCCTCTGTTGCCCAGGCTGGATTGCAGATGCCTGGTTAATTTTTTAAATTCTGTAGAGACTGAGTCTTGTGATGCTGTCTAGGCTGGTCTCAAACTCCTAGCCTCAAGTGATCCTCCCATCTCGGCCTCCCAAAGTGCTGGGATTACAGGTGTGAGCCACTGCACCTGGCTCAATGTATTTTTTGATGAATCTTTTATTTGATATGTGAATCTCATGAGTTACGTGACTTCTAACATTTTTCTTATGCCCATTTTTTTTTCACGTAGACGTTCTCAGAGCGGTAGCATGCTCTGGATGAGCTGTAGCTTCTTAGTCTTTTGTTTTGACAATTTTCTAATAAGCTACTAGTTGTAGCTTGTTACTCTTTTGTTTTGACAATTTTAAGGATTCATTTCTCATTGTCCAAGAAATAAAGTCCATATAATGTATACAAAGAGAATTAGCATTGCAATTATTTTCTCTCCCCTCTTCCTTTTCATTTTGTGTAGAATGAACTCTTAGGCCATCACCAGGCAGCAGGAAATGAAGCTCAAGTTAGCAGAATGTAGGGAATTTTAGCTTTTCAGGCAGTCAGTGTGGTAAATTCAGTCCCGGTTTCGACTTCACTTGGAACTGTGTACAAATTCTAAAAATTCTAGGGCTAACTGTAGTAATTCTAGTTTTGCAGGTTAGGCTGCAGAATTTGATTTTATTAAGTTCCTGGAATTATTTTTGAACAAGCTGGGGTTGTGATGCCATTTATAAGTGTAATACCATTTCAAAACAACACTCAGGTGTAAGAAAAACAATATGAAACAGGCAGCCTCATTGTAAGATTCCATTCAGTATTGCTAATCTTTTGTCAAAGTCTGCCTACTTTACATATTTGTGGTGAAAAGTTATCCTTGGCAACCAGGATCATTGGTTTGCTATATAAAAGGAGACCCCGGACTGTTCTATTTTTATTTTTATATAATTTTTTCTTTTTCTTTTTTTTATCAGACAAAGGTTAAAGCGTGACCCAGACTGTTCTAACACCTAAAGATTCAGCTGCTTGACCCTGAGTTTGCTTTTCGTTCCCAATGATAATAAGGACACAGATGGCAAGACACAACAGCGAAAGTGTAAGGGCCGCAGCATTTGAATAAAAAGGTGGAATGTGCTTTAGGCCATGTGCGTGGTGTCTTCCCTTCCCAGCTCTCTCTTCGTGTCTTTCAAGAGTCTCTTTTTGGCAAGGCTGCCCAACAAAAGGAAATCTGACATTCCTTATGACACTGGGGAAAATTAAGGGAAAATAAAAATGCTTCTAGATCATTTCAAAAATTCAGAATGAAAGTAGTGATATTGAGTCTCACCTGAAAGCAAAATGTGTATTTTTACAAAGTATCATTAGTGAAAAAAGAATGATAATGAGAAAGAGAATAATGAGAAAAGAATAATTAGTCCCTAAAATGACAATATTTGGGCACACTTGAGAAGTAATGACATAGCTGCTGATTTCTAATTTTTATTCTGATATTAGTGATTTCTTCAATCAAATGGAGTTCCCTGCCTTTATGGTGGTTCTTTTTTCATAAACTGGGTTCGGGCAATTTCCAGAATGAGGCTACTATTTTCTAAATTCCTTTGTGATACTAAATTCCTTCCTCTTTTCTCCTAAAGGAAACAGTGGCAGCAAATGTCTCACTTTGAAGCTACCAAGGAAGCATCTATTAATTTTGTGAATAAGAAAAATAGAAGAGCGCGATCAATGATAACAAAAAAACCTTCCTTTTTTGGCTCTTAGGTTTTGTGTAGCCATTTCCTGAGTCAGCTTTAGTTCTCTTTAGCACCTGTACTATTATAGAAATTGTTTCTAGAATTGGTCATTCACATGTATATTAGAAACCTCTGCACTGACAAGTTATTTAAGATTTTTTTCACTTTTTTTTGACATGGTGTCTCACTCTGTTGCCTAGGCTGGAGAACAGTGTCACGATCTGCGCTCACTGCAGACTCCGCCTCCCTGGTTGAAGCGATTTTCCTGCCTCAGCCTCCCGAGTAGCTGGGATTACAAGCATGCACCGTCATGCCTGGCTAATTTTTGTGTTTTTAGTAGAGACAGGGTTTCACCATGTTGGCCAGGCTGGTCTCGAACTCCCGACCTCAGGTGTTCTTGAGATCGCTTGCCTTGGCCTCCCAGAGTGCTGGGATTACAGGCGTGAGCCATGGTGCCCGGCCTCACCCTTTTTTTTTTTACTGACTGACCATCAAGTGACATCGGCAATTCAGGCAATGCTTTGTATTTCTGACCTGTAGCATAAGGACAAGCAGCCCAGGGAAGCTCATTCTCCACAAGGCTACCCAGAGTTCCCAGGGAACACTCTGTTCCTTCATGAAGTGCAGAAATGAAGAATAGCCTGAGATGTGCAAGGAGTTTTTCAGAACTTCTCTTGTAGAACGAAGATCCATTTTTATAATCTCCTGGTTTATGAAAGCCCAAGGTCACTTTCAACATGAGGCATCATCCAGTAACTGCTGGCAAGTGTCTGGAAGAGTCATCTACACATAGAAAGTGGGAGAGACTCAGACTGCAGCAGGGTTGTTTGCTCTCATGGTTTTTGTTTTTTTAAACCCAGACACGACTTGTTGGATTTCTTTCTTATGAATGAGTTCTTCTTAAGGCACTGACTCAAGCAGTTCTATTTTTTTTCCTGCTTGAAATTACCAAATTCACTCTTATGCTAATCAAATAAAAGGTTGTTACAAATTACTTTCTGGTCTTTCTCTGTGGAAAATCACCGTGTAGAGAACTTGCAGACTTCTCTTATGCAGAATAGAATGCATGAACTACTTGGGAGATAGATTGTGAAGAGCAAAGTTTGGCCATTAACTTGGGATCCACCAACCAACAAAGACTCCTTCAGGCTTCATTCTTCAGCCATTGGTCCTCAAGGGTGAGGAGATTCTTTTTAAAAATGTCATTTTGGGCCGGGTGCAGTGGCTCATGCCTGTAATCCCAGCACTTTGGGAGGCTGAGGAGGGTGGATCACTTGAGGCTGGGAGTTCGAGACAAGCCTCAGCAACCTAGCGAGACCCCCGTCCCTACTAACAATACACAAAGTAGCTGGTTGGGGTGGCATGCGCCTGTAATCCCAGCTACTTGGGAGGCTGAGGCAGGAGAATCGTTTGAATCCAAGAAGCAGAGGTTGCCATGAGCTGAGATTGTGCCACTGAACTCCAGCCTGGGTGACAGAGCGAGACTCTGTCTTCGGAAAAAAAAAGTCATTTTAGCTTATATCTAAAGTACATGAGTCCAGGCAAACACAAGACAAGAACAGGAACTTTTAGAAAGTTCAAGTTCACGTACCACTAAGGAAACCTGGAGAAAAGTATCTCATAGTCTCTTTTTTCTAACTATATTCAGAGATAATCAAGTGCCTCTTTGGTGCAAGATGTCAAATTTAGTATATACATAATGGTCAAATAAATGCTGTATTTTCCCATTTCATTTTTGTGTTCTCTTTTCTGTCTCATGAAGGTTTCTGTAAAATGTTGCACTTCAGACTGCTGCTTTAAATTCCAGTTTTGCCATCTTTTATACATAGGAAGCAGCTGGAAATAAAGCAATGCAGTTTAAATAATTGAGATATTTAAGTGAAAGATGTGAAGATTGAGGTTTCTGCTCAACAGAATAAACTGTTTCTGGTCCCGGTTGGCTTTTTCATAGATGATGATTCTTTGCTACATGGATTGCAATCTGCGGATCACAGCCGTCCTTGTAATAAGGTAGAAGTATTTTCAGGATCACATCTTGGTCCTGATAATTTAAAAAGATCGGCAAACCAGAAAGGCCAAGGACTGAGGTTTTGGATGCGTGAGTCCTTCAAAACGCCACTAGGTGACGGTGCTGCACCGTAAGTGCCAGAACCCGCTCGCCGTGGTGCTTCCAGGCCGGGAAACGTTACCGCAGAGAGAACTCGGATGACTGACGGAGCCGTTTAGGTTGGCCCAGCAGAGGTGGTCTCTCTGTATTATAGATCTTGTAACCGAATTTTCTACTTAGCTTTTGTTGAGGCTGTAATTCATTAAGTCATCAAACTATTGTTTGTCTTTCTAAAAGCTGTGATGGCTTTTTTTGAAAAATTGTCCAGGAACTGTAAAGCCAAAGTTTAGATTTTGTAAAGATTATTAGTAAAATTTTATTTCATTTTATTTATTTTTTTTTCTGAAATGGAATCTTGTTGTGTCACCTAGGCTGGGATGCAGTGGTGTGATCTCAGCTTGCTGCAGCCTCTGCCTCTTGGGTTCAAGTGATTCTCTACCTCAGCCTCCCAAGCAGCTGGGACTACAGGTGTGGGCCACCACGCCCTGCTAATTTTTGTACTTTTAGTAGAGATGAAGTTTCACCACGCTGGCCAGGCTGGTCTCGAACTCCTGACCTCAGGTGATCCTTTTTTTTTTTTTTTGAGACAGAGTCTTGCCCTGTCGCCCAGGCTGGAGTGCAATGGTGCCATCTTGGCTCACTGCAACTTCCTCCTAGCGGGTTCAAGCGATTCTCCTGCCTCAGCCTCCAGAACAGCTTGGATTATGGATGTGCACCACCATGGCCAGCTAATTTTTGTATTTTTAGTAGAGACAGGGTTTCACCATGTTGGCCAGGCTGGTCTCGAACTCCTAACCACATGTGATCCACCTGCCTTGGCCTCCCAAAGTGCTGGGATTACAGGTGTGAGCCACCATGCCTGGCCAACATACAATTTTTTTTTGAAAATTATCTGGGTGTGGTGGTGCACACCTGAGGTCCCAACTACTTGAGAGGCTGAGGCAGGAGAATCCTTTGAGCCCAGGAGGTCGAGGCTGCAGTGAGCTGAGATCGGGCCACTGCACTGCAGCCTGGGTGACAGAGTGAGACCCTTGTCTCAAACAAACAAACAAAAATCCCATTAATTTGTTTTTCCTTGAATGATTAAGTTTTTCCCCCTGTTACTCATGGAGATTATCCTTTCCTTAGGAGAATTATGATCCTAATTAGAAACTCATAGTTACCCCCAACTGACATTTAAAAAGCAACAGTTTGCATTTGCAGTATAGACCATTTCAGGTTCATGGTAACTTTTGCTTATTTAAGAAGTAAATATATGGAAATTTGTCATTCGTTCTGTGAAAAAAGCAAGGGAGAAAATATTCCCAGAATCAATGATTCATAGTTATTTTTGTTAGGGTGAAAAACCATCTCTTGAGAAGGACAATAGTTCAGTGAACAAATGCCACAGTGCATGGGATGACACAGGCTATACTCTTACCTGAATGGAGGAGGAGGAGGAAGTACGTTTTTTTGTTCAAGGACAGTTTTGATGCAATTGAAATATTACAAAGTCCTACTCATTGTTCATGAGTAATTTGATTTTAATGATGATCCTTTGTGTAAGATGCATATATTCTGACAATGAACTCCTCTTTCTACTCCCAAAATGGAATGTTTGAAGTCTCCTATTATTCCTTTTTTTTTTTTGATAGAGTCTCACTGTGTCGTCCAAGCTGGAGTAGAGTGGCACGATCTGGGCTCACTGCAACCTCCGCCTCCTGGGTTCTAGATTCTCCTGCCTCAACCTCCCAAGTAGCTGAGATTACTGGTGCATGCCACCACACCTGGCTAATTTGTTTTTGTATTTTCAGTAGAGATGGGGTTTCACCATTTTGGCCAGGCTTGTCTGGAACTCCTGGCATCAAGTGATCTGCCTGCCTCGGCCTCCCAAAGTGCTGGGATTACAGGTGTGAGCCACTGCCCCCAGCCAGATTCTCCTGTTGTTCCTTATTAACATTTTCTGTATCACTTCCACAACTTGGGCTTATTCTAAGTGCCAAATTCACGTCTAGCAATCAGAATGTACTCTGACCCCTTCCCCAGGGACAATTTTCGGGGTGTTTGTATTGATTTGGAGAATGTTAGAGGCGAACATAGCAATAAAGATCATCTAATCCCTTATTTTACAGGTGGAAAACTACATCTTGAGGAGTTTAGTTACATATCTGATAGGTTGCAGTGCTCCAGCTAGAACTCAGGAAAGACGAGAAGGTACAAGAAAATGTTGATGAAGAATTGACTGTGATAGCCGTGGAACACACCTTGTTTAATTTTAGTCCTCACAATAATCTTATGTCGTTGGCAGATCCCTATTTTTATTCCTCCACAGCTTTATTGAGAAATAATTGGCAAACAAAATTGTAGAAGTTTAAGGTGTACGATCCATGATTTGATATACATATATATTATGAAATGACTACCACAATCAAGTTAGTCAACATATCTATCACCTCACCTACTTACCTTTTTTTTTTTTTTGGTTTTGTTTTGTGGTGAGAACATTTAAGATCTGTCAGCAAATTTCAGCTATACAAATTGCACGCATTAAGTACATTTACAATGTTGTACATCCGTTACTACTATCCATTTCCAGAACTTTTTCATCATCCCAAACAGAAGCTCTATGCCCATTAAATAATAACTCCTCATTCTCCTTCCCAACTGCCCCTGGTAATTTCTATTCTACTTTCAGTCTGTATGAATTTGCCTATTCTTGATACTTAATATAAATAGAATAATAAAATATTTGTCTTTCTATGTTTGCCTTATTTCACTTAGCATAATAGTTTCAAGGTTTCAAGGGTTGATAGCATGTATCAAAATTTCATTTCTTTATTATTATTATTATTATTTGTAGAGACAGGATCTCACTATATTGCCCAGGCTGGTCTCGAGCTCCTGGGCTCAAGCTACTTTCCACCTTGGCCTCCCAAAGTGCTGGGATTGCAGGTGTGAGCCACTGCACCCAGCCTCATTCTTTCTGATTGCTGGATAAGATTCTGTTGTATGTATATATCACATTTTGTTTATCCATTCATCTGTCAGTGAGTATTTGAATTGTTTCCACCTTTTGGCTCCTGTGAATAATGCTGCCATGAATATTGATGTACAAGTATCTGGAATGTAATTTTATCATGCCCTCAGTGTGTATTTCCTCCCATTATCCTTCTCCTTAAATTTTTTTTCTAGCAATTCCATCATGTTAGTATTTTCTGGTTAATCTGAAAATAGTCTGCTGGATTTCCTCTCTCTAATGTCAAATGCTTTTAAAGTTTTGTTTTGCGTAATATCAGAATTGATATTGGTTCACTATTGAGACTTCCCATTCAAGTATTATGTCTTGCCTCTCTATTATTCAGGTTTAAATAATTGTGCCCTCAGTAGAGTTTTGAGCATGTTAATATTGTTCCTCTGCATTGTTTAAGACTATTCTTAGGTATGTTCTTTGATGATTATTTACTTATTTATTTATTCTGAGACAGAGTCTCGCTCTGTTGCCCAGGCTGGAGTGCAGTGGCGCACGATCTTGGCTCACTACAACCTCCACCACCTGGGTTCAAGCGATTCTCCTGCCTCAGCCTCCTGAGTAGCTGGGATTACAGGTGTGTGCCACTATGCCTGGCTAATTTTTGTATTTTTAGTAGAGATGGGGTTTCACCATATTGGTCAGGCTGGTCTTGAACTCCTGACCTCGAGTGATCGACCCGCTTTGGCCTCCCAAAATGCTAGGATTACAGGTGTGAGCCACCGCATCTAGCCTTTGATGGCTATTTTTAGTGGAATATTTACCATTTTATTTTCTACTGCTTATTGTTGGTATTCTAGAAAGCCATTAATTCTTGCATAGTAATGTTATTATTGATACCATTCTTTAATAATATTTATATGATAAATCCTAAACTGTTAGTTAATGTTTTAAATTGGTAGTGTACTTAGGATCCTTCTCTGCATGGATTGCTTTTGTACTTACTAAATATATATATTTAACAGAAAGAACATTTGCTTTAAAAGATTAAATTGTTGTTGCACATTATCCATATGTAGGGAGTAGCAGCATTTATCTTAGAGGCAGATGGTTTGTTTTTTTCTTTAGGCAAAATCTTAGTGGATCTTTTGGTTATGGAAGTCTTAGACTGGTGAAGATTGAAAAAAGGAAAATGAAGCCATTCTCTCTAATAAAGTAATACCATGAACATTCTCAAATTCCTTTGCTACATAAAGAGGGATGGGATGGGAAACCCCAAGGTTGAGAAAAGAAAAACCATGGGGAGAAACGGCCCCAGTGGGGAGCAGAGTCCCATGCAAATATGGCTGCTAAGAAATTCCCTTTAAGGGAATGTCTGAGTGACAGTGATACCTAGTATTAAATTGTAAGTTGATTTCTGTTCTGTGCTCTGTTGTGATCTGTTCTAAAATGAAATACATTAATAGAAAATTTGAGGTATAGTAAGGCCAACAGTTCAGGAAATGATTGCCGCTGAAAGATAAATTACTCACAGTTTCCAAGAGGAACTCTACAAATTCCACGCATTAAGTACATTTACAATGTTGCACAACCATTATTACTATCTTTATGAATTTGCCTATTCTTGATACTTAATATAAGTAGAATAATAAAATATTCGTCTTTCTATGTCTGGCTTATTTAACTTAGCATAACAGTTTCAAGGTTTCAAGGGTTGACAGCATGTATCAAAATTTCATTTCATTTTTTTTTTTCTTTGAGACGAAGTCTCGCTCTTGTCCTCCAGGCTAGAGTGCAATGGCGTGATCTCGGCTCACTGCAACCTCTGCCTCCTGGGTTCAAGATTCTCCTGTGTCAGCCTCCCGAGTAGCTGGGATTACAGGCACCTGCTACCATTCCCAGCTAATTTTTGTATTTTTAGTAGAGGCGGGGTTTCACCATGTTGACCAGGCTGGTCTCGAACTCCTGACCTCAGGTGATCCACCCGTCTAGGCCTCCCAAAGTGCTGGGATTACAGGCGTGAGCCACCGAGCCTGGCCAAAATTTCATTTCTTTACTAATGTTATTATTATTAGTAGTAGTAGTCAAGACCTGTAATGCCAGCACTTTGGGAGGCTGAGGCTGGTGGATCACTTGAGGCCAGGAGTTTGAGACCAGCCTGGCCAACATGGTGAAACCCCATCTCTACTAAAATACAAAAATTAGCCAGGTGTGGTGGCACACGCCTATAATCCTAGCTACTTGGGAGGCTGAGGCAGGAGAATCACTTGAACCCGGGAGGCAGAGGTTGCAGTGAGCTGAGATCATGCCACTGCACTCCAACCGGGGTGACAGAGTGAGACTCTGTCTCAAAAAATGGGAATGGCCCAAGGGACATTTCCCCCCCACAACCCCAAAAGAACCCCAAAACTGAAGACAATCAATATGGTGCTATTCTGAGTTCTGTGAATTGTCCTATTAAATTATCAAATCTGAGGCAGATAATAAGAACCTCCAGGTTTTTAACCAGTTGGACAGAAGCATGGGTGGCTTTGGGACTCTGGAGCTGGTGGCTGGTGCCTAAGTGGGGAGGTTCTTATGGAGGACTGTGTTCTCAGCCTGTGGGGTCTGCGTGATCTCCAGGTAGTTAGCACTGCAATTGTGCTGTAGAAGGAGTTCAGATGGATGAAGAAAAACTTCTCGGCTGGGTGCAGTGACTTGTGTCTGTAATCCCAGCTCTTTGGGAGGCTGAGGCAGGTGGATAACTTGAGGCCACGAGTTCTAGACCAGCCTGGCCAACATAGTGAGACCCCTGTCTTTACAAAAAATAAAATATTAGCTGAGTGCAGTGGTGTGCACCTGTGGCCCCAGCTACTTGAGAGGCTGAGGAAAGAGGATCATTTGAGCCCAGGAAGTTGAGGCTACAGTGAGCTATGATCATACTGCCGCTGCACTCTAGCCTGAGTGACAAAGTGAGACTGGTCTCAAAAAAAAATTTTGTTTAGTATGCTTGGGTAATGGGTGATATGTTTTGGCTGTGTCCCCATCCAAATCTCATTTTGAATTGTAGCTCCCCATAATTCCCACATGTTATGGTAGGAACCCGGTGAAGATAATTGAATCATGGGGGCAGCTTCCCCCATCCTGTTCTCGCGGAAGTAAGTCTCACGAGATCTGATGGCTTCATAAGGGGAAACCCCTTTCACTTGGCTCTCATTTCTTTCTTGTCTGCCACCATGTAAGACATGCCCTTCACCTCCCGCCATGATTGTGAGGCCTCCCCAGCCACATGGAACTGTGAGTCCATTAAACCTCTTTTTCTTTACAAATTACTCAGTCTCAGGTATGTCTTTATCGGCAGTGTGAAAATGGACTGATACAATAGATAAACACAAAGCATGAAAGAACCCCAGAAACCATGGAGAAAACAGAACCTCTGGAGATTGCCATGAGTGCTAAGCCAGCTCTAAACACATATATGAACTAAGTGAAGTTTGTCTTCAGTGCCATTTGGGGACCTGGCCTTCACTCAAACCATCATCCTCCCTCTGTTCAGTTTCCCAGTGCCATCAATCTACCCAGGCAGACCAGAGTCATCCACACAGTTGTCTTCCCAACTTCAGAACACATTTTTCCTATTGCCCCCCATCAGAAGTAGCTCTCAGTTATCATACTGGGAAGGTCTGATAAACTCACTCTCCCTAAGCTCTATTCACTGACGAGTGAAAAACATGATTCTTCCATGAGCGTTTCCCCAGTCCCTTTTATGAGAGTTGAGCTGTGATGGGGAGATTTCCTTTTCACCACCTGTTATCTTTTCTCAAATCCTACCATTAACCTAATTCCTAAGGGTTTGAAGATTTTTGGCTTTTAATGGACCTCTATTAAAATATATTTTACTACTCTACCAGCCAAAACCAGCTAGTTGAAGAGGTGGGAAAAGAATGGGGGCCGGGCATGGTGGCTCATGCCTGTAATCCCAGCACTTTGGGAGGCTGAGGTGGGCGGATCACAAGGTCAAGAGATCGAGACCATCCTGGCTAACACAGTGAAACCCTGTCTCTACCGAAAATACAAAAATTAGCCGGGCATGGTGGCGGGCGCCTGTAGTCCCAGCTACTCGGGAGGCTGAGGCAGGAGAATGGCGTGAACCTGGGAGGCGGAGGTTGCAGCGAGCTGAGATTGCGCCACTGCAGTCCATCCAGCCTGGGCAACAGAGCAAGACTCCGCCTCAAAAAAAAAAAAAAAAAAAGAATGGGGAATAAAGGTTGAAGGAAGGCATGGGGCATGGGTGACATGTGGCTATAGAACCTTGGAAGGACTCTGGAAGCAGAGGGAGAAACCTGCCTTGTTGGGTGGAGTTAATTTCTAAAACTTTGATTTTATGGTCTTACACATAACCATGTGGAAGGAAATCTGGAGAAAATGATACAGGTAACTGTATGGCTGCCTCATCCACCTAGAGGAAGGTGGTCTTGGTCCAACTTCTAGAAACAGAAAAGCAATGGGAATAAGGCACAGTGGGAAAAGTGTGGGCTGGCTCTGGTCTCACCTTTGCCACTGGGCAGCCATATGAACTTGGTGCAGTTATTTAACCTTCCTGGGTCAGAATCTTCAAAGGTGACATATGGGGATCAGACTAGATGATTGTTTTATAGGGCACCTCTGGCTAGAAACCCACTTTCTGATAATCATGAATATGGTGAATGGGATTCACCCCTTCTTTGCAAGGATGGTACAATACTGTAGGTTCTGAGCTCCTCTGCCTGTGAAATCCCTCATTTCTTAAAAGATCCCATCTCTGTCTCCTGTTGCCAGCCACATCCTTTTCAAGGGCCACCATACTTAGCACATAGCATCTTTCTCTTTTACTTTGATAGTGATCATTTTTTCCTTAAACCTTTCAAATTGTTGTTTTTGGCTTTAAATTTAGGAGTATACCTTCCATGGGACTTTGGACCTAGGTCATCTCCCAGGGAGGGACACTGTGGGCAGCAGTGAATCCTGGAAGCAGGATCAGAAGCAAGACAGAAATAGCAGAGGTGAGTCTGGGGTTTAGCTTGAGAATAGATCAAGTGAAAAACTCCCCTTAGGGGTGAAGAGCAAGTACCGAATCAGGAGCAAGCATCGATTCAGAAATGCAGGCACAGACACAATATCCATAGATCAAGAAGCCTCTAAACCACAGAAGACTTCTCACATAATCCCAGATGCACCAGGACCCAGTGTTTGGCCTTTTCAGGGCATGGCCAAGCTAATGTTGAAAGGCTGCAGTGAGCTGGAGGCCATTATCCTAAGTGAATTAACGCAGGAACAGAAAACAAAATACCGCATGTTCTCACTTACAAGTGAGATCTAAACATTGGGTACTCATGGACGTGCAGATGGCAACAGCAGACAGTGGGGACTACTAAAGCCGGGAGTGAGGAGGGGGGAAAGGAGTGAAAAATCAACTATTGGGTACTATGCTCCCTACCTGGGTGATGGCATCACTTGTATCCCAGACCTCAGCATCACACAGTATACCCAAGCAACAACCTGCACGTGTACTGAATCTAAAAGTTGAAATTATAAATAAAATAAAATATTCTAATTTCCAGACCAAAAAAAAATGTAAAAGAAAAGCTGCTGCAATGTAAGAGCTGACCACTCTGGGTAGATTCTGCTCTGCTGGTTGTGAAATAGAGTTATAAAGCAGACAAAATGTATGTGTGTTTGTGTGGAAAGAGGTAGGGAGTGCTGAGTGACTGGCCTAAGATGTCATCCCATTCTGAATACTTAAATATTAAAATGTCTTCAAAAGCGGGTTGGGCGTGGTGGCTCATGCCTGTAATCCCAGCATTTTGGGAGGCCAAGGCAGGTGGATCATGAGGTCAGGAGTTCAAGACTAGCCTGGCCAACATGGTGAAACCCCATCTCTACTGAAAATACAAAAATTAGCCTGGCATGGTGGTGGGTGCCTGTAATCCCAGCTACCCAGGAGGCTGAGGCAGGAGAATCGCTTGAACCCGGGAGGCGGAGGTTGCAGTGAGCCAAGATCACGCCACTGCACTCTAGCCTGGGCAACAAGAGCAAAACTCCGTCTTAAAAAAAAAAAATCTTCAAAACTTCCTGAATAGGTGGTTATTTTATCATTTTTTTTTTTTTGTAAAGTGAAAGCAAATTTATTATGAAAGTGAAAGAATAAAAGAATGGCTACTCCTTAGACAGAACAGCTCGGAGGGCAGCTGGTTGCTCATTTTTATGGTTATTTCTTGATGATATGCTAAGCTAGGGGTGGATTATTCATGCTTCCCCTTTTTAGACCACATAGGGTAACTTCCTGACATTTGTAAACTGTCATGGTGCTGGTGGGAGTGTAGCAGTGAGGACGATCAGAGGTCACTCTCATGGCCGTTTTGGTTTTGGTGGGTTTTGGCCGGCTCCTTCACTGAAACCTGTTTTATCAGCAAGGTCTTTATGACCTGTATTTTGTGCTGACCTCCTATTTCATCCAGTGACTTAGAATGGCTTAACCATCTGGGAATGCAGCTGGTAGGTTTCAGCTTCATTTTACCCAGCTCCTATTTAAGATGGAGTTGCTCTGGTTCACATGCCTCTGACATTTCCCCCCTTCTTTTTATAAGAGAACACTTAATCCTAAGGATTGCAGAGGGATGAAGATCCATCTTCTGTAACTTCTTAGGCTGAATAGGGGCAATGATATTCCTGCCTAACTATGAGGGTCTCTTGCATTCAGGGTAGAGAGGAGCTCAGTCAGAAAGCATCAGTATAGTAAGGTCCATTCATAAGTCTTGAGTTTCGACAAAAAGTGGTATCTGGAAGATTATTAAGTGTTTAAGAAAACATTCAGTAAACTTGTCCTGTATTCCTACACAAAGAATATAACAGCAATATATTCCACAAGAGTAAAGCAAAATAAGTAAAGTGATTCCAAGTAAACTAAATTAGAAGGGTTTTCATGAACTGGGCCACTGTTGGAACTAAGCTGATATGGGGTTGCTAGATGATTCCACTGTGTGCCTAGGATTAGAATATTGATCCAGATTTTTGCATTACCAAACCTCTTGTTTCTTCTGAGTAGCAGTCAGAGATTACTGATTGGTTCACAAGAATAAGCAGGGTTAGCCTAAATTCCAGAAACAAACTTAAAAACAACTAATGAGACTAGAATTTAATACCAAGTGTACCACAGTTCTTGAAACATAATATTTCTCTCTCCAGTTTCCCATTTTTACTAAAGACAAATCATGGTAAGACTGATTTGCTTTATTATACTTGGCCTGATTATTTGCATAAAATGCAGCAGGAATAATTATTTTTCACATAAGCTCTTTTAAAATTGGCTTTGATGGAACTCTGTTCCATAGAAGGAATTTTAGATAAGACTTTTTAAAAGCTGAACCCAGCCATAGGTTTGTACCCTCAAATACCTATGAGTTAGGTACATTTCTTTCCTCTTGAGGTCCCAAGGTAAATTGGGGCTCCTGGACCTGTTAGAAAGTGACATTCTTTATTTACCACAGGTTAGAAACCTTGTACAAGGACTATTGTAGGCAAGGCATGAGGCCAGTTCCCCATGGGGCTTTTATTGGCTCTGTAAGTTTAATTCCTTAAAGGAAAACACACCATTCCAGTAAAATAACCAGTAAAATTCCTTGGTAAAATAACCAGTAAAATTCCTTGGTAAAATAACCAATTTCTCAAATTGTGTCCTGTTACAAAAGAAAACAGATTCTTATTGCACTTATGCAAATAACTATATTGCCATAAGTTAAGAATACTCACAACTAGTTTCCAAAGTCTGGAGAAATTAGGTAGAGAGAAAAAAATGTGCTCCAAATTTTGTTCACAGCAGTATAATTTACTTAATTGCAACAAGCTGTAAATAGCTCAAAAGAAAAGTTTCATTGACTCTGAAAAACAAAACAAAGGGTCAGCAGTGTTTAAAGCAAAGTTAAAAAGATTACTTCAGTTTTCTGCTGGTTCAGTTAATTCAGTTAACTCCTTTTCTGTTTGATATTCATGAACATTCCAGGTCTTCATGAGAGTTCTGAAAGTTGTTTCCTCTATTCTAATGTTACAATTTCCAAAGTTATTAGAAACCTGCATTTAAGAACACCTGCTAGAGTTCTATAGTTGTTTATCATGATTTTCTTACCACTATTTAATTTACAAAGAAACTTAGCATTTATACTATAGTTTATGTTGACATTGTGCCAACTGGGGCTTTCAAATTTTGCCTAATTGGGTTATGTATGGAACCAACATTCTTGGGGAAAACAAGAGTAATTCATTTAACTCTCACAATAATCCCATGAGATAGGTATGGAGAATGAGGAAAATGAATTTCAAAGAGGTTAAGTAACTTGTCCAAGAGCAATTAGAGGGACCATAATGGAACTGGGATTCAAATATAAGCCTGTTAGACCACCTGAAACCCAAGAAAATTTCTCCACTATATGTGCCATCATCAACGGGGAACAAAAATAGTTTCTCTGTTAGAACATTGTAGCTATTGTAGCATGAAAGGACAAATCAAGGTTTTCTTCACTTTTATTTTCTGCCAAAACTCTCAGCTCATTACATCTGTGGAACTTTGTTTTTTCTAGTGAGGGGTGAAGCAGCCAAAATAAAAAACAATCGTTATGAAAAAATATCTTTAGAGTTTCCCTAAGGGAGAACATAGGTTAGAGAGAAAATCCTGTGACTGCTAAGAGCCAGGGGTCTGTGCATGCACCTGTCCCCCATCCAAAAGGATGATCTAATGGGAAAAGCACGTTTGTTCAGTGAGAGCAGAGAGTAGAGTTGAGAAGGGTCCCAGAGTTCTGCTTCCCCTCCCTGGGTTCTATATGTGTGTTTGTGCATGTGTGTAGCATAATAAATTCGACTCTAGGTAGGCTAGTGGTGTGTGAGTGCTTCCTTTCCCAAGTAAGGCTGGGGGACACCCAAGCTTTGCAGAGAAGCCCCCTCCCACCAAAGCTTGGCATGGCAGTGGCAAATGCCTGTGAGAGTGGTGGCCTAGGCAGGGTGCCTGGGTCTTGTTCCCCACACTGCCCACCACCAGTCATGGCGAGTGGGACAGGAGAGCACTGGAAAGTTTCTCGTGCTCTCAAGAGAGGCTCAAGATTGGCTGAGAGAAGCCGGATGGAGTAGAAGTGGCTGCCAATCACGATGAAGGGGAGCCGTCAGCAGATGCTGCATGGCCCATTTGAAAGAGAAACCACAGCTGGCATAGATGCCCCTCACTAAAGACCCAGCAAGGTGAGTACTAGCTCTGTGGAGGCCCTGGAGGGTGGAGAGCCATCAAGAACCAGATGCCGCTGGCCCTGGGGGCTCATGCCTGCAATCCCAGTACTTTGGGAGGCAGAAGCGTTGGAGACTAGGGGCTCATTTGAGCCCAGAAATTTGAGACCAGCCTGGACAACACAGTGAGACCCTGTCTCTTAAAAAAAAAAATTAGCCAGGTGTGGCGGCACATGCCTGTAGTCCAAGCTACTCAGGAGGCTGAAGCGGAAGAATCGCTTCAGCCTGGGAGGTCAAGGCTGCAGCGAGCTGTGATTGCATCATTGCCCTCCAGCCTGGGTGACAGAGCAGGACCGTCTCTCAAAAAAACCAAAAACCAAAAAACAAAAAACAAAAAACAAGAACAACAACAAAAAACCCCAGTTGCTTCTCCCACTCAAATATAGGCACTTCCACAAGCTCTCTAAAACTCATACCTTTAGGTTAAAGTGGAACATAAGGTCCTTGGATTTTCCTGGGAAAAAAATTCTGACTTAACTAATAACATCAATTTTTTTGTAATGATTGATTTGACTGAGTTTACCTAGAAATTATTAGATTAAACTTTCGCTAATAGTAATGGAAGCTCAGGGAAACAATTAAATCCTGTTATAAGAAAATAAAAATACGGTTTTACTCACTTTAGTCATTGACTATAAAAACCCATTCCCCTGTATATAATAACGCAAAACACATCCCAATATGTTCTGCCTGCCTCCGTGTTTTCCCACAGTTTTCCATTGGTTTCTTTCTTATTTCCTCCCACACAGGCTGAATTGCTAGGCTGTCCCTGTCAGCTTTCTTGGATTTAAAGGTCAGGAGCTCCAGGGGATCTCGAAGGTGTCAGATTGTTAGTTATTATTGTAATAACTGTTCAGTTAACTAAAAGCTTTATGAATTTGCATATTGAAAAGTTTCAGATGGTTGCTATTTATTTTAGCTTGCTCCTTTTGCAATAAAAGCTTTCTATTTAATTATTAATTTGGCTGTTATTCCTGGCAATTCTTGGCTATAAATAAATGTTTTCAAAACACTATCCAAAAACCACTAAGGGTTTTTTCCTAGTGGTAGAGCTGTTCTATTTGAGATTCGGATGCTGTAAGTAGTGTTTAACAATGAATAAATACTACTGATATAAATTAAATTTAAATAATAGTTTCTTCATGATTTTGGGAGGGCTGGGAGCATTGTGTATATAATAGTTTAATATAATAATAATATTATAATAATAGTTTCTTCATGATTTTGGAAGTGACTGCATTGATAGTTTAGACAAAACTTGTGATGTCTTAACTGTAATTGGAGGACCAAAAGAATTCTGTTATTTAAATAACTGTTGGAGATTGTAATGACTGGTTTTATGTGTCAATTTGGATAGGCTATAGTGCCTAATTGTTCAATCAAACACTAATCTAAGTGTTGCTGTGAAGGTATTTTGTAAATATGGTTAACAGCTACAATTAATTGAGTTTAAGTAAAGGAGACTATTCTTGTGTGTGGGCCTCATTCGATCTGTTGAAAGCCGAAGAGCAAAGTCAAGGTTTCTCTGAGAAAGAAGAAATCCTGCCTCAAGGCTGTGGCATTAGCTCCTCCCTCATCGTCTGCAGCCTGCTAGCCTGCCCTATGGATTTCGAACTTGCCAGCCTCCACACTCTTGTAAGCCCATTCCTGGAAACCTCTCTCTATCAATCCTGTCTCTGTGTATCTGTCTCTCTCTGTGTGTACGTGTGTATGCATGCATGTATGTACTCATCCATTCTATTTATCTCTCTCCTACTGGTTCTGTTTCCCTGGAGAACTTTGCTGGATTAATGTAGAGTTTTGTGCTAAGAATGGCTCTAGAGGAAAGCATTTTAAGGACGAGTTTTCTGGATTGGTATAGAATATGATTAGGTTTAAATCCAATGATAAAAATGATACTGATAGTCTGTGACATGATGTGGCAATAGAGATATGCAAAATGTCACCATTGGATACTCCTAATCAAATAGTTATAAGAGGCAAGGTTATGGGTGGCCATGTAATTGAAGCCTTAGAGCATTTTTGTCAAATGGAGGATAATGAGATTTGTTGTGTGATGGATATTTTTTTTTTTTTTGAGACAGAGTCTTGCTCTGTTGCCAAGGCTGGAGTGCAGTGGCGTGATCTCGGCTCACTGCAACCTCTGCATCCCGGGTTCACACCATTCTCCTGCCTCAGCCTCCCGAGTAGCTGGTACTACAGGTGCTCGCCACCACACTCAGCTAATTTTTTGTATTTTTAGTGGAGACGGGGTTTCACCGTGTTAGCCAGGATAGTCTCAATCTCCTGGTCTTGTGATCTGCCCGCCTCGGCCTCCCAAAGTGTTGGGATTACAGGCATAAGCCACCGCGCCCGGCCTATGATGGATAATTTTTGTGGGTCAACTTGACTGGGTCAGTGTCTAACCATTGTTTCTGAGTGTGTCTGTGAGTGTTTCTGGATGAGATTAGCACTTGAATCAGTTAATCCAGCAAAGCAGATTACCCTCCTCAACGTTGGTGGTTATCATCCAATCTGTTGAGGTTCTGAATAGAACAAAAGGCAGGGGAAGAGATAACTTATTCCTTCTTTGCTTCATTGCTGAGCTGGGACTTCAGTATTCTGTGCACTTGGACTGGAATTTACAGCATCAGTTCCCCTGGATCTCAGGCCTTTGAACTCACATTAAACTATACCACTAACTTCTGGATCTCTAACTTGCAGACGGAAGATTATAGGACTTCTCAGCTTCCATAATTTCATGAGCCAATTCCTTATGGCAAATCTCTTTCTCTCTCTCTCTCTCTTTTTGTGTGTGTGTGTGTGTGATACTCCAAACAATGAAGTTTTGGTCAATGATGGACTGCAAATACAACTGTGGTCCTATGAGATTATAATACCATTTTTTTACTGTGCTTTTTCTATATTTAGATTTTTGATATTTATTTATTTATTGTTATTTTTTGAGATGGAGTTTAACTCTGTCACCCAGGTTGGAATGCAGTGGCATGATCTCAGCTCACTGCAACCTTTGCCTCTTGGGTTCAAGTGATTCTCGTGCCTCAGCCTCCCAAGTAGCTGGGATTACAGGTGTGTGCCACCACACCCAGCTAATTTTTGTATTTTTAGTAGAGACAGGGTTTCACCATGTTGGCCAGGCTGTTCTCAAACTCCTGACCTCAAATGATCTGCCCACCTTGGCTTCCCAAAGTGCTGGGATTATAGGTGTGAGCCACTGCACCTGGCCTATATTTAGATATTTTTATATATACAAATTTTACCATTATGTTACAGTTGCCTACAGTATTCAGTATACTAACATGCCATGTGGGTTTGTAGCCTAGGAGCCATAGGCTATGCCATATAGCCTAGGTGTGTAGTAGGCTATACTATCTAGGTCTGTGTCAGTACACTCTATGATGTTCACACAATGACAAAATCATATAACAATGCATTTCTCAGAACATATCCCTGTCATTAAGTGGTGCATGACTGTGTATATATATATCCTATTGGCTCTGTCTGGAGAATGCTAATACAGGCTGCTTGCTCTTAATTGCACTGGAGAAAGTGGAGAAAGAAAAGGATGAGCTCAGGGCTTTAAATTCCCAGCTCAAATTCTGCATAAATGACCTGAAAGTTTCTGTGTTCTGAAAGAAACCCATTTGTCCTGTAGGCTCAGACCTGAGATTTCTGAAAACCAAGCTCAGAGTATCATCCTGCAAGTGGCTAAACTACAACACAAATTGAATTTCAAACCTTGCCAACTGTCTTCTGTTGAAGTGACTGCATTGATTGGGAAGAAATGGGATCCTGGAAATGGGAATGGAACATATGGAGAGATTCCGATGAAGCTGGGGACACTGAACTTCTGCCTTCTTCTGAGCTTCATTTACCAATGTAAGCAGCCTCCCACCCCTGTCAGAGGAGGCTGGCCCTGCTTTGCCTGCAGAAACTGTAATGGCCTCCCTTGAGGTTGTTGTCTTGCAAGACACTGCTGATTCTTCTGCATTGTTTTTTGCAATTTATACAGACAGAAATCAGGCGAATGCATTAGTGAAGGTATAGGATAATTGTGCAAGGAACAGAAAGTTGAATCAGGTCGAATTTATTGCCCTGGGCCCACTAGGTAGAGATTCTGAATTCAGTGTTGTAACTCAAGGAGTTAGAAAGAGCTCTAACAGTTTGAACTCATATTAAACTATACCACTAACTTCTGGAGCTCTAACTTGCAGATGGAAGATTGTAGGACTTCTCAGCTTCCATAATTGCATGAGCCAATTCCTTATGACAAATCTCTTTCTTTCTCTCTCTCTCTTTTTGAGTGTGTGTGATACTCCATACAATGATATTTTGGTCAATGATGGATTGCAAAGAGTTGGTGACCGAAACATGAACTGAAAGGTGAGCCTACCCTAAGTGAGGATGAAATGGCAGAACTGGTACACCGTAGAGGAAGGCATCCAAGGCTTCAGGAGATTGGGATGTATACTAGTTAGGGTTCTCCAGAGGGACAGGACTAATAGTGTAGATGTATATATGAAAGGGAGTTTATTAAGGAATATTGACTCACAGATCATAAGGTTAAGTCCCACAATAGGCCATCTGCAAGCTGAGGAGAAGGAAACCAGTTTGAGTCCCAAAAGCTCAAAAGTAGGGAAGCCAACAGTGCAGCCTTCAGTCTGTGGCCGAAGGCCCGAGATACCCTGGCAAACCACTGGTGTAAACCCAAGAGTCCAAAAGCTGAAGAACTTGGAGTCTGATGTTTGAGGGCAGGAAGCATCCAGCACAGAAGAAAGATGGAGACTGGAGGACTCACCCAGTCTAGTCCTTTCATGTTCCTCTGCCTGCTTTTATCCCAGCAGCTGATTAGATGGTACCTACCCAGATTGAGAGTGACTCTGCTTCTCCTAGTCACCTGACTCAAATGTTAATCTCCTTTGGTAACACCCTCACAGACACACCCAGGAACAATACTTTGCATCCTTCAATCCGATCAAGTTGACACTCAATATTAACCATCACAGGATATTAGAGTGGATTTATCATGTAGGGCATGTTTGCCCTCCTTGTGGGGAGGGATTCCGAGGACACACCTTTCACTGTAATTGTGAGAAACAAATTTGTGAGGGGAACCCTAACAGCACTGAAGTATTCTGCTAGGTGACCCAATCACCTAACAATACATTTCTCAGAACGTATTCCTGTCATTAAGCAGGGCGTGACTGTGTCTCTCTTCCATGTAGGTCAGAAATTGCAGTGGAGATTACTACCACTGAACTGGGATCCTTAAATGCAATGGACTTTGGAATAGCTGGGACCAAGTGGTGGCAATTAATGCCAAAGACCAGGTGGGTTTTGTTGCTGTAAGGGACAGTGGATTTCAAGCAGGAATCAGAATAGTCTGATTCATGGAGACCCACGGCATTGGCTAGTTGAACATGCTGTCCCCCTACCTGCCCCCCCGCCCCAAAAAAAAGAGGCCGGGCATGGTGGCTCATGCCTATAATTCCAGCACTTTGCGAGGCTGAGGCGGGTGGATCACCTGAGGTCAGGAGTCTGAGACCAGCCTGGCCAACATGGTGAAACCCCGTCTCTACTGAAAATACAAAAATATTCGAGGGCAGGAAGCATCCAGCACAGGAGAAAAATGGAGGCTGAAGACTCAGCCAGACTAGTCCTTCCATGTTCCACAGGCATGGAAGAATTAGCTGGGCATTTTGGTGGGCGCCTGTAATCCCAGCTACTCAGGAGGCTGAGGCAGGAGAATCGCTTGAACCCGGAAAGCAGAGGTTGCAGTGAGCCGAGATCGCGCCACTGCACTCCAGTCTGGGCAACAAGAGTGAAACTCCATCTCAACAAACAAACAAACAAACAACAAAAAAAAACCCATGAGCGGTCTACTAAATTGCTACTTGATCTGTATAAGTGCAAGGGTTCTAGGTCAGGAGAACAGAAGTTTAATTTGACTCTCTGAAGCAGAGAGTCACAGTCTCTCAATCAGTTCCCAGATTTGAGCCAGTTTATAGAGTAGAACCTCTTTCTTGAATGAAGGAGAGGCCAGGTCCCCTCGAGGAATACCCCCACTACATGAGAAATATTTATACAGTTACTCTTTCTCTCAGTCTTCCCAAAAGAGATGTATGCCTTTTACAAGGGTAATTGTACATTGAAGAAAAATAAATAATCAGACCTTTTGGGGACTACTGGACATTGACTCTGAACTGAAACTAATTCTAGGAGACCCAAATTATCTCTGTGGTTCACCAGTTAGAGTAGTGGCTTATGGAGGTCAGATGACCCATAGAGTTTTAGTTCTGGTCCATCTCATAGTGGGTTCGGTAGGACCCCAAACCCATCCTGTGGTTACTTTCCTAGTTCAGATTGCATAATTGGAATAGACATACTCAGTAGCTGGCAGAAACTCCATATTGGTTCTCTGACCTGTGAGTGAGGGCTGCTATGATGGGAAAGGTCAAGAGGAAGTAACTACAATTGCCCCTACCTGAAAAATAGTAAACTACAAGCTATACTACTTCCCTGGAGGGATTGCAGGGATTACTGCCAGCATTCAGGACTTGAAAGATAAAGAGGTGGTGATTTCTACCACATTCTTCATTAAACTAGCCTATTTGTCCTGTGCAGAAGACAGATGAATCTTGAAGAATGGTAGTGGATTATCCTAAACTTAGCCAGGTGATGACTCCAACTGCAGCTGCTGTTCTGGATATGGTTTAATTACTTGAGCAAATTACCACATCTCCTGCTACGTGGTATGCAGGTACTGATCTGACAAATGCATTTTTCTCCACACCTGTTAGTAAAGACTACCAGAAATAGTTTGTTTCAGTTGGCCAGCAATACACCTTCACTGCCCTATCTCAGAGGTATATCAATTCTTCAGCCCTATGCCACAGTTTAGTCTGCAGGGAACTAATCATCTTTCCCTTCTACAAGATATCACATCGGTCCACAAAATTGATGACAGCAGTCTAATTGGATCAAATGGGCAAGAAGTAGAAGCTACTCAGACTTATTGGTAAAACATTTGCATGTCAGAAGGTGGGAAATAAATTTGACAAGAATTCAAGGGTCTTCTACTTCACTGAAATTTCTAGATATCCCTTCTAAGGTGAAAGAGAAGTTGTTGTATCTGTCCTCTCCTACAACCCAAAATGAGGCACAACACCAAGTGGGGCTCTTTGGATTTTGAAGACAGCATATTCTTCTTTTGGATGTGCTACTCTAGCCCATTTGCTGAGTGGCTGCTGAAGAGCTTCTAGTTTTCTATGGGACTGAAGAGCTTCTAGTTTTCTGTGGGGCCCAGAATGAGAGAAGGATTCTGGTAGGTCCAGGCTGCTGTGCAAGCTGCTCTGCCACTTGCATCACGATCCAGCAGATCCAGTGGTGCTTGAGGTATCAGTGGCAGATGGAGGTGCGATTTGGAGCCTCTGGCAGGCCCCTGTAGGTGAATCACACCACAAGCCCTTTTTGTAGCAAAGCCCTGCCACTCTCTGCGTAGGACTACTCTCCTTTTGAGAAACAGCACTTGGCGTGTTACTAGGCTTAGTAGAAACTAAAAGTTTAACCATGGGCCACTGTCTGTTACGAACTGGGTGTTGTCTGGCCCTCAAAGCCATAAGGCTGGGCATGTACAGCGGCATTCCATCCAACATCAAATGAAAGTGGGATACATGAGATCAGGCTTGAGCAGGATCTGAAGGCACAAGTAAATTACATGAAGAAGTGGCCCAAATGCCCATGGCTCCTACTCGTGCTACATTGCCTTTTCTCTCCCAGCCTGCACCCGTGGCCTCATGTGGCATTCTCTATGATCAGTTGACTGAGGAAGTGTAAACTTGGGTCCGGGTTTCAGATGGCTTTGTTTGATATGCAGGCACCACCTGAAAGTGGGGACAGCTGCAGCACTATAGCCCCTTTCTAAGACATCTTTAAAGGACAGTGGTGAAGGGAAATCCTCCCAGTGGGCAGAACTTTGAGCTTTGAGCAATACACCTGGTTGTTGTTTTTGCTTGGAGAAAGAAATGGCCAGTGGTAAAAGCGTATACTGATTCATGAGCTGTGGTCAACAATTTGACTTGGTGGTCAATAACTTGAAAGAAACATGATTGAAAAATTGGTGATGAAGAGGAGAGGTATGTGGAATAGACATCTCTAAATGGGCAGAATCCATGAAGATATTTGTGCTACGTGTGAATGCTCATCAAAGTGTCACCTCAGTTGAGGAGGATTTTAATAATCAAGTAGAGGGGCTGACCCATTCTGAGGACACCAGGCAGACTCCCTAGCCACCCCTGTCATTGACCAATGGGCTTATGAACAAAGCATCCATGTAGCAGAGATGGAGTCTATGCATGGGCATGGAAACTTTGAATTCCACGCACCATGGCTGACCTGGTTATAGCCCCTGCTGAGTGGCCAGTCTGTTGGTGGTAGAGACAAACATTGAATTTCTGATATGGCACCTTTTTCTGGGGTGAACCTGGTGGCCTGTTGGACTACTTACATCATAAAAAGGGCAGCGTTTGTTATTACTGGAGTAGATATTGACTCTGGTTATGGATTTACCTTTCCTGCACACAATGCACCTTCCAAAACTATCATCCTGTGGACTTACAGAATGCCTTATCCACCATCTTGGTATTCCACATGGTTTGCTTCTGGTCAAGGAATTAACCTCACAGTAAATAAAGTGTGGCAATGGGCCCATGCCTGTAGAACTACTGGTCTTACCATGGTTCCCAGCATCCTGAAAGAGCTAGTTTGATAAAATGGTGGAATGGCCCTTTGAAGACTCAATTACAGCATTATCTAGGTGGCATTACCTCGCACGACTGGAGTAATGTTCTCCAGAATATATACCTTAAATCAGCATCCAATATATAGTACTATTTCTCCTATAGCCAGAATTCATGGCTCTAGGAATCAATGGGTGAAAATGGGAGTGGCACCACTCACTATTAGCCCTAATGTTCCTCTAGCAAATTTTTTTCTTTCTGTTCCCATGACCTTATACTCTGCTGGTCCAGAGGTCTTAGTTTCAAAGGGAAGAATTCTTCAACCAGAAGATGAAACAATGATTCCGTTGAACTAGATGTTAGGACTGCCTCTGGGTTACTTTGGACTTCTCATGCATTTGAAACAACAGGCAAAGAAAGGCACTACTGTACTGGATGGAGTAATTGATCTTGATTATGAAGGGGAAATTGGGCTGCTACTACACAAGGAGGTAAGGAAGAGTATGTCTGGAATATAGGACATCCTTTGGGGTATCTCTTAGTACTATTGTGCCCCATGATTAAAGTCAATGGCAAACTACAACCCAATTCTCTCAGTCTGCTAATGGCCCAGACTCTTCAGGAATAAAGGCTTGAGCCACCTCACCAGGCAAAGAACCATGATTAGCTCAGTTGTTTGGGGTATAGTGAATATGGAAGGGTAGTGGAAGAAGGTAGTTATAAATACCAACTATGACCATATGACCAATTGTGGAAATGAGTGCCATAAGTGTTAACAGTATTTGTTCCTCATTTTGTTATTAATGTGTTTGAGTGTATCTGTCTGTTTATCTATCTCTATCTATGGCAAATATCTGTGTTTCTTTCCTCCCTTATTCTCTTACTGTACAACATTAAGATGTGTTAATAATAGTTAAGTTAAAGCATATCAAGGAGAAGAGTGAATATCACCCTAAGGCTATAACCCTTCTGAGGAAGGGTTAGTGCATTTTAAATTGTATGTTTTGGATAGCTGTATCATGTTAGGAAAAGTATGACTTTGTAATTATCTTTATTTGGGGATTAAGTATGGGTTAACATGTGTATGAATGCCAAGTTAACAAGGGATGAATGACTTAATTTTACGTGTCAACTTGGATAGGCTATAGTACCCAGTTATTTCATCTGAAAATCTATGTATTGCTGTGCAAATATTTTGTTGATATAGTTAACATCTATAATCATTTGATAATGTGTGCGAGCCTCATTTAATCAGATGGCAGGGGAGCAACTGTAGTTTTCCAGAGAAGCAATTCTGCCTGAAAACTGCAGCGTCAACTTGCTCAAGAGATCTCAGCCTGCCAACCTGCCTTACTATGGATTTTGGAGCTGCCAGCTCCCACGATTACATGGGCCAATTTATTTAAAAAATAGCCTATTGTTTGGGAGCTCTGGAAAAATGCACTTCTGTCCAAGCTCAGTGGCTCATGCCTGTAATCCCAGCACTTTGGGAGGCCAAGGCAGGCAGATCACTGAGGCCAGGAGTTCGAGACTGGCCTGGCCAACATGGAGAAACCATGTCTCCTACTAAAAATACAAAAATTTGCTAGGTATGGTGGTGCATGTCTGTAAACCCAGCTACTTGGGAGGCTGAGGCACAAATTCGCTTGAACCTGGGAGGCGGTAGGTTGCAGGGAGCCGAGATCGTGTCACTGCACTCCAGCCTGGATGAAAGAGTGAGGCTCTATCCCCCCCAAAAAAAATAAATAAATAAATAAAAATGCACTTCTATACATACACAGGCTATGACATCTTGTGGGTATTGGAAGATGATTTGGGCTTATATCTGCTACAACTAGTTCATGGTGCTTGAAAAGAACAATTCTATAAAAGGGTCTAGGCCTAGGATGGCAAATAAACTTCATTGATATGACAACTTTGATGGATTTCACATGGCTGGAATGCTGTATTGAGAAGGTTTATGACTCTGAGTCTGGGCTCAGGAGGAAAGAGTGCCATGATTAATCACTTCTGTCTACTGTAAGACGGTGAGGGGAAAGAGTGATATATGAGTCATGAACTTATTAGTGTCTGAAATTCTCTTGTTAATTTATTTGTTGGCGTGTTTTACCTTCTGCTACCCTATCTCTAGGATGTAAGCTCCATGAGAGCATGGGCCTTGCCTGTTTTCTTTGTGGATCTGTCTTCAAAACCTAAAAATGTATCTGGGTTTACAAAATGTTCAAAAATATTTATAAATAAATATTCAAAAAATAGTTGCTGAATGTATTCTTCTCTTGATCTGGCTTATGCATATTTTAATAAACAATTTAAGTAAGAGTCAATACTTTGTAAGCTCTTGTTTCCAGGGTTGGCTTTATGAATCTTTTCCTTTTTGTATAAATTTAAGGGTTACAAGTGCAGTTTTGTTGCATGGGTATATTGTATAGTGGTGAAGTCTGGACTTTCAGTGTAACCTTCACTTGAATAATGTGTGTTGTACGCATTAAGTAATTTTTCATTTCTCACCCCATCCCACCATCCCACCACTCTGAGTCTCCACCATCTATAATTCCACACTCTTATGTCCATGTGTACACATTGTTTAGCTCCCACTTATGAGTGAGAACATGTAGTATTTGACTTTCTGTTTCTGAGCTATTTCACTTAAGATAATGGCCTCCAGTTCTGTCCATGTTGCTGCAAAAGACATGATTTCATTCTTTTTTATGGCTGAGTAGTATTCCATTGTACAGGCTATATGAATCTTAATAAATATTGATTAGAGGAGATAAAATACATGAAATCACAGTATCCAAGACATTTTAAGGTACTCAGTAAATAATACTTGAATCTGAAATCTGCAGTGTTGCTCTTCATTCAGGCAGAATGGTTTATTAATGTTGAGGATATATACATGAATAAAATACAAACATTGGCTTCAGTAAGCCCAAATTTTTATTTAAGGGGAATCAGAGAGGAAAATGAGTGTTGCAATCCAGTGTGATAAGTGCTTTAATAGAGCTAAGTTTGTGGTGATCCCAGAGATAGTACACTCTGGAGGAATAATCAACTTTACCAAATTTAGGGAGAATCAGTTTGTAGGGAAGTTTTCATAGAAGAGAAGACACTTGAGGGAGGAGGAGAGCATTCTGATACGGGAAACATCCTTTGAAAAAGCACAGACATATAGAATGAAATGCTGGGTTTATGAAATGCTAATATATTGCAGATGCCTAGTTAGTAGAATGGAGTGGTTGAGGACTAGGTAAGGACTAGATCTGTTCTGTTCAACATGGTAGCCACTAGCCGCACATGGCTGTCGAGTGCTTGAAATATGGCCATTTCACATTGAGATGTGCCATAAGTAAAGTGCATATTGAATTTGAAAAGTTAGTGAAAAAAGTATAAACGATTTAATTAATAACTTTTCAATGTTTTTCAGATTTTATTTAAATGGTAAGTGATGGTGGGCATGGTGGCTCACACCTGCAATCCCAGTACTTTGGGAGGCCAAGGTGAGAGAGGATCACTTGAGCTCAGGGGTTCAAGACCAGCCTGAGTAACATGGTGAGAACCCATCTTTACAAATTAACAACAACGAGAACAAAAAAAAAAAAAAAAAAAAGAAAAAGAAAAAGGAAAAAAAAATGGTAAATGAAGGTTGCCCAGCTAGCATTTGAGGATTGGCTCTGCTGTGAAAAGTCCCTGAATTTTTCATAGCAGTGAACCAACTTCAAGGAAATTCTTTCCAGCTTTACAGTGGTGGGAATGGAGAGAGTTGGGTCCTGGGAGCCTGGACCAAATCTGTCAGTTATTTATCCTTTCCCTGTGATTTGCATACAAGCTGAAGGCAAGAAATCAGAATGGTATTATCTTCCACACTGAGCCCTCTTTTTGGCCCCCAGGATGGATGTTTCTCTTAATGTGTTCTGCGGCTGAATTCAGTGTTCAGGCCCTGACTGGGGCTCAGAAACTGCGATTCATTTTTATCAGCAGCAGTGTAACTGCCCCTGGGGCCTCAGGTTCCAGGAACCACTTACAGGTGGCTTTAAAGGTGAGGTGAGTCTGGTGTTCAACAGGGGTTGGTCTTGCTCTTCCTGTGCTCATTGTGCTTTTGCAATAGAAGGGAATTAAGTTTTAGGAAACAAACCTTTTCCACTGTGTTGATGCTTCAGATTCAACTATTGCCAACAAATATCTAGGCTTGGTTTTATGGCTAATCTATGTCATGGCCACGTGGTGTATATTTAACCATTGTATACAGGCTTCACGGGATTTCATAACTTTTTTTTTTTTTTTTTGAGACGGATTCTTGCTCTGTGGCCCAGGCCGGAGTGCAGTGGTGCTATCATTGGCTCACTGCACCCTCGCTCTCCTGGGCTCAAGCAATCCTCCCACCTCAATCTCCTGAGCAGCTGGAGCTACAGGCGTGCACCACCAACCCCCACTAATATAAAAAACAATTATTTTATAGAGACAAGGTCTCACTATGTTGCCCAGGCTGATCGCCAACTCCTGGCCTCAAGTGATCCCCCTGCCTTGGCCTCCCAAAGCACTGTGATTATAGGCATCAGCCACCATGCCTGGCTGATCTCATGACTTGTAAAATACAATAATTTTATTAATTCTTATTAACTTATTAATCTATAGGTTATTACTACTATAACTTGATGTGGTATTGATTTGCCTAATTTTGAGCAGGAATACACTTAACAGGCAGAAATAAAAATTTTTATTGTGGTATAACTTGAAGTGCACAAATCTCAAGTCTGCATACTGATAATCTTTTACTTATGTTTAGATATATCTAACCATCATCCAGATTAAGGTGTAGCACCATTCTGGAAGGCTCCTTCCTGTCCCTACCTTGTCAATATCTTTCCTTTAAAGGAAACCACTATACCTTTATCATCGTAGGTTAAAGACAGGCATGATTTTAGCAACTTTTAAAGCATTGTAGATTTTTCTGTATCTGGCTAACTGCATGCTTTTAATTTCAGAATGGTGTGGCTTAAAAAAAAAACAGTAAAAGCAAGGAGATAGCAGTCATAAAATCTTCTTTAGTATATGTGTTCATGTCCTATAAGACTTTGGGGGAAACTAAGAGAAATGACGTTGTAAGTAGAATGACATTTAATTTCTGCCTCTTCTATGTATTCTAATTTAATTGTTGGGTGGAATCTGCTATGTGCCATGAGAGTAAAGTAAATGAGGATGTGTGTGTGTGTGTGTGGTATGCTATTTGTAACACAAAGATATATGTTATTTTTTCTTTTTTTGGAGACAGGGTCTCATTCAGTCACCCAGGATGGAGGGCAGTGGCGTGATCACTGCTTACTGTAGCCTCAACCTTCTGGGCTCAAGCAATCCTACCACCTCAACATCCCTAGTACCTGGAACCGCAGGCATGTGTTACCGTGCCCACTAATTTTTGTATTTTTTGTAGAGACAGGGTTTCCCCATGTTGCCCAGGCTGGTCTCGAACTCTTGGGCTCAAGCAACCTCCTTGGCCTCTCAAAGTGCTCAGATTACAGGCATGAGCCACTGCGCCCAGCCTGTTCTGTTATTTTTACTGTGGAACTGAAAGATAATAGCCTAGGTAAAATCTGTATTAGGAAAGTGCACAGTTTGCAGGCCAAGTAGTCTTTGCAAGTGATTTTTAAAAACAATTTGCAAAGCTGTCGAAGCTTCCATTCATACCTACTGCCTTAGGTAACAACACAGCACTTACCCTTGTGAGTGGCAATGTCTTACCTACTGAGTCAGCCTTCTCTAATTGGGATACTTGCTAGAAGTTTCTAAACAAAATATTTCTGGCAGCTGTGTGCATCTGCAAATATTTTCTGAGTGAGGGCAGTAGCGGATAAGTGGAGAGGACCTGACTTAAGGAACTCAATAGACAACTTACGAAAGTGCATGTTGATTTCAGTTATTTTGATTGCAAACTTCTTGATGGCAGGCGGTTTTCAAGTCTTATGCGGCTTCTCTAGCCCCTTCAGCACTTGATGTTGTTAACTGACAAAAGCTTGCTGATATTTGTATTTTGACTTGGCTTTAGAAGATGTAGTAGAGGTCTACTGTCTACAGTTGTACATATAGTGCTAAACTGCTGACCTTAACCTTCCAGTTGCTCTATGTGCAGCCTACACATGATATTACTGTGTTTAGATTTTTTACATAATTCTGGGCTCAAGAGACAGGACATTTGTTTCACATTTTTGGGGGGCTTGTTCTAAATGTAAAAGTTTGCCTAGCATTTAGGCTGCGTTAAAAGAGGACAGGTAAAATTATTTCCAGCTCTACAATATGTGTTTATCCCTAGAGAGGGGGTATTTGGAGAGGAAAGATGAATGGTCCTGCCTTCAGAATGAGGCTGACATGAGGCTGACCTAGAGTGGTGTCTTTCACTGAATCTAGAATCTATGAGTGTTGAGACACCTTCAAGATGCTTCATCTTAAAGATACTGTGGTCTCCTTCTTTTGTTCTCTGCCTATTCCTCTGAGTCATGCTGTTTTCCTAGAGAGATTTTATTTATTTTGCAAAACACTTGCCTTCCGGGGACAGCCTTATTTATTAGGTGTCTGTCCTGTGACTCTCTAGGGAATGACCATCACACACTGTTGCCCAAGAGTACGTAAACCATGCAGACAGCTCCATGCAGCTCACTCAGCCTGCACATATGAGCTGGTGCAGTGGTTTGTTGTTTTAACACGCACTAGAGAAACATCGTGAAATTGCTGACCATTTAAACAGTATTAGAGTTAACAATTGGCCTAATGTATTATGCCCTGTAGCTACTTCTGTTCAGCGTGTTTAATATGGTTGTAATCTTACTTAGTTCTGTTGTATTTATGTATTCCCTTCCTTCCCAAAGTGCTTCCCAATATGTTTTAAGGTATTAGTTCTGTGCAGTAATCCTGTGAGGATGACCAACTCTTTTTCTCTGTTTAATAAAAAATAATGGAAGGCCGGGCACGGTGTCTCACGCCTGTAATCCCAGCACTTTGGGAGGCTGAGGAGGGTGGATCACCTGAGGTCAGGAGTACGAGACCATCCTGACCAACATGGCAAAACCCCGTCTTTACTAAAAATACAAAATTAGCTGGGTGTGGTGGTGCATGCTTGTAATCCCAGATACTTGGAAAGCTGAGGCAGGAGACTCGCTTGAACCCAGGGGTTGGAGGTTGCAGTGAGCCCAGATCGCACCATTGCACTCCAGCATGGGCAACTAAAGCGAAACTCCATCTCAAAAAAAAAAAAAAAAAAAAAAAAAGGAAAATGGAAGTTGAGGGTGGGAGTATATGTATGTATATATAAAACAGACAGAGGTTCTGCCTATGCATGCAGGCAGGAGACTTCTCGTGCTTTGATGAGCTTTACAGCAGCCAGGCTAGTTGGGCACAGTAGTATTTGAGTATCTTGAGTATTTCCCAGCATCACTTGGGATGCCCTTCTTTTGGAGAGGGAGAGACTCTATCATCCATACTTGTTTCCTAGGGCTGCCCTAGCAAAGAACCACAATCTGGGTGGCTCAGAACAACAGACATTTACTGTCTCTTAGTTCTGGAGGTTAGAAGTCCAAGATCAAGGTGTTGGCAGGGCCATGCTCTTTCTGAAACTTGTAGTCAAAGGATCTTTCCTTGCCTCTTCCAGTTTCTGGTAGCCCAGACATTCCTTGCCCTGTGGCAGCACAACTCCAGTCTTCACATAATTTACTCTTGTACCTGTCTGTGTCTGTGTCCAAATTTTCCCTTTTTATCTTTTTTAATTTTTAATTTTTTTTGAGATGAGGTCTGTCACCCAGGCTGGAGTGCAGTGGTGAAATCTCCACTTACTACATCCTCCACCTCCTGGGCTCAATTGAGCCTCCCACTTCAGCCTCCTGAGTAGCTGGGACTATAGGTACATGCCACCATCCCTGGCTAATTTTTGTATTTTTTTGTGGGGTTGGGGTCTTGCTATGTTGTCCAGGCTGGTCAGGAATTCCTGGGCTCAAGCAATCCACCTGCCTTGGTGTCCCAAAGTGCTGGGATTACAGGCATGAACCACTGCACCCAGCCCAAATTTCCCCTTTTTGTAAGGACACCAGTTATACCGGGTCAGGGTCCATCCTAATGATTTCATCTGAACTACATCTGCAAAGGTTTTATTTCTAAATAAGACCACATTCTGAGGTATTGGGGCATAAGACATCAACCTATATCCACCACGTTTTGGAACTTCTGACTAATGGCCTCAACATGGCCCCTGACCAAGCATGCTTCTAAATGTTGTTCAGCCCTAGTAACAAGTAGCCCTGAAACCTGACATGGGGAAGATGTACTTTATGGGCTATGTGTGTGGGGAGTCAGGAGACAGTCACCAGGTATCTGGACCTCCTTGGTCCCACAAAACATAACAAGATAATTGGATTATAAAGGAGCCAAACACTGACTAAACCACAAGCTAGATGTTCTACCTCTGAATAATGTGGGTGAACTGTGCTTCTAAGATACTGCTTAACCTCATTCGACACAAATTTGATTTAACACATTCAATTAATCTTATCAGCAAATATTACACATGAGATGATTCATTATCTACACTGGAAATGGCCACTGCTGATAGCCGGGTTGCTCGCCTCTCCCTTCTGCTGTTCCTTCTCGCACTTGCTTTGCTCAGCTTGCTTCTTTAATATGTTGGCTTGGTTCTCTTCTTCTTTTATCTGTCCTGGTTTGCTGTTAGCTTTCCTTCCAAGTGGAGGTCAAAAATCAGCATGATGAGAAGAATCCATAGGTGCTTAGCTCTGTATAAGACAAAAGAAACTTTGACAAAGAGGAAGTATATCTTTATTAAAAACATAATAAAGAGAAGTCATGCATTTTATTAAAAATAATTCCCATACTTTTTTCTTTTATAAAAATATACACTTAAAAAGTTTTACGAAAAAATAGATAAACATAAGAAAATAAAAACAATCCATATTCCCCCTCATAATTCCAAAACTAGTGATGCACATTGTTAATGTTTTGGTATAGACCCTTCCAGAAGGAAGATAGATTATGATTTGTACTCGTATGCCCATTGGTGCTGCATCAAATAGATCAAAGGAATAAATGTTAAGTACATAAATATAAAGAAATAAAAATATAAAGAAAAAACAGTAGAAATGTTTTGTTTTTTAAAAATTGATATTGTATTGTACATGTGGGTTTATTATCTGCTCTCTCTCTTTTCAGTAACACATTGTAAGTATTTTCTTTTGTCGTTAAATATTTTTCTATAGCATCATGTCATTTCATCATTCTACAATAGAAATTATCTTCCATTGTAGGAATGTACAAATAATTTAATAAGTTTAATCAATGCTCGTATAGGACATTTTATGATCATTTTCAAATATTCTTTATTATCATCAGTGGTGCTATGCATAGAGTTGTAGTTCATCTTTGAACAGATTCATGCTAACTTTTTTCTTCAGTATTTCCTTTCCTTCATAGAAGTAAAGTCAGTGGGTTAAATGTATGCATAATTGACAGACTGCTCTCTGGGAAAGTTGGATCAATATACACTCCTGCCAGCAGTGCTTGAGGACATGTGCTTCCTAGCTTGTGTGACAGTACAACACAGTAGAATATAAGACATTGTTTCAATTTGATAGATTGTGATTTGTACTTGCATGTCCATTGTTGCTGCATCAGATAGATAAAAGGAATAAATATTAAGTACATAAATATAAAGAAATAAAAATGCTATTATGCAATTTCCAATGGAAAGAGTAGGGTACTGGGAGAACTGACCATCCATTTGAAAAAAGAAAAAATTCTCCTGAAGATTTTTTGCAAATTTGTTGGTCATTCATGTTTCTAATTTTTTGAATTGCCTGTTTATGTCCTTGACCCATTTGGCATTTAGGTGTGATTGTCTTTTCTTTATGGATTTGTGTTCTATTTCAGTAATTTGATTTCTTGATTTTTCATAAATGATACAATTTCTCTCAAAATTTCATTTGTCATTTAAGTTTGTGAATTTTCTTTTAATATAAAGACATGAAAAACATTTTAGTCAATTTATCATTATCTCCTTTGATGGTTTCTTTTTAACTGGCAGTCTTAAAATTTCCTTTACAATTATAAAATTACATATATTTTTTCTTGTACTTTTGTGGTTTTTACATTTAAGTCTTTAATCAATTTGAATATATTTGAGGTTGAAGAATATGAAGTAGACATCTAAGTTCTCTCTTTTTTCAAATGAACAGTTGTCTCAGTATTCTACTCTTTTCATTGGGGATTATATACTAGTAGTTTTTTTTATATTTAACTACTTTAGATTTATTTATTGTTCTGTTATTTCATCAGAATCACATTGTTTTAATTGCTGCAGCTTTATCACATTTTTAAATACCTGTGAGTGCAACTTTATTCATTACTTCTCTTTTGAAATGTTCTTGGAAATGATACTTACACATAACCTCTTCATCTATTTTAAGATGTGAAATAAGAACAAAAATGGTTTTTCTTAAATGCCTGCCTTAAAACTGGCATTTAGTTAAAGAATCAAGCGCATTTTGGGAAAGCTATGCTTCCTCTCCCCTTCCTGATGATTGTAACTGTACAGCAGTTCCAGGGAGGACAACTAGGGAGAAGAAGTATGCTAACTTTGGAAATAGCTAGTCTTAGCTTTGAAAGCTGGTTTTGTCAGTTGTTAGCTGTGTGCTCTGGGCAAGCTAATTAATCTTTAAGAAACCCAGTTTAGCTGTCAATGAAAATAGTGATAATAATACCATACCTATCTCACAGGGCAATAAGAGGATTAAATGAGACAATGTTTGCTAATACAGAGTGTATCATTGCCATCAAAGAAGGAGCTTAATAAATGTTAATTTCCCTTTCCTTCTACTGATCTAGGATGTTTTGTTTGTAAAACATTTTTATACACATCATCTCATTTGACTCACAAAGGTCTTGACTCACTAATCGTACAGTTTCTGTGGTATTGAATTACATGATGATTTAATAAGATATGATGATGATATAATGGATGTTAAATGACGAACCTAGAAGACATGCAGTTTTTGTTATAATTTTTTTACATTAAAAAAAAATTTATACCGACAAGGCTGGTCTCAAACTCCTGAGCTCAAGGAGTTTCTTTTCTTTCTTTCTCTTTTTTTTTTTTTTTTGTGAGACAGAGTCTCACTCTGTCGCCCAGGCTGGAGTGCAGTGGCGCGATCTCGGCTCACTGCAAGCTCCGCCCCCCGGGTTCACGCCATTCTCCTGCCTCAGCCTCCCGAGTAGCTGGGACTACAGGCGCCCGCCACCACGCCCGGCTAATTTTTTGTATTTTTTAGTAGAGACGGGGTGTCACCGTGTTAGCCAGGATGGTCTCGATCTCCTGACCTCGTGATCCACCCGCCTCGGCCTCCCAAAGTGCTGGGATTACTGGCGTGAGCCACCGCGCCCGGCCAAGGAGTTTCTTTTAAGCACATAACAAACTTCTCCTGCGTTCTTTTTTTTAATTTTTAATTTTTTTAATTTTTAGAGATTCAGGGGTATGTGCAGGCTTGTTAATAAAATCATTTTAATTAATGACTTAGGGTGGCAATAGTTTTTACTTTTTCAACAACCTGGTATATGTAAATAAGAATTCATGGTACACTGTTGATGCACATATTTTTAGAAGCATACTTAGTCTATAAAGCAAAACCCATGAGTATGTGATATGTTTGTAGTCTAACTTATCCAGTTTCAACTGTGTTAATAGCTTTGATCCCTATTACATTAAACATGCTTTTTAATTGAAAAATTAATAAGAAACTGATTTTATTCTCAGTTGAGTAACAGATTAAAGCTAATATTAAATTAGCAATCTGTATTTATAACAATCCTAGTGGCCGGGCGGGGTGGCTCACGCCTGTAATCTCAGCACTTTGGGAGGCTGAGGTGGGCGGATCACGAGGTCACGAGATCGAGACCATCCTGGCCAACATGGTGAAACCCCATCTCTACTAAAAATACAAAAAATAGCTGGGCATTGTGGCCCATGCCTGTAGTCCCAGCTACTCGGGAGGCTGAGGCAGGAGAATTGCTTAAACCCGGGAAGCGGAGGTTGCAGTGAGCCAAGATCGCACCACTGCCTCCCAGCCTGGTGATGGAGTGAGACTCCATCTCAAAAAAAAAAAAAAAAAATTCCTAGAGAAAATAAATATGCCAGTATAACATATTATAGTCATTAAGACTGTCTGGAGTCATTGAGACTTGAATCTGAAGTTCAGCATTACAATGTAGCAGCTGTGTAACTTTGGATAAGGTACCTGAGCTCTTTTAGTCCCGATTTCTTGTCTGTAAAATGGAGGTAATAACAGTGCCTACAAAGAAGTTTGTTGTGAGGGAAAGGAAATAAGTAGTCAAGCACTTAGCCCAGGAAGTGTTCATTAAACAGTTGTTGCTGTTGCTGTTATTCACTGGTGAATAACAAAACCATACAGTCCCTTTGGAAGGAAGGATTTAAAATAATTTAAACAAATAATCACTAAAAATTTCAACCAGTACATTTATGACAAATGTAATAGTATTCCAAGCAGATGATAGTTTTTAAAAATTTATGCCTGTGTATATTTGGGTAGAGACAAAGGATTATTTAAAAAGTATTTTCAGGTTGGGCACACTGGCTCATCCTTGCAACCCCTGCACTTTGGGAGGCTTGAGTCCAGGAGTTTGTGACCAGCCTGGGCAACACAGGGAGACCTTGTCTCTGCAAAGTAATAATAATAACAATAATAATAAATAAAATTAGCCAGGCATGGTGGTGGCATGTGCCTGTAGTCCCAGGTATTCAAGAGGGTGAGGCAGGAGTCTCACTTAAGCCCAAGAGTTTGAGGTTGCTGTGAGCTATGAATGCACTACTGCACTCCAGCCTGGGTGACCGAGGAAGACTCAGTAAAAACAAAACTAAACAAACAAACAAACAAAAACTGCAAAGCCGTGATTACCATACAGTGCTAGTAATAATGATAATAAAAACAAAGGCTCCAAAATTATTACATGTAAACCTATATTCACAGGTAGATAATGCCAAGCCTGAGCCCAAAGGGCAGAGGGATGCTAGGGGCTCACAGAGGAAGACCTTCTTTTGATTTTACACACAAAAACCTTGTTTTATTTTGCATATAGATTCCCCTTCCAACATTTTCTGAAGTGGTCTCAAAAGCTTATTTAGGATATTGGTTTTCCTGGATCCTGTCCAAGCTTTTCCTTCTGCATTTAAGCCTTATGTCAGCAGAGGATTTAGACTAAGTAGAGAGAAGACTTTCTTCTCCTTGGCTTTTTAGAGGAGGTGCTCTGGAATTTGGAAGATGCTACACAGTGAAGTCTGGGATATACATTTTTGGTACCCAGTAAACTCATGTTCAGAGAATAAGGCCTTAGTAGAGCCATATATGTGAGATATTTGGAATCATCCAAACCTGTAGCAAAGGTTAGATCCTGGTTTTTGTTTCTCAGATGTCTGCTTTATATCTCAAAACAACAAGCAAAATTTCTTGGCTCTGTGAATATGCAATTCTGTTCTTAGATTAGAGAGAAGCTTTACTCATGTGGTTTGGAAGGCTTCCTTTCCTAGTTGTTTTCAGTGTGTGAGAAGCACTACATTTTGAAGGTCAGAGAAGTCATGACACATTATAGGTAAGCTCATCAGCTTCTTACTTCACAGTGAGTTCTGAAAGGCATGATGCATGCAGTCCAGTAAGTGATGGTCATGATGTTCTGGTTCAGAACATTTGGGTTTCCCTACAGGTGTAATCGGTATGAAGTGAGTCATTAGTCATTGCATTTTCTGGAAAAGTCGGTAGAGAAAAGTTTAAGTGAAATGTAATACAGTGTTATAATTCACTTTTGTCACTCACAGGAGAGGATGATGTTTTGCATCAGGCTTGTTTACTGAAAAAGCTTATTATAGCCTGGTTCTTATGCTAAGTACTGGCTAAAAAAGAATAGAATGTGCCAGGCACGGTGGCTCACGCCTGTAATCCCATTACTTTGAAAGGCTGAGGCAGGTGGATCACAAGGTCAGGAGTTCGAGACCAGCCTGGCGAACACGGTGAAACTCTGTCTGTACTAAAAATACAAAAATTAGCAGGGTGTGGTGGTGGGTGCCTGTAGTCCCAGCTGCTTGGGAGGCTGAGACAGGAGAATCACTTGAACCTGGGAGGCGGAGGTGGCAGTGAGCCGAGATTGTGCCACTGCACTCCAGCCTGGGGGACAGAGCGAGACTTCATCTCAAAAAAAAAAAAAAAAAAGAATGCACAACTTTTCCAATCTTGATTTAGATTATTTATACTAGGAATGTGTGAGGATGCCTTGAACAAACATGTCCTTTTATATGGTTAAGAAAATCAAATGTTGTAGGATATAGAGATAGTGGTAGTAAAAGGTAATGGTGTAGAGATATGTACCTAAGGAAAGAGAATGTCATGGAGAAACCCTGGGTACTATGGGTGACTGAGCCAAAAAGAAAGTAGTGGAAATCTTATCTAAGTGACCAGAAGCCGCACTTCACTGGGCTGCTTAAAGGCAAAAATACTTTTAGCTCACCACTGATTTGCAATATGGGGATGGAGGGGAGCAGTGTTTAAAAGATGCTGAAGATTCCCATGCAAGAGAGGGAAAGCCAATTTCCCAAGTGGTGATGGTCCAAAGGCAGGAACCTGGCACAGACACAACAGTACAAACACTATAGTATTTGCTAATGTTGTGAAGCCATCTGCAATTCAAACTCCCAGTATATATACTAGACATATTCCTCCTGTTTGAATACAAAAACCCACTTCCTCAAAGGCTAGAGTTCTTTAAATTGAATGTTAATTCAAGGTTCAAGGATTGACCCTTCAACAAAGGCGGATGTGTTAGCCACCAGGAAAAACAATTCGGGGAAGGGTTAGTTTGACTTTTAGCTATTATTTATCATTTCTTACCCAAACTTGTTTTCACATCTGAAGGACCAACAGGATAAAAGTTGATACATTAGGGACTTGAAGTTCAGAGTATTATTAAATCATTTCCAACAAATATATATAAACAGCGTCTTCCGGGCAGGTCAGGGCTTAGCTCAAGTCACTTTCAGTTGCTGTGCCTCAGGGAGGATGCTGGTTAGACCTCCCACTGAAAGATTTCCATTGTTCTTCTAACTTTTCTAGCCAAACATGATTCCAGTTAATGTAACAATCTCACAGCCTGGAAAGAAACTGCCAGCCTGGGAAATCTACTTTTCTGGCCTGGGAAGTATTCTGGTGAGCACTGAGGGAAGGGAGTAGGGGTGTTGGAAAGAAGACTTGAAATTCCTTTGTGTTATCTGTAAATAGAACGTTCTAACTCTTTGGTCTCTTCTTCCTCCTCTCCCCCAACCCCCTCTTTCATCATTTTCAATTATATATAGGAGGTTGGAAAGTTTCTCTTGAGCTCTTAACCCCAGTCACCTAAATACCCTTTGTGAGGGAAACTGGGTAAGAACAATTAAAGTGGAAGGCTCTCCTACCCTGGTCTTGCTCTTCCCCAATTCTCCTCTAGCTCCTCCTCCCTTTATCTCTCTCTCTTCTCATAAAAGTGCTTTAGTTGAGGCTTCCTAGGATTCACCCTCCAGCTCCTATCTGCACTTGAAGCCAGGCTGGGGTCTGCACTTGCAATTAGTATGTCTGTTGGACTGGGCCACGGTATCCCACCTGGCCACTGCCGCATGCCTCCTCAGTGCATGCCGGGGCTCCTGGTCTCTCTAGCCTGGGGCTTTGGGCTGACAAGTTCCCTCTTCCTTGCAGCTCCCTCAAAGTCCCAGACACAAAGGCCTCCAGGATGCTCTGTTAATGCTTGACTGGAGCCTTCCAAGATTAGAATCAAAGGGGCATTTGGGGGTAGTTTTGGTCTTTGAGACTTCAGTCATCCCATATTCCCTCTACCCAATAGAAAGCAGAAGGGGCCTATACTCTCATCTAGCAGCTTCTAGTTCCTCCTATCTATTGGCCTTTTCCCTTGGCCCAGGGCCAAGGCCAGATTTTCATGAATAGGAAAGCTCTCCTGCAGAGAGATGTCAAACATGCCCAGCTAGACAATGGCCATGAGCAACAAAAGATCTGTGGGTGATCCTGTAGGAGTTTGATTCCCCCAGGCTGCTGTGGGCAGGGCTGTGTGGGTCTTTAGATTGTGTTGAGCAATTGGTGGGTCTAGGAAGCTTGATTTTCTGGAGTTCAGTGACCAAGAATCTCAAGTTCTCTGTTTAGTCTTTCACTCTCGTGAATGGGTTCAGGTCTGAAGGCCTGTAATTTTTGGGTGCTGAGCCCCGAGTTCTGAGCTGAGAGTATCTAAGCTGAGAAGAGCACGGGGTCGCAGCCTTGGTAAGTCAGAGGCACAGTTCAGCCTCTGTTGGCCCTTGGAGCCAGCAGTTAGTCGTCCTCCCCAGATAGTTAATCGTGTTTGTGGTTTTCCCCCTTTAATGGGCCGTGAAGTCAGCAAACTCCCCACATGGTGGCTCCCTTTACTAAAGTTGAGTAGTGAATTGTACAAGGAGTCTTGGAAATTTTCAAATATTTCTCCAGATTGAACTCAACTCAGAATTCGTGTGGGAGGAAAGAGTAAGGATTTTAATGGGGTTCACCTTTGACGTGAAGCAAGGCGGAAGACAGGAAAGCCACAGTGGGGAATAGCTTTGGGCGCTTTAGTAAGAAAGACATCTCTGCTTGATTATCTGGTAGTGTTCACCGCAGGCTCTTTGTGTGCGAGCTTGCTGCAGAGGCAGAGCTGAACATGGAAAACACGCATGTAAACAGTCCAACATAAATCAGTGAGCATATGTATCAGAGAAAAAGAGACATATTCCCATGTAGATGTGGTTTGAAGCTTTATTGAAGGCAGACAATCTGAAGCACGGCCAGGAATAAACTAAGAGGAAGCAGACAGTTTTCGGTCATTCATGGCCAGGAATAAACAAAACTTAGTTTTTTTTTTTAAGAAGGAGGAAGTATTAAATCTCAAATAAGAGCAGGAACAGCATTTAGAAGGAGAAATATAATATCTTGGAAAAAGCATGCAGAACTAATATAGCTTATTTAAATGTGAGATCCAAATCGTAGTAACAGGAAACCCTCCCACTAAACTGGAATTTCCCCTAATTTTTGTGTAAGATCCAAATAATTAAAATGCACTCTAATGGTTATTGATGGCTCTATTTTCTTTCTTTCTTTCTTCTTCTTCTTTTTTTTTTTTTTAAAGAAATAGACCTGAGTTCTCTTACTGGAGTAGAAATATATGAACCTTCTTCAATTACCCAGGAAATTGGAAGCCTCTGGGTGGATATGGTCTTCCCTTATTGCTTTCCTCTTCCCACATCATTTTCAGTTAAAAAAATTAACTGTTTCCAGCAGAGGGATTCCTGTTAGAAACCTTCATCAGGTGAACTTGTACTGGGAACCCTCATGCTTTCCCAGTCTGTCTGTGTCTCCCAAACAGAGCTGAAGTTGTAAACAAAGTGGAAAAACATATTTCTCGCCCCCAAATTCTTAAAATTTCACTTCTTGTGGAAAACACAATTTCACAACATCAATTTTTAAAATCTGTAAGAGCCACAGAAGGTGTGAAAGTAGCCAAACAGCCGGTCTAGAAATCCAAAAGCCAGGACTAACGGGGGACAGAATGCTTTTTCCTCAAATCCAGGCAGGGATGGGGAGCATTCTCAGCATTAGGGCATTTATGGACGCTACAAGAGGGAAAGGATGTATCTGAACGGTGGGGGTGATTTAGGCGATGAATCGCCACGTTAATAGCACTACTGCCAAATCTTCAAATTTAGAGGCTCTGGTGAAAAATTAAACCGGTGGCAATTTTCAACGTTTGTAGCATCTGTTACCCTACACTTCAGCACCCGGAGTCTGGACAGCTCCGCAGGCCGCGCTCCGGAGGCAGCATGAGCTCTCATCAATCTACTCATAGCCCTACTGTCAACGGCAGCCAGACTCAGGAGAGATTTACTGAAAATCCTCCAAGACTTCCCTTTAAAAACAAAACGACTTCCACATTTAATGGTCTATCTGAAAGAACATACGCAAGAAATTAGGAGATCTAAATTAAATTTATTAATAGGAGAGCTTGATGATGCTTAATTCCAGAGACCAGAGCTCTGATTGGTGAGGCTTGATGAAAAAGTAAAGAGAAATCGTAATTATATAGTTAAAAACATAACTTTTGTCATCCTCAAAATTCTAAAAATTCTTTACCTGTCCTTGAGAAACGGGTGAAATTGAAAACCATCAAAACAATTGGACTTCTTAAAAATTGGATTGTATGAGTGAAAGGTGTTTATGAGAAGTCGATGACTCCGGATCTTATCATCCAAGAGGACAGCACAGAATAGTTAATATGTTCCTTGAGGGACTAGGATGCTGACGTCTTTTTCTGATACCCGATCATTACGTGACTGAGAAAAAAAAAAAGGAAGTCATTTCATGAATAAAAATCGGAGCGCAACAGTGCAACAAAATATTCTGTACTTAAAGGCAACAGGCAGGCAGATGTTGACAAAGAGGGCTCTCCAAAAACCATGTTCGGATAGATTTTTGCGAACTGCACAGATAAATAGGAGCAGAAGGCCGGTCACCTCTGTAACCAGCGGTAGCAGCAGCAGAAGCCGCAGCTTCAGAGGCAGCCGGAGAGACCTCGGAGCAGAGAAGGCGCCGCCGACCCTCGCGGCTGCCTGGCCCGCGGCTCCTACAAAGGCGGGCTAGCCGCCCGCCCTCTCCCTTGCCTTCCTCCCCTTCTTTTCTGACTTTCCCTCTTTCCCTTAATCGCCTGCTTCTTCCTCCGGGTGGACTTACGGCCACCTTGCTCCTCCGCGCTTCACCTCATCGCCCCCTCTTTCTTTCTTCTGCCTCTCTCTCTGCGCCCCCTTCTCTCCGTGTCACGCTCCCTCCTGGTTCTGCGCGTCTACAAACTTTTGAGCAGAACACGAGCCTCGGCAAACGAGTCCCGCAGCTCCTCCTGCTGCTCCCGCTGGTTCCTGCGGCTTCTGCTCAGACACCAACGCCAGACGGCGATGCCTCTCGGGTGGTGACTCCAGCGCAGGAACTTGAAGAAGCGCTTTGCCCGCCGTCCTACCTGGCAGCTCTCCTGGCAGCGGGAGGAGTTGAAGGGTAAGGGAGGGAAAATCTTACCAAAGCGACCGGCTCACTCGACTGCTGATTCTTTCGCTTGGCATCGCGTCAGGGGAGTTAGCTTTCCTTCAGCCGGGTCTGGCTAGTTATTGGGCGCCGGGTAGATGCATATATATATATTTTTTTCTAACTATAGCAAGCAAGAAGTGGCAGGGCGCGCACCGGCTGTCGCCAAGTGCTGTTCAACTCAGGGAGCCGGGGCTTCGCTCCGTCCCTCCCCCGGCTTCCAGAGCTTTTTGGGGTTGGAGGGTGGGAGGCCAGGGGCGTTCTCACAGCTGTGTGTCCTCTTTCCCATCCTGCGCAGAATGACCATGTGTAGCGGAGCGAGGCTGGCCCTGCTGGTCTATGGGATAATCATGCACAGCAGCGTCTACAGCTCACCTGCCGCCGCCGGACTCCGGTTCCCCGGGATCAGGTAGGTGCTGGCTGCCTGGCCCAAGCAGGAGCTGGGGCTTCCCAGGCACAGACGCTTCCTCACGGTCTCCTTCCTGCAGTCCTTTGGGTCCAGACTACTAGCATCGCCCTCTGCGCCCCCGGTGCGCCTCCGCCAGCCTCGGCTGGACAGCGGGTCCCCATTCTAGCCGAGGGTCTGGCAGGCTCCGCGACTGCTCGGACGCCTCCCCCAGCCCTAGGCAGCTCAGGGTCCCGGGTAGAGCCAGTGAGCTTCTGGCCGCTGGAGAACCCCCCCTCCCCCAACCCGGCCCACAGGATGGGGGCAGGGCACGGCCCCTAGCTTGGTTTCTTTTACCTATTCTTGGGACGAGTTAGGAGAACTTCAGCTCTGGAGCCTGGCCGGGGGTTGAGCGTGAAGCTCCCTCGGACTTTGCTTTGTTACTGCTTGTTCTGGACTATCCGGGTGGGGTCTCTCTCTCTCCTCCACCCTTTCTTTTCATTTCATTCCAATTCTTTCCCCTGAAGAGCTTTCTTTCAAGTGATCCGTGTTCCAACTGCATTTTGAATCCCAGGCTGTCTTGGGGGGCGTGCGGTGGGGAGGGTGTTGGCCCGGTGTGATTGAGGAAAAGCGACTTAAGAGAGGGAAGAACAAGGACGAGACTGCGAAGGAGGGGGAAAAACAGGCGCAAAGGAGGAGGAAGGGAAAGCCAGCAGGCAGGCAGGACCGGGAGAGCAGCCCTGCCTGGCCCGGGATGGAGGAACCTTGGCTTTTTTCTTAACCCCGGGTTTCTAACCGGCAGGCGCGGCCCAGGTTCCCGGAGGCAGCCCCAGAGTCGCGGACCGATGTGCCAGGCTGTGGATGAGCCCTGGGTAGGGGAGGGTTCGTACCAGCGGCGCCTGGGGCAGCGAGGAGCGCGCGTTCTGCCTGCGAAGCTGCCTTCTCCGAGCCCCGCCCAGGAACATTAGCTCTGGGGGGCCGCTGATCATTGATTTGGACGGAGAGATGGGTTCTGGGTTCTGTATTAGGATTCCAGCATCTGGGCTCGAGGCAGGGCAATATCCAGAAAGACCCCAGGGTTCGGGGTACCCGGGCCAGGGCTGAGGCGCATCGCCGAGCAAAGGCTGGGTGCGAGGCGTGCGGAATGATGCGCTTGCCTTGCCCGGGCCTCTCCAAGGATGGAGAAAAGGCGAGTGAAGCAGCGAAGTACGACTCCAACCCCGCCCAGAGAGTGCTACTAGCGCTGGCTGCACGCCAAGTCTCTCCAGGGGTCCAAAGCGAGAGGGATTTGTTTTAACCCATCTCTACCCGTCCTGTGTCAAGAACGGAGGCTGTAGAGGGCGACTGCGAAGTCGCCAGGCACTCGCTGGATCTCGGTCCCCCTCCTCGTGCTCTGGGGTTGAGATGGGGCACCGCCATCGATAACAGATCAGCGCGAACTATTCGTTTAGTGGCCTTAAAACACCCTGGTTTCACCCTCAGCTATTTTCAAGTTCCCGTGTGCCTGGCACTTTCTCCGTGCGAGAAGCACCGGAGGGTGCGGACGCGCCACAGTCTGAGCCGCCGCCGAACTGGCTAAGTTTAGGGGCATTTATTATTCATGTTCCTGCCAGATCCTCGCCTGCCCAAAATAGAAACCGAGGTTCTCCGTGACCTACATCTGCTCGGAGAAGGGCTCCCCTGGGCTCGGAGGCTGGGGTGGGGGTGGCTGAGGAGTTGGCCCCCGCACGCCCCACGCATCCTCTCCTTTGCTTTCTGGGCCTCCCCATTCGGGTCTTCGCGTGGGTCAGCGCCCGGTCTCCCAGGGCCTTTCTCGTCCCCGCCCGTTGCTGCTTTGGGGAGGCTCGGGAGCCAGGCGGGGAGGGGGGCGGTCCTTTTCCGTAGACAGGTGTGCGCGATCGGCGGAGACGCCTCGGTTTCCCAGCGCTTGTTGAGGCCGTGGCCCGCAGGACGACCCTTTACCCGCGAAGGGGGGGTGGGCGGGCCGCCCGGCGGGGTAGGAGTGGTTGGGTGTCGTTGCCTCCTCCTTACCTCTGCTCCCACCCCCAGTCCTGGGAGAAGAGACAATTCTCAGCGGAGGACTTTTATCACCTGTGAAAATCCGCGCGAGCCCCTTACTTTGGATCCTCGCCGAGCTGGGGAGGAACTTGCACTGACCACACCTTCTGTCCCCGGCCACCCCGCAGGCCAGAGGAAGAGGCGTACGGCGAGGACGGAAACCCGCTGCCAGACTTCGATGGCTCGGAGCCGCCGGGCGCAGGGAGCCCCGCCTCCGCGCCGCGCGCCGCCGCCGCCTGGTACCGCCCGGCCGGGAGAAGGTGAGATTCGCGCGGCCTCGCGCACACCCGCGGCTGGGAGCTCGGGACTGCGGTGACGGGAGGGGCAGTGTGGTGACCCACCCAGGATTTTTTTTTTTTTCCCGTGAAAGTCCTCAAGCCTGTCCTCTCCCTGGCCCGATCCTATTGCAGCGACAGAAAATCAGCAGCGGGCGGGTCTGTGTGGACCTGAGGGCCGCGTGGGGACCGAGGGGGGCTGTGGCCCAAAGAGTGGCAGTGAGTGGCGTCAAGGAACCCACACTCCGCATCTGCCACTCCTAGAGCCGGGACTAGCTCCCGATCCTAGCAGTTGCTCTCGAGATCATCCCGGGAGTTATTGGCGAGTTCTGGGCCTCTGGAGGTTTCCCTGTCAGCCTCCCCGGCCGCCGAGGGGGCGCGCGCCCAACAAGGGGGTCTCTAGCGGCCACCTGGGGACAGAAACAGTGACCCTGGGCGCGCACTTTGCCTCCCCGTTAGAGATGTCGCCCACGGGATCCTTAACGAGGCCTACCGCAAAGTGCTGGACCAGCTGTCCGCCGGGAAGCACCTGCAGTCGCTCGTGGCCCGGGGCGTGGGGTAAGAGTTTGTGGAAGGATTAACCTGCGCGCGCCGGGGTGGGTGCCTGTGCGGGGCGCGCGGGGCGGGCGGCGGTGGGTGCCCGTGGGGGCCAGGGTGAGTCTGCGCCCCTGGGTCTGGGGTGGGCATCCGCCACGGGTCGCAGTTGGAGATTTTGAAGTGGCACTTTAAATTTGCCCAGAGAGCTCTGGAAGAGGCAAAAAGGGAACGCGAGCCAGGGAGTTTGATCCGTTTTGAATGAAAAGAAAGAGAAACCAAACCAAACCTCTCAGTCATCCAAAACCTTCAGGCTTCCAGGGAGGTTTTGCTATAATTTTCTCTAAGCATGACTGTTTCTGGGGGAGGGGAAAGGGGTGGTTGTATTTACTGAAAATTCAAATCGAAATAATAAATGGCCAAATGTGGACACTTATGGACCCAAACAGTTTTGCTCACGCCAGAGAAACTGAGAGCACAGGGCTTGTGTGAAGCCTATCTCGGCAGAAGGCAACATTCTAATAAAGCCCGTGGGAAAACAGATTACATTTTCGCCATGAATAAGTCATGCAGTGAAAAATATTGCCTACAGCCTGTCGACTTATATTATTATCACGTTTTTCAACTCGGCGTGAGGAGGGAGAGGAGTGTTCATATTTGACTAGGAATTGCAGGATCGATGCAAACTCCAGGGCAGCAGCCAGACTGGCATATGTAGGGCTCTCCGGTTACTTTCTCTGTATGTCGCGGGTGAGAGGAACAGCGAGGACAATTTAGCGCAAACACACGAAGGGTCGGATCTCAAGGGGGCAGCGCTGGGAGAAAGGTTAGGCTTGAAGCGCGCGTCGCCTGCCCGGATCTTATCCCGGGCCCCCTCCGCAGGGTTTGGTGCCAGGAGATCCTGCGTGGGGAGGGGGGCATCGAGGGGCTGCCGTCTCGGCCCTCCCCACGGCTGCTTCCAGGCAGAGGCGGGCGACGCGGTGGGCAGTGCGAGCCCCGGGCCCTCCCCGAAGGCTCCCGCGTGGGGTGGGGCCCGCCTGCTCCCCGCGGCGATTGAACCTGTGTCTCCCGCCCCGCCACCCTCTTCCCGACCCCTTTGCTTGCAGTGGGAGCCTCGGCGGCGGCGCGGGGGACGACGCGGAGCCGCTCTCCAAGCGCCACTCGGACGGGATCTTCACGGACAGCTACAGCCGCTACCGGAAACAAATGGCTGTCAAGAAATACTTGGCGGCCGTCCTAGGGAAGAGGTATAAACAAAGGGTTAAAAACAAAGGACGCCGAATAGCTTATTTGTAGCGATGGGTTACCAGCTACCCTGTGTATACAGCCCTGACGCAATGAAAAGTCGTTTTCCAAACTGACTCAACAGTCATCGCTCGTGTGTTCTATCCAAACATGTATTTATGTAATGAAGTAAAGCCATTAAATGAATATTTTGATAATAATATTGTTTTTCTTTCTACAAAGCACTAGAGAATGCACAGATATACTTTGTGGACCAATTATTGATATATATTATAAATATATATAAAGAATATATATATATATATATATATATATATATATAAAGTATAGAGAGAAGTTCATACAAAGCGTGCACAAGGATTGAAAATTCGCCCGAGCTGTTTATGTTTTTATAAAAATAAATAGAAAAGTAGACAATCATTGTTTTGAATATTACTCCTATTTTTGTAAACTGGAATTAAAAGGATAGTATTTTTATCCATGACAGGCCTGAAGATATTACTACTTACCATTTGCTACTGTACATAAACAATGATGCCCTGCTCCAGGGAGATTTTGAGGTAAAGATATGGAGAATTGCTGAAGGGCATTCTTTCCCAGTGAGTCTCTGGGGCAGGCTGCTTCAATCCCAGCCTAACTCAACTGGGCTCTGTCCCCCTGGTTGGGTGGCAATTCCAATATTTCTGCTTTCTTTGATTCTCCTTTTATGTGTAGTTGTCTCTCTTCAGACTCTCAGCCCAGAAGAAAATTCTCCTGATAAAACAACAGCTCGATCCAAATTGTGCTTCTCCCCAGAATTCACGCCTCTCCCTAGGAGAAGAGTTGAGGAACTGTACAGAAAAGGGCGGCTTCGTTAGACCGCTCTCTTTTCTGTACTTCCTGAGTGGCCAGGGAATCTAATATCCCCAAATTAGGGCAATTGGAACAAAGTGAAGGACATAGAGGTATATTGGAAGAGGCAGAGCCTGAGGTGGTAGGAGGAGGACCCTGGAAATGGACTGGTTTGAGATTGCCCCAGGTCTGGGAAGCTGAGGGCAAATCCAGTCCCAATGGTCCTGACTTTGGGCGCTGGGTATTGGAAATGGATGCAAAGTACAATGTGTTTTTCTCCAGTGCTGTCCATGCTTCTCATCTTGTGAAATGGCCAGGATCCTCTCCTTTGAAACCTGCTCTGTAGGAGCTACCCTTTTCCTTTGTGGTTTTATGGAGACCTCTCCTTCCTACCCTCCTGCACTGTTTAAGTACTGTTTACCATTTTTCATTCACTTCTCTTAAACTTGTGAATGCTTCTCACTTTTTTTTTTTGTTTGATGCAGGCACTTATTGTAAATTTTAGAAACCCCTCTGTAGCCACTAGTAAGTAATTATGCACTAAATATGAACCCTTTGTTTCTTGTTTATTGAGTTTGTAGGTAAAATGTATTTTTCTACATTATTGCTTATTGCTTAGTAAAATTTATTTCATAAAACCAACCTTTGTCATATTAGAATGTGTAGTGTTCACATGTTGCTCAGTTTTGCTAACTGATAAATCATTTAATCCTCTTCTTCATATGTATGAGTACTATCTTATATCTGTGGTCAAGAGTGAGGTAAGCAAGCTCCAACAGACCCTGAGAACCTACGCTTGTATCCTTTCTTTGGCTAAAGAAAGCATGTCTGTTTCCTGTCAATTCTTTGAACATACAGAGTAATCTTTATAAACAAAAGAACCTTCACCCAGCAATCAGATCGAGCAGCAACAGACAAACCAGCCAGCCAATCTCCCAAATTTCAGGCACAAGTTTATTTATTTATTTTTTTATGTTTTGAAAAAAGAAGATGAAGAAGAAGAAAAAAAAAAGAACAAGGAAAGATTAAACGTTAGCTTGTAAAGTTTAAAGGACCTTTCCTTTTCCTTTACGGATTTGATCAGTATGAAGTCATAAATCAAAGAAAACAGAATTGGATTTGCATTCCCAGGCGGGATGGATGCTGCCAGGAGATCACATTGCAAATAGTGAAAACAGAGGCATTCGGTCTATGCCTGAGTCCTGTGTATAGGATCAATCTTCCTTTAATTCCGCAGTCTCCTCAGGCAATGTGACACGGGATGCAGTTTGCAGCTTTAGTGCCTTTCTTCGCCTTTTAAATTGCCACGAATCACAGATGGCTATTTAGTGGCCCTACAATGCTGCAACACATCAGCTTGCATTTTAGTCTTAATTATTTGTTTCTTGGATAATGGGCAGAGTTTTCTGTATTTGTATCAGCTGTTAGTGGTGAAATAGGGCTCTAGTTAACCTTTTATTTATGAAGTCTAATTTAGTGTTCCCGTGGCTAGTTGCAAGCATTTTACAGTGATCACCCAGTTTAATCTTTTGTATACTTTTTAGAAATGCCAAGAGCCTTACTAAACTGAAGCAGATTTATGATATAGTGATAATTTAGGTAGATGTTAGTCTTGAAGCTCTTATTTTGTGTGCAACTGATTATAAAAACACCTTAACCAAGTATTATTACACACATGATATCTATAACTAGGACTTTGATAACTGTTATATAAAGTGTGTAAAATTTGTATGAATAAATTTTTGTAAACAATGCAACTTGGTCTAATGTTTGGGAAAAAAGACATTCAGGAAATAATTACTTTAAAATCTCTTAAAGTATTATATTTCTTTAGCAACCATAAGATTTTTTTACGTCTGGAATATATATCTATCTAAGCACCCTTGTATTTTCATGAACTGCACTTTAATAATTGATGGGCAACTGGATTCTGCTAAAAATTTAAAGTAGCTACTCAGATGGAGATGCCTAAGAAGGTTTTAAGCTCATAAACAGGCATGATGTTGCAACATTATAAGACACACAATTTAGATTAATTTCCATCCCCTAGTGTGTATATACTTTGCTCAATATTCAGAAAGTTACTAGGTAGTAGTGGGAGACAATGCTGGAGCATTAGTTACACATCTAAAATAGCAATCTAACATTGTTCTTTTATTTTTTATTTTAGTGGCCAGGTCTCACTATGTTGCCCAGGCTGGTCTTGCTCAAGCGATCCTCCCACCTCAGCCTCCCAAAGTGCTGGGATTACAGGCGTGAGCCACCACACCCAGCCTAAAATAGGGATCTAACATTGTTCTTATACAAGTAACTCTGCAGACTAAACTTGTCTTGATAAAATTTTGTATAAAATGATCTAAATAATCAGTTTTTGGAGGTTTTAAAATGTGTTTAGAGACATACAAACTACTGTCTCTGATTAAAATGCTTTAGGTAGAAGGAACGTGAACATGAGTAAGTAAAGAGTTAATTAGATGCCTTTAAAAGAAAATGTACTTTGAAGTCCAGGAAGAAACACAAGAAGTCATTTGTGGATTGTATGCTTTCTTAGTTCATATTTACAAACTTTAGGGCAAAGCTTTCATACGAAATTCCTTCAAATTCCGTAGTGGTGTGTGTTTTGGCACCTTTGACTATTTCTGGCTTAGAAAATGTATAGAAAGTCACACAATAATTGACATACCATTTAATTTAAAATGCCAGGGTTTCATCCTAAAAATTAATGGTCTCAATTAGTAAATCAATAAATATGTTACGATAGAATTAAAGGATGAGTGAGGATTCTAAAATTATCTTCAGAATTTAGCTCAGTATTTAAGGCCTAGAATCAAATAGGGAGGAGCCCACAGTCTAGAAATCCCGTTTGTAGTCAATGAAAAAATGAATCCAGTACAGTTCATATTTGCATTTGATTTTATTGGATAAGGAATTTTTCTTCTCCATCTTTAACTGCCCCTCTTTGTCCTTGAAGACATAGTGTGGTAGATGAAAAAATGAAGAAGACTTTATTCGGTTGGGGCTAGGCTAACGACTTGTCAAGAACATAAAGATAAACCCCAGACTTGGCTGACTTCAAGTGAATTTCATGTATTTAGCAACTTGCCATATTATCTTCGGTGATAACTCAAATTACATCTTTTTAAAGGCAGACTTGATACATATGGGTATTCAAGAAGCTGTAATAGGTGCCTTAATGCTGTTAGGGCGGAGAACACACTTATTCAATACAATGCACACTTATTGAACACCTGAAATGGGCCACCGCACTGGTCGAGAGAGCTTGACTAACACCTGGGAGCTCAGGTAGTATTTTTTTCAGAATGTTTTTCTGAAATGTGATCATCTTTGGGGCGGGGGGAGCTTAAAAATGCAAAATTGTAGGGCTCTGCCAGATCCAGTGAATCTGCATTTTAAATAAAAACCCTAGATTACTGTGCACTAAAATTTGAGACTGCCTAGATTTAGAATTGGTGACATATGTAGGCATACATATGTGCTGGTCTGAATGTTTTTTTCATATGAAATAAGCAAAAGGTCATGTTACCTGCATACAGTAATAAATACATAACTGTGCCATATTCTTCCAAGATATCTGGTCATTAAGCTCCTTGACAATTTCAGTATTTCCTTTAGGTCACTAAAACTACTAGTTAGCATTATTTTACTTGTACAGTCTGGTTGGACCTCTCCTACAGGAGCTTGTGGAAGGAGAGTGATCCTCTAAGTTGGGTCCAAAATATTCAATCACAGGACTAAGAGATTATGGCTATAATGAGGAGAACTTGTGCAGCTAGCTAGCCATAATTCTGGGGATCCAGAAGTCAACTTCCAGTTGCATTATATCCCAATTTGGTTTGAATGTATTTACTGCTCCCCAACTGTTTACAAGATGGTTTCTCTTGGATGGCTCACTATAACCTTCAACCCAACCCTACTGTTCACATGATCACAAGATTGGAAGCCAAGATCAAGTCATCCCTCTTCTCTTTTGTTGCCACTCTTTTTTGTAGAAGGGAGATGCCAGCTGCCCCTGCTGCTGCAGATTGCATCACTGCTGGATTCTTACATTGGTTTGTAGTTGGTCATCCTGGTCACTTCCCCTGCAACCACATAGTTTTAGCTCCATCTTAGTATCATGTCCCTCTGATCAGATGTTCCAGAGTAGCTTCCATTGTCAAAGGGTTAAAGGGTTTAAGGTAATCAGTAGTCAATTTTACCTCTCTGTTCTTCAACACGATCCTTCCTCTTTTTTTTGTTTTGAGAAAGGGTCTTACTCTGTTGCCCAGGCTGGAGTGCAGTGGCACGATCTCGGCTCACTGCAACCTCTGCCTCCCGGGTTTAAGCGATTCTCCTGTCTCAACCTCCCGAGTAGCTGGGATTACAGGTGCATGCCAACGCGCCCGGCTAATTTTTGTATTTTTAGTAGAGACGGGGTTTCACTGTGTTGGCCAGGCTGGTCTTGGACTCTTGTCCCCAAATGATCCACCCACCTTGACCTCCCAAAGTGCTGGGATTACAGGCTTGAGCCACCGTGTGCGCCTGGCCTTTTTTTTTTTTTTTTTTAGATGAAGTTTCGCTTTTGTCGCCTAGGCTGGGGTGCAATGGCTTGGCTCACTGCAGCTTCCACCTTCCAGGTTCAAGTGATTTTCCTGCCTCAGCCTTCTGAGTAGCTGGGACTACAGGTGTGTGCCACCACACCTGCCTAATTTTTTTATTTTTAGTAGAGATGAGGTTTCATCGTGTTGGCCAGGCTGGTCTTGAACTCCTGACCTCAAGTGATCCATCCACCTTGGCCTCCTAAAGTGCTGGGATTACAAGCATGAGCCACTGCACCAGGCCAATCCTTTTTCTTTAAAAAAACAGGTTCTTATCAGTTTTGGAAACGCAAATGCTCCCTATCAGCTCCCAGCAATACCCCCATGACCACAATGTCCTTTCTCTACCCACCCAACCTCAATATTCTGTAAGGTCCAACTCAAGCTCTCCTTTCCTAGGCATCTCCTTTAGCCTCTCAGAGTCACAATCATCTTCACTCCCCCACCCCGAGAACCTGCACTGTTTTTCCATGACCATTATACTCTGTATTGCCCTTTCTGTATTCCCTTTCTGACTTTTAATTCCACATTGCTCTGTCCAGTTCCGTAACTGTTTCATAAGAGCATGGCTTGTCTTCCCACTGGATGACCCCCTAGAGGGTGTGGATGATACATTGCACTTTAATGCCAACACACTTCTGGGAACATAAGAAATATCTTTTCTAAGTGATTGGAATAACCAGAGGACCTGTAGAATTCACCATGATATTTCTCCCTTGTAACAGGACAACGGCAAAGCATATACAGGAGTACAATTAACTTTTTTTTTCCTTTTTTTTTTTTTTTTTTTAGTGTGGAAGAGCCAAAGATCTGAAAAATTAACTTATCAATTAGATGGGCATCATGAATCAAACTAGATCTACCTCCAGGAAAAGCTACATAGAAAAGAATGCTAAATTAGTGTGTTTCTATTAGTTAAGATAAACTAAACTCCAAATTCACATACAGGCAAAAGGCTGTCATAGATTCAAGCCACACAGGCTTTTATTTTTTTCATTCTCATAGAAAAAAGAAGAGTCTTATTTTCAAACTAAAAGAGAATTCACCTTATGCTTCAAGACAATGATACCTTTTTTCTAGAATACAGGAAAAGGGATACCTTGAGAGGCAGACTGGGAACTGGACTGCTCTCAAAGTGATAATTAACAGAGCAGTTATCTACAGCTGCCAAAGAAACTTCCCCCATCAACTGAAATGTAATTTGAAATATGAGTTCATAGACAGGAAAAAGAACATAATGAAAAAATACTTTTTTTTAACAGTTTAGCATTATAGTAGGTGATGTCATCTGGTCCAAGTTAAATTTTTTCTTAATTATGTCTTTGCTATATATTATAGAATCCTAAGTCAGAGAGGAATATTGCCTATAAACCACAAAGAAAATAGTATGATGTGTATCTATGTGTATTTCCCTTTCCCTTGTTAACTACCCTGATTTTTGCTTGGTTAACTATACCTACCTCATGCAGGGTATGGATTTTATGGGGACAATAACTCCCCACTTTTAAATATAACTAATCAGGATAATTGCATCTCCTAGCCATAGTTCCTGGCATGGCATGTGATCCATTTTAGAATAGTGGGGTTAGAGAGGAATTTTTTTTTGATGCTTCTAGTAAAGGAGTCCTTTCTTTTCTCTGGAATGGTGTGGTGTGTAATGTAGTGCACCATATAAGAAGCCAGCCTCACAGTGGACCTGTCACCATGGAAGACACAGAGAAGTAACAGGAAAAGGCAGGTTCCTGATGACATCATTGAGTCCCTGAATCAAACCAACCCTGAAACCAGAACTACCACTGGAGTTTCCTGTTAAATAAGTCAATAAGTCCCCTTCATTGCCTAAGTCAGTTTTTTTCTTTTTTGGTTTGTTATTTGTAGTATCAGTTAGGACCCATGTTTCAAGTAGTGGAAAACCCAACTCGAACTGGCTTAGTATGGTTTTCTCAGAACACAGAAGAGAGTTAAGAGTGGTCTACAGAGGTTCCAGGCGACAGGAAGCTTTACAAGTTCCAGTGCCCGAGTGTTCCAAAGATTTCACATCCTCCGTTAAGAATTTAACGTTTCAATATTAAAATATTTCAGAGCACCTAGAAGCAAACCCTAGTCACTAATTTTAACTATAGTAAGAAATATCCTTTGAGGAGCTCTCACCGTCTTTTGCTGCCAACTGTACTACTTCTTTGGACCACGAGTACCTTAGAACTGCTCTTCTCTGAAACATTTTTTGAAATTCTGTTGAGTAGAAACTACTATCCCGTCACTGCTGTCATTCCCTAACACCCAGGAAACTTGTGATCACACTGGAGGCTCCAGTCTTTTGATGCCCTGCCCGCCATTTCCCCAGGCTCCCTGCCCCTTTCTCTCTTCGCTGTTTCTCCTCTCATCCCAGATCAGTTTAATGACCCTGCCTGCCCCCACTGACCATTTTTCACTACCTGACCTTTTTTGCCACACTCACATTAACACTCCTCAAAGTTGGATCAACCCAACCGTGTGTTTTCTCCTGGTTGCTGAAACCCAACTGTGTGTTTTCTCCTGGTTGCTGAAGGCCATCGAGAAAAATCTTGGCTCTGTTTTGATCCTTTCTTACTATAAATTTATGATTACCTATGTCTGTAGGATCTATAAAGCACTCATTGCTAATCAGTCTTATTTTCTATTCCTGTACTTACTTGCTTCACTCTTCAGTATCCTTGGCGCATCCTGCCAGGGTGACCTCATTGTTGATTTTGCCTGCCATTTTCCAAACACAAACAAATACAAAACAAAACTTCCCTAGTTTCTTTTCCTCTAGCTCCATGTGTTTTTTCACTTCAAATTCCCACCTCGATTTCCTGAGGTTTGTATTTCCTCTAACACTTAATTGCAATTTCTTCATGTTCATTTGTCCCATACTTGCCAAGTGCAATATTTTTGCAGTTCCCATCTTGTATAATCTTTTTATAACATTCCCTCTTTCCTAAAACTTTCTTTTCACTTGTTCCTGGAACTTGGCTTTTTGTCTTTTCCCTCTCATACCATTTTGCCTCATTTTCAATCTTTTATATTGCCTCCTCTTCCTTCTTTAAGGTAGATGGCCTCAAGTTCTGTCCTTCCCCCTTTCTCCTAGGGCTATACTTTCACCTAGGATAATCTTATCTTTTATGATCTGATGGTTTGACGACTTGCAATCTTACAGACCTTGTGAGAAAGTTAAAGTGTCCAATTGAGATATTTACCTGGACATCCAGTGAATACTAAAAATCTTTGCAATTATCCCTCAGTATCCACATGGAATTGATTCCAGGACCCCTGCAGAACCCAAAATCTGTGGATGCTCAAGTCCTTGATATAAATGGTGTGGCATTTGCATGTAACCTGTGCATATCCTCCTGTATACTTTATCTATCTATCTATCTATCTATCTATCTATCTATCTATCTATCTATCTATCTATCATCTATCTATCTATCTATCTGAGACAGAGTCTCACTCTGCTGCCCAGGCTGGAGGGCAGTGGTGCAATCTCAGTTCACTGCAACCTCTGCCTCCCAGGTTCAAGTGATTCTTGTGTCTCAGCCTCCCAAGTAGCTGAGACTACAGGCATGTGCCACCACACCTGGCTAATTTTTGTATTTTTGGTAGAGACAGGTCTCACCATGTTGGCCAGGCTGGTCTAAGTGATCCGCCCACCTCAGCCTCCCAAAGTGCTGGGATTACAGGTGTGAGCCACTGTGTCTGGCCTTTTAAATTATCTCTATATTACTTAGAATACTTAATACAATGTAAATGCTGTGTAAAAGTCATTATTGTTTAGGGATTAATGACGAGAAAAAAGTCTGTACATGTTCATACACATGTAATTTTTTGGAATATTTCCATTTGCAGTTGGTTGAATTCACAGATGCAGAACCCATGGATATGGAGGCCGATTATATGTTCCCAGATGAGAATATTATCCACATTTATTCCTCCTCTTTTTTTTTGGCATCATATCCACCACACTTCTTAACCGATGTATTGCAGAGTGCCCTTCCTTTTCCTCCCCATTACTCCATTCATTTAATTGGTCACAAAATCTTAGGATTTTTCAATCCTATTTTCTGCAGAACTCCACATTCACATAATCTTTTGGCTGTTTTTGCAATAGCCTCTCAAACTTGGCTCTAGTGACTCCCCCCGGTTCAGTCTTCTCTGCCTCCGGACAGATCTAAAATAAGACTCTGGTCATGCTACTACCCTATGCTGGCTTGATAAATGTTTATGCCTTCCTGTGGCCTACTGGATGAAGTCCAAAGTCTTTAGCATGTATTTAGCAGTTCTCTTCACTCTAGTTTCCTGCTCTTATCTATCACCTTTTGTTTGTGGTCCCCTGTCTCTAGAATAGTGCTCTATCCCTTTGCCCTCCTAGTGAAATGCTACTGATCTTTCAGGGAAGAACCAGCTCCTTTCTCTGTTTTTCTGCTGCATTTCTTCATATTCCTAGTTTAGCATGTAGCTGCATGCATGTATTTTGCTGATGGGAAGAGGACCATAATTATTCAACTTCCTATTCTTAGAGCCTGTAGTATTTGGCACGTAATGGGCACTAAATCACTATTTGTTGAATTGAAATTAATTCTATGAAAGTTGGCAAGTAGTTCTCTACCACACAGACAACATGAAAAAATATGATTTATATAATTTAAGGTATAGCATAGAAAGATTTTTTTTTTTTTGAGACACCATTTCACTTTGGAGTGCAGTGGCGCGATCCTGTCTTACTGCAACTTCTGCCTCCCGGGTTCAAGTGATTCTCGTACTTCAACCTCCCAAGTAGCTGGGATTACAGGCATGTGCCACTGTGCCCGGCTAATTTTTGTGTTATTAGTAGAGACGGGGTTTCACCATGTTGGCCAGGCCGGTCTCGAACTCCTGACCTCAGGTGATCCACCCATCTTGGCCTCCCAAAGTGCTAGGATTACAGGCATGAGCCACCATGCCCAGCCACATAGAAAGATTTTGATTAGATATTAGGAAGGATTTGGGCTACAACAAAAACTTGTTGAACGATTAAGTCAAAGCATACTCCTTTGAATACTGAAAATGTTTGCTGAGGTTGTCTCAGTTTTGAAGGACTGCTTTCCATTCCATTTTTCTTGTTATCTTCTGATCTAAACCGGTGATAAATTTTATGCTGTCCGATGACAGGCAGGAATGGTAACAGAACTTGCAGATAATAGGTTGCTTACCAAAAGTTATAGATTGACCAAATGAATTTGTTTTCTAAGAAAATGGAGGGCATTAATATAAAACTCAAATTCCTTGGAGTTACTCAAAGCCCTCAAGTATATTTGTCCTTGTCCATTGCCATGGATGTTTCCAAAATGTAAGCTTTGATGAGAAGTGGTAAAGAAAATAAGGCATTCAAACAACAGACATGAGACTCTTGAGTGGCAGGAAATTTTCCATCTCACTTGTAGGTGCAGATGTTCTTGGATTATCCCCTGCTAGGATCTCTTCTGGCTAGTCCACTTTGAGTGTAAACAGGGTTCATCAGGGAAAGGTAGTCTGATTTATTTATTCTCATAAACTTTCTTACATGTGCAAGCCAGATGATTGGTCATGGAGTGAGCTGGGGAAAGAAATGATGCTCTTAGCATAATTAGATAGAACCTGTCTTGGGAGTATGATTTTGTAGGGGGCACATCTTGCCTACACAACTTTTGTAATTATGTAAGGAGCTGATGATCCCATTATCAGACTCTTCTGATCATAAGTTTATTTAATTGTGCTTCAATTAGAGAGAAGGAAGGAGAAGAAACAAAAATGCAAGCCAGTTCAATCTGCTGATTCCTAGGCATCCTGGTGGAAGAGCTGATGAAAAAGGAGATATGAAACTACCAAAGGAAGGCCTCTAGATTTTTCATAAATTAATGAGTGCATATTATCAGTAATGGAGAGAGGATCTTTGTTTTTCCTTTTTGTCTTTGGAGACAGGGTCCAGGGTCTTACTCTGTTGCCCAAGCTGGAGTGCACTGGCATGATCGTGGCTCACTGAAGCCTTGACATCCCAGGCTCAAGTGATCTTCCCACCTCAGCCTCCTGAATAGCTGGGACTACAGGCATATGCCACCATGGCCAGCTACGTTTGCTTATTTTTTGTAGAGAGGAGGTCTCACTATGTTGCCCAGTCTTGTCTCGAACTCCTGGGCTCAAGCAATCCTCCTGCCTGTGCCTCTCAAAATACTGGGTTTATAATCATGAACCAACACACCTGGTGCAGGATCCTGTCTTTTCTTATGGGATCTTTGTTTGAGGTGTAGTAAGCAAGAACCTCTCTCTCTCTCTTTTTAATAGGTTAAAGTTGACAATTAGTGTTAATGAGTAGTTTATATCGCTGACATTACTATAAAAGGCATCCTACTATGAGATTAAAAAAAAACTTAGACAAACTGAGGGAGTAAGGATTTGTCTGATTATACCTTGAAATAAATATATTTTTAAGTTATTCTTAATAAATTATCTCTGTATAGATTATAGTCATTTAGACCAGACTTAACTTTCCATTTTCATTTAAGTTGTCTAAAAACTACATTCAACTTTATTGCCTGGTTGTTGCAAGGATACTTAATTCAAGTCTCTGAAAGCATCTGTTTTTTCCGATTCCTTCTGATGATCCTGAAAAATTCCTTTAGCGAACTGAGCTGGAGGCTTGGCAAAAAAGAACATTCATCGCTTACATTTTCTAGAAGTCACCATTACTATGATAAGCACAAAGGATCCATTTTTAGTGAAGAATATCAGGAGACAGCAGGCTAGTGCTAGAGGAAATTTGATGAGCATGGTTTTCCAGGTCTTCCCAATTCCTTGAGGGAGACGGGCTTGGGTGGGTAGCAATGGTAATTTGCCTGCCCACAGGTACATCTTGGGTCCTGTTGGGTAGAGGGAAGCCCAAAGTAAGGGATTTCCAAATCTCTTTTACCCTCAATTACAATGCCCCAACCCCGCAGCTTAATTTCTTTATATGGTTACAAAAGCAGCCTTTAGCAAACCACCTGTGTCTAACATCTTGACATATTTTCTTATTTCATAACATTTGCTCCATCTTGCGCAGATTATATAATAATGGTTGGACACCAGAAATTTCCAGTCACACAGAATGAACGATGTATGTGTGTAAACAGACACAGTTAGTTCTGGGAAGGACTAGCTACATAATTTGTGGAGCCCAGTACAAAATGAAAATTTAAAAAAATTATTAAGAATTTCTAGATAGCAACAGCAGAGTATTAAACCAAGTGTGTGCCTGTTCTGAGCATAGCGTATGGTTCATACACCCATGAAGCTGGCTCTGGTTCTAGATTTAGGGATGCTGAGCATAGCAGACCCAGCCTGAGTCTGCACCAGAACCCTGTTTTCATTTGTTCTTACTCTATCCTCATTGCGTGTGTGTAATATTTTTTTGACATGCACATAATTTTACAGTCAATTCAGTCTGCGATTTACAATGCAGTAGAGAATAATCAGGTTTAAAAATTTGTGTTTAAAAACATAACATGAGATCTACCCTCAACAAATTTTTAAGTGTACCGTATGTGCAGTGTTGTTTACTATAAGCGCAATGTTGTACAGCAGATCTATAGAACTTTTTCATCTTGCATAACTGAAACTTTCTACCTTTTGAACACCTCCCCATTTTGCCATCCGCTCAGGCCCTGGCAACCACTGTCCTTTCTGCTTTGGTGGATTCGACTACTTTAGATACCTCATAGAAGTGGACTCGCATGGTATTTGTCCTTTTGGGTCTGGCTTATCTCACTTATCATAATGTCTTTAAGGCTCATCCCTGCTCTAGCACATGATTTTCTTCTTTTTCATGGCTGAATAATATTTCATTGCACGTATATGTCACGTACTCTTTATCAATTGATCTGTTGATGGGCATATCAACAGATGGTTGTTTCCGTATTTTGGCTATTGTGAATAGCGTTTCAATGGACATGAAAATGCAGGTATCTCTTATCTTCATGTGTTTTTAATAGGTCTGTATCTCACAAATAGTAGTCCATCCTTTTGGCAATATAATTCAATTATTAAATGAATATAATCAGATTTATGGTTTTACAGACTCCTCTCTATTAAAATGTCCACCTTAGGTTACCTAGCTTGCAATTTGGGCATTAAACCAACTTTCCAGAGAACTAAACTCACTCTGGGACTATGCGAGATGGCGCAGGCCCTGTGATGGATGATCTGCAAGGGTCAGTGGCACATGGTGCTACCTCACCAGCCTCCAAGGGGTGTATTTCATCAGCACAGTAAATAAAAATATCACTCTGGAAGGGATGTTTTGAGACTGAGTAAATATTTGCCAGCAGGGCCTCGGCCCCTTCAGGCAGAGAGAGACCTGGGGCATTCAGCTGCAAACATGTCTCTATTAAGAGCTAAGGCTTGGGTGAGTGTGTTAGCAATGCCTCCAGCAGCAGAAGCAGCAGACAGAAGCAGCAGCAGCAGCAGCAGGCTCTGTGCTGATTCTGGAATCTGTTTTCTTTGCCTAAATCTTAGTTGCTGGGTTTTAGTTCTCATTCTTGATTAGAATGTTTCCGGGCCTTTCACTTCCACAATCTTGTTTTGCTTCAGGGAGGAAAAATGGAAAGTTCAGGTAGCAGTAGTTTGTCTTTGTGAGGAGCAAGCAGCTTGATTTTATATGCACGTGGAAAGCAAAAACAAGAGAGAAAACTGGCTGAGTGATTGCTGCTCCTGCTGTGATAAATTTTCTAGCAAGCTCCAGGTAGTTCTGGCTTTCTCTTGGTCTTTTTGCTTGTCAACCCTATGAGCTGGTGAATGAGGATGACGCTTGCCTTTATACAGACAGACCTCAGCATATAAATCACCTGCAAATGTTCTTAGGCTATTTGTACTTATAGAGGCATCATTGGCACGCGCATGCACTCACGCGCTTGCACACACACACATATATGTGAATATATGTGTGTGTGTCTGTGTGTGTGTGTATATATATATGTATATATAATTCCTCCTTTCTTGTTGTGGTGCTAGATTGAGCATTCTTTTTGTTCTAAACTTTTGTGATGCTCTAGTCATCTGTGATAATAAGAAGTGGCTGCTCTTATCGCATTTTAAACTTGTGAAATCCTGTGGCTCTCTCTTCTCCAGCAGTGCTGTTCAGGAAGGGTCAGTACAAGGTTATGTGCAGGAGCACTCAACACAGCCCGCAGAAATACACGAGGGAAGTGGGCAGCCAATGGAGTGCACACTGAAAGAATCAGCAACGCGGGGCTGTTATATATTAGTGATATTTTGGCATGAACATGACCCTGGCTTTTATTGTGTGGTCTTTCAGAAGCTGGGAAACCAGCCTTTTATTGGTCTGTTCCTCAGAGTATTGCATCCAGCACACTGTGCTGTGGTCTTTACATCTTAAGGTGAATGTGGTAAAATTGGAAAGGGACCACAGATGAGCAATGGAATTGATTAAAGGCATGAAAAATGGGACTTATGCCTTAGGAAATGTCCAAGGAGTTGGGGCTGCTTTAATAGAGAAAAAAAAACCTGAAGGAGTTATTCGTAGGCGTGAAAATATTAAATATATTGTTTAAGTGGCACTGATATCCCTTTTTGAGCAGACTTAAGCAAGTGGATGGAAAACATTTAAATCAGACACGAAAGAATAGTTTTTTTTTTTTAAATGGAGTTTTGCTCTTTTGCCCAGGCTGGAGTGATGTGGCGTGGTCTCAGCTCACTGCAACCTCCACCCTCTGGGTTCAAGTGATTCTCCTTCCTCAGCCTCCCGAGTAGCTGGGATTAAAGGCACCAGCCACCATGCCCAGCTAATTTTTGTATTTTTAGTAGAGATGAGATTTCACCACATTGGCCAGACTGGTCTCAAAGGCCTGACCTTAGGCGGTCCACCAGCCTCGGCCTCCCAAAGTGCTAGGATTACAGGTGTGAGCCACCGCCTCTGGCCAAGAACACCTTTTTAATAGGAAAGAGTACTGAACACAGGAACAGGTCTCTTAAGGAAAGTGAAGAATGCCTCTTTTTCACCATTTACAGACAGACTAGATGACCACATGGACTGGATATTTGAGGTGTAGGCTGAGACTGAGTAAATATTTGCCAGCTGGGCCTCAACCCCTCCTGGCAGGAGGCACCCTTGAGGCCTCACCCACACCGTATTTTCTGTGGTCTCAGCTCAGCTGTCACCCATAGGAAGATGTCAGCAATGTACTCTCCTGATTTAGAAGGGTTGGGATGCCTTGATTACCTGTCTTAATATTAGCCTCCCTCTCCAATTTCTCCTTTAGCCATTTGTTCCATGTTTCAGGGTATACCAGTTTTCCTGATATGAGCAGCCTGGCTGACTACTGCTAGATCTCTTGGGTCAGTTGTGGCCACAGTAAATGGACACTCAGTAGTGGTATATAACTATGATCCGTGTGTATTGCAGGGGACAGAATCATTTGGCACAGCTACTGGTTGTCCTGACACACACAGGTGGAAAAATATGGTAAAGAGACTTACTGAGGCCATCCATGGTGGCTCATGTTTGTAATGCCAGCACTTTGGGAGGCTGAGGTGGGAGGATCATGTGAGACCAAGAGTTCAAGACCAGCCTGAGCAACATAGTGAGACTCCATCTCTACAAAAAATAAAAAAATTTAGCTGGCCTTGTTGGCACATGGCACATGCCTGTAATCCCAACTACTTAAGAGGCTGAGATGGGAGGATCTCTTGAACCCAGGAGTTCAAGGCTGCAGTGAGCCATGATCATGATACTGCACTCCAGCCTGGGTGAAAGAGCAAGACTCTGTCTCTAAAAACCAACCAACCAACCAACCAACCAACCAACCAACCAACCAACCAACCAGCTAACTAACCAACCAACCAACCAACCAACCAACCAACCAACCAACCAACAAACAAACAAACCAACGAACCAACAAACCAACAAACCAACAAACAAACCAAATCACTGGATTTTGAAGACCATGGTTTACAGTCTAGTTCTGCTGCCTACTAGCTCAGTGAACTTAGATGAGCCACTCAAGTTTTCTGAGAAAATAACAATAAGGATGAAAATAACAATGCTCAATTCACTGCGATTTTATGAGATTTTAAGGAGATGAAAAAGTGCTCTGTGAACTGTAAATTCCTGTGCAGCGGTCCGTCTTGTGTGGCCAGTGTTAGCCTTTAATCCCACTTCCTGGCTTCTGGTCCCTGGAACTCTCCTCTGCTCCCTGCTCCCTGGCTCCTGGGATCAGGCTGCTGGACTGTGCAGGTGTCTGATTTCCTCCTCTCAAGAAAGATTCGGGGTTTCTCAGGTCTCTCCATATGTAGCCTTTCTTCTCATCATTCTTTCAGGATTCTAATCCCAAAGGGGTGACAATAGGGGGGCAGTAGAGGGTTGACCAGATAAACGAACCTTTCCAGTCACTCATTTTAAATGGGCAACCTTTGCCAGATAACACAGTGTCTTGATCCAGGTAAAATATGTGTGTTCATTAAGAAGGCTCTCAAAGACTGAAGGTGCTGCTGGTGATGACTGGAAACTCAGGCTTGTGTGTGAAGCTTTTGGAGGAGTGATTCTGGTCAGCAGGCCCCATCACTCCCCAAGTTACACCAGGCAGTACTTGCCTGTGAGGCTCAGTGTGAATGGCACTGTCTGAAGAGAAGCCAGGGCCTGGGGGAGGGTAGGTCTTCCTGTCTTCCCCTCAACATGTGTGCCTGCACAGGCATACACAGTCTCTCTGAGGAGAATGGTCAATCCATAGAGGTTGGGCTGGGGGCAAGTCAGAGAGCTCAATTCTGAACATTTGTCAGTAAAATAATGCTGCCTCTTAAAATAGCTCAAAGATGTTTCTGTGCAAGGTGCTTTTGTGGATATCTGCCTATAAATAAATATATATATACATTATATATATATATAAAACCTATGTCTAAGCAGAAGGTATATCTTTAGCTGCACTATGTATATAAACACATATTCAAGCACATGCCCAAATATAAGTCATCATGAAACAAAAATGATTGAAGTCACATAAGTTACAATATTTATGTCCTGAGGATGGCTAAACTTAGCTACAACATCTAATTTGCAGTGACGTCTTTCTTTAACAAGTTTTATAAGAGGGATGATTTAAGTCAGGGAAGAGCAGTGACTCATTCACATGGTGGGCCAGTGGCTGAGCTATGTTTAGAATAGAAGGGATGCTAGGATCTTCTGGGGCTTAGATTTTTAACATTAAGTCATTTTGCTCTTCCACACTGTTTTTTTTTTTTTAATCATTCACTTAGGTAAAACCAGGAACTTGTAATGCAATAGTAAAATTCTCATTTTCCTTACTTAATTAGTTCACTTTATATAACTCTCTGTTTCAGGTTCTTCTTTTGAGACTCCATTCAAATAGTTTGGGCTTATTTTGGTTGTTTTGCAATTTCTGATATGAGATTTTACCAGATAGTTTTTTACCTTTCAATTTTGATAAAGGCAAAGGCCTTCAGCAATTACATATAGAAATGGAGAGACAGTTGGGAAAAGTAAGAAATTCTCTTGCCCCAAAGGGACAAAAGAGTCAATTCTTTTGCCCCAAAGGGAGGAGTTAATGATCTGAATAATACAATACTTGACATGCATTCAAAAAACATTTAAGGCCAGGCATGGTGGCTCACGCCTGTAATCCTAGCACCTGGGGAGTCCAAGATGGGCAGATCACTTGAGGTCAGGAGTTTGAGACCAGCCTGGCTAACATGGTGAAACCCCGTGTTTACTAAAAATACAAAAAAATTACCCAGGCATAGTGGTTCACGCCTGTAGTCCCAGCTACTCGGGAGGCTGAGGCAGCAGAATCGCATGAATCCAGGAGGCAGAGGTGGCGGTGGTGGAGTGAGACTCTGTCTCAGAAAACAAAAACAAAGACAAAACCAAAAACATTTAATACCTGAAGGCAGTACTAGGGCTACCAGGGAGAGAGGGATTACCCTCAAGGAGCTCACATGTTTTTCTTCTGTGAGAAAGATGGAAATGCAAACAAGTAATTACGAGGTAAGAAGAGAAAAATGAAGTTATAAAAATCGCTGTGGGAACCAGGAGGAGGGACTAACCCAAATTAAAGAGGCTGGGATCTAGACAGTGTCAGAGAGGAGCAGACTGGGGTTTATGGAAGTCAGGGTAGGAGAGCCATCCCGGGCAGCCACTAGTATGTGCAAACGCTTGCAAACAAGGTGTGTGCGGAGCAGCCAGGCCGAAATGAGTCTTCTTTGGATTTTAATAGCTAGGGCTGTTTAAATGCACAAAGCCTCCACCTGGAATTGTTCCAAGGGAGGTGGGGTGGATGGGGCAGAGGGAAGGTGTCTGGAGGCCATAACCATGTAAGATGTTAAAAATCCTTCTCTGATTCTTAAGATTTTCCAGAAATGAGGATTCAGATACTCTTGCTTCTGTTAAGGTGACGGGTAGGTCAAGACTTATGACCTAAGCGTCTAATGTACCATGGCGTAGGGTAGTGGTTCGCAATCTTGACTGCACTCTGGAATTACTTGGGGGAACTTTAAATAAATCTTAGCAGCCAGGCCAATTAATTAGAATACAAGGGTGAGGGAGGACCCAGAGACAAGTATTTTTAAAGCTCTCCAGGTGATTCCAATATACAGCTAAGATTGTGCATCAGTGGTACAGGGCAAAGTAGTTTGCAAAGTGTGGTCCCTGGACCAGCGGCATCACCTGGGACCTTATTAGAAATAAAGATTTCTGGTTCCTACCTGATGCCTACTGCATTAAGAAATCTAGAGGTGAGTCCCAACCATCTGTGTTTTAACAAGCTTTCCAGGTGAGCATGCTAAAATTGGAGAATTGTTTGTCTGAAGAGACCATTTGTTCCGATAACTTCATTTTCCTAATCGACTCAGCAACTTCAAGCTTCACTGATTTTTCAATTGCAACCGCTGCTGCCATAACCTTACCTGGCAACAAAGAGGCTCTTTTCTTTATGGCTCCCTGGTCTGGGTAAGAATCAACAATTTCTTACTTGTTCCACTTGGTCAGATTGAAATTTTCAAAAGGACCTTTACTATAGGAAAGCAAAAAGGAAACAAATGATATTCAAAAGCATAAAAACCATTGGTTGCTTAGCGTGTTGAGAACTGAACATTAACAAAAATCCTCCACTTATTAATTCATTTAAAAAAATGTGCATTGAACATCAGAGACACAAAGATAAAACTAGAAACACCCCTAACATGAAGGGGCTCAGGGTTCTCGGGAAAGACAGATATAAATAAGTGTGTGTAAAGCAACATAAGAGGTGCCACCGTGGAAACCTCTTCTTCACAGGACTCATCAACAGAGTTGGGGACAGGTTTTGTGGGATCCAAAGTTTGCTCATTTTTCTGAGGGAAGCCTTTTAAAGAAAAGAATACAAAATTATGATAAAACATTAGCTGCAGGCCTTGAAATGGGGCCTGAAGTGGCAGCTTCTTGAGCTTCCGGGTAAATGTGCCTCTGGTATCACAGTTTAGGTGGTAGCCTCCTCAGGACGGGGACTGTGTTAATCTGTCTCACCACCATATCCTCTGTGTTTAGCACAGTGACTGGTACTTAGCAGTGCCTTAATAACTATTTATCAAAAGAAAGAGTAAATCTGTTATAGTCTAAGGAGGAGACATAAACTAGTTCTGTCCTTGTTCAGCTGGAGAAACCCCCAATTGTAATTATTTTGGCTTGACGTTGGTCTCATGGAAGGCCTGGAGATATATCTTTCTTCCAGAACTCACTCTTCTCTTTGACGTGCCTTCCATGAAACCTGGACTGTCTATACTGATATTATTACCTGGTTCTGTCTTTCCCGCTAAAGCCTGGTCCATTGGGTGAGAAAGTTCTAACTTCAAGAGCCCTAATCCGAGTATTAGGTTTCTTTGCCGGAATGTCACTGAATCATCTTTCATCCATTGAGAAGCTTCTTTGCTCTGACCTCTGAAACTCTTTCACTTTCTCTTGATCTGAACCTCAAGGTAAGGTTTGATTTAGTGATGCTTATTCATCAACCAGATGACAATAGCTGGTTACGTCGACTGGTTAAGCTTGGCTTTCTCATTAGTGTCTTTGACTATAATCTGGCTCGATGTTCATATTCACCATGTGACTCAAAATGGTGAACTCCATTTGTTTCTCGCCACAGAGGATTTACGTCCATTTTTTTCTTAATTTTTTATTTTTTATTATTATGGGTACATAATAGTTGTATACATTTATGGGGTACATGTGATGTGTTGATACAGGCATACAATGTTGTAATGATCGAATCAGGGTAATTAGGGTATCCATCAACTCAAGCACTTATAATTATGTCTATATTTTTCATCCTCATTCAGAGGATGTCACCCGTATCTGCTTCTCCCCCCTGTGATTGCCTATTCAATTTCAGCATTTGGTTTAAGGAGCGTATCAATTGAGACCTCCTTTGCATAACCACGATGCATGATGTGACCCATGATGCGTGACTGAGCCCAACTTATACTCAGTGCTTTTGCTTCTGTGATTCTCCTGAGAGTTTCTCATAAAGGCTACTTGGTATGGTTTCCCATTGCACCAACTACACCTCTAAGAATATAGGTTTTTAATGGCAGGGGCATGGTTCTCTTGCAAGTTTGGGACTGTGGTCCACGGGGATCTTCATATTTGCTTCTTTGTCTTGTTGCCTTTGGGATTTCTAGATGGTTTTGCTTGAATTGCTTAAAATTTCCTCTGTTTGTCCCACTTTACATTTTTCTCTATTGTTAAACATTAATTTGTTTCTACTTTAAAAACGATTACATTCTGAGGTGCTGACAATATTCTCCTTCTTTATTTAGGTGACGGTTACATGGGTGAATTCAGTTTGTGACAATTTATTGAACTGTAGGTTTATGGAATGTGCACTTCTCTGAGAATAATACTTTAATAAAAATCTATTATTAAATATTATGAAAATGTGCACATTTGTACACAAAGAATTTGTAAAATTTAGTTTTATAAGCATAGAACTACTGGATTATAAACTTTTTAAAGGTTCTTGCTAAATTGCTTTCAAAAGAGTATATCAGTTTAAATGTCCACCATCAGCACTAAATTTTTTGGGTGTTTTTGGAGACAAAGTCTTGCTCTGTTGTCCAGGCTGGAGTGCAATGGGGCAATCATATAGCTCACTGCAGCCTCTAACTCTTGGGTCTTGCTATGTTGCCCATGCTGTTCTCAAACTCCTGGCTTCAAACTATCCTCCTGCCTTGGCCTCCCCAGGTGGTAGGATTACAGGTGTGAGCCACTGAGTCTGGCCAGTACTAAATCTTATTAGTTAAAAAAACTTTGATAATATATAAATAAAATGTACATTATTCTAATTTAAATTTCTTTAAGTATCCATACAGTTGAACATGGCCCAATTTAGAAATTTTAAATTATAAAATAATTTCTTTGTATATTTACGTATACATATATACATGCACCCTTAAAGTAGATACAAATTTGCATATATATACATATATGTAAATGTGTATGTTATCTATACCCATATACCTATTGTGGAAAAACTGGAAATGTAGAAGACTAGAAAGAAAAAATTGGGCTGGATTAACTTTAAGCTCTGAGTGCTATGACCCTAATATCAGAAATTTCGTATCTAAGGCTATATAGCTAAAGTCATGATAAGGAGGCTGGGCTCAAAACCATCTCTAATTAGAACAGCCTTATTTTTTATTCTTAAATAAAAACCTAGGTACTTTTCTTTTCAGATATGGGGGCTTGCTCTGTCACCCAGGCTGGAGTGCAGTGGCATGATCATAGCTCACTGCAGCCTCAAATTCCTGAGCTCAGGCAATCCTCCCACCTCAGCCTCCTGAGTAGATAGGACTACAGGCATGTACCACCATCCCCAGCTAAGTTTGTATTTTTTACTTTTTTTAGAGATAGGGTCTCATTATGTCACCCAGACTTCTGGACACATTTTAATCTAATTGAAAGCCATCCTGAACGAGTGGATCCTATTATTATGTGTCTATAAGTTATATCTACAAATAATTACTGCTCTAAAGATAAACAGATTCTCTTAGATAGAATTCCTCTATCTAGAATACCAGAGCTTTGGGAGGCTGAGGCGGGAGGATCAACTGAGGCCAAGAGTTTGAGACTCTGTCTCTTCAAAAAAAATTTAATTAGCTGATTGGAAGGCATGTGCATGTAGTCCTACCTACTCAGAAGGCTGAGTGGAGAGGATCACTTGAGCCCAAGAATTTGAGGCTGCAGTGAGCTATGATAGTGCCACTGCACTCCAGCCTGGGTGACAGAGCAAGATCTTGTCTTTAAAATAAATAAATGAAAAGTGCAATACAATTATAAAAAAAGAATTCCATTAAACACTCAATGATGAAATTTTACTTATACTTTTAGTTGTATCTCACTGAAAAGGTTACAGTTTCTTTGTTATTTTGAGCACCTCAGAAAGCCTTGCTTGTTCTTGCACATTCTGAATATTGTTTGGGGAACATTTCATTTTGGAACAAGCAACAATGGAAAGTCTGATGACTCTAATTCAGGAGTGTTTGCGTCCCAGGAGGCTCATCTTATCCCAAAATGTATCACTGTGTTTACACTTTCCAACTCTAGTTGTTCTCCATCTTTCATACAGAAAAACAAAATGCCTATTGCTCCCTCTCAAAGTCTCAGAGAATACTAATGCTATGTGTGTCAAGCCTTGCTAAGACTGGAACATTTCTCCACCAAGTGTTTATTTCTAACCAAGCTTTTAATGTCAGTCCTTGGGCCAGTTAACACCAGCCTATCTTAGGTTGGCTCCCCAGACGCAGACCCTGGAAAAAGGATTCTTGGAAGATGATGTACTTATTAGGAAGTGTCCCTTGTAAGGTTTTAGGAAGTGTGACTTGGAAGGGAGCGAAGCCAAGCAAGGGCACAGTGTGAAGTAAAGTCCTACAAAGAGGAACACCTGGAGTTCGACTCTTTTGGGTTGCCCAGCGGAGCAGTTTTCACTCTGCACCTGTCAGTCATAGGTTAAGGGGTCTCCTTCCACCCCTCACAACCTCTGACATAGATTCCCAGGCATTTGTGACAATTTCTGCAGGCAGCAAAGTGGATTGACAAAGGAGACACAAATGCTTGCAACTGGGAATCAAAGTGCACTGGGAGCTAGTGAGCATGAAAACGGTAATGGGATTTGAAGACAAATGAGAGGGTCATGGACAGCCTCTGCTGCATCAGCCTGCAGATCACATGTGAGGGAAAGGAGCTGGGAAGTGGATGTTTTCATTCAGATAAGCTGACTCTCCATAGCTTTAGTTCCACAATCTCTAGAGGCCACTATTTCCCATTGCCATCACAGACAACATCTGGGAGGACTTTCGGGTGTGGGAGGGAAGTAATGACAATGATAATATAATTGAAGCTCATATTTATGTTATATGACAGGTTCAGCTAAGTGCTTGGCACATATTTCTTCATTTGCTGAAGCCCATAAAGTTTTAAGTAGCTTCTTCCAGGTCATTCAATTAGGTAGTGGCAGAGCTGGGTCTTAAGTGGTGGACTGAGAGGAAGTTCATGTTCTTAGTCTCTGTGCAGAGCTGCTCCTGACACATCCTCAGAGGCCTGTGAATCAGGGCTCTGCATTTGTCCTGCAAGGGAGAGGATCCAGAGGACAGGATTTCTAATAACAATGAGGACACAATTCTTTCTTAGGGCACCATTTCCTTAACAACACTTACCATGACTTGTAATTCTACGTATTTTTGTTTACTTGTCTGTGGTCTCAGTTGCCTCAGTGTGTCAGCTACATGAGGGCAGAGATCAAGCTGCTAGGTCACCAAGGATCAGTGTGTCAGGAGTCAGTGAGTGGACAGCTCAGCCTCTCCCTCCTACTCCCAGACTGTGATCAACTGTAGGGACAGGCTCCTTCCTCTATTTACCTAAGTAAATTTGAAGATTAGATTTTCTATGTAATGGCTATATGAACCAGGCCACGTTATTTATTTAGTTTTCTTGAGACAGGGTCTCACTCTTTCACCCAGGCTGGAGTGCAGTGGTGCGGTCACAGCTCACTGTTATCTCCAACTCCTGGGGTCAAGTGATGTTCCCACCTCAGCCCCTGAGTTGCTGGGATTACAGGTGCACCCTCCCATGCCTGGCTAATTAACCTTTTTTTTTTTTTTTTTTTTTTTTTTTTTGTAGAGAGTGGGTCTCACTATGTTGTCCAGGCTGGTCTCATACTCCTGGCCTCAAGGGATCCTCCCTCCTCAGCCTCCCAAAGTGCTGGGATTATAGGCATGAGCCACTGAGCGTGGCCCCTGGACACATTATTTAATCTCTTTGAGCATAATTTTTCCTGGTGAAAAGTGGGGATAGTTGTACTTACTTCAAAAGGTGTTGAAATGACTCAATGTGATAATTATAGAGAGGGCCTGGCTTATAATAGGACACACTGAATGTCCACATTGAATGGGAAAAAACACGACTGCTGTGAGGGAGGCTGGAAGAGGGGCTTTGTCATTTTCCCTTTGAATTAGAACCAGAGATTCAGACTTTACAAAGGGCTCTTGGCTTTGTGTCCCACAAGCTTTTTTGTGCCTGGATTGTGGGTCAGGCCTAGGTAGGCTGTGCACGTGTCTGAGCCCCATGTGGAGCCACAGGGCTCGGGTGCCCTAGCTGCACTGAGAGTTGACAGAGCCCCACCCACCGCCATTCGTCGGATAGATGGGTTTCACTGAGTGTGTCGTACCTCAGCCACATGACTTAGATCCTGGAGAGAAGCAGGTTCCTGAAGGCACTTCCATTAACCACTTAATACGCTTAGGAGCCAGTAACACTGGCAGCATCAGGTTATTAACCAGAAAGTATTTCTCAAGTAGGTTGAAACATATTTGTTTCCCTACTCTTCCTGTCCATTCAGAGCAGATGCCTGTTGTCATGGTAACAGAAACAAGAGCAAGTAAGAGTTTTTGAGTGCCCTAAACGCTTTTGTGCAAGAAGAAGGGTGAGGTTGATCTGAAATGTGGACTTGAAATATCATTTTCATCTCCCTCTATATATAGAGGGCAGATGTCATGATTGTTTCTGAATCCATTCCCTCAAAATAAGCACATTCTGTTACTGTATTTGAAGATTAAAGGAAAGAGAACGGGAGATGGAGAGAAAAGAGGTTCTCCTTTTTCCCTCTTGCATTTTCCTAAACTATTTCATCCAGGGATATGCTTCTGGAAACCTTTTCCCTCTCTCTTGGGCACAGGGATTCTTAATAAACACACTTACCAGTTTTGAGAAAATTTATAACTTTTTCTCCTTGTGGTCTCTGCATTTAAAAAATATGTAGGCTAGGTTCTTTCTTTTTTTAAACATAGATCTGATTTAACTAAACAAACAAATAAACAAAAAATATTGGATTTGGTTTGGAGTTTGATAAAGAGTGAATTTTACTTATTTTTTTTCTGTCTGATTCAAAGTATGTTCCCTGTTCTAGGAATCTCTCCTTCAGTCTAGACCCCTTTTGCCCCCTTTCAGCGATGAGGTTCATATCTTGTGCCTTCTCGGTTCTGTCCCTTTCCTTTTCAAGCTGCACAGACACACCGGATAGTCCTTTATACAGCACACTCCTGGCACAGTGTGCACCTCATGGGTTCCACTCTCGTGCTTCACCCATCTCCCTTTGCAGTCTCTAGGACTCAGCTCACTTCCCTCAGTCCCATCATGGAGTTTAGACTTCCTGATTCCAAGTTATCCCCTCAATCCTGTGTGTGAACTCCTGTGTGTGTCTGTTGTGGGTTTGTGTGTATGCGTGCATGCACATGTGTGCTGAAAGACATCAGTCCCCCTATTGGTCATCTCTATGACCAATAAAATAAGAGATTGCCACAGGAAACCTAAGGTTGGATACCTGAGGCTAAGGTGGGGCTGGGCAAAGATAAGAACTAGAGGGCCTAAGACCAAGAGGAGGTGGAGCTTGGGAGAGGACTGTGGTGCTGGAGGCAGGAGAGCTCAGTGGCAGAGACCAGGCACTGTGCAGGCTTCTGAGCCTGCTGGCACCCAGGATTCTATCCTTTCCAGCTGTGGAAACTTGGACAATTTATTGAACTTCTTTAAGCTTCAGGTTCCTCATCTGTAAGATAAAATAATTTTAGTACCTACCTGATATGGTTTGGCTGTGTCCTCACCCAAATCTCATCTTGAACTGTAGCTCCCACAATTCCCATATGTGGTGCGACGGACCTGGTGGGAGATAATTGAATCATGGGGGTGGTTTCCCTCTACTGTTCCCATAGTAGTGAATAAGTCTCACCAGATCTAATAGTTTGATAATAGGTTTCTCCTTCCTTGGCTCCCATTCTCTCTTGCCTGCTGCCATGTAGGACGTGCCTTTAACCTTCTGCCATGATTGTGAGGCCTCCTCAGCCATGTGGAACTATGAGTCCATTAAATCTTTTTTCTTAATAGATTACCTAGCCTTGGGTATGTCTTTATCAGCAGCATGAAAACGGACTAATACACTACTGTAGAGTTTTTTGAGTATTAGTTGAAATAACATGCATACAAATTACCTGGTGTTGTACCTGGCCCATGCTTAATGCTCAATATTATTATTATTTGTTAACAGTACTACCCCTGTAGATTAACTTTGTCAATTTGTATAGGCTGCCTTTCAAGAGAAACTGTTTGTCTGGACCAAGTACCTCTCTTGGTAAAGTTTGAGAGCATAAGAAATTTCAAAGGTTTAAATAGGCAGTTCTTAACTTGTGATACTTTATTAAGCACTTGTGGTATATTTGGATTTTTGAAGTTCAAGAAAAAAATTGAGAAAAAATGCTTAACATTTGCAAAAACAAGGGACATGAGTATAAATAAAGGTTCACAAATCATAGATCTAAATACTGATAAATCATACATCAAGCTACCAAAATGTAACTCTGTTGTAACTTCCCATCTTGACACATACATCTTCATGACAACCTGGAAGGCAGCTTTGAATTGAGAATTTTTGGACTCCTTGGCAGTCTGTACAGGAATGTGGTGGCACAGCGAGAGCAAGCGCTGGTCCTCGGCCTGAGGCCAGCCCCTTCCCTCCCCATCCCCGGCTCTGTCTTGCATGCAGTGGTGTGGGCCTCCCTCCCTCTCGTGCAGACCACTTCTCAGGCCTAGTGGGGAGCACTCTAGTCATGGGCTCCACCCTCTGGAGGAAGGACCCTGGAAGTGGTGTTGCACAGGCTCCAAAAGCAGGTTTGGGGTCGTTTGACCTGGAAATCCTGGGGTCCTAGATACTCAAAGCATGGTCTAGGAGAGGGTGTGGGCTTCAGGCCCTGTGGGCTCCCCATGAGGAGGGTTACAGCTGGACAAGCACCAGAGTTGTGACAACTCTTGCCTGGGCCTAATGGACACAATTTCCTACCTCTACTGATGGAAAAGAAGTCTGGTAAACTTAACTTAAACATTAAAAAATTCCTGTACAAACATAATGAAGGGCCGATGAAAGCACATTAATAGTCTGTATTTAACAAATAAGTCTAGTTATGCATTACCATAATTTTATTCTGGTAGCAGAGTTGCTTTTGTAGTATCAGTATCTCAGTGCTCACTTATGGTTTAATAAAGCATATTTAGAATCAATACCATATGTTGCAGAATTAATTAAAAACATCATTTGTATTTCTGCTGTCTAAAACATGAGTCACAGATTCACAGATTTTAACAGTTCATTCATTCATGCCACAAATATTGGGTGCCTATTCAATAAGTACTTGCCAGGTACTGTGCAAGGCACTCTACATACTATCAGTAAAATAGAGAATGACTAGATCTGCATTTTATAAACAACTGACACAGGCATTAAGTTGGAAATTCAGGCTCAGAGATGGGAAAGTGTAGGAGTTTTCTGGAGATTATGAGGGTAAATATCTGCTTAGGAAATATTTCTTGATTTATAATATGTTCTTATTTTTCAACAATAGCACTTTATTTGCACTTGCTTAAAAATGTGAATTAGGAAATTTAGAAGCATTCTTCTTAAAAATGGCTCTTCTCTGTGGATCCCAAAACCTGACCATCTGAACTTGTCTTTTGTCTCTCTGGGTCATGTTTTAAGCGTGTAGACCTGGGATGACCTGACTGCGTGATGCTGGGGCACAAGGTGTGGAGGGGTGGATATATAATGGTGGTCTTATCGCAGGCATTTAGGTGAATGTCAGTGTCTCTCTCCAGAGATGAAGGAACTGGGATATGGCAGTAACTTTGAGGGTGGATCTTTTTATTTTTATTTTTAATGTTTGTGGGTACATAGTAAGTGTATATATTTATGGGGTACATGAAATGTTTTGATAAGGGCATGCAATGTCAAATAGTACATCATGAAGAATGGGGTATCCATCCCCTCAAGCATTTATCCTTTGATTTACAAACAACCCTATTATACTCTTTCAGTTATTTTATTTTATTTTTAATTTTTTTGAGATGGAGTTTTGCTCTTGTTGCCTAGGCTGGATTGCAATGGCACGGTCTTGGCTCACTGCAACCTCCGTCTCTTGGGTTCAAGCAATTCTTCTGCCTCAGCCTCCCAAGTAGCTGGGATTACAGGTGCCCACCACCATGCCTGGCTAATTTTTGTATTTTTAGTAGAGACGGGGTTTTACCATGTTGGCCAGGCTGCTCTCGAATGCCTAACCTCAGGTGATCCGCCCACCTAGGCCTCCCAAAGTGCTGGGATTACAGGCACAAGCCACTATGCCTGGCCTCTTTATTTAAAAATGTACAGTTAAGTTATTGTTGACTATAGTCACCCTGTTGTGCTATCAAATAGTGGGTCTCATTTATTCTTTCTAAGTATTTTATTTTTTTACCTATTACACCCCCTGAGGGCGGATCTTAATGCTTGACACTTAGATGATGCTCAATAAAAGTTGGTAGGGTATTGTAACCCCACATTCTGCCAGAGATTCTATCATCAAGGTTTAGTCCTTTATTTACAGTGGGATCAGACCGCCAACATTCTAATGATCACAAATCTAGTTCCTGCTTTGTTTTTACTTTGTGGTTGTGCATGCATATGGAAAGCATTGGAAATGAGAAGAAAGAAATAGTCTTAAAACGAGTATTTGGAGCTGAATAAGGAACTGAGTATGGACTCTCATAGAAATCATAGTCGTATATTCTATCCACGTTGGAATTTTTACACCACTTATTTGCCATGAGTTTTTGGATAGCATTTTGGTGTGACATTTGAAATATTACCTGCATAAATGTACGCCTGTAGTTTACTGAAATCCTGTTAATCTAGATGTAAGAGAAAAAGGCCTGAAGATATGACCACCTAGGGGATCAAGGAATGCGACTCAATGACATCATCCTTAAAGCATCTCCTAGGAGTGAGGAGTCAGATGGGTGAGGTTCTTGCATCACAGGGAGTAGCCACCTTCTTTAAAAAGTGCCAGTCTCCCCACAGTGCTAGAATTCTTTCATTTCTTTGGGCACACAGGCTGAAATCCATATTTCATCTATTAGGAATATATGTGGATAAATAAGTTCTGCTTTAAAAATACGACTACTCTGGAAAATTGATCTTAGAAAGAACACTTTCAACCCTATCACTTTCTTTCTGATACCTTGCAGAAGTCATCCACACTGAAAAAGGGAAGTTTGGTGGGAGACAGGGAGGGATGTTGGCCTCTTGGTGAGAGAGAGAGAAAAGCAGGCCCAGGAAGGGTACTCAGTGCAGGATTCTGGGATGGACCAGGATGACTTAAGGGAGATGAAAGGAGAGAAGGGGAGAAAAAGAGAGGCAGGAGGGCACTACAATTTTTCCAATTTTGCTATTTTGTCACAAACCAAATTATCTAAAAGTGTTGAACGTATTCAATACTTTTTTTTTTCCCAGTAGAGGAAGCATATGAATGAAATAGAATATTATAGATCATCTAAAGCAGTCACAATTCTCTGTGTGTAAATCAAAACGACGACAACAACAACAACAAAACTTATTCGGAGTGTTGGTTACAGTGGTCTCATTTAGGTAAAGAACAGGGTAAGCACCAAGAAGATCCCACGGCTATACCCAAGGCCACTCAGCTAACTGGGCCAGACAGGACCTGGATCCCTGTTCCTGTCCTTGGCTGGGCAGCCTTTTCTCTCCATCACCCTGAGTCTTTGCCATTTAAATGGGGTTCCTGGAGTGCATACACTCAATGTCTGTGAGTCATGTGTGTATATTTAAGGTAGTAGCAACTGCACTCTCTTATGGTTGAAGAGGATCTTTCAGATACTGAGAGTTATTTTAAATCCTTGAGAGGGAATGGTTCATAAGAGAAGAGTTTTATTTTCAAGCACACATCATGTGATGAGCCAAGATGGGACAAGTGCCTCTATAACTTCCTATTCAGTGAATAACTTCCGGGAACTACTGCAAACGTTGAACCTTGCAGAGGGTTTCAAACTTTGGGAAAGTAATTTTCTAGCCTTCCCAAACTATTTTTGTGTGTGTGAGAACTCGGGACTGAAGTTTTTTAAAAATAAGCACTAAATTGCAGTAATTTGAAGCAAGACGCAGTGGAAAGAGCATTACAGACCTTGGCAGACAGACCCAGCTTTAAGGCATGGCTGCATTGCTCACTTGCTGCATGAGCTTGGGCAAGTCTCTTACAGTTTCTGAGCCTCAGCTTTCTCACCTGTAAATGCGGATGGTGGATGCTATTTCATAGCCTTACTGTGAGAATAGAGATAGGGTACGTAATATACATAGCACAGTGCCTGGCACTTAGTAAATGCTCAACAAATGTTCACCCGCTAGCCTCCTTTTCTCCTTTTCTTCAGGTGGTTGCAGCACAGAGTAAAAGGAAGAGTTTGCAGTTACTTCGTGAATTTGAGAATGCACCATGTTTTGAACTATTGAACAGTTTTTTAGAAAACAACTTTTAGAATGAAGCATAACATAATAAAGAAAAGTGTGCAAAGCATAAGTCTACAATTCAGTGCATAGTCTCCAAGTGCTCAGATCCATTTAGCCAGGACCCAGATGAAGAAATGAGCAGCGCCCCAAAAGGCCCTCTTCCACTGACTTCCAAGAAGATAGGTTGTTCTCTCTTTTTTTTGAACTTTATATGTAATCCTTCGAATGTGCTCATTTATATGAGGTTTCCTTCATTCCGCGTTGTATCTGTGAGTTTCACCGGTGTTGTTGCAGGTAACCATAGTTTGTTCTGAATCATTGAATTTTCAAGCTTTTAGAGATCCTAGAGCTTTTCCAGTCTATCCCTCTCCATTGACCAAAACAGGAAAGAGAGGGTCAGAGATGTTAAGTGATTTGACTAGTTAATAGCAGAGATGTAATTAGATCCCAAGTCTTCCAATGTCTAGCCCAGGGCTCCTTCCTGAAGTAGCTGTAGCAGTAGCCTACACAGTTTAAATCCACAGTTCAATTATTATTTAATTTTGGCATTCTCTGTCAGGGTGAAAAAGAAGAGATGCAGGGAAACCATTGTTGGCTACATGTGGATATGTACAAATTCCAGAGTTGGTGATTCACTGACATCTTCAGATCTGATTCTCTCATGTGAATCTCCTTTGCTAGACTGATCTTTGTTCTCAAGGTGTGAACCACGTGTCCCTCTTAGGGCATCAGGGTCAGGAACAGACAGTTAGAAATATCTATACCTAAATCTTCCTGTATTAATAAGATGTTATCCTAATTTTCAAAACTTCTAGAATTCTATAATTACGATTGCTTTTTATAGACATGAATTGAATCTACCCATCTAATTCTTTGAATCTGCCATGTACAGTTTAAAGCTAACTTATTTTTATTTAAGCCTAAAAGTTTTTTGACATTTCTTTATAATGCCATATAATTTCATATTTATAACACCATATATTATATAGTATGCACACATCAGTATCATTCAGGATGCCCCGAATTTGAAGCATTCTTCTAGAGGCTCACCATTCTTAATGCAGCTCCCCAAACCTGCCATCGTGCCCACAACCCTACAATTACACTTATCCAACTAGGTTCAAGCAGTATTTAAAAGTCAATGCTAAGGTTCCTATGTGCTGGCCGGGCGCGGTGGCTCATGCCTGTAATCCCAGCACTTTGGGAGGTTGAGGCGGGTGGATCACTTGAGGTCAGGAGTCCGAGACCAGCCTGGCCAACATGGTGAAACTCCGTCTCTACCAAAAACACAAAAATTAGCCAGGTGTGGTGGTGAGCACCTGTAATCCCAGCTACTCAGGTGACTGAGGCAGGAGAATCGCTTGAACCCAGGAGGTGGAGGTTGGAGTGAGCTGAGATCGTGCTATATCTATAAAGTTTCTATACGTTGACTGTGAATGGCATGCTTTGTGTCATCAGTACACTTTGCTGCTATAACTTAGAGAGGACAGATCCATTTGATTGGCATGGGGAAGGAAAGGGAATTTCCAGTTGGAAGCTGCAGTGTGGTGGAGGAAGGACAGTTTTCTCCGAGCAACAAAATAGACTAGACTGCATTTCTTATAACACAAAATTCCATTCAAAACCAGTTCCCCTTCTTTAATCACTGTCATTCCTTAATAGAGAAAAAGGTCATGAATCCTATGTGCTATGGAAAGTGTGGCAGTGAGAAGAACAGCCAGAAGGACCTTAATTCCCCCCACTCATTAGTAGTTGAAAGCCTGGCCCCTGGAGTTGGAATGTTGGTTCTTCCATTTACTCACTGTTACCTTGGGCAAGTTATTTAATTCTCTATGCCTCAGCTTTCTTACCTAAAAATTCCTCATGGGATTTTTCTGAGGTTTAAATACGTTACTTTATGTGAAGTGTTTGAAACAGTACAGTAAACAGTAATCATAATAAAAATTATTCCATCTAAATAAAAATACCTCTCCCCCTAAAAATAGAAGCAAAGGAAAGGAATAGCTTCTACTGGGCTCTAAATATATAATTTGATTTACTTGATTACATAGTAAAGTAAAATTGGGTGTCAGTTCTGTTTTACCTTCAGGTTTAGTGGGCTAGAAATATGCCTTCTACCAGAATAACAAAATTTAATTTTACTATAACAAAATACAGCTATGCATCGCTTAATGACAGGGATATGTTCTGAGAAATGCATCGTTGGGAGATTTCGTCATTGTGTGAACATCAATATGCTTACACAGGCCCAGAGGCTAGAGCCTACCTGACACCTAGGCTGTGTGGTATGGTCTACAGCTCCTAAGTTATAAATTTGTACAGCGTTTTCGCCTACTGAATACTGTAAGCAACTGCAACACAATGGTAAGTATTTGCGCATCTAAACATAGAAAAGGTACAGTAAAAAATACCATATTATTATAATCTTATGGAACTCCTATTGTATATTCAGTCTGTCTTGCACAGCCCATGACTGTAATAGGGAAACCTTGGAGGGCCTTACCTCAAGATATGTTGGTTTTGGCCTTTATTTATGTGTTTTATTCAAGAGGCATTTAGTAGCTGTGTGCCCTTGAGCAAGTTACTTCACTTTCCTGAATCTCAGTTTCTTTATCTGCAAAATGGCAATAGCAATATTTACCTTGAAGGGTTATAATTGGGCCTAAGTGAAATGATACATGCAAAACACTCAGTTATCAAGCATTTATTGAGCTTATACTGTGAGCACAGTCTGGCTTCAACAACAATTTTCCTGATGATGTTGAACATAAAAACATTCGAATGTATTTAAAGTATGTCTGTGAAGGTATGTAAACATATATACTAATTCAAACATTTTTAAATATCTAGATGAAGTCTCACTGTGTTGCCCAGGGTGGTCTCAAACTCCTGGGCTCAAGTGATCCTCCCACCTCAGCCTCCCAAAGTTCTGGATTATTGGCGTGAGCCACCGTGCCCAGCCAAAAGATATATTCTGGCTTTGGAGGGCAGCTCTGATTTTTACATACTCTGCCCCATTGTCTAACCCTGATGTGTCCTTATTTTTAATTCAAAAACCTTTTACCACATGTGAATTACTGCTTAACCAAAGGATAGTTTTATATACCACTCTTAATTGTTTGAGTAATTAGCTCAAACTGTTCTGGGAATATCTTGAACTTGGTAGATTGGATCAGGGAACAAGAGGCTATTGAGCTAGCAACCCAGACTGTGGAAATGACCTCCGAAGAATTATCAAGTAAAATATGTACACACACACACACACACACACACACACACACACACACTAGTTACTAGTTATATAGAAGAAAGAGACTTTAGAGTAGTCCAGTCTATCTGAAATTTACTTTACGGCTCTGGGTAAGTCTAACCATAGTCCTAGGTTTTTAGCTTTCCACCTATAATTCAATGATAAGAGTATTATTGTTGTGAGGATAACTTGGTAAAATGAATGGAGTACTCTATGAACCCGGAGGGGAAAAAGTTGTAAAGATCACAGCAAGTTTAAAAAAAATTACTTTAAAAATTTACTATAAGAATGCATTGGATTCTGGAAACACCTAATTTGGACTTTGGGTTATATCCTAAGAATTATCAAATGAACAGTAGACCTACTTGATAAAACTAGAAACACTTTATTACTCTGGGCAGTGAGCAGTGAATCACAGTGTCTTGCTTTATTCCCCAAGTGCTTGTGGTTTAAGCAAAATTGTTAACACTGTGCGAAGTTCATGGCCTTCTGCCAATGCCATTGTACAGTCCCTGAGAGAAAAAAGGAGAAAGCTCCTTGGGATAATAAGGTTAGTAAGACAGGCACATCACCAGGCAAGCAAAACAATTTAGTCACCTGCTTCAACAAACACTTAGAGGAGTGGTTCTATGATTTTGTTCTCCCCATTCCCATCTCTTTGCTATAGCTCTCTACCCAGCAACTCTGCTTCCAGTAGGGGTGAAAAGGATTTTTCTGGAGCTGGAGAAAACTTAGAGACCTTTTCTGTCTCCTGCATCTACACCCCTGGACTCACCATAGCCTACCGCATCTGCTTTTGTGTACTTCTGCCGTGGGCCCTGTATTAGTTTGCTCTTGCTGTTTAACAAGTTACTCCAAACTTACGTTTACTATCTTGCAGTTTCTGTGGGCTAGGGGTCTATGCGCAGCTTGGCTGGTCCTCTGCTCAGGATCTCATGAGCCTGTAATCAAGGTATCTTTCGGGCTGTTTTCATCCGGAGCTCTGAGACCTCTTCTAAGGTCATTGGTTGTTGGCAGAATTCATGTTTGTGTGGTTGCAGAGCTGAGGCCTCCCAGGGGCAGCCCACTGTTCTCTGCCACATGGCCCTCAACAGGTGGTGTATTTCTTCAAGGCCAATAGGAGGTGTCTGCTGCTGCTTTGATTCTTTTTATTTCCTTTTTTAAAAAAACTTTTAAATATTTAAAGATGTCTCAGTTTAATTAATTTCTTTATTTTTAGATTCAGTGGGTACATGTGCAGGTTTGTTAGATGGGCAATGTGTGCTGCTGAGGTTTGGGCTTCTAGTGAACCTGTTGCCCAGGTAGTGGACATAATACCCAATAGGTAGTTTTTCAACCCTTACCTCTCTTCCTGGTTCCCTCCTTTTCAAATCCCCAGGGTTTATTGTTCCCATTTTTATGCTCCCTGATTTTCTAATGGCTCATCTGATTAGGTTATACCCACCTAGGATAATCCCCCTAGTTTAAAGTCAACTGATTCGGGAATATTTACATCTGTGAAATCCTTTTACAGAAATACCTAGAAAATGTGTATAGCAGGGGGTAGGAATCTGAGGCTGTCTTAGAATTCTCATACCACAGGCTCCCTGTTGAAGTCTATTCTACTTGCAATGACCCCCTTTCTCAGAGAATGCTCTATTACCAGTATCCATGTTGATGATATCCTTGGCCTCAGATAATTGGGTCCCAGATAGTTCATGGTGTGACCTGTCCCTTGAAGTAGTAAGGGAAAGGTAGAGGTCTTTATTTTCTGGAATTGCCCCTGTTTCTCCTTACATTACTATAAACTCCCATTCAAAAATATTTGATTCTCTTTGCATGTGAGCATTAGCACTTTTAACTTCTTTTTTATTTATTATATTTTTTTGAGACACAGTCTCACTCTGTCACCTGGGCTGGAGTGCAGTGGTGCGATCTCCACTCCTGGGTTCAAGTGATTCTCCTGCCTCAGCCTCCTGAATAGCTGGGATTATAGGCATGCCCCACCATGCCTGGCCACATTTTTAATTTCATAGTTTGAAAAAACTGGAGGAATCCACTCAGGGTTATTTTATATTTAAAAGTAACAGTTTATTACCAAGTGGTGTCCCAGTAACACAGAGCATTAACATCTTCTATTAAAAAGGCTCATTTATTCCTAGAAGTAGGTTATGCACCAGGACAATCTGGTATATCTTCAGGAGCAGCTTCTTATACTCCTGCTCCTGAAGCAGGAGGCCTTTTATTGGAAGCCTTTTATTTCCTTCTCTTGCCTGATTGCCCTGGCTAGGACTTGCAGTGCTCTGTTTTTTTTTTTTAAATTAATTAATTAATTAATTAATTTTTTATTTGAGACAGTCTTTCTCTGTTGCCCAGGCTGGAGTACAGTGGCACCATCCTGGCTCACTGCAACCTCTGCCTCCTGGGTTCAAGCTATTCTCTTGCCTCAGCTTCCTGAGTAGCTGGGATTACAAGCATGTGCTACCATGCCCATACTAACTTTTGTATTTTTAGTACAGATGGGGTTTTGCCATGTTGGCCAGGCTGGTCTCAAACTCTTGGCCTCAAGTGATCCACCTGCTCTGCCTCCCTGAGTGCTGGGATTATAGGCGTAAGCCACGGCGCTTGGCCTTGCAGTGTTGTGTTGAATAGGAGTTGTGAAAGTGGGCAACCTTGTCATGTTCCAGTTTTTAGAGAAAAGGCTTTCAGCTTTCCTTGTTCAGTATGTTAGCTGTGGGTTTGTCATATATGGCTATTATTATGTTGAAGTATGTATCTTCTATGCCTAGTTTGTTGAGAGTTGTCATCATGAAGGGATGTTGAATTTTATCAAATGCTTTTCCTGTACCTATTGAGATGATCATATGACTCTTGTCCTTCATTCTGTTGAAGAGATTTATCACATTTATTGATTTGCATATGTTGAGCCATCCTTTCATCCCTGGGATAAATCCCCCTTGATCATGGCATATTATCTTTTTAATGTGCTGCTGAATCCAATTTGCTAGTGTTTTGTTGATAATTTTTTGTATCTATGTTTATCAGGGATATTGGCCTGTAGTTTTCTTTGTGTGTGTGTGTGTGTGTGTGTGTGTGTGTGTATGTGTGTGTGTGTGTGTCCTTATCTGGTTTTGGTACCAGGGTAATGTTGGCCTTGTAGAATGAGTTAGGGAAAATTCTCTCCTCTTCAATATTTTGGAATAATTTTAGGAGAATTATTCTTAGTTTTTCTTTATAAGTTTGGTAGAATTTGGTAGTAAGCCACCCAATCCTGGCTTTTCTTTTTTGGGAGACTTAAAAAAATTACCAATTCAATCTTGTTACTCATTATTAGTCATTTAGATTTTCTATTTCTTCTTGGTTCAATATTGGTAGGTTGTAGATATCCAGGGATTTATCTGTTTCCTCGAGGTTTTCCAGTATGTTAGCATACAGTTGTTTATAAAGGTATCTGATAATCTGTTGTATTTCCATGGTGTAAGTTATAATGTCTCTTTTTTCATTTCTGCTTTTTTCTATTTGGACTTTCTTTTGATCTTGATTAATCTAACTAGTGGTTTATTAATCTTGCTTATCCTTTCAAGAATATAGCTTTCCATTGTGTTGATTCTTTATATATTTTTTTCAGTTTCCATTTCATTTACTTCTGTTCTGTTCTTTATTATTTCTTTCCTTCTGCTAATTTTGGGTTTGGTTTGTTCTTGTTTTTCTAGTTCCTTGAGGTGTTCCTTCTTTTAAAATTCTTTATTCTTTTTTTTTTGTCTGATTGGGTTATTTGAAAAAAAAACCCTGTCTTCCTGTTCCAAAATTCTTTCTTCTGCTTGATGTAGTCTGTTGTTGAAACTCTTGAATGAATTTTTTTCCAACATTTATTTTGTTTCAGGGAGTACATGTACAGGTTTATTACCTGGATATGATGCTGAGGTTTGGGGTATGAATGATTCCATCACATCACTGAGTTACTGAGCATAGTACTTAATAGTTAGTTTTTCAACCTTGGCCCCCTTCCTACCTCCCCCCTCTAGCAGTCCCCAGTTTCTAAAGTTGATATATATATTTTTTGTCCATGAGTACCTAATATTTAGCTCACTTCTATAAGTGGGAACATGTAGTATTTGGTTTTATCTTCTCACATTAATTCACTTAGGAGAATGGCCTCCGGTTGCATCCATGTTACTGCAGAGGACATGACTTCATTCTTTTTTAGGGCTGTGTAGTATTCCATGATGTATATATACTACATTTTCTTTATTCACTTCATCATTGATGAGCACCTAGATTGATTCCACGTCTTTGCTATTGTGAATGGTGCTACAATGAATATGCAAGTGCATGTGTCTTTTTGGTAGGAAGATTTTTTTTGGGGGGGATATATACCGAGTAATGGGATTGCTGGGTCAAATGGTAGTATTAATTTCTTTGAGAAATCTCCAAACTGCTTTTCACAGTGGCTGAACTAATTTACATTCCCACCAACAGTGTACAAATGTTCCCTTTTCTCTGTAGCCTTGCTGGCATCTATTGCTTTTTGCCTTTTTAATAATAGCCATTGAATGGATTTTTAATTTAATTCATATAATTCTTCAGTTTGAGGATTTCTGTTTGGTTCTGTTAATGATATTTACCTTGTTGATGAATTTCTCATTCATATCTTGAATTGTGTTTTTCTGATTTCTTCATATTGTTTATCTGTGTTGTCTTATATCTCACTGAGCTTCTTTAATATCATTATTTTGAACTCCTTTTCTGGTATTTCATAAATCCTTTTGATTGGAATCTATTACTGGAGAATTATTGTGTTCCTTTTGAGTGTCACATTTTCTTGTGTTTTCATGTTTCCATTGATATCCGCATATCTGGTGTGACAGTTGCTTTTTCCCGTTTTAAAATTTCCTTTCACAGGGTAGCACTTTTTTTGTGAAGATGCATCTATGTTGTTGGTTGGGTAGGGTACTTTAGCTTTGATTCTAGGTGCACGCACCAGTGTCATTTCTTCAGCTGTAAGCGGTGTCAGCGGTGTCTGATTTCCTCAATGGCTGAGTCTGCAGTTGTTAGTGAAGGCTGTGATGAGGTTTTGTTGGGGACGAGAAAGCCAGGAAGGCTAGTTCTTGGGCCCTAGTTGTAGCAGTGGCAGCCTGAGCACGCCTGTCCTTGGGCTCTCAGCTGATGCACGTGGACTCCAATGTTAGCAGGTCTAAGTGGGAGATTCTTGGATCTCCATGTGGCTTCCTCAGGTGCTGGCAGTGGCAGTGGTGGGCTGCACCTCAAGGTGGGTTCTGAGGCCTCTGGGCAGTGTGCTTGGTGTGGCAGTGGCTATAGTAGTGGTGGGACAACCCTGAGGCTCCCAGGAGGCCCATGCTTGTGTTACCAGTGGCTGTGATGGGCTGGGCAGGCCAGTCCCCAGGTCCCCACAGTGGCACATGAGGGTGGATGCCACTGTGATGATAGTGGCAGGCTGGGTTGGCCCATCCTCAGACCCCTGGGAGGAGTGCACAGATGCCAGCAGTGGTGGATGGGGTGGGGTGATCCCCAAACCCCTGGGGGATGTGCTTGGGCACTGGAAGAGCAGTGCCAGGCCAGGTGGGCCTCTCCTCTGTATGGGCTGTGGTGGGCAGGGCAGGGTGATTCTCAGACCCCTCAGTGGAGTTTGTGGGTGGCGGCAGCAGTGGTGGTTAGTGAGGAAAGCCCGTCTTCAGGGTATGTGCAAATGCACCACAGCTTTGCTGCTGGGGGAGGGTGGGGTTGCTATTAGTGGCAGCAGCTGCCGTCAGTTGGCTCTTAGGCTCTGGGGAGCATGTGCTTTGGGCCTTGGTGGTGGCTATCATGGTGTCAGTGGTAGCAGTGGGGAGTGGCAGCAGCAGGGAGAGCCAGTTCTCAGGGTGTGTACAAGTGCACTGTGGTTCTCCTGCTGGGGGAGTGGTGGAGGGCGGGGTTGCTGTCAGTGGTAGCAGCCCCAGGGAGGCAGGTTCCAGGCTCTGTGGAGCATGCACTTTGGCTCCCTTCGTTTTAGGGGAGGACTCCTTAGAGTGCTACACTGTCCATTCTCTGGGGTGCAGGACACGGTGTGTGCTAGAGTGCTAGGGCCCCAGCCACTCCACTGGGTCCAACCAGTGTCACACTACTGCAGCCCTCTAGGTGGACATGTGGGGATGTCAGTAGGGCTCCAAAGATGTGGAGATGGAGGGGCTGCTGGGCCCAAGGGCAGGATGCAGTCTGGTGAAGCTGGACTCTCAAACTGGCTCTGTGCTGCAGTTGCCTGGGACTTGGGTGTGTGTGTAGGACGCAGTGTGAGCTCCCTATCTGGAGCAATGCCACTGCACAGTCCAGGCAGCTCCCTATACTAGTCTCAGGGCCTTGCGAGGGCTGGGGGTTCTCCCATGGCTAGGGCTGCAGGATTCCATGGTGGAAATGTAGACTACTGGGGATCTCTCACTTACCCTTTCCCCATAGTGGAGACCCTCTCTGGGCTCCCAACCAATCCCGCTCAGCAGGCTGCCTGGTTTCCATCTCCTTCCATGCCTTGGGTGTTTCCTGTCTGTCACTTCTCTGTTGAACTCCAATGGCCTTCCCTGTATTTGAAGTGTGATTTTCTTCTTGCTATTTTGGTTCCTCTTTGTGGAGGAGGTGAGTGCTGGATGCCTCTCATCAGCCATCCTGAAGCCCCTCTGGTTATTTATATTCTTTAGCTTTCAATTTTTTCAACTAGAAATTGAGGCTAATGATACCACAGTAAAGACGGCCATGAGAATGTAATAGCATAATTGTGGAAATCACTTAGCCCAAGTCCAGAAGTTTGGTAAGCACTCAGTAAATGGTTGCTATTGTGATGGTTCTAGGAATTTTATAAGACACAACTTTTGGGTATGTAAACATTTCCCCCTGAGAGCACAAGACAGTGGAGTGGCAGTTTATGTCAACTGAGGATGAAAAAGGGCTCTGCTTCATTACTCACTACTGAGGCATTTATGAGCCTGCCCCTTCACTTCTAACCTCCCTGTTTCCTCTGGCAGAAGGGCCCAGAATCGGGATAAGCTGAATTGGAAAATCCAGCAATAGGAAGAAGAGATGGCTGCTGCTGTTCCTGGATCTAGAAAGGAGAGAAGCTACTCAGGGAGCTCTTGATCCTATGCTCAGGGGGAAACATACCAGGAAATTACAGGTGGGTTGCTCATTTATGTTCAGGTTAATGATGTAACCCTTAGAGATTGCTTGAGTTGCTTTCGCAACAGGTACACACTCTCCTCAGTTCGTAATCACTTTTTTGGAATGTTGATTGTATAAAGCATAAACATAACCCTTTGCCACTTTCAAGCACTCCACGAATATTAACTAATTAATCCATTTCATAAAACAGGAGGTTTTTGGCTCCGTCTTGGCAGCCTAACTTTCCAGTCTCAATAACAGTTAGTCACAGAGCCAAGGGACACATTTTATTAACCTTATTAACATACTTTTTTTAAGACTAGAATTCCAGATGTAGAAAGGAACAGCCAAACTCAGCTTGCCTCAACTGACCACCAGCTGGGGGCTTCTGCCTCTGCTCTTGTAATAGCATTATTAGAGCTCTTCATCTGCTAATCCCCAGAAAGAGGGTATTGTGGTGTGAGGCAGAGAATCCCGGACTTGGATTCCATAGACAAGGAGATTTTAAAAAAGAAAAATTAGTTTTCTAAGTGAGGTATGTAAAAGCCCCTATTATCTTTTGTCACTATCATTTCATAAAAAAGGCAGGACATTTTTTTCTTTTTTATTATACTTTAAGTTCTAGGGTACATGTGCACAAAGTGCAGGTTTGTTACATATGTATACATGTGCCATGCTGGTGCGCTGCACACGTTAACTCGTCATTTACAACAGGTCCCGGTGTGTGATGCTCCCCTTCCTGTGTCCAAGTGTTCTCATTGCTCAATTCCCACCTATGAGTGAGAACATGCGGTGTTTGGTTTTCTGTCCTTGCGATAGTTTGCTTAGAATGATGGTTTCCAGCTTCATCCACGTCCCTACAAAGGACATGAACTCATCCTTTTTTATGGCTGCATAGTATTCCATGGTGTATATGTGCTACATTTTCTTAAGCCAGTCTATCATTGATGGACATTTAGGTTGGTTCCAAGTCTTTGCTATTGTGAGTAGTGCTGCAATAAACATACGTGTGCATATGTCTTTATAGCAGCATGATTTATAATCCTTTGGGTATATACCCAGTAATGGGATGGCTGGGTCAAATGGTATTTCTAGTTCTAGATCCCTGAGGAATCGCCACACTGTCTTCCACAATGGTTGAACTAGTTTACAGTCCCACCAACAGTGTCAAAGTGTTCCTATTTCTCCACATCCTCTCCAGCACCTGTTGTTTCCTGACTTTTTAATGATTGCCATTCTAACTGGTGTGAGATGGTATCTCACTGTGGTTTTGATTTGCATTTCTCTGATGGCCAGTGATGCCAGTGATGATGAGCATTTTTTCATGTGTCTGTTGGCTGCATAAATGTCTTCTTTTGAGAAGTGCCTGTTCATATTCTTTGCCCACTTTTTGATGGGGTTGTTTGATTATTTCTTGTAAATTTGTTTAAGTTCTTTGTAGATTCTAGATATTAGCCCTTTGTCAGATGGGTAGATTGTAAAAATTTTCTCCCATTCTGTAGGTTGCCTGTTCACTCTGATGGTAGTTTCTTTTGCTGTGCAGAAGCTCTTTAATTTAATTAGATCCCATTTGTCTATTTTGGCTTTTGTTGCCATTGCTTTTGGTGTTTTAGTCATGTAGTCCTTTCCCATGCCTATGTCCTGAATGGTATTGCCTAGGTTTTCTTCTAGGGTTTTTATGGTTTTAGGTCTAACATTTAAGTCTTTAATCCATCTTGAATCAATTTTAGTATAAGGTGTAAGGAAGGGATCCAGTTTCAGCTTTCTCCATATGGCTAGCCAGTTTTCCCAGCACCAAAGGCAGGAAATTTTAACAGAACAAAATAAGGAAGATACTCTTGGGGTATAGGACACCTTTAAAAAGAGTGTGTTCAGCTTCCTGGAAATCTACATTGTGTTTTCTCCTATTTGCCTCCAACAGTTCCTCATAGACTGGGCCTGGTAAGTGGGTTAGGAGTGGACCATTGGGAGAGGCCCATACCTTAGTGGTCCTGGTACCCACTTAGCCCTAGAAGGACAGGGGCCAGGGCTATTTTATCAGTATACCTTGTGCTTCATGTAATGCTTAGCACATACTAGGGACGTAATAAATATTTGTTGAACAAAGTAATAAATATGATTGTCTGTGATCTTTTCCAAGTCACAGCATGGCTGGGGCTCAGATCTGTACAATTAGATCTGTGCAATCTTATCTGTACAATTGGAGGAGTCATATTACATGGCATCCAACTTCCTTTCCATTCAAACAAACAAACAAACAAACAAACAAACAAAAATCTGGATTTAGAAAGCATTAGTAGAGTGTTTTTGGTTCCTTTTCTGTTTTTAAGGATAATTCAACTTTTTGGACCACGATGACTTTTTCGGAGGTCCGTTGCAATGTTTGTCTACCAAATGAAGGCATTGACTCTTTATAGGGAAATCTTGCTTTTCATCGGCCACAGTTGAGGAAGGGACCCTTGAAAACTGAGTGGTTACTTTGAAAAAATAAGTGTTGGGGGATGAGGGAAGCCTATTATAATTTTTATTTAGAGGCCTAGGAATCAACATTAAACAGCTGTTTTGTTTTTTTCTTTTCCTAGACAGCATTTCTGAAAAAGGTACTTTCATTACCTGCTTTGTTATTATTATTTTTAAGTGTCCCATGGTCACTATATGTAATTGAGTTTGAAGGTCTGATAAATCTTTGATGAATAATACAACAGTCCCCCTAGCTTATACATATTTCAAAGCCAGTTAAATCCCAGGAGCCGGCAGCAGGCGAAGGGTTGAATACACATTATGTGTCTCCTTCCACATTCCTACTCAATCCACTCTCTTTAGTGGAAAGCTTCTTTTTGTCATGATCAGCCAGAGGTGAAGAATGAAGAAGAGATGGATTTTCATTAAGAATAGAGCTTTGTATAAAATTTCTTCATCTGTCTGAACATCTGATAGGAGCAGGGCTTTGAAAATCATCTCAGATCAGATTCTATATGCATTTTGATTTTGAATGATGCTGAGTTATGCGAACATCTTCCCTAGTTATGGCTAATGTTTAGCTAAAAAAGAATTCTTCAGACAACATTAATATGAGTTGTCTGCTTCCTAAAACAATAACCAAGGTCTGCATCCTGTGTGTTTCTTTGGGAATATAGGTAATTCATTTTTCAATTAGGAAATTTCATATGCCTTAAAGGTTTTTTTTATTAACATTTCACGGCATTGTTTCTAGCTCAGATATGGATAGAACCTAATGACACTCTTATTTGGCATTAGAGAGGTTAACTAGATATTATGACATCTTCATTCTATTGTTTCAAGTGGAAGAGCTGTTCATTTAGATAGAAATTGAGAGTATTTTTTAAAAATGCGATCTATCATTTTGGTGCTGTTTTTTTTTTTTTTTTTTTTTTTTTTTTAATGGCGTCTCACTCTGTTGCCCAGGCTGGAGTGCAGTGGCGCAATCTTGGCTCACTGCGACCTCTGCCTCCTCGGTTCAAGTGATTCTCCTGCCTCAGCCTCGATAGTAGCTGGGATAACAGGCACGTGCCACCACTCCTGGCTAATTTTTGCATTTTGTTTTAGTAGAGATGGAGTTTCACCATGTTGACCAGGCTGGTCTCCAACTCCTGACCTCAGGTGATCTGCCCACCTCGGCCTCCCAGAATGTTGGGATTACAGGCATGAGCCACGGTGCCTGGCTGGTGCTATTTCTCTAAGACAGAATGAGGCTTCCTGTTTGCAGAGAATGTCCAGCCTATCCTGTGTCACTCTACTCCCAAGGGAAGCCTGGCTCCACCCTTGATGGCTTTCACTTGGCTTGGTGCTAGACTACTCTTGGACACATTTTTCCCAAGCTGGGATGAGAACCCAACCTCTATTGATGTCACTATAGACTCTGATCTGTGAGTGTATTTGTGAATGTGAGGGAGATAGAAAATCACCACTGGGCTTCCCTTTTCCCTGCTCAGCTGACTTCTGCATCCACATGCCCTCTCCTCTATTCTCATGCATTTTGTGAGGTGGTTTGTGAAAGCCAGTGTGAAGTCTGAGGTGTTTACCATTGCTGGAGGGGACGTTGTGGGTAACAGAGGAGCTCTTTGATTCAGTTTCCAAAGTTGGCTGTACTATTTGCTTGCTATGCAAACTCAAATAAGTTACTTGGCTGCTCTCAACCTCAGTTTGATCATCTGTAAATTTGGAATAAACATATGTACTTTTTGGGATGAAGACTGAGCCCTCTAATCAGAACCAGAATCACCTATGTTTTCATGGTCCTAAGAAATTCCTTTCCCCGGATGTGTAAGCTAAAATTCTGTTGATGATTAACATGAAACTATGACTTGCTGGCTCTTTGAAGCCCTGCTCCTATGAGGACGTGTGAACTTCATGCTAGAATTAAGACAGCTCAGCAGGAGGATGGAGTTTTAAAAATGTCCCCATTGAAGTCTCCATGATTTCATTTACAGTCTGCTCAAGCAATCTGGAGCTGGGAGAAACTTCTTCTTTACTAAAGATTCCCACATTCAACCCACCCTAAAGCAGAAAGAAAGTTCTGCATTAAGTTTTCCTGGCTGCTGTGAAGTGCAGCACAGCCATGGGTGGGAATAGAACAAAGACAATGAAAGCTGGAAAATGCTGTTCTTATCGATGTTCAGGCACAATTAGGTTTGTTCCTCGCCACCTCTGCCACGGGGCTTCCTGTCATTGGTGGGTTGCACCTTCCTCCCCTTCTTCCACCACCGAGAAAGTCCTGACAGGGTTGAAGCAGGGAGAAAAGGGAAATAAGTTTTTATTTTTATTAAAAAATAGCTCTAGGTGAATTATTAAGATTGTGAAATAATTAATTGAAAGTTCTTTGGAATTCCTTTTGGTATTTTATGAAAAAATGATTAAAAGGCCAAATTTTCTTCACAGATGACAACTTAGATAAAGCATTTGTGTTTATTTTTGAACCCACATTGGCCGTTACTCCATAGAACAAACTGTCATGGCATTAACCCCACTTCTACAAGCCTATACCCACTGTTTGGGTAGTTGCGGCCAGAAATGGAGCCCCAGGCCTTTCAGGATTATTCAGGTAGATTTGGTGTTTGAAGTCACTGGGAATTTAATAGGCTGGATGGCTAAACTGGGGAAGGTGGCTATTTGGTCTTCTTGGTGTACTGAGTATTATTTTGTGAGATAAGGTTATTTAGACAACAATATATTTTTGCCTGTTATAAGCAACAATAATAACTACCAATTTCAATGGCAAATAAAATAGCAGCTAAAAGTGCTTACTTTGTGCTAGGCACTCGTGCTGAGTGCTGTGTAATTCATTTCCTCCTCTCTTTGTTCTTTTCTTTTTCTTTCTTTCTTTTTTTTTTTGAGACAGAGTGTTACTTTGTCACTCAGGCTGAAGTGCAGTGGCACAGTCATAGCTCACTGCATCCTCAGACTCCTGGACTCAAGGGCTCCTCCCATCTTAGCCTCCGGAGTCATTAGAACTATAGGTACAAGCCACCATACCAGGCTAATTTCTTACTTTTTATTTTTGTGGAGATGGGGTTTGGCTATGTTGCCTAGCCTGGTCTTAACTCCTGGCCTAAAGCAATCTTTTTGCCTCAGCCTCCCAGAGTGTTGAGATGACAGGTGTGAGTCACTGCACCCAATCTCAATAATTTATTTCTAACAATCCATTATAATAATTCATTTAATTCTTCTAGTAACTCTACTTTTATCCCCATTTAACAGACGAGGAACCCTAGGTTTGGAGATGCTAAGTTGCGGAGCTTTTGATCACGCAGCCAACCAGTGACACAGTTTGGGCCCTGGCAGTGTGCTGTCATACCTACATTCTTTAAGTACTATTTAGGTTTCCAGCGATTTTATGTAAGCTGGCTTGAATTAATTTTCCCTAATTTTGTCTGAATAACTTTTAGCCACATAGCTAAATTTTACTGTAGATTCCCTGGTATTTTCCAGTGTTCAATCCTCCAGATTCTTAAATGTTATTGTTAAGTGTAGAAAAATGGATAGACACTGATTTAGCCATCCCATTAGATCTGCAACTTCCGTAAAATTTTCATCTCAATCCAGAGTAAGAATTACATTTTTACAATATGATCTAGTACAGACATACCTATATGTGTAATTAAAACATGACTGCCGCTTTACCCTTACTAAGTGGGACATGTTCTTATATTGTTCTATTCCATTCCATTTCTGTTCCATTTTATTAAAAACAGGTCTCTAGAGAGAGACTAAATTTCATTTCTCACTAGTGGGTCAGAGCCCACACTTTTGAAAAACAGTTCTTTAGCTGGGTAACTTTCGCCATTCTTTAGAAATTGTCTGCACAGTGCGATGTGCAGCATTTCAGCATCCCTCTAGATAATTTTTCAAATTGTGAGGAATTGCCAAGGTGAAATTGGCAGTAACGGACCCTGAGAAAGGTTGCATTCTCTCTCTGAAAAAGGTCAAGACTATAAACCTGGCTTGCTTTGGAGCACTGAAAACTTCAGCCTTAGAAACAGGGTCCCAGCAGAATAATTCTTAGCATGGCACGAAGTCCAATGAGCCAGTGAATAAAGGCTTGGAAGCCTGTTCTATGTGGGGCAAGGGTTCTTTCAGAGTGTTCAAGGATACAAGTAACCTTGGATTTTTAATAGTTCCTTAAGCAGAAAGTCACCTCTCACCCTTCGGCAGCACGTTGACGAGAACTCAAGTGTCTCATGGAGCTTGCTGGGTTGGATTCAGCTGCTGAGAAATGCTGCGGTTGTTGACTTGCTAGTTATCATGATGTCATGGGCGAGCTGTCACTAGCAAGCATGATCACAGTGAGGCATAAAAGGGAAAGGGAAAAAATACAACAGTTGGGCACAGTCTTTTTTGAAATTCTCAGGCACCAGTTTTTTGTTTATTTCTTATTTCTCTGTTTGGGTGTAATGAAAAAGGGCTTAATACTACTAGCTAGTTACCATTTATCTAATGTCAACTGCAGCCTCAGTACTTGCTCATTGTCTTATGTGGATTGCCTCATTAGGACTTAGAGAAACCTAATTGGGTAAATTATTATTCCTGTCATTTTAACAATGTGAACACTGAGGTTTAGAAAAGCCAAGTAACTTTGCAAAGATTATATAGTTAGTAAGTCATGGACATGGGATGGAACCAAGACAATCTGGATCTAAAGTTTGCACTATGGACAACCAAACTTCAATCTGACGATTTGGCTTCTCTCCTTGGTGACTGGGAGGTGAGTTTCACAGGGAGGGAGGAGAGGTTGGTGTGGGAGGTGTCTGTCTGAGGTGACAGGGACTCAGTCTTTCTTTCTGTATGTGTGCATCATCTTTTCTATACGTGGTGCTGGGGGTGTCTACTGTCCTGCTAGTGAAACTTCCAGTCTCTTGTTCTTCCAGATTCTCAGTGTTTCTGGAACAGGTGAACATTTTTGGATGCTGATACTCAAGTGCTTGGAATTAGTAGTACTTTGATGGACTGTAAAGGTGGCCAAGGAAAGATCTGGAAAGCAGATATGGCATTCAGGGCGGCTGGGTCTCTGAGGAGCATGCCTGGAAGCTGGCAAAGTGAAATGATCTGGATGATCTGGCAAAGCACAGGGACACAGCAGTGGGTGACAGATGATGGAAATATGCCGGAAAGCTTGAAGACAGGGAGTGGCAACTGGGAGGGCTGAGCAGGCAAGAGTGGAAGAGCCCAGCCCTGTGCTCAGATTCTGGGACTAGACTTCAGTTCCTAAGAGGCATCGTAAAGGCAGGTGAGCACCGTTGATAGAAGAACTGAACACTACTCCAGCTTGAACATTAGTCTATGGATCCTTAAATTCTCTTTGAGTAGTAACAGAATTGGCCAAGTATTAGCCTAATCTTACAGCCGAGGGCTAATTCGTTCTAAATGTGGAAATGGAAACTTTGGGGATAGCATGCTTTGCTGTCATTATGTTGAAAAAGGAGACACAAATGACTTTGCCCAAAGAAACATTTCTGCTGAGCAAAATGCGCCAGGAGGCAAGGTTAAATGTTAAAAGTAAAAATGTTATGAAAGAAAAAAAAATCCAGTAGTTTTGCGTTTTTTTTTTTTTTTTTTTTTTTGAGACAAAGTCTTGCTCTGTCGCCCAGGCTGGAGTGCAGTGGCGCGATCTTGGCTCACCGCAACCTCTGCCTCCTGGGTTGGAGCAATTCTCCTGCCTCAGCCTTCCGAATAGCTGGGATTACAGGTGTGTACCACCACACCCGGCTAATTTTTGTATTTTTAGTAGAGACGGGGTTTCACCATGTTGACCAGGCTGGTCTTGAACTCCTGACCTCAGGTGATCCACCCACCTCGGCCTCCCAAAGTGCTGGGATTACAGGCATGAGCCACCATGCCAGGCTGATTTTTTTTTTTTTTTTGAAAGGAATGACAATGTCCTGGCAGGGACTGAAAAATAACTGTGTGTGTGTGTCTGTGTGTGTGTCTGTGTGTGTGTGTGTGTTTGTGTGTATGCAGGAGGATGTAAGGAACTGGGAAAGTGATTAGGAAGCTTTTCCTGAAAAGACAGCCTCCAAACCATTTGAAAGTGAGAACAGCAACAATAACTATGATTTAATAATCATTAACTTTTTAAAGTATACTCAATGAATGCAGAAGATTAAATTATTTTAAGAGATTTGAAATTATTTCAACTTATTTGGCTGCTGTGTATTTCATTTTGTGGCCTAGGGCAAATGACTATGCAAACTCCAGTTGTAATTCTTTGAAAGGAAGTGGATAGTTGGACACTGATGAATGATACTATGCTCTTTGGCTCACCATTAGAATTATATCACCACGTGCTCTCTCCCCGGCTCTCGGCGGTGCTCCCTTAGCTTCTTATCAGAATCCTGTGGGAAAGATCCTGGATCAAACATTTCTATTGTGGAGAAGATTCCATCAAGAGTGCTTTTCACTTGTTCTTTATTTTATTTTACTTTTTCCCAAGAAGATGGCCACACACAGAGAGAATCATGCTTTTAATTCGTAGAGGAACATTGCCACCTGGATGAAAAATTACATTCTGAAGGCTCAATAAATGAGTTTTATTTCCAACTTTGCTTGTGACTCACTCTCTAAGATGCTTTTTCTACATCTGTGAAATGGAACAATTAATTTCCACCTGTGTCACAGTAGTGATAGAAAAAATGTGTTACAAAATACCTGCAGTATACTTCCAGCTTATTTTGGAGGAATATAAAATATTACCATTATGTGGAATTGATAAAGCTTAGTACACAAGTGTGAATTTTTATAGCATTACAGCATGATACATGGAGAAGAAACGGACAAATTTAGATTACAATATATACTGACATAGATTCTCTGGATAATAAAATAATTTCCCAAAAGAAACTTTGAGAATCAAGAACAAAATAAATATTTATATACAGTATTCACAAATTCTTAAATATTCTTAGCAAGAATACCCTAGGCCAGTATTTTCCAAACTGTATTTATAATGCTGTTTTTATAGTTTATTATAATACATTGCATGAGAAATTAAAAGGTAGTCAATGAAGAATATGTTTGGTGCTCAAATAAGTTTGAGAAATGCTAGGTTGAATAAACAAAGTTTAACAGATTTCTCTCTGTGCATTTTACCTTTCCAAAAGTGAGGAATGGTTTGTAGCATTTCAAAACTTCTTTGACAAGGGAATACAGTTGGGAAAAAGTTGTTATGGACCAGAAATAAATGTAAATACACTTATGTTTAAAATGACTGCTCAGTTTTTGGTTGCTTAAGTGTCCTTGGTAATTAGTGATACTGAGATTAAATTATCTTGCTACTTTTGTATACTCGCTGTTAATTTAAAAATAATATATTAATATCTGTTAATAATTGTGAGATTTTTAACAGCCTGACCACATACATATGTGAGGATACTGACTATATGATATATAATTCTATTTTTATGTCCACAAATATTCTATATATTTATATAAATTATATATATTCTATTTATACATACATGCAAAATTATATGATTCTATTTATGATTAAATATATGATTCTGTTTATATAGATTATATATGTGTATACATGCATATATGAAGAGGGTATAATCCTATTGAGTTGTTTTCTGGGCCTCCTTTCTGTCCATGTTCAAATTTATCCTTCCTTTTCTGTGTGTTTATAAATCGTATAGAAATGGGAAGTAGAGGATTTTAGGGGAAGAAGCAATAAGTATTATTAATGGAAGCCTCATAAGTCATGCAGGTTATGTTACTTTCTTAATTGTGAGGTATTAAAAAAATCACTTTTTGCTCCTTGAAATTAAAGAAAACTGCAAAAAGCCATGATATTCAAGGTTGTTTCAGAAAGTAATAATAGACCTGTCAAGGAACATTAAGATCCTAAAATATTCTGTCATTAGATGTTGTCTGTATTTGGAAAGGGTTATGAAAGCTCTGGCTGGAGAAAAATGTTTTTGACTTGGCTCTTTGGAGACTTGCTGGTTGAAGTAGCTACGAAATTTAACAGCGACCCCTGGAGGCTAGCATCGGAACTGTCACCGGCATAATTTCGTTGTTTTTAACTTTTCAGTTAAAAAACTTTTAACTTTTCAGTTAAAAAAGAAAGCAAGCGTTCTTTGGCTGTCTCTGTGCCGGATGCAGAGGGCACAACTGCTCTGTGGCACAGCCCTCTGTGATCGGCCGCGTGAGGGTCCTGTCATCTTGTCTTTCCCTTGTTTCTTCCTTCAGGGCGCTAGGGACACCACCAAAATGGTTTTATCTGATGATTGTGTTGCTCCAGTCTCTTGTGTTGTGCACGAATCGTTTTGAACAGGATGAGAAAACTCTTCTTCTCAAATGAACGCTATTTCTCTAATGAGAATGCGATCAACATTTAAAATCTCTCCCGGGGAAGGAACTGAGAAGAAAACATTTTTTTTTCCCCCTTGGGAGTTTTGTGACTTATCTGCCGAGAATGTGAAGTGTGGGGGGTACTCAGACATTTTACTCCAAAAGCCATTTCAGAAGGGCTTATTTTGGAAAAACATTTTCTATCTGACAGTTTGTGCTGCTTCTATCTTTTCATTTCCAAGTACGAAATGAGGAATGGTTTACATAAGTGCCACCGCTGTTCACTCCACACAGAGCTTTTAATAAGAATGAATTGTTATTTTTGGAAACATTTTGGACTGTTTATCCAAATGGGATAAATATTAAATAGTTTTTCTTCAAACATAATATGTATGTATTAAAGACAAGCATCATATATCCCAAAAAGAATATGAAGGAAAGAAAAATCCACCAAGGTTGTAAACTGAAATGATTTTTATTATTGGTTAGGTTTTTTTGGGATTTGGATTTTTTTTTTTTTCTTAGAGACGGGGTCTTTCTCTGTTGCACAGGTTGGAGTGCAGTGGTATTTGCATAGCTCACTGCAGCCTCAAACTCCTTGGCTCGGGGATCCTCCCACCTTAGTCTCCTGAGTAGCTAAGACTACCACCAGTGTGCTTCACTATGCCTATTTTTAATTTTTTTTCTTTTTTGTGGAGATGAGAGCCTTGCTATGTTGCCCAGGCTCGTCTTGAATTTCTAGCATCAAGTATAGGTCTTTATAATGATAGCCTTCTTCTCTGAGTATCATAGGCATGATGCGTGGAGTCTTTGCATGTGGGACAGAGTCCTGGCTCTGTCACTTTCAGTCCAATGACCTTGAACAAGTTGTTTGCGCTCTCTGTTATCTGTAAAAGAGGAATAAAACTATCTGTCCAGGCCACATTTTAGAATTCACATTGTATTAAAATCATATGTACTCAGAATACGGTTAAGGACCAAACCACTGTGTGTTTGTATTGTTGTTATTTTTCTAATTCTTTGTGTAGTGTAGAAACTGACTTGGCTTCTGGTGTCTTTGGCAACAGCAGTAAGTAGTAGAACAGTGAAAAAGGAGCATTTATGCTGTTCTCCCACAGCATAAATGAGCATGCAGGCAATTTGGAGCCGTGTCCCAGAGCAAATTGTCTTTGCTGATGAAGGAAGAATTTGCACCTGGCAAGAGAAAAGGACAGGGGGACTATTTCAAAGATCCTTCAGACATTACTAGAGAGTAACACCTTGTTTGAGCTGTACAGACGAACAGAGTTAAATTCATACCTGAGGAGCTATTGCCGGCAGAGTACTGTACAGGCATTTATCTTAAGATGAGTTTGGCATGGGGCTGGAGTGGGGCTGGTGGCCTGGGAGATGTCAGAGAGCACTGGTGAGCAGTAAGTTGACAATGGATTGGGAAGCATGCCAGGTTGAGGAGCATCCTATAGAACCAATCTCTCCTTTTATCCCCCAAATACAAGTCTGCAAGGGATCAAAAGTGGGCTATATTTAAATAATTGGCAAACAAAAATTGTAAAGTTTTTGTATTGAAAGGTCAGTGGTGGTAAGACAAAATGTCTTGTAAATTAAGATTTTAAGAAGTGCATTAAAATGTTTTACAATTACTTTCTGAGATTTCTGTATATCACACTAAAATTTTTTATATCATGTTAATAAAAGTCATTGACCTGGTAAAAAAATAAATAATTGCCTTTAGACAAAGCCTCTTTGGACTTACAGAACAAATAAAGGCAAGAAGATTTAAAAAATAGCACCAAACAACCAGATTTCATTGTCTATACTGACTATCCAGTGATGCTGCTTAAGTGAGACACAGTTCTTAGCTGTTGGCTAAGCAGAGATTTAATTTAATTTGATAAGAAATAGGCAGTTAAAGTAGCTGATTTCTTCCTTGTCTGGCAACTGCTCTATATTTGCCCACATTTTATAAAAGAATTTTGTGCTACTGGCAGTGTGAGGAGCTTGGCACAGCCTTTAGTACATATTAAGCTCTCAATACATGCTCATTAGCAATATTATTATTAGTATTTACTGTCATCATCAGTGCATGTAATGGCAAGGGGAGCTGGCTTTAGGGACAACTAGATCCAGCATATCAAACATGATCTTTCTCATTTCTGCCTCTGCTTGCTAACTTCATTCTCTCCTGACAGCTGCTTCTCCACTCAGCTCTGGACATGGCAGCAGGCAGCTCTGTCTTCTCACCTTTGTTATAACCAGACAGATAAACACACAATTCCCCATTAGCTCAGGCAGGAAAGAACCCTGATTGGTCTGGTGCAGCTCATGTGCTCACATTTTGGACCAATTACCAATCAGTTTCATTGCAATATTTTGTAAGTTGTAAAGACACATGAGAATACGTGGTATTATAATTATTAACATCATTATTGTTTCTATCATCTCTCCCTTCTGTAACTGGCTCACTGCTACTTCAAAATTTGGTACAGATGTGGCCTTTCCAAGAGACTCCTTTTCACCTCTTCAGGACGGGAGGTGTAGCCCTTCTTTGTGTTCCATAATACTTGGTGCTTTCCCTTGTCCTTGCATTTACTGCTCTAGGTTCACCCCTCGACTCTGAGCTCTTTGAGAGAAGAAGATGCTTCTTCATCTATAAAATAATAATTTTGTCAATAAATATTTATTAAGTGTGCTAGAAGACAGACAAATTTTTGTGACAGAGACACGCAATTAATTGTTAAGTATTATTGGCTACTTAATAAATATTTATTGACAAAATTATCATTTTATAGATGAAGCATTGAACTAAATTCGTACTGAACCAAGGATGCCCCTTGGAAGTTATTATTTAAAATAAATCCATGAACAGGGTCTGTTACCCTGTAATTTGTTTCTGCCAATCCTATGACTATATACTACTGTGCTGAGGCAAAATTATCTGAAGATCATAGCCAGAGTTAATGTTAGTTGAACACTTACTATGTGTTGGACTCCTTTCTAAGCACTTTACATGTTTTAACACACACAGTCTTTGCAAGAGTGGCTTGTTACTATTATTATTCTCATTTTACAGAGAGGGAAATGAGGCACAGAGAAATTAAGTAACATGCATAGGGGCACCCAGCTAATACATAAATGATAGAAATGGATTTCAAATGTAATTAGTCTGGTTTGAGAGCCTAGACTCTGAATTATAGACTCCTAGTGTGTAATGTTTCCTGAAATGAATTTTAATAATATAATATCCATACAGACACACCTTTTTGTTGGTAGTAAGGGAGCAAACTCTCTAATTCTTTCTTCTCTACTTTGAACTGATCTCAATCACTCACATCAGCAGCACCACCACCAATATTAAAAGAAACCTACTAAGCTAGCCTGTTAAGTGTAGGATACAGTGGTAGGTACAGGAACAAGAGGTTCATGACATAGCCTTTGCCTTCAAAGAGCTTAAGGCTGAGCATGGTGGCTCATGCCTGTAATCCCAGCAATTTGGGAGGCCGAGGCAGGCGGATCACCTGAGGTCAGGAGTTTGAGACAAGCCTGGCCAACATGGTGAAATCCTGTCTCTACTAAAAATACAAATTATTAGCTGGGCGTGGTGGCGGGTGCCTGTAATCACAGCTACTGGGGAGGCTGAGGCAGGAGAATTCCTTGAACCGAGGAGGCGGAGGTTGCAGTGAGCCAAGATCACACCATTGCACTGCAGCCTGGGGACAAGAGCGAGACTTCATCTCAAAAAAATAAAAAAGCTTAAAATCCTGGTAGAAATATGGCCCATATACATAGGAAGATAAACACCTTTCTGGATAGTCTGTGCTAAGCACAAAATGAAATACAGACAATAAAGTGTTTGGGAGTAGTTATGGTATTTTAAAAGGTGGCAGAAAAATCTGGATTGAAACCCGTGAGATGAGGCACACTCCAGTAGACTGTCAGTTCCTCAAAGATCATGGCAATGTCTTAGCAATCTTGGGATAAACACAGTGTCTGCTGCTGTGCAGAGCAGACCCTCGTCTGCGTTGTGAAGCGAATTGGATCCTAGCTGTATTACTTACAACATGGTAGCAAGCCAGCTACCCTATCTGTGCCACAGTTGAGTCATCTTCCTATTCTTGCTGTGTTAGTTGTGAAGTTAACAAGCTAATCTTGTGAAAGTTGGTGGCAGAGTTCTTAGCACCCAACACTGGGTGCCCTCACTATGTGTCTAGTACAAATCTAGGAACTCAGGAAGGGGACATAGGTGTGGGCTGGTTGCAACGGCTTTGTAAAGTCATCCTGTGGGCATTTGGAGAGGAGTACCCTAGGGCTTTTCTTCGGAAGCTGCAATATGGTGTACTCGAGTGTGGTGTCTCTAGTGACAAACTTCTCCATGGGGAGGCTTGTGGTTGCAGTTGCTGACTCAGCTGGTTGTTGGAGGGCCCTGGAGATGTAAGCTGCTGGGATGAACCCAGACTTACACTCAAAACAAGCCACCGTAAGTCAGCTGCCAGTTCTTCACACTTCTCCAGACTGAGCAAAGCATTGCATTGAAAAGTTGGCCCACAAAACATTTCTGGTGAATCCCAACTGGTTCATAATTTGTATATGCGACTGAAACCATGAACATTTCACGTTCTCTTACATTCTGTTCTTGCAGGCTCCTGCGATCTGTTTTGCTTTTTCTCACATTGTTGAAGTTATGACACCCACCTTTTTTTTTTTTTCTTCTGCACGAGATCCTCTTCTCATAGGCATCCATGGGAGTCTGGAGTTACAATTAGTGACAGGAAACAGACTCACAGCATCTTTCACTCTCTTGCCGCTCCTTGGGGTGGCAGCAGGAGGGAGGCATGCTTTCTCTTTGTGGTCTGGAGCCCCCTGGGTGATAATTTTAGACCATGGACCTTAGCCTCCCACCGTTTCATGGTCAAGTTCACTGAGTCTGGAGAAGTCTCTCCTGGTGTATCTGGAATATGAAGTGACCCAAAGGACCTTTATCCTCAAGTTTCTGTTGAAGCACACAACCTCATTTCTACTTTATGCTCGGCAGACTCACTATCTTTTCTGCTTCCTCTGTTGCTTGTGTTACAGATGGAAGATAAGATTGGAGAGGAGGAAGAGTTAGTTTTGAGTCTCTGACAACAGGGCTGCCACTGCCAGATTGCATCAAACCGTTTTAGGTTTTGTCTTCTGGGAAGCACCATTGCATCATAGTCAAACACGAGGGCCAGGAAGCCCAAGAAGTGTGGGTTTCAATTCCATCTCCACTTATCAGCCACACTTTTGTGCCTCAGTTTTCTTATACACAAGATAAGGCTGGTAATCTGGCCAAACTTTCAGGATAAGAATTATAGACATTTAAGAAACCCAGGAAACTGTCCGGCACATAGGAAGCATTGATATTACTGAGTGATAGCACTGAGCCAGTAAAACCTAGACAGAAGTTGGAAGATAGGGCACAGTGTTCTTGTATCTTCTGAGCAGATGGGTAAAGAAATTGGATAAGAATTCAACGTGGTGGCTGTTGAAAGTCATCACTGGGTCTTCTTGGTCCAGCCATTCCCTTTGGTCTCTGTCTTTGGCCTGGACCACCATCTTACCTCCATCATTCTTGAAGGACACACCTGAAGCCTCACCATTGCAGCAGGCTTATCATCAGGAATTAATAAGGTGCAGGGAATTACTGACAACCTCTGAAACACTGCAAAAGGCACTGCCTCATCTCCTTTGGAATCTTGAAATATTAAGAAGGGAAAGGAGGCATTCGAATGACATTTTAAAGAAAATCTATTTTGCATCTGTAGGTTGCAGTCTCCTAGAGGATGGAGATTGGGCCTTGGGGCCCTGGGCTGCCCTATTTGTGGAACGGTTGGAGTGTTTTGTAGGCACACAGCATGATGACGATGGATTAAATTGGACCCCTAACTGTGTCCACATCCTCTTTCATTGTCAATCCTGGATCTAAGTGTGCACTGATTCATTGACCTGACCTCAACCACCAATGATGAATGAGCAGAAGGTTTTTGTTCTCCTGCTTCCATTATAGGCTTAGCATCTCTCAGAGAGCATTGGCTAGGTTGGCAGACTGTGACACAAATCACAATCATGGCATCTTGGTAGGTTCTAGCATCTATTACTTGAAAGAGGGATGAAAATTAAGTAAAATATGTAAATATTGAAACCATAGCCATCTTCCTGAGAGGTGAAAACTTTCGGTGGGTTTCCTGCACACAGGGACTGACCCAAGTATGGAAGCAGTCTAACACAATACTTGTAAGCTGAATCAGACCAGACTGAAATCTTGGACTTCACACACTGCCATTCATTATAGACCAAGTCCCTCTGGTTTGAGTGATAGGCTCTTATCTTAGCCTTTCCACATTTCTTTATTATTATTTTTTTGAGACGGAGTCTTGCTCTGTCGCCCAGGCTGGAGTGCAGTGGCGCGATATCGGCTCACTGCATCCTCCCTCTCCTGGGTTCAAGTGATTCTCCTGCCTCAGCCTCCTGAGTAGTTGGGATTACAGGTGTGCACCAACACACCTGGCTAATTTTTTGTATTTTTAGTAGAGACAGGGTTTTACCACATTGGCCAGGCTGGTCTCGAACTCCTGACCTCAGGTGATTCTCCTGCTTCGGGCTCCCAAAGTGTTGGAATTACAGGTGTGAGCCACTGCGCCTGGCTATTTATTTATTTTATTATTATTTTAAAATTATACTTTAAGTTCTGGGATACATGTGCAGAGTGTGCAGATTTGTTACATAGATATACACATTCCATGGTGGTTTGCTGCACCCATCAACCCGTCATCTTCATTAGGTATTTCTCCTAATGCTATCCCTCCCCTAGCCCCATCCCCTGACAGGCCCCAGTGTGTGATGTTCCCCTCCCTGTGTCTATGTGTTATCACTGTTCAACTCCCACTTATGAGTGGGAACATGCAGTGTTTGGTTTTCTTTTCCTGTGTTAGTTTGCTGAGAATGATGGTTTCCAGCTTCATCCATGCCCCTGCAAAGGACATGAACTCATCCTTTTTTATGGCTGCATAGTATTCCACGGTGTATATGTGCCACATTTTCTTTATCCAGTCTATCATTGATTGGCATTTAGGTTGGTTCCAAGTCTTTGGTATTGTGAATAGTGCTGCAATAAACTATGTGTGCATGTGTCTTTATAGCAGAATGATTTATAATCCTTTGGGTATATACCCAGTAATGGGATTGCTGGGTCAAATGGTATTTCTTCCACAATGGTTGGACTAATTTACACTCCCACCAACAGTGTAAAAGCATTCCTATTTCTCCACATCCTCTCCAGCATCTTTTGTTTGCTCACTTTTTAATGATCGCCATTCTAACTGGCATTAGATGGTATCTCATTGTGGTTTTGATTTGCATTTCTCTAATGACCAGTGATGATGAGCTTTTTTTCATATGTTTGTTGGCCACATAAATGTCTTCTTTTGAGAAGTGTCTGTTCATATCCTTTGCCCACTTTTTGATGGGGTTGTTTTTTTTTTTCTTGTAAATTTGTGTAAGTTCTTTGTAGATTCCGGATATTAGCCCTTTGTCAGATGGATAAATTGCAAAACTTTTCTCCCATTCCGTAGGTTGCCTGTTCACTCTGATGATAGTTTCTTTTGCTGTGCAGAAGCTCTTTAGCTTAACTAGATCCCACTTGTCAATTTTGGCTTTTGTTGCCATTGCTTTTGGTGTTTTAGTGATGAAGTCTTTGCCCATGCCTATGTCCTGAATGGTATTGCCTAGGTTTTCTTCTATGTTGAACCAGCATTGCATCCCAGGGATGAAGCTGTCTTGATCATGGTGGATAAGCTTTTTGATGTGCTGCTGGATTCAGTTTGCCAGTATTTTATTGAGAATTTTCTCATCGATGTGCATCAGGGATATTGGCCTGAAATTTTCTTTTTTTGGTGTGTCTCTGCCAGGTTTTGGTATCAGGATGATGCTGGCCTCATAAAATGAGCTAGGGAGGAGTTGCTCTTTTTCTGTTGTTTAAAATAGTTTCAGAAGGAATGGTATCAGCTCCTCTTTGTACCTCGGGTAGAATTTGGCTCTGAATCTGTCTGGTCCTTGGCTTCTTTTCGTTGGTAGGCTATTAATTGCTGCCTCAATTTCAGAAGTTGTTATTGGTCTATTCAGAGATTCGACTTCTTTCTGGTTTAGTCTTGGGAGGGTGTATGTGTCCAGGAATTTATCCATTTCTTCTAGATTTTCTAGTTTATTTGCATAGAGGTGTTTATAGTATTCTCTGATGGTACTGTGGGTTCAGTGGTTGGTGATATCCCCTTTATCATTTCTTACCGTGTCTATTTGATTCTTCTCTCTTTTCTTCTTTATTAGTCTGGCTAGCAGTCTATCTATTTTGTTAATCTTTTCAAAAAACCAGCTCCTGGATTCATTTATTTTTTGAACAGTTTTTTGTGTTTCTATCTCCTTCAGTTCTGCTCTGATCTTAGTTATTTATTGCCTTCTGCTAGCTCTTGAACTTGTTTGCTCTTGCTTCTCCAGTTCTTTTAATTGAGATGGTAGGGTGTTGATTTTAGATCTTTCCTGCTTTCTTCTGTGGGCATTTAGTGGTGTAAATTTCCCTCTAAACACTGCTTTAGCTGTGTCCCAGAGATTCTGTTATGTTGTGTCTCTGTTCTCATTGGTTTCAAAGAACTTATTTATTTCTGCCTTAATTTCGTTATTTACCCAGTAGCCATTCAGGAGCAGGTTGTTCAGTTTCCATGTAGTTGTGTGGTTTTATTTATTCATTTTTTATTTATTTATTTATTTATTTTTAAGTTTTTTTTCTTTTATTATTATACTTTAAGTTTTAGGGTACATGTGCACATTGTGCAGGTTAGTTACATATGTATACATGGGCCATGCTGGTGCGCTGCACCCACTAACGCGTCATCTAGCATTAGGTATATCTCCCCATGCTATCCCTCCCCCCTCCCCCCATCCCACAACAGTCCCCAGAGTGTGATGTTCCCCTTCCTGTGTCCATGTGATCTCATTGTTCAATTCGCACCTATGAGTGAGAATATGTGGTGTTTGGTTTTTTGTTCTTTTGATAGTTTACTGAGAATGATGATTTCCAATTTCATCCATGTCCCTACAAAGGACATGAACTCATCATTTTTATGGCTGCATAGTATTCCATGGTGTATATGTGCTACATTTTCTTAATCCAGTCTATCATTGTTGGACATTTGGGTTGGTTCCAAGTCTTTGCTATTGTAAATAATGCCACAATAAACATATGTGTGCATGTGTCTTTATAGCAGCGTGATTTCTAATCCTTTGGGTATATACCCAGTAATGGGATGGCTGGGTCAAATGGTATTTCTGGTTCTAGATCCCTGAGGAATCGCCACACTGACTTCCACAATGGTTGAACTAGTTTACAGTCCCACCAACAGTGTAAAAGTGTTCCTATTTCTCCACATCCTCTCCAGCACCTGTTGTTTCCTGACTTTTTAATGATTGCCATTCTAACTGGTGTGAGATGGTATCTCATTGTGGTTTTGATTTGTATTTCTCTGATGGCCAGTGATGATGAGCATTTTTTCATGTGTTTTTTGGCTGCATAAATGTCTTCTTTTGAGAAGTGTCTGTTCATGTACTTCATCCACTTTTTGATGGGGTTGTTTGTTTTTTTCTTGTAAATTTGTTTGAGTTCATTGTAGATTCTGGATATTAGCCCTTTGTCAGATGAGTAGGTTGCGAAAATTTTCTCCCACTTTGTAGGTTGCCTGCTCACTCTGATGGTAGTTTCTTTTGCTGTGCAGAAGCTCTTTAGTTTAATTAGATCCCATTTGTCAATTTTGTCTTTTGTTGCCATTGCTTTTGGTGTTTTAGACATGAAGTCCTTGCCCATGCCTATGTCCTGAATGGTAATGCCTAGGTTTTCTTCTAGGGTTTTTATGGTTTTAGGTCTAATGTTTAAGTCTTTAATCCATCTTGAATTGATTTTTGTATAAGGTGTAAGGAAGGGATCCAGTTTCAGCTTTCTCCATATGGCTAGCCCATTTTCCCAGCACAATTTATTAAACAGGGAATCCTTTCCCCATTGCTTGTTTTTCTCAGGTTTGTCAAAGATCAGATAGTTGTAGATATGCGGCGTTATTTCTGAGGGCTCTGTTCTGTTCCGTTGATCTATATCTCTGTTTTGGTACCAGTACCATGCTGTTTTGGTTACTGTAGCCTTGTAGTATAGTTTGAAGTCAGGTAGTGTGATGCCTCCAGCTTTGTTCTTTTGGCTTAGGATTGACTTGATGATGCGGGCTCTTTTTTGGTTCCATATGAACTTGAAAGTAGTTTTTTCCAATTCTGTGAAGAAAGGCATTGGTAGCTTGATGGGGATGGCATTGAATCTGTAAATTACCTTGGGCAGTATGGCCATTTTCATGATATTGATTCTTCCTACCCATGAGCATGGAATGTTCTTCCATTTGTTTGTATCCTCTTTTATTTCCTTGAGCAGTGGTTTGTAGTTCTCCTTGAAGAGGTCCTTCACATCCCTTGTAAGTTGGATTCCTAGGTATTTTATTCTCTTTGAAGCAATTGTGAGTGGGAGTTCACTCATGATTTGGCTCTCTGTTTGTCTGTTGTTGGTGTATAAGAATGCTTGTGATTTTTGTACATTGATTTTGTATCCTGAGACTTTGCTGAAGTTGCTTATCAGCTTAAGGAGATTTTGGGCTGAGACGATGGGGTTTTCTAGATATACAATCACGTCGCCTGCAAACAGGGACAATTTGACTTCCTCTTTTCCTGATTGAATACCCTTTATTTCCTTCTCCTGTCTAATTGCCCTGGCCAGAACTTCCAACACTATGTTGAATAGGAGTGGTGAGAGAGGGCATCCCTGTCTTGTGCCAGTTTTCAAAGGGAATGCTTCCAGTTTTTGCCCATTCAGTATGATATTGGCTGTGGGTTTGTCATAGATAGCTCTTATTATTTTGAAATACGTCCCATCAATACCTAATTTATTGAGAGTTTTTAGCATGAAGCGTTGTTGAATTTTGTCAAAGGCTTTTTCTGCATCTATTGAGATAATCATGTGGTTTTTGTCTTTGGCTCTGTTTATATGCTGGATTACATTTATTGACTTGTGTATATTGAACCAGCCTTGCATCCCAGGGATGAAGCCCACTTGATCATGGTGGATAAGCTTTTTGATGTGCTGCTGGATTCGGTTTGCCAGTATTTTATTGAGGATTTTTGCATCAATGTTCATCAAGGATATTGGTCTAAAATTCTCTTTTTTTGTTGTGTCTCTGCCTGGCTTTGGTATCAGAATGATGCTGGCCTCATAAAATGAGTTAGGGAGGATTCCCTCTTTTTCTATTGATTGGAATAGTTTCAGAAGGAATGGTACCAGTTCCTCCTTGTACCTCTGGTAGAATTCGGCTGTGAATCCATCTGGTCCTGGACTCTTTTTGGTTGGTAAGCTATTGATTATTGCCACAATTTCAGATCCTGTTATTGGTCTATTCAGAGATTCAACTTCTTCCTGGTTTAGTCTTGGGAGAGTGTATGTGTCGAGGAATTTATCCATTTCTTCTAGATTTTCTAGTTCATTTGCATAGAGGTGTTTATAGTATTCTCTGACGGTAGTTTGCATTTCTGTGGGATCGGTGGTGATATCCCCTTTATCATTTTTTATTGTGCCTATTTGATTCTTCTCTCTTTTTTTTCTTTATTAGTCTTGCTAGCGGTCTATCAATTTTGTTGATCCTTTCAAAAAACCAGCTCCTGGATTCATTAATTTTTTGAAGGGTTTTTTGTGTCTCTATTTCCTTCAGTTCTGCTCTGATTTTAGTTATTTCTTGCCGTCTGCTAGCTTTTGAATGTGTTTGCTCTTGCTTTTCTAGTTCTTTTAATTGTGATGTTAGGGTGTCAATTTTGGATCTTTCCTGCTTTCTCTTGTGGGCATTTAGTGCTATAAATTTCCCTCTACACACTGCTTTGAATGTGTCCCAGAGATTCTGGTATGTTGTGTCTTTGTTCTCGTTGGTTTCAAAGAACATCTTTATTTCTGCCTTCATTTCGTTATGTACCCAGTAGTCATTCAGGAGCAGGTTGTTCAGTTTCCATGTAGTTGAGCGGTTTTGAGTGAGATTCTTAATCCTGAGTTCTAGTTTGATTGCACTGTGGTCTGAGAGATAGTTTGTTATAATTTGTGTTATTTTACATTTGCTGAAGAGAGCTTTACTTCCAAGTATGTGGTCAATTTTGGAATAGGTGTGGTGTGGTGCTGAAAAAAATGTATATTCTGTTGATTTGGGGTGGAGAGTTCTGTAGATGTCTATTAGGTCCGCTTGGTAGCAGAGCTAAGTTCAATTCCTGGGTATCCTTGTTGACTTTCTGTCTCGTTGATCTGTCTAATGTTGACAGTGGGGTGTTAAAATCTCCCATTATTAATGTGTGGGAGTCTAAGTCTCTTTGTAGGTCACTCAGGACTTGCTTTATGAATCTGGATGCTCCTGTGTTGGGTGCATATATATTTAGGATAGTTAGCTCTTCTTGTTGAATTGATCCCTTTACCGTTATGTAATGGCCTTCTTTGTCTCTTTCGATCTTTGTTGGTTTAAAGTCTGTTTTATCAGAGACTAGGATTGCAACCCCTGCCTTTTTTTGTTTTCCATTTCTTGGTAGATCTTCCTCCATCCTTTTATTTTGAGCCTATGTGAGTCTCTGCACGTGAGATGGGTTTTCTGAATACAGCACACTGATGGGTCTTGACTCTATCCAATTTGCCAGTCTGTGTCTTTTAATTGGAGCATTTAGTCCATTTACATTTAAAGTTAATATTGTTATGTGTGAATTTGATCCTGTCATTATGATGTTAGCTGGTTATTTTGCTTGTTAGTTGATGCAGTTTCTTCCTAGTCTCGATGGTCTTTACATTTTGGCATGATTTTGCAGCGGCTGGTACCGGTTGTTCCTTTCCACGTTTAGCGCTTCCTTCAGGAGCTCTTTTAGGGCAGGCCTGGTGGTGACAAAATCTCTCAGCATTTGCTTGTCTGTAAAGTATTTTATTTCTCCTTCACTTATGAAGCTTAGTTTGGCTGGATATGAAATTCTGGGTTGAAAATTCTTTCTTTAAGAATGTTGAATATTGGCCCCCACTCTCTTCTGGCTTGTAGGGTTTCTGCCGAGAGATCCGCTGTTAGTCTGATGGGCTTCCCTTTGAGGGTAACCTGACCTTTCTCTTTGGCTGCCCTTAACATTTTTTCCTTCATTTCAACTTTGGTGAATCTGACAATTATGTGTCTTGGAGTTGCTCTTCTCGAGGAGTATCTTTGTGGCATTCTCTGTATTTCCTGAATCTGAACGTTGGCCTGCCTTGCTGGATTGGGGAAGTTCTCCTGGATAATATCCTGCAGAGTGTTTTCCAACTTGGTTCCATTCTCCCCATCACTTTCAGGTACACCAATCAGACGTAGATTTGGTCTTTTCACATAGTCCCATATTTCTTGGAGGCTTTGCTCATTTCTTTTTATTCTTTTTTCTCTAAACTTCCCTTCTCACTTCATTTCATTCATTTCATCTTCCATCGCTGATACCCTTTCTTCCAGTTGATCGCATCGGCTCCTGAGGCTTCTGCATTCTTCACGTAGTTCTCGAGCCTTGGTTTTCAGCTCCATCAGCTCCTTTAAGCACTTCTCTGTATTGGTTATTCTAGTTATACATTCTTCTAAATTTTTTCAAAGTTTTCAACTTCTTTGCCTTTGGTTTGAATGTCCTCCTGTAGCTCAGAGTAATTTGATCGTCTGAAGCCTTCTCTCAGCTCGTCAAAGTCATTCTCCGTCCAGCTTTGTTCTGTTGCTGGTGAGGAACTGCATTCCTTTGGAGGAGGAGAGGCGCTCTGCTTTTTAGAGTTTCCGGTTTTTCTGTTCTGTTTTTTCCCCATCTTTGTGGTTTTATCTACTTTTGGACTTTGATGATGGTGATGTACAGATGGGTTTTTGGTGTGGATGTCCTTTCTGTTTGTTAGTTTTCCTTCTAACAGACAGGACCCTCAGCTGCAGGTCTGTTGGAGTACCCTGCCGTGTGAGGTGTCAGTGTGCCCCTGTTGGGGGGGTGCCTCCCAGTTAGGCTGCTCGGGGGTCAGGGGTCAGGCACCCACTTGAGGAGGCAGTCTGCCCATTCTCAGATCTCCAGCTGCGTGCTGGGAGAACCACTGCTCTCTTCAAAGCTGTCAGACAGGGACACTTAAGTCTGCAGAGGTTACTGCTGTCTTTTTGTTTGTCTGTGCCCTGCCCCCAGAGGTGGAGCCTACCGAGGCAGGCAGGCCTCCTTGAGCTGTGGTGGGCTCCACCCAGTTCGAGCTTCCCGGCTGCTTTGTTTACCTAATCAAGCCTGGGCAATGGCGGGCGCCCCTCCCCCAGCCTCGCTGCCGCCTTGCAGTTTGATCTCAGACTGCTGTGCTAGCAATCAGCGAGACTCCGTGGGCGTGGGACCCTCCGAGCCAGGTGCGGGATATAATCTTGTGGTTCGCCATTTTTTAAGCCCGCCGGAAAAGCGCAGTATTCGTGTGGGAGTGACCCGATTTTCCAGGTGCCCTCCGTCACCCCTTTCTTTGACTCGGAAAGGGAACTCCCTGACCCCTTGCGCTTCCCGAGTGAGGCAATGCCTCGCCCTGCTTCGGCTCGCGCACGGTGCGCGCACCCACTGACCTGCGCCCACTGTCTGGCACTCCCTAGTGAGATGAACCCGGTACCTCAGATGGAAATGCAGAAATCACCGTCTTCTGCGTCGCTCACGCTGGGAGCTGTAGACCGGAGCTGTTCCTATTCGGCCATCTTGGCTCCCAGTTGTGTGGTTTTAAGTGAGTTTCTTAACTCTGAGTTCTAATTTGATTGCACTGTGGTCTGAGAGACTGTCTGTTATGATTTCTGTTCTTTTGCCTTTGCTGAGGAGTGTTTTACTTTTAATTATGCGGTCAATTTTAGAATAAGTGTGATGTGGTGCTGGGAAGAATGTATATTCTGTTGATTTGGGCTGGAGAGTTCTGTAGATGTCTAGTAGGTCAGCTTGGTCCAGAGCTGAGTTCAAGTCCCGAATATCCTTGTTAATTTTCTGTCTCATTGATCTGTCTAATATTGACAGTGGGGTGTTAAAATCTCCCACTATTATTGTGTGGGAGTCTAAGTCTCTTTGTAGGTCTCTAAGAACTTGCTTTATGAATCTGGGTGCCCTGTATTGGGTGCATATGTATTTAGGATGGTTAGCTCTCCTTGTTGCATTGATCCTTTTACCATCATGTAATGCCCTTCTTTGTCTCTTTTGATCTTTGTTGGTTTAAAGTCTGTTTTATCAGAGACTAGGATTGCAACTCCTGCCTTTTTTTGCTTTCCATTTGCTTGGTAAATATTCCTCCATCCCTTTATTTTGAGCCTATGTGTGTCTCTGCACGTGAGATGGGTTTCCTGAATACAGCACACTGATGGATCTTGACTCTTTATCCAACTTGCCAGTCTGTGTCTTTTAATTGGGGCATTTAGCCCATTTACATTTAAGGTTAATATTGTTATGTGTGAATTTGATCCTGTGTTTATGATGCTAGCTGGTTATTGTGCCCATTAGTTGATTCAGTTTCTTCATAGTGTCAATGGTATTTACAATGTGGTAAGTTTTTGCAGTGGCTGGAACTGTTTTTTTCTTTCCATATTTAGTGCTTCCTTCAGTAGCTCTTGTAAGGCAGGCCTGTTGGTGGCAAAATCTCTCAGCATTTGCTTGTCTATAAAGGATTTTATTTCTCCTTCACTTATGAAGCTTATTTTGACTGTATATGAAATTCTGGGTTGAGATAGACTGGATTAAGAAAATGTGGCACATATACACCATGGAATACTATGCAGCCATAAAAAGGGATGAGTTCATGTCCTTTGTAGAGACATGGATAAAGCTGGAAAGCATCATTCTGAGCAAACTATCGCAAGGACAGAAAACCAAACACCGCATGTTCTCACTCATAGGTGGGAACTGAACAATGAGAACACTTAGACACAGGATGGGGAACATCACACACTGGGGCCTGTCATGGGGTCGGGGGAGGGGGGAGGGATAGCATTAGGAGATATACCTAATGTAAATGACGAGTTAATGGGTGCAGCACACCAACATGGCACATGTATACATATGTAACAAACCTGCACGTTGTGCACATGTACCCTAGAACTTAGAGTATAAACAAAAAAAAAAAAGAGAGAGATGGAAAAAAAAAAAGAAATTCTGGGTTGAAAATTCTTTCTTTAAGAATGTTGAATATTGGCCCCCACTCTCTTCTGGCTTGTAGGGTTTCTGCCGAGAGATCCACTGTTAGTCTGATGGGCTTCCCTTTGCGGGTAACCTGACCTTTCTCTCTGGCTGCCCTTAACATTTTTTTCCTTCATTTCAACCTTGGTGAATCTGACAATTTTTTGTCTTGGGGTTGCTCTTCTCAAAGAATATCTTTGTGGTATCCTCTGTATTTCCTCAATTTGAATGTTGGCCTGTTTTGCTAGGTTGGGGAAGTTCTGTCCAGGCCTGCGGCTTCCCTTAAAACCAAGATTGTCCTTAAAAGCCTAGCATACATGTTTAATCACTTTATTAAACATGGGTAATATCCTGAAGAGTGTTTCCCAACTTGGTTCCATTCTCCCCCGACTTTTCAGATGCACCAATCAAACATAGGTTTGGTCTTTTCACATAGTCCCGTATTTCTTGGAGGCTTTGTTCGTTCCTTTTCATTCTTTTTTTCTCTAATCTTGTTTTCATGCTTTATTTCATTAAGCTGATCTTTAATCTCTGACATCCTTTCTTCCGCTTGATCGATTTGGCTACTGATACTTGTGTATGCTTCATGAAGTTCTCGTGCTGTGTTTTTCAGCTCTATCATATCATTTATGTTCTTCTCTAAACTGGTTATTCCAGTTAGCAATTCATCTAACCTTTTTTCAAGGTTCTTAGCTTCCTTGCATTGGGTTAGAAAGTGCTCTTTTAGATCGGAGGAGTTTGTTATTACCCACCTTCTGAAGCGTACTTCTGTCAATTCGTCAAACTCATTCTTCGTCCAGTTTTGTTCCCTTGCTGGCAAGGAGTTGTGATCCTTTGGAGGAGAAGAGGCGTTCAGGTTTTTGGAGTTTTCAGCCTTTTTGCACTGGTTTTTCCTCATCTTCGTGGATTTATCTACTTTTGGTCTTTGATGTTGGTGACCTTTGGATGGGGTTGGTGTGGATGTCCTTTATGTTAATGTTGATGCTATTCCTTTCTGTTTGCTAGTTTTCCTTCTAACAGGCCCCTCTGCTGCATATCTGCTGGAGCTTGCTGGAGGTCCACTCCAGACCCTGTTCGCCTGGGTATCACCAGCAGAGGCTGCAGAACAGCAAAGATTGCTGCCTGTTCCTTCCTCTGGAAGCTTTGTCCCAGAGGGGCACCAACAAGATGCCAGCTGGAGCTCTCCTGTATGAGGTGTCTGTCGACCCCTGCTGGGAGGTGTCTCCCAGTCAGGAGGCATGGGGGCCAGGGACCCACTTGAGGAAGCAGTCTGTTGCTTAGCAGAGCTCAAGTGCTGTGTTGGGAGATCTGCTGCTCTCTTCAGAGCTGGCAGGCAGGAATGTTTAAGTCTGCTGAAGCTGTGCTCACATTTGCCCCTTCCCCGAGGTGCTCTGTCTCAGGGAGATGGGAGTTTTATCTATAAGCCCCTGACTGGGGCTGCTGCCTTTCTTTCAGAGATGCCCTTCCAAGAGAGGAGGAATCTAGAGAGGCAGTCTGGCTATAGCAGCTTTGCTGAGCTGCAGTGGGCTCTGCCCAGTTTGAACTTCCCCATGGCTTTGTTTACACTATGAGGGGAAAACTGCCTACTCAAGCCTCAGTAATGGTGGACTCCCCTTCCCCCACCAAGCTTGAGTGTCCCAGGTCAACTTTAGGCTGCTGTGTTGGCATTGAGTATTTCAAGCCAGTGGATCTTAGCTTGCTGGGCTCCATGGAGGTGGGATCCACTGAGCTGGACCACTTAGCTCCCTGGCTTCAGCCCTTTTTCCAGGGAGGTGAATGGTTCTGTCTCGCTGGTGTTCCAGGCGCCACTGGGGTATGAAAAAAATCATCTGCAGCTAGCTCAGTGTCTGCTCAAATGGCCACCCAGTTTTGTGCTTGAAACCCAGGGCCCTGGTGGTGTAGGCACCTGAGGGAATCTCCTGGTCTGCGGTTGCGAAGACCTTGGGAAAATTTTAGTATCTGGGCTGGAATGCACCGTTTCTCATGGCACAGTCTCTCATGGCTTCCCTTGGCTATGGGAGGGTGTTCCCTGACCACTTGTGCTTCCTGGGTGAGCTGACTCCCCAACCTGCTTCGGCTTGCCCTCCTTTGGCTGCACCCACTTTCTAACCAGTCCCAATGAGATGAGCTGGGTACCTCAGTCGGAAATGCAGAAATCACCCACCTTCTGCGTTGGTCTCGCTGGGAGTTGCAGACTGGAGCTGTTCCTATTCGGCCATCTTGCCAGCCACCTCTTTATTTTTAATACTTATATGTTTGAAGATTGAAAACTAGGGAGAATGGGAAGGGAATTTATAGTTAAAGAGAATGAGTTTTTCTCTGTCCTTGTGCCCTGGGGAAAGTAGGAAGACAAATCCCTGAGAATTGGAGAATTTCATGCCAGCGTGAGATTACTGTGCTCTGTTCAGGCCTGCGGCTTCCCTTAAAACCAAGATTGTCCTTAAAAGCCTAGCATACATGTTTAATCACTTTATTGTTATGCAAGATAAAGTGACCACATATCTGATTCATTCTTGAGAGGCAAGAAGATGACCATAAGGGAATCTATCTTATCCCTTCTCTTTCGTCCTAGTCTCAGCAAGTGAGAGAAGGTTGGTCGTTTGGTTTAGTCTGGACATTTTCCTTGTTCCAGGTCAATAAATATCTATTGAACAGCTTCTGTGAATCAGGCACAATGTTAGACTCAGGGGAGACAAAAATAAATGCGGTAACAGCTTTTAAGAGTTTGTATTGCAGGAGGAAAGAGAGGGAAAGCAGAAGATGGGGAGGGAAGGGAGCAAGGCCAGTTCTTTCCTCTAGGACACAGGGTGAAATGAACACCGTCACCTGAACTGGCCATCTGCAATAACTTCCAATACTCCACCATTAGTCCATAGAATAATGGCTTCTCCAAGATCCCTCCAGATATAAAAGAAGCACTGCATCCTTTACAAGCCCTCAAGAACATTTCAATAAATGGAATCTTTCCTGCTCTGCCATTTACTACATATATGACTAATGCAAGTTAGTTTAACCGTCCAGGCTTCAGTTTCTTCATCTGTAAAATGGGAATATTAATGGTTTTTGTAAAGTAACACATTAAATATTCTTAGCACACTCAAAAAATTTGGAGTTATTATTATTATTGTGCTTCTTGAGGCACTTTTGGGTAGAGGCTATTTTTTCACATATGATTTATTTAAAGATTAGACAGTGCAGTAAGTGTCTTTCTTCCTCCCTTATGACACAGTTAGACCATAACTACCCTTTCTTTTTTTAAAAATTTCAATCCTTTGGGGCTAAAATCATCCAGGTGTACCACTTTCTCCCCCTCCTATTCATTGTAATTTCCTCACTTTCTGAGAAGTAAATCTCCGTCTCTGTCACTGAAGACTTTAGAACCTGGCTCCCAATCTTTCTGTCTACTTCAACATCTGTCTTCATTCTAGTTGACTTAAACATCCACAGTGAAATCTATTCAACATTCCAAACTTTCGGTTTTTGAGAACTTCATCTACAAGGACTTCCTCTTCCACTTTTAGGTTGAGCAGGCCTCTCCCATGGCTACACTCTGATGGCTGTCATCACTGGAGGCTTCCCCATCTGCAGAATCTCTAAATCACACAACCCACTCCTGAAAGCTGCTTGTTGTATCTTCCCCACTCCCCTGCTCACAATCCCCCTACATCTCCAGTCCATTGACCCTTCCACTTTCTCTCTCCCCACAAGCCCTTCTAGTGTCTACATTCCCTTTGTCCAGCTTAGACTTCATTGTTCACACAAGCTTTTATTTGTTGCAAATATCTTCCTGTTTGTCTTTCTGCCCAGCTGACAAAGCCCCAGGTCTGGATGAACCCAGCCACCAACCTTCTCCGGTCTACTCGCCCCAGTCTTCCTTTTTGAAACAGAATCTTTCTCTGTCACCTGGGCTATAGTGCAGTGGCTCAATCGTAGCTCATTGTAGCCTCAAACTCCTGGACGCAAGCAATCCTCCTACCTCAGCCTCCTGAATAGCTGGGACTATTGGCAGGTGCCACCATGCCCAGCTAATTTTTTGTTTTTTTTGTAGAGATAGGGGTCTCACTACGTTGTGCAGGCTGGTCTCAAACCCCTGGCTTCAAGCAATCCTTCCACCTTTGCCTCCCAAAGTGCTGGGATTACAGGAGTGAGCCTTGGCTCCCAGCTCAGGTCTACTCTTGAATGTCTTGGCATGGCTGGAGAGTATCTCACGGCCTAGCAGATGATAACACTGTGCATTCACAATCACCAAACACAATTGGCTTCTCCTCATGGCATGGCAAGCTTAGTACTACTTTCTTTTAGGAAGCACCATCCTGCTTTCCTGAAAGGCTATTTTATGCCTTTTTCATTCTCCTTAAAACTGCCCACTCTCCCTTGATCTCATAACATGACTCTGCCTCACATTTAGAAGCTCTCAGATGGAAATGCCCTCACGTTCCCTTCACATGATCTACCTGGAAGCCTGCGTCTGCACCCTCTTTTCACAACAGTTCTCATGGAGGACATGCCCCTCTTCCTCTCCAAGGCCAATTGCTCCATATGTGTCTTGAATCCCATTCCCTCTAGCCTTTCCCATCTATCTGGATTTATCCGATCAGTACTAAAATATTCTGTTGTATCTCCCATCAGGAACAATCCCAAAGACAACAGCAACAAAGACAACAGTGACAAATGACAACCATGGCCGCCCCCCACCCATGACCCTGGCCTCTCTCCTGTGACTGTGCTTTCACAGCCACCCTCACCCAAGCCTGGTCTGCTCCTGCCCACGTGCTTCCCCACCTCTGTTTTTCCCACCTCTCCAGCCTGGCTTCTGTCCTCACAACTCCATGGCATCACTACTTACTATGGTTACTTGGGTGTTGTTAAATCCAATGGGCTCATTTCAGCTCTCATTTTTCGTCGTTTGGGTCAACATTCAACATGCCTTTATGGAAATGCTATCTTACTTTCCTGGTACCAAGCACTCTCCGTTTTCCTCCCATCCCATGGCTTCTCCTTCCCAGGCTTCTTGACCTCCATGGGAATGTTGAGCCGTCTTCTTCCTCTATATGTTCCTTGGGCAATCTCAGTCACTCCTGCAGTTTTGCTCATAGTTCATATATGTCTGTAGCTTCCCTGTTTATGTTTTAATTCTGACTTCTCTTTTGAGCGATAGACATATCCACTTTAGTGGTTGGAGACATTTTAAGCTTGAATTATCTGATATTAAACTCTTGACCTTTTTCTACTGCCACTTTTCCCACTCCCCAATATGGTCTTATTTTGGTATACTCCATTCCACAGGTAGTACCCCTGTCTACTCTGTTGTCTGACAGCCATTTGAATTTCAAGTTTGTCAATTCTACTTCAAAAATATGTATTAAACCCATCTCTACATCCTAGTGTAAGCCAATAGCATTTCATGTTAGAGTTGCTGCAATAGCTTCTCAATAGCTCCCCCATGTCTACTTTTATATTCTGATTTATTCTGCACACTGTAGTCAGAATGACTTTTTTTAAAAGCAAAAGTGTGATCATGTTATTGTTTCCCATTGCATTTAGAATAAAATACAAAATTAATAACATAACCAATAAGACTGCCCGATTAGGTTCCTGCCAACTCTTGCCAGTCTTTGCTTTGCTTCTGCTATTCCAGCTACTGAGGCCTTCTTCCAGTTCTGAGAATGTGCCCAGCTCTCTCCTGCCTCAGAGATTTCTCATGGGCTGTTTGCTCTGCCTGGAATTCTCTTTTCCCCACTCTTTCCCTGACTAATTTCTACACATACCTCAGGTCCCAGAAATTAGGTTTGCGTGATATAAATACTCGCATAGCAGTCTCTGCTCCTCCATCATAGCACTTATCATGATCCCTGTCTTCATTTATGTGGTTATTTGTTTATTTATCTCCCTACTAGACTGTGAGCTCTTGGAAGGCAAGGACTACTCAGTCTTCCCACCCCTTTATCATCAGCCGCTAGCACAGTCTGGCACATGGCAAGGGCCCAATAATTTATTCTGAACTCAGGAATCGTTCACTAAAATAATCTGGAGGTGGTTATGTAAGTAGGTGTTTGTTTTCTCATTTATTGACTCATTCATTCATTCATTCAACACATAGCTAGGTATTTTCGAATCCAAGGCGAGAATAAATTGTTCTCTTCAACTTCCCTCAACTCTTTTCTCTCTTAGCAGGTTTTATCTGGCTCCTCAAGGAATCAGTCCCTGGCAGTGGCCACACTTGTCATGTCTGTCTGGTTCACTGGATGGATTAGGTTTCAGGAAAGCGTTCTCTTCTCACTGAGTCTTGCGCTGTTCTGTTCCTGAATGTTCTTACTGTTCTTAATTCTGTCACAAATAATATGAACTCATCCACCAAAGGTGAGATCAGATGGGTCTAGAGGGTCACTTAGGTGATTTGTGGGTATTTTGTTAAACAAATATTTATCAGACAACAAGTGTGTGCTAGGCTTTCCTAGACTTTTATCATGACAATCTTTTATTCTCATAACAACATTTTACATGGGGTTTTGCTATTTCTGCTTTATAGATGGGAAAACTGAGGCTCAAGGAATTAAGTTGCTCCTTATCACAGAGATAGAGCTGTTTTCTTTTTGTTCTAGTATGACTGTATTTTTCAAAATTGTTAATTTATGCTCACAAATAAGCACAGCCAAGTATTGAATTATACTTGATAGTTCTTCTTTTGGAGGATTTAAACACACATATTATGAAATTCTATTTTACAGGAGTGAGATACTAGTGACCCAGAGATCCAGTCAATTGTCCAGAATTTAGCTATGCCCTGTGTTTTGGAGGGAAATGTACACGATTCACTCTGTACCAAGTCAGGCAGAAATATGGCACCGCCCTTCTAGACAGACATCTGTTCAAATATAAATTTCCTGTTTATTGAGGCTTCTGCTCTATTGAAGTAAAGGTCTCGATACGGCTGAACAAGTCAATCATTATAAACCTTGTTAGTGTGACAGCCCCTTGTGTATTGTTTAACTGGAAATGAAACACAAATACACCAAACCCCTGCAGTATCCGCTTCACGGTGCATAAATCTACTGTGCATCATGTCATTTGAAATTTGATGGCAATCTACCAAATGGCAGAAAAGACTCCATCCTCAGAGGGCCATGCAAATGATTCCAGGCTCTGAACAATAAGGTGAGAGGACACAGCCTGTCCTTGGCTCCCCTCCCCCACATCCTTCCCAGAAAGCATTCCCTAGGGTAATTTCTTAGTGGCAACTGGTGAATTATCCAAATACAAACGACCAGTGTTCAGAACCACATGCAGATCTGGCTTCAGATGTACTAAATAGGATTGAATCGTTCTTCCTGCCTTCTACTACCCAAGCTGAATTATTATTGCTTGCAGCGAAACCCTCTCAGACCCTTATTAAGCCGTCTTAATTGCTTTCCTCAGCTTTCTTTCTCTTTTATTCAAACCTCAGAGGTGAAGGATAATCTGCTCTTAGTTATGCTAAGATAAAGATGCTCATCTCGCCTTGCTCTCCCTCCCTCCCTCCCTCCCTCCCCCTACTTTATCACACATCTATGCCATAGACAAACCTGCATTTTCATTTTGGAAAGGTCCAAACCAGCCCGGTAGTCTGCTGATAATAGTCCTGGACTGAGGTTAAATTATTTTAGCAGTGATCATCTTTCCTTGGTTTGGGTTTTAAATGGATAGGGCATTTCTCTATTTAGTTCTCCTGGGAAGATTTAGTCACAAATTGTTAGAATCAGAGCTGGAAATCTCAAAGTACCATCCATTCCGGTTGCTATTCTTGAGCAGATTAAATCATTCAAAACAAGCAGTTGGCTGCTTGAATCGGTCCTTCTGGGTCATGGCCCAACCTTGTCAGGGCTGCCCCTGAAGGCTGGGCCCAGGTGTAGGAAGGCTGGGACAAGCTGGTGGCAGCTCCATTAGCAGCTCATGGGAGGAGGGGGCTGGCTGCAGTCTGGAGAGGTTGGGCCTAGTGAGTACATAAATGGGGCTGCCAAGCCAAGCAGGCAGAGCAGCAGAAGGTGGCGATGAAGCAGAGTTAGGAATGTGGCCAGATTGTGGAGGATCTACTTCCAATAAAGCCATTGTCTACTTCACCAATTCTTTCAGGAGCATCTAAGGGGAGTTATGAGACTCTTAAAGGGCTGAACGTGTGTGACAATCTTTTCTATGTTCAATGACTTTCTTGGAAACATTTAATGATCTTTTTTCCCCTTATCAAACATAACTTCCCCTGTGTCATTGAATGCCTCATTTTTGAGCAAAAGTGTAATACCAGTGGACTGGGGAGGTCCCCAGACACCAGTGGGACCTCAACTTCAGCCAGTGTCAAGGCTCTTAACACCATTGTGAGAAGGAATTCAAGGATGAGTCAGAAAATAGAGAAAGTATAGAGATTTATTGCAAAGTGAAAAGTACACACTCAAGAAGGGGAGCGTGTGTGTACTCAAGAGAGTTGCACAATGGGGCTTGAGGTTTCTATGTTGGGTTTTTAACCAAAGGGTGGAATATGCATGAAAATTCCTGAAAAAGCTGGAGATTTCTTAGAACTGTGGTGCCACCCATTTTTACACCAAATATCAGTGTTCTTGTGTATTAGTCTGTTTTTGCATTGCTATAAAGAACTACCCGAGACTGGGTCATTTATAAAGCAAAGAGGTGTAATTGGCTCACAGTTCTGCAAGCTGTACAGAAAGTATGGCTGGGGAGGTCTCAGGAAACTTACAATCATGGTAGAAGGTGAAGACGAAGGAGGCACATCTTATATGGCAGGAGCAGAAGGAAGAAAGCAGGGAGGTGCTACACACTTTTAAACAACCAGATCTCATGAGAATTCACTCACTATCAGGAGACCAGCAAGGGAGAAGTCTGCCCTCGTGATCCAATCACCTCCCACCAGGCTCCCCCTCCAATATTGAGGATTACAATTAGACATGAGATTTGGGCAGGGACACAAATCTAAACCATATCATCTCAGAGCTGTCATGGCACTTCCAAGCTCCCACTTGGTTTTTCTGTTCCTGTCTTAATTTGCTTAGGATAATGGCCTCTAGCTGCATCCACGTTGCTAAAAAGCACAAGATTTCATTCCTTTTTAAGGCTGCATAGTATTTCATGGTGTATATGTACCACACTTGCTTTATCCAGACCACTGTTTACGGGCATCTAGGTTGATTCCATGTCTTTGTTATTGTGAAAAGTGCTGTGATGAACATGTGTGTGCATGTATCTTTATGGCAGAACAATTTACATTCCTTGGGGTACATGCACAGTAATGGGATTGCTGGCTCAAATGGTAGTTCTGTTTTAAATTCTCTGGGAAATCTCTAAACTGCTTTTCACAGTGATTGGGTGTGTGATTGAGTCAGTCAGTGAGTGTAAAATGAGGTCCTAGGTGAAACATAGGTCAAATCCAGTGTCATACTGGGTCCAGTTGGTCTTCGCCAACTTGGTCCACACCCTGTTTTCCGTGGTCTTATCAACCCATAGCTTCTGCAGCTATTTCAACAATTTCCTTTTGCTTAGTCATGTGAAACTGCTGCCTGGAATTTTCTATTTTCCTGCAACCACTCTGTATTATTCTTGACACAGGAGGAATTTATCAAATGTTATAACACAATCTATTCTTATTTCTCCTTAAGAAAACATCTGTGTAACTTTTGAGGGAATCAAACATGGAAAAGCATATTCCATACAACTGTTTGATTATATTTTAAAATATATTCTTATGATAAGCTCTTGAAACATCGAAGCAATGTATGAAAACATTCTTGAACCATTTTAGGTTAGGCGTACCTTATGAATTAAAAACAGCAGGTTCTATCTCTTGTTGATGAAAGGAGAAAATAGTCTTTCTTTGGAAGGCAAACAATTTTTGTCCTGGAGAACATTTGGTTTCATAGGAAAGCTGTTGATGTCTCAGAAGAAACAGTTTATTTTCTCTCTCAGGACAAGGAAATTGCTCGAAAAATATTTTTTATGATTCAGGAATAGGTGAATCTTTGTAGATTTCAAAACTGTAGTATTCTATAGGAACATACGTATGCTTTTAAGTTTATACAACAGCAAGACGTCCTCTAGATTTAATAATCTTTTCATTATTCTTGGGGCCAGAGAATATGTTGTTTCAAGTTTAGGTTGGTTTTCATTAAACAGGGGGAAGAACAGAGCTTTAGACTTTCGGTTTTGAGGATGCAGCAAGACTTTGCAATTATGACAATCATTAGTTTACAAGTCTTGCTTCTCATGTCACTCCATTAATTCTTCCTGAGCAGCATCATTACATATATATATATATATATATATATATATATATATATATATATATATATATATATATTTATTTATTTATTTTTTTTTGAGATGGAATCTCACTCTGTCACCCAGGCTGGAGTGCAGTGGTGTGATCTTGGCTCACTGCAACCTCTGCCTTCCAGGTTCAAGCAATTCTCCTGGCTCAGCCTCCTGAGTAGCTGGGATTATGGGTGCGCACCACCATGCCTGGCTAATTTTGGTATTTTTAGTAGAGAGGGGTTTCACCATGTTGTTCAGGCTGGTCTTGAACTCCTGACCTTGTGATCTGCCTGCCTCAGTCTCCCAAAGCGCTGGGATTACAGGCATGAGCCACCGCGCCCAGCCTATAATTCCTGACTATGTAATTTTCTGACATTTTTCTTACAGCTTGTCTAGGACACTGATGTGGGACAGTGAGGCAGCCATCATTGTAGGCAGCTATAAAAAGTTGGAGGATATCAAAGAAAAGGGGGGAGGGATAGCATTAGGAGATATACCTAATGTAAATGACGAGTTAATGGGTGCAGCACACCAACATGGCACATGTATACATATGTATACACGTTATGCGCATGTACGCTAGAACTTAAAGTATAATAATAAAAAAAAAGGAGACATGGTGTCTGCCCTGATGAATATTCACCTCTAGCTGGGAAGGCAGAATATATGCTCATGAAAGACACTTAAAGGTAAATCTATAAGGATATGTTTATCAGCATTTATACATTAACATCAAATAATTATAGCTACCACTTTCAAGTGATTATTATGTTCAGTGCTAGAAACTTTACAAAGCATGATGCAGGACACATTACTATCTCTGTTTTACAGATGAGAAAGCTGAGGCTCAGAAAGGTTACATGACCTCTCCAGGATCATCTAGCTAAGAAATGACAGAATTGAGGTGGGACTTTGGGTCTGACCCCCAAGCCGGGTTTTGTGCCCAGTGTACTGCATCTCCACAAACAGTAACTGTGTCTGTCTCATCCACAGTCTTACATCAGCACCTTGCACAATGTTGGGCACAGAGTAGACACTCAAGGATGATTTAACAGATTCAGTACTGCCGAAGCACACAAAAGGTGTATCCTGTCCTAAAGCTGTAAACTTGTCATTGAATTACATTTTTTTTTTTTTCCTGAAATAGCCTGTTTATGATTGGGAGCAAGATTTTTTTTTTTCTCAGAGTATGTGGTTCTGTTTTTTCTGTTTAGCTTCTTTATTTTATATTTTTATTATTTTATTTGTAGAGATGGGGTCTCCCTGCATTGCCCAGGCTAGTCTGGAATTCCTGGGCTCAAGTGATCCTCCCACCTTGGCCTCCCAAGGTTCTGGGATTACAGGTGTTAGCCTGTAATCTACAACCCTGTAAACTACAGCCCAGTTTCTTGATTTATACCTGTCTTTGGCAAACTGTGAACAAATTTTGGACTTAGGGAGGGTAGTGTTTTGGTGGTACTGGCTGGAGTACCCCCAGCTTTGTGGACGTGCAGTGCCTGGCTCTGCAGCCAGGAGCTTGGCTGCAGTGGGGCTAGGAGTGCTATTCTCTGGATGGCTGACCTCCTCAGAGGCTCTAGCATGGAGGAAGAGAAAGGGTGGGCCTTTTTCCTCTGAGCCAGAGAGTTGCACTGCTTGTGCCTTCCTAAGCGCAGGCTGGGAAATGCGACTTATTATTCCTCATTAGAAGATCACTCTAATTTACAGGCCTTAGAATGAAGTTATGTGCATGCTGCACTTTTGAACTCATTACTGAGTATATTAAATCATATCAAAATGCTGTTCCTGCAGCAGGTGTACTGGTGGCTCAGAGCTCAGACAGAGCCTTGGGTATGAAATGTCAGTCTGGCAACATTATTCCCTCTTCTTCTATTGTCATATTCCTCCCCAATTTGGAACATCTGTTCATATTTGTTTATTGAGCCCTTGGGGCTCACTTATCCAAAATCATGCTTAACTTCATGAAATTGCCATTTTAAGGATAGTTTTCTGCCACCCTGCTAAAGATGAATGACACATCATGAAAAAGAATGGGGGTGAGAGGAATCATGACATTTTAGCCCTTTTCTTTTGCTGCAGATGATTAGAGGACACAGACTGTACTCACAGAGGGAAAATCATCTTGGATGCTTGTGGGTTTTGGTGCTCCCTGTTGACGGGCTGGACTTTCAATGTAGTTTTAAACTCAGCTTCTGGTAAGAGGAAGCCAGGATTAGAAAATGACAATGACAACAAGGTTGGAGAGTGCTGCTGCTGGGGGGCGGGTGGTGCATAGAGTGTACTGGTCTGTTACAATTGCCATAACAGAGTCTTATATATTGGGTGGCTTCAACAACGGAAATGTATCATCTCCAGTTCTGGAGGCCAGAAGTTGGAGATCAAGGTGTCCGCAAAGTGAGTTCCTTCTGAGAGCTGTGAGGGAGAATCTGTTCCACACTTCTATCCTAGCTTCTGGTGGTTTGCTGGTAAGGAACATCTGTGGTGTTCCTGGCCTTGTAGTTGCTGCACCCCAATCTTTACTTCCATTTTCACATGGCATTCTCCCTGTGTGCGTATCTGTGTACAAATTTCCTCTTCTTATAAGGACACCAGTCACATTAGATTAGGGCCCATCCCAATGACATCATTTTAACTTGATCTGCAAAGACCTTTCTCCAAATAATGGCACATTCTGAGGTGCTGGGGTTAGAACTCCAACATTTCTATTTTTGGTAGGGTGACAAATTTAACACATAATATAAGGGTAGGGAAATGTAAAAGGAAATATTTTTTATAAGGGAAAAAATTGTAATGAGTGCCTACTCTCTGCCCATCACTGGGCTGAGTGCTATAAATATTGGAATGAAGTTCCTTCTGCAGACTTTGTTGACATTATTTCTGATGTCCAGTAATGTTGTTCTTCTGTCTCTGTTCTTACATGGTTTGAAAGCCAGCACAGACTTCCGTTCTCCCTCCTTCCTTCTTCCTCCTTCCCTGGAACTGCAGATTCTCCTCCAGTGGCCTCTGCCAGCCACCAGTGCATGAGCAATATTGGCCAGCAGTGTTTATATTCACTCAGCCGGGCAATTGGAGTTTATCAGCCATTATTGTTTTTTTTTTTTTTTCCAAAATAACTTCTCTAACAGCTGAAAAAACTCAACACAGAATATGTGGGGTTCACTTTTCTACCTCCCAGGGATAAATTGGCCATGATCCACAGTAAGCTTTCCCTGAAAAGGTTAGCATTTGCTGGGTAGCTCAACTTTGTGTACAAAGATAGGCTTAATAAAGGCTTTGCAAAGATTTGTTTGTTAATGTGTCCTCTAGGGATTTGTTGCCATTTATTTATTTATTAATAGAGTGACTTGTTTGCATAGGGCAAGATACATAACACGATATAGAATTTATAAGATAGTCTAATATCAAGTGCCGTGTACAAATTCCTTCTGTAACACCTCTGCTAAGCCTATCTTGAATAATCCTTGGGATAGGCAGCTCACTACCTGAATAAGGAATTTATTTCCATAGGTAGGCATATTAATTTCTAAAAGTAGAAAGTATTTTAAAAAATTGAACCAAAATCTACTTTGGAATTTATAATTTATCATGATAGAATGTCCACCCAATTGCCCTAATTTTTCTAGGGGCACTTAAAAATTGAGATATCAAAAAATTCACCTTTTAAAAATATACAATTCAGTGGTTTTTAGTTTATTTGCAAAGTTGTGCAAGCATTACCACTGTCTGTTTCATCTCCCTCAAAACACTGCACTCATTAGTAGTCACTCCTCATTCTCTCCTTCCTTCAACCTCTGAAAAACTACTTAACGCCTCTCTGTCTCTATGGATTTATCTATTCAGGACATTTCATATAAATGAATCATATCATATATGGCCTTTTGGGTCTAGTTTCTTTTACTTAGCATGGCATTTCAAGGCTCATCCATGTTGTAGCATGTAGCATTTAGCATGCTCTTCATTTCTTCGTTGCAGCATATACTACATTTCTTTTTATGGGTGAATAATATTCCATCGTATGGATATACATTGTTTATCCATTATCAAGTGATGAACAGTTGGGTCGTTTCCACTTTTTGGCTATTATAAATAATGTCGCTTTGAATATTTGTGTTACACAAGTTTTTGTGTGAATATATATTTTCAATTCTCTTGGGTATATACCTAGAAATGGAATCACTGGGTCACGTGATAACTCTGTTTAACTTTTTGAGGAACTACCAAACTTTTTCCACAGCAGTGATGCCTTTTTACATCCCCATGAGCCATGTCTACGGGTTCTGATTTTTCCACATCCTTGCCAACACTTGCTATTGTTCACCCTTCTAATCATAGCTATTGTAGTGAATGTGAAATAGTTTCTCATTCTGGTTTTGATTTGCATTTCTCTAATGGCTAATAATGTCAAGCATTATTTTATGTGCTTATTGAACACTTGTAAATCTTTTTTGGAGAAATGCAATCATTTAAAATTTTTATTTTGAAAAACATTTCCTCGTTTATTCATTGGGTAAACATTTACTGAACACACATTTATGTGTCAGGCATGTACTACACACTAGGGACACAGACAGGCATGAAAGAAATTTCAGACTGAAAGGTGGAGTTGTCAGATATCTATCTGCATGAGGACTTCAACCTAAAGACAGATTGTCAAGGCCCATGAGGCCTCTTGTGAGAAAGGCCATTCTGAAAGCAAGAGGATGTCTACAACTCATTTGATTTCTGGTTAATTCTCCATGGATTTGGGTCCTCACTCAGAGGACAGGGAACCATAAAAAATGCTTAGAATCATTTAACCAAAATTTCAGGGATGAGCCTACAGAAATACTGTCTCTGTAAAGCAAATGGCAATGAAGAGTTAAGTTCTCTTTATGTTTGGAGCTCATTGAACAAAGTCCGGAACAAATGCTGAGGCTTGAGCAGAAGGCCAGGCCAGCGGAAAGCTATAACTGGCCTGACTCATGGGTGAGGGCATGGGAATTGGCTCCTTTGGTGGATTCTAGAGGATTCTACAGGTAATTTGTGTGGTAGCTTCATTGAACAGTGCTGGTGCTGTTCACTGAAACTACCACACAGATCACCTGTAGAAAGGATCCAGATTCTTTTCTTCTTTCTACTCTGTGGACTTCAGAGGCTTAGTTTCATGTTTGTGGCCTCGTGGTTTCAAGATGGCTGCCACAGCTCCAAGCATCATGAAGGGACTTATAAGCCACAGAAAGTATTACTCCTTGAGCTGCGGCAGGATCACAAAAGAAGGAAAATGGTGGATAGCACGAGGTGACCAAGAAGACTAGCTGAGCATCCTGAGGGGACTCCTGAGCTAGGAAAAATTTGAAGGAATATGGAGGATTCTGAAGAGAGTATATGAACAGAGGTAGAGAAATACTAGTTTTGATTGATAATTTCAACCTACTTTTACTCCTATGCTGGTGTGGCTTGGGGAAGTATGGGTTACAGATGAATAAGACATGGTACTTTCCGTAGACAATCATAGAGAACAGAGGGGGAAACAGAGCAATATACAATTTCAATGCAATGAGATAGTTACTAAGAGAGGTATAAATAAAGTGCCCATTAGTTGGTACCTTGAATATCTCCCTCTCTACACATGCCCAAGGTTATAGTCGTGCCCCCCAAATTGGTTCAGATAACTTACCCAGACTCTTCTCATTCTCCATGTCAGATGTTGGTTCTCTCCTGGTTTCTCCCATTTCTATCCTATTGAGTTTTACCCAGATTTTATCTTTCTGTTTGGTTCCATGAAAGTGAAGTCTCACTTACATAGTTTATCTGATTTTTTGAATCTAGCCCCTCCAGTCTCTGGGGTGTTCCTGTCTACTGCAGCCCATGCCTTTTCTATTCTCCTGCCTGGCCTAGGGTTTTGGGATACTTTATGTATGCTAGTGTCCCTGGAGAGGAGAGCTTTAGGGGCTCCAAAGATGGAGAATTTTGAGCAAGATTTTGAAGGGAATGTTGGTTTTCTTCTTGTGGATATGGAATGAGAAGATAGAGAAACACAGAAGCTTGAAACAGTTTGGTATGTTTTAAAGAGCCTGAAAATACCTTGGGATAAACATAAGGTACTCGCAGGAAAGTGATGGGATGAGGTTATAAAAAATGGACATGGGCCAAATTATGAATGGTTAAGAATATTGGGTTGTACTCTGAATGTCAACGGAGAGCACTGAAAGAGTTTTAGTAGGGGAGCAATTAGGTCAAGTTTGTTTTCAGAGATCTCATTTTGGAAATGCCGTGGAAGCTGTGCTGGGAGCCATGAGACTGGAGAGAGCTACTGCAGTGGTCCAGGGGAGAGACGATGGTGCCAAAGATGTGACATTAGAAATAAAAGAGGGGCTGGGCGTGGTGGCTCACACCTGTAATCCCAGCACTTTGGGAGGCCGAGGCAGGTGGATCACGAGGTCAGGAGATCGAGACCATCCTGGCTAACACGGTGAAACCCCGTCTCTACTAAAAATACAAAAAATTAGCCGGGCGTGGTGGTGGGCCCCTGTAGTCCCAGCTACTCGGGAGGCTGAGGCAGGAGAATGGCGTGAACCCGGGGGGCGGAGCTTGCAGTGAGCCGAGATCGCGCCACTGCACTCCATCCAGCCTGGGCGACAGAGCAAGACTCTGTCTCAGAAAAAAAAAAAAAAAAAAAGAAATGGAGAGAAGTATGGGGATTTGAGAAACCCTAATAAAATAGAGCCATTGACAGTTGGGTGAATGGTGTAACTATATAAAGATAGAGAATGTAGGAGGAGGAATTTTGTGGCAAAGTGGGCAGAACATTTTGTTTTCTTGTCTATACTGCATTAAAAACCTTCAGATGTTTGAATTAGCCGTCATAATTCTTTTTGTCTTTTATTACACAGTATAAAAATAATTCATCCATTCCCTTCAGATATGTCTATATTTATGTTCTTCCTCATTTTAGTTGCTACTGGCACTTGACTTTTCCATGTGCCTCCTAAAATGTAAGACCCTGACCTGAGAAAAACCTACCAAATAGGGTTGGGTCAAGGGACAACAGAGTGGGACTACTATTCTCCATGGTACCTCAGTGATATATTATTTATGTGCTACATAAATTTGTAGGCCAAGAATTTTTCTCCCGTTTTAGAAGCCTCGCCAAAGTTTTCTGGCCAACTGCAATGCCTGAGGTCATTTCCTCATTCCTTTAGAGTTGAGAAGCAGAGCAGTCAGGATGTCCTCAGCTAACAGTGACTCAAACCATAAGGATATTTATTGTCTATTTAATAAGAAGTCTGGAGAAATGCAATTTCAGGCTTGTTTGGTGAATAAATGATGTCATCAAGATCCAGGTTCTTTTCTTCTTTCTATTCTGTTGTCCTCAGAGAATGAGTTTCATGTTTGTGGTCTCATGGTTTCAAGATGGCTGCCACAGCCCCAATCATCAGGCTCCAACACAAAAGTATCTGCAGCAGAAATGAAGGGAGTAGGGGCAAAAAGAACCTCCTTTTTGCATACCGTTCTTCTTTCAGGGATGAAAATCTTTCCCAGAAGGGCCCAGAAGACTTTTCTTTGTCTCATTGGCCAATCACTGGGCCAAATGGGTTGGGATTGCTATGGTTGGCCTAGACCAATGAAGAGTCATTGCCTGGAAGATGAAACACTATTGCCTAAACAAAATCATTGTTTTATTACCAAGGAAAGAGGTTATGACTGTGTAATAGGTAATCAGTGTCTTCCCACAGGAAACCAAAGAAATGTCTGATTAAATACATAAACAGCATGGATGAGTTTGAGTTTAGAGTGGTCTTAAATCTCTATATCTGTCAATTAATCAATCTACATCTATCTATCTCTTTATCTCTCTATCTATCGACCTGCTTTCTAGTTCCTCTAGCTTAAGTCCATATAAATCTATTATCATCTAACTTACATTTAATCATCTTATCCAGAAACATTAGAGAGAATTTGTCAAACACTTTTATTAAAAAAGAAGATGAGAATAATTTGTTGTTATATTATTAGGTGACCTAGCAGGGGTTTTGGGAATCACCACACATTATTTTCTATATATCTACTATTTCATAAACTAGCCTAAATTTTTTTGGTTGTTTCTGAGATCCATCCTTTCCTCCTTTCTGGTAAATCAGGAAAGTGGTCACTGAAAAAAAAATTATTCCCCAAAAGATAGCTTCACTGGTTCAGAGATAAAACCTGGACGTTCTTTCATCCTCTTCGGGTGGAATTTTGTTTGGTCCTCAAGGATTGGACTCATTTAATATGACCTGATTCTATTTTACTTTCATGTTTACTTCGAGATGGGTTGTTTGATCATCCCCCACCTTGTCCCAGCTAGACTCTCTCTATCTCTTCCTCTCTTTCCCCCAACACACACCTACATACAAAGTAAGAATTGTGTGCAGTAGCTCTTGATGTTGCCTGTTAATATTTACCATTCCTTTCTAAGTGATAGACCTATCTTCGCCTTGTTCTTCTGGCTTCAGAAGAACATTTTTTTCTAGCCTTGGTGCACTTTCCATGAATGTGCCTTTCTTCCTGATTGCCATGATCTGTCACATGGAAAGAAGGCTCAAAAGGGTTAAAATGGGTAGATTTCCTAACCAGGGGATGGCAGCATGTGAGTCAAAAGACTTCCTGGGCCGGGCGCCGTGGCTCATGCCTATCATACCAGCACTTTGGGAGGCTGAGGCAGGAGGATTGCTTGAGGCCAGGAGTTTGAGACCAGCCTGACCAATATGGCGAAACCGCATCTCTACAAAAAATCAAAAATTAGCCAGGCATGGTGGCGGGAGGCTGAGGCATGAGGTTCACTTGAACCCAGGCGGGAGGTCGAAGTTGCAGTGAGCCAAGATCACCCCACTGCACTCCAGCCTGGGTGACAGAAACAAGACTCCGTTAAAAAAAAAAAAATAAAAAAAAAAAGACTTCCTGACCCTGCTAGGTACAATTCCTTGTTTGAAATATTTCCTTTGATGTCCATGTAAAAACCATTGTTAAGTCTGTGTAATTTAAAATAATAATTACAATCACATTCTAAAGTTTTGTGTAATTCAAACTTCTATTCATGCTGAGTTAAAGAAATGACATCATCATGCTTATTTTTATTTTGAAACACCTGATGTTTTTCCTTAAAATGGTAACTTTCTAGACATCAGATTCAGGATAGTGTTTACCTCTGGATGGGGGTAGGGGTGGAGGTGGGGGTGAGGGAGAAGGGTATAAGGAGCTCTCCAGCTGTATAGGTAATGTTTTGTTTCTTAAGAAAGATGGCAGCTTAGGAACAGAAAACCACACACTTCATGCTCTCACTTGTAAGTGGTGAGAATACATGGACACAAAGAGAGATACAGCAAACAGTGAGGCCTACTTGAGGATGGAGGGTGGGAGGAGGGAGAGGAGCAGAAAAAATAACTATTGAGGCCAGGCACGGTGGCTCACCCCTGTAATCCCAGCACTTTGGGAGGCCAAGGCGGGCAGATCACCTGAAGTTAGGAGTTCAAGACCAGCCTGGCCAACATGGTGAAACACTGTCTGTACTAAAAATACAAAAATTAGCTGGGCATGGTGGTGGGTGCCTGTAATCCCAGCCACTTGGGAAGCTGAGGCAGGAGAATCGCTTGAACCCAGGAGGCAGAGTTTGCAGCGAGCTGAGATTGTGCCACTGCACTCCAGCCTGGGCAACAGAGTGAGAGTCCATCAAAAAAAAAAAAAAAAAAAAAAAAAACAAAAACCACCAAAAAATAACTATTGAGTACTAGGCTTAGTACCTCGGTGGCGAAATAATCTGTACAACAAACATCTATGACACAAGTTTACCTATTTAACAAACCTGCACATGTGCCCCTGAACCTAAAATAAAAGTTAAAATTTTAAATTTAAATTTTAAGATAACCTAAAAAACCTAAAATAAAAGTTAAATAAGGGTTCTTTTTAGATCTAAAGAAAGAGCCCTTAGATTGGATTTGCCAGATTTGTCTATTTTATTGGTTATCTCAAATAAACAACCCTTGGAATAAAAAAAAGACGTGCCAGCTTAATGTTAATTGTGCTAGACTTTATAACTTTTTATGTCTATTTAATATTGCATAATTTAGCATGGGTATTTCTATACGGATCCAAACTTTGAAAAATAAATGGAATAAATTGGCTGAGCAATCTTATTTATTTTATTTTAAAAAAAAGTTTTAATAAAGAAATCCTGAAAGATTCCTGCATTTTAAATTCACCTATTTATTCAACAAACACTGAGCACTTATTGCGCTATGTGATGGAGCTATAAAGAGCGTTAATATGTGGCTCCAGGCCCCAGCAGATCTCCCCTTACAGTAGGGTAAACAAACACATAAACATATGTATAAGCTATATAATACTATGACCAGTGATACAACAGTTATTTAAAAATGGGCTGTGATCGTTAAAGTTGCATGTGAGTCACACGTGCAGCTAAGTATGCTAGGGCAGTCACAGACGGCTTCACAAAAAGAGTCTCTAAGCCTCCCTTTTCCTTAATTATTTCAAAAGCATGCTTCCAGGGAGCCTCCCTCTGTATTGGGAGCTTATGGGAACTATTTATTCTGAGGCCCCAAGGGCTGATGGAAAGAGGAGATCTTAAATAGCACAGGTGGCTCGTCTTGTTTTCCTGCTGACTGTGTGCTACGGAGGCTTTTTTTTTCTTTTGTTTTTTTTAGATGCATCCTTTTGTAAATTTCTCTCTTATCCAAGACTGATGGATGCTTTACCTTAAGGAGGAGGCCTTTATTCAAGTCACATTGGTAGACTGAGAGGACAGTAGCTGTTGACCTGGGTCATGTGAAGAGGGAATATTGGCTTCAGTGACTGATTTCTGCCTTGCCTCGTTTCTATGTTTTCTCCTTTATTTCAGAAATACAGAGAAGGGGTAGAGGATGGAGGAAAGGGAAAATCAGTTCAGGGGTTCAGTTACACTCGTCACGCAATTTGGACATGACTTGCCTCCAAAACATTGTCTGAGCAGTTTCACTGGAGGAGGTAACACTTGGGGGTTTTATAAATTGAATTTGGTGCTGATGAAAGACCTGGCTTAGAATCTTGGTGTTAGGTTTGTTCCTCAGAGGCAGAGCTGCCCAAAGGGCAGCAGTGAAAGGATAAGTTAAATGAGAAGAGTGCCCTGGGCCTGAGGTCCCAAGGACCTAATGAATGTCTTATGCATCTTGATAGTTGGGGATTGCATTTACAAAATTCACTTACAAGAAGGTAGGGATAGGCACAGGAGCTGATCACAGGCTGAATAAAAAAAAAAAATCACTCTTGCTTCCCCAACATTATTTGTGTGTTTCCTTTAATTTTCATTAGACTGTTGTACTTGTCTGCCTTCCTACCACCAGCAACATTACTCATTCCTTTCTCAGCAATTGCCAGGTTAGAGAGCAGTTTGGGGACCTCATTAAATCTTCAAGATTTAATAATTTGAGATGCTTGACTAGAATAGTCTTGGAAAAGTGAAGCTGATGGTAATTCAAAACTTTTCCACTGCATAATACTCAGGGCTGATATCTCATTCCTGGAGAGTATTACAAATATTCCTTAGCTTCTGTTTTTCTTGACCCACTAATAATTTTCCCAAGAAGATCTATCAAGATTGTTCATTGTAATTGACATTGTGTAACTGCCATGGAAACAACAAGTGATCATTCTTAACAATTTTAATTTGATAAGTAGACACCATTTCTCCTTTAAAATTGCTGAAATTTTAGAAGTCCCAAATAATACCTTCACAGTTAAAGAGAAATAAAATTTAAGATGCAAATATGTAGGCATTTCAGCAAAAGGAATCATGAGAAAAAAATGCCTCATTATTTTCCCCTGCTTCTATGTATCTATCCATTTGTTCATCCATTAGAGAAACATTTATTGAGTAACTATTAGGTGCTAAGCATTGAGAAGAGGCTTCAGGGATAAAATGATGATCAAACAAATGTCTGAGCTCTATAAAACTTACCTGGTGAGAAAGACAGATATGGAATAAATAACCACCTACATTCATCATTGCAAAATGTAATAAGTGCTATAAAGAAAATGTTTGAGGTACTATGAGAACTTGTCATACAAAGACTTGATTTAGCCTGGGGGTCAGAGAAGGTTTCCCTGAGAAGGTGTTTTTTGAGCTAAGGCTTGAGGAAAAAGTAGGTCCTAACTAGGCAAAGAAAATGGAGTGAAGCTCTCTGCAGCTGTAGAACAATATGTGCAATGGTCCTGGGGTTGGAGGGAGCATGTGCATTTAAAGAGCTTAGGGAGGCCAGTGTGGCTGGAGCTCCAAGAGAGGCGTGAAGCACTGCATTATGAAGCTGGTACCAGATCATGCAGGACCTTGTAGTAAGAGTCAAGGATTTTGTGGTTATACTAAGAGAATAGGAAAATCATTTGAGGGTTTTAAGCAGGGAATGGCATGATCATATATGAATTTTGAGACATTGCTAATTGTAATACAGAGAATGGATATTGGACAAGAGAAAATTTCAGGGAGCCAGCAAGGAGGCTACTGCCTAATGCAGGTGAGAAGTCCTAGTAGATTGAATTAGATAGTGGGGGTAGAGACAAAGATTGGTGGAAGGTTTGAGTTATTCAGCGATAAAATTGAGGCCAGGCGTGGTGGCTCACACCTGTAATCCCAGTACTTTGGGAGACCAAGGCAGGTGGATCATTTGAGGTTAGGAGTTTGAGAGCAGCCTGGCCAATATGGTGAAACCTCGTTTCTACTAAAAATACAAAAATTAGTCAGGTGTAGTAGCAGGTGCCTGTAATCCCAGCTGCTTGGGAGGCTGAGGTGTGAGAATCGCTTGAACCTGGGAGGTGGAGGTTGCAGTGAGCCAAGATGGCACCACTGTACTCCAGCCTGGGTGACAGAGTGAGAGTGTGTCTAAAAAAAATAAAAATAAGAAAGATAGGAGTTGGAAATAGAAGTAGATTGGAAATAGAAGGTGAGGGAGGCAGAAAGTGTTAAGCCTTACTCCAGTTACCTGGTTGTACCTTTGTTGTACTTATTAAGTGTGATACTTGCTACTGTGATAAAGATCATTGGAAGAGCATCAGATTTGGAGTGAAAGTTGTGAAGCCTGTTTTGCATATGAGCATTTGAGGTGCCTTTGAGACAGCCAAATGGATAATATATGGAGTAGACAGTTGTATGCAAGTCTGGAGCTCAGAGGAGAGGTCCGGCTGGGCCATGCCAAGTTGTTGATGTACAGATTGCTATTGAAGCCATATTTTGGTGAGATATGGGCTGGGGTGGATGAACTAGCTAATGCAATTTAGCTCAACATGGTCACATGGAAGTTTATACAATTTTAGCATTGGATGGAAACTTAGAAGTTACCTTTAAAGTTTTGCTTCAATAATAAAATAATTTTTGTTATTTCCAGTATAACACACTCATTATTAAAATTTTTTGGAAAGTCTAGCCCTCTCTTGTCTTTCCTTGTTTTTGTAAACAGATGAGAAAACATAGAACTCATGAGATGAAAGTGGCTCTTCTTTAGCAGCAGAGCTGGGATAACAATCCTAAATGCCCTAAATCCTAAAATAACTAAAATTATAGTTATTTTATATTATGGTTATAAGTTGTTTTTAAGCTAGGAGTTTTTTTGACATGGAGGAATAAGATCTTGGATAACAGAGAACCTTTCTATTACTATTATTTTAATTATGAACAGGACCATTTCTTAACAAAGGGTCATTAACAGCAGGACAGTGTAGGCCCTGGGTGACATAAATAGTATAGCACAGAAAGTCATCCTTTTATCTTCCCCTCTCTTCTCCTCTAAAGTTACCTAATTTCCCTAATACCATTCTGATATGGAGAGGGCCAGGTCATACTTGGAGATTTCTGTTATTTCGGACAAATTTGTAGTTTCATAGCTAATTGAATTACTTATATGCATTCATGTACTTCTACAGTTGGAAAAGAGCATTGTTTTCTATCTTAGTGCCATGTCAGGGAAACAAGAGTTAAAGACAATAGTTTCCTTGCTCTTCCCTAGAAATGAAAGGGTTCCAGAGCACCTAAATGAGCTGCTGACGAGCCTAAGTAATAGGAGCATACCTGGCAGGAAAGAATGAATTGAGAAGATAGACAAGAGTTCTTCTGTGCTTTTTGTTGTCCTGGGACAGCCAAGGTGGGAGCTCTTAGAGCAAGGAATTTCCAGAAATCACAAGCAATGATCTGACCTCAAGCCATGGAAAAGGCTAGCTCACTGGAAGTGTAATTAATCTTTCTGGCAGTTTCTTGCTTTCAAAACAAGAATGAATCAGGGATTTTATCTGAGGTTAGTAGTGAGTCATTTTTAAAGAAAAAATCTAATCAAACTCTGGACATCTGGGGCCACCTTGGAAGATGGGATTCTGACCTCTTATAGTAAGTTGTTTCTCATCAATATTCCTATCTGACGAGAAGAAACTATGATCAGTTCAATTATATTTTTGCTTATCTATTAATAGATAATGATGCATGCAATTTAGATGGTAAATGAATTGGCATTTATCAAGTACCATTCCAGGGAGAGAACTTATCTGACAGACACAAGTATCTCTGGTGCCTGTATTTTGGTGCATATCATAGGTTGGGTTCCCTGTGAAGCAGACACTGAGATGAAGATGAACATTCAGGGTTCATTAGGAGTGCCCTTGTAACCAACATCTGTAGAAGGAAGGCAGGATCCTTGGACGGTGGGTGAGATAGAGCCATGAGACACAGTTTCAACAGAGGTCTCAGCCAACTCTCTGGGGAGACCTAAAGCTGTCATGACCCTTTGAAGTTGTCCTGAGTTGGGCCAGAGCCCAGGCCATTGTACTCCCATGTCAATCAGTCATTGAATGCTGGCCATGATAGGACGGGGGTGTGACCTTAGGTGAGGCAGTTCTCTTCAGCCAAGGTAGTCCACATCAGGGCCTGGTAGCTGAGAGCTTCTGCCTTCAGAACTCTCAGAAGGTGAGAGTGAGTCCTTTGTTCCTGATGGAGGATTGGGCAGCATATCACGGTGGCCAACACAGTCCACTCCTTGGGCCATGTCTTAGTCCATTTGCATTGCAATAAAGGAATACCTGACTGGGTAATTTGTAAAGAAAAGAGGTTTATTTGGCTCACAGTTCTGTAGGCTGTATGGGAAGCATGGCACCAGCATCTGCTTCTGGTGAGGACTTCAGGAAGCTTCCAATCATGGTGGAAGAGAAAGGGGAGTTGGTGAGTCACATAGAGAGAGAGAGGAAGAAAGAGCAGAGAGGTGCCATGCTTTTTCAAATGACCAACTTTTTTTTTTTTTTTTTGGAGACAGAGTCTTGCTCTGTCGCCCAGGCTGGAGTGCAGTGGCACAATCTTGGCTCACTGCAACCTCTGCCTCATGGGTTCATGCCATTCTCCTCTCTCAGCCTCCTGAGTAGCTGGGACTACAGGCGCCTGCCATCACGCCCGGCTAATTTTTTGTATTTTTAGTAGAGACAGGGTTTCACTGTGTTAGCCAGGATGGTCTCGATCTCCTGACCTCGTGATCCGCCCACCTCAGCCTCCCAAAGTGCTGGGATTACAGGCGTGAGCCATCATGCCCGGCCTCAAATGACCAACTCTTGAGTGAACTAATAGAGAAAGAACTCACTCATTACCATGGCAATGGCACCAAGCCATTCCTGAGGGATCTGCTCCCATGATCCAAACACCTCCCACAAACCCCACCTCCAACACTGAGGATGAATTTCAACATGAGATTTGGAGGGGACAAACATTCAAACTATATCAGGCTATTTTGATCCACTTCTTTGTATAAGTTCTAGAAGCAGACACTCTTAAGATTCCAGGGGACCTCTTTCTCTCTCTTGCACATTTAGAAGAAAAAGGTAATTGGAAAAACTATAGTCCCTGCATTTGTGGCTGGTCTTGGGGCACAACTGACACTCACACTCACTCTTCTCTCCTCTTCATTCTAGATTTACATCACCCTTAGTTAACACCTCAGCTGATCTCAAAGGCTGACTTGTTGGTGTGACCCAGACCTTCTTTCCTGAAGGATCTAAGCCCTTGGTCATCATGTCTTCCTCTGGCTGAGATTCCTGCACTTTTCCATTTACCATCAAAATAGGGCCAAGGAGGAACCAAGCAGCACCCAAGTGGATCATCCAAGTGTCAAACATATTCCTTCCTCCTTGTGGTATAATAGCAGCCCTACATCCTCCTAATAATCGGCCAATTGCCCCTGCTAAGATGATGGTGCTTTTTTGTGCCTGCTGGTCCCTTGGTGTGAGAAGCCTGAAGTGCCCAGGTTGAAGCTGTAGCTTATCATTCAATGAGACTTTTGCTGTGTCCCCTGGAGAAAGCATTTCCTCTTTGGGTACCAGGATCTTTAAAACCGCAGAGCCCCAAGTTGTGGGGGCAGGAACCGCAAAAAGCCCCAAGTGGGACCCTTGGAACAATGATACTTGGGACTCCTGTTTCTACTCCTCGGTTCTCGGACCCATATATTTTCCCTACTGGGGACATAGTAGGTTGACTATATACCTATAAACATTACTTATTTAAAATGTACACTGCACCCTGGAGGATAGCCCCCTAACCTTGCAAGGTAGTATTTGTGAGTTGGCAATTCCACTGTTCTTTCAACAGGCTGTTCCATCATTTCATCAGCCTGTCAACTTCTAGGTGTTACAGCATTTTATATGAAAAGTAGATTTTATGGTTGTTGCCCTCTCCTATAGCTCCTTTGCTGTAATATGCATACCTTAGTTGGATGGAATATTATGTGGGCTACTTTGCCAGTCCATCAAATACTCAGTAAGCCTTTGGATAGTAGTGCTGGCTGGGGCCCTGTGGTAGGAAAGGCAAACCCCAAACTCAGCATAGATATCTATTCCTATGAGAATGAGTAATTGCTCTTTCTATGGAGGGAGGGGTCCCATGTAGTCAGCTTATCACCATTGGGTGGTTGGCCCCTTAATGGATGGTGCCAGACTGGGGACTCAGCATTGGCTTCTGCTGTTGGCAGGTTAGACATTCAGCAGTTGCAGCAGCTAGATCACCCTTGGTAAGTGAAAATTCATTCTGTTGAGCTCACACATAGCCTCCATCCCTGCCATCATGGTCACTCTTCATGTGTCCATAGTGTCTGCCATGGGTGGCTATTGACAGAGGCTGGCTGAGTCATTCTGTCTATTTGGTTATTTAGTGCCTCCTCTGCGGTGAATTACCTCTGATGGGCATAGAAATGTGATGTAAAGACCTTCATACTTTGTCCTATCCTATATATCCATCCACATGTCTCTACCTAGACCTCCCGATCTTCCATTATTTCTTCTTCCGGGCTCCGGACCAATCAGACAAGCCATTCACTATTGCCCATGAGTCCATGCATAGTCTATCCTTGGGACACTTCTCTTCTTACAAAGTAGCTGACCATGTCCACCACCCAAAGCTCTGCTTGTGGAAGGATCTTCCCTTGCCACTGTGTTTTAAGGCAATTCCCGAGCAAGTTGTAGTGCAGCCATCATCCAGTTTTGTCTTTCAGCCATATATTGAACTCACCCATTTATGAACCAAGCTCAGGCTTTTTCTTCTCCTATCAGCTGGTCAAAAGAAATTACACATGTGAGCACAGGTGTGTGCTGAGGGACAGACTGGTGCAACAGTGGTGGATGACCTGTGGTCTGGTCTACCTGCTTGTACAGCACGGTTGTGCTCTGTGGTGAAACTGTGTTTAATCCTACAGTACCATTTTCATGTTACACTGAATTACTGCTGGACCTGTCGTACTGCTGTTGTACAGCATGGTCGTGCTCTGTGGTGAAACTGTGTTTAATCCTACAAGTACCATTTCATGTTACAGTGAATTACTGCTGGACCTGTCCAACCTATGACTTGATGATTCATACATATCCAGGTCACAAGGGGGCAGTTCTGACTGCATGATCACTTGGTGTCCCATGGCACTCCATCTCCACCAGTGCTCAGTAACATGCTAACAATAATTTCCCAAAAGGTGCATGATTAATTCTGTGACAGGTAGCATGCCCCAGAGCCCTGTGGATCTGCATTATGATTCTTCCACTGATACTGGCCATAAAATGCACGTGGCATTTTTGCTGACCACTGAGGCATCTATTACCATAGGGTCTGCTGGAATATATGGCCCAAAAGACAGATTGCTTGACCTCCAGCCTGGACTTTCTGTATATCCCTTTCCTGCTCCAATCCCAACGAAAAGCTGACAACTCTTCCTGCTCTGGACCTTCACTAAAAGCTGGAAACTTGGTAGATGTGTTGAAGCAATATTCCCAGGTATGGAATATGCTGCCCTCAGAATCCAGAGAAGCTGATCAGGCCTGAGGCACTTCTTCTTTATGGGGGGAGATGCAAGTTATCTTATTTGTCCTTTACTTTGGAGATGACGTCCTCGTCTGCCCCAGTCCATTAAACATCGAAAATTTTTACTGATATGTTGGGGTCCTGAGTCATTGGAAGGCATATTTCCTACACTTGAGAGTTCATGTGTCTTACCACGGCCTCCGGTGTACCTGCTGTATCTTGTTATCTGCCCTGGTTTGAACAGTGTTATCAATAGAGTGGGTCAGTGCTGTGCTATCTCAGAAGTCCAGTCAGTCCAGGATTGTTAGCTTATGCTATGGCAGAGGGGAGGGTGGGAGAATTAACATAATTCTGGAGCACGGCTGTAAGTTTTTGCTGTTGTTCATTTCAGGTGAATGCAGACTCTTTCTGATCTTCTTTTCTAGTAGGGATGGAAAAAATGCCAGATTAATGGCCACATCCTTATGTGCCTGAAGCTGCTCTAGCAAAGATTTCACTTGTGGCACAGTAGCTGCAATTGAGGCTATTACTTGGATGAATTTATGGTAATCCATGTAATTTTTTGGGATACTTGTAGTTTTTGCAGAAACTAGAATGGTCAATTAAATGCATAGATGATGAAGTGGTAATCCTCATCACCCTTCGTCTTTCAGTTCTTTCAGTATGGCATGAATCTCTGCCATTATCCCGAGGAGACAGTGTTATTTTTGATTGTCTGTCTTGGTGGTAGTGGGGGCTTGCAGTTTCAGAGGTAACCTCTTGGCCTTCCACACTGCCCTAAGTCTCATTCCACAGGCCAAGGAGCAAATGTAGGGGTTCTGCCGACTAGCAAGGGTGTCTGTTGCAGTGATGCATCTGTGGACCAGGAAAATGACACCAGGTGGGTCAGTGAACCAACTGTGCTCACCATGAACTGGACCTGGGTCAGGGCTCCATTTATCACTGGCTCCTATGGGGGGGCGGTCATGATGATACCTCAGTTTTCTGGATTTCTGTGTCAACCTCATAGGATGTTGCAGGAAGGCGGTGTGTGCCTTAGGTGAATCACTTTCTTCAGCTAACGCAAATCCCTGTAGAGACTACCAGCTGAGGGCATCCTCTTTGCAGCAACCCTACGAGTGGGCAAGTAAGTTCATCATTCTTGAAGGGGGACTTGGACAGTGCATCACAGTGTTCCCACTACATCCGCTCACCCTCCATCCCCACCATCAATATTCTCCTGTATTCTGCTAGGGGTGTATGCAGAGTAGTTAGTGAGGCTTAGCTTTGGAGCCCCTCACTTGCATGGGCCCCTTCCCAGACTTTGAACCTAATGTTGTATACTTTTTCTTGAAAAGAGCCCCCCAAATGTCGATGCTTCACAAAACTCAATTCTTCCCCTGATTCTGCTTTATTTCCTTTCAGTTTGAGAAGAGGAAGATAAAGGAAATTGACATTCGAGTGCTTACCCTGTTCCAAGCACCAGGCTTGGTGTTTTGCATGTATTGTATCGTTTAAGTTTGAGGATGTTATTTGGATTTCTCCAGAGTTCACAATCTTTGACTTCTGTGATGCATATGCTTTTCCTTTTGCCTGGAAGGTCCCTCCTCATTTTGCTTGTATTTGGAAGTCTTTCTCATTCTTTTGTATTTAACTCAAATACTGTCTTCTCTGTGAGTCCTTCTTCATCCCTAAAAAAAAGCTGGGTGTTTCTCTTGGCACCTTGTGGGTGTCCCTCACTAAGCTCTGCTCTCGGATCACAATTGCTGTTTGCACCTGTGCCTCCCTTGCTCCTTGCTGAGTTTTGAAGTGGCAGATTTCGTGCTGTTCACTCTTGCATCCTCAGGGTCTAGCACAGCTCATATTATAAAGTGGCAGCGCATTCAATATCAGTTGACTTCTTGAGATGGCATTGATTCTCCAGTCCAGAAAAAAATGTCTCAAGAGCATCAAATTCCCTTTCTTTTGAGGTCTGAGCTCATGAAGTTACTTTTGATAAAGAAGCTTGATTTCCTAGTTTCTTGATAACTGGGTGAAGATGTTTTAGAGAAAAGAAACAGGCATGTCCTATAGTAGGGGGTATATTTTCACTGCAAAAGAACAAATCAGCATTCCAGTTTATCCGTCAGATTCTTGAGAATATTTTAGCCAGAGTTAGCCCTTCAGAACTGGAATGTTTCTAAGTTAATAGATAAGATTGTATTTTAGAAGCTAAAATAAAAGTTATAGAACCTGGTCTCTATATGTATTACCAATCTATATATTCATTAGGATTTTTTGTTCCAAAATGGGGTCATCCTATGTATTCTGGTTTATAAATTTCATAACAATCAATAAACAAACATTTATAGCATCATTCTTGTTTTGTCAACAGTATTCCATTAAATAAATATGCCTGAATTTATTTGATCAATCTGCTTAATTTTTAAAGGCTCTTTCTACTTTTTGCTATTAAAACATATATCACCTTTATGCATATATAAGTATATGTATTTATATGTATGTATCTTTGCCCACATATCTATTTCCTTTAGATACATTTCTTAAAGTGGAATTGTTTGGTCAAAGGATGTAACTATTTTAAAAGACATATATGTATGTATGTTTGCATATTTATTTTGCTACTTTGGCAGAGAATGTCATGCCTCTCATCTGCAGTGGAGATTTGTTGCTAGGAAGCAGGTGCTCCCAGCTCCCCTCAGTGGGCCTGTGTGCCTGATTCTCTCCCAGGGACTCAGAGCAGTAAGTATGTCACTTCCCAGACAAGGTTGTTAAAATGTAGGTGTGCCTTTTCAATGGCCTCCCTCTTCTCTGGTCTCTCAGCTGAGTGTCGAATTATGGGGTAGCACTGGAAGCCACACTCAAGGTAGTGTAGGCTGTCAGTCAGGCTCTACCATCCTCTCTGTCAATGAGAGGATGAGGGACTCCTACCACCAGTCAGGATTGTCCACCTCAGCCCCTAGGTAACTGAGAAATAACTTACTGTGTGAAGCTCCTGACATTAGGGGTTCATCTGTTACAGCAGCCAGTGCTTCTGATCAACTATAACTAGCTTGTCCTCCAAGAGGGTTGCTCCTCCACCAACAGCTTAAGAAGATCCTATCCTTGTTCCCTTCAGTCTCACCAATACTTTTGTGGCACTTAAAAATTGGCAGCTTCATAGCTAGTGAGTGGTACATCTCAATGTTGTTTTATCTTATAATTCTTCCGAGTCCTAGTAAATTTCATGTGTTTATTGACTACTTGTATTTCTTCTTAGCCCAGACACCTATAACTTTAAAAATTCCTGGAAGGCCAAAAAAAAAAAAAAAAAATCTAAGTTTTAAAAGTTCTTTTACATGCATATTTATGAAGACTTGAAATACTATCTTTAAGCCAAAAAAATCTAGGCTGAATGAACATGAAGTAAGAGAGTAACTTCAATATAGTTCATTTGGGGCTGCCAACAGTTTCTTATGGGGTTGTGAGCCAATCTGAGGGGGTGTGTATAAATAGAAAAAAAAACCTTAACAGAAGTTGTTCAATTGTTTTAATGAGTCTTGAATCCACTGGATTAAGTGAAAATTCATCTGATTTAATTGAGTGACTCTAATTGGTAAAGAGAAGGGAATCAAATAGGCTGTGCAGTATAGTTATCCAAGGTTCATTTTATTTTTTTCTAATTTACTTCTGATGGTTTACTCTTCTTCCTTGGTGCTCTGTGGGCAGATTCTAAAAATAGCCTAGTATTTATGGAAATATACTACAACAGATTTAGGGACTGATCTGTGTATTTGGATTTGTTTTTATGTTGTTAAACCAAGGGTTATTTTGTTCTTTAAGTTAGATTATTGAACACAAAAATAGCCTATGATAAATCATCATGTTTGTTGTTAAAAACCTAAGTTTACAAGAGGATGAGGTCACCTGCAGAGGTAATAGGAGGGAAAGGGGAAAGTCTGGAGGAAGAATCAGACTGGCTTGGAAGAAGCAATGTGTTTCTGCCTGATGGAAGGCACAATTCTCCCATCTGGGCCCTGTGGGTCTAAAACCAGGCCCATCTTCTTGGTGGTAACTGGTAAGGCAGCCAGATGGATCTCAAAGAGATGGCTGGATGGTGCATAGTAGACAGCTTGACCTCAGGCGTGGGGTTTCTAGCCTTCCATTTATCTTCCTACCTCTGGCAGAGCATAGAAGTCACAAGAATTTTCTGGATCTGAGAGAACATGTAAATCTGGGACAGTGGGTATCTCAGCAATAATTTATGAAGACAGATGACCTTGACATGACCCTGGAGACAGGGGCATCCTCACCAAGCTGCAGGATGGGGACTGAGCAAGAAATTAAGTTTGTTTATTGAAACCTGGACTACTGTGCACACCTGAGTCAGTGGACAGAGATTAATGTCCATTCTAACTGCATTTCCTGGGGCCAAACATCTCAGATCGTTATGTGCTTAGGAGGAGTCATAGTTTTATTTAATTGCATTTGTTCATTTACTATAATTTGATAATATTTCCTATGAGCACACATTTAAATAATTATTCAACTAAAACGATATTTTCCGAGTTAGTCTGGCAAAGGGGCTTTGGAATCAGAAGACTCCAGTTGTGTATGATCCCTCAGCACATGGTTCAGATTTGAATTTCATCATGACTCAGCAGAAATTAGAGCAGATTTATTATGTGCATTTAACTCTGGGTAGAGTTATGTGCAGAACATATTTCTTAAAGTCATGGAAAGTAGTACAAAGTGCCATTGAGCTTCAGTCATAGGACGCTGGATCTCAAATCTTAGAAGACCCTGGAGTTTCTCCCTGAATCTCTGTGTAGGAGTATATGAAATTTCAGTCATTGTATTCAGCTTCAAGTTACTATACTTTGAAGAGGAGAAGTAAGAGGGATGTTCCTGGGGATAGGAACTGTGCTGGCTCTGGCTTGGCCAAAGGCTGGATTCTGGAAAGCCGAATGTCTTATGAGAATGGACCTTCCCACCAAGTCATGTTCTCTATCTAGTTTGATTCAAGACACGAAGCCACATGGGTGATGGCTGGGCTCTCACGGTGGTTTCTGAGTTGCTGCCTTCCTTCCAGTGTAGCTGATTTTGATAGGTACTTGGGAACTGATTCTACTAATGCAGATCATGAAAAACCAATCTCTGGTTTGTTCCCCATTAATAGTCTGCAACATTTTCAGAGTCATGGCTGTTGTCAACATTGTCAGTGGGTGAGAGTGGCTAAAAACCCGGTGTGATTCCAGTTGTTAGGAGTGCAATTTATGGGAGTAATGTGAATATGTTGTATTGAGTTTGTAAGCTCAGATGTCTGCCAAAATGTCTGGAATGCCTAAACTTAATTAGACCAACTGCGTTGGGGTGTTCTGAGGCAGGACAACATCACGTGCTAGGGCGCGCCAACTTTCAAGCTAAGGAGAAATAGGTGGATGCCCATAAAGGGACTACAAAAAGAGAAGCCCTCAGTCAGCCCTACCTGCTCCACTGAGAAACAGACTCACGAGGACAAGATGCTGCCACTCAGAAAGGGACCTGGAGCCAGGCATGCCGTCTTTTTGACTGGATGCTTCGGCCTCAATGCTCCAACCTTGATGCAGGAGGAACCTATTCCTGGATGCCCCAGGACTTGTATGACCAATTCTATGCCTATTCCTGTAAGATTGGCTCGTCGTAGAAGGGTAAAAAATGTTTCCAAGCAGGATAAAAAATAGGAATTGTGGGCAGTGTGAATGGGGATAAAATACCTATATTTGTTAAGAATTTACATGCCAATAAACTGTGTGACTCGAGCATTCAGTTACTGTGTCTCTCATCCTTTGCAGCTTAATCCACTGCACATAATACCAGAGCATTCTGACTATGGCTGCATGGAAGCCCACCTTGACTGAGGGTCCTTCTCACCTCTTGGATGTCCTCTATGTGGGCTCTGCTGCTGTAGCAGCTTCTGCCAGGTCATGGTAATGCCAAGGGGCTTGAAGTCCTGCTTCAGTTCATCTTGGGAGTGTTTCTCTTGGATGAATTGCAGTTCTTTTGCATAGACAACCACATAGTGACTGTAGAGGTGTTAACCACCTCCCACACAGGTTCTGCCTGGCTGGGCTAGTTGCAGCACACACCCCAGGCTGCACAGAAGGTCAACTTGGTGTAGTTTGCAAGGAGATCAACGTACCTAACATCTATTTTCTGAGTCCTGAAAGACCACTCCTAAGGCAGGTATGGGTCTGTTTGGTAGTTCCCCTTTGTGCAGGGGAATTCTGTTAATCACCATTGTGAAGGGAGAGGAGAGTTACCTAATAATGTCTCGATCCTCTCTTTGCATGCGTCTGCTGTGAAATTAAAGATTTTAAACTGACCTGGGGAACTGGGTTGATTTGGAGCAGCCCTGAGCTCTACTCTGTTCCATGAACCACGTATTTTTTCTTTTTTTTTTTTTTAAAGCTTGAGTCCAGGAGTTTGAGACTAGTATGGGTAACACAGTTGAAACCCCATCACAACAAAAAAATTAGCTGGGCATGGTGGCATGTGCCTGTAGTCTCAGCTACTCAGGATGCTGAGGTGGGAGGATTGCTTGAGCCTGGAAGGTTGAGGCTACAGTGAGCCATGTTTATGCCACTGCACTCCAGCATGGGTGGCAGAGCAAGGTCTTGTTTAAAAAAAAAAAAAAAATCAGTCTTGTATTTGACCCTAAACCAGAATTTTAATATTGGGTCTTTACAGGGACCTCTGTGTTTTCTACATTCTTTTTTCTTCAAACTACTGATTAAAACAGGTATTTATTCTTAATTTTTAAAAATATGTCTCAGCAGATAATACCACAAAGCCGATGATCCGATAATACTTCAGACCCTAATTCTTTGAGTGGGTTTTGGAGGAAGCTGGTTAGTGAGAGTGAAGCCCCTATTTCTGTTATAACAGATGTGGTGAGATGCCTGGGTAGGCAGCAATCGCTGTCCTAATAGGAACAGGGAGTGGTAGGTGTGGGAGAGGAGGAGCTGAGTCAGGAGAGGCTGAATTAAAATTGCAACCTCAATGGCTTGTTGCAGTGAATAATTTTTTCTTGATCCTACATGGTATTTTTCAGGTCCTGATGCTCTACTGAGCAACTCCCTTCCAAGCAGTGATCTAGGAATCCCATCTTCTTTTTAACATCTTTGTTATCTTGGCATGTGGATTCCAGTCCACAGTGCCAGGGGAAGGAAGAGCTGGAGGCTTGTGCCTGAGTTTTTTACCACTTTGCCTAGAAGTTACAATGGTACCTCAAGTTAGAGTTCATTGGCCAGGATTAGTCATCTGACCCTGCCTAACCACAAAGAGGCTGGGAGGAGTAGTCTCATTCTAGGAATGAGAGTGGACCCTGATATTTGTGATCAATAGTAGTGCTTACCCAGTGGAAGATATACCATAAGATGAAGCCTCCTGCTGTGAGGTGGAGCAGCTGCGGGGGCATCTGCCTACAGTCTCCTTCCCACCAGGGACCATGCTGCTGGTTTGGCATCTCCAGCAGGGGATGTCCACCTTGCATGTATGACCAGCTACATCTCTCCCTGAGAGCTTCTGCCATGGAGCAGTGAGAAGCAGAGGGAAGCAGTTGGTGTCACTCTTTGTCTCCTGCACTCAGGAAAGTTTTTCTTATTTCTAAGATTCCTTAAAAGTTCTCGTTTTGCTTAGACCATTTGGATAGGTAAGTAGGATTCTGAAAAGCTGCTGCTGATTCCTCCGGCTCATTTAGGAGCCATCTGGAAGAGGCCTTAGGGCCAAGGCGGATGTGTTGTTTCCCCAGCCTCTGAGAGCCGTCCCTAGGGAGCAAATACACATACACTCAGGCTATAAATCACTTCTCTCGTTGGTGCTAAATTAACTTTTAAGCCTTCTAAACTCCTGAACCAGCTGATAGCAGGAACCTGGTAGCAGGATGCTGAGCCCTGTGCTCAGCATTGATTAAATATAAATTGCGTTTGTTGCAAGATTTAATGCATGCATGAATAGAGGCCACAGTGGTTCCTAAATGTTGGCCTGTGACTGGCTGAATCAGAATCACCCAGAATACCAGGTAAAAGATTTTCAGGCTCCATCTCAGACCCACTGAATTAGAATTGCCTGGACTGAGGCACAAGAATCTGTGCTTGAATTAAGCTCATCACTTACATGTACAGTGAGGTTTGCAATGGACTCACTGCAGATGTGGAAAGGGCACTGAAAGGTTGAGGCTCTGTTAGCTGGGTTTCAGTCTTCACTCTGATGCTGTGTGATCCTCAACAAGTCACTGAACCTTTCTGGTCTCAGTTTTGTCATATGCATCATGATGTGATTGAACCTATTTCATTAAATGAAATAGTACTCAGAGCCCCAATATATAAGCAGATAACATATATAAGCCCCAGTATATAAGCAGAAGGCAGTTCTGGTGGAAGGAATGGTCAAGTTAAACTTTTATTCTGAAAATGGTCCTTCAGGGCTGCCAAGAATCCTAGGAATTTCTGTAATGTAGTCTGAAACACTTCTGGCAGAGTGGTCATTAAGGTTCCTTTTAGTGTTGGAAGCCTTTGAGGCCATGGGGGTGGGGCATATCTCTCTGTCTCTGTTCCTGTCTCTCTCTCTCTGCCTGTGCCTTTCTCTTATTATCCCTTGTCTCTGTGTGTCTCTCTTTCTCTCTTCTTGTCTCCTTTTCTTTCTGCTTCTGTCTCTACCTCTTTCTGTATCTGTTTCTCTGTTTCTGTCTTCTTTTCTCTTTCTTTGCTTCTGTATCTCTCTCCTAGAAGAGATGAAAGCTCAGGACATACATTTCTTTCCAAGTTCTCAGGTGATACATGGCAGAGATTTGAGAGGAGAATATCTGAAACCCATTTGAAGGAGCAAAGTTGTTCTTGTCTGTAGATTTTTAAAAAAATTTTTAATGGAATTTGCAGGTCCAGGCCATGATTTTCTGAAGCTGAATTTATCAACTTACAGGTTTTCACATTTCTTAATAGATTTGACCAAAGTCCTGGTAGGTAAAGCAGGCATTTGCTTAATAAAAATGTATGATGTGGTGTAGGCTGTGTAAGCAGACTTTTGTTTTATTATTGCATTTAACCACTCCAACGCCCACTGAATTCCTGATTATTTCTGTTGTGGGGATGCCAGGTATTTATTATATTAGAAGGATATGAGATTAGGCACGACAGAACTCCTTTAGGAGTAAGAGGCTTAATTAGGTTCCAGAATTGTCCTGGTTTAGCACAAGACTGGATCCTACAAGATCTGAATTTAGCACATTTAACAGTTTAATTTTAAAAATAAAGTCACTATTTCCAACATCAACAATAATGACAACTACCATGTGACTTCTAGCTTTCTTAATATTTTCACTCCTAGATACTTTAGGACACAGTTCCTAAGAACAAGGACATTCTGACAGTATAACCACATATCATTCTAACACATAACTGTAATAAAATTTAGTGAGGTTAATTGACATTAAGATAATACTATTTTCAATTATTAGTCCAGATTCAAATTTTACCAACTGCTATTCATTTGTTCATAACAATACCAATATGAATTTTCACATTCATTTTTGAACTTGAATGTGCTAGCCCTATAGTTGTAGTAAGAAATAAGTGCCATGAGATAATTAATCTATATATTCATCCATCATTCCATATTATTAAATAATAATACTTAGGGATACAGGGAAGAAATTTCTAGGAGTGTAGATAAAACATTATTTACCCTGAAGATAGTCCAGAGGTATGCATGGAAGTTAGGCAGAAAATCACAAATAGAACATGTTATGATAGAGAAAACCACAGACTAATATAAAAAAAGGTCTGATCTCATTAATAGAAATGAGATCAGAAGGAGATGGTTTGTGGATGCTAAATTGGAGCCTGTCTTTGTAGTATACAAAACAGGTGGAGACTTCCTGTGGGCATGTAGATTTGTAGTTTTGGAGAGAGATTAAGACTAAAACCATAGTTTGGAAAGTATCATAGAGAGGAGAAAGTAGAAATCTTGAAGGGGTTACATTTTTAAAGGGGTAAACATAAAAAAGTAAGGATAGAAAATTAAAAAGAAGACAAGATCCAGAAAGCCCGCACACAGAGTCTCATATAGGAACTACTGTCTCATCTAATATTTTTTTATCAGGTTATTTGTTTATTAGAGGACTGGGTAATTGCAATTCATATTTTGCTATGCCTGAAAACTTTCTATAATCCATCTTCTGCTTTGGACTAGAGGGTCTGAAGAAAACAGTCCATGCACAAGTTTAAACAGAAAGTTAAAAATTCATAGTGGCCTTTTTCTGTTGAAATTACTATATGAATCACTATTATTTGGGAGGTTTTTTTTTTGCCTAAAATAGGTAACATCCTGTAGATGGGCTCTCACTATTCTATTAATTGAACTGCTGGCATGTTTATGTTTTGAGACGTATTCTAGCACTATTAGATTTGCCAGATGAAAAATACAAAGACCAGTTCAACCTAGGGGATAATCAATTTTTCATGCTCATTATCATTTAGATGAGTCTCTTATAAGGGAATGGTTTCAGCATGACGCATTTTAATGCTGAGTAACACCTCATTCCTCTAGGTAGTGAAGAGGGAGCCTTATATATGCTCTCAGCGAAAATGTTAAGATCTTAAATTACAGAATAAAGAGGAAATCAAAAGGAAATTTGTGAAAACAAAATGAGAGCCAGAGAAATGGTAAAATTTATTGCCAGAAAACTTTTCAGTTTGATCAGTTTTTATAGTTCCTTAACCTTCATCGTTCTTTGTATGCCTCCTGCCTGTCCTGAAGGGAAAAAGAAAAGCATTCAAAGCTTAAGCACTTTATTAAACCTTTTATAGCTTGACACCATTTGGAACCATTTCAGTATTTCATATTGAAGACAAAGACATGTCTTTCTGAAAAATTAAAATGAAAACAGACCCAATTACAGTGGCTTCAGCAGTCTTGGCTGAGGGCTGAACGTCTGACAGCTGCACGACACAGGGCTTTATCCATGTAACCAGCGAGTGGCCTTAGAGACCTGATTATTGGAAGGGTAGAGGGTCCTGTGATTCTAGCGCTTTGATTAATCAATTTACTAACACTTACTAGATCTTACACTTACAGTGGGAATATTCCAAGTAATCTCCCCTTTTCTCATTCTGAAATATTTAAGAAAGGTGTTAATACTGCGTGGGCTGTCTCTTAAGGGGTATGATTTAAAAGCTACTTCATAGGTGTGCTTAATTCTTATCTTTTCAAATGGATTTTGGCCTTTGGCTCTGGCTACCCAGACTACAAGCTTAAACTCATATAGCCTCTTCTATAGTGAGCTCATACTGTCCCTTCTCATGGGGGATTACCCAGAGAGGTGTGTGTACATGTGGCTTGCAACACATGCAATCCCATCAGACATATGTGCCCATATAAGGGAATATGGAACAGAAGAAATGACTTTTTAGGAATGTGAGGACTGGAATGGGAGAACAAAGAAATACTGCTGCCTTCCTCCAATATCTGTTAGGCTTTTCTTTTTTTTTCTTAAAGTATGGAAAGTTTATTCTTTTCACCATAAAAGCCTCTGGCAGTGATAAGCATGATTTCCAAGATTGTACGTAGCACCAGAAGAGCTCCAACTAACGTGCTCAGCTTCGATTTCAGCATTGCTCATTAGAGCAACAATGCAAACCAGCTGTCCCCTGGTGTTTGGCGAAGAAAGATCCAATTAACTGGCCGTCATCCACCTGGTTCCAGATTTAGCCCTCTCCTTATGAGTCTGTAAGAGCAGCCAGTTTGCATGAATTTTTGTCATTAAATTCAAGCCAGGGGGTGAGGAGCCATGGGGGGTGGGGATGGATATTCTCTGGACTGCTGTGGAGGGTTAAAATAAAGTGTAAGGCCCTCTAGAGTTTGGACATCTGGAAAGGCGGCAATGAATTAATTTATCAAGGTTTTGACCTTAACACTGTTCCTTATATTGCATACGTCAATGTGAAGTCTGGCAGTACACAATGTCTCTGTGAATGTGAACATAGAACCATTTTGGGACGTAATAACCTTTGCTTGGATTTTTCTCTTTAGTAATAGTGAGGTTTAAAATGTGAACCACCCATCTATATTGTGAATTAACCAAGTACCTATGCTGGAATATCCAGATTTCACTGGAACTCCTCACTAAAGCTTTCCTTTGTGTATTTGTCAAAAATATCCTGATTAACTCAGAAATAAAAGCAATGACTGGAGCCCTTAAGTCATCATTATTTTATCTTTTAGAGTAAAGCACCTAATTGCTGTCTGACCATTCAGGCCGTGGACTAAAGCAGCTAATGATATGGCTCCTGGAAACAGTACAGGCCTATGTCTTTCTAGAGTAATATCACATTCTCAATAGAGCCATCAATAAAACAATCATTTCTCAGCACTGAAGACTGAAAAACCTGTTGTATTACACTTTCCAATCTCTTCAAAATCACATTTAAAAAATCCATTTTGTTGCAAGATGACCAATCTCATCTGATTTATAAGCTGTGGCCTCAGAGGAAATATGGAATACTTGGAGTTGGAGCCAAGGAACAAATGTGCCTGGTTGGAAGCAGACACTTCCTGAATTTCGAGCAGCTCCCGGGACGTGCTTTAGAATGTGTCAGTTTACAATCTTCAAGTCATGTGGCAAATCATCATTTATTTGGCAGCCCAAGTACAAGGTATAGGCCTTGTATCTTCCATTAAAGGCTTATATTTTAGGTTTACTACACCTGCCCTTTCTCTCTGGTCAAGAAAGCATGTAAGTGGATGATTATTTTCTTAAAATCTCCTTCCTTACCACTTCTAATTTAAAAAAAATTTGTGAATTTTGACTTTTCAAGCCGTCAAATGATCTTAAAATGGTCTGATTTTAGGTAGGTTTTTAGCTTCCATCTCTTTCCTCACTCTTAATAAAATTGCAGGGTATTTTAGAACAAAATCAAGATCCCCCGATGTAAAAGTTGTCACAGCCTCACAGCGCACCAGGGAGAGGGTTCTTCCTGAAGCATACTGAGTGGAGACATCACTGGAGGATTGCAGAATTTGATCCCTGTGTTTTTCTAAAGTTAGAAGTTTACATCCTTCCCCTAACCAAAAACAAATAAAGAACTTGTTGATCTTGGATTCCTATGACCTTAAAAAATTGAATAAAGAAAATAAAGCTCCCCAAACTACAATCAGAGTCTTAATGTTAAAAAATTATTCTTCTAGGAGAAGTTATTTATTAGCCATTGTGAATTAATGGGCTAACATTTGGTTTGAGTAGGTCTGATCAGTATCTTAAATACTTTTTGGTAATTCTCAAATATTCTTTTCCTGCCCTATTCTTACCACTCAAACCTCCTGATCTTGAAGATATTCTCATCATGTTAATCAGTGACTTCAGCATCTGTCTGAAAGTTGGCCTGTTTCACGCCTCAGTCCTCTTCAGTGGCCCTGTTTTCTACATAGCCAACCCTTCTAAAACCATGGCTTCATATTTTCTTGATGTTCTTATCTCTCGTCACCTTCATATCCACTTTAAGCTTTTCAAAACAAAAACTATTCTGAAGCTTGGGCCTTGAAGTCTGAAATTTTCTTTTATTGTAATCATTTCCCTACTATTTTAACTACCTCTGCTTATTCTTTGATTTTTTTTTTCTTTAATAGAGACAGTCTTATTCTGTTGGCCAGGGTGGTCTTGAACTCCTGACCTCAAGCAATCCTCTGCCTTAGCCTCCGAAAGTGCTGGAATTACAGGTGTGAGCCACTGTGACTGGCCTGCATATTCTTATTGATGGAATCATTTCTGCTCATTGTGACGGTTGATGTTTTGTCTGCCGCTCATTACCTGATCTTTTAGACTTAATTTGTTTCCCTATCAGCCCTGATGCTATGTTTAGCCTTAACAAGGATGTCCTCACCAATATCCCAAAATTCCTCAGTTCACGTCACCAACCTCATTTTTGTCTTTGTTTTGGATTGCTCCTTAACAAAAATTGCTAGAGAAAGTCAGCATGTTAACTATGAGTAAACTCACACATATTTTTGGCAGGACAGACCACAATATTCCTAGTAAGGTCTGCAGGATGCTTTGTGAGCTACTTGGTCTGGTGTTCCTAAGTTCTCCTCTTAGACTTCTGTTCTGGCCACATTGGCCTTCTTTTCATTCCTCAAACATTTCTCTCTTCCCCTGGGTTAAGGGCCTTTGCTTAGAACAGTCTTTTCCTTTATCTTCCCCTAGTTAACTCTTAATCAGTCATTAACTGTCAGCTTAAATATCACTTCCTTAGGGAGACTGGTAGTTGAGATTAAGCCCCCACTTCCATCTCGCCCCTCTAGTATATCCTAGACCATATACCTCTATCACAGTCACAATTTTACATTTATTTTTGTGATTATAGATTTGATGTCACTTGGATGAACACATGGACTATGACTGTTTCTGCTTTTTCTTGTGCCCTCAATGACTGTACTGTATCCAATAAATGCCTTATGTGGAGTAAGCATAGGAAATACTTTAGAAGTGGCACTTTTATAAGTGGTAACTCCTGAAGCAAGTGGTATTTAGACATCTTCAAATATTAGAAATGTTTTCTTTATATTGAAGTAAAGTCTGTTTTCCTAATTCTGTTCCTTGGGGTCATTCAGATAAGTGGATTTCTGACATGTTGTCAAATACTTTAACAGAGTAGAAATACCATTGCTTTGGTGTAAAATCTAGTTGTAGCTACCGTATTTGGGAGGGCTTACTCAGTGCCTAGAGCTCTGCTCATCTGTAAAGTGGAAATAATCATAATTGCTTTACCCAGTTCAGTTTAAAAAGCATGTGTTGAGCACCTATTGTGTTCCATTTAGTGCATTAATGCCTGGGATAAAAGATGAGTAACACATATGCTATACTTAAGGAGTTTACTGCTTATTGGAGAAGTCCAAGAAAATATCCCAGGCAGCCTCTTACTGAGAAATTGACTTGATTTTCCCCATTCTCACAGTAATAAACACTCAGAAATGTGTTAGGATTCAGATTCTTTCCAGCTACTAGTCCAAAGTGAGCAGAGAGGCTCTGGAAGCCAGAGCTTCCAGAATAGCTGTGAGCCAGAAATGTGTCAAGAATCTCTGACGATGGGGTATATGGATGAACTTCTTGGAACAATCTCAAGTTGTATCATTGGCCGCTGGGGAGTTCGCTGGGGACTCCTGACCATGGAAACCTGCCTGCTTCACCCTCCCCAACCTAGGGCTGCGCCATTTCTCCTATTCTGTATAGCCATCTGTGTGCTGATACTTTTCCCCTTTTACATAAATAGACTAAATTTTATCTTTTGCCTGTATCTGATAGTGTCTTTCCATCATTCCCTTCATCCTTGTATCAACCACATGAGGAGATGCACATGTGTGTTGATCATTTTTATGAGGTAAGTGATAGGAGGGGGAACTGCAGTAGGAGTATAACTTGGTAATCTTTTTTGTAAATTGGTGTGTTACCTACTCAAGTAGAAGATTTGAAAATGTGCATTCCTATGACTCTGCATTTCCACACTTAGCTATATACCCAACAGAAGTGTGTCCATATATTCACTGAAAGACATATTAGGATGTTCATAGCAGCACTATTCCTTGCAGCCACAAAGCAGAAACCGTCCAAATGCCAATCAACAGTAGATTTGATAATCGACTGTGTTGTATTCACACACTGCAATACTACACAGCAATGAAAATGCACAAACTTTACAGCAAAAAACTACAATATGGATGACTGTCACTTGCATAAGATGCAAGACTAGACAAAATCTAGGTGTTAGAGGGCAGGATAGTGACTACCCTTGGCAGGACTAGTTATTAGAAGAGAGAGCTCAGGATGGGACTTGGTGGGTGCTGATAATGTTCTGTTTCTTGATCTGGGATAGTTTGTGAAAATTCACTGAGCTTTACATTTCTGATGTGTGCACTAACTTGTGTGTTAGTTCCTATTTTAATGTAGAGTTTAAAAAGAGTTTGTTCTATTTTGTCTACTTATTGAACTAAAACCAGCTTGGATTATGAGAATAAAACATGGAAAATTACTATGTAGGTAAAGGCACTGTCCTGTTACGCATTTCAAATTGGCACTTGGTTTGAAAAGCAATCATCATGCTGGTAGGGGGTGTCTTTGAACTGATGCTCCACAGATGATAATACTCATCTTGTAATTGCCCAACTCTCGGATGAACTGACTTGGAATCTATTTTCCTATTTTACTCTTGTTATACTTGTTATTTTTCTTTTAACATGGATTTGATAATCTTAAATAGGAAATATTTCACTTTTTATTATGTAAATTACTCTTATAAAAAGGACAGGTTAGCCACAGGATTTTTATTGCTGCAGAAAATTGCTGGCGATTCCTTGAAAATCCTGTAAAATGAGGCACTGGAGAATGAGTAAGCTTTTAAATGTAAGAGTTACATTTCTAACTTTAAAGTTGTTGCTTTGTCACATATTTCAAAACATGGAATATTTAAAAGGTCCATGTAAAATTAGGACATTTCAGATATTGAAGATGGCTTTAAAAAACATGCAATGATTTTTTCTTTTTATCACTTATTTCCTTGATCATTGACCTACAGTAGCTTAAAAAAATCTTGTCCTAATAACCATTACCAACAGCCTTCACAGGACACTGGATTACACAGCGGTATGAACATGAACTTCAAACCATAGTCATAGAGAGGTTCTTTATACATAGAGCAGTAGTTAGTTCTTGGCAAGAGAGGCCCTTGTTCTGGGTCCTGTTCTTGTTCACGTCTGGCCATATCACTATCTAGGGGATAAGGTTTTCACGGGGATAAGGTTTTCACAGGTCTAAGGAATTGTGGTTTCTTCTTCTAGAACCATGTCCCAGATAGGAGGGGCCATGGAATTCCCAGCACAGCCCTGAGCTGCTTCCAGAGCCTGCACTGCTGTTCCCAGTCTGTTCTCCTGCACTCAGGTGTCACTGATCTGTGGCCTTCTAGGTCCAAAGGATGGACAAGGAGCAGCTATTTCCCTGGGGGTGGATTGGTGTCGACTGAGCTTGGATGTTTATTTTGGGAAGGCCACAGGCCTGTGTTCATGGGCCCTTCAGCATAGAAACAGGAGTAGGAAGAGAATGTTGGGAAGCCCATTGTTGGGTGATTTGGGGGCCAGGGCTTTACTCTCACTATACCACCACCTCCTATTGAGGAACTCCAGGGACTTGGAGAATTCTTCAGTATTTTCATCTGGCCTTCGAAGACATGTAGTTATGTTTGCTAAGGTATGAGGATAGAATGCATTTTATTTAAGTTTGCCAGGATGATTTGTGACATGTATGTATTCTTCACATGGTATATGGACCTGCATCTATAGTCTTGTCCTGGACCTTCTGAATGCTAAAAAAGAGTCTGCATGGACATAAACAACTCGTGAACTAAAGGAGAAACATTTTCAAAGTCCACATTCAATGGTGAATTTTCACAACAAATATCTAACTTCCTTTACTAATGTAGAGCAATTTTAATGATTCTAAAATGTACACATATGTTGATCTGATCAATTAGGTTGCAATCTTTGACTGCTGAATTTGGCACAATTAACTGACCCACTATGTGCATAATCAGCCCTGTTGACCTGATTGGAGAATGGCACATAGGACCCTTTGGACAAACAGAGCCAACTAATGAAAACAGATCTTCATTTGGATAAGACTACACAAAGCTCTTTTCAATTTAGAGCTGGAATGATCTGTCACTCATAGATTTCCTGTCATTCATGTAATCATGATTTAGCAATATAGGTATTATGAATGCCTACTCTGTATGAGGCACTGGAATCCAATGATGAACAGGACCTCTGGTCTCAAAATGCTCTCAGTCTGATAGGGGAGGCTATCTCATGAATAGCGTGTTAATTCCTGTGGCAAAGACGGCTCCATCAGGCCAGGAGTGCACACACTGATGGCTGTGTGCTCTGTGTGCTTCAGAATGTTATGTTCTAGCATCATTCACAAAACTGAGGACACAACATCAAAACTCTATGCCAACATCTTGTAACAGCAGCAGCCTTATTTAAAAATGTACATTCTGTCTCTTTGTTTGGAAACCTCTTTTTCCACATCAATTAGGCCTTTACTTTGAATCTTATTCTCTATTTCAACAAAAGTACATAATGTTGGGTAAATGTCTCCCTTTCTCCACTAATTTCACCTTGTGGTTAAGACACTTGAATAGTCAGAACAAGCCCATTGCTTTAAAAGGATACTTTTTGGCTTATCAGTGCTTAAATTAATTTCTTTATCTGGAGTAATAACACCACATGTCCTACCTAATAGAAATGTGCCTTGCCAAGATCAGCAATTGGGTAATGGGTAAATTCAGATGTACAAAAAATCCATTATGTATTCCGGTGATTTAGGGCCCTCAGGATGTTATACCTATGATGGTTGACACATTTTTTCCTTAATTGTTCCCATTGTTTCTATAGAGAAGGAGCGAATGGGCACAGTTTGCTTTTCATGAATCTGAGTGCTTGCTACCCTAAGTTGTGATAGTTTTCCCGTAAGGGCTCATGTCCTCTGAATAGAGGACCACTAATTTGAGATGAGTGCATTCTGTGTTTGAAAAGAATTAAATTGGAGGATGGTGGATTACATTTTTTATCCACTTTGACTATTTTGAGAATACTGAGTGTACACATCCTGCTATTCCAGAGGAAGCTGTGACACAGTTATGAAGGAGGGTAGCAAGACAACCAGCTCGCCACCACCTACTACCCTCTCAACTACAAGAGATGATTGCCCATAATTATTTGACTTAATACAAAATTGTTTTCAGGGTAAAATGTAACGAAGTTCAATAATCAGTTGTGCCTTGAGTTTTAACAAAATGTATGGATTTGGGCTGGATGATTATCCAATCGATTCGGATGAGGAGTTTCCTTGAGGAGAAATAGATATTTAGAATCATACTGTGTATACCAAGCTGAATTCTGCCATTTTCACTTAACATTTATAATCAGTATCTCTCTATCCCATTAAAACCTTTTCATAATAGTCATGGGTGTGTCATCATTTGATCACTCTATAATTGATAATTCTCAGACACAGAAATTGTTTGCAATTCTAAAATATTTTCTATGGCTTTCTATGTAGATTTGTCTGCATCTTTTATTTTTTTCTTTAAGACAGTTTCTTAAAGGAGAAATTGCTGGATCAAAAAACATGGTATTTTACTGTATGTCCTCACTTATAAGTGGGAGCTAAACGTTGAGTGCACATGGACACAAAGGAGGGAACAGACACTGGGGCCTGCTTGAGGGTAGAGAGTGGGAGGTGGGTGAGGATAGAAAAACTACCTATTGGGTACTATGCTTATTACCTGGGTGATGAAATAATCTGTACACCAACTCCTAACCTAAAATAAAAGTTAAAAAAACAAACAAAATAAATATATGGTATTTTAAAGATATATGTTACTAGATTGTTCTTAGTAATCATGCCAATTATGTTGCTACCACAGATCACCTGAGGTTGGGAGTCCGAGACCAGCCTGACCAACATGGAGAAACCCTGTTTCTAGTAAAATAATACAAAATTAGCCAGGTGTGGTGGTGCATGCCTGTAATCTCAGCTACTTGGGAGGCTGAGGCAGGAGAATCACTTGAACCTGGGAGGTGGAGGGGGTGTTATCATTAAAATTCTTTTCACTATTTTGATAGGTAAAGATATTTTGTCATTTGATTTTATATTTCTGGGGTTACCAATAAGGTTGCATGGGTTTTTATATTTGTTAATTTCTATGGTCCATTTGGTGACTTGTTTCTGTTCATGTTCTTTGTCTCTCTTTTTTGTTTCAGTCCTTTTTTTTTAATATTATATATTGGGCACCATTTTGATAGTGTTTCCTTTGAAAAGCCAGTTTTATTGAGGATAATTTACATGCAATGAAATATATTTGTCTTAAGTGTACAGTACAATGAATTTGACAATTGTATGCACTCATGTAACTATCACCATAATCAAGATACAGATTTTGTTCACTCCAGAAAGTTCTCTCTTATACGTTTACAGTGAACTCATTGTACCCCCAGCCTCAGATAACTTGGGATCTTATATCTGTCATTATAGCTTAGTTTTGTCTGTTACAGAGTCAGAAAGTTTTATTTTTTAAATTTCATTTATTTTATTTTGGCTTCCTTTGTTCAGCATAATGTTTCTGAGATTCATCCATGCTGTAGTATATAGCAGAAGTCTTCCTTTTTATTGCTGAGTAGTATTCCATTGTATGGATATACCACAATTTGTTTATCCATGCACTTACTGGTGGGCATTTGAGTTGTTTCCAGTTTTGAGTTATCACAAATGAAGCTACTGTGAGTAAATCTTTGTGTGGACATATATTTACATTTGTTTAAGGTAAATGCCAAGGAATGAAGTTACAGGGCCATGTGGTAAGTGTGTGTTTATCTTTATAAGAAACTACCAAACTGTTTTTCAGTATATGAACCATGTTACGCTCCCATAAGCAATGTTTGAAGGTTTCAGTTGTGCTTCATCTTTGCCAACACTTGTTATTTCCAGAATTTTAGTTATTTTAGTGAGTGAGTAGTGTATCTCATTCTGGTTTTAATTTAATGCATTTCTCTGAAGACTAATGATGTTGATCTTCTCATGTGCTTATTGGCCTTGTGGCATTTACTTTAGCAATTCTTGATTCAATTTTATTTTTGATATGCTTAAAATTTCTTTAAAGTAAGTGTTACAAATACATGGTAAAATTTTAAGTAATATGGAAAAGTCTATGCTAAAACATATATTAATCCTATCCAAACTTGCCTTAGTTTTCTCAGTTCTTTTTTTATTAAAGGCAACCATGATCACAAGTTTATATGATGCTGTTTGTTGTGTGAATATTTTTAATACTTATAGACTCTATCATATTTTATAAATACACAAGTGATACATTTTTAACCTTTTACTTGGATATAACATATAGAAAAATGCACATATCCTAAGTGTACAGCTTGAGAAGTTTTTACAAACTGAACACAGCTGTATAACCAGCATCCAGATAGAACATCACCAGCACCATGCATTCCATTCCAGTCATTCTTCATCACTTCCCCAAGGGGAAGTGATCTTGATTTTAACAGTATGGATTATTTCAACATTTTTTATACTTCATATAGACAGAGTTACTGCATATACTCTTTGGCGTATGCCTTCTTTTGCTCAGCATTTTGTTTGTGTGACTCATCCATATTGTTGAGTGTATTTGTAGATTGTTCATTCATTCCTATTGCCATTTTGTATTGCAATGGAAGGATATGTGACTACCTATTTATTAATTTTATTGCCAGTGGATATCTACCTGTTACTAAAGATGTCTTGCACGTATTCTATTGCATGTCTTTTGGTGAACATTGTGTGCGCTGTATGCAGTTGGGTATGTACCTAGCAGTAGAATTTCTGGGTCATAGGTAATATATATGACACAGATGTACTAACTCCCACCCACAGAGTTTTGGTTGCTTCCACATCTTCAACAATCCCAATGTATTTTCTCTTCTTAGTATTTTGTGAGTGTTCTAGCTCATTCTATTTTATAAGTTTCTCATGAGTGTTTTCTTACTGTGATTTTAATTTGCATTACCCTATGACTAATGATATTGAGAACCTCGTCGCATGCTCAGAGGCCAGGTGGATAGCCTCATTTGTGAAGCGGCTGTTCAAGTCTTCTGCCAATTTTGTCTACTGGATTGTCTGACTTTTATTTAGTAACTTGTAGCTCTTTAACTCTGAATATGAGTCTTGTGCCATGAGTTATATGAATATCTCAGTGTGGGTTGGTTTTCACTCTTAATGGTACTTTGTTCATGAACAGAAAGCCTCAATTTTTGTGTACTCTGATACATAAATATTTTCTCTTATGCTTTAGTGCTTTTTCCCTCTTCTTTAAGAAGTCTTTTTCTCTAAGTTTACAATGATCTATGTTTCCTCTCAAAACATTTAGATCTGCTATTTTTCTTCTTTTCAAATTTTGAATTAACATTTTGTTGACTTCTTAAAAATAATTAAAAAGTGTTCATTATTTTTCTATTCTTTGGAAGAAGTTTTGCTAAATTGATGTTTTCCTCCTTAAATGTTTGGAAGAATTCACTGGTAAAACTGTTTGGGCCTAGGTTTTATGTGAATGTGAGAAAGTTAAAATAATGGATTCACGTTTGTTGACGAATATCACATTATTCAGATTTTCTCTTTCTTTTGACAGTTTTAATGAATTGTAATTTTGCAGAAATTTTTCTCTCTTCCAAATTCTCAAATTTCTTGGCCTGAAGGTTTTGAACATTGTCATCTATGTATTTTTCATGTCTGTAGGATCTACAATGCTGCTCCTTTTTCATTCCTGAAATCAATAATTTGTATTTTTACATTTTTTTCCTGGATAAGTCTTAGGGTTTTCCCATATCTATATATATTTTTATTATTATACTTTAAGTTCTAGGGTACATGTGCACAACGTGCAGGTTTGTTACATAGGTATACATGTGCCATGTTGGTTTGCTGCACCCATCAACTCGTCATTTACATTAGGTATTTCTCCTAACACTATCCCTCCCCTAGCCCCACACCACGCAACAGGCCCCAGTGTGTGATGTTCCCCTCCCTGTGTCCGTGTGTTCTCGTCGTTAAACTCCCACTTATGAGTCAGAACATGTGGTGTTTGATTTTCTGTCCTTGTGATATTTTGCTGAGAATGATGGTTTCCAGCTTCATCCATGTCCCTGCAAAGGACATAAACTCATCCTTTTTTATGGCTGCCTAGTATTCCATGGTGTATATGTGCCACATTTTCTTTATCCAGTCTATCATTGATGGACATTTGGGTTGGTTCCAAGTCTTTGCTATTGTGAATAGTGCTGCAGTAAACATAAATGTGCATGTGTCTTTATAATAGCATGATTTATAATCCTTTGGGTATATACCCAGTAATGGGATCCCTGGGTCAAATGGTATTTCTAATTCTAGATCCTTGAGGAATCACCATACTCTCTTCCACAATGGTTGAGCTAGTTTACACTCCCACCAACAGTGTAAAAGCGTTCCTATTTCTCCACATCCTCTCCAGCATCTGTTGTTTCCTGACTTTTTAATGATTGACATTCTAACTGGCGTGAGAGGGTATCTCATTGCAGTTTTGATTTGCATTTCTCTGATGACCAGTAATGATGAGCATTTTTTCATATGTCTGTTGGCTGCATACATGTCTTCTTTTGAGAAGTGTCTCTTCATATCCTTCACCCACTTTTGGATGGGGTTTTTTTTTCTTGTAAATTTGTTTAAGTTCTTTGTAGATTCTAGATATTAGCCCTTTGTCAGATGGATAGATTGCAAAAATGTTCTCCCATTCTGTAGGTGGCCTGTTCACTCTGATGGTAGTTTCTTTTGCTGTGCAGAAGATCTTTGGTTTAATTAGATCCCATTTGTCAATTTTGGCTTTTGTTGCCATTGCTTTTGGTGTTTTAGTCATGAAGTCCTTGCCCATGCCTATGTCCTAAATGGTATTGCCTAGGTTTTCTTCTAGGGTTTTTATGGTTTTATGTTTTACATTTAAGTCTTTAATTCATCTTGAGTTAATTTTTGTACAAGGTGTAAGGAAGGGATCCAGTTTCAGCTTTCTACATATGGCTATCCTGTTTTCCCAGCACCACTTATTAAATAGGGAATCCTTTCCCCATTGCTTGTTTTTGTCAGGTTTGTCAAAGATCAGATGGTTGTAGATGGGTGGTGTTTTTTCTGAGGCCTCTGTTCTGTTCCATTGGCCTATATCTCTGTTTTGGTACCGGTACCATGCTGTTTTGGTTACTGTAGCCTTGTAGTATAGTTTGAAGTCAGGTTTGCTTAGGATGTCTTGGCTATGTGGGTTCTCTTTTGGTTCCATGTGAAATTTAATGTAGTTTTTTCCAATTCTGTGAAGAAAGTAATTGGTAGCTTGATGGGGATAGCATTGAATCTATAAATTACCTTGGGTAGTATGGCCATTTTCACGATATTGATTCTTCCTATCCATGAACATGGAATGTTCTTCCATTTGTTTGTGTCCTCTTATTTCGTTGAGCAGTGGTTTGTAGTTCTCCTTGAAGAGGTCCTTCACATCCCTTGTAAATTGGATTCCTAGGTATTTCATTCTCTTTGTAGTAGTAATTGTGAATGGGAGTTCACTCATGATTTGGCTCTGTTTTCCTGTTCTTGGTGTATAGGAATGTTTGTGATTTTTGCATATTGATTTTATATCCTGAGACTTTGCTGAAGTTGCTTATCAGCTTAAGGAGATTTTGGGCTGAGACGATGGAGTTTACCAAATATAAAATCATATCATCTGCAAACAGAGACAATTTGACTTCCTCTCTTCCTATTTGAATATCTTTATTTCTTTCTGTTGCCTGATTGCCCTGGCCAGCACTTCCAATACCATGTTGAATGGGAGTGGTGAGAGGGCATCCTTGTCTTATGCCCCTTTTCAAAGGGAATGCTTCCAGTTTTTTCCCATTCAGTATGATATTGGCTGTGGGTTCATCATAGGTAGCTCTTATTATTTTGAGATATGGTCCATCAATACCTAGTTTATTAGAGTTTTTAGCATGAAACATTGTTGAATTTTTTTGAAGGCCTTTTCTGTATCTATTGAGATAATCATGTGGTTTTTGTTGTTGGTTCTGTTTATGTGATGGATTACGTTTATTGATTTGTGTAGGTTGAACCAGCCTTGCATCTCAGGGGTGAAGCTGACTTCATCATGGTGGATAAGCTTTTTGATGTGCTGCTGGATTCTGTTCGCCAGTATTTTATTGAGTATTTTGCATCGATGTTTATCAGGGATACTGGCCTAAAATTCTCTTTTTTTGTTGTGTCTCTGCCAAGCTTTGGTATCAGGATGATGCTGGCCTCATAAAATGAGTTAAGGAGGATTCCGTCTTTTTCTATTGATTGGAATAGTTTCAGAAGGAATGGTACCAGCTCCTCTTTGTAGCTCTGGTAGAATTTGGGTGTGAATCCATCTGGTCCCGGACTTTTTTTGTTGGTAGGCTATTAATTATTGCCTCAATTTCAGAACATGTTATTGGTCTATTCAGAGATTCAACTTCTTCCTAGTTTAGTCTTTGGAGGGTGTACGTGCCGAGGAATTTATCCATTTCTTCTAGATTTTCTAGTTTATTTGCATAGAGGTGTTTATAGTATTCTCTTATGGTAGTTTGTATTTCTGTGGGATCGGTGGTGATATCCCCTTTATCATTTCTTACTGCGTCTATTTGATTCTTCTCTCTTTTCTTCTTTATTAGTCTGGATAGCAGTCTATCTATTTTGTTAATCTTTTCAAAAAACCAGCTCTTGGATTCACTGGTTTTTTGAAGGGTTTTTTGTGTCTCTATCTCCTTCAGTTCTGCTCTGTATTTAGTTATTTCTTGCCTTCTGCTAGCTTTTGAATTTGTTTGCTCTTGCTTCTCTAGTTGTTTTAATTGTGATGTTAGGGTGTCAATTTTAGATCTTGCCTGCCTTCTCTTGTGGGCATTTAGTGCTATAAATTTCCCTCTACACATTGGTTTAAATGTGTCCCAGAGATTCTGGTATGTTGTGTCTTTGTTCTCACTGGTTTCAAAGAACATCTTTATTTCTGCCTTCATTTCATTACTTACCCAGTAGTCATTCAGGAGCAGGTTGTTCACTTTCCATGTAGTTGTGTGGTTTTGAGTGAGTTTCTTAGTCCTGAGTTCTAATTTGATTGCACTGTATTCTGAGAGACAGTTTGTTGTGATTTCTGTTCTTTAACATTTGCTGAGGAGTGTTTTACTTTTAATTATGTGGTCAATTTTAGAATAAGTGTGATGTGGTGCTGAGAAGAATGTATATTCTGTTGATTTGGGGTGTAGAGTTCTGTAGATATCTATCAGGTCTGCTTGGTTCAGAGCTGAGTTCAAGTCCTGGATATCCCTGTTAATTTTCTGTCTCATTGATCTGTCTAATATTGATAGTGGGGTGTTAAAGTCTCCCATTATTATTGTGTGGGAGTCTAAGTCTCTTTGTAGGTCTTTAAGAACTTGCTTTATGAATCTGGGTACTCCTGTATTGGGTGCATATATATTTAGGATAGTTAGCTCTTCTTGTTGAATTGATCCCATTATCATTGTGTAATGGCCTTTTTTGTCTCTTTTGATCTTTGTTGGTTTAAAGTCTGCTTTATCAGAGACCAGGATTGCAACCAACACCTGCTTTTTTTTTCTGCTTTCCATTTGCATGGTAGATGTTCCTCCATCCTTTTATTTTAAGCCAATGTGTGTCTTTGTATGTGAGATGGGTCTCCTGAATACAGCACACCGATGGGTCTTGACTCTTTATCCAATTTGCCAGTCTGTGTCTTTTAATTGGGGAATTTAGCCCATTACATTTAAGGTTAAGATTGTTATGTGTGAATTTGATCCTGTCATTGTGATGCTAGCTGGTTATTTTGCCCGTTAATTGATACAGTTTCTTTATAGGGTTGATGGTCTTTACAATTTGGCATGTTTTTGCAGTAGCTGGTACCGGCTGTTCCTTTCCATGTTTAGTGCTTCCTTCAGGAGCTCTTGTAAGGCAGGCCTGGTGGTGACAAAATCTCTCAGCATTTGCTTGCCTGTAAAGGATTTTATTTCTCCTTCACTTATGAAACTTAGTTTGGCTGGATATGAAAATTCTGGGTTGAAAATTCTTTTCTTTAGGAATGTTGAATATTAGTCCCCGACTCTCTTCTGGCTTGGAGGGTTTCTGCTGAGAGATCCACTGTTAGTCTGATGGGCTTACCTTTGTGGGTAACCCAACCTTTCTCTTTGGCTGCCCTTAACATTTTTTCCTTCATTTCAACTTTGGTGAATCTGACAGTTGTGTGTCTTGGAGTTGCTATTCTCGAGGAGTATCTTTGTGGCATTCTCTGTATTTCCTGGATTTGAATGTTGGCCTGCCTTGCTAGGTTGGGGAAGTTCTCCTGGATAATGTTCTGAAGAGTGTTTTCTAACTTGGTTCCATTCTCCCCATCACTTTCAGATACACCAATCAAATGTAGATTTGGTCTTTTCACATAGTCTTTTTTCTCTAATATTGTCTTCACACTTTATTTCATTAATTTGATCTTCAATCACTAATATCCTTTCTTCTGCTTGATTGAATTAGCTATTGAAGCTTGTTTATGCTTCATGAGGTTCTCATACTGTGGTTTTCAGCTCCATCAGGTCATTTAAGGTCTTCTCTATGCATTTATTCTAGTTAGCCATTCGCCTAACCTTTTTTCAAGGTTTTTAGCTTCCTTGCAATGGGTTAGAACATGCTTCTTTAGCTTGGAGAAGTTTGTTATTGCCAATCTTCTGAAGCCTACTTCTGTCAACTCGTCAAACTCATTCTCCATTCAGTTTTTTTTCCCTTGCTGGCGAGGAGTTGTGTTCCTTTGGAGGAGAAGGGGCATTCTGGTTTTTGGAATTTTCAGCCTTTCTGTTCTGGTTTCTCCCCATCTTTGTGGTTTTATCTACCTTTGGTCTTTGATGCTGGTGACCTATGGATGGGGTTTTGCTGTGGATGTCCCTTTTGTTTATGTTGGTGCTGTTCCTTTCTGTTTGTTAGTTTTCCTTCTAACAGCCAGGCCCCTCAGTTGCAGGTCTGTTGGAGTTTGCTGGAGGTCCACTCCAGACCCTGTTTGCCTAGGCATCACCAGTGGAGGCTGCAGAACAGCAAATATTGCTGCCTGATCCTTCCTCTGGAAGCTTCGTCCCAGAGGGGCATCTCCCTGTTTGAGGTGTCTGTAGGCCCCTACTGGGAGGTTTCTCCCAGTCAGACTATGCAGGGGTTAGGGACCCACTTGAGGAGGCAGTCTGTCTGTTATTGGAGCTGAAACGCCATGCTGGGAGATCCACTGCTCTCTTCAGAGCTGTCAGGCAGGGACGTTTAAGTCTGCAGAAGCTCTCTGCTGCCTTTTGTTCAGATATGCCTTGCCCCCAGAGGTGGAATCTAGAGAGGCAGTAGGCCTTACGAAGCTGCTGTGGGCTCCACCTAGTTTGAGCTTCCCTGCTGCTTTGTTTACAATGTCAGCATAGAACTGCCTACTCAAGCTTCAGCAATGGTGGATGCCTCAACCTCCCAAGCTCCAGCTTCCCAGGTCAATCTCAGACTGCTGTGCTAGCAGCAAGCAAGGCTCCATGGGAGTGGGACCTGCTGAGCCAGGCATAGGAGGGAATCTCCTGGTCTACCAGTTGTGAAGACTGTGGGAAAAGTGCAGTATTTATTCAGGAGTGTACCATTCCTCCAGGTACAGTCACTCATTGCTTCCCTTAGCTAGGAAAGGGAAATCCCCCGACCCCTTACGCTTCCTGGGTGAGGGAACGCCCTGTCCTGCTTCGGCTCGCCCTCCATGGGCTTTACCCACTGTCCAACAGTCCGAATGAGATGAACCAGGTACCTCAGTTGGAAATGCAGAAATCACCTGTCTTCTGCATCTATCTTGCTGGGAGCTGTAGACCAGAGCCGTTCCTATTTGGCCATCTTGGAAGTGACCTTTTCCATATTATTAATGTTTTCAAAGAACTAACTTTTGGCTTTGACAAGTGTCTGCCTTTCATTTTTGTTTTTAATTTTATTCAAATTAATTTTATTAATCTCTGCTTTTATCTTCATTATTTCTTTACCTGAACTTTTCTTAGGTTGGATTTACTGTAAGATTACATATTTTTGATGCAAGTTTTACATTCTCATGAAAACATTTACAACGTATTTTTAAAAATACATTACACTACACACACACACACACACTCACACACTTCTTTTTCCAAACTTGGTGACAGTGAATTTCTTTCACAACCCAAATGTAAATGTGGGAGATGAACAAAATGGAATATTTTTAAAAGTTGCCACTGAGGGGAGTACAGATCCTGGTCAAAAACCTCTGCATAACTTTCAGGCCCAACCTTAGACAATTACAAAGACCTTATCTGGCAGGCCTCATAGGGCAGAGCTGCCATGCCCCCTGAGACTTGGCGACACCCAGTGCACTGCAGTCTGAGAAAGCAGTGACTGTCAAGGACTCAGCCCTGGCCAGCCATGCTGTTATACATGGCTGCATTCCTAGCCCAGATGCCTCCTTTTGGAAGCCTCTTTATCCAGGGCCATCAGCAGAGACTTCCTTATTGTGGAGAGGGAGGAGGAGACCCTGAAGACATTTTCCTCTACTCTGACTCAGTACTTAATGCTTTTCTACACTCCTGCCTACTTCCCCTTATTGCCCAGGTTCATAAGACTTCAGGGCCTTTTGTTTGGGGCTCCCTTGGCAGTGAGGTGACCGTCACATTTATGCCGATCCTCCTGACCCTGAACTGGTGCTATTCTGAGGGGGAAAATTAAACGGGAGTTGACACTTTCTCTGATTTAGCCTCTTGCTTAGACTATTGCTAAAGGCAAGACTAAAGGCTTGCCTGTTACTTTCTTTTTTAAAAAATGTTTTTTTTAAATTTCAATTTAAATTTTAAGTTTTAGATTCAGGGGGTACATGGGTAGGTTTTTTACATGGGTATATTGCATGATGTATATGCTGAGGTATATCTGCTGAGGCTTGGGCCTCTATTAATCCCATCACCCAAATAGTTAACATAGTCCCCAGTGGAGACTTTATTAACCCTTACCCCTGCCATCCCTGTCTTTCAGAGTTTCCAGTGTCTACTGTTCCCATTTTTGTGTCTGTGTGTACCCAAATGTTCAGCTCCAATTTATAAGTAAGAACAGGCAGTATTTGATTTTCTGTTTCTGCATTAATTCGCTTAGGATAATGGCCTCCAGCTACATCTATGCTGCTGCAAAAGACATGATTTTGTTCTTTTTTTGTGGCTGCATATTATTCCATGGTGTATATGTACCATATTTTCTTTAACCAGTCCACCGTTGATGGGCACATAAGTTGGTCCCATGTCTTTGCTATTGTGAAGAGTGCTGCAATAAACATATGAGAGCCAGTGCTTTTTTGGTAGAACAATTTATTTTCCTGTGGGTATATACCCAGTAATGGGCTTACTGGGTCAAATAGTAATTCTATTTTTAGTTCTTTGAGACATCTTCAAACTGCTTTCCGTGGTGCCTGAACTAATTTACATTGCCACCAACACTGTGTGTTTTCTTTTCTCTGCAACCATGCAAACTCCGTGTTAGGTTGCCTGTTACTTTCATTTGAGCTTGTGTTAGCTGGTTTCCCTGACACCTGACTCAGCAATTTCTAGCTCAGGTCAGCTCCTAATAACTACTCTGATAATCTTGGGATGTTTTAGAAATTTTCATGTAGACAATTTGAAATCATAGGCACATACTGAAAAGTAAGAAGGTGAATAAAGCCTAATTTGATACAGATCGACAATATTCATCTTGTTCTTCTTGTGCAAATATCAAATTTCTCTCTAGAGGATTTTCCCCCTCACATAAAAATATCTCCAAAATCTTTTCACATGCAGGCAAAGAATTAAGAATTTTCATTAACTCTTTTCTTCTCCTAAGGTACGGAAAAGTTTTTAAAAAATATTTTTTCCTGCTTATTGATTTGAAGTTTTGCTTTAAATGGAAAAAGGTCCTGGTTCTCAAACTGCCTAAGATTTAGGTGGAAGAAGTTTGAGGCTACACAGAGTTCTGAAGGGAATCAGACACCAAGAGGAGACATACGTGACTGTTCCTCATAGTGCTAACCTCCTGTATAATGTCTGGGCATTTACACAATGTTTACACTGTGTTTGTGTAGTATAACCAATCATTTTAGATTTTCAAGATATATATCTCTAAGTTGGTTGTTATTAATATCATGTATACTTTTCTACCAAACTTCGTTTTGTTTCTAGCTTTGTTTTGTTGTTAATACAAAATCCCAGAATGATATGTCAGTAAGAAATGACCTGATTTGCCAATTGTTCAGAATTTTTACCTCATATCACTAGCGTTTTTAGAGGAAAAATATGAATGAAAAATGGTGCTCCTCTTTGCCCTCTCCTGTGCAGCTGTTCTTCATTGTTTAGAGCTTTGCCTTGAGGATCCAGAGTGTTGTTTCTCCATCCCGTTCATCCAGTGTCCCCTGGGAGGAGCTGAGAAAACACTGAATAAAATTGCAGTGCTCCATGTTAAGGATGAACAAAGAGTAGCACAACAGAATGAGTATTACAGACCAGAACTACAGGGCTGCATTTATTTTCTCTCCATCTTCTCCCTCTTTTCCTTCTGCATTTAGACTTTCTAAATTGAGGTTACCTTTAGCTTTGGGGTATCTTTAGGAGGATTGTTGTTTTAGAAAAAATTTCAGATCTGAAGAGAGGCCGATTGGCAGCCAGGTAGGCTCTCCAGCCTAGGCCATCATGTCAGAAAAGGAAGTGTGAATTCTGGGCACAAATCATAGAAGTTAGGATTATAAGCATGGTTAAGAGAGTTTTTGCTGCTGAGTATAAGTTAATACCAGAGAATAACACTGAGTTATTGAAAGTAATACAGCAAACTCGTATGGCTAGATTTCCTTTAGTAAATTATTCAGTTTTTTTTTTAAGAAAAATTGAGTTATACTATAGTAAACTGCACAAATTTTAAGACTATGGCTCAATAAATTTTTAATCTATCATCAATCAATCAATCTATTTATCTATCTATCTAATCTCCTGATATCAAGAAAAAGAACAAGAAATAAATCAAGATACAGAATATTTCCAGCACTGCAGGCCACTTTCTCATGTTCTTTCCCAATCAATATGTTCCCACCCCAAGGTTTCCACTATTTGGATTTCTATCTCTGTAAATTATTTTATTATTCTTGACCTTTATGTAATTGGAATAATAAAATACATACTCTTTTGCTGTTTGGCTTCTTTTGCTTATTATGCCTATGAGATTCATCCAAGTTGTCCTCTTCCTCCCCAGTATTTAATTTAAAAATAATTTTAAATATACCTAGACATTGAAAGAATTGTGCAGTGAACACACATGTCCACTAACCATCCAGATTCCACATTGCTGTCATTTTTCTATACCATCTATCCACTTATCAACCCATTTTTTGATGCATTACAAAGTAAGTTGTAAGTTGCAGGTATCATGGTGTACGGGAGGCAGGACTAGATTGCAGTTCTGACTCAGACAGAGCAGCATGTAGAGGATTGTGTCGTGAATTTTTGCCCCATAACGACTGCAGGAATAAATCAGAAAACCTGAGAGGACCCACAGACCCCCTGAAGGAAGCAGATTGCTTCTGTAGGGCCCGGGAGACCCCCAAATACTGTGAGTGCCCAAACTTTGTAAGTGGGAAAGGGAGATTGTCCACCCACGAACACACACCTCCACTGGGGAAATTGAAGGCCTAGATTACAGGAGAACATTTTCACCTTACCTGGAGCTGAGTCAATTTAGAGAGCCGAACGAAATATAGGGTTAGAGGAAGCAGCAGGAAAATCACTTGGAGTTCGCTGGGTCCCTTAGGAAGCTGTTTTTGCCTGGCCTCAGGTGGGTTCTTTAGGAGGGCGGCCAAAAGTGCTGGGAAAACGCCACAGGGAGAAGGAAATCTCCAGCTGAACTTTGTAACAATTTGAACTAATTGATAAGCCTCCTGGTCAGAGCTCAGGGGAGGGTGTGAATCCGGTGTGCAGACTCCACAGTCTGGGGGAAAAGGGAAGCCATATTTGCTTTCACAGCTGGGAGGCGGGTAGGCTGGGGCAAATTCTCAGCCCTGCTTGCCCACTGCCGGGAAACAGATGCGGTGCTGTTGGAGGGGGCACGGTGGGGGTGAGACTGGCGCTTTGGATTGTGTGGGAGCTGGGTAAGGCCTGTGACTGCTGGCTTTCCCCTACTTCCCTGATGACCTGCATGACACAGTAGAGGCAGCCATAATCCTCTTAGGAACATAACTCCATTGACCTGGGAACCTCACCCGCATTCCCTACAGCAGCCACAGCAAGACCCACCCGAGGAGAGTCTGAGCTCAGACATGCCTACTCCTGCCCCCACCCAATGGTCCTTCCCTACTCACCCTGGTCACTGAAGACAAAGGGCATATACTCTTGGGAGTTCTAGGGCCCTGCCCACCGCCTGTTCCTCCCCGTACTACCATAGCTGATGCTCTCTGGAAAGCACCACCTCCTGGCAGGAGGCCCACCAGCACAAAAACAGAACATTAAACCACCAAAGCTAAGAACCCTCACAGAGTCCATTTCACTACCCTGCCACGTCTGCTGGAACAGGTGCTGGTTTCCATGGCTGAGAGACCCACAGACAGTTCACATCATAGGATGCCGTGCAGACAACCCCCAGTACCAGCTTAGATCCTGGTAGACTTGCTGGGTGGCTAGATCCAGAAGAGAGATAACAATCACTACAGCTCAGCTCTCAGGAAGCCACATCCATAGGAAAAGGGGGAGAGTATTACTTCAAAGGAACACCCCACGGGACAAAAGAATCTGAAGAACAGCCTTCAGCCCTAGACCTTCCATCTGACAGAGGCTACCCAAATGAGAAGGAACCAGAAGACCAACTCTGGTAATATGACAAAACAAGGTTCTTTAACACCTCCAAAAAAATCACACTAGCTCACCAGCAATGGACTCAAACCAAGAAGAAATCCCTGATTTACCTGAGAAAGAATTCAGGAGGTTAGTTATTTAGCTAATCAGGGAGGCACCAGAGAAAGGCGAAGCCCAATGCAAGGAAATTAAAAAAAAAAAAAATGATACAAGTGAAGGGAGAAATGTTCAAGGAAATAGATGGCATAAATTAAAAAAAATCAAAACTTCAGGAAACAATGGACACACTTATAGAAATGCAAAATACTCTGGAAAGTCTCATCAACAGAACTGAACAAGTGGGAGAAAGAAATTCAGAGCTCAAAGACAAGGTCTTCAAATTAACCCAATCCAACAAAGACAAAGAAAAAAAGAATATGAAAATATAAACAAAGCCTCTAAGAAGTCTGGGATTATGTTAAATGACCAAACCTAAGAATAATCAGTGTTCCTGAGGAAGAAAAGAAATCTGACATTTTGGAAAACATATTTGGGGGAATAATCAAGGAAAAGTTCCCCAGCCTTGCTAGAGACCTAGACATCCAAATACAAAAAGCACAAAGAACACCTGGAAAATTCATCACAAAAATATCATTGCCTAGGCAAATTGTCACCAGGTTATCTAAAGTTAAGACAAAGGAAAAAGTCTTAAGGAAAGAATCTTAAGAGCTGTGAGACAAAAGCACCAGGTAACCTATAAAGGGAAACCTAACAAATTAACAGCAGATTTCTCAGCAGAAACCGTAGAAGCTAGAAGGGATTGGGGCCCTATCTTCAGCTTCCTCAAATGAAACAATTATCAGCTAAGAATTTTGTATCTAGTGAAACTAAGCTTCATATATGAAGGAAAGACACAGTCTTTTTCAGACAAACACAGGCTGAGAGAATTTTCCACTACCAAGCCTCCACTACAAGAGCTACTAAAAGGAGCTGTAAATCTTGAAAAACATCCTGGAAACACATCAAAACAGGTCCTCTTTAAAGCATAAATCTCACATGACCTATAAAACAAAAATAAAATTTAAAAAACAACTACAAAAAAAATAAAAAACCAAGGTATACAGGCAACAAATATCATGATCAATGGAATGGTACCTCAAATCTCAATACTAACATTGAATGTAAATGGCCTAAATGCTCCACTTAAAAGATACAGAATTGCAGAATGGATGAGAATTCACCAACCAACTATCTGCTGCCTTCAAGAGACTCACCTAACACATAAGGACTCGTGCAAACTTAAGGTAAAGTGGTAGAAAGAGACATTTCAGGCAAATGGATGCCAAAAGCAAGCAGCAGTAGCTATTCTTATATCAGACAAAACAAACTTTAAAAAGACAAAGAGGGACATTATATAATGATAAAAGACCTTGTACAACAGGAAATATCACAATCCTAATTATATATGCACCTAACACTGGAGCTCTCAAATTTATAAAACAATTACTAAGAAATGAGATAGACAGCAACACAATAATAGTGGGGGACTTCAATACTCCACTGACAGCACTAGACAGGTCATCAAGACAGAAAGTCAACAAAGAAACAATGGATTTAAACTATAACCTGGAACAAAGGGACTTAACAGAGATATACAGAACATTCCATCCAACAACCACAGAATATACATTCTATTTAACTGCACATGAAACTTTTTCCAAGATAGACCATATGATAGGCCACAAAATGAGCCTCAATAAATTTAAGAAAATTGAAAATAAACCAAGCACTCTCTCAGACTACAGTGGAATAAAACTGGGAATCAACCCAAAAGGAACCTTCAAAACCATGCAAATACATGGAAATTAAATAACCTGCTTCTGAATGATCACTGGGTCAGAAACAAAATCAAGGTGGAAATTAAACAATTTTTTGAACTGAACAACAATAGTGACACAGTGACACAAGCTATCAAAACCTCTGGGACACAGCAAAGGCGGTGTTAAGAGGAAAGTTCATGGCCCTAACCACTTATATCAAAAGGTCTGAAAGAGCAAAAATAGACAATCTAAGGTCACACCTCAAGGAACTACAGAAACAAGAATAAACCAAACCCAAACCCAGCAGAAGAAAGGAAATAACCAAGATCAGAGCAGAACTAAATGAAATTGAAAAAAAATACAAAAGATAAATGAAACAAAAAGCTTGTTCTTTGAAAAGATAAATAAAATTGATAGACCATTAGCAAGATTAACCCAGAAAAGAGAAAATCCAAATAAGCTCAATAAGAAATGAAGCAGGAGATATTACAACAGACACCACAGAAATATGAAAGATCATTCAAGGCTACTATGAACACCTTTATGCACATAAACTGGAAAACCTAGAAGAGATGGGTAAATTCCTGGAAAAATACAACCCTTCTAGCTTAAATCAGGAAGAATTACATACCCCGAACAGACCAACTTGAAACTGTAATTAAAAACGTACCAACAAAAAAAAGTCCAGGATCAGAAGATTCACAGGAGAATTCTACCAGACATTCAAAGAGGAATTGGTACCAATCCTTTTGACACTATTCCACAAGATAGAGAAAGAAGGAACCCTCTTTAAATCATTCCATGAAGCCAGTATCACCCTAATACCAAAACCAGGAAAGGACATAAGCACAAAAGAAAACGACAGACCAATATCTCTGATGAACATAGATGCTAACATCCTTAACAAAATACTAGCTAACCAAATCCAACAACGTATCAAAAAGATAATCCACCATGATCAAATGGGTTTCATACCAGAGATGCAGGGATGGTTTAACATACACAAGTCAATAAATGTGAGACACCACTTAAACAGGATTAAAAATAAAAATCACATGATCATCTTGATGCAGAAAAAGCATTTGACAAAATCCAGCATCACTTTATGATTAAAGCTTTCAGCAAAATTGGCATACAAGGGTAATACCTCAATATAATAAAAGCCATGTATGACAAACTCATAGGCAACACAACACTGAATGGGGAAAAGTTGAAAGCTTTCCCTCTGAGAACTGGAATGAGACAAGGATGGCCACTCTCACCACTCCTCTTCAACATAGTACTGGAAGTCCTAGCCAGAGCAATCAGACAAGAGAAAGAAATAAAGGGCATCCAAATCAGTAAAGAGGAAGTCAAACTGTCACAGTTTCGTGATAATATGATCATTTACCTAGAAAACCCTAAAGACTCTTCTAAAAAGCTCCTAAAACGGATAAAAGAATTCAGCAAAGTTTCCGAATACAAAATTAATGTACACAAATCAGTAGCTCTGCTATATGCCAACAGCGATTATGCTGAGAATCAAATAAAGAAATCAACCTTTTTTACAATAGCTGCAAAAAACAAAACAAAACAAAACAAACTTAGGAATATACCTAACCAAGGTGGAAGGCCTCTAGAAGGAAAACTACAAAACACTGCTGAAAAAAACCATAGATGACACAAACAAATGGAAACACATCCCATGCTCATAGATGGGTAGAATCGATATTGTGAAAATGACCACATTGCCAAAAGCAATCTATAAATTCAATGTAATCTCTATCAAAATACCACCATCACTCTTCACAGGATTGGAAAAAAAATCCTAAAATTCATATGGAACCCCAAAAGAGCTCTCATAGCCAAAGCAAGACTGAACAAAAAGAACAAATCTAGAGGCATCACATTACCTGATTTCAAACTATAAGGCCATAGTCACCAAAACAGCATGGTACTAGTATAAAAATAGGAACATAGACAAATGGAACAGAGCAGAGAACCCAGAAATAAACCCTAATACTTAAGCCAACTGGTCTTTGACAAAGCAACAAAAACATAAAGTGGGGAAAGACACACTTTTCAACAAATGGTGCTGGAATAATTGGCTAGCCACATGTAGGAGAATGAAATTGGATCCTCATCTCTCACCTTTTACAAAAATTAACTCAAGGTGGATTAAGGACTTAAATCTAATACCTGAAACTATAAAAATTCTAGAAGATAATATTGGAAAAACCCTTCTAGACATTGACCAAGAATCCAAAAGCAAATTCAATAAAAGCAAAGATACATAGCTGGGACCTAATTAAATTAAAAAGCTTTTGCATGGCAAAAAGAACAGTCAGCACAGTAAACAGACAACCCACAGAGTGGGAAAAATCTTTGCAATCTCTACATCCGACAAAGGACTAATATCCAGAATCTACAATGAACTCAAACAAATCAACAAGAAAAAAAGAAACGATCCCATCAAAAAGTGGGCTAAGGGCATGAATAGACAATTCTCGAAAGAAGATATACAAATGGCCAACAAACATATGAAAAAATGCTCAACATCACTAATGATCAGGGAAATGCAAATCAATACCACAAAGCAATACCACCTTACTCTTGCAAGAATGGCCATAATAAAAAATAAAAAAATAGATTTTGGAATGGATGCGCTGAACAGGGAACACTTCTACGCTGCGGTGGGAATGTAAACTAGTCCAACCACTATGGAAAACAGTTTGGAGATTCCTTAAAGAACTAAAAGTAGAACTACCGTTTGATCCAGCAATCCCACTACTGGGTATGTGTCCAGTGGAAAAGAAGTCATTATATGAAAAAGATACTTGCACATGCATGTTTATAGCAGCACAATTCACAATTGCAAAATCATGGAACCAACCCAGATGCCCATCAATGAACGAGTGGATAAAGGAACTGTAGTGTGTATGTGTATATATATATATACACATACATATATGTAGATTCCATCATATATGGGAACAAAAGTTTCCATCATATATGTATATATATACACACACATATATTTATATATAGATTCCATCATATATATATGTGTGTGTATATGTATACATATATGATGGAATACTACTCAGCATTATAAAGGAATGAGTTAATGGCATTTGCAGTGACCTGGATGTGATTGGAAACTATTATTCTAAGTGAAGTAACTCAGGAGTGGAAAACCAAACATCATATGTTCCCATTCATAAGTGGCAGCTAAGTTATGAGGATGCGGGCCTAAGAATGACACAATGGACTTTGGGGACTCGGGGAAAGGGTGGGAAGGGGGTGAGGGATAAAAGACTACAAACAGGGCGCAGTGTGTACTGCCTGGGTGATGGGTGCACCAAAATTTCACAAATCACCACTAAAGAATTTACCCATGTGACTAAACACTACCTGTTCCCCAATAACCTATGGAAATAAAAAACATTGGAATGTAATGCTTGAATTTAGGATTCCCTGTTCTAACATTTCATAGTTTGGCTTTCAGTATTTTGTCTACAGGGGTAGGAGCTGAGGGAGCAAGCAGTTTTGATTTGTAGCTTGTTTTCCTTTTGGGGCTGAAAGAATAATGGGAGCCCTGTGGATCCCACCGGGAGGAAGTGGGAGGGTTTCAGAATTCACGCAGGAGAAGGATGGGATGCAGCAATGCAGGGAAAGAGGAATGAGGTCTGAGCTGTATTTTCCGATTTGAGAAAGAAAGAAACAGGGAGCTGCTTCTCTCATTTAACTCTTAAGTTTGCTGTGGCTAAGTGCCTTTTGTTTAGAGGAAACACTGCTATTGTTTAGTAAAAGCATAACAAATGTGCGTATAGAAAGTGATTGAGAGTGGAATAATTGTTTTTTGGTTTTTACTTTTAAGGTGGGTAGGCAAGGCTGTGAAAAACATCTTCAGAGGAGGAGAATATATAATGAATTTCTAGAATGAAGGAAGAATTGAAAGAGATTTTAGCGACTATTTGGCCTCAACTCAAATTAGAATGCTTTGGGGAGCTTTTAAAAAACCCCAGCTGAGATTTCTGATCTAATCCACCTAGGGTGGGGCCTGGATGCTGGTGTTGTTAAAAAGTTCCCCAGGTGATTCTAAAGTGTAGCTGATTTGAGAACTACTGATGCAGTTCAAACTTTTGGCACCTAACTTTTGCTGATACTTTTAAGGTTTGGATGCAGGAAGATGAAGTGACACTTGATGCATGTTTCTTGGCTATTCTGGGCACAATTAAGGTTGAAGCACAAACTCAGAAGTGTTCATCACAAATTACCACCCGAGAGGAACCTCTCCATGAGTATTCTGTGCTCGGAGGAATTCTTTCTATAAATGGCTTGCTTTTCTGATGTAAACAAGCAGAAACGATTTGGATTTTTTTTTATTTTTTACTTTAAATACTGGAATACATATGCAGAATGTGCAGGTTTGTTACATGGGTATACATGTGCCATGGTGGTTTGCTCACCTATCAACCCATCATCTAGGTTTTAAGCCCTGCATGTATTAGGTATTTGTCCTAATGCTCTCCCTCCCCTTGCCCCCCAACCCCCCGACAGGCCCCAGTGTGTGTTTCCCTCCCTGTGTCTATGTGTTTTCATTGTTCAACTCCCACTTATGAGTGAGAACATGCGGTGTTTGGTTTTCTGTTCCTGTGTTAGCTTGCTGAGAATGATGGCTTCCAGCTTCGTCCATGTCTCTGCAAAGGACATGAACTCATTCTTTTATATGGCTGCATGGTATTCCGTGGTGTATACATGCCACATTTTCTTTATACAGTCTATCTTGATGGGCATTTGGGTTGGTTCCAAGTCTTTGCTATTGTAAATAGTGCTGCAATAAACATACATGTGCATGTGTCTTTATAGTAGAATGATTTATAATCCTTTGGGTATATACCCAGTAATGGGATTTAGAACTTTTTTCTGTGTGAATTGGAGTGATCATATATAGACTCCATGGGGGTGGATTATACAGAATCTAATAATAGTTGAAGAGGTCTGTGTTCTTGCATGTGTATGAGTTGCTGTCTGTGGTGGTGTTATGTGCAATATTGTGGGGTTAGATAAAAGCAGCCCTCTATGGAGGGGACAGTTGATATCTATTGAATACCTGCTTTGAGAGCATTTAGCACGTACAAAAACTTTTCTGCAGTCAGTCACGTGGATCATTTGAGAGTCCTAGTGATCTACTCTGTTCAGGATAGCAAGGTGATATTTAACAAACATGCTTTTAAGTGTTTGCATTTGAATCCCCAAATCAGTTGTAAATATATATTATGAACTGAGCTGGCTTGACGTTTATTTATGTGAACAAGATTTGAGTTGACCACAGCTAATTGAACCCAAAGGTATAGTGATCCCTCTAGTCTATCCCTCACCAAATAGGAATGCGTGGGAGCTAGAAATAATGTCATATGAAGAACAGTAATAAAAATGGAATGGCTCCGAAGGGCTTCGTTGCCATATGAGAATTATCCTGTGTTTTCCCAGAAAGCCAAAATACATGAGTAAGTACCAGAGTGAAGCTAATTTTGACTCTGCGGTAATTATAGCTAACATTTATTGATACTTGCTATGTGCCAACCCTGTGCTAAACATTCTAGGTAGTTTATTCCCTTAAATTTTAACAATAACCCTATTTAACTAAATATAGTTTATAGATAAGTTAGGAGACTGAGGCTTTAAGAGGTACCGGGATTTTGGAGTTAGGACATTTGGTTTAATTCCCAGCTTTCTCCCCTCCTGGCATTCTGTACTTGAACAATTTATACATTTTCAGGTTTCTGTACTCTCATTTATAAAATAGAGATACAAATTTCTACCCTTCACCATTATTGTGGATATTAGAGAGAATTCATATAAAGCATTTGCCATTCAATAAATAGTTACCATTATTATTCAACCTAATTTGGCACGACCTGTACTGTATGGTCAGGGACGACCATCACAGGCCTGATTGTTATGATTTAGTGGAGGCTGAGTAAGGAAGAAGGAATCTGACTTTTAATTAGGCTTCTGGCTAAAGTGAGTCACGTGTGAGGTTTTACTAGGTTTTCATCATATCCCTAAATGAATAGTAAGGGTCATTTTTGATTGGCGGAACTGATTAAAAAATCAATCTAGTTACTTTGAAAGATGGCCTTATTTTCATCAAGGAGAGGGTATACTTACTATCTGTAACTAGGAGGTTTGTCCTCTCAGAAAAGGAGCCTGTTAGTCTACAGATTTCACACTTTAAAACTGCTCTTTGAGTCAGGAAGTTGTTTAAAAATGCATATTATTTTGGCCACTTTAAGAACAATGGAAATTTAATGTGTCCCTTAGGCTAGATTCTAAAACTCTCATGACTTCTTTAAAATCTTCTGTGCACAGACAGGGGCCAGGACTCCTACTTTCTAGTTGTAAATGAGGAGCTTCCTGATTATCCCAGTGGAAAGAGGTTGCTTAAAGGATAATTGTACAGTTTATACCACTGTATTTATCTTTTAAAATGAATTTTTAATAATAAGCGCAGATACATTAGATAACTTTTCTTGCACACCATATACCTATATAAAATAACAGAAAAATTGCTGGCATTTCTGCCAAGGTTGATGGATTTCATGTACATGTATATGTCATGTAATTATCAAATGAGGGTAATCAGCATATCTATCACCTCAAACATTTATTATTTCTTTGTGGTGAGAACATTCAAAATCCTCTCTTCCAGCTATATAGAAACATTCAAAACATTATTGTTAACTATAGTCATGGTGCAATGGGACACCAGAACTTATTCTATCTAGCTGTAGCTTTGTATCCATTGACCAGTCAATCTCTCCCCATTTCCCCCTTCTTTCTACCTTTCCCAATCTGTGGTATCCACTGTTCTGTTTCTGTAAGATCATTTTTTTGTTAGATTCTACATATGACTGAAATCCTGCAGTATTTGTCTGTGCCTAGCTTATTTCACTTAACATACTGTTTTCCAGGTTCATCCATATTGTTGTGAATGAGAGGATTTTATTCTTTTTTTATGGCTGATTAGTATTCCATTGTGTATATACATATGCTGTTTTCTTTATTCATCTGTTGATGAACAGTTATGCTGATTTTATTTATTGGCTATTGTGAATAGTGGTACAATAAACATGGGAGTGCAGATGTCTCTTCAACATACTGATATCATTTCCTTTAGATATATACCCAGTAGTGAGATTGGTGGATCATATGATATTTCAATTTTTAACTTTTTGAGAAACCTCTATACTGTTTTCCATATTGGTTGTACTAATTTTATTCTCACCGACAATGTGTAAGGGTTCCCTTTTCTCCACATGCTTGCCAACACTTGTTATCTTTTGTCTTTTTGATAATAGCCATTCTAACTAGAGAAAGATCATATCTCATTGTGGTTTTGATTTGCATTTCCCTAATGATTAGTGATGTTGAGCATTTTTTCATATACCAGGTTGGCCATCTGTATGTCTTTTTTTTTTTTTTTTTTGAGAAATATTTATTAAGGTCTTTTGCTCATTTTAAAAGTTGGATTATTATTATTATTTTTCTGCTATTGAGTTTTTTGAGTTCCTTATGTATTCTGGATATTAATTCAAGGGATATATTTCTTTTGAAGAAATTATTTTTCTATAGAGTATTTCTGACTCTTCAGGTAAAAATCAATTGAGAAGTTTTTAAATAAAAGAAAGCAATTTTATTGAGTTTTCAAAAAAGAGATTAAAATGCTCAACTCGCTTGCTTTAAAAAAACCAGATATTAGCTAAAGCTTTATTAACACAAATAAATATATAAATAATTACATTTAATATTCTGGTGAAATAGGAAACAAAAAAGAAAATTGAGTGGAGGAGAAGGAATAGCAAAATGGAGACAGCAGCAGAAGATAGAGAGAGGTGGACGAGAGAAAACCCTCAAGATAAAGAGACCAGGGCACAGAAAGGGAAGAAGAGGCAAAGAGACAAATACATGAGGAAACATGGCAGGCTTGGAGGTGGGTGTGTGCATGACTCAGTAACTGTTGAGCTCTGTCATGAGTAAGCATTTTTGTCTGGGGAACAATCACTATAGCTGGAATAATTAAACTTTATTTCAGGGAGAGGAGGTGCTGAATACCTCCAGACCTGTAATTTAGGGCATGAGTATCCAAGCTAGCACCATTGATGAATTTATGTCATTAAAAAGACAAAAAATAAACTCAGTCCTAAAGCCTGGCCTATACCCCATGGATGGTCCCATTGGAGTTGGAAAGAGTGTTACCTGAACAAAGTGAGGGTTCCACTAGAACGAAAAAAGCAAGCAGTGGACACTGGTGGGCAATTCACAGTGTTCACTACAAATAACTACAATGGGCAGAGGGCTGGGTCTGACACCAGAGGAAAAGAGAAACACGATTTCTTCTATAAGTTTGGAGAGAGAGACAAGTAAATACCTAAGCACAGTAAAATGTCATCAATGTCAAACAGAAGTGCAAACCAAGAGCAGCGCTTTTTTGGGCGGGGGGTGGGGCTTGGAGGGGTAGGGGAGTTAGTTTTCCTGGTTGTCTTGCAGAGTCCTTTTCCGTGACTTATACTCCTTGCTGCTCAGTGACCCTAAGGGAGGAGACCAGTGAGATGACCATGGTGAGGGTATTTAACCTTCCTTGTCTTGGATGCTTCCTCCCTTGGAGGGCTGTCCCGCACAGACACTCCTCTGTTCCTTACTCCTTTCTTCCCCTTTTTATTTTCTCTTTAACTTATTCCCTGTAGGTGTTCTCGGTGCCCTTTTGTTGTCCTGATTCTATCTTGGGATGTTTCATGAATTTCTCTTCCATCCTCTCATGTATATGAATCTCAATCCACATATTCTCTTCATTAATTTTGTTGATTTCTCTGCTTCCATTGTCTGATGGATGCCAGGCTTCTTCTTCCCCTCTGCTCTATTGGCATTGCTGAGCAAAGAGGTGAGGAGGATCCTGTAAATGGGTCAGCGTTGAGGGCAGGAGGGAAATCATAAGGGATTTTTACTTGGTTTGGCAGCTGCTTCCTCCCAGAGCCTGATTATTGATACCTCTTCATCAGATATTTGATATTTTCTTCCACATTTAAACAAGAAATTCATATTTCAATATTGATTATTAATATTTTCATATTAATTAAAATATTTGAAACATTTCTTCCTAATATTTCTCAGGAATGACCTGGCTTTATGATGTTAAGGCAGCATTTACCTGCCTTTCTTCTCTGGCTTATAATATAAAGTACCTGCCCATCAGCTCTTCATGAATGCATCACACCCAAATTACTTTTCTCCAATGCCTAGGCTTAGTGCATGACCAGTGACAGAAGGGTAAGAGTGGGAACTAGAAAGAATGACCTGCTATGTGGTGATATAGGAATTCCTAGGAAGGAGGAAGCATCTGGACTGGCCTTTAAAAAATGAGATATGTAGTTAACAAAAAAGTGTGGGGATGAGGAGTTCTGGGCATGAGGGAACAGTTGCATCTGAAACATGGAGGCATAAAAGTGTGTATTCTGTGCAGGAAAAGTTACCCTTGAAAGACTGAAATGCATTTTTACAAGTTGGTGATTGTATCCTTAAATCTTTTCTTCTTTATCCTGGTATAAAATACTTCCTTGTGAAAATATTTTTAACTAAGTCTAGTAGGGCAGGGATCTCCCAATCTTATTTTTAATTATTGACTTGATTCTGTAGTTACGAGCAACAGATGAAATTGGGTTTAATTACATTAGTTCTTTCAGTTTAAAAATAAAGGCAAGTGATGACACCATGTCATGAATCAGCACCTCAGAGTGGAGATGAGGGTTGCTGGGTGGGCGAACAAAATAATTTTTGCTGGGGAGAATTATGGCTAATAAAGGATATTTGGTTTTAATTATGTATTAATTCTTCATGTGCCAAATTAAAGTTCCAGGCTGAGAAATTAATTTCATATCCTGGTGATTTCCCCAAATATCCATCATTATATGGTAATTCTCTTAAAGCCTGGCAATATAAAACTACAAGTCATCCTAATTCCATGTATTAAAATCTGACTGTTTCCTTGCTATCTTTTATTGCTTCGCATCCTTTTCTCTTGCCTATCTAATATTTTACTGCTAAATGAAAGGAAAGGAACTAATAGATACCTTGCCTTTACATTTCATGGAAAGATCAATTAAAATGCCTGTGGAAAATTTGTTACAACCCTTAGTTAGGTTTGGAGACAGATACAGATCTGTTCCTGTGTCCTGTCTTTTAATGATAATAGAATATTTGAAAGAAATGTATCTAAAAGAAAAGGGGAACTGCCTTAGCTCAGCATAGTTCCTTGGTTCCATGTTTTGTGCCTGCAGCATCTCACTGGGGAAAGAGATGCCAAAAATGATGTGAAGCCTGTGGGTGCTTGTGGTCAATCAAAGACCAGCCAGTATTGCCTTAATGTTTTCTGAGATCTTCAAAGGAACTTTTTTCAAATTATAACAGGCAACATTACTTATTCCCTTGACTTTCTTGAAAAGATGTGTTTATATCCTAGCTTTACGTTAAAGGTCTAAGTCATCAAATATTATAGTTGGAAGAAATATTAGACATCATTTAGTCCAGATCATGTGACAAGCTTGGTGAGTTGGAGGGAAATTCAGATTTTATTTTGCATAATGAATTTAGAAAAAAAAACTCAATAGAAGTCAGGAAATAGAATCGTAGGTGTAATAATAATAATGCCGTCAGTGTAAAGCACAGCGCTTCTCCGGAGAGACTTTGATCTGAAAAGGCCAAAAAGAACAGTGAGAAGACCTGGAGCCAGAGGAAGTCTAAAATCACTAAAGTTTTTCAATTAAATTTCAGTTTTAATTTAGTTCATAGCCTTAGGGTTGTCAGGTTAGGTAGCTGATGTCCTAATATGGACGGCTCCAAGGGATGACTGGGAGAAAATGGCGACCACAGTAAATGCCGCTAGGGAAAAAATGAGTCTTCAGAAATATTTTTCTTTCCTATTAATCCATTTCACTACTGAAATTCAAGAATGTTCAATTTTTATCATTAAAAAGATAGCCATATTCACTTGTGCCTTATTAATTGCATTTGTTCACTTCCCCCCAAATTGGCTGTAAAACAAATTTCAGGTTATGAAATTATTTTCACCACGATTGGCACATTGGGAGGGCAATATTATCTCTGGGAAATTGTTTGGCCTCAATATTCAATGCAAAACAAAGCAAAAACTCTAAACATAAAATATTCTATTGCCTTTTGGAATCATGGACTACATTGAACTAAAATCATATAAAATGTTAATGACCTCAAGTCTCCAAATATGCTGCCAGAAATTTTATTCTTTTGGGACTAAATTTATTGAAGGAAATGTACCTCCAAATGACCCTGCCTGGATTCAGTCTTAGTGACAGAACAGTATGAAGGGATGTTGCTGTGTAACAAATTGCTATAAACTTAGAAGCTGAAAACAACACTAATTCGTTATCTCACTGTTCTGTGGGTCAGAACTGGGGACGGGCTCTTCTGCTCAGGGTCTCTCATGACTGAGATCAGTGTGTCCATGGGCTGAGCTCTGGGGAAGAATTTGCTTCTAAGCTCACTGAGGTTGCTGGCAGGAACTTGTTCCTTGTGGCTGCAGGTCTGAGGTCCTCATTTCTTTGCTGGCTGTCAGCCATGGCTGCTTGCTGTTCCTAGGGACTACCTGCATTCCTTCTCACGTGGTCCTCTCTGTCTTCAAAGCCATAACGGTGCATCAAGTCCTTCTCACTCTCAGACTTTCAAACTTCCTTTCTGCCATCATCTGGAGAAAACTCTTTACTTTTAAAGGGCTAATTTGATTAGATTGGGCCCACCAGATTAATCCCCCTTTTGCCATGTAAGGTAATATAATCACAGGAGTGATATTTAATTGTATGCATGGGTTCTACCCACACTAAAACGGAAGGAGATTAAGCAAGAATGAGGGTCATTGGAGGCCATTCTTACAATTCTGCTTACCACAGGGATAAGCTTGGGTCTCTATAAGCCAAATAAATATTTTCTCTGAAAACCCCAAGGTATAAGCTAAAAATAAAACAGTATTAGTTTCTGTATTATTTCTGTAGCTAAGGCATTTTCAGAAGATCTATACTTTAAAAAGTTTTAAACTTTTAAATTTGTAGCCCAAATTTTTAGTTGAATATATATTGCTTTCTGATTACAAGTGGCCTGTAGTCATATATGTATGCATGTATGTATTTATGCATAAATACTTAGGATTTGTTGTTTGCTAGGATTTGTTTATGTATATATATGCATAAATACTTAGGAACAACATATAATACTTAGTAACATCAATAGCTACTGCTAATGTTTTGGGCATATTATCTTTCAGTGCTTTTTTCTGTGCACATGTATTATATTTAATTTTTAATCATACTTGTCACACTATATTTTTGCATTCTCGGTTTTCGGTTTTAAATATTTTTTAAATTGATACATAATATTTGTACATATTTGCAGGATACAAGTGATATTTTGTTACATGCATAGAATATGTAATGATCAAGTCAAGGTATTTAGGATATCCAGCACTAGTTTTCATTGTTTTTACAACTATTTCTCTTACCATTTAGCACATTACATATATGTACTATTAGTAGTTGCCTACTAAATGCTACCTGTTATTCTGTTTATGTTTTTAAGAGCTTTATTCAGGTATAATTGACAAAAAATGTGAGTGTGTGTGTGTGTGTGTGTGGTAAGAACATGTAAGACATACTCTTTTAGCAAATTTCAAATAAACAACACAGTATTATTAACTATAGTTACTGTGCTTTACATTAGGTCCTCAGAACTTATTCATCTTGTAACTGAAAGTTTGTACTCTGACCAATATTTCCCCATTTTCCTCATGCTTGAGCCTCTGGCAACCACCATTCTACTCTTTGCTTTTATGAGTTCAAGTTTTTTAGATTCTACATATAAATGAGATCATACAGTATTTGTCTCTCTGTGTCTGGTTTATTTTACTTAGCATCATGTTCTTGTTCATCCACATTCAACCCAAATGGCAGGATTTTCTTCTATTTTATGGCTGAATAATATCCCACTGTATATATTCATACTATATTTTCCCTATCCATTTATCTTTCGATGGACACTTAGGTTCTGTATCTTGGCTATTGTCATAATGCTGCAATAAACTTGGGGGTGCCAATATCTTTCTGAGATATGGATTTTGCTTCCTTTGGGTATATACCCAGTATTAGGATTGCCGTATTATATAATAGTTCTGTTTTTAATTTTTTTGAGCAAACTCCATACTCTTTTCCATAAGAGATGTACTAATTTGCATCCTCACCAACAGTGTACAAGGGTTTTATTTTCTCCACAGCCTTGATAACTCTTCTTATATCTTATCTTTTTGATAATAACCATCCAAGCAGGTGTGAGGTGATATCTTGTGGTTTTAATTTGCATTTCTCTAATGTTGAGCCCCTTTTCATATCCCTGTTTGTCATTTGTATGTCTTCTTTGGAAAATTGTCTCTTCAGATCTTTTACTCATTTAATTTTTTTTTTGTTTTGGCTTTTGAGTTATATAAGCTCCTTGTATATTTTGGGTATTAACATTTTGTCAGATACATGGTCTGCCAATATTGTCTTGCATTCTGTGGGTTGCCCTTTCATTTTGTTGATTGTTTCCTTTGCTGTGCAGAAGCCCTTTGGTTTCATTTAGTCCCATTTTTTTTTTCTGTTTGCTTTTGTTCCCTTGTGCTTTGGGTGTCATATTTAAAAATGTTTGCCAAGGCCAGTGTCAAGGAGCTTTTCTTCTAACGTCTCTTCTAGGAGTTTTATGGTTTTAGGTCTTATATTTAAGTCTTTAATCCATCTCAAGTTGATTTTGTCAAGTTTTATTTTTTTGTGTGTGTTTATTTTTTTGAGACGGAGTCTCGCTCTGTCGCCCAGGCTGGAGTGTGGTGGCACAATCTTGGCTCACTGCAAGCTCCACCTCCTGGGTTCGTGCCATTCTCCTGCCTCAGCCTCCTGAGTAGCTGGGACTACAGGCACCTGCCACCATGCCCAGCTAATTTTTTCTGTTTTTAGTAGAGACGAGGTTTCACTGTGTTAGCCAGGATGGTCTTGATCTTCTGACCTCATGATTCGCCTGCCTCGGCCTCCCAAATTATGCTGGGATTACAGGCGTGAGCCACCGTGCCTGGCCAAGTTTTAATTTTTAGCATGTGGATATCCAGTTTTCCCAGCACCATTTATTAGGGAAAAGAGGGAAAAAGAGACTATTTTTTTCCTATTGTGTATTTTTTGGTGCCCCTGTTAAAGATTAGTTGACTATATATCGGTGGATTTATTTCTGGGCTCTCTATTCTGTCCCATTGGTCTACTTGTCTGTTTTTAATGCCAGTACCATACTGTTCTGATTACCATAGCTTTGTAATATAGTTTGAAACCAGGGACTGAGATGCCTCTGGCTTTGTTCTTTTTGCTCAAGATTGCTTTGGCTATTTGGAGCCTTCTGTTGATCTATACGCACTTTTAGAATTGCTTTTTCTATTTCTGTGCACAATGCTATTGGCATTTTGGTAGGGACTAGGTAGGGACTGCATTGAATCTGTGAACTGCTTTGGGTAGTATGGACATTTTAACAATATTAATTCTTTTAACCCTTGAACATGGGATGTCTTGTCATTTATTTTTGTCTTCTTTAATTTTCTTCATCAATGTCTCAGGGTTGTCAGAGCACAGATATTTTACCTTCTTAGTTAAATTTATTCCTAAGTATCTTAACGTTTTTAATGCTATGGAAATGGGATTGTTTTCTTAATTTCTTTTTAGATTCCTGTTAGTGTATAGAAATGTGACTGATTTTTGTATGTTGATTTTGTGTTTAATAACTTTACTGAATCCATTTATTTATTTATTTATTTATTTATTTATTTATTTATTTATTTATATCTAACAGTATTTTGGTGGAGACTTTAGTGTTTTCTATATATAAGGTTATGTCACTGCAAACAGAGATAATTTAACTTCTTCCTTTCTCATTTGGATGCCTTTTATCTTTTATTTCCTTGCCTAATTACTCTGGTTAGGAGTTTCAGTACTGTGTTGAATAAAAGTGGTGAGAGTGGGCACCTTGTCTTGTTTCTGATCTTAGAGGAAAATTTTTAGCTTTTCACCTTTTCATATGATGTTAGTTGTGGGCTTATCATATATAATTTATATTATGTTAAGGTACATTTCTTCTATGCCTAATTTATTGAAAGTTTTAAAATCATAAATAGACGTTGAATTCTGTCAAATGATTTTTCTGCAACTACTGAGATGATAGCATGGTTTTCATCCTTCATTTTGTTAACGTAGTATATTGTATTTATTGATTGTGTATGTGGAACCATCCTTGCATCCCAGGAATAACTCCAACTTGGTCATGGTGTATAATCTTTTTACGCAATGCTGTTGAGTCCTATTTGCTAATAATTCTTTTGAGGATTTTTGCATCTGTGTTCCTCAGCAATATTTCCCTGTAGTTTTATTTTCATATAGTGCCCTTATCTGGCTTTAGTGTGCATGTGATGCTAACCTCATAAATTTGGAAGTGTTCCTCTCTTTGTAATTTTTTGGAAGAGTTTGAGAAGGATTAGTCTTGGTTCTTTAAATGCTTGGTGGAATTCATCTGTGAATCCATCTGGTCCTGTACTTTTCTTTATTGGGAGGTTTTTGATTACTAATTCAATCTGCTTACTCATTGGTCTACTCAGATTTTCTATTTTTTTCATGATTCAGTCTCGGTAGGTTGTATGTATCTAGAAATTTGCCCATTTTTTTCCAGGTGGTCCAATTTGTTGGCATAGAATTGTTCATAGTAGTCTCTTATAATCTTTTGTATTTCTGCGGTATTAGTTGTAATGTCTCCTCTTTCCTTTATAATTTCATTTATTCAAGCCTTTCTCTTTTCTTCTTGGTTAGTGTAGATAAAAATTTGGCAATTTTGTTTTTCTTTTTTTAAAAAACCGTGGCCCTTTGTTTGGCTGATCTTTTGTATTGTCATTCTAGTCTCTATTTCATTTACTTCTGTTCTAATCTTTATTATTTCCTCCCCTTTGCCAACTTTGGGCTTTTTTTTTCTGGTTCTTTAAGATGTAAAATAAAGTTGTTTATTTGAAATCATTCTTTTTTCTCTTAATGTATACACTTATCACCATAAACTTCCCCCTTTGAACTGCTTTTGCTGCACCCCATAAGTTTGAGTATGTTGTGTTTTCATTTTTGTCTCAAAATACTTTTTGATTTCTTCTTTGGCCCACTGATTGTTCAGTAGTGTGTTAATGTATTAGTCATTTCTCATGTTGCTATAAAGAACTGCTCGAGACTAGGGTAATTTATAAAGAAAAGAGGTTTGATTGACTCATAATTCCACATGGGTGAGGAGGCCTCAGGAATCTTATAATCATGGTGGAAGGGGAAGCAAACTCATCCTTCTTCACATGATGGCAGGAACGAGAAGTGCCGAGCAAACGGGGGAAAACCCCCTTATAATACCATCAGATCTCGTGAGAACTCACTCACTATCATGAGAACAGCATGAGGGTAACCGGCCCAATGATTCAATTACCTCCCACTGGGTCCCTCCTACGACATGTGGGGATTATGGAAACTACAATTCAAGATGAGATTTGGGTGGGGACACAGCCATACCATATCAGTTAATTACACATAATTTACACATTTTCAAAATTATTCCTGTTATTAATTTCTAGTTTCATATCATTGTGGTTGGAAAAGATACTTGATATGATTACACTTTCTTAAGTTTGTTAAGACTTGTTTTGTGGCCCAACATATGATCTACCCTGGAGAGCATTCTGCGTGCAGTTAAGAAAAGTGTGTACTCTGCTGTTGCTGGGTGGAATGTTCTGCATTTGGTCTGCAGTGCTATTCAAGTCTGCTATTTCCTTAAAGGTTTTCTGTGTGGTTGATTTATTCATTTTTGAAAGTGGAGTACTGAAGTCTTCTACTATTATTATGTTGCTTCTGTTTCTCTCTTCAGTTCTGTTAATATTTGCTTTTTGTATTTATTTGCTCTAATGTTGGGTGGAACTATTCATAATTGGCATATTCCCTTGATGAATTGGCCCCTATATCATTATATATTGACCTCTTTGTCATGACAGATTTTGACTGAAAGTCTATTTTGTTTGATATAAGTATAGCCATACCTGCTTTCTTTTGGTTTCCATTTCCATGGAATATCCTTTTCCATCCCTTTATTTTTAGCCTGTTTGTATCTTTAAGGCTAAAGTGACCCTTTTGTAGGCAGTATATAGTTGAATTTTATTTTTAAGTTTATTCAACCACTGTGTGTTTTTTGATTGGGGAATTTAATACATTTACATTTAAAGTAATTATTGATAAGTAAGGTCTTACTATTTCCATTTTGTTAATTGTTTTCTGACTATTTTTTAGATTTTTTATTCCTTTTCATATCTGTTGGTATCTTTCCTTGTGAGTTGTTGATTTTTTATAGTGGTATGCTTGGATTCCTTTCTGTTTATCTTTGGTGTGTCTACTAGTGGCTCTTTCTTTCTCCCTTCCTTCCTTCCTTCCTTCCTTCCTTCCTTCCTTCCTTCCTTCCTTCCTTCCTTCCTTCTTTCGAGACAGGGTCTTGCTATGTCAACCAGGCTGGAGTGCAGTGGTGTGATCGTGGCTCACTGCAACCTCTGCCTCCCAGGTTCAAGCAAGTCTCCAGCACCAGTCTCCCAAGTAGCTGGAACTACAGGGGCGCACCACCACACCTGGATAATTTTTGTAATTTTAGTAGAGATGGGGTTTCACCATGTTTCCCAGGCAGGTCTTGAACTTCTGGGCTCAAACAATATGCTTGTCTTGGCCTCCCAAAGTACTGGGATTACAGGCATGAGCCACTGCACCCGGCATGGCTTTTTCTTACGGTTACCATGAAGTTTACATAAAACATATTATAGTTATAGCATTGTGTTTTAAGCTGATGAGAATGTAACTACAATTGCATTAAAAGACTCAATACTCTTACTTCTGCCTTCTTCACATTTTATATGATTGATATCACACTTTAAATATATATATATATATATATATATATATATATATATATATATATATATATATATATTTTTGAGACGGAATTTTGCTCTTGTTGCCCAAGCTGGAGTGCAATGGTGCGATCTTGGCTCACTGCAACCTCTGCCTCCTGGGTTCAAGCGATTCTCCTGCCTCAGCGTCCCAAGTAGGTGGGATTACAGGCACACACCACCATGCCCAGCTAATTTTTTGTATTTTCAGTAGAAATGGGGTTTTACCATGTTAGCCAGGCTGGTCTTGATCTCCTGACCTCAGGTGATCCACCCGCCTTGGCCTCCCAAAATGCTGGGATTATAGGCGTGAGCTACCATGCCAGGCTTAAATATTTTTATACTGAATATCCATTAACAAATGATAGTAGCTATAGTTATTTTTAATACTTTTGTCCCCTAACTTTTAATCTAGAGTTAACAAGTGATATACACACTAGCATTAGAGTATTAGAGTATTCTGGACTTGACTATATGTTTACTTTTACCAGTGAGTTTTATCTTTTCATGTGTTTATCGTTTTTATGTTGTTACTATGATGGTTAATACTGAGTGTCAACTTGATTGGATTGAAGGATACAAAATATTGATCCTGGGTGTGTCTGTGAGGGTGTTGCCAAAAGAGATTAACATTTGAGTCAGTGGGCTGGGGAAGGCAGACTCACCCTTAATCTAGTGGACACAATCTAATCAGCTGCCGGGAAATATAAAGCAGGCAGAAAAACATGAAAAGGAGAGGTGGGCCTAGGCTCCCAGTCTACATCTTTCTCCTGTGCTGATGCTTCCTACCCTTGAACACCAGACTCCAAGTTCTTCAGTTTTGGGACTCGGACTGGCTCTCTTTGCTCCTCAGCTTGCAGATGGCCTATTGTGGGACTTTGTGATCATGTAAATTAGTACTTAATAAACTCCCCTTTATATATGTATTTATATATATGTAAATGTCTCATATATATAAATGTCTGCTATTAGTTCTGTCCTCTAAGAGAACCCTGACTAATACAGTTTCTTAGCATCTTTCCATGTTATGTGAAGACATCTCTTCAGCATTTCTTGTAAGGCATATCTAGTGGTGATGAACTCTCTTAGCTTTTGTTTGTTTGGGAATGTCTTTATCTCTCTTTCATTTCTGATGAACACTTTTGCTGGTAGTATTCTGGTTGGATTTTTATTCTCTTTCAGAACTTTGAATATATCATCTCATTCCTTCCTGGCCCACAAGGTTTTTGCTGAGAAGTCTCCTGACATCCTTATGGTGAGTTTCTTGTATATGATGAGTGTCTTTTCTCTTACTACCTTCAAGAGTCTCACTTTGTCTTTGACTTTTGACAATCTAATTATGTGTTTTGGTGTATTTTTCTGTGGGTTGATCTTACTTGAGATCTTTTGAGTTTCGTTAATCAGAATGTTCTTATCGCTCCTGAGATTTCAGAAGTTCTAAGCCATTATTTCTTTAAATAAGTTTTCTGCTCCGTTTTCTGTCTCTTTCTATTGAAATTCCCATAATTAGTATATTTGTTTGTTTGATGATGTCCCAATTTGTCCCTTATGATTTCTTTACTAATTTTTATTCTTTTTTTGTTTTGTTTCTCTAATCAACTAATTTTTAATGATCTGACTTTGATTTCACTGTTCTTTTTTCTGCATAATTGAGTTTGCTCTTGAAGTTCTTTATTGTATTTTTTTAGTTATCTTATTGTATACTTCAGCACTAGGATTTCTGTTTGGTTCTTATTTATGGTTTCTATTTCTTTATTAAAATTTTTATTTTTTCATGCATTGTTTTCCTGGTATTGTTTAATTACATGTGTTCTCTTGCATCTCATCGAGCTACTTTAAGATCATTATTTTAAATTGCTTGTCAGGCAATTTATAGATCTCAATTTCTTTGGGGTTGGAACTTTATTTGTTTCCTTTGGTGGTGTATGTTTGTCTGATTCTTTGTCATTCATGAAGCCTCGTGTTGGTGTCTATGTATCTGAAGTAGCAAACATATTTTTCAGTCTTTACAGACTGGTTTTGGCAGGTAAAGATCTTTTTCTGTTAAATGTCTAGGCTGTTGGGATTGTCTCTGGGATCACAGTTGATTGAGTGGGGTTGGAATCGAGTCACATGGCTACTGCTGGTTCTGCACTGGGTCCATGTTTGATAGGCCTGTTACCAGGGGCTCCAGCAGGTGTGGGTCCTGTCTGGTCCTTGGGCAGACTGAGCTGCCTCCAGGTTCTTGGTCAGTAGGGGTGGTGCTGAGACCAGGCTCTGTTTCAGGGTCCACAGTTGATTTGGCTGATGGTGAGCCTGTTACTAGGTATGTAGAAGGGTATGTTTCCCTCTGAGTCTAGGGGAGTTTCTACTGGGTCACTGGGTAGGTACTTGAAGAGACAGTACTGGCTCCGGATCAAGGCTGAGAGGGGTCAATTAAGTTACAGGGCTGCTTCAGGATCCAGAGCTGAGACTGAGATCTGCAGTCCTGTCTCCAGAGGCAGAGATGAGTGTGCCTCCTGGTGGTTTCTTGGGCAAACACAATTGCCACTGGACCAAAGCTGAATGAGGCTAGAGCCAAGTTACAGGGCTGTTTCAGGATTGGTTGTGGGACCAAGGTTGGCAAGCCTGTTTATTGGAACACAGATGAGTGTGAGTTCAAGCATGTTCTTGAGTGGGCATGAATGCTCTCAGACTACAGTTGAGAGGGGCTGGAGCCGAGTTACCAATTCGTTTCAGGATCTACTGTGGGACCAAGGTTGGCAAGCCTGTCTCCCAGGGCATGACTGGGTATGACTTCTAGAAGGTCCCTCACTGAGTAGACCTGCTTTTAGGCTGCAGCTGAGAGGGACTGGAGATGAGTTATAGGGCTCTTTCAGGGTCTGTATGGGACTGAGGTTGGCAAGTCACAGACCAGCCTGACTACTGGTGGGTCCCAAGGAAGGCACAACTGCTTGCAGACCACAGCTAAGAGGAGCTGGAGCCAAGTTACAAGGCAATTTCATGGTCTGCTGCTGGGATCATGGGCCTATCATTTGAGACTCATGTGGGTGTGACCCCTCTCAGGTCCCTTGGCAGATGGTTCTAGTGGCAGAACCAAGGCAAATGAAGTTGTATCTGATACATAAGGAGATGAGGCTGTTTTTCACATCTGTAGCCTGCATTATGGTTAGTGACACTGCCATCTGAGTGCAAGCCTGTTCTCAAGACAGCCTTCTTAGGTCTTGGGCTCCACCAGGGTTCTCAGTCTCCAACCAAGGCTCACAATAGCACTTTGTCTACAGATGGCTGTCAAATTCTTGTTATTGTAGGGGGATGGGGATACAAGCAGAGGACATTCTATCCCATCATTTGGCTGACATCCCTATTAATCTGTTTAATATGTACCCTTCTTGACATAGAGTAATACTAACTTTTCATAAAATTGAAAAAACCACTATATTTTAACGATTTATACACCTAAATTATTATTTCTATAATAGTAAATTTTTGCATAATGTGTTTAAGTAGATGTATACAACTGCTTTGTCAATCACTTCTCTGTATAGAGGGAGGAAATTCCCAAGTGAAGATTTAAACTTTCTTCTTTCAAGTTTTAAATTATGTTTTTCCTTAGGATGTTATGGTTAAAAATTTAATCCGTCTTTGATCTCTCCTTGGATGAAACAGATTCATCCAATAATAGCACATTGAAATATGTGGTTTAGTGTAATCTCTGCTTCTACTGCAAACAGAAGAGAAATAAAGGATCTCTAGGCACAAAATTAATTGCTCTGCATCAGGTTGCATTGCCATTTAAGGAAAATTTATCTTTCATTATGATTGTATTCTCTATTATTTGAAAACTTGAGGCATGTTTATTTTTAGTATTGTGAGTTTCTATTGTCAAGCTGACCACCATTATTTGTTATTTCTTGAATCTTAACCTCAAACAAAGGCATTGCCTCTTTTTGGGGAAAAAGACTGACTCTTTATAATATAGATAGGCTTTTATTTTTATTTTCGAAACATCTGTATGCTCCACATTTAATTTTGAAAATACTATAAAGATATGGCTCATGTTCCTGATTATTTCATTAAATTGTTAAATGTAAATGTTCCAAATTTGGCAGTTTAAACATTGTGAATCCTAAAACTGATTAAGAAAATTTCATAGAATCACAATTTTAATTGGGCTACCCAATCTTATCAATTCAATTTCACTGCATGTTCTTAATCTACCTAAGTATATTCCCAATCCTTAATATAGATTTCCAATTAAAAAGAGGGAGAATGTTTTGTTTCTTTTATATTTATCCCCTAATTGCTTTTAGGCTCTGCAAAGGTTCTGTTTTGTCCAGGTGGTTGTTTTGAAGCATACTGTGCTTTCAGAATCTCTTGAAATATTTACAGATGATGAATCTGCAGCCAAAACACTCAATAAACAGCACCTGCAGAACTTAGACTTTGTCTAAATTTGGAAGTCAGAACTGAGGACTGGTGATTTGGATAGTTCTAGGGAATATGACTTTTGGAAGAGGATTTCAGAAATTTGAAGTAAAAGCTTGAATCATATTTACAACCTAACTGCTAGAGTTCTTCTTATATAATATATTTTGTCATTTTATGATCGTTCCTTTTTTTTGAAATTTAACATGTCAGGTTACCAATCTTTTTGGTAACTAAGAGATTTAGTAAATGTTACAGATTTGCAAAACTGTAGCTTGAAGTTAACTTGGGGCTGAAAGGAAGGATCTCTTGTACTCATTACCTGGCAGGGTTGGGCCTTGACTGTTCTAGTCTCATCCTCCATCCAGGTGTGCTGGTAAGTGTTTAACAATCACCTCACCAAAAATAGGTAAATAAAAACAGCCTGATTTGTAGCATTTGCTGATTTCCATGTAAATATGTCCTCTGGCTGATTTCAAGATATCAGAGATTTAACTGCTGGCTTTCACAATTTCTGAAAATTTAGTACTTGGCTCTCATGAGCCCTTATAAACCTGCTACAGCAGGTGAATCTATATTATCACCTGTCTCAGGAATCCATAATTCAGGAATTTTCATCTTTATTTGTGTTTAACTTGGTATTTTTTCCATGTTGTTACTGTGGTTAGATTCGTGAAAATGCTGAAGCTTTAAGAAAGTTCTCATTCTTCTAATTTGTATGCAACAGAAACTGCCAATAGCAACTTCCCACAAATACCTTAGAGTGGCTCCTTTGCATTGAAAGCAATAAATCCTATTTACAGGGAGAGCATGAAGTTCCTTATCTATTCCCCTCTCCCCCAAAAGAAACAAATGAACATGTATATATGTGAGAGAGAAAAGGGAAGAGGAATTTTAATATAAAGATAAAATTTAGTCTAGTGCTGATCATTTCTCTTTATAGCCTTATATGAACTTCTGAAGTATAGGCACTTTGTATTCTGGTAAAGAGTAGCTTCTCAAAAAGTTTGCTGGAGGAATGTCAAAGCTGCTTGCCTAACCTGAAGACAGAGAGTCACTTAAACTCTTCTAGAAGTTGCAAGAGCTCTCTGAGGATGTTTTACCTAGAGGTCTTAAGATAGTGATGCAGAATAAGAGAAAAGAAATGATGGGAAAATGGCATTATCAGCTCTCTTCCATTCTGCCATCTCCCACCACTCCTGTAATAAGTGGACTTCTAAAAGATTTGGGGCTGCCGTCTTCTACTATGAATAATCAGGCCACAATCAGCAAAGAAGCTGGGGGATGAGAAGTATGGAGACTTTTTGGTCAATACTGGTTGTATTAGTCAGGGCTCTCTAGAAAGACAGAGATAATAGGATAGATATAAATATAAAGGGGAGTTTAGTAATGAGTATTAACTCACATGATCACAAGGTCCCACAATAGGCCGTTTGCAAGTTGAGGAGCAAGGAAGCCAGCCCGAGTCCCAAAGCTGAAGAACTTGGAGTTTGATGGCAGGAAGAATCCAGCATGGGAGAAAGATGTAGGCTCGGAGGCTAAGCCAGTCTAATCTTTTCACATTTTTCTGCCTGCTTTATATTCGAGCCATGCTGGCATCTGATTAGATGGTGCATACCCATATTAAGGGTGGTCTGCCCCTCCAAGTCCACTGACTCAAATGTTAATCTCCCTTGGCAACACCCTCACAGACACACCCAGGATCAATACCTTGCATCTTTCAATCCAATCAGGTTCACACGCAGTATTAACCATCACACTGGGTTAAGTCAATTAGGGAAAAAGAATGAAGACCACCCAAGATTCTAGGAACAAAGTTTCTATTCTCTTGGCTTTGCTTGTCATTTATTTACTAGTATTTAGATGATTGTGACATATTTCACCTGGGCAAATGATTGTATTGTGATTACTTTGTCAGGAACATTCAGATTTCAGTGATCATCAGAGCCATGGCTACCCTTTAAAACAATAAAAATATGAACAACTTTAATTATATTATCTTAGAAGGACAAAAATTCTTAGGAGTACAAGTATTCGGATATTTTTCTTAAGTTGTGCTTTCACTATGAACTATTTGTCAAACTAATATCCAAAGAAAGTGGGGTTTTTTTTGGTGCATTTAGTATAATTTGGGGAAACTTGAAGTTATATTGGCATAAAAATTTTAGAAATTCTTTCCTTATTTTCAGAAACCATTGCATGTACCATCAGAGTTGGATTGATTCTTGATTATTGAGATATGAAAATAGTCTTTTTTAATTTCTCTGTTCTTCAGGCATAATTATAGAGTCATGTCAATTTAAGGCAAAGTAATTCTAATTAAATCTGAGAGAATAATTAGGTAGGTTGCTGTGACTTAGTTAGTTGGATAAGGTGTAGTTTGAACAGAAACCAAAGTTAATCATATGGGAGATTGTGGTTGTCAGTATGTACGAAATATTCTTAGAGTAAATTTCAAATATTCAAAATTCACAAAAATGGATAGTCACTTTGTAACACTGTCCTTAGGCAAACTTTCAGGTTTGAATATGGTGGGGGAGGGGGTGGGCACAGATATTTATTCCTTACAGTTTGCTAATAAAGGGAATTATTTTGACAGATTTAAAGAGGTTAAACCAATTTTGCATTCTGGAGACAATCCTCGCTGGGTCATGGTGTATTACCTTTTTTATATATCGTTGGATTAAGTTTGCTCAATTTTAAGAGTGTTTACATGTATGTCTCAGAGGAATACTGACAGATAATTTTGTTTTCTTGTAATGTCTTTCGTTCTTCTAGCAGGATAATGCTGGTTTTACAGAATGAGTTGGGAAATATTTCCTGGCCTTCAATTTTCTGGAAGAGTTTGGGTAGAATTGATAATGTTTCTTTTTAAAATGCTCATAAGAATTCATTAGTGAAGTCACCTGGGCCTGGAGTTTTCTTTGTGAGGGGTTTTTTAATTAAAAATTTAATTGCTTTAATAGATATAGGGCTATTCAACTTAACTGTATCTATTTCTTTTTATGAGATATTAGGCAATTTGTGTCTTTTGAGGAATTCATATATTTTATCTAAGCTGTTGAATTTATAGGCATAAAGTTGTAGATAATATTTTCTTAATTCCTTATCTGTGGATTGTAGTGATGTCACCTCTCTCATGCTTAATATTGGTATTTTGGCTCTTCTCTTTTTTTCCTGATCAGTTGGGCTAAATGTTTATCAATGTAGTTTTATCTTTTTATCCATTATTTTTTGTGTTCTATTTCATTAATTTAAACTTTGAGTATCCTTATTTCCTTTCTTCATATTTTGCTTTTAATTTTCTCTTTTTTTCTAGCTTCTTAAGCTCAGGTAACTGTCTTGATACCTTTATTTTTCTAATTTAAGGCATTTAGTTCTATGAATTTCCTTTTAGGTACTACTTTACTTGAATTCCACAAATTTCAATATGTTTTGTTCTCAATTTCATGTATTTCAAAATACTTTTTTTATTTTTATGTTTTATTCATCTTTAGTCTCTTTTTTTCCTATTCTTGTTTAATTCCTACACAGTTGGGGAATTTTCTAGAAATGTTTCGTTATTGACTTCTAATTTGATTCCATTGTGATCAGAGAAAACATTTTGTGTCGATTGAATACTTTTAAATTTATTGAGACATATGGATTACAATATGGTCTGCCTTGGTAGATGTTCTGTGTACAATTGAAAAACTATGTGGAGTGAAGTGTTGAATGCAGTATTCTATACATATCAATTAGGTCAATTTGGTTGATTATATTTTTCACATTATCTATGTGTTTACTGATTTTTTGCCTATTTATTTTGAGATAGGGACATTGAATTCCCTGACTTAGTTATGGCTTGGTCTGCTTTTTCCTTAGAGTTCTGTCAGTTTTTGCTTCATTTATTTTGACGCACCATTATTAGTTACATAAATGTTTGGGATTATTATGCCATCTTGATGACTTGACCACTTTATATGTATGAAATGATTCACTTTATTCCTAGTAATATTCTTGTCTGGATGTCTATTTTATTTTACATCAAAATATCCCCTTCAGCTGTCTTTTAATTAGTGTTAACATGGTATATCTTTATCCAATCTTTTACTTTTAACCTATTTATGCCTTTGTAACTAAAGTGGATTTTCTATAGGCAGCATACTGATGGGTTTTTTTTTAAATCCAATCTGATAATTGCCATCTTTTAATTCTGGTCCTTACACATTTATTGTGATTACTCAAATGTTTGGGTTTTGATTTACCATCCTACAACTTGTCTCTGTGTTTCCCATTTGTTATTATTTCCCTCTTTCCTCTTTTTTTGCCTCCTTTAAGTTAATTATTTTTAAAATTTTATTTTACCTTCTTTGTTGGATTATTAACTAGGACACTTTGCTGTGCTATTTTGATGGTTGCTTTGGGGTTTATAGTATACATATTTAGCTTAACATAGTCAACCTTCAGGTGATATTATACTATTTCACATTTATACATAAACATCTTTCCATAATATACTTCCATCTGTCCTTTCCTGGCCTTTGTGTTTTGTTGTCATATATTTAACCTCTACATTTGTTACAAATCCCACAATATATCATTGTCAGTATTGCTCCAGTATCTTCTGGCTTCCATGGTTTCTGATGAGAAATCTGCTGTAATCTTTATTGGGATATAATGCATCTCTGTATGTTATAAATTGTTTTCTCTGCCTGCTTTTAAGATTTTTCTCTTTATCCTGGTTTTTGGTAATTTGATTATGATGTGCTTTGGTGTGCTTTTCTTCTTTCCTTTTGTACTTGGGTGTTTTAAACTTTTACAGCTTTTATCAATTTTGGAAACGTTTCCTTTTTTTATTTTTTATTTTTTCTGTGCACTTCTCTCTTCTTTCAGGGACTCCAATTACAAGAATATGAGGCCACTTGAAGTGTATATTACATGTTTCCGAGTTCACCAATATTTTCTTTTGCCATGCTTATTCTGCTATTAATCTCATCCAAAATATTTTTTTTCATCTCAGACACTTTAGTTTTTATTTCTAGAAGCTTGATTTGGGTCCTTTAAACATCTTTTGTGACTACTTAACATATTTGTTCTTTTTCTAGCTTTTTGAATGTAATATAACTGTTTTAATGTCCTCGTCTACTAATCCTATCATCTGTGTAATTTCTGGGTTGGTTCTGGTTAATTTTTTAAAATTATGGGTTGTATTATGTGTTGTATGGTTATGGACTGTATTTTCCTTCTTTTTTTCATTCCTCATAGTTTTTGGTTGGATGGGCATAGTCAGTTTTACCTTTTTGAATGCTGGATGTTTCTGTATTCCTATAAACATTTTTGCAATTTGTTTTGGGATGTGATTAAGTTACTTGGAGGCAGTAACACATTCTCATTCTACAGTTTGGTTAGGTGAGATCAGAGCAGTGTGTAGTTTGGTCTAATTTCCCCTCCACTATTTGAGACAAAGTCTTTCTGAGTATTTTCCCCAATGTTTTGTAAATAATTAGGTTTTCTATTTTAGCCTGTGGAAACAAATTATTCCTGGTTCTATGTGAGCTCTAGGTACTGTTTCTTAGCCTTTCAGGTGATTCTTTCTCCCAATCTCAGATAGTTTCCTCACATGTATGATCAGTACTTAGCTGAAGACTAGGAGAGGAACTTCCTTTACAGAGGAACCCCTTACAATCTCTGAAGCTGTATTTCTGTGCACTTCTCTCTTCTCAATACTCTGTCCTGCAAACTCATTGCCTTGGATACTCATTATATTTTGTATGCATTTTATCAGAGCATGTGTGACACACTTTATTTTGCTTATTTGTTTGCTTGTTTTATGCTTCTCTCTACTTATTAGACTTTAATTCCCATGAAGGCATTGAAGATTTCTCATTCTTTGTGACCTCAAAGAATGGTGCTTGGTATACAGTAGGGGTCTAATAAATGTTGGTTGAATATATTTAGTGTTCTTAGGTTTGTGATGTTTCCTTTTGGATCAAATGTTTATTATATAAGATACTAGTTTTGCTTTAAAAAAAGTAGTCAGAGCCTTTTATTTAACATTTTATTACTAATTTCTAATTTTATTGAATTATTGTCAGAGTGTTTGGCCTATATATACTACTTATTAAAAAATTTATTGAGTTTTTCTCTAAAGCTGCCACTGAAATTAAAAAATAAATTTTCTAAAGTTTCAAAAATATGATTTGCTTTTCATAAACATTCTAGAGACAGTTAAAAGGACACTATAGTCTTTGTTTGCAGGAAATGTAATGTTCATGTGTTTAAGACCTTAGTACTTGTTCTCATATATACATTTATCATAATGCTATGAACTGATAGGAATATATCTTCCACTATACTTATAATTCTGCTGATTTCTTCTTATATTTGTATTAGGCTTTGTTTGATATGTTTTAATGCTATGTTACTTAGTGCGTAATAGTTTATGTCTCATACCTTTTATCCAAATAAAACAAACGTCTGTATACTATTTACTTACTGGCTTTTATTTTTTGGCCTGAAACTCATACTTTTATATTAATATGATTGTTGATTGTTTTTAGGCAAGTTTCTGCCTGTACTTGGGTGATAATGAGAAGTTGCCTGAACTTGATAAGATTGGTTTATTAGAGTTAAGTTTTAAAATACTCATAATGGTACAAAGTGATAACATAGAATGTCAATTTAAAGAAATAATAAATATCAAAATAGAACATGTTTATTTTTGTGTTGTTAATTTTGATTCCTGTCTTGTTATTCTGAAGTACATCTGAAATCAGACTTTATGAAACAGTGACATGCACAATAATTTCCTCCGAAAAAAGATGTTTTAGTTTAGTAATGCCCCTTCTTGTGCATTTCTGTATTTCACAGACCATTATCTGCTTGACTTAGCCTCTTAGCAGAAAAGCTTAGAAATGAAATATTAGAAGACAATCAATTTTCCACTGGAAATGGAATTGAAGGATCTCTAAAATTAAAATAAATATATTGGAAAAGATTATGTGATGGACACAAAATTTACTGCTTTTTAGTGTAATAAATGTCATATAGGGCAAGATATGTTTGCACTTGATTTAATAGAGGGGTTGCTGTTTGATTTGGCTGATTTAATTTCTACCTATAATTCTAAACATAAACATAAATGCTCATGAAATGCAATATTAGCACCTTATATTACTTTCTAGCAGTTCTTAGAGTATGCTGAGACTTCAGATTCTTTTGATTTAAAGTGAATTGGGCCTGGTGCGGTGGCTTACGTCTGAAATCCCAGCACTTTGGGAGGCTGAGGCGGGCAGATCACCTGAGGTCAGGAGTTTGAGACCAGCCTGGCCAACATGGCAAAATCCTGTCTCTACTAAAAAAATACAAAAATAGCTGGGCGTGGTGGTGCACGCCTGCAATCCCACCTACTTAGGAGGCTGAAGCATGAGAATTGCTTGAACCCTGGAGGCGGAGGTTGCAGTGAGCCAAGATTGCACCACTGCACTCTAGCCTGGGCAACACAGCGAGAGTCTGTCCCAAAAAAAAAAAAAAAAAAAAGTAAAAAGAATAACCTATTTTTTTATTGTCAGTAATCTAAAAACAGGAAGTGATGGAAGTATCTGTATTTCTCTAACATTGGCCAATAATTTTTATGAGCACTTTCTCTCAAGTTAGAAAAACTGTAAATGTAGTAAACAGTCACTTGTGTTCACACTATTCTTCTACTCCTCTAAAAATATGACTGTGAAATCTTCCAATAATTTGTAGTCATACAATGTGGATCAGTTGTTTTTAAAAAGCTCATACTTGTCAAGAATGTAAAGGCCCAAAACTTGAGAAGGGATTTGAAAGATAGAAATTGATTAAAGGAACTGATATATAAATATAGTAGCAATACAGTAGCTAGTAATAAGATTTTAACCACCTCAATTCTGAAATATGGTTACAGTTCTCAGAAAGGATAGGAAAAATATATAAGTGAAAAAATAGTTGATACAAAGTTCATGTGTCAAAGTCTATGTATTATGTATTTGACTCTACAGAGTCCCCATTCTTCCACCAAGAGTCTGTTTCTACTTTAGACAAAGCACTAACAAGCATTTGAGAAATTGATAGAACCAATAGTATAAAGAATTAAAGAGAGATGGTGGCTAGCTTGACAGCAAGGGAAGAGATAGAAGCCTGTAAAACTAGATACATACATTTTTTCGTGTGTTGTACTTTTATTTATATAGTACTTGACATAAAAATGCCATGCCCCACATTATTAATCAGCACATTTTTATTTTCACTGTCTTGAGATTTAAAAAGATATTGATGTATCCGTTTTGTATTTAGATTATGACTTGATCAGCATCTGTGTTTGCAGAAAAAAAAAGAGAGGTTTGGATAAATTTAGGAATGGGATTAAGACAATGGAACATTCACAATGGAAAAGTCCCACAAGTTTGTAATTCACAAACTGGTTCTCCCCTGATTCTAGAAAAGAGCAATAAAGAGGTCTATCATATTAGGACCCAAATGCAAATCTAGTCTAAAACCTTTTAGCAATTAACATTGGTTTGATGATAGTTTATTTAATGAGCAGAAAAAAATTCAAGAAGACAGAAGTACTCAATTAAGGCTTGAGAAATCTGATGAGATTCAAGGAGCAAGGGGCAAATATTTATTTAAAAAATTCCTTTGAGTTGGAATACTGAGAGTTAAATTTATTAAGTAAACAGGTCACCACTTTAAGTAAATAAATTGAAACAAACATGAATACAATATATTCCAACTCAGGCCTGATTCTTGGAGCTAGAAATTTGTACTTTTATATGTCAATATATCTATTAAATAGCATGATGTTCTTAGTCAATGTTTCCTGATCTAAGAGAAGCATGATTTTTGCTCAGCTCTGGCATTTCAGTTTTTGACCATATGACAATGTCAGAATTAGAAAAAAATACTTTAAAAATATTAGATACATAAATTAAAGGCCTTGTCCTTTGAGAATATCATATTATTTCACATTATTTTATGATATAACAGTTTTTAAGGACTAGACTGAAACGTAGAGAAAGGATTAAATAAAGCTTTAGCATAATCTGGGAAATCTACTTTTGTGGGATACTCATTCTATGATGGTAGACAAATGCTTTGCTGCACAGGTAAATTCACATTGTGCCTCTTCCTAGTTGAGAACAATGTGCTGTCAATTTAGCTGTCATTCCATCATGCTGTAGTATGCAGACTTTCCTGTTGCCTTCACCCCTTTGAAGCCCAGTCAGGTAAAAACAAACTGGGGTTTGGAGACTCAATTAATAGAGATGGTTCAACAGATTCCATTAACAAAAGAGCTGTTTTAAGTCTTTGCCCAGGACTCAGACTAAATAATAACTTGGATTTGTAAATGTGGGCAAATGTAAGGGCTAAAATAAAATATAAAATATACATTTTATATTCCTAACTATAGGAGGAATGGAGAATTTACTTTTTATATCTGTAATTTTATTCAAAAAATATATTTTATGGTACAGTTCTTTGTCTTTTGTATTGATTTGATAATTATCTTCAGCGATACAAACATCTTAGTGTGCTTTCTTGAACCACTGGATATGGAACATCACAGATGTGTAATATTGTACTTGCAAGCTAAACTGACTAGATTTTCAAAATTAGAAAATAAAATCTTATTAAACGTTAAGACACGTTTGAACATAATGAGGAATGCTTTTAAATTATGTTCCTATTTTGTGAGAACCAACAGAGTAGGGTGCCATTGTAGTGCATTTTATTAAGACAATAAATAGATTCTCTCATCTGATATCTTATTTCAGTGTATTACAGAATGTAAATAAGTAAGAATTTTAGGTCATACAACACACACATTCACACACACCTTAAAATTAAAAGCCAGCATCCCTTTGGATTGCATTGTGTTGAACCGGTATGTTTTCTCTAGCAATGAACACAGTTAGCACCCAGTTCTTACTAAGAGTTCCATAAAGATTTGTTAAGTGATTTTATTTTATTCATGAAAGCATTTGTTCAATGGGATCGGTAAATATTTGAGTACACTGAAATATTATTTTAAATCGTGAAAGCTGGGGTGGGATGTTTGAGATCATCTAGTTCAATTGCCACTTGATCATCCACTTCAAGTGCCATAAGATCACCACTAATTTTAGAAATTTTAGACTCTGTATGGCAATTTTCTTGACCTAAAAAATATTTCCTCCAAATGTGATTATAGTTAGACTGAATTACATAAATGAAATAAGATACTAATTTATGTGGACAGACTCCCTTCTAAACCTTTTGTAAAAATTTGATGTTTTCTTTATACCATTGTACAGTATTATGTTACCATAAGCACTTTTACAGATATTTGTTGAAATTCAAGGAGCTATAAGAGTTAATATTTAGTCTGAACAGTTTCCCCAACCAGTAACATTCATTTCAGCTTCCTGTGCATATCATGATGACACTGAGCTCAGCCTGCCTACTAATTGAGTTACTTATTTAAATGCCGAAATGGCTTCTTAATAACTTCTTTAATTATTTAGCTATTTAACAGAACTCTTATCTTCTTGTCTAGAAAATAGTGACATTAAAACTGTTAATACATGATCCTGAGTGCTGGCATTATTTCTGGTTAATGAAAATAACCCAGATCTTTAGTAATGCTTTCATATTTGTATTTCACTCATTTTCTTTGCCTTTGTGTTACCTTAGTTCAAAATTCAAAGCCCTGAACTGTTGACATAGGCCATCTTTAACCGCTAAAAGCACAGCTCAGCCCCAGACTCATTTATTTTGAATTAGGCAAGGTTGGCAACATCCCTGCATAGATGAATGGCTTCTGACTAAATGTGCTGTGTTCTCCTCAATAGGAAAGAGCTTCCCCCCACTGAACAAACACTGCCACTTTTATTACCGATCATTAATGGTTAGACATGAAGCTGGCTGTCCTCTTGATGTTACCCTAGTGATTACATATTCACTTACTACATGCGCTGTTACAAATAGGCTCTGTGTCTTATCTACTTGTGATCATTTCCAGATAACAATATGCAGCCAGGTTGTTCCTGAACCCTGACCGTATGATATTGCTTGTTTTGTGTCATCTTGTTTGTTAACTCATTCCTTGATTACATGGCTCTTATGCCTAATACATTTTTATCACCTTGCAGCAAATTTCTGGTATCCTTATAGTCCAAAGCTCGTGTATCTGCTTTGTCAGAGTCAGAGTCAGTTTGGTAGTGACTTCATCAGCATCTAGCAATACAGTAACAAGTTTCTTCAACAGGATGGGGGAAGGAAATGTTTGGCTATATTCTCAGTATTTTTTTTTTTTTTTTTTTGCATCCTAGAGACTTGGCAAAGGGAGAAGCTATGCCCACTAAGTCTGTTTACAGCCAAGTGTTTTTAGAATCTTGGAAGTTTCTTTTTTGGAGTTCTTCATACTGTGGACCCATTGGAAAGCTGATAAAACAGATTGTCTGTAAGAGAGTCAATATAAAAATAGTCTGCAAGAATGCATGCCACCATCTGTGTTGTCTTATCTAGAAATTGTATCCCTGTCTCAGATTGACTTTCAAATTAATATGCTTATAAATATTAATTGATGGGAAGAAATTAGAAAAAGTGTAAATGTGTGTGTGAATGTTATATATATACATATATACACACATATATATTCTAACACATACACAGTTTTGGATGAGAATTTCTTCTGAATTGTCAGATGAATTCAGTCTGCAGGTTTCTTTTGAATCTGTATTAATCAAAGTACGTACAAGAGTTTAAAAAGTATTATCTTCTTGGCTGGAATGATTGCTTATGCCTGTTAATCTCAACACTTTCGGAGGTGGAGGTGGGAGGTCAGGAATTTGAGACTAGCCTGGGCAACATAGTGAGATCCTGTCTCTAAAAAAAGTAATAATTCTCTTTCATGATAGCAGTTTTGTAAGTTGTAAGTCAAAGGTTAATGATGGAGACACATATTAACCATGGTATCCTTGGTGAGTCACAAAGCACTTAGAAATGCATTTACTTCTGGATAATGTATGAATGTGTACATGATATGCGGCTACCATGTACCAGAATGCTAGCTACTCCTAAGAATAGAAGGAGTAGAGAGGGGAAATTATTCATTAGGCAAAGAAGAAAAAGTAAGGCTGACATGGCATTTAGCAAAAAGCTTTACTTGACCAAATAAGCTAATATTTGAAGGAAAACAAACAGGTAAATATAATCACGTTTGGCCCAAGTTGTTCTAGTAAAAATGAGTGATATTTCCCTTTTAAATGCTCCCCTCCCCCACTTTTGGTAAGAAACTAGTAGCAATACATCTCAGAAGTTCTCTTTGTCTTGATTTATTGACACTGAAGCTCCATGCCTGGAGAAAATCTCTCTGCAAACCTTGTTACATAGTGCTTGTTATTAGTTTTTCCATGTGTTTTTCTAATTAAAATGGTTTTCTTTAGTCTAATATTTGTAGGATGAAAATATTTAAAAGTGAAATGTGATAATCTCTTGGACCTTTCTTCACATTGTTTCATTTCCTACATTGTGTAAAGTACTTTTAATTGGGCAACTTAGGAAAGATATTTCTGGGAGCTGTGGAATGAAGCAAGGCACTAGAACATCCACAGAGTCTTGTTCACTTGTCTAGATGGAGGCAACCAAACTAGATTAAACGTTGATGTTTTTCCTTTTTTAATCTTTCCAATTAATGGTATGGGTTTAGTGAATAGTTAGCTTATGAGTAGACCTAGCCTGGTGTGGAGGAGTCAACAGCTCTCTAATGGGTGTTGATGCAGTCATGTCAGGAAGCACTATCCATCCAAAAGGAATCTCTGCTTGCATAGAGTCCTTTTAAAAGGGGGACAAAGACCTTAATTCCACAATTAGAGTTGAAGACTTTTTTTGAGACAGAGTCTCACTCTGTTGCTCAGGCTGGAGTGCAGTGGCACAAACAGGGCTCACTGGAACCTCTGCCTCCTGGATTCAAGCGATTCTCGTGCCTCAGCCTCCTGAGTAGCTGGGATTACAGGTGTGCACCACCATGCCTGGCCAGAGTTGAACTCTTAAGAGGCAACATAGCAAACTCAGTACACCTTAGTGGGTAAATTACTCTCATCAAGTCACCTCTTAAGACCAGGTTTAGAGAAAAGAGATATAGTGAGAGTATGAAAACCCTGACTTCTTGAAGGGGAGCAGTTAAGGGGACCATACTAAGGGAGGTGCTAAAAAGAGCCTGAGATACACTGGGAGTATTTCCATAAATACGTTTATTCATATTCAAATATAGCAATTTCTAATATGTATTCTCTGGTTAGAAAAGTAACTGAAAAAATTCTACTGAGTAGGTTGATGTGAGTGTGTGTGTGTGTGTGTGTGTGAGAGAGAGAGAGAGAGAGAGAGAGAGAGATCCAGGTAGGATATCTCTGTGTAAACAAGTTAAGGAAATGCTTCTGCAGAACAAATTCTACCTCCTCTTGTAAATGCAGGACATATGACATAACAGGTGGGACAAGCCATTTGAGAACCTACAACGCCGTCTCTGAACCAGCACCCCAGTTAGTGCAGCTGGGGCCTGGTGCCTCATCTACATACATCTGGAGACAACAGCATGACACTAGTCCTAGAAAATGTCCCTAGTCTCTCCCCATGGATGTGTCCAAGCCTGCAGAAGAGCCCAGGGTTTACTTGTGCAGAAGCTGGAGCACTAGCTGGAGCCTAGTCCATGGTCCTTCTTAAGCCTTGCTGTAAGAAGTCTTTTTTCCAGCTGCTGTGTTCTTCCTCAACTATCTCATCCCTAATCTTCAACTTGATGCCTGTGACCACACTGTGGCAGCAGTCTCCAGCCTGGTTGTACTTTAGAATCACCTGAGGAGTTTTCAGAAATGCTAATGCTTGGGTTTCACCCCAGAACACTTGAATCAGGGTTTGTGGTGGTGGGCCTAGACTTTGGGTCTTTTAAAATCTCCCCAGGTAAGTCTAGTGTGTAGTAAGATTGAGAATCATTGTGTGTGTGCCTCTTTAAAAATTCCATAGGCATGGGTGAAACTAGTTGCCAGTATTCAAGAATAATGTCTTGGTTACTGAAAGGAGAAAAAGTATATTAACATTTTGAAATTATGCCTATACAAGGTATTTTTATACTTAAAACCACTAAAATTTGTTTTTAAATTGTGGGAAGTTTCATTAAAGAAAATTAATAGATAACTGGTGGTTAATTGACCACAGAAGGAAAAACCTACATGTAGCTTTTAGATAAATATTTTATAAGGAGATTTATGTATCGTAGTTAATGAAGGGGTAATGATTTTATATTTAGATTAACTAAAGATGCCTTAGGTTGAATTCATTAAATATTAACAGTATCAAAAATGACTAATTACCATAAAAGTACGTATTTCACACTGTATGAATGGGATGTGTATCTTTAGTAGAGATGGGGTTTCATCATGTTGGCCAGGCTGGTCTCGAATTCCTGACCTTGTGATCCGCCCGCGCTGGCCTCCCTAAGTGCTAGGATTACAGGTGTGAGCCACTGTGTCCGGTCCCAACAATCTAATTACTGGGTATATGCCCAAAGGAATATAGAGTTTTCTACACAAAGACACGTGCATGTGTATGTTCATCACAGCACTTTTCATAAAAGCAAAGACATGGAATCAAACTAGCTGCCCATCAACAGAGGACTGGATAAAGAAAATGTGGTACACATACACCATGGAATATTACACAGCCATAAAAAGAATGAAATCATGTCCTTTGCAGCAACATGGAGGCAGCTGGAGGCCATTATCCTAAGCAAAGTAACAAAGGAACAGAAAACCAAATATCTCATGCTCTCACCTATAAGTCAGAGGTAAACATTGTGTACACATTGATACAAAGAGGGGAACAATAGACACTGGGGCTTATTTGAGGGTAGAGAATGGGAGGAGGGTGAGGAGCAAAAAACCGTCTAACAGGTACTATGCTCACCACCTGGATGATGAAATTATTTGTCCACCAAACCCCAGTGACATGAATTTACCATCTAACAAACCTGCACATATACCCCTTGAACCTAAAATAAAAATTGGAAGAAAAAAATAAAAAGCAAACAAATAAAAAAATAAAATTACCCCTTCATAAAACTAAAGAAATATTTAAAAAATTTGGAGAAAGGATTTTTTGGTATTTATTCACTCTATTTTATCTTGATGGAAATATTTATACTTATATTCTTAAGTGCTATTGTTTTGAAAGGAAAACATATCTATTAGTACAATCAAGGGGCTCTGCAAAACTTATTAATAATAGGGTTTGCTGGTATTTTAGACATGTTGGCAAGTAACTTTTCACCATGCTTTCAGACAGTTTTTAACTAGAGCCTAGGTGCGTATCAGGTAACATATTTCACTTTTCTGAAAGAAAATGCTCTAAGACACTTTTCAGAGTGACCATGGGACTGCATGATCTTTCTGCAGACTCATCTGCACCTAAGTGGCTGGACTTTCATTGTTCTAATTTTAATCACATCAATCCCTTGAAAAATACCTAATCCTTCTTCTGGCTTCGCTGTACTTTGCGCATATGTTGGAAGTTTAAGTTGTCTTTCCCCACATTACTTTGTCTGATAAATACTGTTTCCTCGAGTGAATGTCCCTAATGCCCAGCCCCCATACTTGTGGGATTATTTTGATAAGTATCACTTAACTGAACAGCTTTTTGCCCAGTCTCTGTCCTGAGTACAATTCTGGCTTTTCTTAGGATGTAGCTTATTATTCTAACCTGTTTCTTCTTCCCAAACATTTTTTTTTTCTCTATTTAAACCTTTACTGCAATTTCATAGGCTTCTTCAATTTCCACTGTATATTGTACATCTAAATCTTCTGTGCTGTGGATCATTATGTTACTTTCCTTTGTGATTTTTTTTTTTTGCATATATATTTGCGAAGAAGGGCCAACTCATCCACTCAGGAAAGAGTAGACACTTTAAACTGTTTTTCCAGGAGAAAAGACAGATTTTTATTATTCCGTCTGTTTTTGTAGTTTCATCTTTGTTGTGATCAATACCATGGGTTTGTGAGTATGTGGCTGTGAAGGAAGGCTGTGGTTTCAGGGCAATAATGTCTTAGAATAATAAACTTAGAATCATAGACTTATGTACAGAGTAGTCATGTTACTAAAACTGCGGGATGAATTACACATAACATCTAATCTAGCAATTCTCTCCTTTCTGTCACAGTACATTCAGAGAATATACCACATTCACATCAGCAGTAGTGGCTCAATCCAGCAGGTTCCAACAGAGGAAAGAAGCGGGCGTGGTTTTTGGAAGCAGTCTGAAAAAGTCCTAAGGAGATGACACTCTTATTTTGACTTTCTCAACCTTTGCTTTCATTGGAGAGTGAAAAGAATTGAGTTCGCTGGTCTGTAAACTTTATGTATGTAATGTTTCCCATGCTACCCCTAGTATCTTGGGTAGTAGTTAGTCAATAAAAATCTACGGAGTAAATACATAGATGATACCGAGAATGGCGAAAGATTTGAACAAAGTCAAATGGCTAGTAAGTTTTATGGATGAGACTTCTGATTTCTTCCGTTCTTTCGGTCAGTTCATTGCTGTGCTTTATAAAGAGAAGAAACATGAACTCTGCTTACTGTACAGCCATTCACTTTCTCTCATTTTTAGATTTTCCTTGCCAGCCAAGAACTCTAACAGCCACAGCAGCAACAAATACTGATAGTGCTTCGTATATGTTAGGCACTCTTCTATTCTTCAAAACACCATGATTACTATTAACCACACTAGGTACTATGATCCCCAGTTTACAGCTAATGATACTAACCGAGGCATAGAGAGATTAAGTTGCTTGACTGAAGAGACACAGCTAGTCGATTGCTATGTCTCATATACTACCATTGTTATTCCCATAGTCAGAGCACGTTTTGGAACTCCTATCTGTATCATTCTTCTTAGATTTTGTATATATAAACAGTTGAAGGGGAAGAGCTTTTCATTCATTTATTAATTTGTTAAATATTTATTGAGAACATATTCTTTGCCAAAGCTTGAGCTAAGTGCTAGGGGAAAAGGGTGAACATTATAACTCCTATTTTGCAGAAAAAGGTAGACTATAAATTATTATACTAGAACATAAGTGTTATTAGAGAGGTGTTCACTTATTGAAATATTTGACAGCTTGTCGTGCATCAGACACTGTGTCCTAGGTGTTTTGAAAAAGTAATAATTAAGAAACAGTGCCTATTCTCAGACAGAGATTTTAGCTAATGGGGTGGCTGGCACATAAGCAGTTAAAGTATGATATATTATCGTATAATGGTGGTATGCATAAAGTACATTGGGAATATTAGGATGGAGTGCCTAAGTCTTCTTGGAACAGATTTCTTTGTGGGAGTGATGTTGAATTCTGCTCTGAAAGAGAGTTAAGATTTCTGGGTGGATCAGTTGGTAAAGGGCATGCCAAGCCAAGGCACAGAACTGTGATGGTATGAGTATTACTGAAGCATAAGGCTGAAGAAATAATTGAGGGTCAGGTTGTGACAGGTCTTGCTTTTGCCTAGATCACTATCCATTGCTCTCTCATGTCTTAACCTGTCATCCTGATTGTACCCTCTGACTTCTTTAGTCTCAGGATTTCTTCTTGCTTTGACTACATTTTCGGCTTACTTATCTTGACCTTGGTTCCTCTTCTTGGTCTTTGTCTCTAACTTGCCTGAAACTTAGTGCCTTCTGTCCCTTTTCTGCTTGAAGCTCCTGGGTCTGGGATGGATAATCTGAAATTCTCCAGGAAGTAAGAGAGTCACCTGCATGTCAGCTAGGGGAATTCTTTCCTTCTAAAAAGTGTTCATTGCCTGGAAATCATCTAATTTTACCACAGGATGCCTTGGCCACATCATACTATCTGCTTGAGTGGGCATACCTCAATATTCTTTTTTTTTTTTTACCCCAATTTCTATTCTTATTTGGGTAATTTTCTTGTCTCAAATATGGAAACAGAAATTTTTTGCTGTGATGTCATAGAGTATAAATACATACATATTTGTCTTTAGTAAGAACTGAATAAAAGTGATGACCAAAAAATTCTTATGACAATGAAATTATGACATCTAATTTCTTTTCCTCGAATTTATGATGATTAGAGTATCTATAATATTTTCTTTATCCTTTTCTGGATTTTCCTAATTTTGTAAATTTACCATTTTTTTCTTCCAGAATTTCCCTTTAAAGTCTGTCTGATATTATATCCATGTTTTAAAAGTGTTGTGTGTAATTTTTTGGAAATTTATGCCTTTCTAATAATCCTTCTTTGTTGTTTTATATAAAAGATAAGGGAATCCAGTCACTTTGCCACTAAGAACTACTAGGTACATATTTTTGTGAAATTCTACTTTAGGATTTGAACTGGAAGAATCTTTGGTGGGAAACCAGGGTAAAATATAAAAGAGAGAAGTTAGAAAATTGAATAAAACATACCTGAGACATAGCTATCTGCTGGGCTTAGAATTGAGTTTGTAGTCTAAGGTTATTCTTTCTTACATGATAGAAATTATATAATTATTTAGCTTTCTTTTACTTTTATTATTATTGTATTTATTTTTCCATAAGTTATTGAGGTGCAGGTGGTGTTTGATTACATGAGTAAGTTCTTTAGTGGTGATTTGTGAGATTTTGGTGCACCCATCACCCGAGCAGTATACACTGCATCATATTTATAGTCTTCTATCCCTCCTCCACCTCCCATTCTTCCCCTCAAGTCCTCAAAGTCCATTGTATCATTCTTATGCCTTGGTGTCTTCATAGCTTAGGTCCCACATATCAGTGAAAACATATGATGTTTGGTTTTCCATTCCTGACTTACAAAACTCAGAATAATAGTCTCCAATCTCATTCAGGTTACTGCAAATGCTGTTAATTGATTCATTTTTATGGCTGCATAGTATACATATAGTATATGTATACATGTATATATGCATATATTTACACATGTATATATGCATATATGTACACATGTATATATATATGTACACATGTATATATGTATATATGTATATATGTATATGTACATGTGTATATGTATATATGTATATGTACATGTGTATATGTATATATGTATATACATGTGTATATGTATATATGTATATGTACACGTGTATATGTATATATGTATATGTACACGTGTATATATGTGTATACACACGTGTATATATGTGTATACACACGTGTGTATATATATGTGTGTGTATATATATGTATATATACCACAGTTTCTTTATTCACTTGTTGATTGAGGGGCATTTGGGTTGGTTCCATGATTTTGCAATTGTGAATTGTGCTGCTATAAACATGCGTGTGCAAATATCTTTTTCATATAATGACTTCTTTTCCTCTGGGTAGATACTCAGTAGTGGGATTGCTAGATCACATGGTAGTTCTACTGTTAGTTCTTTAAGGAATCTCCAAACTGTTTTCCATAGTGGCTGTACTATTTTACATTCTCACCAGCAGTGTAGAAGTGTTCCCTGTTCACCGCATCTATGCCAACATCTACTGTTTTGTGATTTGTTGATCATGGCCATTCTTGCAGGAGTAAGGTAGTATATTGCATTGTGGTTTTGATTTGCATTTCCCTGATAATTAGTGATGTCAAGCATTTTTTCATATGTTTGTTGGCTCTTCGTGTATCTTCTTTTGAGAATTGTCTATTCATGTCCTTAGAACTCTTTTTGATGGGACTGTTTGTTTTTTTCTTACTGATTTGGTTAAGTTCATTGTAGATTTTGGATATTAGTCCTTTGTCAGATGTATAGATTGTGAAGATTTTCTTCCACTCTGTGGGTTGTCTGTTTACTCTGCTGGCTGTTCCTTTTGCCATGCAAAAGCTCTTTAGTTTAATTAGGTGCCAGCTGTCTACCTTTCTTTTTATTGCATTTGCTTTTGGGTTCTTGATCATGAAGTCCTTGCCTAAGCCAATGCCCAGAAGGGTTTTTCCAATGTTGTCTTCTAGAATTTTTATACTTTCAGGTCTTAGGTTTAAGTCCTTAATCCATCTTGAGTTGATTTTTGTATATAGTGAGAAATGAGGATCCAGTTTCATTCTCCTACATGTGACTAGCCAATTATCCTAGCACCATTTGTTGAAAAGGATGTCCTTTCTCTACTTTATGTTTTTGTTTGCTTTGTCAAAGATCAATTGGCTGTAAGTATTTGGCTTTATTTCTGGGTTCTCTATTCTGTTCCATAGGTCTATGTGCCTATTTTTATACAAGTACCATGCTGTTTCGGTGACTATGGCCTTACAGTATAGTTTGAAATCAGGTAATGTGATGCCTCCAGATTTCTTCTTTTTGCTTAGTCTTGCTTTGCCTATATGAGCTCTTTTTTGGTTCCATATGAATTTTAGGATTGTTTTTTCTAATTCTGTGAAGAATCATGGTGGTATTCTGATGGGGATTGCATTGAATTTGTAGATTGCTTTTGGCAGTATGGTCATTTTCACAATATTGATACTACTCATTTGTGAGGATGGGATGTGTTTCCATTTGTTTGTGTTGTCTGATTTCTTTCAGCAGTATTTTGTAGTTTCCCTTGTAGAGGTCTTTCAACTCCTTTGTTAGGTGTATTCCTAAGTCTTTCACATTTTTGCAGCTATCATAAAAGGGGTTGAGTTCTTGATTTGATTCTCTGCTTGGCTGTTGTTTGTGTATAGAAGAGCTACTGATTTGTGTACATTAATCTCATATGCAGAAACTTTGCTAAATTGTTTTATCAGTTCCAGGAGCTATCTGGAGGATTCTTTAGACTTTTCTAGGCAAACAATCATATATCACCAAACAGTGACAGTTTGACTTCCTTTTTACTGATGTGGATGCCCTTTATTTCTTTCTGTGGCCTGATTGCTCTGGGTAGGACTTCCAGTACTATGTTGAAGAGGAGTGGTGAGAGTGGCCATCCTTGTCTTGTTCCAGGTCTCAGAGGAAAAGCTTTCAACTTTTCCCCATTCAGTATTATGTTGGCTGTGGGTCTGTCATAGAAGGCTTTTATTACATGAAGGTATGCCCCTTGTATGTTGATTTTGCTGAGAGTTTTAATCATAAAGCGATGCTGGATTTTGTCAAATGCTTTTTCTGCATCTATTGAGATGATCATGTGATTTTTGTTTTTAATTCTGTTTATGTGGTATATCACATTTATTGACTTGCGTATGTTAAACCATCCCTGCATCCCTGGTATGAAATCCACTTGATCATAGTGCATTATCTTCTTGACATGTTGTTGGATTTGGTTAGCTAGTATTTTATTAAGGATTTTAGCATCTATGTTCATCAAAGATACTGGTGGATAGTTTTCTTTTTTGGTTTTCTCCTTTCCTAGTTTTGGTATTAGGGTGATGCTGGCTTCATAGACTGAATTAGGGAGGGTTCCTTCTTTCTCTATCTTGTGGAATAATGTCAAAAGGATTGGTACCAATTCTTCTTTGAATGTCTGGTAGAATTCTGGTATAAATGCCTCTGGTCCTGGACTGTTTGTGTTGGTAATTATTTAATTTCCATTTCAATCTCGCTGCTTGTTATTAGTCTGTTCAGGGTATGTAATTCTTTCTGATTTAAGCTAGGAAGGTTGTATTTTTCTAGGAATTTATCCATCTTGTCTAGGTTTTCTAGTTCATGAGCATAAAGGTGTTCATAGTAGAGTTGGATGATCTTTTGTATTTCTGTGGTGTCAGTTGTAATATTTCCTGTTATGTTTCTTAGTGAGGTTATTTGGATTTTCTGTCTTCTTTTCTTGGTAAATCTTGCTAATAGTCTATCAATATTATTTATCTTTTCAAAGAACCAGCTTTTTGTTTCATTTATCTTCTGTATTATTTTTGTTTCAATTTCATTTAGTTCTGCTCTGGTCTTGGTTATTTCCTTTCTTCTGCTGGGTTTGGGTTTGGTTTGCTCTTTTTTCTCTAGTTCCTTGAAGTGTGACCTTAGATTACCTGTTTGTGCTCTTTCAGACTTTTCGATGTAAGCATTTAGGGCTATGAATTTTCCTCTTATCACTGCCTTTACTGTATCCCAGAGGTTTTGATAGGTTGTGTCATTATTGTCATTCAGCTTGAAGAATTTTTTAATTTCCATCTTGATTTCATTTTTGACCCAATGCTCATCCAGGAGCAGGTTACTTAATTTCTATGTATTTGCATGGTTTTGAAGGTTCCTTTGGAGTTGATTTCCAGTTTTATTCCCCTGTGGTTTGAGAGAGTGCTTGATATAATTTCAATTTTCTTAAATTTATTGAGGCTCGTTTGATGGCCTATCATATGGTCTATCTTGGAGAAAGTTCCATGCGCTGCTGAATAGAATGTGTATTCTGCAGTTGTTGGATAAAATGTTCTGTATATATCTGTTAAGTCCATTTGTTCAAGGTATAGTCTAAGTTCATTGTTTCTTTGTTGCCTTTATGTCTTGATGACCTGTCTAGTGCTGTCAGTGGAGTATTGAAGTCCCCCACTATTATTGTGTTGCTGTCTATCTCATTTCTTAGATCTATTAGTAATTGTTTTATAAATTTGGGAGCTCCAGTGTTAAGTGAATATATGTTTAGGATTGTGATATTTTCCTGTTGGACAAGGCTTTTTACCATTAAATAATGTCCCTCTTTGTCTCTTTTAACCACTGTTGCTTTAAAGTTTGTTTTGTCTAATATAAGAATAGCTACCCCTGCTCGCTTTTGGTGTCTATTTGCATGAAATGTCTTTTTTCACCCCTTTAAGTTTATGTGAGTCTTTATGTGTTAGGTGAGTCTCCTGAAGGCAGTAGATGGTTGGTGAGTTCTTTTCCACTCTGTGTTTCTTTATTTTTTTAAGTGGAGCATTTAGGCCATTTACATTCAATGTTAGTATTGAAATGTGAGGTACCATTGCTTTCATCATGATTTTTTTTGGATGTGTACTTTGTGTGTTTTTTTTTTTCTTTTTAACTTGTATTTTTGTTTTATAGGTCCTATGTGATTTATGCTTTGAAGAGATTCTGTTTTGATGTGTTTCCAGGATTTGTTTTTTCAAGATTTAGAGCTCCTTTTAGCAGTTCTTATAGTGGTGGCTTGGTAATGGTGAATTCTCTCAGCATTTGTTTGTCTGAAAAGAACTATATCTTTCCTTCATATATGATGCTTAGTTTTGCTGGATACAAAATTCTTGGCTGATAATTGTTTTGTTTGAAGAGGTTGAAGTAGGCCCTCAATCCTTTCTAGTTTGTAAAGAATCTGCTGTTAATATGATAGGTTTTCCTTTATAGGTTACCTAGTACTTCTGTCTCACAGCTCTTAAGATTCTTTCCTTCATTTTAACTTTGGATAACCTGATGACAATGTGCCTAGGTGAAGATCTTTTTGCAATGAATTTCCCAGGTGTTTACTGTGCTTCTTGTATTTGGGTGTCTAGGTCTCTTGCAAGGCCAGGGAAGTTTTCCTGGATTATTCCCCCAAATATGTTTTCCAGGCTTTTAGAAGTCTCTTTTTCCTCAGGAACACCAATTATTCTTAGGTTTGGTCATTTAACATGATCCCAGACTTCTTGGAGGCTTTGTTCATATTTTCTTATTCTTTTTTTCTTTGTCTTTGTTGGATTGCATTAATTTGAAGACCTTGTCTTTGAGCTCTGAATTTCTTTCTTCTACTAGTTCAATTCTATTGCTGAGACTTTGCAGAGCATTTTGCATTTCTAAAAGTGTATCCAAAGTTTCCTGAATTTTTGATTTTTTTTCCTTTAAGCTATCTATTTCCTTGAATATTTCTCCTTTTACTTCTTGTATCATTTTGTGGATTTCCTTGCACTGGGCGTAGCCTTTCTCTGGTCTCTCCCTGATTAGCTTAATAACTAACCTCCTGAATTCTCTTTCAGGTAAATCAGGGATTTCTTTTTGGTTTGGATCCATTGCTGGTGAACAAATGTGATTTTTTGGGGGTGTTGAAGAGCCTTGTTTTGTCATACTACGAGGGTTGCTTTTCTGGTTCCTTCTCATTTGGGTAGGCTCTGTCAGAGGGAAGGCCTAGGTCTGAAGGTTGTTGTTCAGATTCTTTTGTCCCATAGAGTGTTTCTTTGATGTAATACTCTCCTCCTTTTCCTATGGATGGGGCTTCCTGTGAGCCAAACTGCAGTGATAATTGTCTCTCTTCTGGGTCTAGCCACCCAGCGAATCTGCCTGATTCTGGCTGGTACTGGGGGTTGTCTGCACAGAGTCCCCTGATGTGAACTGTCTATGGGTCTCTCAGCTGTGGATACCAGTGCCTGTTCTGGTGGAGGTGGCGGATGATGCAATGGACTCTGTGAGGGTCCTTAGCTTTGGTGGTTTAATTCTCTATTTTTGTCCTGGTTGGCCTCCTGCCAGGAGGTGGTGCTTTCCAGAAAGCATCAGCTGTGGTAGTGTGGAGAGGGACTGCTGGTGGGCGAGGCCCTAGAACTCCCAAGATCATATGACTTTTGCCTTCCACTACCAGGGTGGATAGGGAAGGACCGTCAGGTGGAAGTAGGGCTAGGCATGTCTAAGATCAGACTCTCCTTGGGCAGGTCTTGCTGTGGCTGCTGTCGGGGGGTAGAGTGAGATTCCCAGATCACTGGAATTGTGTACCTAGGAGGATTGTGGCTGCCTCTGCTGAGTCATGCAGGTTGTCAGGGAAGTGGAGGAAAGCCCGCAGTTGCAGGCCTCACCCAGCTCCCATGCAAACCAGATGGCTAGTCTCATTCCCACTGTGCACCCTCCTCACCCCCAGCTGCCCCAAGTCTGTTTGGAGGCAGAGGGCATGATAGGCTTGAAAACTTGCCTGAGCTATCTGCCTCTCAGCTGCCAAAGAAAAGGGCTTTAGTTCTTCCCCTGCCTGCGAAGTCTGCACACGGGATTTGCCCCCTCCCGCAAGTTCTGGCCAGGGGGCTTCTCATGCCATTCAAACTGTTACAAATTTCCGCTAGAGAATTCCTTCTCCCTATGGAGTTTTACCACCTACTCCTCTGGCCACCCTCCTGATGGATCCCTGTGGTGCCAGGCAGGAATGGACTGCTTGGGGACCCAGCAAGCTCCCAGGGCCTTTCAGCTGCTTCCTCTACCACTCTATTTCACTTGGCTCTCTAACTTGACTCAGCTCCAAGTAAAGCCGGAAACTTCTCCCACAAACAGACCTTCAACTTCTCCAATGGGGGTGTGTGTTCGGGAGAGGAAGATCTCCCTTTCGCACTTCTGCAGTTGGGGCACTCACAGTATTTGGGGTATCTCCCGGGTTCTGCAGTAGCAGTCCGATTCCTTCAGAGGGTCTGTGGGTCCTCTTGGGATTGCTGGTTTGTTCTTGCACTTGATATGGAGCTAAAATTCACAATGCAAGCCTCCGCATGCTGGTCTGTCTGGAGCTGCAATCTAGTCCTGCCGTGATCCCTTGAAATCCCGAATTATTTAGCTTTCTCATAAAGTAAAGGTTTTTTAGGCTTCCAGTTCCTGGATGCAGTTAAGAAGTAAAATATATTTGCAAAAGAAGACAAATACTAATGGAGTTATAAAAGTTTCTATTTTTTTAGAAATAGAAAACAAGAAAGAAATCCAAATGTCTTAGTCCAAGTTTAGATGGGACATTTAGTGATTGGTTCATCCAAAATCGTGATCATTTTTTTTTTCTTGCAACATCTACATAACAATGTTTAACCTTATCTAAAAGATGTCTAGAAATATAAATTCTGTGTGAAACAGTACAGTATAATGGAAATAACATTCTATTTGTAGTCAGATATGTTAGGTTCCAATTTTGCTTGTGCAACTTTGGAAAAGTCATTTGGTATGTCTGGGCTTTTCCCTTTTATCTGCAAAATGAAAGGTTTGTCTATGTAAGCATTATGGAACTTTCATGGAAAAATACCATAAATGTATCTCAGATGGAAAGGGAGGTGTTGTTGGTGGGAGACACCACTGACATCTCTGACCTTTTACAGGAAAACACAAACAGTATGAAGGTAGTATATTCCCCGACTTGGAGTTGACATCTAAATAACATAACATTCAGAATCATTTTCTTATTGTCCTTGAGTTTCGGCCAGAAGATGAAATATTTTTCCTCTTAAATCCTCATTTTCTTCAAAGAATCCCTCAAGCTTCTTAGAATTTATATTAAGAACTGCAGCTATCCTACACTAATTTTGGTAGCTGTATACTTCTGCTAACAATAGGAGGTATGTTATTTATTCACAAGTAGTATCAAACTTTTGTTAAAATGTTAATTGTAAGTGCAGAGCTGTGGTCATTAGGGTAAACCCATCTGCAACAAAATACCCAGCTTGTGACCGAATGAATTGTTATGCAGTGAGAAGGATGACCATGGAATGACTCCCATTGTGCTATTGTAGACAAAAAAAAAAAAGGTAAATAACTTAGGGCTATAAATACCTGGCTGTGAAGGGGGCAATTAGTTAAATAAATTTAAATGTATTTATGCATTTGCTAGGTTGATATCATGCTGGTACATCATTTTTTTAAAACTGGCTTCACATTTTCTAATTTAAGATGGAAGCCAAGCTGCTGCAATGTCACAATGTATAATTATTGGACAGCCAGCAGCGATTTTTAAAGCAAATTTCACACAATTTCTGAGACTAGTGTCATACTTTGTTAGTTTGAATTAGTTTGTGAAAGTTTTTTATATACCAGACACCTTAAATTAATGAGACATAGCATTCTATTAATAAATTAGGCCTGGGAATTTAAATTTGCAAAGATGATATAGCTACAAATAGGTATTTTCAACAAAGATAAAAATATTTAGATTTTTATTTTCTTTTGTAAAAAGCCACTTATTATTTTCCCTCTTTTATGTCTTTTCATTAGGACCTAAAGCTCAGCTTCCAATATCCACTGGGAAACAGGTAGCATGATTTAGGGTTAGCTTCCTCATAGCCTCTTCCCTGTTATCTCTTGCTCTCAGCCTCAACCGAAGTCAATTCTATCAGTGTCTCCCCTGCCGTTTCCTTCCTTCTCACTTTATGACTTCATTTCTCAACACAACTTTCAAGTAACACTTAGCTGGGGCTTTGGGGTTACCAGAAGAACCCCTTCCCCATTTCTTCCCTCCATGCGCACATCCTAAGCAATATAAGAAGGGACAAATGAGAAGAGTAGTCTTAATATCCGTATTATTTGTTAAGTATTTTTATTTATATATTTTCTCTTCTTTTTATTTATTTATTTTTTTTTTTGAGACTGAATTTTGCTCTTGTTGCCCAGACTGGAGTGCAGAGGCATGATCTCCGCTCTCTGCAACCTCTGCCTTCTGGGTTCTAGCGATTCTCCTGCCTCAGCCTCTCGAGTAGCTGGGATTGCAGGTATGAGCCACCACGCTCGGCTAATTTTGTATTTTTAGTAGAGATGGGGTTTCATCATGTTGGTCAGGCTGGTCTTGAACTCCTGACGTCAGGTGATCCACCCGCCTCGACCTCCCGAAGTGCTGGGATTACAGGCATGAGCCACGCGCCCGGCCATTTTTTCTCTTCTTAAAGAATACCTCAGACCAGACAGTAGTAGGCTGTTCCACTGAGAATCCAGGCAAAAAAATGAAGCCAAGATGGAATCATGGCAGCGCAGACAGAGCTTAGGGCTTAGACAAGCTCCATGGTCAGTAGGCAGGGATGCGGACAGAGTGAGATAAAAGCTTGCTAATAAGCAGAATATACAGACAAAGAAGACTCGGGTTTGGTTAGCCAGCAAAATCTGAGCGGAAATAAGGAAAAGCAAGCTGGAGCCAGTGTTTTTTTTTTTTTCCCCAGCCAGCACCAAGGACAGCTCCCAGAGACCCATCTGAGCACAGGTGTTTGTCCTGGCAATTGCCTCTGGCAGCCCAGGTACGGGCAGTGGTAGGAGTTCTTGGTCCAGTAACTATGAGCTTGCTATTATGCCAATGACACAGTACCACACTCTGAAGTGGATCTGAAGTGAATCATAGCTAGTTGATGCTTCTTTGTGTGCACTTTAGAAGTCAGCAGTCAATATACTATAACTTGTGCATAACTTGCAGTTTTAATGTTTAACAATTAAGCCTAGCTTAAATGGCTGGAAAGGTATGATAATATCTGGTAGACCTCTATGGAAATTAGGAGGCAGTAAATCATGATGGTTAAAAGCACAGGCATTTTTGGCTTTGAATACAAGCTCTACTTCCTAGTTTTCTGAATCACTGAATCTTTCTAAGGCACAATGTCTATATCGTGAGTATACTCCAGTAACACAGGGATAATAATAGTACTGACACTATATATTGTTGAGACGATTAAATGTTAATTATTACTATACTAAAGCTTACAGTAGGATGTGATATTTACTATATAATGCTACTTATTCCATCAAAAATTTCAAAACTGGCCACAACATCACATGGTACTTAAGATCCTGGTGAATGTCTTAAGCCAGCTAGGCTTATATAAAAGGTTTTACAAAAGTTATTTTTTTGTGTCAGAGAAATGTGATAAAACCTCTATGTTTTTCCCTGAATGAAAATCTCCCTTAAAAATACTTTATATTACAAATTTAAAGTCAGGACTGCAAATCTAGAGGTATAGATGTACCTGAATCCTTTGTGACCAAAGCTAATTGGCAGCTTCAACTTAGGGATGTGTACAGTAATCTCAGGTTAATATCTTTCAGTCTTGGATGCTTCTTAATCACATAAGGAAATGACTTGAAACAACACTATCTGAGTCTACTGACCAGTAGTAGGATAAAGGTATTTGAGTAAGTTGGGTGGAAATAGTAGCCAGTTTGCTATCAAAGCTCATACATTTCAATCACTAGTTGTGTGAGCCTGTGAAGTGTGTGTGTGAAAGAGAGAGAGAGAGAAAGAGAATTTTCTCTTTTTGCTGATACAGAGCACACAATTCATGATGTTATTTTGAATGCCCACAATATATTTTTATTTTGTTATTATTATTTTTTAGAGGTGGGGGTCTTACTATGTTGCCCAGGCTGGTCCTGAACTCCTGGGCTCAAGCGACCCTCCCACCTTGGCCTCCCAAAGTGCTGGGATTACAGGCATGAGTCACTTCACTGCACCCGACCCTGAGTGCTCACAATATAAAACCCATTGCTTAGGGTGCAGGTAGGCTTCAGATATCTTAGGGAGAGAGTATTGTACAGTGGAGAATTGTCAGGATTGTTTTGAAAACAGAATAGCTGGTTTGAATTTCAGAACAGAGGCTTACTTCATGTTTGGCAAGTCACCAAACTTCTTTGAACCTCTGATACCTCTTCAGTAAAATGTAGATAATATTTATTTTGAGGGTTGTTATAAAATGCAGAGATGGCATAGACATTCAATAAATGTCAGCTATTATATTTATTAAATTAATGTACCAATTCAGCCAGTTATTTGTACTAAATTTGTTTGTAATAAAATTTCTCCTTTTGTGATTTTGCCAAAGGTTAACATTATTCTTTAAAACATTCTGCTTAAATGACAGTTTAAGCTTTTAAAATTAAAAATGTTTTTAGAGCCTGGTTTATTTCATGTAAATATATTCTAGTGCACATTTCCTTACTTTTTGGTAATTTTAACATTATCAAGGGATACGAAGCAATGGATATATTAACTAACTTGATTTAATCATTCTATAATGCATATATATCAAAATATCATATTGTATACCATAAATATATACAATGCTTCCTTTGTCAACTAAAACAATTTAAAAATTTTTCAGTTTTTTCAGATATTTCCATGAACAATGTTCATACTTTATTGCTTTTTCAGATCATGTGACAATACACATTTGTACATTAAGATTGAAAAGCCTACTTGGCTGTTGAATTTAAACAGCCTTTCATTTTCATTAACTTTTACATTTCTGTATTATCATGTTTAAAATGAACTGCTTCATCCCAGAGAAAACACATTTTCCTTGGTGAGATGAATCACCATTGACTGATTCATCTCCATCTCAGGGCGGAAGCTCGGTCTAGTGGTTCAAGCTGTGAGGTGTGAGTCAGTTGTTCTAGTTCTATTCCCTTTTTGGCTCTTCAATAGTTGGTTAAATCCCTGTCCAAAGGAGATGGTACCTCCCGATGTATACTGCACAGAGGGACTGTCGGACAAGATAAATTTGTCCAAGGAAGAGTAGAGAATGGGATTTAAAATCCATTTAAAGCAATGCATTTGGTATTCATCTTTTCCCTTGGATCAGTGTTGGCTTCAGGGTTTAGTGGTAAATCAGAAGGGGTTGGATAATGGGACTTCAACTGCAGACCCTGGGAGATAATTACCTGTATAGCCTCTTCTCCAGTAGTGACACTGTAGTGACTGAAAAGGAAATGAGGATTGATTGCCACCCAGAAGATAGGAGTCCTCTGAAAAGTTTTATTACAGTGGTGTTTTGCTTTAAAACACCATTTAACTGAAGATGTTCTCAGTATGGTTTTATTCTCTGACAGAAAGGGTACACAGGGCTAACAATGAACACATCGTTAGTACTTTATATTACTCAGTAAACTTTCAGTTCTAAACAGGCTATAGATTTTATATTTAGCATATAGAGTAAGGAGACCTTTAAAGCAAGCTGCAGTGGTGTCATATCATTGTACAGTTATTTTAAAATAATCCATAAAAAGAAGAGATTTTATTTAAGAATCTATCAGTAGAATTACAAATTCAGCATTAGGATAAGCCAATCATCTATTTATTAAATAAAAATATGCTAAAGCACTGTTGTAAGTTTCATGGTTCAATATGTTGCTTACTTAAAACTATAGGCCAACCGTTGGGCATCAGCTTGTGTATGTCTACTTTTGTGTCATATTATTGTTAATTTTTTCTCCAAACCTGGACCCCTTGGATGTTTAAAATGAACATTTGTTTCCTCATGGTACTTTCTCCATCTGTGCTGTTTGTAGGGGGATGCTCATCAGGGCCTTGAATTTTTATTGTGTCTTAGTTTGAAATTACGCAGAAGATACTAAGACAAGGATTTGAGTGCAAGCTGTTTATTTGGGAGGTGATTCCAGGGAACTCTGGTAGGGGACTGAGGAAGGGAGACAGAGCAGGGGAGGAAGGCAATCGTGTTGTCAAGCAAGTTACTATGGTGTGATAGTTTCATCCCATGGGGATCTCTGGGCTGCATGGAGAACATGGAGTTACCCTCACAGAGCGGCAGGGAAGCTGAGGCGTTTATCCTCATCCAACAGTGTCCCAGGGCTATTTCTGGGGGTAGTACTTCACTTCCAGCTTGCCCTTGCCAAGGTCCAGCAAGAAAAATGCTCTCAGACAAGAAGACACTGGTGTTCCTGGTAAGCAGGCTTCAACATGTAGGTGGAGGTGGGTGCTGGGGGCTGTGAGCAGGCATTGAGAGTATTTGTCACACACTCTTTCCTTCCTAGTTATTTGTTTTTCTGGTAGACATTTTTCTCAGTTCTTTGGTATCTGTCTTGCTTCTTTCTTTTCCCGTGGAAAATATTGCAATATTAGCGGTGAAATATACATGACAAAATTTACCATATTTACCATTTTCAGTGTACAGTTCAGTGGCATTAAGTACATTTACGTTGTTGTGCAACCATCACTGCCATCCATCTCCAGAATGTTTTCATCTTGCAAAACTGAAACTCTGTACCCATTAAACAGTAACTCCCCCATATCTCCTTCTCTCCAAGGCAGTCACTTTTCTATTTTCTGTCTCTAAGAGTCTAACTACTCTAGTACTGCATATAAGTGGAATCATATAATATTTGTCTTTTTGTGTCTGTCTTATTTCACTTAGCCTATCTTCAACGTTCATCCGTATTCTAGGATGTGTCAGAATTTCCTTCCTTTTTAAGGCTGAACACTATTGCATTGTATGCAGATACCACATTTTATTTATCCATTCATCTATTGATAGCCACTTGTGTTGTTTCCACCTTTTGATATTGTAAATAATGCTCCCTTGAACATCGGTGTACAAATATCGGTTCAAGTCTTTGCTTTCAATTCTTTTGGGTATAAACCCAGACTTGGAATCATAGAGTAATTCTATTTTTAACTTTTTGAGGAATGGCTATACTGTTTTCCACAGCATCTGTACCATTTTATATTCACAGCAGCAATGCACAGGAGTTCCAGTTTCTCCACAACCCTCATCAATAATTTTGTTTTTTGATAATATCAAAATGGATATGAAGTGTTACTGTTTCTTATAACTTACTTTAACCTTAATTTATCTCTGTTCTTTAAATATGTTCAGTTCATACCAAAGCATGCCTTAAAATATTTGTGTGAAATTTTGTTGAGCCCAAATGCTGTTTTAGGACAAAATTTACTTATTCTGTCATAAATTGTCACATCATTTTAGAAAATTTGGAAAATATAAACACGTACAAAACAGATAAAAATTTCACTTATAATTTTATGAATTAAATACAACTGATGGAAAAGATAATTTAATAATTTATTCAACAAATACTTAGATGATGGTGACTTTTAAAGATTGGGCTCTAAAGCCAGACACTATAGTTAAATCCCAACTCAATATATGGCTGACTTTGAAGTTATGTGACCTTTCAAAACCTCAATTTATATACCCATAAAGTAGAATAATAACTTAAAGTTGTGGGGATTAAATATTCATTATGTAATGGTGAGCAAAGATAGACCCAAGGCCTACCTCTGTATAATAGTCTAATGAGGAAAGAGATATTATTAAAGAGATCACTGTAATTAATATATAATCAGAAACTAAGAAAAGTTCTGGGAAAGAATAAAAACATTGTTCTCAGTTTAAAAAGGCCTGACCTAGTCAGGGGTTTCAGAAGGCTTCCTTAGGAAGTGGTGGTTGGAAGGATCTGAAGATTGAGAAGGAATTACATGAATAAAGAAATTGACATAAGTCTTGTTGTCGGGGGTATTGTAGACAGAACAGTTTTATAATGGAAGAGAGTAGAAAATACAGGAAATGGCATTACATTCAATCTTGGGGAGTCAGAAAATGATTTATAGAAGAGGAGGTATTGAGTTAATTTTTAAGGAGAAGGAAGATTTTGCTGGACAGAAATTTGAGGAAGCAGGCAGTGCACTCCAGGCAGAAGGAACACTTCAGAGGCTTTCTTTCCACTCTGTAGAAGTCTGCCTATCATTTGTGTAGTGGAAAAGGGTAGCAGTGATATGTTAAGGTGGAGAAGTAGGCAGACGCCTGACGAGGGATTCAGAACCATGCAGAATTTAGACTTTTATCTGTGAGCAACGGGAAACTATCTGAAGGAATCATGGAGGAATAGGACCGGATTTGCATTTTTGAAATATCACTCTGTAGTAAATGTGAAAAATGGATTGGGAGTTGAAGTGAGTTTGGAAGTAGAGAAAGCAATCAGGGGAATAAGGCAATTATTTTGATAGTCCTTTTGAGAGGTGACAGCATGCTGGCAGCCCTCGCCGGCTCTGGGTGCCTCCTCGCCGGCTCTGGGTGCCTCCTCGCCTCGCGCCCATTCTGGCCGCACTTGAGGAGCCCTTCAGCCCGCCGCTGCACTATGGTAGCCCCTTTCTGGGCTGGCCAAGGCCAGAGCCAGCGCCCTCAGCTTGCGGGGAGGTGTGGAGGGAGAAGCGCGGGCGGGAACCGGGGCTGCGTGTGGTGCTTGCAGGCCAACGCGAGTTCCGGGTGGGCGTGGGCTGGGCGGGCCAGCACTCCGAACTGCTGGCCGGCCCGCCAGCCTCGGGCAGTGAGGGGCTTAGCTAAACCCGGGCCAGCAGCTGCGTAGGGTGCGCCGGGTCCCCCAGCAGTGCCGGCCCACTGGCGCTGTGCTCGATTTCTCGCCAGGCCTTAGCTGCCTCCCTGTGGGGCAGGGCTCAGGACCTGCAGCCGGCCATGCCTGAGCCTCCCCCCGCCCCCGGCTGTAGGCTCCTGCGCGGCCCCAGCCTCCCCGACGAGCGCCGCTCCCCGCTCCACAGCGCCCGGTCCCATCCACTGCCCAAGGGCTGAGGAGTGCGGGCGCAGGGCACGGGACCGGCAGGCAGCTCCACCTGTGGCCCCTGTGCGGGATCCACTGGGTGAAGCCAGCTGGGCTCCTGAGTCTGGTGGGGACTTGGAGAATCTTTATGTCTAGCTAAGGGATTGTGAATGCACCAATCAGCACTCAGTGTCTAGCTCAGGGTTTGTAAATACACCAATAGACACTGTGTCTAGCTAATCTAGTGGGGACGTGGAGAACTTTTGTGTCTTGCTTAGGGATTGTAAACACACCAATCAGCACCCTGTCAAAACAGAGCAATCAGCTCTCTGTAAAACAGACCAATCGGCTCTCTGTAAAATGGACCAATCAGCAGGATGTGGGTGGGGCCAGATAAGACAATAAAAGCAGGCTGCCCGAGCCAGCAGTGGCAACTCGGTCTGGTCCCCTTCCAGAGTGTGGGAGCTTAGTTCTTTCGGTCTTTGCAATAAATCTTGCTGCTGCTTACTCTTTGGGTCCACACCGCCTTTATGAGCTGTAACACTCACTGTGAAGGTCTGCAGCTTCACTCCTGAGCCAGTGAGACCACGAACCCACCAGAAGGAAGAAACTCTGAACACATCCGAACATCAGAAGGAACAAACTCTGGACGCGCCGCCTTTTTAAGAACTGTAACACTCACTGTGAGGGTCCGCGGCTTCAGTCTTGAAGTCAGTGAGACCAAGAACCCACCGATTCCGGACACACTTTCAGAATGTGACGAGGACCTGAGGTAGAGTTGTGACTGTGGGGATGAGCAGAAGGGAGAGTTTTGAGAGACTGAGAATTAGAATAAAGTTTTATGACCCATGGGAGGTGGACGATGAGGAAGAGAAATGTAGAATAAAGTAGGTTTTCTGTCTTGGTGACTGGAAAGATTGAAAGTATGATTTAAAATAATCCATGGCTTCAGGGTTTAGTGAAGTAAGCATGGCCTGTTTTTCTCTTTTTGAAAGTAGTGGGGAAAATGGAGACAAAGGATTTCAGTTTGGATACGTTGACTATTAGGCGGCTGAAGGCTCTATGCCAATGTGGAGGTAATGAGAATTCTCTGGGCTGGAAATGCAAATCTGAGAGATATCAGTACGTAGATGGCAGTTGAAGCCCGTAAGATGTTTTTTCTTGCTCTTCTCTTCTCAATGCGAACATCTCACACATTGTGTTTCAGCTGAAAAGTTACTTCCCCCAGCAGGCTTTCTCTCATCCCAGAGTAGATTAGGTGCTCTCCTCACATACGGAGCTGAGCCTTATGAATACTCAGCACTCTCCTTAAATGTTTGTCTTCCCAGCAGCGACAGTGAGGGCAGGGACTGTCCCTTCTGGGTATCCAATGTCTAGCAGACTGCTTGACACACGGGAGACTAACATATATTAAGTAATACATGTTGATTGATTGATTGAAGAAATCAATGAAAAAGATTGTCCAGGGAAAATGAGTGCAGTGAAAGGAAAAACTCTCAGTGTCAAATTGGGAGGGAGATTAAATAAGATGGTCTTTTAAAGTGTCTTTTAAGAGGAAATTTCTGATCTTTATCACTAATGTTTGTTGTATTTCCTTTTGACCTTTTTATTGGTGTGTAGTTAAACTCAACATAGTTATTCCAAATTATACAAAATGCATTATTTGCCACTTAATATTTTAACGAGCATTTTTCTCATTGTTGAAATGCCTCTATTTTTAATTTAGGTTTTCTTTTATTTTTATAGGTTAGGCGGTAATTTTGTAGGCCTTTTTTGCTATATAGCAGTGAATTTTATTCATACAGGGATGGTTTCAGAATTACCATCACCTTGTCCTTACACACTTGCTCCTTCACATGTGCAGAGTCATCTAACGATGTGACGTTACATATAAGATTCAGATGTCAACATTTTGGAGCCCATCATAAGGTGGAAGAGACAGACATGCACACAATTAATTAAAAGAGAGAATAAAAAGAATTCTAACAGTAGTCTATTCTAAGTACTATGAGTCTAAAGTGAGGGAACGCCCTATTCATTTTTGCTAAAGCTAGATGCCTGCCATCAGGATGATATTTTAAAAATTAAAGGCAGGTATGTCTTTTTTACATAATATAACATTTATTTTTGAATGGGTAATGATCTTTTTTGTTAATGCCCTTAACTGTAAGCTTCAGACCATATGTTTTCTTACCCTTGTGCTTACAAGGAAGGGAAACTGGGATTTATTAATGAATTGTGATGTGCCTGGTGCTGTACTAAGTGAAATTATTCATATCATTTACTTTTTAAATGTAAGTGTAGACTCATGTATGTTTATTTTCTGTTAATACTTTGGGTTATAAATTAGTACTACATTATTTATTTTGTTGCTTAAATTTTTCTGGCTTTGGCCATTCAGGGTTCTTTCAGGTTGGCTCCAGAGTCTCCTTGACATGCCCCCAGCCTTTTTTTTTTTTTTTTTAATCTATTCTAGATGTATTAAAGGCTTTATTTTTTATTTTTATTTCTACATTATCTATTTTTTTAAAATTAATTAATTTATTATTATTATACTTTAAATTTTAGGGTACATGTGCACAATGTGCCGGTTAGTTACATATGTATACATGTGCCATGCTGGTGCGCTGCACCCACTAACTCGTCATCTAGCATTAGGTATATCTCCCAGTGCTATCCCTCCCCCCTCACCCCACCCCACAACAGTCCCCAGAGTGTGATGTTCCCCGTCCTGTGTCCATGTGTTCTCATTGTTCAATTCCCACCTATGAGTGAGAATATGCGGTGTTTGGTTTTTTGTCCTTGCGATATTTTGCTGAGAATTATGGTTTCCAATTTCATCCATGTCCCTACAAAGGACATGAACTCATCATTTTTTATGGCTGCATAGTATTCCATGGTGTATATGTGCCACATTTTCTTAATCCAGTCTATCATTGTTGGACATTTGGGTTGGTTCCAAGTCTTTGCTATTGTGAATAATGCCTCAATAAACATACGTGTGCATGTGTCTTTATAGCAGCATGATTTATAGTCCCTTGGGTATATACCCAGTAATGGGATGGCTGGGTCAAATGGCAGAGACACAACCAAAAAAGAGAATTTTAGACATGCCCCCATCCTTTTTTCGTTTGTTTGTTTTGTTTTTGTTTAATTCAACTTTTATTTTAGATTAATGGTGTACACAGGCAGGTTTGTTATTTGTGTATATTGCATGATGTTGAGGTTTGGGGTACAAATGATCCTATCACTCAGATACTGAGCATGGTACCCAACAGTTAGTTTTCAACTTTTACTCCCATCCCAACCTTCCCCCCAGTCCCCAGTGTCTATTGTTGCCATCTTTATTTCCATGAGTACCCAATGTTTAGCTTCCACTTATAAGTGAGAACATGCAGTATTTGGTTTTCTGTTCCTGCATTAATTCACCTAAGTTAGTGGCTCCAGCTGCATCCGTATTGCTACAAAGGACATGGTTTCATTCTTTTTTATGGCTGTGTAGTATTTCATGGTGTATGTGTAGCACATTTTCTTTATCCAATCTACCACTGATGAAAACCTAGGCTGATTCCATGACTTTGCTATGGTGAATAGCACTGTGATAAACATGTGAGTGCCTGTGTCTTTTTGGTAGAAAAATTTGTTTTCTTTTGGATATATACCCCATAATGGGATTGCTGGGTTAGATGGTAATTTTGTTTTAACTTCTTTGAGAAATCTCCAAACCGCTTTCCACAGAGGCTGAACTAATTTACATTCCCACCAACAGTGTATAAGCATTCCCTTTTCTTTGCAGCCTCACCAGCATCTGTTTTTCGACTTTTTAATCATAGCCATACTGACTGGTGTGAGATAGTATCTCATTATGGTTCTGATTTGTATTTCTCTGATGATTAGTGATGCTGAGCACTTTATTTATATATTTGTTGTTGTCCATTTGTATGTCTTTTGAGAAGCATCTGTTCATGTCTTTTGTCCATTTTTAATGGGGTTGTATTTCTAGTTCTAGATCCCTGAGGAATTGCCACACTGGCTTCCACAATGGTTGAACTAGTTTACAGTCCCACCAACAGTGTAAAAGTGTTCCTATTTCTCCACATCCTCTCCAGCACCTGTTGTTTCCTGACTTTTTAATGATTGCCATTTTAACTGGTGTGAAATGGTATCTCATTGTGGTTTTGATTTGCATTTCTCTGATGGCCAGTGATGGTGAGCATTTTTTCATGTGTTTTTTGGCTGCATAAATGTCTTCTTTTGAGAAGTGTTGTTTTCTTATTCAATTGTTAAAGTTCCTTTTAGATTCTGGATATTAGACCTTTGTTAGATGCTTATCATGAATTACGTTGACCAATTGCTTTTCTCCCAACACTTAGCTGAATAGGGTCTCTAAGGCAAAAAGGGAATAAAGAAGTAGCTCAAAGGGGACATTTTGGAAGCTGGGGTAGAGGGCATGTTGTGGAGCAAGCATCAGATGGCGCTGTTGGCTGTGAAGAGGGATGTGGGGGCCTGGGAATTCCAGCTGCAGAGGCTGGAGGGGAGTGCCAGGAGGAGGGTATCTTGAGGCCAACAGCACCCCTCCTTTGTAACATCCCCTGGTGTCAACTGACAGCATAGTGATTCTTAAAGAAAACTAGGACCTTGAAAGGTGACTTGTAGATGTAGAACATCCATACATACTATGTTCGTGTCCAATGAAGCTGTTAATTTTTCCATGCCAATGTTAAAATGATATGACATAGAAAATGGCACTTGTAGATAACCTCATACTTTCTGTTTATGAATAGTTTTACCCTCTTCCTCTCCTCTCCTCACTAAGTCTTTTCCCAGATCTGTTACATGAGATAAAAACAGCTGACTTGTGTCCCAATTCTCTTTAAATGTCTTGTGGCAGCAGTAATGAGAGATAATGAACACCCCAAACTGTTTCCAATTAAAGGAAGGAAGAATATGATAGCACTTGAGTCGTGTTCTTCAGTTGTTTTTCATATGTACATCTGATCTTCTCAACCAAGGTAGTGGTTTCTTTTTCTGTCTCTCACTGAGCATGTCACCGGAGTGCTGTGTATAGAGTAAGGCCTTAATAAATATGTGTTCAGTTGACAGGAGCAGGAGCCAGGGGCTAAGCTGATCTCACAGTATAATGTCAGCTTCTGAATAATTGAGCATGGTCTGTGTGATTAATGTATTTATGTATTCAGCTGGTATTAGCAATATCCTCCCTGCCACTTTCCTGCCTGTGTCTGTCATCTGTCAGCCATGCATTTGTAGAAAGACTCTATAATGGGTGCTTGTTAATAAAACAAGCAGGAGAAGGCTTGTGCTGAAATAAAGGTGTTAGGGAGTTATTGATTTGAAAATATTTAAACAATTCATGTAAATGTTCTGCTTCATATGTATACATGGAATGTATATATAGACCATCAACAGTTTCTCAGTATCAACAGCTGAGATTTAAAAATGATATCCTTATGAGATGGTAAATTGACCAGAAACTATATCAGCCAAGGCTAGCTTTTGTTGCTGTTGTTATGTTTCTTAGGAATGTAACACACAGTTAGTAAAAAAAAAAAAGGTCTCCATTCAAGGTCATAAATGATGTCTTATTTAATGGAAATGCATTGTGAAAAGCAATAAGCAATGATTTCCTGTTAACTACAATGATCCCAGCTGGAAAACATCACTAGAAGAAATTATAAGTAACTCTTCTTTAGTTACTAGGAAGAGAGACAAAACATTTTCTTGGATGACTGTTCTGTATTTTTCAATCCCAGGAGGTGGAAGCAGGGGTACAGCCAATTAGGATTATTCAGTTTTTTACATGCACACTAATATAGAAAGAATCTTGTTGGTCAGATCCACTTAGATTTAGCTAGATTATGTACAACAATACCTAACAAGATACTCAAGGCAGCACGTTTTAGCAAAAGGGTTTGTATGAGAATTGCTTGATTCACACGCATTGTGGAGGATAAGTAATGTTTATGAAGCAGATATAGTAATCTGTGCTTACACTGTGAGCTTTTTAAACCACATCTAGAAATTTGGCATCTGTCCACTGGCCAGAAGTAGTTAGTCATCCCTAATGGAGCCCATGTCGTTTTGTTGGTGCAGTTCTCTGGGGTTCTACTTGATCCTGATTTCTGGATCCATTCCACAATGTCTTGATCTATTTCTTCTGAAATGCTGGCTGCTGGACTCTAGAGAATTGTGGTTCTTGTTGCTAGGAAAATTGTCGGGATTTTAATATTCTCACTGTGGGTTCTTTTGGGTCAAGTCCTTACTGCTACAGGCCTTGCTAAACCCACCCTTCTAGGTTTATTGTGGGGGCTGTCCTTGCCTTTGCTGGTGTCTTTCTCTACTCCATCCTCAGCTATCTGGAGAGTCTTCTATTCATGCACTTGTGGAATAGAAGGGGTAATATTTAATTCTTCTGTAAAAGAAATTTTTTTTGCAGAGAAAGATTTGCCGGAAATATCAAACGGAAGACTAGCTCCTTCAGAAAATATTTCTGACTTAGTCTGAGATCTGGGAACAGGGACTCCTAGATTTCTTTACTTTCGCACATTCATAATCATAGCTATACTATGCTACTAGGATCAAAGGACCTTTCACCAATCCTGTCAGTCGAGCTACTTAATGTGTGAGTTAAACTTTCTAATAAGATATATTTTATTCAACCTTGTTCATTCATTCAATTTTAGGGTTACAGTTCTAAAAGCTTCCCCTTTTTGTGACTCCTAGCTCCTGCAATTTCACCATTCAACTCAATGTTGGACCAAGATGGACGCCTGACTCAAAGGCACTAAATGCATTCACTGGCTAACAGACAGTCAGATTCTTTTTCTGGGAACTTAAGGGATTCAGAAGAATCATTTGGTAGTGACCAGTGGCTGTAAATATAGCTACAAAGACTTCACGCTAGTGGTTATGTTGGAACTTTGGTTGGCTTAGCATTGGTCAGATTCCAACTGCAATAAAATGACCCAGAGAGTCTGGTACTATGATTGGTACAGTAAGCGATTCATTTTTCCACCAGAAATAGGGAATAGAAAACAACAATAAATGTCACCGCACACTTGCTACTATTAGAGAATTTGATGTATTATTTACCTGTCTATTTACTGACTTTTCTTCCCTGTGTTAACAGTTGTAAGTCAAAGAGGCTAAGGTTATTTGAGTAAGTAACCTGAGTTTTTTAGATGCAAGAATCATGTACCCATTTCTAGAAAAATGACAAAGAAGTCTCAAGGTAGGCTAGTTTTGCAATATGCTTAAATTGAAACTGGACAGCCACCTAGCATTATAAAGCAATTTTGCTAAGCTCATCTATCGCTTGAGAGAAATGAGCTGCAGGATAATGAAAAAACACTGGGAGTCTTTGAAACAGCAGAGCATAGTTCTTTGGAAAAGGAACACCAGGTCAGTTTGGAAGAACGTCTTGGGTAGATCATCACTTTCATTTGATATCTAAATAGTAGTGCTGGCGGTCCTGTTCCTCAGGGCAGAAGGTAAATGCCTGAGGAATGGAAGGCTTCTATTCCCCTAAGAATGTGAAGACTTTATTCCTAGAGGCTGTGAACTTAAGTACAGTTAAATTAAATGGAGACAATAAAACTTAAGCCAAATGGGACAGTCTCAAAAGGAAGAAATCTATTTTATGGGGGAAAATAATGGCTACCATTTATTGTGTGCCAGTATGTGCTGAGAATGGTATTAGGCAACTTTAGATTATTTCTATCCTCACAGTAAATATGCAACATAGGTACTATTATGTCTATTTTACAGACAAGGAAATTAAGGCTTAGAGAGATTGTCTCATTATTTTTGCTAGTAAATGGAATGAAAACCCAGGCCTTTTGATTCCAATGAGAGTCCTGAAAGAACCTCACTTTGTTAGGCTCTGGAGGATTTCTTGTATTTTGCAGTAAAATACAGAACAGAAGATAGGTCATCTGTACTTTATTTTTGGATAAACGGGAAAGTATGTAACTGGGTCCTTAAATATATCCTAAAACAAACAATAACAAACAAACTAACCAACAAAAATACCATTTCTTGACTAACCTTCCTAACAGCTGATTTCATTATGCTTCAATCAAAAGCATTCACTGAGTCAGTCACCTATTGGAGGAAGTCTATACTATTTAGATTGGCATTCAAAATCCTTGGCCTGAGTGACCTCTGAAATTCCCAATATGGTCCCGTCCCGTCCCATCCCATCCCATCCCATCCCACCCTACCCTACCCCACCCCACCCCACCCCACCCCACCCCACCCCACCCCATCCCATCCCATCCTGGTTTTCTAGATGCTTCACTAGAAAACCACTGCATTCAGATCTGTTTTTCTGCTTTTTCTGTTTTCTATTTCTTACCACCACCAGCCATCACCACAGCTTCCACTGCCATCTTTGTGAAACATTCCTCATTTGCTTCATTCTTGCCCAAGCTGGTATGGCTATTCAGTGGCACAGCTAGTATTTAAGTCCAATTTCATCTGATCCCGAAGTCTGTTCTTTCTGCTCTGTTTCAGGAGCTCTGCTTTTATTAAAGGATGCTGTTGAATTTTCTCTTGGATGATAGATATAGGTTTTGGTTACCTGTTTTTATTTCCAGCACTTTCTACTGTTAAATTCTGATATGTTTTCTTCCAAGTGAGAGAAATAGTTTCCACCTACTGTCATGCCTAGCAGGGAGATTTCCTCAGGATTTTTGGATGGAGCTTAGAAGTAAAATTACTCTAAAAATATTAATTTGAGCCATTGGGGTAAGAGTAGTTCTAACGCAGGAGTCATATAAATGAAAGATATTTGCAAGTCTTATAGAAATAAAAATTTCTTACCTGCCTAAGTTAAAGAAAGTGAAGTTTAAGTTATACAAGCATACTAGTGGCTTTAAGTGATGTCTTATGTCAAGAACAACTTTTACTGTTTATGAGATTAGATAAGAAGCACTTGGAGTCAGAAAAACTTTTGTTTACACTCAAGTTTCTATTTATTTGTGTAATTCTGGAACAATTATCTCTGAGCTTCAATTTCCTGATTTTTAAGGTGGGGATAATATAACTAAGTAAGGTTCAAATGAAAATTCATGTGGAGCACATTGTGATTCATAAAACACAATACAAATATAAGGTGTAGTAATTATTATTGCTAGGAGATTTGAGAGAGAATGTATGAGTCTATCTGAATACAACTCACTTGCATAAAAAGTTTGACTGATTATCACACCCCTAAGGAATTATTACTGTCAGTTTTGTTTGAACAATTACTGACTGATCAAGGAAAAATTATGAATCAATTTCAATAATACACATTATTATTAGCTTTCCCAAACTAATTTAGAGCACAGAGGTCCCTCAGTGTTCAGAACTCATAACATTTATTGTTTATAACCATGGTTCACAAAATTTGACTACACCTCAAAATCACAGGAAGAAATTAAAAAGGAATCCTGGATTCCATGCTGAGATACTGTGGATCCATGTTTTTCTTTTTAACTACTTGATGATCCAATTTACTAACCTGGTTTGGCATATACCACTGGTATATGCAAATCTTTTGATAGCCAGTGATGGTTTATCTTAGACATGGTCATTTTTCATGTTTTAAAAATGTTCTCAGTTATGTTGTGAGCTTTGCGTCTCCACATAAAGTGGCTTGCACTGAGTAGTATTGCTGATGATGTTTACATAGGGAAAAGTACTGGATTCTTCACAGGCCGTTTGTACATCAATTATTTGAAGAGATAATAGCAAGTTTTTAATTATTCATGACACATACTTAGAAAACTTGGAACTTGAAGAAACTATAGAAATTATCTGGTTCATTTGTCTTTTTTTTTTTTTTTCCTGGATAAGGAAACTTAGGGCAAGAGAAGTTAAAAGGCTCATCTAAGGTGACCATACTTGTCATCCAGGACTAGAATTCCCAGATCTTGTCTTTTTCCTTGATTCATGGTAATTGTAGAAGGCATAATTAAAAGGCACAAATAGACAAATCCCTAATCTTAGAAGGACCTCGAGCTTCTCTTTTACTAGAATTCTTAATAAGTGGCAAAATGCACAGAGTACTTAAAATTTTTTTTCTCTTGAATAATATATAGTAGATAGCTATGCAAGCATCTTCAAAATTCAATAGTCAAGGAAAAATAATTGGAATCAGCAGTGTTCATACCTTCAATTTTTTTGTGTTTTTTTTTGGTTCTCCCATATATTACTCAGCATGGAAATTACTGCAGTATTAATCCCCTCTAATGTCATTAATGAGACCAGTTCCTACTAAAGTGAACAAATTGGGTATTAGATGCATAATAAAGACCACACACGGAAGCAAAAGAAAATCTCAACCTTTCTAAATAAAATAGTTGAGGTTTCATGAATCCATACATAGGAAGAAATTTCTCTTGTATAAATTTTTAAAAATAGACTAGTTATGTTTCAGGACTACATCTTCCTCTTAAAATGTGAAATTCCTTTTAGCATAAATGATCTGTTTCTTTGTTATTCTTACTAAACTCTTCATCTTTTAAGGCATGGATCACGTCATTTTTATATTTGACCTTCTAGTACCTACCTCATGGCTGACTGTCAAGAGATCATCTGTTGAAACAAACTGATGAGGGAAGAAAACAAAAACCTTGAGAGCTGGAGCTAAGCAATATTTTTTTTAACTTTAAAACTATTTTTATTTCCAGTAGTATCCTAATGAAAGTGTTTTTGTACTAAAATGTATTTAGAAGTTGGTTTGTTTTTTAAAATTAAACTAAATTTGATTTAACTTTTGACAATGAAAGACATAATGATCAAGATATGTCAATTGAAAGGTTAGAAATGAGATGATTTGAAAGAGGTTATATTGAAAAACCGGCTGCTAAGATAAAAATAACAATGAAGGGGCTAAAATTCACTCTTTTAATTATTGCAGGCATTGACCCAGGTGATGAGAATATAACCATGAACAAAAGAGTTCCAGTTCTATGTTCTCTCCAGGGAGAAGATAGAATATATATATATTCTATATACATATTCTCTATATATATTCTCTCTATATATTCTCTCTATATATTCTCTATATATATTCTATATATAGTGTATATATATTCTATATATTCTATATATATAGTGTGTATATATATAGTGTATATATATATACACACACACACAAACACATACTATCAGGTGGTAACTGTTAGGAGGAAAAAAGTGGAGTGAAGGGATAAATGACAATTAGGGAAGAGGGCCCATTAGGTAGGGTGGCCACAAGAACTTCTCTGAGGAAGTGATATTTAAATCAGTGAAACTGTGGTCACTCAACATGAGTAATTTTTGGGTTAATATATACAATTAAGTTTACTCATTATGATTTTGATATTATATAATAATATATACAGTTAAGTTTATTCTTTTTTAGGTATAGAATAATCAAATATTTTTAAAAGTGGAACATATTTTTATTTTAGATAAAATATTTAGAACATATTTATATTTTAGAGCTCACCTCTTTATTACAAATCCTCCCATTTTATAGGTGGGAGGTAACTGAGGTCTGCTTTAGACAAAGACTGCTCAGGTCACTTAACTTTTTGTTGACTGCTCACTAGAACCTGGTTTCCCAGTCCTCAGGCCAATGCTTTCTTCACAATATCAAGCTCTTCTCTCTCAGGTTTTGTATTGGAAACCTCTAAAGATCTGCATGATTTTGGCCCAAGAGGATGTAGGGAATAGGGGAGACAAAATTTAGTTCCTTTATAGAGACAACAAGAATAAATTATATCATGGACCAATTCTGTGTAGTTAAGCCTCAGCTGTGCTTTCTTAGCACAAATTGGTAGAGCAAGCTCTTTTTCTTACTGGATGTTTTCTTGAGCTGATGCCTAGTTACTAGTATCATGGAGCCCCTAAGTATTGAGGCCTTGAAAAATTCTCGTGATTTACTCTATTCTTACAGAATAGATGACTCTGCATCTCAGGCCATTCCTGTTTGCTTTTAGGTAACATCTGGCTGTTGATTTAAAAAAAAAAAAGGTATCATGAAACCCAGCAAGGTCAATCAGTCAACTAGAGGCTCAGCTTGTTCATATTATGTCAATTGTTTCTGCTTTAACCTTCAGATTTAAATGTAGTAGGACACAAGAATCTATGCTGACAGGATAAATCAGACATTTTCTTCTTCACAGTGTTACCAGTTTGCTTATATTTCTTCGAATGTCATCAATACCAACATATCATTGAAAGAAAAAAATTAATGAACTCAAATAGTTTTGGGGTCTTATTTGAAAGGTTTAAGTCAGTACTAATGGGATCTTGATGTTGTAGTTCTCGTCCACTACAGCGTCCACAAAAGCATAGTTTAACACCTTCACCTATCAGCTATTTGGTATCTGAGAACAATCTAGTAGGAGGAAGGACAAGGACTTGTCTTAAAGTTGTTTTTTCATCGCAAATATATTGTTTTATCTTAACCCTGTTCATTTATTTCACCTGGCTTGATGCTGTGTTTGCATAATAAGAATCCTATTTTTTTTGAAAAATGAATTGTCAGTATAGCAGAGTTGTTAACGTGGTTTCTAGTGCCACATTATGTCTGTTCAAATCCCAGTTCTATTTTATCCTAGAAGTTTGACCTTTGGCGAAATTTTTAAGTTCTCTTTGCCTCAGTTTTTTCATAATGGAGGCAATAGTAGCATTTATTTTGTGCAAATGTTATAGAAATACAAGGAGTCACTAAGTGTGAAGCATTTAGATCAGGGCCAATAGAAATATGCCTAATGAATATTGGAAATTTTTATTTTATCTGAGGTTGTTGATAAGCTTGTTGTGGGAGGAGAGTACTGAATGAAAGCTGCCAGTTTTAAGCTGTTTTCTCTGGCCACTGTCTGTGCAAATTTTTTGAAAATAAGTTTTACTTTGTATATCTAAAGCATACAACATGATGTTCTAAGATACATTACAGTAAAATGATTAGTGAAACAAATAAAGGTACCCATCATCTCACATAGTTACCCACTTTTTCCTGTCTGTGGCAAGAGCAGCTATAATCTACTCATTTAGCAAAAATCCTGAATAAGATACACTATTCATAACTATAATCCTCACATTGTACATTAGCTCTTTTGACTTGTTTCACCATGTTGGCCAGGCCGGTCTCGAATTCATGACCTCAAATGATCTGCTGCCTTGGTCTCCCAAAGTACTGGGATTGCAGGTGTGAGCCACTGCACCTGGCCAATATCATAATATAAATTATTTATTTTTATTTTTATTTATTTATTATTTATTTCTCTTGTCTTATTGCTCTGGCTAGGACTTCCAGTACTATGTTGAATGGAAGTGGTGAGTGAGGGCATCCTTGTCTTATTCCAGTTCTCAGGGGGAATGTTTTCAACTTTTCCCCATTCAGTATAATGTTGCCTGTGGGTTTGTCATAGATGGCTTTTATTATGTTAAGGTATGTCCCTGCTATGCTGATTTTGCTGAGGGTTTTAATCATAAAAGGATGCTGGATTTTGTCAAATGCTTTTTCTGTGTCTATTAAGGTGATAATGTGATTTTTATTTTTAATTCTATGTGGTGTATCACATTTATTAACTTGCATATGTTAAACTGTCCCTGCATCCCTGGTATGAAACCCACTTGCACATGGTGGATTACCTTTTTGATATGTTGTTGGATTTCATTGCTAGTATTTTTTTTGAGGATTTTTGCGTCTATGTTCATTAGGGATAGTGGTCTGTAGTTTTCTTTTTTTGTTGTGTCCTTTCCTGGTTTTGGTATTAGGGTGATACTTGCTTCACAGAATGATTTAGGGAATATTCCCTCTTTATCTTGTGGAATAATGTCAATAGGATTGGTACCTATTCTTCTTCGAATGTCTGATAGAATTCAGCTGTGAATCTGTCTGGTCCTGGACTTTTTTTTTTTTGTTAATTTTTAAATTACCATTTCAATCTCACTACTTGTTATTCGTCTGTTCAGGGTATCTAATTCTTCCTGATTTAAGCTAGGAGGGTTGTGTCTTTCCAGGAACGTATCCATCTTCTCTAGGTTTTCTAGTTTATGTGTGTAAAGGTGTTCATAGTGGCCTTGAATGATCGTTTGTATTCCTGTGGTGTCAGTTGTAATATCTCCCATTTCATTTCTAATTAAGCTTATTTGGATCTTCTCTCTTCTTTTCTTGGTTAATCTCACTAATGGTCTGTCAATTTATATATATATATATTTATTTTATTTTATTTTATTTTATTTATTTATTTATTTTTTTGAGACAGTCTCACTGTGTTGTCACCTAGGCTGGAGTGCGGTGGTGTGATCTGCACTCACCGTAACTTCCACTTCCCAGGTTCAAGCAATTCTCATTCCTCTGCCTCCCAAGTAGCTGGGATTACAGGTATGACCACCACACCTGGCTAATTTTTGTATTTTTAGTAGAGACGGGGTTTAGCCGTGGGTGGGAATGCTGTTCTTGAACTCCTGGCCTCAAGTGATCTACCTGCTTCAGTCTTCCAAAGTGCTGGGATTACAGGCATGGGCAACTGCTCCCGGCATTATTTATCTTTTCAAAGAACCAACTTTTTGTTTCCTTTATCTTTTGTATTTTTTTTTGTTTCCATTTCATTTAATTCTGCTCTGATCTTTTTTTATTTCTTTTTTTCTGCTGTGTTTGGGTTTGATTTTTTCTTGTTTCTCTAGTTCCTTGAGGTGTGACCTTAGATTGTCTATTTGTGGTCTTCCAGACTTTTTGATGCAGGCATTTAATGTTTTGAAGCTTCCTCTTAGCACCCCTTTTGCTGTATCCAGAGGTTTTGCTAGGTTGTGTCACTATTATCACTCAGTTCAAAGAATTTTTTAATTTCCATTTTGATTTTATTGTTGACCCAGTGATCACTTAGGAACAGGTTACTTAATGTCTATGTATTTGCATGGTTTTGGAGGTTCCTTTTGGAGTTGATTTCCAATTTTATTCCACTGTGGTCTGAGAGAGTACTTGATATAATTTAGATCTTCTTAAATTTGTTGAGACTTGTTTTATGGCCTATCATATATGATCTATCTTGGAGAATGTTCCATGCACTGATGAATAGAATGTATATTCTGCAGTTGTTGGGTACAGTGTTCTGTAAATATCTTACCAGTTTATTTGTTCTATAGTATAGTTTAAGTCCATTGTTTCTTTGTTGGCTTTCTGTCTTGATGACGTGTCTAGTACTGTCAGTGGACTATTGAAGTCCCCCACTATTATTTTGTTTCTGTCTATCTCATTTCTTAGATCTAAAAGTAATTGTTTTATACATTTGGGAGCTGCAGTGTTAGTTGCATGTATATTTAGGATTGTGATATTTTCCTGTTGGACAAGGCCTTTTTTCATTAAATAATGTCCCTCTTTGTTTTTTTTTTAACTGCTATTGCTTTAAAGTTTGTTTTGTCTGATATAAGAATAGCTACTTCTGCTCACTTTTGGTGTCCATTTGCATGGAATATCTTTTTCTATCCCTTTACCTTAAGTTTGTGTGAGCCCTTATGTGTTAGGTTAGTCTCTTGAAGACAGCAGAGACTTAGTTGGTGAATTCTTATCCATTCTGCCATTCTGTGTCTTTTTAGTGGAGCATTTCTGCCAATTTACATTCAACATTAGTATTCAGATGTCAGGAACTATTCTATTCATCATGCTATTTGTTGCCTGAATACCTTGGTTTTTATTGGGTTATTGTTTTATAGGTTCTGTGAGATTTATGCTTTAAGGAGGTTCTATTTTGGTATATATCAAGGATTTGTTTCAAGATTTAGAGCTCCTTTTAGTAGTTCTTGTAGTGCTGGCTTCGTAGTGTTGAATTCTGTCAGCATTTGTTTATCTGAAAAAGACTGTATCTTTCCTTTATTTATGAAGCTTAGTTTCACTGGATACAAAATTCTTGGTTGATAATTGTTTTTTTTAAGGAGGCTAAAGATAAGATGCCAGTCCCTTTTAGCTTGTGGGGTTCCTGCTGAGAAATCTGATGTTAATATGATAGGTTTTCTTTCATAGGTTACCTGATGCTTTTGCCTCACAGCTCTTAAGACTTTTTTCCTTCATCTTGACTTTAGATAACCTGATGACAATGTGCCTAAGCGATAATCTTTTTGCAATGAATTTCTCAGGTGTTCTTTGAGCTTCTTGTATTTGGATGTCTAGGTCTCTAGCAAGGCCAGGGAAGTTTTCCTTGATTAATCCCTCAAGTCTGTTTTCCAAACTTTTACATTACTCTTCTTCCTCAGGAACACCAATTATTCTTAGATTTGATCATTTAACATAATCCCAAACTTCTTGGAAGCTTTGTTCATTTATTTTAATTCTTTTTTTCTTTGTCTTTGTTGGATTAGGTTAATTTGAAAGTCTTGTCTTCAAGCTCTGAAGTTCTTTCTTCTACTTGTTTGGTTCTATTGCTGAGACTCTTCAGTGTATTTTGCATTTATTTAAGTTTGTCCTTTATTTCCAGAAGTTGTGATTGTTTTTTATTTAAGCTATCTATTTCTCCAGAGATTTTTCCATTCATATCCTGTAATACTTTATTTAAGTTGGACTTCAATATTTTCTGGTGCTTCCTTGGGTAGCTTAATAGTCATCTTCTGAATTCTTTTTCTGGCAATTCAGAAATTTCTTCCTGATTTGGATCCATTGCTGATGAGCTAGTATGATCTTTTGGGGATGTTAAAGAACCTTTTTTTGTCATATTAACAGAATTGTTTTTCTGGTTCCATCTCATTTTGTTAGAGTATGTCAGAGGGAAGATCTGGGGTTCAGGAGCTGCTGTTTAGAATCTTTTGTCCTACGAGGTGCTCCCTTGATGTGGTGCTCTCCCGTTTCCCACAGGGATGGGGCTTCCTGAGAGCTGAACTGCAGTGATTGTTATTTCTCTTCTGGATTTAGCCACCCAGTGGAGCTACTGGGTTGTGGGCTAGTACTGGGGAGTGTCTGCAAAGAGTCCTGTGATGCAATTTGTCTTCAGATCTCTCAGCCATGGATACTAGCACCTGCTGTGGTGGAGGTAGCAGGGGAGTGAAGTGGATTCTGTGAGAGTCCTTGGCATTTTTGTTTAGTGAGCTAGTTTTGGGTTGGTTGCCCTCCAGCCAGGAGGTGATGCCTTCAAGAGAGCATCAGCTTCAGTAGTGTAGGAGGATACAAGCTTGCCCTAGGGTCTCCTGGATAAGTATTTGGGTTTCTTAGGAGGTGGGCAAGGACATAGAGCTACCAAGAGATTATGTCCTTTTGTGTCCGGAATTGGTTCCTTCTGGTGGGTTCTTGGTCTCTCTGACTTCAAGCATGAAGCCATGGACCCTCGCGGTGAGTGTTACAGTTCTTAAGATGCTGTGTCCAGCGTTTATTCCTTTGGATATTCAGATGTGTCCAGAGTTTCTTCCTTCCAGTGGGTTTGTGGTCTCGCTGACTTCAGGAATGAAGCCACAGACCCTCGTAGTGAGTTTTACAGCTCATAAGGGTAGTGTTGACCCAAAGAGTGAGCAGCAGCAAGATTTATTGTGAAGAGCTAAAGAACAAAGCTTCCACAGTATGGAAGGGTACCTGAGCAGGTTGCTGCTGGTGGCTCGGGTGGCCAGCTTTTATTCCCTTATTTGGCCCCACCCACATCCTGCTGATTGGTCCATTTTACAGAGCACTGATTGGTCCATTTTACAGAGTGCTGATTGGTCTGTTTTTACAGAGTGCTGATTGGTGCATTTACAAAGCTTTAGCTAGACACAGAGTGCTGATTGGTGTGTTTACAATCCTTTAGGTAGACAGAAAAGTTCTCCAAGTCCCCACCCCACCCAGAAGCCCAGCTGGCTTCACCTCTCACTTTGTCTTCAGCTACTCGAGCAGGTAGAGACAGACCATCAGGTTTGGGGAGGGTTTGGTGTGTCTGAGCTCAGACTGTCCTTGGACAGGGCTTGCTGTGGCTGCTGTGGGGGATGAGGAGGTTGTTCTCCAGTCAATGGAGTTATGTTCCCAGGGGGATTATGGCTGCCTCTGCTGTGTCATACAGGTCATCAGGGAAACTGGGGAAAGCTGGCAGTTATAGGCCTCATCCAGCACCCATGCAGCCCAAAAGGCCAGTCTCACTCCTACCATGCCCCCCCAACAGCCCCGAGTTTATTTCCAGGCTGCCAATGAGCAGGGCTGAGAACTTGCCCCAGGCTATAAGCCTCCCCACTGAGAAAGCAAGCAGGGCTTTCAGGTTTCCTGCCTCCTTGCCTGCCACAGCTTCTGTCTTGTGTCTGCACTCCTGGTTCATCCCTCCTCCGGGTTCTGTCCCAGAAACTTTTTTTTTTTTTTTTTTTTTTTTGAGACGGAGTCTCGCTCTGTCGCCCAGGCTGGAGTGCAGTGGCGCGATCTCGGCTCACTGCAAGCTCCGCCTCCCAGGTTCACGCCATTCTCCTGCCTCAGCCTCCCGAGTAGCTGGGACTACAGGCGCCCGCTACCACGCCCGGCTAATTTTTTGTATTTTTAGTAGAGACGGGGTTTCACCGTGTTAGCCAGGATGGTCTCGATCTCCTGACCTCGTGATCCGCCCACCTCGGCCTGTCCCAGAAACTTTGCGTTAGGTTGAAGTTGTTACAAAGTTCAGCTGGAAGTTTTCTTCTCCCTGTGGCCTTTTCTCAATTCTACTGGCAGCCCTCCCCAAGGATCCCTGTGAGACAAAGTCAGGAGTGGCTTCCCTGGGGACTGAGAGTGCCCACAGGGCTCTTTCTGCTACTTTTTCTGCCCCTATATTTTGCTTGGCTCTATAAATTTATCTGAGCTCCAGGTAAGGTCAAATCCTCCAGTGATCTGGACCTTCAGATTCCCCAGTGAGGATGTGTGTTCAGGGGGAGAGGATCCCCTTTCGCACTTTCACACTTTGAGTACACAGTTTTTCAGCTGTGTCTGGGAGCTTGCAACAGCAATCTGCTTCCTTCAAACGGTCTGTGCATTCTCTCAGCTCTCCTGTATGTTCCCACAGGAGTTCTTGGAGCAAAAGTTCATGATGTGAGTTTCTACACATTGCTCTGTCCATCCACGTGGGAGCTGCAAGTTAGTCCTGCTCCTATCTGCCATTTTCTCTGGTATTGTGTTAATTACTGTAAAATGTTCTAATAAGATAGAGAGATGATTTTAAATAAGTTTTACCTGAACGTGGGATACGGAAAACTTCATGGATTTTAATAGTTTTCAGAAGTGCTACAAGTTATTGGAAAAACTTGTTTGGTAAAATGTCCTTTTTTCAAAAAAAAAACAAATTAATTTTTAAAATAATTTAAACTTTTATTTTAGATTCAAGGGATACACGCACAGATTTGTAACCAGAATACATTGCGTGATACTCTGGTTTGGGGTACAAATGATCTTGTCACCAGATAATGAGCATAGTGCCCAACAGTCAGTCTTTCATCCCTTACCCCACTCCATCTCTCCCTCCCCCATCTAGTAGTCCCCAGTGTCCGTTGTTGGCATCTGTATATCCATGAGTACCCATTATTTAGTTCCCACTTATAAGTGAGAACATGCAATATTTGGTTTTCTGTTCCTGTGTTAATTTGCTTAGGATAATGACCTCCAGCTGCATCCATGCTGCTACAAAGGACAAGATTTTGTTCTTTTTTTTTTTTTAATTGCTGGGTATTATTCCCTGGTGTATATTATATCACATTTTCTTTATCCAGGCTACCACTGATGGGCATGGGCACCTAGGTTGATTTCATTTCTTTGCTCTTATGAGTGGTGCTGCGATGAACATGCAAGTGCATGTGTGTTTATGGTAGAACGATTTGTTTTCTTTTGGATGTATACCCAGTAATGGTATTGTTGGGTTGGATGGTAGTTCTAACTTCTTTGAGAAATCTCCAAACTGCTTTCCACAGTAGCAGAACTAATTTACATCCCCACCAAAAGTGTATAAGTGTTCTCTTTTCTCTTCAGCCTTGCCAGCACCTGCTTTTTGATTTCTTAATAATAGCCATTCTGAGATGGTATCTTATTGTGGTTTTGATTTGCATTTCTCTGATGATTAGTGATATGGAGCATTTATTCATATATTTGTTGGCAACTTGTATGTCTTTGTCCATTGATATCTTTTGCCCATTTTAAAATAGGGTTATTTGTTTTTGGCTTGTTAAATTGTTTTAGTTCTTTATAGAGTCTGGATATTAGACCTTTGCCAGATACACAGTTTGCAAATGTTTTCTCCCATTCTGTAGGTTGTCTGTTTACTCTGTTGATAGTTATTTTTGCTATGCAGAGAAACTAAGCTCTTTAGTTTAATTAGGTACCATTTATCAACATTTGTTTTTGTTGCAGTTGCTTTTGAGGACTTATAAATTTTTTCCCAAGGTCATTGTCCACAATGGTGTTTCCCAGGTTTTCTATTAGGACCATTTTAGTTTGAGATCTTACATTTAAATATTTAATTCATCTTAAGTTAATTTTTGTATATGGTGAAAGGTAGGAATCCAGTTTCATTCTTCTGTATGTAGTGAGCTAGCTATCCAAGCACTGTTTATTGAATAGGGAGTCTTTTCCACATTGTTTGTTTTTGTTGACTTTGCCAAAGATCAGATTGATGCAGGTGTGCTGCTTTATTTCTGGGTTCTCTAGTCTATTCCATTGATCTACGTGTCTGTTTTTGTACCAGTACCATGCTGTTTTGGTTACAGTAGCCTTATGATATAATTTGAAGTCAAGGAATGTGGTGTCTGACTTTGTTCTTTTTCCTTTCTTTTTTTTTTTTTTTTTTTTTTGAGGCAGAGTCTTGCTATGTCACCCAGGCTGGAATGCAGTGGCACAATCTCAGCTTGCTGCACCCTCTGCCTCCTGGGTTCCAGTGATTCTTGTGCCTGAGCCTCCCAAGGAGCTGGGACTACAGGTGTGTGCCACCACAACTGGCTAATTTTTGTATTTTTAGTAGAGATGGGGTTTCTCCATGTTGCCCAGGCTGGTCCCGAACTCCTGGCCTCAAGTGATCCACCGACCTCAGCCTCCCAAAATGTTGGGATTACAGGTGTGAGCCACTGTGCCTGGCCAGGTTTTGTTCTTTCTGCTTAGGACTGTTTTGACTATTTGGGCACCTTTCTGGATCCATATGAATTTTAGAGTGTTTTTTTCTAGTTCTATGAAAAATATTGGTAGTTTGACAGGAATAGCATTGATTCTGTAGATTGCTTTGGGCAGTATGGCCATTTTTAACAATACAAATTATTCTAACCCATAAGCATGGAATGTTTTTCTTTTTTTGTGTGTGTCATCTCATTTCTTTCAGCAGTGTTTTGTAGCTCACCTTGTAGAGCTCTTTCACCTCCTTAGTTAGATATATTTGTAAATATTTTTTTTTGTGGCTGTTACGAGACTACATTCTTTACTTGGCTCTCAGCTTCAATGTTATTGGTGTATAGAAATGCTACTGATTTTTGTACATTTATTTTGTATCTTGAAACTTTACTGAAGTTGTTTATCATTTCCAGGAGCGTTTTGGCAGAGTATTTAGGATTTTCTAGGTATAGAACCATATTGTCTGTGAAGAGAGATAGTTTTGCTTCTTTTCTTCCTATTGGGATGCCTTTTATTTATTTCTCTTGCCTGATTGATTTGGCTAGGACTTCCAGTACTATATTGAAAAGGAGTGGTGAGAGTGGGCATCCTTGTCTTGTTCTGGTTATCAAGGGGAATGCTTCCAGGTTTTGCCCATTCAGTGCGACATTGACTGTGGGTTTGTCAGAGATGGCTTTTATTATTTTGAGTTATAGTCCTTTGATGCCTACTCCTTGAGGGTTTTTATTTTGAAGAGATATTGGATTTTTTTCAAAAGCTTTTTCTGTGTCTATTGAGATAACCATATGGTTTTTGTTTTTAATTCTGTTTATATGTTGAATCACACTTATTAATTTGCATATGTTGAACCAACCTTGCCTCCTGGGAATGAAGTCTGCTTGATCATGGTTAATTAATTTCTTGATGTGTTGCTGAATTAGGTTTGCTAGTATTTTTTTAAAATGATTTTTGGCATCTGTGTTCATGAGGGATATTGGCCTGTAGTTTTCTTTTTTGTTGTTGAATCTTTTCCAGGTTTTGGTATCACTGTGATGCTGCCTTAGTAGAATGAGTTAGGGAAGAGTCCCTCATCCTTAATTTATTGGGACAGTGTTGTTACTGACAAAGCTGGTCTCCCCAAAGAGGGGATTTTTCCCTGTTTGGTGTCACAAAGCCAATACACAAAACTGAAAGTGAGTGTCAAGTAGTACAGGCATTATTTGATGGCCATGAAATTGAAAAGCAAGACTGTGGCTCACAAATTAACTTCTTGACAATGAGGGGTGAACAAGTTAACATATAGAGTTTCTCTAATGAAAGGGTTGAACATTAAAAGCAAAAGGAAAAATATTTGTGTCTTTTATGGAATTGGGCAGTGAAGTTTCCAGAACCAGAGTGCAGCCTTCCCTTTTGTCCTTTTATGGTTTCTTCTGGTCATTGTCATGGTGATTGTCAACTGTCGTGGTGCTGGTAGGAGTGTCATTTAGCATGGGAATGAGATTATAATGAAGCCTGAAGTCTTTTTGAAGTCATTTGGTTGGCTGTCTTGGTTCTAACCAGTCTCAGCTGATCTGGTTACAAAGGGAACTTTTTTTTAAATCACAGGTGTCCTGTTTCTTAAAGATAAGCAGAATTAGGACAGGGAAGAAATTCAGCTATGTCATGTAGGTATTACACCAGGTAGCAGTTTTAGCAGAATGAGTACCAGCTCTTTTTACATTTGGTAGAATTTGGCTGTGAATCCATCTGGTCTGGTGCTATTCAGGGTTTCAATTTCTCCCTGATTCAATCTTGGGAGATTGTGTTTCTAGGAGTTTATCCAGCTCCTGTAGATTTTCTAGTTTGTATTAATAGAAGTGTTTGTAATAGTTTCTGAGGATGTTTTGTATTTCTGTGGGATTGGTTGTAATGTCTCCTTTGTAATTTCTGATTGTGCTTATTTGGATCTTCTCTCTGTTTTTCTTTGTTAATCTAGTTAGCAGTCTATTGATCTTGTTTATCCCATCAAAGAATCAACTTTTGATGTTGTTCATTCTTTGTATGGATTTTTTGGGTCTTAATTGCATTCAGTTCTGCTCTAATTTTAGTTATTTCTTTTTTTCTGCTAGCTTTGGGGTTAGTTTGTACTTTTTTTTTTGTTCTTCTATGTGTGATGTTAAATTGTTAATTTGAGCTCTTTCTAACTTTTTGAGGTAGGTGTTTAGCGCTATTAACTTTCCTCTTAACACTGTCTTTGTTGCATCCTGGAAATTTTGGTATGTTGTGTCTCTGTTTTCACTTATTTCAAATAACTTTTTTGATGTCTGCCTTAATTTCATTGTTTACCCAAAAGTCATTCAGAAGCAAATTGTTTAATTTCTATGTAATTTTATGGTTTTGAGAGGTTTTCCTGGTACTGATTTCTATTTTTATTGCACTGTGGTCTGAGAATATGATTGGTGTAATTTCAATTTTTTGACTCTACTGAGACTTGCTTTATGGTTGAGCATGTGGTCAATCTTATAGTATGTTCTGTGTGCAGATCAGAAGAATGTATATTCTGTGATTTATGGGTGGAATAATCTGTAGATGTCCATTAGGTCAAATTGGTCAAGTATCAAATTTAAGTCAAGCATTTCTTCTTTTAGTTTTCTGCCTTGATGATCTAATGCTGTCAGTCGGATGTTGAAGTCCCCCGCTATTATTATGTGACTAATTCTTTTTATAGGTCTAGAAGTACTTGTTTTATGATTTTGGGTGCTCCAATATTGGGTGCTATATATTTAGGATAGTTAAGTCTTCTTGTTGAATTGAACTCCTTATCATTATGTAATACCCTTCTTTGTCCTTTTTCTACTGTTGTTGGTTTAAAGTCTGTTTGATCTGATATAAGAATAGTAACCCTTGTCTTTTTTTGTGTTCCAGTTGTGTGATAGACTTTCTCCAACCCTTTACTTTGGGCCTATGGTTGTCATTATAAAATGTCCTTTTTATACCTTAGAAACATAATTCAGCTGAGGTTTCCTTTATCTGCTACTGATTCTCATGGCTGTTTTTAGTAAGGCAAAAAAATGTGTGTGTATTCTAAAAAAAATTATGTACCTAGCAATTTTGGTTATATATCTTCAGAAAGGTTTTTAGCATGCTATGTGGACCAATGAATCTCAGCATTTTGTTGTTCACAATCTATTTTACTTTACCTAAATATGGCTGCATAGCATGTTATCATAATCGTTCTTGACATTTCATATTTTAAGCCTAAGCCTGTGAAATATAAATATAAACACGATATATATATTTTAAATATCCCATTTTCTGCTAATTGCACTAGTGGAATGATATGAGCTCTGCTTTCTCAATAATTATTCAGATTTGGGCATATTAAGTAAGAAGGGCACTTGCAAGGAAAGCAATGTAATTGTGAGACTAATTGCATCCCAGCCTCCACTTTCGTTGTCTATGGGATTGAGTGAACAGAGGCCAAATTAGAGAGAAATCTTATAGAGATTAAAGTTATTTACCTTAAATTTACCTCTTATTGAAGGAATCTGAAAGATCTTTTATCTGCATATGTATTAAAAACAGGCCATGTTACCCTAATGTTACCAAGGTCTTATGTCTTCAGAAACCAGACATAGTCTGTGGTGTCTTTCTCTCTCTCTCTCTTTTTTTCAACTGAATATTTATTATTATTATTATTATTATTATTATTATTATACTCTAACTTCTGGGATACATGTGCAGAGTATGCAGGTTTGTTACATAGGTATACACATGCCATAGTGGTTTACTGCACCCATCAACCCCTCATCTACATTAGATATTTCTCCTAATGCTATCCCTCCCCTAGCCCCCACCCCCCGACATGCCCTGGTGTGTGATGTTCCCTTCTCCTGTGTCCATGTGTTCTCATTTTTCAACTCCCACTTATGAATGAGAACCTGCAGTGTTTGGTTTTCTGTTCCTGTGTTAGTTTGCTGAGAATGATGGTTTCCAGCTTCAACCATGTCCCTGCAAAGGACATGAACTCAATTCTTTTTTATGGCTGCCTAGTATTCCACGGTGTATATGTGCCACATTTTCTTTATCCAGTCTATCATTGGTGGGCATGTGGGTTGGTTCCAAGTCTTTGGTATTGTGAATAGTGCTGTAATAAACTACATGTGCATGTGTCTTTATAGTAGAATGATTTATAATCCTTTGGGTATATACCCAGTAATGGTATTGCTGGGTCTAATGGTATTTCTAATTCTAGATCCTTGAGGAATCACCACACTGTCTTCCACAATGGTTGAACTAATTTATACTCCCACCAACAGCGTAAAAGCCTTCCTATTTCTCCACATCCTCTCCAGCATCTGTTGTTTCCTGACGTTTTAATGATCGCCATTCTAACTGTCATGAAAGACTTAAACGTAAGACCTAAAACCATAAAAACCCTGGAAGAAAACCTAGGCAATACCATTCAGGACATAGGCATGGGCAAAGACTTCATGACTAAAACACCAAAAGCAATGGCAACAAAAGCCAAAATTGACAAATGGGATCTAATAAAACTAAAGAGCTTCTGCACAGCAAAAGAAACTATCATCAGAGTGAACAGGCAACCTACAGAATGGGAGAAAATTTTTGCAATCTATCCATCTGACAAAGGGGTGTCCCTTTCTCTTGAAGATAGTTTTGGGACATTGTAGATGGGGAAGAGAACCATAAAGTATCTCAACGATCACCCATTTTCTAGTGTCATTGCCTTGGGAATTCTCTTAGGAGACAGGATATCTCTTAGGATAAAGCAAAAACTTTCAAGACATGGTGCTTAGTAGCATTTTCCTGTGTGCAATGAGTCAAATGTGGGCAGCTCTCCTGCCTAGCATTCTGGTACTCAAGTCTTCCTCTCTTTTGCAGCCTTCAGGGGAAATGGAAATAGCTTGAGATTCTTTTCTAAATTCATGAAGTTACCACTGACCTTCAGTTTTCTTAAAGTCTCCACAGATTTTGTAGTTCACTGACCCTCATGAATACTCATGCCCTGCAGGACTTTGAGATTTGGAGAAAAGCAGCAGTTCCCTGGTTCTCTGATTAGAAGTAAATGCATGCACGTAATATTCAAATATTCAGTGGAATAAAGGCATGCACATAATATTCAGATATTTGTCTTTACAAAAGCTCTGTTGATACCAATTGCAGCTTTTCCATCCAGAGTACAGGCCTGAAGATATATTTCCTGAAAATGTATGCCACATAAAAAATAAGTCTTAAAACAAAAAACAAGAACAATGCATTCTTTGCGGCATGTAGAGAGAGCTGAAAGTGTCACATCTTCAGGATGTAAAATAGTTTAAAGTTAATACAACTATGGTGTGTAAAGCTTGTCTGAAAAATAACCAAGGAGTGATGTTATTTGTAGTGATTTTTTAAGCACGTAGACTGTGATGCACCACTGGATTGAGTCTTATTTCCAATAATGGCTCGGGCAAGATAATGAACGTATTATGTATAATACTGCTTCTTGATGACAAAGTAACTCTAAATATTCCCAGACTCTTTGTATGTTTCAGTAGAACTCTTTTGTAATAATGGAATGCACCAAAAGGAAAATGGACCAGAGTTGTTAAACTCCTTTTGATGGAGTAACAAAAGGGCCCATTTTCCTTGCCTTTTCCCTAATTTAGAAATCGTTTTATGAAGCATTTGTTAAGTGAAACATATATGCACAGTTTGGTAAATGAGTTTAGTGGAATGTTGCAGTGTGGGACTAATTACAATCAGAAGAAAGCTGAACTAAAAATCAAGAGACATACAATCAAGTCCTGCTAATTTTTGACCTTGGGCAAAACACATTAGCTTTTTTTCTCAGGTTTTTCATTGGTAGAAGAGGTGTGTATATATGTGTATGTGTGAAAAGGGTAATCTCTGGGTTCTCAAATAAGGTGATACTGACCTCAAGGGAGTGTTTGGAAAACTGTAGGGGCATTTTTATTTGTCACATTCACTTGGGATATTCCTGACATTCACTGGTTGCCAGTCTGGGTTAGAAAACATCCTACAATGCACAAGATGATCTTGCCCAGTGAAGAATTTTCCTTCCTCAAATGACAGTCATCAAGACCCCCCCTTGGGGAAGCTGCAGATGATTCTCTGCAGTCTCTTCCAGTTCTGCATTCAAATTACACAGTTGGTAAAAACAGTATTAGGTTAAATAAAAAGCAGATTCCATGAATCCATAAAATCATGAACACAAGAAACACTTCAAATTTTTACAAAATGCTTGGGGCAGAGGTCATATATATATACTTATTTACCAGGAAGACAAACCATCATTTATTGAGTCTCTCTGTACAAGCCATTTTTGTAAATGAAATAATCGACATTTTATTTTATTTTATTTTTTTGAGATGGAGTCTCGCTCTGTTGCCCAGGCTGGAGTGCAGGGGCGCGATCTCAGTTCACTGCAACATCTGCCTCCCGGGTTCAAGCAATTCTCCTGCTTCAGCCTCCCAAATGGCTGAGATTACAGGTGCGCACCATCATGCCGGGCTAATTTTTGTATTTTTAGTAGAGATGGGGTTTTGCCTTGTTGGCCAGGCTGGTCTCAAATTCCTGACCTCAAGTGATCTGCCTGTCTCAGCCTCCCAAAATGTTGGGATTACAGGCATGAGCCATCATGCCTGGCCAAATCGTAGACATCTTAATGAGAACGGCTCAATTTAGATGTTATTATTATATTGCCGAAAATAAGCCTGAAGCTTAGGGAGGATGGGCAACTTGTCTAAGACTGCAAGTGGCAGAACAAAAATGTTAATTTGAACCTGTCTGGCTCCAAATCTGGGGCTCTTTCCTCACATTATGCTCCTTTGAAGATGGAAAATAGTCAAGATGAGGATAGAAAAGTACATGTGTGTCAAGTGACCATGAAGAACTTTTTCTAGTTCCTTGGTGGATGTATGTTAGTTACTGTTTTGCCTCTGACCCTTTGCAAAGGCTGCATCTTTTTTCCTGAACTCCTCTTCTGCGCTTGACCAACTCATCTTCATCCTCAGATCTTGCTTGTGCTTTGCTTCCTCTGGGAAGCTTTCCCTGACCACGTGGAATGGATGTTAGGAGCCTGCTTTGTTCCAGGAGTCTCCAGTACTTCCTCAATCATCCACACTCCACCTTAGTGTAGCTGTTTGATTGACTTCCACGCTGGTCGTAAGCTTCATGAGGATGAAGTGCGATGGGTCCCCATTTCCAAGCACTGTATATTGCACATTACGAAATATTTGTTGAGTAGAGGGACATAAAAAGTGAACACAGCAATTCAGTTTAAGAAACACAGTGATATTAATTTGAACGTTTGTTCTTTGAACTCTTTTAACATTAAATAGCATTCATTTTATATAAATACATAATTTTACATATACTTATTGCTGTAATTCTTTATAGTATGCATTTCTAAAATTTATTTCTCATACTCGTGTTTACTCTTCTACTTTTACTATTTAATATGTTTTATTTTATGTATCTTTGTGTTTGTATTTGTTTTCTTTAGACATGCTGTGTATCAGTTAAATGCATGATGATAATATATTCTGGGGACAGAATAGCAGAAAAGGCAGAGTGAAGACAGTGGAGCCAGGTGGCCTGAGTTTGAGAATCTTGGTTCTACCACTTACTAGCTACATGGCTTTTGACAAGTCACTTGGCCTTTCTTCATAGAAAAAAAAAAAAAGAAAGAAAGAAAATAGGAGTACTTATCCCTGATGATTGTTTTGAATATTAACAAAGGTAATACATGTAATATATGCAGTATAAGTAAAGCACTTAAGGGGCTTGAGAAAAAGTGTTAGTACATGTGCAGTTATTCTTATTCTTATCTTTCTCTTTGATTGGGCCATTTTAAGGTATTATAGATTAAAAAATGTATGAGAAAGGGGAAATGATTAAACTTGATTATTTCCATTCAGGGGACGTTAAATAGTTTTCTAAATCTTTGATTTAGAAGACTCAAGGTGACTTATGCCAATCAGTACCAGCGCAAAGAAGCAAGGAGCACATCGCTTGTCCCAGGATGGACTTAGAGGGTAACACTCTGGAAGAGACAATCAGCCATCTGGTGTCACGTTATTACTCCAGTGAAGCTTTGTTCTTATCTACCTCCTTTGTGCTGTTACTGTCAGCACATGTAGGCTCTGTCGTAATTCTTTTCTGAAAAGGTGAGATTGAAGTCTTACGAGCCTATCAAAGAGCAGGTCCCTGTGGCTAATATTGGTGATAGATTTTTGCAATATGGCAGTACACAACCTTAATACTCTATGTTAGGAACCTTCTAAATCTCCTTGATGATAATTTAACAAAAGTCTTATATGCATCTCAAGGAATTAATCACCAAAGCTATTCTCTCTTTTGGGTGCTAGGCCCCAAAATAAACAGGCCTCACAATAAACAGTTTGAGACACATCTAAAACCAACATTTTCAAGTTTTCTCACTCTTGTTTTAGTGTATGGATCACTGTGAATCTCTAGTTTGCAAATAATTAATGGATGACAATTATGCTGCTTTCCACAGTACCATTTCTTGTTAATCTTGGCTGGTCATGCAACTTGTACGAGGACTCATTTTAAATCATAGCGATAAATCCTGATTAGTGAAATGTGCATACAAGTTTCTCAACATATTGTACTGTGAAATACTGGATTAACAAATGTATGTTTGTATAATCCTCATCAGTAATGATATTTGGCTTGAGAGGTGAGGAATTGAAATTTAAGCAGTGTTATTTTTTTCTCACTTTTGGAAGTCTGGAGAGTTTATATTTTAGCTATTTATTAAACCATGAATAGTGTAAACTGTCATTGATATGCTATAATGTCAAGAGAAAGCTAAGAAAGTCAAAATTATTCAAGACACAATGTGGCAGATTTTGATAATAGGGAATATGTAGTGCACTGTTACAAAAACCGGATCTTGGAAGAATATCTGCTTGGTGATAGTAATGGCATTCTCCAGTTTTCTATTGAGAAAGCTCATTTGCTCCACTGGAGAGCTTCTTATATCCTTAAATGATATACATGTGTGGGAAAATACCAGAAGAATTTTTTTTTTTTGAGAAATGGGGCATATTTGTACCCCAGACTGGTTGGGTTTTGCTTTAATGCTTACCAAATCACTATCATTCTAAGGCTATTTATATTGGTAATTACCTGGTTTTTTTATTTGATTACTCTTGCTAATTAAGAATTGGGTAAATAATGTGGGACAAGACATAATATCTATGTTGTACACTTTTCTGTGAATATATTTTATAATACCTTATGCAAATGGTAAGTTTTCTCAGGTGTAGCAGGTAGCATGGTCATGACAATTCCAGGAATATATTGGAATACCTTTGTTCTTATGTTGTTAAGGAGAACAACAACTACATTAAAAGAGCTGAGAGAAGAAAGTAAGACAAATATGTATTTATAAAGCTTGCTATATTAACCTTCTTATTTACCATTTCTGGGTCTCTTCCTTTCTTCTTATGACTTTGAGTTTTTGTACTGTGTCATTTTCTTATCCCAATACAATTTTCTTCTTTCCTGTCTATTTTGTGCTGGTATTGTCAAATATGTTTCATTTCTATGTGTTAACAGACCCCACAATGCAATCACATACATATTGTTTTGTGGAATTGCTTTTTAAGTTAGTTAAGAGAAGAAAAGAGAAGAAATGTGCAATTATATTATCTTTTAGAATCAACTACAGAAATACCTTTCTCGGCATTCTTTCTGTTTTATATGTGTGGATTCAAATTATTGCTTATCTGTTTTCTTCAGCCTGAAAACTTTCCTTTGTATTTCTTCTAAGGTGGGTCTGTGAGCAACAGACTGTCTCAGTTTTTGTGTATATGGAAGTGTATTTATTTGGCCTTCATTTGAAAAAATTGAGGTATAATTTAGAAGCTATAAAATTCTCTCCTTTAAAGCGTGTTATGTGGTTTTTACTAAATCCACAAAGTTGTGTAACCATCATCACTATCTAACTTCAGAACATTTTAATTACCTCACAAAGAAACCCTACATCCACTAGCAATCATTATTCATTCCTCCTACCCCGTAGTCTTTGGCATCCATTTTCTGTTTCAATGCATTTGCTTATTCTGGGCATTTCATATAAATAGAATCATATAATGTGTGGATTTTTGTCAGTCTACTTTTACTTAGCATAATGTTTTAAGGTTCACTCATGTTGTATTATGCGTCAGTATTTCATTTCTTTTTATGGCTAAATATTCTATCTATGAATATATCATTTTATTTACCTATTCATCAGTTTTTGGACATTTGACTTGTTTCCACTTTTTGGGTATTTTGATTAATGCTGCTATAAATATGTACACAGAAGTTTCATGTAGATATGTTTTCAGTTCTCTTGTGTATGTACCTAGGAGTGGAATTGCTGGGTCATATAGTAACTCAACGTTTAACTTTTTGAGGAACTGCCAAAGTAGTTTCTGTAATAGCTGCACCATTTTACATTCCCACTAACAATGTATTGCTTCTAATTTCTTCACATCCTTTCCAAAATGTGTTATTTCCTCCTTTTTGAATATAGCCATCCTAATGGGTATGAAGTGGTGTGACTCTAGTTGTGGCTTCAAATATGTCGTTTCATTGCCCTCTGGCTTTTAAAGTTTCTGATGAGAAGCCAGCTGTTAACCTTGTTCAGGTCCCCTTAACATGATGTATCTTTTTTTCCCTTGCTGCTTTCAAGATTTCCTCTTTGTATATCAATATTTTGACTATGACGTGAGGATAACAGCTCTTTGTATTTATTCTATATGAAGTTTGTTGAGCTTCTTGGATGTGTGGATTAATGATTTTCATCAAATTTAGAAAATTTTCAGACACAATTTCTTCAAATACATTTTTGATCTTTTTTCTTTCCCCGTTTTTTTTCCTGGAACTCCCACTATGCATATGTTGGTGTGTTAATGATGTCCCACCTTTTTCTGAGGTCCTGTTCATGTTTCTATGTTTTTCTTTCTGTTTTTGAGACTGCTTAGTCTCTATTGATCTATCTTTGCCAGTTTTTTCTTCTGAGAGCTCAAATCACTGTTAAGCCCCTCTAAGTTTTTTATGTTTGGTAATTTCACTTATCAACTACAAAATTTTTGTTTTTATAATTTTTATCTCTTTGTCGTTTTTATAATTTCTATCTCTTTACTGATACTATCTATTTGATGAGACACTGTCATCATAAATTCCTTTAACTCTTTAAGCATGGGTTCCTTTAGCTCTTTGAACATACTAATAGTAGTTGTCTTGAAGTCTTTGTCTGATAAGTCCAACATCTAGGCCCCTTAAATAAGGTCCTTCCTATTGCCTGCATTCTCCTCACTGTATATGGATCACACATTCCTGTTTCCTTACTGTTTTTTTGATAACTAGACCTTTAAATTAATACATTGTAGCAACTCTGGATACTGATCTCTCACTGCTTGGAGCTTATTGTTTGCTTCCTTATTTGTTTAATAACTTGGCTGGACTGCTTTAATGAGATCTATTCCCCGTAATGTGCAGCCTATGATGTCCCTTCTGAGAGGGCACCGCCATGGGCCCACAGTCTTTAATCCTGATCACCAGAGGTGACTGTGGTTTTAATCAGGCTCTTTTTGACTATTTCTTTTCTGTTTCAGCTTCTGCTCTTTCTCTATTCATATCACATTCCTCTGTAGGATCCACTAATTGCTAGCTGATTGCTGTATTTTTTTGGACAACACGCTATGTATGGCATTAATTGTTCCATAGTTTGATACAATTAAAATTCAGCCCCTTGAAAGGGGCAGGTTGTTGCCAGTCTTTGAGGCTGGTTGGTATCCTCTCCTGAATAGAACCTCTATGCAACAGAGTAAGAGCTGAGAGGTGAACTAGATTTTCATTGGCTATCCCACCTGTATCCTCCCTGGAGAGATGGGTCTGTGTGTGTAGGAGGATGGAGGGAGGTAAGGGTTGGTATCACCTCTTGGTTTTGGCCACCAGCTAGCATGGATCTGCTGTAACCCAGTGCCAGAGAGGGTGGAAACTGCTGACATTCATCATCTGCCACATGGTCTTTGCCTTAGGAAGCTGGTGGAGGTGGGAGCTGACACTTGGGTGCCACACCCACTGGAGCAACTCAGAACTGTGTAGGAAAGGGGGACTGCATTCTTCAACAGCTGTCCTGCCTGGGTCCTACCCAAAATGCAGGGGTTGATGTGACAAAAGTTGCCCCCCAGCTGTTGCCAACTGCTTGATAGAGGTCCTCTGTATACAGATATGTAGAAAGTGGGATCTGCTGATATTCACGGGCTGCTGAAACCACCCAGAATAGTAATTCCATCCCACAGAGCTGAGGAGGATAGGAACTTCCAGTTGGGTACCAAACCCACTGGGCCCACTGAAACTCTTCTGCAAGGGAGAGGTGTTGGTGGATGGGTGCAGTCTCTAGTTTGAATGTTGCAGCCTCCACAGTTCTTACTGAGTTTCCAGAGATTTTTTTGAGTAAGGGCTTTTCAATTTGTTGTAAGGTCTTTGATTAGTCTTTAGAGACTTTAAATAATTGTTTTTGCTAATTTTGACCCGCATACTTGATATCGCTCTAGTGGAGAGGTTTTACTGAACTATTCACAACATCATCTCAGAAATCCTGCTTCTCACAATTAAATTATGTAATTATAAAACCCTGCCATATATTTTAAAGCAATTTTTGCTTATTGAATAATTTTTCAGCTAATTAGCTCATTTCACCTCTACTAAGAACTGGCCTTTCAAAATCTCAAAATCTCAAACTAGATGTTCTTACTTGGGACCTATTTATGAATGTGTTCAGATCACAGTACTCATGTCACCAAGATCATGACATGTTTTAATTTGCTCCAAGAAGCACAAAATCTATCCACTGGGCCATTCTACTGCCACTTTAAATCTCAAGAAGATAAACTCTATTTTTAATGTCTTTATTCACTTGGGTGTTTTATCTTTCCATTTTGAAAAAGACATCCAAAAAATTTCTTCCTTCATATAATTATTATTTTTCTTGCCTTGGGAAGTGGTGGCTGGTCTCTCTGGTTATCCTGGGGGTGCTGCCTTGGCTACTCAAAGCTGAGAGCTCAAGGTGAGCCAGGATCTGCACCCGCAGCAGCAGTATTTCAATATGCTGGAGCATTAGCCTCTACGGAGGAGTGTACTGGAGCCAATAGAGGAAGATGCCCAGTGAAGACTGGGATCTGGGTCCCAAATCCACCATTTTATTTCCAATAGTCAAAGATGTAAGAGTGTTTTCAATAAGTTTATTTAAAAGGAAAAAACCCACACACATACCTATATTCCATCATTGTAAAAATTATTTCCGCTTTTGTGTATTATTGTATTATTCTTGTCCATTTGCAAATAATTCTTATATTATGGAAATCTCAATTTTTAAAAAACTCTGTGGTTTTTAAATGTCATACCATTCATTTTAGATCCTTAGGTTTTTCAGGCTAGAAGTGGAGATGTAAAAAACTTGTTGCTCATCTTTAAAAAAATTTACTTTTCAAAGTTTAGATAATATTTCAAAATTTCATCTTTGTAGTTGGTAGAATTTTGGATCTGGAAGGAAAAGACCATCTATTTAATATTTTTTTTTACAAAAGAGAAAACAGGGGCCCAGATAAGTTACCTGAGCTGCCTAAAGGGAAAAGTGGCCAATGGCAGAATTATGAGGATTTTTCTGACTCCTAGGTGCTTTCTTAAGTCTCACTATGTTCCCTTGGCTGGCCTCAAACTCCTGGGCTTAAATGATCCTCCTGCCTCAGCCTCCTGAGCAGGTGGGACTACAGGCCTGCACCACCATGCTTGACTTTTCCTTGCATTTTTAACAGCATGCTTTATACTAATAAACATCAGCAAATAAGGCTAAACAAGTTATTTAAATTATTTTTTCCCCACACCTGGCACAGAGCTCAAATAGTGACTTTTGGGCTTTAAACATTTGCTCTTTGGAAACCTAACTTGGCACACACGGTAAGAATATAAAGATGATTTCTCTTTCCTGGAAATTTCAGGTTGTCTGGGATACAAACAAAAGGGCTGCCAGGTCGCCCAAAGCACATGCTGAAGCATGCCAAGGAAGGCTTCTGATTGGTCCCAGCCTTCCAGGTCTCTATGGGCCTCATTAATTTGATGTGCTTTGCTTCTATGACAATAGAACACTGGCCTAGTCAATTACTTGGAACTGCATTTCTCAGCTTGTCACACTCCCCCTGTCTTTTAGGGTCTGGAAATAACTGGGAAAGAAAAGCCTTGTGGAAAGAAGACATCTCCAGGTTTGTTTCCTTCTTGCACCCTGTAAAAGAATGTGGATCTTCCCTCAAATAAGTAAAGGTGAATTTATTCACTTAAAAACACTGAAACTGTTTTGATTGCAATGTATGGAAACATCCAAGTTTTAAAAACAGTCAACTCTTTGATACACGCTTATCTCATTAGTCTCTCCTTTTTAATGGAAAATTTCTTGTTTCCACATGTAAAGGTAAGCAATGCAGTTTCTTTATGCTTGAAAACATTAGACCACTAAATATTTCTAATTCCAATATTTTAAAATAGCCATTGTATAGAATAGTTTTATTCCAGACTGACATGAACATTCTCATATTTCTTGTTTTTAAGACAATACAAATTGTAGCCCTTTCACTTTCCATATGCGGAAAGGGCTGTAGTGGAAATAAGAACCAGCAAAAACCAGACTTTCTACTCTAGTGTTATGTTACTTGAAAGTCAAAACCTCAGTTTCCTTCAGTCTTATAAAGGGGTTGATAACCTGTTATGTAAGTCACAAGCCTTATGTTGGCTCTATTTTAGTAAGACAGTTTTCACTGTGAAAAAGTAAAGAATCTGCTGTTAACTTACTTTTTCTACCACATGCCAACAATTTGAAATGTAGAATTTTCTTCTTTTCTGATATTTCAGAAGTTCAATTCCTCTACCTGTTTTTAAAATTCTATTTTCTCTAATCTCCGTCAATTGGTGTAATAGATATTTATTGAGCTCAGATTCAGGAAATGCTCACAGCAGCATTAAAAATGTTAAAATAATCTCCTTCCATTTTAGGGACAAGGAACTGATGCTGAAGAGCTTAAAGAACATGTACAAAGTCTTATTGGGAGTAAATGAGTTAGGACTTGAACCCAAGACTGACTCAAAGGCCTGAGCTTCTATCCATTAGTGCTAAACAATCAGTTCTAGTGCTTTCATCATCTGTCGCGTTCTTTCTCCTAACTTTTAAACATGTTCCAGTGTCTCCTTCTTTAAACCAATAGTAGAGATTTATTTTCTAGATCCTACTTCTCAAGCCCATCTTTTTCCTTCCTTTCATTGTTCAATACCTTGAACAATTAGTCTTTACACACAGACTCCACTTCTTTACCTCTCCATCCACTCCCCAACTCACTACCACCTGGCTTTTGCCTCTACCATTGTAAAAACTCCTTTCACGAAGGTGAACAATTATTTAAGTGCTAACTCTTATGGCCTTTCCTTTAAACATTTTAAACTCAAAGTACAAGTGCAAAGATTTAATTTTGATGAATTTTTACGTATTTACACACTACTCATATCAAGTTATAAAATATTTGCGGCATTCCAGAAGGCTCCCTTGTGCTTCTTGACAGTCTTATGCTTAACCCCACTCACAGGTGCCCCCATTCTGATTTCTATCACCACAGACTAAGCTTAAACTAATTTTGAATACTCTGTACATAGAATCATGTACTTGTCTCCTTTTGTATCTGGTTTTGTTTACTCAATATTATGTCTAGTAGATTTATACAAACATCTATATGTAGTTTATTTTTAAAAATTTGCTGAGTAGTATTCAAGATCTGAGTAAGTCACAGATTACTTATTCATTCTACTCTTGATAGACGTATGGTTTATTTTCAGTTTTTGCTATTACTAATAAAGCTGATGTGAACAGTCTTGTACATGGCTTTTGGTAGACATAGCACTCATTTTCTTGGGGCATATACACAGAAGTGGAATTGTTAGCTCATAGACTAAGCATTTACTAAGTTTTGGTAGATTCTGTCAAATGGTTTTTGAAGGTGATTTCACCAATATATACCCTTACTGGTAATATATGAGGGTTTTAACTACTTTATATCTTCACTGTCACTTGATACTGTCCGTCTTCTTTTAGGTGGTACTGTTTTTAAAAATTCCATTTTCCAATTGTTCGTTGTTAGAATTAGAAATACAATTTACCTTTTAAAAGATTTATTGAGATATAATTCACAAACCATACAATTCACCCATTTAAAGTATAAAATTCATATTCAAAGTATAATAACAAGTATAATAAAAATTCAAAGTATAATAAAAAGTTGTATAACCGTCAACACAATCAATTTTAGAACATTTTCATTACCCCAAGAGGCAACAGTCCCAAAGCCCCAATTCTGTGTCACTATTGCCCTCCAGCTCTAGGAAACCACTAATCTGCTTTTTATCTCCAGATTTACCTGTTCTGGCTATTTAATATAGGAGGAATCAGACACTATGCGATCCTTTCTGATGGCTTCTTTCACTTAGCATCATATTCTCAGGGTTCGTGCATGTTATAACATGCTTCAGTACTTCATTCTTTTTTATTGCCAAATAATATTCAATTTTATGTATATACCACATTCTATTTATTCATTCATTCATTGATATACATTTGGATCTTTTTCATTTTTGATTATTATGAATAATGCTGCTATGAACATTTGTGTATATATTATTGTATGGACATATGTTCCATTTCTCTTGCATATATACCTAGGAGTGGAATTGCTGGATCATATCATAACCCTATATTTAGACTTCTGAGGAAATGCCAGACCCTTTTCCAAAGTGGTTAACCATTTTAAATTTCCTACAACAAGGTGTAAAGATTCTAATTTCTCCATATCATTGACAACACTTACTATTATCTTTTTATTATAGCTACCCTAGTGTGTATACAGTGATATCTTATTGTGATTGCATTTGCCTGATGGTTAAGGATATTGAGACTTTTTTCATGTGCATATTGATTGGTCTTTTGTATATATGTGTGAACACATATATTTTGGGAAGTGTCTGCTCAGATCTTTTGCCCATTTTTAGCTGGCTTGTCTTTTCATTACTAATTTATAATAGTTATTTATATTTTCTAGTTAAAAGTCCATATTTGATATATTATTTGCAAAACTTTTTTGGTATACTTCAGGTTGTCTTTTCACTTTCCTGATGGTGTCTCTGAAGCACAAAAGTTTTCCATTTTGATGAAATCCAATTTACCACCTTTCTTTGATTGCTTGTGCTTTTGGTGTCATATATAAGAAACCATTGCCTAATCCAGGGCCATGAGTATTTATGCCTCTATTTTTTTTCCCAACAGTTACATAGTTTTAGCCCTTACATTCAGGACTTTGATCCGTTTTGAATTTTTTTTTAAAATATATGTTGTTAGGTAAGGTTTCAACTTCATTCTTTTGCATCCAATTGTCCCAGTGCCATTTGTTGAATTAGCTTTTTTTTTTTTTTTTTACCATTGAATTGTCTTGCAATCCTTGTCAAAAATAAATTCATCATAAATATGAGGATTTATTTCTAGACTTTCAATTCTATTCCACTGTCTCACATGTCTATTCTCATTCAAGTACTATATTGTCTCAATTACTGTGGCTTTGTAGAAAATACTGAAATCAGTTAGTATGAATCTTCCAACTTTGTTCTTTTTCAAGATTGTTTTGTTATTATGGGCTCCTTGAATTTCCAAATCAATTTTATTTATTTGGATAAGCTTGTCAACTTCTGCAACAAAGTCAGCTACTGGGATATTGATAGAGATTGTGTTGAATCTGTAGATTTATTTGGGAAGTAATGCTATCTTAGCAATATTAAATCTTCTAATCCTTGCACATGGGAAGTCTTTCCATTTATTTAGGTCTTCTTTAATTACCTTCAACAGTGCTTTGTAGTTCTCAGAGTATAAGTTATACACTTCTTTTTGTTAAATTTATTCATAAGGATGTTATTCTTTTTGGTGCTATTACAAATAAAATTGTTTCTTCATTTCATTAAATGTTACCATTTAGAAATACAATTAGTCATTGTACATTGATCTTCCTTCCTGCAATCTTTCTATCTTAGTCTGTTTGTGCTGTTACAAAAAATCTGAGACTGGGCAATTTATAAAAAACATAAATTTATTTCTTACAGTTCTTGAGGCTGGGAAGTCCAAGATCAAGATACTGGCAGTTCTAATATCTGGTGAGGGCTTAATCTCTGCTTCCAAAATCGTGTCTTGAATGCTGTGTCCTCACATGGTGAAAGGGACAGAAAGGCAAAAGAGAACAAACACTGTTTTCTTACATGGTGGAAGAGCAGAAAGGGATGACCACTAGTTCCCTCCAGTGCTTATAAGCTCTTCCTACAGGACTTAATCACCTTCAAAGGGTCCCACCTCTTAATACTATCACATTGACAATTTCACATTTCAGTACACAAATTTGGGGGGACATTCAGATCATAACATTTGCCAATTTTTTTTCTTAATTCTAATGGATTGTTAGTGGATTCCTTGGGAATATGTAAAACTATATTTGCATTTGTTCTGACTATATATATTACATAACAATACCCAAATTATATAAATGGATACACACACACATATATATGCATACTTATATGTATATACACACATGTACACATATATGTATATGTATAAAAATTATATATATGTATATATGTGTGTGTGTATATATATACACACAGAAACGCTCTATTGACCAGAGGTGTTGAGAGCAGATATGCTTGTATTTCTTCTGATCTTAGAAGTGAAGTATCCAGGCTTTCACCATTAAGTAGTATGTTATGCGTTTTTTTGTAGATGTCTTTTATCAAGTTGAGGGCATTTCGTTCTATTCCTAGTGTATTTACTTTTTTAAAAAGTCATGAAACAGTATGGAATTTTGTCAAATGTTGCCTCTGTCTATTGTAATAATCATGTGGTTTTGTCTGTTATTCTATTAATGGCATTTATTACATTAATTGATTTTGAAATCTTAAACCAACTTTGTATTTCTGGGATAAGTCCTACTGGGTCAGGACTTTTTCTATTCGAATTTTCTATTTCTTCTTGAAACAGTTTCTGTAATATGTGACTTTCTAACTATTTGTCCATTTCATCTAGATTGTCTAATTTGTTGCATACAGTTTTTTTAAAAATAGGATTCCCTTATCATCCTTCCTATTTCTGTAATGTCTGTAGTAATGTCTCATTTTTCATTCCTGATTTTATAATTTGAGTCTTCTTTCTGTTTTCCTTCATTAGTCTTGCTAAAGTTTTGTCAAATTGTTGATCTTTTCAAAGCTTCAACTGTCAGTTTTGTCTGTTGTTTTTCTGTTCTCTTTATTCTTGATCTAATCTTTATTATTTCTTTCAATCTCCTTACTTTGGATATGGTTTGTTCCTCTTTTTCTAATTTGTTAAGGTGTAAGGTTAGGTTATTTTTTTAAGATCTTTGAGTAAGCGTTCGCAGCTGTAACATTTCCTTTAAGTACCTGCATTCATTGAATCCAATAAGTTTTAATATTTTGGGTTTTCATTTTCAGTTTTTCATAGTTTTAAACATTTTCCTTGTTATTTTCTCCTCAATTTTTTGTTGAATTTTTACTTCATCCCATTGTAGTTGGAGAACATACTTTGTGTGATTCAATCATGTGCAATTTATTGAGGTTTGTTTTATGCCCTCTATGTGGTCTATCCTGGAGAATGTTTCATGTGTGCTTGATGAGAATGTATGTTTTGTTTTGTGCAGTGCTCTATAGATGTCTCTTAGATCCAATTTTTAACATTTTCTATTTATATATTGATCTTCTGCCTAGTTTTATTTATTGTTGAAAGTGGGTTATTGAAGTCTCCAACTAGTATTGTTGAATTATCTCTGTTTCTCTTCAATTCCATTAATTTTTGGGTCTCTGTTATTAGGTGATTACATTGTAATAATAATTATTATTTTTCTGATGGATTTACCTTGTTGTCATTAAAATATCTTTCTTTTTCTCTAACTACTGTTATTATTTTGACTACTATTTTGTCCAGTATTATTAAAACTATTCCAGCAATTTTTTTAACTGCTTGTATGTTATATATATTTTTTATACTTCAACGTGATATGTCTTTGAATCTAAAGTGTATGTTTTGTAGGCAACAAATAATTAGATTATTAAAAAAATCAATTTTACCAATCTCTGCCTTCTGATTAAATGTTTATATTTATCTGATTAGCTCTGTTTATATTTAATATATGTACTGATAAAATAGGTTTTATGACTGTCATTTTACTGTGTTTCCTACATGTTTTATTTCTATTTCTCTATTTGTTCCCTCTATTGTACAAATAGATATTTTCTAGTGGATATTTTAAATTATTATTTTTTGTTTCTCTTCCTATATATTTTCAGTTATTCTCTTAGTAGTTGCCCTGAGATGACAGTATCATAACTTAAATAATTTAGTTTGAATTAACAGTAACTTAGTTTCAGTGGCATACCAACGCTTTGTTCTAATTTACCACAGTTTTCTCTCCTGTCATTTGTAGTCTTATTGTCATACAAGCTACATCTGTATAAATAATAATAGCATCAACAGTGTAGTATAATTATGCAGATATCTTTTAAAATACATTAGAGAAGAGTTATATACAAAAGTGCATTTATATCATATTTCAGAATACCTACATTTTTATCTTTATTGTTGCTTTGTGGGAATTTCTTTGTGTAAATTCAAGTTATTGTCTGGTGTCTTTTCATGTCAGCCTAAAGCCTAAAGTAGTGTAGGTGTGCTAACAACAAATTATGTGTTTGTATTTATCTCGGATCATGCAGTTTCTTCATTTTTTAAGGAGATTGTTTAGATGTATATAGAATCCTCGGTTGACAGTCTTGTTAAATTTTATTTTATTTATTGATATATAATAATTATATATATTTTTGGGATAAATGTGATATTTTGATACTTGTATGCCATGTGTAATGACCAAATCAAGGTAATTGTGTTATCTATCACCTCAGTGACAATCTTTTTATTTTAATACTTTAAAGATGTCATTCTGCTGTCTTCTGGCATACATGGTTTCTGATGAGAAGTCAACTACAAATGTTATTGAAGATCCCTTAAATGTGATAAATTGTTTTTCTTTCCTGTTTTCTGTTTTTGACTATGGTGTATTTATCACTATCAATCACTGTCAATTTGACTATAGTGCATTTAAATGTAGGTCCCTTTGAGTTTATTCTACCAAAATGTATTGAGTGATTTGAATATGTAAATTAATATTGTAACATTTAATTTTCAGTTCTTCATAATTTTTGTGTTAGTCACTTTGTATAAAATAATACTACAGAGTGAGGTAAATGATATTTACCTTGTAAAAGGAGCATATTTTTTCTTAGGTCAGGCCACTGTTGTGTGGAATTAGTCAATCTAAAGTTTTTTACCTGAGTCTGGGCTTTATCTGATTCATTTCACTACTTTTTTCAAATATTGAAAGCAAGTATGGAATGAGAACTTTGGTTTCCCAGGCCTGGGACTTAAGTGTTGGCAGTATTTCAGAGATCTACCTTTGATTCACAGGCAAGTTGAGAGATCTCTTCTTGCTTTACAACTTTGCTCTCTGTTTTTTGGGTTACTGCATTTCAATCTCACCCTGCTTTCTGAACTACCAGAGATCACTTTTTAGTGCTGCTTTTCTGCCCTCAGATATTTGGAAGGTGGAAACTCTACCCTCTGTGAAGGCTAATGATGCCTTGGTGTGGGCACTCTCAGCTGGCTTCTCCTCCAGTCTTTGGCATTTGAAAGTGTGGGTGGCTTGGAACATTTTTAACTCTCTTGCCTGGCCCCTTCGTTGAATGAAAATCCCAAGTACCTATGGGTGACATCCTTTCTCTGTCTCTCCCACTCCACTTTTGCCATATGACATTGAAGCACTAACTGATGGCTTGTGAGGGAGAGTTGGCAGGTAGTTGGAGACATGCTTTGTGTCTGGAACTCCTAAGGATTCTAGCCTTTCATACTACTACACATGCACCAATTAGAAATTCATTGTTTTTCTCCCTATCTCCTCCTCTTCTGCAGGGATAGGAACAGTCTTTTCTCTCTTCTGAAGGTTCTTCATTTTTTGGAGTTTGAGTCATTTGAGTTATTTTGGTTCCTTAGGTCTCTGATGTGTTTCTAAAATATCCATGATTTTGTAGCCTATGTGGCTTGTTACATCATTCAGATGCGAGTAACAGTATCTTGTCATTTTCTGCATCCAAACTGGAAGTGAAATCATCCCTAGGATTTTAAGATACTATTTACTTTTCCCATTAGAAGTCCTTTGAGATATGAGGTCTTTTTATCCCCATTTCATAGGTAAGGAAACATACCATGTTCAAAGTTCAATAATCTTTCCAGTGCTAGGTAGTCAATGAGTTTCAGTTTTCATTTAAAATCAGATTTTTTTACTTTAAATTCATTTATTGATTTTCTCATTCACTATATCTTTTGGGGCCAAGAGAGAGGAAAGAATGATTCATACTTCAGAACTGAATTGAGAAAACCATCATTTCGTGTTGTATTGTCAGGTATTCTATTCCCAGGAAGGTAGATTTTAAAGAAGTCTATCTTAAAATAAATTGGGAAGCATTCCATAAATTCTTCCGTTGAAAATTCTGATTGTGACCCAATTTTGCTGCTTTTCTCACCAGCTGAATAAGTGAACTTCAGAGCTTATCCAAACCAGGTAGAGAGCAGCTGTTCTGGTGTCCATCACTCTGGTGCGTACACTCTGAAGTGACTTATTAGCCCATTAGCAGCTGGCTTAGTGGAATTTTGAAAGAACCTGTGCTTCTCAACCCAAATGCCTGAGACCCAGAGAGAGAACACTTGGCTACTGATACCTGAAGAATAAATTACTTCAAATTCTGGGGGAAAATTTCTCAAAATAAAAATGAACATAAATGTAAAAATATTCCTAAGGAATACGCATGCACCTGAGGTCCCCCAAATTTTATATTTTGAGACTTCTAAGGTGATAATCCTTTGTTTTCTAAAGAATATAATTAACACAAATTGGTTCCCTGTGTCACTTTTGAATTTTCAAAGTGTGGTCTGATTTTTTTAGTTTGAGATTAATTTAAAAGAAACAAGCTGATGTGTAGAGTTAAAGGCACCATGTCACCCGAAATCATGTTTTAGTGTGTTTCCCCTCACCCCAGCCCTTTTCATATTGCCTTCTTTGTTGCTGCAACTGTGCATCTTGCTTTGGCTTTAAGCATCTCTATACGTTAACTCAAAAGGAAACATTGTTCTGTCCTGACTGACTCTTAGATAATTCTCCAGTCTGTAAGTTAGGAAGAAAATCTCAAGAATAACCACTAAAGAACCTACTCATGTAACCAAATACCACCTCTTTCCCAAAATCCTATGGAAATAAAAAATTTTTAAAAAACAATATGGGAGTGAAGATTATTTTGTTTGTGTAGTCACAGTGATACTTTTAAAGTGCAGATAGTGGAGATCTGAATAGACAGTTCCCCTGCTAGCAAATGCTTCAATGGCTCTCCACTGACCTGAGGAATCAACCCTCCTTTCCATTTGATTTATATGATTCTTCATGGTCTGGCATGGCTTACTCCTTAAGTCAGACTCTAGACTTTATCCTCACTGTGCTTCTCATCCATCATGGTTTTGCTAACCATACTGGTGATAGCACAATTAGGGATTTGATCTGTTACCCTCTTTAACTTTTCTCCAGCAATTCATAAGAATGACTCCCCTCTTCTTTTGGAAATGTTCTACTCCATTTGCTTCTATGACAATGGTTTCTTCTTGTGATCTTCCTAAAGTACTTGTCATTCGGTCTCAGTTTCAGTTTTGGACATGTTAATTTTGAAATGCATGTGAGAGAGCCAAGCAGGGATCATTAGTATCCAAGGAATTTGGATATATGGGTCTGGAGATCCTCCTGGCTCCTCTTTTGAATTATCTTCAACTGAGGTCCTAACATCTCAGTCCTGGGTCCTCCTCTTTCCATCTCTCTCTGTTCTCCTTTCATATTTCCTTTTCCTTCTCCCTGCTCTCTTTTATTCTCTTTGGCAATGACTTTTAAAATCTATGATATCAGGGGAACCCACCCCCAATATTTCAACATAGGTTCTATTTTCCATAAGTGTTGGCCGGCTGAGAAAGAGAGAGAGTACAGAGAGAGGAATTTTACAGCTGGGCCTCTGGGGGTGACATCAGCTATCAGTAGGACCGTGATGCCCACCTGAGCCTTAAAGCCAGCAAGTTTTATTAAGGATTAGAAAAGGGGAGGGGGGTGCAAGAACAGGGAGTAGGTCACAAAGATCACATGCTTCAAAGGGCAAAAAGGAGAATAAGATCACATGCTTCTAAGGGCAAAATCAGAAACTTCTGATAAGGGTCCAACAAAGATCACAAGGCAAATGGCAAAAGCAAAGATCACAAGTCAAAGGGCAAAAGCAGAATTACTGATAAGGGTCTATGTTCAGTGGTGTACGTATTGTCTTGATAAACATCTTAAACAACAGAAAACAGGGTTTGAGAGCAGAGAACTGGTCTGACCTCAAATTTACCAGGGCAGGGTTTTTCCCCACCCTAGTAAGCCTGAGGGTACTGCAGGAGACCAGGGCATACTTCTGTCCTTATCTCAACCACATAAGACAGACACTCCCAGAGCAGCCATTTATAGACCTCCCCTCCAGGAATGCATTCCTTCCCCAGCGTATTAATTATTAATATTCCTTGCTAGGAATAGAATTTAGCAATATCTTCCCTACTTGCACGTCCGTTTATAGGCTCTCTGCAAGAAGAAAAATATGGCACTATTTTGCTCGACCCCGCAGGCAGTCAGACCTTATGGTTGTCTTCCCTTGTTCCCTGAAAATTGCTGTTATTCTGTTCTTTTTCAAGGTGCACTGATTTCATATTGTTCAAACACACATGTTTTGCAATCAATTTGTACAGTTAACACAATTATCATAGTGGCACTGAGGTGATGTACATCCTCAGCCTATGAAGATAACAGGATTAAGAGATTAAAGTAAGACAGGCATAAGAAATTATGAAAGTATTATTTGGGAACTGGTAAATGTCCATGAAATCTTCACAAGTTATGTTTCTCTGCTGCGGCTCCAGCCAGTCCCTCCGTTCGGGATCCCTGACTTCCTGCAACACTATGACAATTCTAACACTTAAATCTCTAGCCAGTACTTCTCCATGAGCTACAGACTTTCATACACAAGCTGTTTGGAAGCATGTGTGTTTCTCAAAGAAAATGTGAGCTCCCTAGGAACAGGACCTTATGTTTCTTGTCCACTATTGTATTTCTTTTTTATTTTTTATTTTATTTATTTATTTATTTTTTATTATACTTTAAGTTTTAGGGCACATGTGCACATTGTGCAGGTTAGTTACATATGTATACATGTGCCATGCTGGTGTGCTGCACCCACTAACTCGTCATCTAGCATTAGGTGTATCTCCCAATGCTATCCCTCCCCCCTCCCCCCACCCCACAACAGTCCCCAGAGTGTGATATTCCCCTTCCTGTGTCCATGTGATCTCATTGTTCAATTCCCACCTATGAGTGAGAATATGTGGTGTTTGGTTTTTTGTTCTTGCGACACACATCATTTTTTATGGCTGCATAGTATTCCATGGTGTATATGTGCCACACTTTCTTAATCCAGTCTATCATTGTTGGACATTTGGGTTGGTTCCAAGTGTTTGCTATTGTGAATAATGCCACAGTAAACATACGTGTGCATGTGTCTTTATAGCAGCATGATTTATAGTCCTTTGGGTATATACCCAGTAATGGGATGGCTGGGTCAAATGGTATTTCCAGTTCTAGATCCCTGAGGAATCGCCACACTGGCTTCCACAATGATTGAACTAGTTTACAGTCCCACCAACAGTGTAAAAGTGTTCCTATTTCTCCACATCCTCTCCAGCACCTGTTGTTTCCTGACTTTTTAATGATTGCCATTCTAACTGGTGTGAGATGGTATCTCATTGTGGTTTTGATTTGCATTTCTCTGATGGCCAGTGATGATGAGCATTTTTTCATGTGTTTTTTGGCTGCATAAATGTCTTCTTTTGAGAAGTGTCTGTTCATGTCCTTTGCCCACTTTTTGATGGGGTTGTTTGTTTTTTCCTTGTAAATTTGTTTGAGTTCATTGTAGATTCTGGATATTAGCCCTTTGTCAGATGAGTAGGTTGCGAAAATTTTCTCCCATTTTGTAGGTTGCCTGTTCACTCTGACTTATTTCTATTACCTAGAAATACCTAGAATATTGAGTGCTTGGGACTCAATATATGCTAAAAAATATTTGAACAAATAGATATTAAATTTTATCAATCTATTATGCCTATGAGGTCTTTTCAGAATCCTTTAGGTGAAGGCTATCAATTTTTCATTCCCTAGTAGATGTGTGGTTTGATGTGTGGATGGTGCAGTGCAAAAATTTACGTACAAGCCAAGCCTTGAGGTCACCAGTGAAAGAGGGCTCATTTTGTGGGTGCTTATAAAGACAAGATAGCAAATATGCGATTAAATTTAATTCAACTTACTGAATTCTATCAATACAGTACAGTTTTATTTGTTCATTCTTTGTCAATGAATAGATGAAATGTTTCTACTTTTCTGTGATTAATAATTTGGATCTTATTCAAATTACTAACAATGTCAAATTAAATAAAAATGTTATGAAGATATAGGGTCATGTGATTAGTAGAAGCATCTGCTTTAGCAGACAAAATGTCCTGATGACTTGGAAATATTTTCTGAACAACTGAATATGGCTAGAATTAGGATTGGGTTTTTTTTCCTTTATTATCTTTCATAATCTATATTAATTTGAAAAATAAAAAGTAACCTTTATAACATTTAGTAGTTATAAATAATAATTGTGTAAGGAACATTTATGAGCCCACTTCCAAATACAAAACTACAACATTAAAACATTTTCAGTTCCCTATTAATTCTCTTCCTTCTACCCATCTCTCTGCCTCCCTGCCCTCTACATTACTCCATGCCACAATGGTAATCACTATTCCAAAACTTACATTTATCATTAATTGTTTCTTTATAGTTTTATCATACATATACATATGTCTAAGTATGCCAATTGGCTTTATTTGTTAGTGAACTCTACATACCCTGTAGTTTATTGGGACATGCTTTTTTGGCTAAACATTATCATTTCAAGCTGTACCTATGTTGTTTCAGATAGTCATAATTCATTGTTGTGTGAATATACCACAGTTTGATTCATCTGTTCTCAGTCAATGGATATTTGTGATGTTTCTACTTTTATGCCATTAAGGATTCTGCTTTTATACAAATGTTTAACAAAGTAATATTTATTTTTAAATACACAATTTTAATTTACTGTTTTAAAACACATATTCAATGTCACTGTACTTTCTTTAATAAGATTTTGCCCATAAAAAGTTATCAATGCCTGCACTTTTTAGACCTTTTGTATGTGGCTATCATTCTTTAACTTCCTAAAGCGGCTTATTTTCCCTTACTCCTGGGCCTTTGCAGATACAGTTCTATCTTGAAGGATTTTTGCCTTACTACTTCTCTCTCTCATTTGCCTGTGTACCTCCTATTCATCCTTCAGGTCTCATCTTAGATGTTACTTTTTCCAGGAATCTTTCCAGACTGCGCCATATTGTGGCAGGTGGCTCCAACCCCTGCCACACACACCCATTCTACTTTGTATTTTCCTTTTCAAAGTGCTCATTATGCACACGTGTATCATAGTTTCTGTTTACTTCTTTGTCTTCACCACTGACATGTCAACTGAGAATGGTAAACACTATGCCTCATTTTCTGATACATCCCCAGAATCCAGGCCAGGACCTGGCATTAAACAGATATTCAAAAAATATTTGTTAAATAAATATATGAGAGAAAGTGGTAGAGCAAGATGGCAGAACAGAAGGCTCCACCAGTTGCTCCTGCTGCAAGGACACCAATTTAACAACTATATACAAAAGAAAGCACCTTCGTAAGAACCCCAAATCAAGTGAAAACTCACAGTACCTGGTTTTAGCTTCATGTAGCTCAAAGAGGCACTGAGGAGGGCCAGAGAGACTCTTGAATCACTGACACCACCCCTCCCCCATTTCCCAGCAGTGACCACCTGGCTCAGAGGGAGAATTTCTGAGCCTGGGAGAGGGAGAGTACAGCAACTGTGAGACATTGCATTGAACTCAGTGGTGCCCTGTCATAGCAGAAAGCCAAACTGGCTGAAACCTGCTCACAGAGGGAGTTTTTAAACCAGCCCTAGGCAGAGGGGAATTGCCCATAGCAGTGGTTGGAACTTGAGTTCTGGCAAGCCTCGCCACTGTGGGCTAAAGAGCCCTGGGGCTCTAAATAAACTGGAAAGGCAGTGTAAACCACAAGGACTGCAACTCTTAGGCAAATCCTAATGCTGAACTGGGTTCAGAGCCAGCAAACTGGGTGGCAGGGGAGGGATGTGACCTACTGAGACACCAGCTAGGGCAGCAAAGGGAGAGCTTATGCCACCCCTTCCCTAAACCCAGGTGCACAGCTCGAGGCTCCAAAAGATAACCTTTCCTTCTGCTTGAGGAAAGGAGAGGAAAGAATAAAGAAGACTTTGTTTTATATCTTGGATATAAAACCAGCTCAGCCACAGTAGGATAGGGTGCCAGTGAGAGTCATTAGGCCCTATTTCCAGGCTCCAGCTTCTGGATGACAGTTGCTAGATACACGCCGGGCCAGAAGAGAACATACAACCTTGAAGGGAAGGATCCAGTCCTGGCAAGACCCATCACCTGCTGACTCAAGAGCCCTTGGCCCCTGAACAACCAGCAGTGGTACCTAGGTACTACATCGAGGGTCTTGGGTAAGGTTTTGAGACGTGCTGGCTTCAGGTGACATAAGCACATTTGCATCTATGGTGGCTACAGGGAGAGACTTCTGCTTGAGAAAGGCAGAGGGAAAGGTAAAGGGGACTTTGTCTTGCACCTTAGGTGCCAGCTCTGCCACAGTGGGAGCACCAAGCAGGCTCTTGGAGTCTCTGATAACAGGCCTTGGTTCTTGAATGGCTTTTTTAGACCAGAAAGGCTTTCTGGCCAGAAGGGAGCCCATTGCCCTGAAAGCTGACTCCAAGGCCAGGCAGCATTCACTACAAACTGAATAAAGAGCCCTTGGGCCTTAAGGGAACATCAGCGGCATCTTGGCAGTACTCCCCGTGGCCTGTGGTAGTGGTGGCCTCAGGGTGAGGCTCCTCTGCCTTTGGAAAGGGGAGGGAAGAGTGGAAAGTAGTGCATGGTTTGAGTGCCAGCTCAGCCATGGTACAATACACCAGGTAGACTTCTAAGGTTCTTGACTCCAATCTCTGGCTCCCAGATGGCACCTCTGGACTGGAAGATCTCACCACTCTCAAAAGAAGGACGCAAGCCTTGCTGGCTTTGCCACCTGCTGATTGTAGAGCCCCAGGGCCTTGAGTGAACATAGGCAATAGCCAGGTGGTGATTACAGGGGAGGCTTGGGTGAGATCCGATGCTATGCTGGCTTCGGGTCTGATCCAGCACAGTCCCAGTGGTAGTGGCCCCGGGGTGCCTGTGTCACCCCTCTCCTAGCTTGGTGGCTCAGAACATAGGAAGAAATTCCGTTTGTTTGGAGGAAAGTAAGAGAAGAGAACAAGAGTTTCTGCCTGATGATCCAGAACATTATTTTTTCTTCTGTTCTTTTAATTTATTTTTAATTTTTTTAGGTACATAGTAGTCATACATGTTTATGGGGTACCTGAGATGTTTTGATATATGTACACAATGTATAATAACCGCATCATGCAGAATGGAGTCTCTATGCCCTCAAGCATTTATCTGTTGTGTTACAAGCAATCCAATTATACTCTTTTAGTTATTAAAAGTGTATAATTAAGTTATTTACCATAGTCACCCTGTTGTGCTATCAAATTGTAGGTCTTATTCATTCTTTCTATGTTTTTCTACCCATTAGCCATCCACACCTTCCCTTTCTAGATGCTGATATTCTCCTTCCTTCTAGTACTCTCCTGGCACTCTCCATCCTTCTGTTCTCTTTGTCTTTGGTTGAATTGTTTTGATTTTTAGATCCCACAAATAAGTGAGACAATACGATGTTTGTGTTTCTGTGCATGACTTATTTCACTTAATATAATGATCTCCAGTTCTATTCTTGTTGTTGTAAATGACTGGATCTCATTCTTTTTTAGGGCTGTATAGTGCTCCATTGCATATATGTATCACAGTTTCTTTATCCGTTCACCTGTTGATAGACACTTAGGTTGCTTCCAAATCCTGGCTATTATGAACAGTGCTGCAACAAACATGGGAGTGCAAATATCTCTTTCACGTACTGATTTCTTGGTGGGGGGCGTGGGGTATATACCCAGCAGTGGAATTGCTGGATCATATGGTAGCTCTATTTTTAGTTTTTTGAGGAATCTCCAAACTGTTCTCCATAGAGGTTGCACTAATTTACATTCCTACCAACAGTGTACAAGGGTTCTCTTTTCTCCACATTCTTGCTAATATTTGTTATTGCCTGTCTTTTTTATACAAGCCGTATTAACTGGGGTGAGATGATATCTCACTGTAGTTTTGATTTGCATTTATCTGATGATCAGTGATGTTGAGCACCCTTTCATGTGCCTTATTTGCCATTTGTATGTCTTCTTTTGAGAAATGTCTATTAAAATATTTTGCCCAGTTTTTGGTCGGGTTATTAGATTTTTTTCCTATAAAGTTGTTTGAATTCTTTCTGTATTCTGGTTATATTATCTTTTGTCAAATGAGTCATTTGCAAATATTTTCTCTCATACTGTGGGTTGTTTCTTTGTTTTGTTGATTGTTTCCTTTGCTGTGCAGAAGCTTTTGACCTTGATGTAATCTCATTTTTTTCATTTTTGCTTTGGTTGCCTGTGCTTGTAGGGTATTGCTCAAGAAGTTTTGCCCACACCAACGTCCTGGAGATTTTCCCCAATGTTTTCTTGTGGTAGTTTCATAGTCTGAGTTTTAGACTTAAGTCTTTAATCCATTTTGTATATGGTGAGAGATAGCAGTCTGGTTTCATTCTTTTGGATATGGATATCTAGTTTTCCCAGCACCATTTTTTGGGGAGACTGTCCATTCCCCAGTGTACATTCTTGGCTCCTTTGTCAAAAATAAGTTCACTGTAGATGTATGGATTTGTTTCTGGGGCGTGTATTCTGTTCCATTGTTCTATGTGTCTGTTTTTATGCCAGTTCCATGCTCTTTTGGTTACTATAGCTCTGTAATATAATTTGAGGTCAGGTAATGTGATTCCTCCAGTTTTGTTATTTTTGCTCAGATTAGCTTTGGCTATTCTGGTTCTTTTGTGGTTCCACATAAGGTTTAGGATTTTTTTTTCTACTTATGTGAAGAATGTCTTTAGCATGTTGACAGAGATTACAATGATCCTGTAGATTCCTTTGGGTAGTATGGACATTTTAACAATATTGATTCTTCCAATCCATAAACATGGAATATTTTTCCAGTTTTTGGTGTCCTCTTTCATTTCTTTCATCAGTGTTTTACGGTTTTCATTATAGAGATCTTTCACTTTTCTGGTTAATCCCTAAGTATTTAATTTTATATGTGGCTATTGTAAATGAGATTACTTTTTTTTTTTTTTTTTTGAGACAGAGTCTCACTCTGTCACCCAGGCTGAAGTGCAGTAGCATGATCTCGGCTCACTGCAACCTCTGCTTCCTGTTTTCAAGTGATTATCCTGCCTCAGCCTCCCAAGTAGCTGGGATTACAGGCATGTGCCACCATGCCTGGCCTGAGATTACTTTTAAAATTTTTTTTTAGGTTGGTCACTCTTGGCATATAGAAATGCTACTAATTTTGTATTCAAATGTTGTTGATTTTGTATCTTGCAACTTTACTGAATTTGTTTGAGTTCTAATAGTTTTTGATGAAGTCTTTAGGTTTCTCTAAGTGAAAGATTATATAATCTGCAAAGGAGAATAATTTGACTTCTTCCATTTCAATCTGACTGCACTTTATTTCTTTCTTTTGTCTGATTGCTCTAGCTAGGACTTCCAGTACTATGGTGAATAATGGTGGTGAAAGTGGGCATTCTTACTGTGTTCCAGAATGTAGAGAAAAGTCTTTTAGTTTCCTCCCATTCAGTATAATACTAGCTGTGGGTCTGTCATATATGGCTTTCATTATGTTCCTTACATATCCAGTTTTTAAAAGGTTTTTATTATCATGAATGGCTGTTGAATTTCATCAAATGCTTTTCATTGATCAGCATTTGACAAATATACTGTTGAATTTGGTTTGCTAGTATTTTGTTGAGGATTTTTGCATCAGTATTCATCAGAGATATTGGTCAGTAGTTTCCTTTTTTGATGTGCCTTTGTCTGGTTTTGGTATCAGGATAATACTGGCCTGATAGAAGAAGTTTGAAAACATTCCCTCCTTCTCTATTTTTCAGAATAGTTTGAGTAGGATTGGTATTAGTTCTTCTTTAAATGTTTGGTAGAATTCAGCAATGAAGCCATCAGGTCCTGGACTTTTCTTTACTAGAAGACTTTTTATTATGGGTTTGATCTCGTTTCTAGTTGTTGGTCAGTTTAGGTTTTGGATTTCTTCATGGTCCAATCTTGGTAAGTTGTACCTGTCTAGGGATTTGTCCATTTCTTCTAGATTTTTCAATTTATTGTCATACAGTTGTTCATAGTAGCTACTGATGATTCTTGGAATTTTTGCAGTATCAGTTGTAATATCTCTTTTTCGTTTCTGATTTTATTTAATTGTATCTTCCTTTTTTTCTTAGTCTGGCTAAAGATTTGTCAATTTTGCTTAACTTTTCAAAAAAGCAACTTTTTTGTTTCATTGATCTTTTGTATTTTTTAATTTCAATTTCATTTACTTCTGCTCTGATATTTCTTATTTCTTTTTTCTACTAATTTTGGGTTTCGTTTGCTCTTGCTTTTCTAGTTCATTAAGATTCGTCATTAGATTGTTTATTTGAAGTTTTTCTGCTTTTTAAATGTAGGCACTTACAGCTATTAGTACTGCTTCTGCTGTACCCCATAGGTTTTTGTGGGTTGTGTTTCCATTATCATTTGTTTCAAGACATTTTTCAATTTTCTTCTTAATTTCTTCACTGACCCCCTGGTCATTCAGGAACGTATTATCTAATTTCTATATATTTATTTAGTTTCCAAAATTCCTCATGGTGTTAATTTCCAGTTTTATTCCATTGTTGTCAGAGAAGATACTTCATATTATCTGAATGTTTTTAAATGTTTTAAGACTTGTATTGTGACCTAACATATGGCCTATCCTTGAGAATGATACATGTGCTCAGGAATAGAATGTGTATTCTGCAGCCGTTGGATGAAATGTTCTGTAAATATCTATTAGATCCATTTGATCTGTAGTACAGATTAAGTCTGATGTTGCTTTGTTGATTTTCTGTCTGGAAGATCTGTCCAGTGCTGAAAGTGGGGTGTTGAACTATCCATCTGTTATTGTACTGGGTGATCCCTCTCTTTAGTTCTAATAATATTTGCTTTATATATCTGGGTGCTCCAGTGTTGGGTGCATATTTTTTATAATTGTTATATTCATTCGTGGAATTGACCCCTCTATTATTATATAGTGACTTTCTTTGTCTCTTCTTATAGGTTTTGTCTTGAAATCCATTTTGTCTGAAATAAGTATAGCTACTCTTGCTCTTTTTTGGTTTCCACTGGCATGGAATATCTTTTTCCATCCCTTTATGTTCAGTCTAAGTGTGTCTTTATAAGTGAAGTGTGTTTTTTATGTAGGCAACAGATATCTGAGTCTTGTTTTTTTTTTTTTATCCATTCAGCCACTCTGTGTCTTTTGATTGGTGAGTTTAGTCCATTTACATTCAATGTTATTTTTGATAAGCAAGGACTTACTCCTATTATTTCATTATTTGTTTTCTGGTTGTTTTGTGGTCTTCCCTTCCTTTGTTCTTTCTTTCCTGTCTTCCTTTAGTGAAGGTGATTTTTTTCTGGGGATACAGTAATATAATTTAGTTCGCTTTTTATTTTTGTGTATCTGTTGTATGATCTTTGGTTTGAAGTTACCATGAGGCTTGCAAATACTATCTTATAACCCATTATTTTAACCTGAATAACTACTTAACATTGTTTGTATAAATGAACAAACAAACATGTAAAAAGAAAACTAATAAAAACTGTACCTTAACTTCATACCCTCACTTTTTAACTTTTTGTCTCTATTTTTATCTTATTTTGCTATGCCTGTAAAAGTCCATGTCGTGATTATTTTTGATTGGTTCATCATTTAGTCTTTTTCCTTTGGATAAGAGTAGTTAACATACCACAGTTCTGTGTTATAATATTCTGTGTTTTCTGTGTACTTACTATTACCAGTGAGTTTTGTACCTTCACTGTACTTACTGCTCATCAATGTCCTTTTCTGTCTGATTGAAGTATTTCCTTTAGCATTTCTTGTAGGACAGGTCTAGTGTTGATGAAATCCCTCAGCTTTTGTTTGTCTGGAAAAGCCTTTATCCTTCATGTTTGAAGGATATTTTCACTGGGTATACTCTTCTAGAGTTAAAAATCAAATTTCAGCACTTTGAATATGTCATGCCACTCTGTTCTGGCCTGTAAGTTTTCCACTGAAAAACCTGCTGCCAGAAGTATTGGAGCTCCATTGTATATCATTTGTTTATTTTCTCTTGCTGCTTTTAGGATCTCCTTTTTTATCCTTGATCTTTGGAAGTTTATTACATGTTTTAAGGTAGTCTTCTTGGGTTAAATCTGCTTAGTGTCCTATAACCTTCTTGTACTTGGGTATTGATATCTTTCTGTAGGTTTGGGAAATTCTCTGTTATCCCTTTGAATAAATTTTCTACCCCTATCTCTTTCTCAACCTCCTCACTAAGGCCAATAACTCTTAGATCTGCCCTTTTGAGGCTGTTTTCTAGATCCTGTAGTGTGCTTCATTTTTTAAATTCTTTTTTCTTTTGTTTCTTCTGACTGTATTTTCAAATAGCCTGTTTTCAAGCTCACTAATTCTTTCTTCTGCTTGATCCATTCTGATATTAACAGACTGTGATGTATTCTTCAGTATGCCAATTTCATTATTCAATTTCAGCAGTTCTGCTTAATTTTTAATAATTATTTAAATCTCTTTGTTACATTAATTTGATAGAGTTCTGAATTCCTTCTCTGTGTTATCTTGAATTTCTTTGAGTTTCCTCAAAACAACTATTTTGAATTCTCTATCTGAAAGGTCACATAACTCTGATTCTCCAGCACTGGACCCTAGTGCCTTATTTAGTTTGTTTGGTAAGGTCATGTTTTCTTGGATGGTATTGGTGTTAGCAGATGTTTTTTGGTGTCTGGATATTGAAGAGTTAGGTATTTATTGTCATCTTCACTATCTGGGCTTGGTTGTACCTGTCCTTCTTGGGAAGGCTTTCCAGATGTTTGAAAGAACTTGGGTATTGTGATCTAAGTTGTATCTGCTTTAGGGGGCACCCAAAGCCCAGGATGCTGTGACTCTTGCAGACTCATAGAGGTCCCACTTGATGATCTTGGATAAGATCCAGGAGAATTCTCTGGATTAACAGGCAGAGACTCTTGTTCTCTTTCCTTATTTTCTCCCAAACAGAGTATATCTGTGTGTTCTGAGCCACCTAAAGCTGGGGGTGGAGTGACACAAACCCTCTGTGACCACCACCACTGTGATTGCACTAGGTGAGGCCTGAAGCCAGTGCAGCTCTGGGTCTTACTCAAGTCCTGCTGTAACCACTCCCTGGCTATTGCCTATGTTCATTCAAGGTTCTGAGGCTCTGTTATCAGCAGATGGCTAAGCCAGCCAGGCCTGTATCCTTCCATGCAGGTGGCAAGTTCCTCCTGGTCCCGGTTGGGTTTAGAGGTGCTATCTGGGAGCCAGGAACTAGAATAAAAAACCTTAAAAGTCTTCCTGGTGTTCTATTCTGCTGCAGCTGAGCTGGCATTCATACCACAAGACACAATTCTTCCTACTTTTCTCTCCTTTCCAAAGACAGAGGAGCCTCACCCCAAAGCCACCACCACCACAGGCCACGGAGAGTACTGCCAGGCTACCACCAATGTTCCCTGAAGGCCCAAGGACTCTTCAGTCAGCTTGTGATGAATGCTGCCTGGCCTGGGACTCACCCTTCAGAGCAGTGGGCTCCTCTCTGGCCCAGGGCAGGTCCAGAAATGCCATCCAAGAGTCAAGTCCTGGAATTGGGGGCCCCTAGTGCCTGCTTGGTTCTCTACACACCTGTGGCTGAGCTGGTACCTAAGGTCCACAGCTTGGGAAAGACAAAGTCCTCTTTACTTTTCTTTCTGCTTTCATCAAGCAGAAGGAGTTTCTCCCTGTAGCCACCACAGCTGGTAATATGCTGAGTCTTACCTGAAGCCAGCAATTCTTTGGGGCTGACCCAAGACCCTCAACACAGTATCTGGGTATCACTGCTGGTTATTCACTGTCTAAGCATCTTCAGTTAGCAGGTGATGGATGTTGCCAGGACTGGATCCTTCCCTTCAAGGCGGCAGGTTCCTTTCTGTCCCAGGGTGTGTCTAGAAATGTCTGGGAGCTAGGGCCGGAAATGGGGGCCTCACAACTCTGACTGGTACCTTATCCTGCTGAGGCTGAGCTGATATCCAAGATGCAAGACAATGTCCTTACCAGTCTTCTCTCTCCTCTAATCAGTCAGATGGAAAGCATCTCTTTTGGAGCTGTGAGCTGTGAGCTGTGCAGCCTGGGGCTATGAAAGGGGTGATGCCAGCACTCCCGTAGCCACCCTAGTTGGTGTTTCAGTAGGTCACATGTCCCCCCAGTCCACTGTCTCTGGGCACAGTTTAGCACTAGGATTCACCTATGAGTTAGAGTCCTTATGGCTGAGACTGCCTTTCAAGTTAACTAAGAAACCTCAAGCAATTTAGTCCTGGGTGGTGAGGTTTGTGAGAACTCAAGTTCTGAATGCTGGGATAGGCGATTCTCCTCTGGCTAAGGCTGTTTTAAACATTCTCTCTGTGGGCAGGCATCAGCTGAGTTTGGTCCTGTTTTCCTTTCTGTAGGAACAGAATAGTGAAGTGGTATCATTCATCTGGGGTAATACCCAAGGTTCATTGTCCCACGCCAAAGAAATCAAGGATGCAGACACACAAGGAGTGAGGTTAAGAGCCAAGGTTTAATAGGTGAAAGAAAGAGAAAAGCTCTTTTCTGCAGAGAGAGGGGTCCCGAGCAGGTCTTCTGGTCTGCGGTGAAGTGGAGGAGGTTTTGTAGATGAGCCTGAGGAGGCAGTGTCTGATTTACACAGGACACAAAAGATTGGTTGGATTAGGTGTGCCATTTGCATAGCATACAAAGAGGCTGGCCACCCCACCCAAATATTTTATTAGGCAGACTGGTTCTATACCTTGCTGGCACCATGTTGCCTGCTTTTTTACATGTGGTGACAAAGAAAAGGGAAGATAGAGCCTCCATGTTGAACATGCCTGGCCCTCAGGTAGCCCTTTGCTATTGGCACAGCTGCAGACAGTCACCCATGCAAGCTTCCAGCTTTTTTATATATGTCCACAGCTCAATTTTTCAGGATGCTCTTTGTTAGAAAAGAAATGATTTGGGGGCTGCTTTTTGTTAAAAGGAAAAATTCTGCCGAGGACTCTGTTGCCCTTACTATCTGCCTCTAAATAATTTCTTTCTATCTCCTGTATCAACATCACTGAGTTCAGTGCCTCACAATTGCTGTGCACTCCCTCCCTCTGCACCGTCCCCACCCCCAGCAGTGGCAGCTTGGTACCGAGAGCATCTCTGGGTGCATCGGCAAGTCAGGACTGCTTTCTCTATCTTTTCAGTGCCTTTTTCAGCAACATGGAGTTAAAACTGGGTATTATGAGAGCTCACCTGATTTTTGGTTCTTATGCAGGTGTTTTTTTCTGTGTAGATTGCTGTTAAATTGGTGTCTGTGCAGGGGGTATGATCAGTGGAGCCTTCTATTCTACCATCTTGCTCTGCCTCCAATCCTTTTATTATTATTATTATTATTATTATTATTATTATACTTTAAGTTCTAGGGTACATGTGCACAACGTGCAGGTTTGATACATAGGTATACATGTGCCATGTTGGTATGCTGCACCCATCAACTCATCATTTACATTAGGTATATCTCCTAATGCTATCCCTCCCCCAGCCCCCCACCCCTCAACAGGCCCCGGTGTGTGATTTTCTCCACCCCATGTCCAAGTGATCTCATTGTTCAATTCCCACCTATGAGTGAGAACATGCAGTATTTGGTTTTCTGTCCTTGTGATAGTTTGCTGAGAATGATGGTTTCCAGCTTCATCCATGTCCCTGCAAAGGACATGAACTCATCCTTTTTTTTTTATGACTGCCTAGTATTCCATGGTGTATATGTGCCACATTTTCTTTATCCAGTCTATCATTGATGGACATTTGGGTTGGTTCCAAGTCTTTGCTATTGTGAATAGTGTCACAATAAACTTACATGTGCGTGTGTCATTATAGCAGCATGATTTATAATCATTTGGGTATACACTCAGTAATGGGATTGCTGGGTAAAATGGTAATTCTAGTTCTAGATCCTTGAGGAATCACCACATTGTCTTCCACAGTGGTTGAACCAATTTACACTCCCATCAACAGTGTAAAAGTGTTCCTATTTCTCCACATCCTCTCCAGCATCTGTTGTTTCCTGACTTTAATGATTGCCATTCTAACTTGCGTGAGATGGTATCTCATTGTGGTTTTGATTTGCATTTCTCTGATGATCAGTGATGATGAGCATATTTTCATGTGTCTGTTGGCTGCATACATGTCTTCTTTTGAGAAGTGTCTGCTCATATCCTTTGCCCACTTTTTGATGGGGTTGTTTATTTTTTTCTTGTAAATTTGTTTGAGTTTTTTGTAGATTCTGGATATTAGCCTTTTGTCAGATGGGTAGATTGCAAAAATTTTCTTCCATTCTGTAGGTTGCCTGTTCACTCTGATGGTAGTTTCTTTTGCTGTGCAGAAGCTCTTTAATTTAATTAGATCCCATTTGTCTATTTTGGCTTTTGTTGCCATTGCTTTTGGTGTTTTGGTCATGAAGTTTTTGCCCATGCCTATGTGCTGAATGGTAATGCCTAGATTTTCTTCTAGAGTTTTTATGGCTTTAGGTCTAACATTTAAGTCTTTAATCCATCTTGAATTAATTTTTGTATAAGGTGTAAGGAAGGGATCCAGTTTCAGCTTCATACTAGCTTCAAATAATTATCAAATCACAGATAAATCATGGAGAGTTAGTTTATTTCAACAAATAAGCTCTTGCCTTAAGCAAAGGTAATACCAGTAACTATATCAGGAACAGGACGTGTCCTGTTTGTCAAATTTATAAATGTTACTTTTGTACGTTTCTCAACACTGGCCAGCAAGCAATTTAGTTCACATTTGCTTTGATTTATTTCCTCAGGGAAAACATGCTGCTTCTTCAAAGACTCCAATTTCAGATGGCAAAATGCATGGAAGCTGAGATGGACCTTCTGGAGTTTTCGATAAACCACTGTAGCTCAGTCAGAGGTCCAATTATGATGATACCCACACAGCCCGGTCCTCCCACAGCCTACATCCAATCCTCTGAGGAAGCTGAGTGGCACTGCCTTTATTCACCACAGATGCTACAGAATCAGCAGGTGAGAGACAATAGCACCCCCAGCTACGTAACCTGCTTCAAATACTACAACCATCTGTTCTATCTTTGGACATTTTATTTCTGGGCTTGAAAAGCAACAAATGCATTCCATACTTCAATGGTATATCTAAAGCAATTGACTTTTCTTGTGGTGTATAGTTACCTGTTTCATTCATGAGGGACCATCTCTCTTTGTTTATACCTTTTGGAAGCAGGATTCCTCAGAACATTAGCATGCCCTGGCTTGGTTTGAAATTCTACATCAGCAGCTTTCATTGGAGCCAGGGCAAAGTCAGTAAAATAAAATTCTTCTACACTGAGAGAGGGAGTAAAGTAAAGTTATGTGCATCAGAGATAGACATTCTCTCTGAACATGCTGCCCTAAAAGACTTCAAGGGCTTATTTTATTTTATTTTATTTTTGAGACGGAGTCTTGCTCTGTTGCCCAGGCTAGAGTGCAGTGGCATGATCTCGGCTCACTGCAACCTCTGCTTCCTGGGTTCAAGTGATTCTCCTGCCTCAGCCTGCTGAGTAGCTGAGATTACAGGCACCAGCCACCACACCTGGCTAATTTTTGTATTTTTAGTAGAGATGGGGTTTCACCATGTTGGCCAGGGTGGTCTAGAACTCCTGACCTCAAGTGATCCACCTGCCTCGGCCTCCCAAACTGTTGTGATTACAAGCGTGAGCCACCACGCCTGATTTCAAGGGCTTTTAAAAGCTAAACTTACCATGTCTCTGCATAGCATGGCCAGTAAAAGTGGGAGCTTATCCATTAGCCACATCAGGAACACTATCTTCTTAACTGTAGTGAAAATTTATTAAAAATGACCTTGTACATTGAACAACTCACCCGCACATCACATTTTGCTAAATCCAGGTATGCAACAGCGGGGTTGTCATGGCATAATTTAAAAGCTACTACAGTAATTAAAACTTAAGGAAGCCATAATGACAACTATATTCTTCTGGAATGTCATGGACTAGATTGAGGGAACAGGGGAGTGGCCCAAGAGCCCTGCAACTGAGGTTGGGTGGGCCTCAGGACTCATCTCCACCAGCTGCCGGCATGTTGAGGCACCACAGATGGAGCATCTTCTCCCTAAGATAGCCAACATCCCGTTGCCCCTATTTTCTCTATTAGTCAGTTCTTACACTACTATGATGAACTACCTGAGACTGGGTAATTTATGAACAAAGGAGTTTTAATTGACTCACAGTTCTGCAGGCTTAAAAGGAAGAATGACTGAGAGTCCTCAGGAAACTTAGAATCATGGCGGAAGGTGAAGGGGAAGCAAGAAGCAAGCACCTTCTTCACATGTTGGCAGGAGAGAGAGAGTGAGAGAGAGAAGAAAGAGGTGCCACACGCTTTTAAATGATCAGATCTCATGAGATCTCACTCAGTATCATAAGAACAGTGAGGGAAGAATCTGTCCCCATGAGCCAATCATCTTTTATCAGGCCCCTCCCCTGACACAGGAGGATTACAATTTGACATGAGATTTGGGTGGGGACACAGAGCCAAACCATATCAGCCCCTCTACGGACTGTGGCCCACAGCTAATTTTATTTTACTTGTGGTAGCACTATCACCTTGGGAAAGTAATTTGGGTTGGTTTGTGGTGAGAAAAGGAAATGGGGCTTATATAACTAAAATTTATTCCTCTCTGATCTAATGACTTCCTCCTCTCCAACCTAACCCTGAGCTCCAGCTAGAAGCCTTTTTTCTGCAGCCCTGGAGTAACCAAGTCCTATTTTCAACCTCATAGACTATCCCATTGTATAGTCCTCCCCACATTCGTCCTCCTCAGTCTACCTCATTGATGTCCAGATGTGCAGGTCCTCTCAGCTCCATCCTATCTCCATCACTCATTTGTCTCTCCTTGCATTCTACTTTTCTGTCTCCTGTAACCACCTCCTGTGTATGTGCCCAATCCTTGCAACCCAACTGCAAGCTGCTGGAGAGCAGAAGCCATTTCCTGTGTCTGTTCTCCAGAAGTATTTGGTAAATTAATACATGAAGGTAAGATGCCAGGAAACTATCTACTTTTTTTTAAACCTTGCTTAAGATAGTACTTAAAGAAGAGTTCACCTTTTTAGAGTAACTGGATATTTTGACTGCTCACTTTGCTACTTGAGTCTGGACCAGTCATAATCCTGACTGGGAAGAATTATGAGACTTGTCCGGTATGCAATATGTATGTGAATCAATAATAAGTCACATTGGTGATGTTCTTATCCTCACTTTATATACCAGTTTGAGTAACTTGGTTCTTATTCCCACTGCTGTGTTTAAGTTCCTCTTCTGTGTCGATACCTGTTCTACTCAACCCAGCTCATTCCTAGGACTAATTCCTATAGTATGTCCCTGCTAAATATATCCAGACCTTTGTGACACTGTCTGCCCAGCTGTATCTCTTCTAATTGACTTGTTTTTCTGTTACACCAGATTGTTTATCAGTAATATTCTGATGCATAGCAAATCCTCCCACAGTCAGAGGCATGAAACAACAATGTGTTATCACTCGTGATTCTGTGGGTTGGCTAGGATCAGCTGGCTGGTTCTTCTGCTGACCTCACCTGGTTCACCTATGCATCTCCAATTATCTGTCTGTTTGACTGGGACTAAAGGGTCTAAACTAATCTCCTTTACATGTCTTACTTTTAGACAGAGTTAATTGCTTTCAGATCAAAACTGTTGTAACACCAAAGTGTCATAGCTTAGGTTGGCATTTTCTGGTACCCTCCATTTGTTCAGGTCTTCATCAAAGAAGCTTGGTGGAAGTTCCACCTTAAGATTTGTTACATATTTGTCCAGCCCATCTTACCAGGCCTGACAAGACTACTAGAATTCAGAAAAGAAGTATTTATATAATAAGCATGTGTCCAGGGCAGCTCATAAGTGGTGTCTTTCAGTAAAGTTAGATGGTAGGCAAGGTGCAGCAGAATGTCACTGAGGAAACTGCAAAATATAGCCTAATCAAGAGAACTGGTCAGAATTACAAGAAGTGCAAGGGAACTCTGATTTGCAAATTTATGTGTGTTTATACAAGTAAAATATTTTGCATCAGGAAAGCCTCAAATGAATTAGATCTGGAGCCCTTTCTTTGCTCTATGATCTAATTATGAATATATTAAACCACTACTTGCATCCTCTGTACCTAAAACTAGTACCTTTTATACAGCCTATAATTCTCCTTAGATGTTGGCTATTTTAAGGAGAAATTTAGTCATCCTAATTGCATAGTTTCCAAAGTTAATGATTTCCTAAAACAAGGGAATCATTAGTTCATATTGCTTTCCTCTAACATCTTTCCCAAGTTTAAATGAATGTATATACTAATGGGTATTAAAAGTAAATTTTCAGAAGCATTTTCAGGACTGGCATCTGCCTCAGACATTTATGTTCCCTTTCAGGAAGGAAGACTGTGAAAAGGAAAAATGCACTCTTTTAAGGTAAGTATCAGTGAGTAGATACATTAAGCGCCTGTGCTAGTGAAGCAATCAACATAATCATATTTACATTAATTAGAACATAAATGGAACAAACCAAATTTCTTTTTTATGCTATTTTTATGTTTAACTTGGCATGGAAACATAGAATCTGGGGAGATTCTTTCTCAACTTGAATACATAATCGACACAAAAATAATAGGATAAAAACTTTAGAAGGATGTTAGAGTAATATGAAAACATGAATTTATAAAATTGAGCCATCTTAAGAGGGAGAAGTTTGCTTTGGTAAGAGAATAAAGATCAAGTAAACTTTCTCTACCATGACTAAGAGAATGAAATAAACCAGAGGATTTTGATACAATTATTTTTTGGATTTTATTTTTACTTTTTGGCAGAGGTGGAAGGTAGGGAGAGAGTTGTCTAATAGAAATGTCCAAGGCCTGTTTCCTTAAGATTTTTAAAACACATCTCTAATATGAGTGAGTGCATTACTACATAATTATCTAGGCCTTCATGGAAACTCTATGGGTAATTCCAGGCCCCAAATGGACATTAGACTAAATGATTTAGATCACCTGTACTCACTCTAATGCGTTCAAGGTGAGTTAGAATAAAAAATCAGGGAATTTTAAAGAACTATGTTCTAACAAAGTTGAAAATTAACTTTTGTGCAGCTGTACTGTATTATCTCAAAATCTAAAGATTGCAGAGCAAATTTCAGGATTTCAGAGCGAACTGTGACTCAAGGATAAAAATCTGTTCTCTTTGTTTCCTTGGCATTGCATAGTCTTTTAAATGTCCCTGGTTAGAGGAGTTAGGTTAGTTGATAATAGAAATGTGAAATAAAATCAGGGGAAGCACAAAACAAGAGAAGGTAGCTATGAAACTTGCAGTAACAACTTTGTACTAGAAAAATATCCAAAAGGCATAGTTTATGTGAATACAGAACACTTTTGAAGTCAGTAACTAAATTACAAAACAAGTTCAGCTTCTAGTAGTTAAAAATAAGGATTTTTAGGGAAACTCTTAAAACAATGCCCCACACTTTGTCTTTATATCACACTGACCATAACTCAATCTCACAGCCACACTAAGGGATCAGAGGATAGGAGATGCAGACTGTGCATGTGTGGTAATTTGCCCAGCAAAGAAGCCAAAGTTCTACAACAGAGCAGGGGGAATATGGGTATTAGGAGGCAGCTAATGGTCTTTCCTATATTTCTATTCCACAACTATTCTTGAAATATATTCCTTTTTGACTTCTAAAATGTAGCTGTAGGGGAGAAAGACTAACATCTTTTCTTCACCATCACTAGGTTCATCACTGAGACCCCCATAACAAAAGATAGGTTAGCAAGAAAAAAGCATATAAATATATTTAATGTAAGTTTTACATGACACAGTGTATTAGTCCGTTTTCATGCTGCTAATAAAGACATACCCAAGCCTGGGTAATTTATAAAGGAAGAGGTTTAATGGACTCACAGTTCCACGTGGCTGGGAGGCCTTACAATCATGGCAGAAGGTGAAAGGTATGTCTTACATGGCTGCAGCAAGAGATAATGAGAACCAAGTGAAAGAGGTTTCCCCTTATAAAACCATCAGATCTCATGAGACTTATTCACTACCATGAGAACAGGATGGGGGAAACCACACCCATGATTCAGTTATCTCCCACCAGATCCCTCCTACAACATGTGGGAATTACAGGAGCTACAATTCAAGATGAGATTTGGGTGGGGACACAGCCAAACCATATCATTTTGCCCCAGCCCCTCACAAATCTTTTGTCTTCACATTTCAAAATCAATCATGCTTTCCCAGCAGTCCCCCAAATTCTTAAATCATTTCAGCATTAACTCAAAAGTCCACAGTCAAACGTTTCATTCAATACAAGGCAAGTCTCTTCCACCTATGAGCCTGTAAAATCAAAGGCAAGTTAGTTATTTCCTAGATACTATGGGGGTACAGGAATTAGGTAAATACACTCATTCCAAATGGGAGAAATGGGCCAAAACAAAGGGCTAAAGGCCCCGTGCAAGTCTGAAATCCAGTGGGCCACTCAAATCTTAAACCTCCAAAAAGATCTCCTTTGACTCCGTGTCTCACATCCAGGTCATGCCGACGCGAGAGATGAGCTCCCACGGCCTCGGGCAGCTCTGCCCCTGTGGCTTTGTAGAGTATAGTCCCTCTCCTGGCTGCTTTCATGGGCTTTCATTGAGTGTCTGTGGCTTTTCCAGGTGCATGGTGCAAGCTGTCAGTGGATCTACCATTCTGGGGTCTGGAGGATGGTGGCCCTCTTCTCACAGCTCCACTAAGCAGTGTCCCAGTGGTGAGTCTCTGTGGGAGCTTCAACACCACATTTCCCTTCTGCACTGCTGTAGCAGAGGTTCTCTGGGAGGCCTCTGCTCCTGCAGCAGACTTCTGTCTGTACATCCAGGAATTTCCATACATCCTCTGAAGTCTAGGCAGAGGTTCCCAAACCTCAATTCATGACTTCTGTGCACTCACAGGCTCAACACCATGTGGAAGCTGCCAAGGCTTGGGGCTTGTGCCCTTGGAAGCAATGGCCTGAGCTGTACCTTGGCCCCTTTTAGCCATGGCTAGAGTGGCTGGGATGCAGGGCACCAAGTCCTTAGGGTGCATATGGCAGGGGGGCCCTGGTCCTGGCCCATGAAACCACTTTGTTCTCCTGGGCTTCTGGGCCTGTGATGGGAGGGGCTGCAGTGAATGTCTCTGACATGTCCTGGAGACATTTTCCCCATTGTCTTGGAGATTAACATTTGGCTCCTTGTTACTTATGCAAATTTCTGCAGCAGGCTTGAATTTCTTCTTAGAAAATGGGTTTTTCTTTTCTATTGCATCGTCCAGCTGCAAATTTTCTGAACTTTTATGTTTCATTTCCTTTTAAAACTGAATGCTTTTAACAGCACCCAAGTCACCTCTTGAATGCTTTGCTGCTTAGAAATTTCTTCCCTGATACTCTAAATCATCTCTTTCAGGTTCAAAGTTCACAAATCTCTAGGGCAGCAAAATGCCGCCAGTCTTTTTGCTAAAACGTAGCAAGAATCACCTTTGCTCCAGTTCCCAACAAGTTCCTCATCTCCATCTGAGACCACCCAAATCTCATCTTCAATTATAATCCTCATAATTCCCATGTGTAGATGGCAAGACCTGATGGGAGGTGATTGGATCATGGGGGTGGTTTCCTCCATGCTGGTCTCATGATAGTGAGTTCTCACAGGAACTGATGGTTTTATAAGTGTTTGACAGTTCCCCCTGCACATGCATACTTTCTCTTACCTGCTGCCATGTAAGACGTGCCTCTTCACCTTTCACCATGATTGTAAGTTTTCTGAGGCCTCTCCAGCCATGCAGAACTGTGAGTCAATTAACCTCTTTTTTCTTTTCCCTTTTTTTTTTTTTTTCCGAGACAGAGTCTTGGTCTGTTGCCCAGGCTGGAGTGCAGGGGCATGATCTTGGCTTACTGCAGCTTCCACCTCCACCTCCTGGGTTCAAGCAATTATTGTGCCTCAGCCTCCTGAGTAGCTGGGACCACAGGCATGCACCACCGTGACTGGCTAATTTTTGTATTTTTAGTAGAGACGGGGTTTCACTGTGTTGGCCAGGCTGGTCTTGAACTCCTGACCTCAAGTGATCTACCCACCTTGGCCTCCCAAAGTGCTGGGATTACAGGCATGAGCCACCACGCCTGGTCATAAACCTCTTTTCTTTATAAATTACCCAGTCTCAGGTAGTATCTGCAGTTTGAAAATGGACTAATACAAGGAATATAAGTAGATTTTACTCAGTGTAACTTGATTGGGAGTTGAGATAATAGTGGCTCTTAATTACAACCAGAAAGTAGAATTTGGGGTTTGTTTCTGTGTTCGTTTGAATTATGTTTCTTTACCTTGAAGATCAAAGAACCGTTATTAGAGATTTCTTTAATATCAAGTTATGTCTGAAATAGGCTCATTTAAAAGCAAGGTTTGTATTGTAATAAATCCTGGTATAATAGAAATTTCAGAATATTTTTCACATTTTCATAATCATTCATTTTAATCACTAATGCCAGATGCCTTGATCATTGAGAGAAAAATATAAAAGAGAAATGAGTTAAAATATTTTGTGGCCTCATTTAGGTTTGAATGTTTATGTATATGTTTCAAGAATTACATAAAGTATACTTAGCCCAATATGTACTGGTACAAACTGTAAAATAGTCAACTATTGCTTCTTTAGCACATTTTCTAGAAGCATATTTTTATGACAAAACACTCTTTGTTTAATATTTACAGAGTATAAGGCTTTGGAAACTTTTGATATATGTGTGCTTTCTTAGAAGTAATAAGTCAAATAATTGGATAGATATTCAATTCAAACAATTATAATTACTCTAACAAATAGTATATCTATTCGCCTAATAGTTCTGAGACCTAAATTGAAATTAAGATGTTGAGGGGATAGATGGTTATTAATTGGAGGGATCACACATATTTTAGGTAAATTTCATAGATAATAGAAGATTCCAAATATTTACTGTTTGAAAAGCAAAAACAAATGTTAAATCTGGTAAAGTTCAAAGAAGTTCAAAGTATTAGCATAAGCTTATTGTTCTAACTACGAGCAAACAGAAGAGGCACCTTGTTTTGAAGTTACGTGAAACTTCAGAAAAAAAGGCCAGTATTCTCACATGTCAGTTCGAATACCTACCAAAGAAGGGAGCGCTGTGAATGAGTAACAATGGGAGGCAGAATGATGACCCCCCAAAGAGGTTCATATCCTGATCCCTGGAATTTGTGAATATGTTACATTACATGGCAAGGGGGAATTAAGGTTGCAGATGGAATTAAGGCTGCTAATTAGCTGACCTTAAAATAGGGAGACTACCCTGGTTGATTGGAGTGGACCTAGTATAATCCCAAGGACCTTAAATGTGGAAGAGGGAGGCAGAAGAGTCAGTGTTAAGAGTGATGCAATGTGAGAAAGACTCTACTCGCCATTGCTGGCTTTGGAAACGCGATGGGGCCATGAAATGTAGGCAACCTCTAGATTTTGGAAAAGATGAGTAGAGGAATTTTCCCCTACAGCTTTCAGAAGGAACCAGCTCTGCTGACACCTTAATTTTAGCCAAGAGAAACGGGTTTTAGATTTTTGACCTCTAGAACTATAAAATTATAAATTTGTGTTGTTTTAAGATGCTAAGTTTGTGGTACATTATGTCTTCACTTATCGTCATTGGTAGGTTTTTGGAAACTGTGACTTAAGCAAAATAGCATACAGCAGACACTCAATATTGTTTAGTTCAATATCATTTTGTTATAATGTTGTTAAGAAAAAATTGGTTTTGTTACACTTCATTTCTCTTAAAGTCGCAGTTTCCAAGAACCTACTGACATTGCTCAGTGAAGACTAACTGTACTTGTTACAGCAGCAATAAGAAACTAAAACGACAACCAAGGTGAGCTCTCTGAATAGAAATACACCAGTAATGGAAAACAATAAAATTTCCAAGTGCTAACATGAACAGGATGAAACAACTCCTAAAATTATTATCTTCCACTCCCTCTGATAATAATTTCATTAGATTGAACATCTAGTAGTTATTTGGAGTAATAAGTAGATATAAAAGACAGACTAGATGACTGACCAGCATTCTTAAGCTGTTTACATCTGTTTAAAAATGAATGTAGGAATGAGAGAAAACCTCATTCCTTGGAGTTTTGTTAGTGTGTTTCAGCTGATGAGAACCTAATGATTCCTTCATGAGCAAATGAACTGGAATCTGAAGATAGACAAGACTGTGTCTGTGGAATTGCTTTTGTGAACACTTATCATATGGGTGTCCAACATCCAAACTTCCATTCCTATTGACACCCTTATCTTCATTTTACAGAATTCCTCATACTGTATAGTCTTAGCAGTTAGGGCTTTCCAGAAAGACCAAGAGTCTCTATCCTGGCAGCAGCAGTAGACCAGCCTGTGGTCATGGTAGGTCTCAGTGGTGGAGCCACTGCTCAAACCTCCAAAGTTCACGTCTTCCTACGTATTTTCTAATCCTGGACCTCCACCTTCCCTTCATTCATTGAGTCCCTGATATCAGTCCAGTAACTTGTCTTTTGTTTAAATAAATTAGTCTGTTCCTACAGCTTCTAACCGGGAACAAAGCAGATACCCACACCAAGGAACTTCAACCTTTAAATAGCCTATACATGCTGACAGCATAAGATTTTATTCTGTTTCTAAAACTGCCAATTGACTGATGACTGCCATCCTAATAAACAATTGTAACCGCATAAACAAATATTATTACCTAAATTTATTCTCTGCAATCAACTGCACAGTTCATTTCTAAAATAAAAAATTCTTTTACAATGACAAAATCACAAAGAGAAGACTGACATATTTGACTATCAAAATATTTATACAATTTTTAAAAATAAAGAATAAATATTTACGAAAAATCAGTTTGAGAAAATGCTTAAGTACAAAAACAAGGTATATGCACCTGTATAAAATAAAGAGGTTATGTAACTGTCCCCCAAACATTCAAGATCCAAGAAACAATTCACACTTGATAAAATACAAAAAGTTCCAACATTTTTGAAAAATATTTGGTCTTGGTTTGATATAATCAAAGGAATAAAAATTAAAGCATCATTAAGATATAATTTTGTATCTATTAAAATAAAAAATGTTTTAAAGTATTGACACATAATTTTGATGATATGGTGAAACAAATATATTTATATACAATTACAGAACTATAAAATTGTGTCACTGGCTGTTTCTGGCTGCAATAAGATAATTTTTGAAAGTCATAAAATATTCATAAGTAGTTAATTCAATAGAGAAAGAACAGCTACCCGGACAAAGGTATTTATTACATCATTATCAAAAATACTAAAAATCTATAAAAGATAGGATGGTAGGGAATAGTCAAGTAAGTCATAATACAATATCTAACAGAATACTATGTAGTTATTGACAATAACAATTGTGGAAACATTAAGACTACTTAATTATAGGAATCTTAAAAAGAATAAAAATTACAACCATATAATCTTTATTCATTAAAAAAGATTAAAAAGGAATATTTTAAAAACTGTGTTTAATTATCAAAATTGTGAGATACTTTTTCATTAAAAGTGACTTTAATGTGAGCCAGGCTCAGTGGCTTACGTCTGTAATCCCAGCACTTTGGGAGGCTAAGGCGCGTGCATCACTTGAGGTCAGGATTTCAAGACCAGTCTGGCCAATATGATGCAACTCTGTCTCTATTAAAAATACAAAAATTAGCTGGGCATGGTGATGTGTACCTATAATCCCAGCTACTCCGGTGGCTGAGGCAGGAGAATCGCTTGAACTTGGGAGGTGAAGGTACAGAGTGAGACTCCATCACAAATTAAAAAAAAAAGTGAATTTAATGTGAACACAGTTTTGTAATAATAAGAGAGAAAATGATAGATCGGTGATGAAATTAATGTAAAAATTGGAAACTTCAAAGGCATAATCGAAATTTTAGAAGATTTGTCTCCTCTATTATTAGGTCAGTCAAAAGACATGGATTAAACATAACAATAAAATAACTCTACCAAGTACATTATCTTGGAGAATGTTAAACTCAGAGTCTTGTATTTTTCTTATTTCCCAAAGAATTCCAAGTTCACGATTACTCCAAATCCAAAAACATTCAGAGTGTGGACTATTATATTGAAATGAACCAAATATAAAACGAACCATCCTGTCTACACAATTTAAAAATGCTTGTTTACATTATATTGCAAGCATAAATCATATACCCTTCATGTAAGAAGGGTTATTGTGTCAAAGCTTGAAGATAATATAGAGATATATAGAGAGACAAACAGACATGCAGAACGTATACTACAATTATAACCATCAAGAAATGCTAAATTACTCTTTTGAGTGACTTTGAGTAACAGGCATCACCCCTCTTACAAAGCAGATGCAATAAACAAATTCTCTAGTTATCCATTAGTAAGGAGAATTTAGAGGATGTTAAAGAATGGGGAGATCTATGCTTTCATTTGACATGGACATGTGTCAAATGTAAAATGATAGGATTTTAAAAACATACTAAATGTGCATCTACAAGCTGTCAGATCACAGATGGAAAACTGACCACAAGGAGATCATTCATATGTAAATTCTAAATAATTTACTCAAGAACATGGCTTGCGCTAGAAGATATTGCCAGTCAGTCCTCTCTGTACATTTTTATGTACCTAGCCTGACAGCCCATCTGTCTCTAGTTCCCTTCCTTATCCCAATAACATTCTATATATCTCTCAAACACAAAGAAGATTAGTAAAGAAAATGACACAGGCAGGGCTAAATTTTAAAAGCCTATTTTTTCCTTACACAGTAGCAGTGATTTATAACAAGATGAAAATTAGCCAGAGAAAACAAAGTATGTTCTTCCTCATGGGTCAGTTAGACCAAGGCTTGGAACATGCGGACCAGCCCAGTAGCCAATGCAATTAGTTGATCAATACGAACTCCTGTGTGCCACTTGGCCTTCTAAGGGCTGACGCTACAATGCATTTCCTTAGGCCTGTGTGGTAACCAAGTGCATGACAGGTGCAAAGCTGTGCTATGGAATAAGCTCAGAGACCATTAAGAATATCCTAAGAATCTCTAATTTCACATGTTATTTAACTCATGAATAGTGGGATCACTATAGCACAGTATTGTACTTAAAAATAATTATTTAAAAATATATATGAAAACTATATTTCCTTTAAACAACATTCCAGTATAGCTTCTGATGCTCTCTGTCATTTATTACTGAGCAGTAGGAAGTCCAAATAAAATATTGGGCAAGACAAGGAAGTAATTGGATTGTTTTGTATGAAGGACTTTATATATCACTGCATATATCTCAAAGTGTTTTCACATGGCTCCTGTAAAACTATTTGGGCAAGTATTAAGGATCTAGACTGTTTTCCTCAGGTAATAAGGAGGAATCAGGCATCAAGAGTTGAGGGAAATGTCCAGGGTCACAGAAGCAGAGTAAAATAGAAGCTGTCACAATTCAAGGATCCCTTCACTTCATACTTGATATATATGTTATATTTATTATATTGAATATATGTAATAATTACAATTTAATTTTCTTAAGATAAAGATATTCAGCATTTATATGTGCTACTAATCAAAGGTATGTTAACCCGTAGGTAACCTCCAAGAAGCAGATAATAATCCGTATTGAGTCACCAAATCAAAGAATCTAGAATTTATAAATAACTCTATCCAACCTCACCTCAAAAATATAAATCCCCTCAATAATATACTTGATACATAACCTTTTTGAAATGTGCTTCATTAAGTCTGGATACCTGTTTGACTCGGTTATAACAAACTCAGTGACGATAAGTCCACTTTCTCCCACAGTTCCTCCAACTGCCACTTACCTATTCACTTCTTGTGCTGGTTAGACATAAGTTCACCATAGTGCTTCTTTTAATGTTTTATTTTCTTTCTAAAGAAAAAAGTACAGAAAAAATGAGGTTTAAGTTCATTAAACAGCCCAAATGTTCATCAACAAGTTTATAGTTCAGATAAACTTCTAGTTAATGCCAACTAATCTATAGTGACAGAAAGCAGAGCAGTGAAATCTGAGTACAGGGCAGGAAACAAAAGAGAGGAAGGAATTAGAAAGTGTCATGAGAAATTCGGGGAAGTGTATGTGTGGTCATTATGTTTCATGGGCGTTTATATGTCAAAACTTGTTAAACTGCACACTTTATATATGTGTAGTTTATATGTAAATTACACTTCAATAAAACTGTAAAAAATAAAAATTTATAAGTTTTATTTTTAAGAAAAGGAGACCGCCAACAAGGTCTCAGAAAGTGAAAATCTCTCCTTCTGGACCCGATTTTTGTGTTCTTATGAATGTGGAATCTATATCTTTCATTTGACTTGGCCATTTACACTACACTGACTGCAATAAGTTATTGCTTACTCCTTTTAGCCTCTTCCCTAATACACTATGTAGAGAAAAAAAAATAGACCAGATGCCACAGAAAATGACAAAGTTATGTGGAATAAATAGTTCCTGCTGTCAGGAAATATGGTGGCCCTATGCTGATGGAGTATCTCCATACTAAATACCCACAGAGATTGTCTCTTTCCATCTTGCCCTTGAGAGTTTGCCAATTTGGGCTGGAAGGGGGATATCTGCTTTTTTCATTCTAGAAGATTCCCTATGAAGAAAACTCCGCCAACGAAACGGTACCTTTTTCTTGTGTCTACAAACTCTTACTAAGCATTCTCTATGTGAAATTTTCCCAAATAGTAATTCCCAGGATCCAGAATTTGGGACACTGCACACTTGCTTAACACATATCTTTGTGCAAGGGCATGCTTCTCCTCAATTTATTGTGGTTCTCTGTTAACATAAATCCCCATTGCATGTAAAAATGGGACCCAACAGCTTTAGTCTCCGTCAAGTCTGTTACTAGAATATGCTCTGCCTTCTTTTATCACTCACTACAGAAGGCTTGTGTTAAGCAATTTTGCCACAGAACAGGGTTGACTCTAACGTAATTATCACAGATATCGATTGTGAATGATCTTTTTCAACAGTTGTGAACAGATACTTTCCATCATTAGAGACAGTAGTTTATTAACTGCATATACATGTACTTGTGCTGCTGCCTAGAGCAAATGTAAAGGCTCCTCTAAGTAAGATCCAAAATATCCTAACCTTACTAGATCTTCAGGAAGTTGAGGACAAAAAGAATTCTTCATAACTCATTCACTTATTATGTCCCAGCAGCTCGAGAAATGCCTTGGGAATGACTTATTTTGGAGGCATTGAGTGTTCTGGCTTTGAGACCCATATGTAATTATGTACACGGGATTGTTGCAGAACTCAAACAAGATATTGACTTCTTTTACCATCTAAAGGATGTACCCTTAGTCACAGTACATTCTGACTAAGAGAACCAGCCCAGCACTAATGTTTACTTAAAAGGTAAATAAATGTATATGGTGATCCTTGTGGTCATTTAAGCAGCACTACTCACATTAGGTACCAACGTATGAAAATAAGAAAACAGTTCCGAGAGATAATAGTAGAAAACAGTTCCAAGACATAATAAAATCAGAAACAACATCTCTGTAGTTCATTACAGTTTGTGTGAGTGTTTTATATTTATTATGCTCCTCAAAACAAATCTAAGCTGTGTAATAATGACTATTAACATTTTACAGAAGATGAAACTGAGTTACAGAAGAACAACTGCCGAATGACTTGACAAAACCTACACAGCCAGAATCTGAAGCTAAATGTTATTGGCTTCAAAGACAGTACTCTTTCTTCTTTTAAGTTTTTTTCTTACTTTTAGAAGTTATTGTTTTATTTTGATTATGGCAATAATATATGACCATTGTAGAAAATCTCGTAAAAGTAGAACAACATAAAATATAAAATTAAGGCTGGGCACTGAAGCTCATGCCTGTAATCCAAGCCCTTTGGAGGCTAAGGTGGGAGGATTTCTTGAGGCCAAGAGTTTGAGACCAGCCTGGGCAACATAGCAAGAATGCCATCTCTAAAAAATAAAATTTAAAAAATGCAAAAAATTAAAATTATCCAAAATCCCATTACCAAGACAGGCATTGGTAAATTCTGTGTATTTCATATTTATAGGATTAAAAACATACTCCTGGGCTCAAGTTATCCTTCCATCTCAGCCTCCTAAGTAGCTGGGGCTATGGGCATCTGCCACCATGCCTCACTAATTAAAAATTTTTTGCAGAGATGGAGTCTTGCTATATTTCCCAAGATGGACTTGAACTCCTGGGCTCAAGCAGTCCTCCCACCTCAGCCTTCCAAGTTGCTGGAACTATATAGGTGCACACCACTGTGTCCGGCTAAATTTGTGTATTTCCATGGATGTATAATATATTTACATATCTACTATCTTTCATCAAATTTTTTGTAAAATAGACTCTGAATTGGAGATTTGCATACAGGAAGTTTAATGGTTTATCCTCTGGAACAATGTCTGTAAGAGAGGGAGGAAAGCAGGAATGTTCCAAGGGAAAAGTTGAAGCATGGTGAGTTACAACAGAGGCATACATTGTTCAGTTCCACATGGAAATTTAGATCTTGGATGGACCTTCCAACTGGTGTTGATTTGATATCAGGAGCCCCTCTGTAACCACACATTGACTAGTGACTGGATATAAGCTGCCCCTTGGGGAGAGGGCTGGACATCAGACAAGGCAGATCCATGGAAATTCTAAGAAAGTGACTCAAATGTGGGCTATCAGCAGCCAATCTTCTATGCATTTGATGGAATAAGTGCCTCTGTCCTGAGGAGGTGACCACAACCTTCACTACAGTTCATCTCTGTGCCACATAGATTTACTTCCCTGGTAGGATGACCAATAGGTGGGTTGTAGACCCAGTGAAAATATTCTGAGTCAAAGCTGCATCTTCATTTATTTATTAAAATATTCTGAATCAAAGCCACATCTTCATTATTATCTGCTATCCATAAGTCTCACTTGAATAGTGGGGCCATGATACACTTGAGGACCCCACAAAAGTCCTTGAAATAACTTAGTATTCTCTGTCCCTAGTATTCTGTATTCCCATTTTACAGTTACCCAAGTAAATGGGTATAGGGTTTATTTTTGTTTAAATGAAAGTATTGAGAAAATCATTACTGTAGACGGTTGCCATGGTGTTGCAGAATTTTTCCTCCTAAAAACTCAGATTCTCCTTCTATCAATGGTTTCTGGTTGTGCAAATTGACCCAGGTCCCGAAATACAGTTTATTATATAAATACACCACATTCTAGGTGATAGATGTTGAGATTATTTCTACTTTTTGGCTATTATGTATAATGATGTTATAAACAAGTGTGTTCATGTATTTGAACATGTTTTTCTCTCTCTTGGGTAGATATCTAAAGGCAGACTTGCTAAGTTTTATGTCAAGCATCGATTTCATTTTTAATAAGCTGCTATAACTGTTTTTCAAAATGGCTGTACCATTTTCCCTTCTACCAATAATGCATGAAGGTTTGTGTCCCCAAAATCACCAACAGTTATGTCAGCTGTTTTGATGTTAGCCATTCTAACCGAGTTTAGCTCGTTATAGTTTGTAGTTCCTTAAAGAGTAACAATATTGAGTATTTTTAATGTACTTTCTTTTGCCCTTAGTGTATCTTCATTGCTGAAGTTTCTATCCAACTATGTTGCCCATTTAAACAAATTGGGATGTTTGTCATCTTATTACTGAATTATAAGAATTCACTGTAAATTCTGGATACAAGTCCTTCGTCAGTTATATATATTGAAATTTTTTTATCAGTCCATAGCTTTTCATCTTGCAACTCTTTTGAACAGCAAAATTTTTCAATTTTGATGAAGTTCAATTATCAATGTTTTCTTTTATTGATTTTGCTTTTGGTGGTATAACTAAGAAATATTTGCTTAACCCCAGTTCAGAAATATTTTTCTCCTAAGTTTTCTTATACAAATTCTATAGTTTCTGTTCTTACATTTAAGTCTATGATTCACTTAAAGTTAATTTTTGTGCACAGCATGATTTAAGAGTCAAATCTTAATTTTTGTATATGAATATCCAATTTGTTGAAGACTGTCCATTCTCCATTAAAGTACCTTGGCATCTTTGTCAAATGAATTGATCATAAATGTGTGTTTATTTCTAGACACTCTAATCTGTTCCATTGATCTACATGTTTATTCCTGTGCATATACCATAGTGTCTTTTATTACTGTGGCTTTTAAAAAATTTGTTAATTGTTTATTTATCGAGAGAAACTATTTCTTAGCCCGCATATTCGTGTTCATAGTTCAGGAACACAAGCCAGTGACAAACTTCTAGGTAATTCAGCCTGAAGAAATTCTTTATATTTCAAGATCATTTCACACTCCAAAAAATACCAGCCTTCCTCATCTCCTCAAAGTCTTTCATGGAATCATAATTTCTGTAAAAATCTGTGTACACCTTCTTTCTTGGTTCAGCCACAGCAAACTTACAGAAAACTGCAAGCTCCAGGGATACCATGAATACTCCAACAATATGAAATTGCAGATGCTCGGCCAGAAGGCCATGCATCCGAGGTTTTGTCAAAGCATGGGAAGCCATGGTAGTTGCTGTCCTTGATAGGTATGTCAACCTCAACTCCAACGTCCTTCCTGACTGATGGAGAAATGGTTGTGTGTTTTTTTTTTTTGTTTTTTTTTTGAAACAGAGTCTTGCCTTGTTGCCAGGCCGGAGTGCAGTGGCTCTTGGTTCACTGCAACCTCCGCCTCCCAGGTTCAAGCAATTCTCCTGCATCAGTCTCCTGAGTAGTTGGGACTACAGGCCACCACAGGAAATACTGGCAGAAACCTCAAATCTGGAGAAGAAAATGAGCATCCAGATTCAGGAAGCCCAAAGAAACCCATATAAGATGAATTTAAAAAAGAACACACACAAAAAGACATCAAGTTGTCAAAAATCAAGGTCAAAAGAGAATTTTGAAAGCAACAATGGAGAAGCAATTTGTCACATACAAGGGAACTCTGTTGAGACTATCAGTGGATTTCTTAGCAGAAACCTTGCAGGCCAGCAGACAGTGGGATGAAATAGTCAAACTGATGAAGAAAAAAACCCCAAAATTCTCAACCAAGAATACTCTACCTGGCAAAGCTGTCTGTCAAAAATGGAGAGACAAAGACTCTGCTAAACAAACAAAGTTAAGGGAGTTCATCATCATTAGACCAGCCTTGCAATAAATGCTAAAGTGAGTTCTTCAAGTTAAAATGAAAGGATGCAATACAACAACACAATGGCATAAGAAAATATAAAACACATTTGTCAAGGTAAATATACAGACAAATACAGAATGCTGTATTATTGTAATAATGGTAAATCACTTTTAATTCTACTATAAAAGTTAAAACACAGAAGTATTAAAAGTAACTATAGCCTAAAAATATTAAAAGAGACAATATAAAGAGATACAAATTGTGGCACCAGTGAGATAAAATGTGAGGGATAAGTGTAGGTATAGTTTTAATAAGCAATTGAACGTAAGTTGTTCACAGTTTAAATTAGACAGTTATAAGAAATTTTATGTAAGCCCCATGTCAACCATAAAGAAAATACCTATGGAAGTAACACAAAAGAAAAAGAGAAAGAAAGCAAAGCTTATCAGTTTTAAAAATAAATGAAACACAAAGACAGTAAGAGAGAAAAAGATAGACAAAATAACTACAAGGCAGACAGCAATGAACAAAAAGGCCATAGTAAATCTTTCCTGATCAATACTTCCTTAAAATGTATAAATATTCAAGTTCCCAATCAAGATACAGAGTGGCTGAAGGATTTTTTTTAAAGATCCAACTATATGCTGTCTACAGGAAACTCAGTTTATATTAAAGGACACAGGCTAAAAAAATGTATGATAAAATATATTTCATGAAAATAGTAACCCAAAGAGGGTAGATGTGGCTTTACTTATATCTGATAAAATAGTCAAAATTGTCACAAGAAACAAGAAGTATATAATCCAATGATAAAAGGACCAATTCACTTGGAAGATATAACAATTATAAATATATATGCATCCAACAAGAGAAGACTTAAATATATAAAACAAGCATTGATAATACTGAAGGGAAAATAGTGCTGCAATAATAGTAGGAGATTTTAGCACTCCATTTTCAATAATTGATAGAAAAACAACCAGATAGTAAACTAACAAAGAAGCAGTGGACACAAACAACTCTATACATCAAAAGGACTTAACAAATCTCTACAAAACATTCCATTCAACAGCAAAAGAATTGTCATTCTTCTCAAGCACATACAGGACATTTTTCAAGATCGATCATGTTAAGTCACAAAACAAGTTTTAACAAAGTTAATAATATTGAAATAATACCAAGTACCCCTTCAACCAAAATGTAATAAAACTAGAAATAAATAACAATAGGAAAACCGAAAACGTTGCAAGTATGTGGAAATTAAATATACATTTTTGAACAACCAATGGGTCAAAAAAGAAATCCAAACAAAACATATCTGGAAACAAATAAAAATATAAATAGAACTTAACAAAATTTTCTGAATGCAGCAAAAGAAGTACTAAGAAGGAAGTTTACAGTGACAAATGCCTATGTTAAAAAAGAAGAAAGGTCTCAAATAAAAAACCCCATTGTATATCTCAAGGAAATTGAAAAATAAGAGCAACTAAATCCAAAGCAGACTAAAGGAAATAATAAAGATTATAGCAGAATAAATAAAATGAAGAAGAGAAAAACAATAGAAAATCAATGAAACTAAGAGTTGGCTTTTGAGAAGATAAAATTGAAAATATTAAGCTAGAGTAACCAAGAAAAAAGAGAGAAGACTCACATAAAATCAGAAAACAGAGAGAATACATTACAACTGATACCACAGAAATGCAAAGGATTATAAGAGATTACTATTAACAATTATACACCAGAAACCTGGGAAACCTAGAAGAAATGGATAAATTCTTGGAAACATACATCCTACCAAGACTGAATCATGAAGAAATAAAAAGTCTGAACAGGCCTTTAACTAGTATGGATATTTAATCAGTAACCAGAAATCTTCCAACAAAGAAAAGCTCAGGACCAAACACCTCACTGATGAATTGTATGCAACACTTGAAGAATTCATACCAATTTTTCTCAAACTCTTCCAAAAAATTGATGAGAAAGAAACACTTCCAAACTTATTTTATGAGGCCAGAATTACCCTGATAAAAAAACTAGACAAAGCCACCACGACAAAAGAAAACTACATGTCAATATCTCTAATGAATATAGATGCAGAAATCATCAGCAAAATATTAGCAAACCAAATTCAACAGCACATTAAAAGAATCATTCACCATGACCAAGGGGGATTTATCCCCAGGATGCAAGGATGATTCAACATATGCAAATTAACAAATGTGATACATCACATTAAAAGAATGAAAGATGAATAAAAGCCATATGATCATCTCAAAAGACATAAAAGAGAATTTGATAAAATTCTACAAATTTTTATGATGAAAACTCTCAACAAACTAGGAACAGAAGAAAAGAACCTCAATATAATGAAGGCTATATATGAAAAGCCCTCAGCTAACATTATGCTCAATAGTGAAAAGTTGAACACTGTTCCTCTAAGCTCAGTAAAAAAGCAAGGAAGCCCACTCTTGCCACTTCTATTTAACATAATACCAGAAGTCCTAGCCACAATTAGGCAAAAAAGAAATAAAAGTCATCCAAATTGGAAAGGAAGAAGTAAAATTATCTCTATTTGAAGATGACATAATAATATATATAGAGAAAACCCTAAAGACTCGACCAAAAAATATTAGAACTATTAAATGAATTTAGTAAGTTGCAGGATACAAAATCATCACACAAAAATCAGTGGCATTTCTATACACAAACAATAAACTATCCATAAGCTAAATTAAGAATTCAATACTACTTATAACTAGCAACAAAAGGAATCAAATAGTTACACATAAGCTTAACCAAAAAAGTGACACTTTTACACTGAAAATTATAAAACATTGATGAAGGAAATTAAAGAAGACAGATAAACGGAAAGACATCCTGTTTTCATGGATTGGAAGAATGCATATTATTAAAATATCCATATTTCCTATAGTGATCTACAGATTCAGTGTAATCCCTATCAAAATCTCAGGGCCTATTTTTTTATATTAACAGAAAAAACAATCCTAAAATTCACATAGAACCACAAAAGACCATGAATAGCCAAAGCAGTCTTGAGAAAGAAAAACAAACCTGGAGGCACATAACACTTCCTAATTTCAAAATATGTTATAAGTATACAGTAGAAAAATTATACTACAGGCATGAAAACAGACATATAGGCTGATGGAACATAATGAAGAGCTCAGAAATAAATTCATGTGCATTAGTCTGTTCTCATGCTGCTAATAAAGACCTACCCAAGACTGGGTAATTTATAAAGAAAAGAAGTTTAATTGACTCATAGTTCCACTTGGCTGGGGAGGCCTCAATCATGGCAGAAGGTGAAGGGGAAGCAAGTCATGTCTTACATGGCAGCAGGCAAGAGAGTTTGTGCAGGGGAACTCCCCTTTATAAATCCATCAGATCTCATGAGATTTATTCACTGTCACAAGAACAGCACAGGAAAGACGCACCCCATGATTCAATTACTTCCCAGCAGGTCCCTCCCACGACATGTGAGAATTATGGGAGGTACAATTCAAGATGAGATTTGGGTGGGAATACAGCCAAACCACATCATCATGCATCTATAGGGTTAACTGATCTTCAGCAAAGGTGTCAAAAACACACAATGGGGAAAGATAGTCTGTTCAACAAATGGTGGTAGGAAAATTGAATGTCCATATGTGAAAAATAAGAAACTGGATCTTTATCTTACAATGTACACAAAAAAGTCAACTCAAAGTGGATTAGAGATTTAAGCATAATGCCTAAAACTATAAAACTTACAGAAGAAAACGTAAGGCAACATTGGTCTTGCCAATGCTTTTATGGATATGAAATGAAAAGAAGAGGCAAAAAATGCAAAAGTAGACAAACAGGACTATATTAAACTAAAAAGCTCCTGCACAGCAAGTAAAATAATCAACAAAATGAAAAGGCAATTTATGGAGTGGGAGAAAACATTTGCAAACCATATGTCTGATAAGGGGTTCATTTCCAAAATATACAAGAAAAGTAAACAACTCATTAGCAAGAAAACTAATAACTTGATTTTTAAATGAGCTAAAGACTTGAATACACATTTTTTTAACGAGGACATGCAAGGGACCAAAGCATATATGAGAAGATACTCAATGTTACTAACCATAGTGAGATATTACCTCACACCTGTCAGAATGGGCATTACAAAAAGAAGGGACATTTGTTCAATTGTTGGTGAAGATGTGGAGAAATGAGAACTCCTGTACACTGTTGGTGGGAATATTAAATGGAGCAGTTGGTATCAAAAACCAGTATGGCATGTAAATGGTTAATATTTCATGTCAACTTGACTGGGCCAAAGGATACCCAGATAGCTGGTAAAACATTATTTCTAAGTATGTATGTGTGAAAGTGTCTTAAGAAGAGATTAGAATGTGAATCAGTAGACTGAGTAAAGAAGACTGCCCTCACCAATGTGGGTGGGCATCAGCCAATCCATTGAGGATAGAACAAAAAGGTGGAGGAAAGGCAAATTTCTTTTCTGTGCTTGAGCTGGGACATACATCTTCTTCTGCCCGACATACATGCTTTGGTTCATGGGCTTTAGGACCCATATTGGGACTTACACCATTGGCCTTCCAATTCTCAGGTCTTTTACCTCAGACTGCATTATACCACCATCTTTCCTGGTTCTCCATATTGCAGATGGCAGGTGCTGGCACTTTTTGGCCGCATAACTTTATTAGCATATATATATATGTGCTAAATATATATATAATTAAATATAGAATTACTATATGACCTAGCAATTCCACTTCTGGATATTTATTCAAAAGAATCAAAATCAGGATCTCAAAGAGATACTAGCATTCCCATATTCATTTCAGTACTATTTACATTAGCCAAGAAGTAGAAACAACCTAAACGCTCATGGAAAGATGAATGAATAAAACTGAGATATATGCATACAATGGTTATTATTTAGCCTTAGAAGAAAATTCTGCAAAATGCAACAGCATTGAATGAACTTTCAATGAACCTTGAAGACATTATGCTGAATAAAATAAGCTAGTCACAGAAGGACAAATGCTGCATGAGTTCACTTAAAGGAAATACCTAAAGCAGTCAAACTTAGAATCACAGAGTAGAATGTTGCTTTCCAGGGACTTACGGGGAGAGAGACAGAGTTGCTAATCAGTGGGCATAGAACCTCATTTATACAAGATGAATGCATTCTAGATATCTGCTATACAACATTGTGCCTACAGCTAACAATACTGTATTGTACGCTTAAAAATTTGTTAAGATGATAGATCTCAGGTTAGGTGTTCTTAGCACAATAAATATATTTTTTAAAAGATCCAAAATTTAAATGCTTAGCACATGGGGGTTTATTTCTCATTCCTTCTACATGCACATCATGAATTGGCTAGAAGCTTTAATCCAGGCATCCATATTCACAGGTTGATAAATAGCCGTCATTCCAAATTTGCCTAACTGTGTAAGAGAGAAGTGGCAAATAGACACAGTTTCTTAAAACTTTCACTAATAGTGATGTAAGTCGCTTCTACTCACATTCCTTTATCCAAAGAGGAGATGGGGGGAAAGAGTGCAACCATATCATGTTCCTAGAAAGAAAACCAGAAATATTTTTTTAAATTATTATTATACTTTAAGTTTTAGGGTACATGTGCACAACGTGCAGGTTTGTTACATATGTATACATGTGCCATGTTGGTGTGCTGCACCCATTAACTCATCATTTAGCATTAGGTATATCTCCTAATGCTATCCCTCCCCTCTACCCCCACCCCACAACAGTCCCTGGTGTGTGATGTTCCCCTTCCTGTGTCCATGTGTTCTCATTGTTCAATTCCTACCTATGAGTGAGAACATGCGGTGTTTGAAAACCAGAAATATTTTGTATGACCATAGTGCAATAGACTGGATGTTTGCATCCTCCCAAAATTCGTATGTTGAAATCTTAACCCATTGTGTGATGGTATTAGGAGGTGAGGACTTCGGGAGGTGATTAGGCAGCCTTGAATCACAAACTTAGTGTCTCTTATAAAATCTGAAATGAGAAGTGAAAGTAAGTAAGTCAGTCCATTAGACTACAAATCTGTCTCCTACACTCCTAATAAAACTCTTTAGTGGAGAACACTTCTAAAGAGAGCAATACTCTGAATGGAGTTAGTGCCCTTATAATAAAAGAGATCCAAGAGCTCCCTCACCCTTTCTACCAGGTGAAGACAAAGTAAGAAGACAGGCCGTTTGTGAACGAAGAAGCAGTCCCTCACCAGACACCGGATCTGCCAGTGCCTGGATCTTGAATCTGCTGGTGCCTTGATCTTGGATTTCCCATTCTCCAGAATTGTAAGTAATACATTTCTGTTTATAAGCCATCTGGTATTTTGAACTGGGTGGTATTTTGTTAAAGCAACCCGAACAAGTCTAAGACAATTGTATTCTTTTCTTTAAAAGTATAAAATTCAACCAGTATTATTAATGTCCTTCAGTGGGATTCACAATTATAATAAGATTAAAATAAATGTAAGCATATAAGGTCAACGTAGTTATCTTACTACTCTTAGAGAATCAGTTGACAGAATTCAAGTCTGTGGCATTTCAGCAGCCCTGCCAGTTTGCAGATCCTTGAAGCCTCTTTGCTAAAACTAAGGAGACTCTCTTCCAGGAAGAGAAAGCTCTTGTTTGCCACAAAACACTCTTTGGGTATACGAATATGTTTTCTTTTTAAAAACAAATAGCAAAGGTCGACTTAGGTCAACTTAGCTACCATTTTTCCAGTGAGAGAAATGATACTCTTAGAACACAAGTGACTTGCCCAAGATCGACTCCGGGTAACAGATTCCGATTCAAGCCCTTTGATTGAAACATCCAATACTCATGTTTTGTCTTGGAACACATATGCATTATTTAGGAAATCACAGGACTCTGGGGAAGGGTAAGAAACGTAAGCACAGTTATAAGGATGTTGGGGAAATTAACAGTGGCTTTAAGTTTGCCAACTCTGGTTTAAATATTTCTTGCATTAGGAATTTTTAAAAAAGCTCTGCAAAATTACAGTGTATTCATGTAATTTATCATCTTTTTTCTCCACCCTAATCATAGTTGTTAAATTTATGTGCCTAAAATGCAGACCACTTTTGAGTGCAAGTTTGCTTGGCATATACCAAAAAGTGATCCAAATTGGATACAAGGCTAGGGAGATGCAGTTCGAGCCCACATTGCCATTTGCCTCACCAGCTGGCACTGTCTCACAAGATGCTACCAGATGAGCCTTCATGAGCCTTCTAAATCAACAGAGAAATTCAGAGTGGAGATATCAAATATGCCATTACTGCTAAAAGCAAGAAAATGATATTACATACCTATTTGATACACTGAAACAGTCTTGAATCACCAATTGAGTATCTCTTACAAAAACTGGAATGAGAAGTGGAGTAAGTACATTAGACTACAAATCTGTCTCCTACACTCCTAATAAAACTTTTTAGTGGAGAACACTTTTAAAGACAGCAGTAGTCTTTTCTCCTCCATTTATAAGGACCCTCAATGTGTTTGGATAAAGGAGAGGGAGATAATGATGTACTAGGTAGAGACCTCAAAAAGAAAAAATGTGGCAGATCTGGGAACTGGTAAATAGAGGAAATGGTATCCTCTATTTAGCCACTTTGGCTAAAAACGCCACTCTTTCCAATCTATAATCCTAATTTCAGAACATGGCACTCATCACACACCATCTTGAAATGTAACGATTGTTGTACCTGTGTCATTGTCCTTACCATAATAGTGTAATGAAAAGATGCATGACTTAGAACCTGATCAGCCTGATTTGAATTTAAAACAACAAGTATCTGCATTGTCTTGAGTAACTTACTGATTTCTGTGGGTCTTGTTTCCTCATATGAAATAAGGCTAACATAGTTATCCCTCACAATCTATGGGGGTTTTGTCCCAGGACCTCCTTAAAATATCAAAATCCAAGAATGCTCAAGTCCTTTTTATAAAATTGCATGTTCTCACTTATAAGTGGGAGCTGAACAATGAGAACAGATGGACACAGGGAGAGGAACAACACACACTGGGGCCGGTTGAGGGGCTGGGGAAAGGGAGAGCATCAGGATAAATAGCTAATGTGTGCTGGGCTTAATACCTAGGTGATGGGTTGATAGGGGCAGCAAACAACCATGGCAGACATTTACCTATGTAACAAACCTGCACGTCCTGCACATGTATCCCAGAACTTAAAATTAAATTAAATATTTTAAAAAAATTTTAAAAATTTAAAAAAATGCATCGTATTTGCATAAAACCTATGCACATGCTCCCCATATAGTTTAAATCAACCCCAGACTTCTTATACTACCTAATATAATGTAGATGCTATGTAAGTAGTTGTTATTAATGTATTTTTAGGGGATAATGACAAGAAGAAAAGTCTATGCATGCTAAGTACAATTGCAATTGTTTTTCCAGGTAGTTTTGATGCTTAGTTGGTTTAATCCATGAATGTGGAACCCACAGATGCAAAGAGTCAATTGTACCTACATTTCAAGATTGCCAAAAAAAAATTAAATGAGTATATATATATATTTATGTATACATATATCATGTCTGGTACATAATAGGAATATAATGACAAGTATTATTTTTATTGTTATCGTACAATTTTGAGACTTATGCAAAGGCTAGCAATTTTATAGAAAAGATAATAGAGTTTTTCTTGAAAGAATAATGAATGAATGAAGACATAAAAATACAGAAGTTATATAAAGAAATGCAGGCCATGTGCCATGCTAGCTCAGTAGGATGGCAGTACCATGTGGGATCTGTAAAAGTTCAAATGCTGATGTCGTGCTTTGTTAATGAAAAAATAACAACTTTTTATTTTAAAATGTTTCTAAATAATAGCTCCCAGAAAATTTATGAATATTCATATTTTTGATAATTCATTTCACTCTTTCTTCAAATTTTCTCAGGACATAGATAAATACACATACAGCAAGGTCTTTTTATATTTAATATAAAAGTAAGATTTATGTTGCTTTTTGCTTCATAGTATTTCTCAGTTTGTAACTATAGTCTTATTTGTGTGAGTACTTGATTAATAATTTCTTATTCTACTAGACTTAAAGCTCCATGAGGGCAGGGACTGGGTTGCTTTTGAATTATCTTGGTGGCGTAAGTTTTTGACACAGTGGCTTGTGCATAGTAGGTATTCAAAATAATGATTTGAGGAACAGAAATTATCCTTTTCACTTCCTAAAAGTATGCCAAGAGGATCGACATTCTATATTTGGTTTTAGTTTTCATTTTAAACAACTCAATTATAAAGGAATTGTGAAGAATTTATAATGGATTGTTTTAGACCATTTTAGACAATCAGATACTCCATTACTTGCATGTGTTAGAGAGCTTTTCAAAAATCAAGTGTCAGAGGTGGAAACCTAAAATAGCACTCTGCTTTCAACTAGTGATACTATACAGACTGTGCTCTGACTCAGCATCATATAGAATAATCTCTCAGGATGCTCTTCCTTGCTCTAGTGGCACACTCAAAAAAGACACCAATGTTTATGGAAACTGGGATCAGAGCTAGCAACAGTCTTTGCTTCAGGCCATATGTTCTAAATGCAGAAGAAAATTCCAAAAGTAAAAATTCCATTCCAGGATCCCTGGACTCAGCTATAATTATCCGCTCTTGACAAGTTCTGGCCTCTGACATCTGGATCAAGAATCATATGTGAAAGAAAAAAAAAAGTCTTAAAGAAGGTGTGGTTGGTTTTCAAGTAGAAGAGAACTTGTAGAAATGATTAAACATCAAACTGCTGGTAAACACACATGCAAACACGGTTTTATCTGTTTACAAACAACCCTGAATATCCTTAATGTAGAATAATATTAATAGGATTAAAGATACTCACTTCATACGACTATTTTAAGGAGGAAGTGAAATTATATACATAATGTACCAAGCCAAAATTGGAATCTGAATACCAGCTGATATGCAAGGTGAGTACTCAATCAATGGGGAGTGAAGGAGTTGAGCCAATCACTCAAGAGCCACCTCAACCACTTGTATTCAAGAGCTGAAGATTAGTTTTCAGTTTAATCTTCTACCTTCACATATATTCCAAATGTAATCACTTCCCATGACCTTTACCACTCCCATCTAGTGCTGGCTACCAGAATGTCTCCTTCAGACTTCTGTCTTTCCCTAGCCCTATCACCTCCCCTTACCTCTCTCACTTTACCTTCCCACCTACCACCTCCCAATTGGGTATATTATCCACAAAGCAGTCAGAGTGATCCTTTTACAATAAAAATCTAATCTTGTCATTCCCCTACTCAAAGCTGTCCAACAACTTCCCCATTAAATCTAAATTCCTTGCCATAGCCAACAGTAGCTGGCCACTGACCTCACCAACCATCCTTTCTTAAACTTCACAATGGCTGATGTTATAGTTTATTTGATGATTACTTGTTTTATTTGCCCGAATGCAAGCTCCATGAGAACAAAGACAATATTTGTTTCATTATTCTACTCCCAGATATGTGCATTAGTGCACATAATAGGCACTTAATGACTGTTTATGGAATGAAAGGATGCATGAGTATATCTCATCCATATTTAATATCAGATATATCATTGGGAGATGAAGTCAGTAGAAAAAGAACTCCTAGTTACAGCTATAAGGAAGACAGAATACAGTTTTCAGTGGTAGAACAAAAGGAGTCAAAACAGGAATAAATGCAATGTAGAAACATAAATATAGGCAATAGTGTTATTAATTTTCAATTGCTGTTTAACAAATAACCACAAACTTAGTAGCTTAAAATAGCACCCATTTATTAGCTCATAGTTCTGTAGGTCATTGCAGGCAAGCTTGACCAAATTCTCTCCTTAGGGCCTTACAAGGCCAAAATCAAGTTGTTGGCCAGGAGGGGCTCTTACCTAGAAGATCTGGGGAAGAATTCACTTCTAAGCTTCTTCTGGTTATTGGCAGGATTTAGTTCCTTGCAGTTGTAAGATGGAAATAGAAGCTTCCTTGCTTGCTATTGGCTGAGGCCACTCTCAGCTTGTAGAGGACACCCGCATGCTTTGCCATGTGACCCCTCCACCTTCTAAGATAGCAGGGCCATGTTGAATCCATGTCTTACTTGGAATCTCTCTGACTTCCTCTTTTGCTGCCCACCAGAGGAAATTCTCTGCATTTAAAGGGCACAAATAATTGATTAGATTAGACCTACCTGGGCCTGATTAACTCCCTTTTGACTAACTCAAAGTCAACTGATTAGCAATATTAAGTACATTCATAATAGCAGGCATGATAGCTCATTATACTCACAGTCTCAAAGATTAGGGCAGGAAATCTCGAAGTGGGGTGGGGCAGAGAGGCATTTTAAACTCTGCTTATCACAAAAAGCTTATCCTAAACTAGATACCCCAAACTAGAACATTTAAAAGTGTTGCTCTTTGGGATCTCTTTCTTGCCCTTGACAATTAGCTTAAGACTCATATTTTCAATTTGGAAGCATTCGCATGTAACTTTTGCTTTTATCCTAGGAGCACAAACTTCACAGAGAGGCCTGCAGTCCACTGAGCTGAAAATCAAACCCATAAACAAAATGTCATGCTATAAAGATTAGAGAGAAAAGACCAAATTTCCCTAGAACCTGTTCTCATTCTTATTTCCTGTAGTCATCAGGATCTTCTTGCATAGAAAGAATGTGCAAATTCTCAACCCCTGGACACTGATTCTGTTTCCTACAAGCCGCAGTGTTATGCTTGTATTAATGTGCTGTATGGAAATACCATATGCTTCCAGATTTTATTTGTGTAGTGCCTTCTAGTTTTCAAAATACTCTAAGATATTTAATCATCTCAACCCTGTAAAGTTGGGAAATAACTTTTTTCTCTGTTTTACAAATGACAAAATTGGTGCCCAGAGTGACTAAATAATTTGCAGTTCCATGAGAATTTACTGGCACACTTAGTACTAAAGTCCTAATTCCTAAATCTGTGTTCTTTCATATTCGAGACTAGAAGCAAGAATGTCAGTAGACAGAGTTCTGTCCAGAATTTCTTCCTTGGCTGGTGCCTGTTAATCTTGTGGGCCTGTCTGTTCTTGTTTATTGTAGGTAGCATTTAAGAAGAACCCCATGAAGTGTTTGGCTAGTGATCTCACTTCAGTGCCTGGGTTTTAGCACAGGGCAATAAAGGAAAACCCTCAGTGTAAAGGAGGAAATATAAGAGGAACTGCCCCTTGAATAGGAAGGAGGTATCCCAAGGAATAGCAAAAGGGACTCTCTCAGGATGCTGTCTCTGACTACAAGTAAAACAGTCCATTACAGGGTATCCGAGCCAGGGATGCAGGTGGTGGAGGTTCCAGCTTGCTCATGCAGCTGTGGCCTGCTATGGTGAATTGAATCCACATCTAGGACCTATTGGAGCAGTTCTATAGCAAAAGGGGGAATGAACTAAATTACCTACTATCAGTAATACTCATCAGTAATACTGTTAAGAGAATTTGATTACAAAAGTCCATTCTCATCCACAATGATTAATTTCTTAATATGTAGCTTCCAGCCAACTTAAATAAGAAATAAATACTGTCTATGTGCAGAATTACCAAATGATAAAACACGTACAGCTTAAGAGTACTGGCTTTGAGAGCAAACTGATTAGGATACCAGTTTCATATCCGTTGCTTATTAGCTACGTGACTGGGAAATTTATTTAACCTATCTGGGCTTTACTCTTCTCATTGATAAACTTGGAATGAGAATATTACCTACCTCAGAGAGTTCTTGTGAGGATTAAAGCACTTTGCTCATAGTAAGCATAATTAAATGTTTGCTATTGTTACCATAACTCAGTATTAAAGAATATGTCTTATATTTTTTCCAATATTTACTGGCATAAATATAATGATGAGTCTCATGCAATATGATTATGGAGACTCATAATTATTAAAATAAGGTGATCTGTGAGACAATTTGTGTTTAAATTTATACTTAAAAAAAAGGTAATTAATAAGATTTAATCCAGAAGTAACCAAATTGCCAGGCAATTGTATCTGTTTGTAAACATAACTGCTGGAATATATATGAATATAGTTAGTTATTGTGTATCACCCAAAACAGCTTCTGCAAGAGAAAAAGAGTGGGTGGAAGATGTGGTAGAAAACACTCATTTTTAAGATTAAGTGTGAAATGTGTTGGAAATCACCATGGAGATGGTGTAAACAGCCAAATTACCCCAAATCCAGCAAAAGTTTGAAATTAGAATTCCTCTGGATTTTATAAAGCAAGATACTCTTAGTGCCTCAAAGCCCCAATAACAAATAGTGTTTTCAGGGATAATTCTCCCTTCCCAAATGTTGAAATTAAAATGCCATGTAATATATCAAATTACTAAGTCAGTCAATGGATAAAAGTTTTAGAGGACAAATGTAAAGTCCCACCTTTTACAGTTTTAAGAAAATGTTTTATATCTAATTATCCTGGCAGTAAAAAAATGGAAGAAAGAGATTTCTTTCAAGTAAACTGGCCACCACTTCCGTCCAGGCTTCTTTGTGTCTTCCCTAATAACTTTGAGAGATTATAGACTGTTATTGGGCATGTATTGTCTAAGGAGGCATGCTGCTAACCTTTCTTATAGTAATAAAATCATTCCATATTATTTTATAAATAGAAAATGAGTTTGGCTGATAACAATAGCCTTCAGCTGATTTTTGATACCCAGGAGCACCAGGCACTTAAATTGTCTTAAAATACAGCAAAATGTTTTTGGTTCCAGTAAACATTGTATCTCCACAAACCATTTTAAGTAAAACCCATGAAGCCAAGAGTTAATGTTGTTAGAAACAAATGCTCGGTGCCACAAAGAAAATGAGCACTTAAACAAGATTTTCCCAGCAAGGCAAATTTTACTTCTGCAGAAGGGTGCTGCTTGTGCCAGGCATGGTCTCAAGAGCACACCGAACAAAGGAGAGAAGGGGTTTTTATCCCTAATGCAATTCTTGCTTCTGTGTCCTTCACCTGTTGGCTGGGGTTGAACTGCACAATCTAAAGAATCCCGACTGGCTAAAGCTTAAACTTCCCTAAATAAGGTAATAACACAAGAGTGTTGATGGCTGAAGCAGAAGAGGGAAGAAGTAAGGGTGATAAGGCTGCCGACAAGGCAGGTTTGGGCGTGTCTGAGCACCGCGAGGGTGGGAAGGGTAGTTTACAAGATGAATAAGGACTTTTTCCAAATAAGGAAGTTGATCTTGGGAACAAAGAACAGGGAAGCTAACAGTTAAACCTTTGAAGAGGAACATATTGTATCTGACAATGTAGAGAAATAATGTTATTTAAAAATCCAGAAGGAAAGAAATAGGATATGCCTCAGACAGAAAGTAAATGTTCAGTTTCTTCCTGCATTAACCAAAACATAGATTCCAAAATATTATACAAGTAGAAGCCGACACTAGAACACTAGAACCCAACACTAAAGTGTGCACATCCTGACAATCAGTCCATTTCTAGTTCTTCAGCTGCCACTCTCCTGGTTGTCTGCATGCACTCAGTGTAAACCCCCATTCACATGACTTTTAACTTTTAAGTCAGAAATCCTCCTCCATTTGGCACACACGTGGTGGGAGGTTCCAAATGAAAAGTCTAGGACTATTCCTCTTGAAGTTCTTAACTTAGCTCTCTTTTCTGTAACTGTAATCCTGACACCCAAGGTAACACTGCCCCTTACACAGAGATTTTGGAGACTCGAGTCCTGTTGGCCACATCACCAGCATCACCTTCCTTCTCTATAGCCTATGTCACTTACCCAACAACATGTTACTGGAGCACTAAAATGGGCATGGGCAAGGATAGGAGCTGCCAGATAGGTGAGAATAAGGGATGTAGAGATAATCTTTAAATACATTTTCTATCTAGTGGCACAAGATGTTTATGAGGTGGACGTTTTAACACACACTGGAACCTATCAGAGGGTGAAGGGTGGGAGGAGGGAGGGGATCAGGAAAAATAATGGGTACTAGGCTTAATAGCTGGGTGACAAAATAATCTGTACAACAAACCCCCATGACAGAAGTTTACCCATATAACAAACCTGCACATGTACCCCTGAACTTAAAAGTTAATTTAAAAAATCAAGGTAGATGTTTTATTCCTTTCAATAAATAGCTTTAAAAAAAGTAAGCATAGGAACCAGACCAGGAAACACAGATCCAACTCTTTAATGGCTTCCAAATTTTCTGAGAAGGTGAGAGGGCTCTGAGATGCTGTTTATTTTTGGAACAAAACAGGAACCAATTTGTAAGTAGGCAATAGCCTACCTGGTACAATTTACCTTCCCTAAAATATCACCATTGGGGTTGTTTCATGGTTCTTAACCCATTCTTTGGATATAAACGACCCCTTCTATCTTAGGAAAACCTTCTTAAAGTACAAAAAACTTGAAAGCAGATATTGTTCTGCACAAATAGCAGGAACATTTCACTTGTTTTAACACCCAAATAGCAGTAATCCAAATCTGCATTGTTTGATCTCTGGAACTCTAATATCTCTGGAAATCCTGGAATGTATATTCTACAGATATGTACTGTTTCTTGTCATCTCAGCAACCTTCAACTGCCCCTAAGCAGGTCACCTCTCAGCCTCTTTCCTATTCTCCCAGTATAGAAACAAACATAAGACCCTCCCCCAAAGCACAGTTAATTAGAACTAACTTTAATGTTTAGCACAATGTGACTAAAACCTGTGGATAACAAAGCAGAAATAAAAACTTGATCTGCACATTAAACTGAATACTAGATATGACTGCCCTGGGCCATCCCAACCCCCCAAATCCCCTTACCAGTTCTCATCCCTCAGCCACTGAGCTCGAGGGACCAACGAGGCAGCTCACGGTGGGAGTGACATTCCACCCACGCTTCACAGTCAGGCTACTCACAGTGTGTGTAGGGCTTCCTTTCTAGGGGAGGGTGGTTATTTCTCCCATAGCTACAATAAGTACCCTGTACAGTTAAAATATAGAATAGAAAAAGGGACAATGCTACAAAGAAAGCTGGCTATTAAACTATGTTATCACGTAGAGCAGTTGAGCTCCTCAAATGCCAAAATCTCCATTCCAGAATAGGACCCTGACTTTTCCATGTATAGAACCAAAAAGTAATTAGAGACTTTACCTAAACAAAGGAACAATATAGTTGTTTCTAAAACAAAAACAGAAACACTACTGGCGATTTTAGCATAGCAGTCCCTTTCCACACACTTCTACTCCAGGGTATAAAAACTGTCAAAAAAAATAGTGGACCTTTTTCCTAGCTTGAGCTTCCTGCAATGAAAGGATTAGCCAGTTTAATCCTAACAAGAAGCCTATGAAGTGGGCATTATTTCCCCATTTTACAGAAGAGGAGACTGGTCGGAGGAGGTCCAGTAATTTTACCCACCATCACCCAGGCCCGTCTGACTCTAGCACCTTGATAGACAGCTAATAAGAATGTGGCGGTGGTAATGACACGAGAAATGAGGCTTAGCTAGAAGGAAAAGAAGGGACCCAGACAAGGGCCACAGGAAGACACCAAAGGAACAGCCTGCTTATGGCAGGGCCTGCACACTCCATCTTCATACCTGCATCTGGGAGAGATGGCATAACTCATGCCACCAGCATCCTCGACTTCCTGGCTTGAGTTAGTGCTGACATGCTAATTAGTTCAAGTTGCCTCTTGAGTCAACTTGGCATTTAAGATTTATTCATCCTTCGTAACACACTCATTTTCTAAAATCTCTTTTAAAAAATTTTATTGGTTCACGTTGAAGAAGTCTGAAGTCAAAGCTCTAAAGTCATTTACCCTGCTATATGAAGGCAGCCAATACTATTATCATTTTAGAGCCCAGTTTATGTCTTCCGTCATTGCTATTGGCATACACTGATTAGAGAGTCTCCAGAGACAGGCCACCAGAATGTAATTTAATCACATGCATTTCAAGCATTTGTAGTGCAGCAGCAACTGCACTCATCCACAACTACGACTGTGAACCTCTCAACAGAGTTAACTAACAATATCTCAAAGAAAGACGTGGGACCTAAAATTCAAGTCATAATTTTATCATAAAGAGAGACAAATGAGAAAAACACAATAATTGCCCTTGTATGGAAAACTCCTCTTACAAATGATTCTATTTAACAAATCCAAATTTCTGATGATGTATACAATACCAATCACAAGCCTATTCAATATACCTAAAATAATATTTTGATACTGGTTTTGACTTTATAATGAGGCTGTTAAAAAACTCCAAAAGTTCTGGAGCACTATGGTTGAATAAACCTAACACTACTGAATTATACACTTTAAAGATAGTTAATGTGGTAAATTTTATGTTATGTGTTTTTCACAACATATAATTTTTTTTTTTTTCTGAGATAGAGTCTCGTTCTCACTGAGGCTGGAGTGCAGCGGCGTACTCTCTGCTCACTGCAACCTCTGCCTCCTGGGCTCAAGCAATTCTCCTGCCTTAGCCTCCCAAGTAGCTAGTATTACAGGCGCCCACCACCACACCTGGCTAATTTTTGTTTTTTTTTTTTGAGATGGAGTCTCCCTCTGTCGCCCAGGCTGGACTGCAGTGGCGCGATCTTGGCTCACTGCAAGCTCTGCCTCCTGGGTTCACGCCATTCTCCTGCCTCAGCCTCCCGAGTAGCTGGGACTACAGGCGCCCGCCACCACGCCCGGCTAATTTTTTGTATTTTTAGCAGAGACGGGGTTTCACCTTGCTAGCCAGGATGGTCTCAGTCTCCTGACCTCGTGATCCGCCCACATCGGCCTCCCAAAGTGCTGGGATTACAGGCATGAGCCACCGCGCCCGGCCTAATTTTTGTATTTTTAGTAGAGACGGGGTTTCACCATGTTGGCCAGGCCGGTTTTGAACTCCTGACCTCAAATGATCCGCCTGCCTTGGCCTCCCAAAAGTGCTGGGATTACAGGCGTGAGCCACCGTGCCGGGCCTAAAAAATGTTTAAGTTAAAAAAAGTAAATTGAAAAAACTCTAAACTCTAAAATTAAAGTTAATTGAAATTAAATTAAAGTAATATTCCATGGATTGAATAATAATAATCATAACAAATGATGATAATGATAATTTTAAAAGATTGATTCGAGGATGTTACAAGTTGCTATGTTGGCTAATGTATAAGTATTATCATTAAATTAGGCTATAGGCAGTTTTGTTTAAAAGGTGGGGATAAAAATAACATTTAACAAATATTTCCATTAAATTTATTTAAAAAGTATAATTATTTAAAAGTATATGCTTCTTGTGCTTAAAATTTGCATGCTAGAAAAGCTTTTTCTCTGGAGACATTGAATAATGAATTTATATTATGCTAGGGTCTCAGTGAGGAGGAGCTCATTGAAGATAAATGCAAAGTATACAGAGCTCTGAGGGAGCAATAATGATTTTTGTAAAATTTTGCAAACAACATATGAATGTTTTAAATCCTAAATATTTAGGATCTTAAATACTAAATATTTAATTAGGATTTATTAGTTGTGAGATCATATGATCAATGAGATTTAACCAATGACTACAGGGGTCACAATAGCTTATACTACTTGCACAGTTAGCAAATTCTCCTATTTTCTAAATTAATTATTTAAAAGATTATATAATGGTAGAGACAGCATTTTTATAAGCTGTAAACAAATGGACAAACATAATTTAGTCTTCTGAAGATTAAAATTCCAAGGACTATTTTGAAGGAGAAATAGGAACACTTTTACACTGTTGGTGGGACTGTAAACTAGTTCAACCATTGTGGAAGTCAGTGTGGCGATTCCTCAGGGATCTAGAACTAGAAATACCATTTGACCCAGCCATCCCATTACTGGGTATATACCCAAAGGATTATAAATCATGCTGTTATAAAGACACATGCACACGTATGTTTATTGGGGCACTATTCACAATAGCAAAGACTTGGAACCAACCCAAATGTCCAACAATGATAGACTGGATTAAGAAAATGTGGCACATATACACCATGGAATATTATGCAGCCATATAAAAGGATGAGTTCATGTCCTTTGTAGGGACATGGATGAAGCTGGAAACCATCATTCTCAGCAAACTATTGCAAGGAGAAAAAACCAAACACCGCATATTCTCACTCATAGGTGGGAATTGAACAATGAGAACACATGGACACAGGAAGGGGAACATCACACTCTGGGGACTGTTGTGGGGTAGGGGGAGGGGGGAGGGATAACATTAGGAGATATACCTAATGCTAAATGATGAGGTAATGGGTGCAGCACACCAACATGGCACATGTATACATATGTAACAAACCTACACGTTGTGCACATGTACCCTAAAACTTAAAGTATAATAATAATAAAATTAAAAAAAAGATTAAAACCCCCTTGTGCCATAATAATCTAATTAGTTACAAAGTTTGCTACAGGGCTCTTCCTTAGCTGAGGTCTCATGATTACTCAGTCAACTCCACACAGTAATAGAGTAATATTCATGTTCTAAACAAATTCTTATGTGGTTTGTTTTGTTTTTAATAACTGTGGATTAATACCTGAGAAAACTTCTTCAGCCCAAGTGCAGCCCAAACACAAAGAAAGAAGGCAAGCAGGAAAGATGACATAGATTCATCAAAGATGACATTCATAAAAGGAAACTGAATGAGTTCAAGATTCATAAAATTTTAATATGTTAAATAATTATTGAATCTACCAAGTAAAAAGATATATAATTTGATTCTGTATTCTAAAACTGGATTAACTAATTCATTTAACACTTATCCCTAGTCAAGAATATTTAGACCTGCACCTAAAATTAATCTGCCTTTGATGTAGCTGCAGTTCATTCTGTGTTTCCTCTGACAGGGAATTGACGTGAAAAGAATGGAAACATAAAAAGGAAAACGGAGACCTTTCATGAACAAAGTAGAATTCCTTGGAAATGTGGTGCAGGTTGACATTATGTGGTGAGAAATTAATACATTTCTCAAAGATTCTTGGCCTAATCGTTCCGTGAAAGCATGTGCTAGTACATTGGTACTTGGCTGAGGGAAATGTAGAAAATACAGACATCTAAATACCTTAACACAGCAGTCCCCAACCTTTTTGGCACCAGGGACAAGTTTCATGGAGTTTTTCCATGGAGGAATGGGGATCAGGGAGGGAGGGTGGGTGGGTTTGGGATGAAGCCGTTCCAACTAAGATCATTAGGCATTAGATTCTCATAAGGAGCTGTGCAATCTAGATCCCTCGCATGCGTAGTTCACAATAGGGTTTACTCTCCTGCTGCTGAGCTGACAGGAGGCAGAGCTCAGGTGATAATGCTTGCTAGCCGAGGCTCACCTCCTGCTGTAAATCACCTGTTAGCTGATTCCTAACAGGCCATGGTCCAGTACCCATCCTCGGCCCAGGGATTGGGGATCCCTGCCTTAACATGTAATCCTATCTCTGTCTCTTTCTTTTTTTTTTTTTTTTTTGCTTGACAGAGAGTCTCACTCTGTCACCCAGGCTGAGTGCAGTGGTGTGATCATGGCTCACTACAGCCTCTGTCTCCTAGGCTCAGGCAATCCTGCCTCAGCCTCCTGAGTACTGGAACTACAGGTCCCACCATGCCTGGCTAATTTTTGATTTTTTTTTTTTTTTTGGTAAAGACAGGTCTCACTATGTTGTTCAGCTGATCCTGAACTCCTGGACACAAGTGACCCTCCTGCCTTGGCCTCCCAAAGTGCTGAGATTACAGGCATGAGCCACTATGCCTGGCCATCCTCTTTTTTTATTTGAACTAAATATACACTCTCTACAGAAAAAGTCAAAAATACAAATAAGGAAAATATTTAAATAACTAACTAAAAAGAATCACACTATCCCAAACCAACCAGTATTAACATTAGCATACATTAGTGATGTGATTTCTATCACTATAGATTACTTTTGTCTGGTCTAGAATTTCATATAACTCTCTATGTATACTCTTTAGGTCTGATTTTTTTCACTTAACATAATACTTGAGATTCTTTCATGTTTTCCATGCATTAGTAGTGTGTTCCTTTTAATTCTGAGTAGCATTCTATTGTACAAATATACCACAATTTGTCCATCCATTTTCCTAATGAACACCTAAGCTGCTTCCATTTTGGAACTACTATGAATGAAATGTTATGAACAGGTGTTTGCATGGACGTGTGTTTTTATTTCTCCAGTAAATATCTGGGAATGAAATCATTGTGTCATATTAGGTAAGAGTATGTTCACTTATTAGAAAATACCGAACTATTTCCTAAATGGTGGTAGTGTTTCACACTCTTAGCAGTAGTGTATAGTGTGTCTGCTGTTTGACATTCTTACCAACATTTGCTGGTAGTTTTTTAAATTTTAGCCATTCTAATGGGTATGTAGAGTATCTTATTGTGGCTTTCAATCTGCATTTTTCTGTGACCAGTGATGCTTAGCACCTCTTATGTGAAATAACAAGAAATGTTTTTATATGGTTTTTCTATAGTATTTGGTCAAATCTTTTTTCCCAATTTTCTTATTGAACTGTTTTTCTTTTTAATATTGAATTGTAAGAGGTCATTATATCTTGGATCTAATCTTTTCAGACCTATATATTGCAAATATTTTCTCCCTGTGACTTATGTTCTCAGTTTAATGGCACTTTTCAATTTCTTATTACAGTGATGGATTTAGCATGGAGTGCGTGTATGTGTGTGTGTAGTCTGTAATCACATTGAGGAAGAATACATCTATTCTTATTTTCTGGAAATTTTTATTAGGAATGAGGGTTGATTTTGTCAAAGGCTTTTCTAGCATCCATGATAAAATTATATGATGTTTCTTTCTCCACCAATTAAAATGGCAAATTATATCACTAGATTTCCTAATATTAGCCATTCTTACATTGTTAGTATAAATTCCACTCAGTCATAGTGTATTATTTTCTTAATGAAGTATCCAAGTTTCTCAGTTTATATTTTATTTAGGAGTTTTTCATTAATAATTATAAGTAATATTTATCTATTAGCTTCTTTTTTGTGTTACATTTAACAAAATTGAGTCATGGATGTTATACTTGTTTTGTAAAAATACTGTATACTTTAAAAAATTTTCTCTGAGTAATTTATATAGCATTGACACTAATTGGTCTCTAAAGTTTTTAAAATTATTCTGCAAAACCATCTGGCCCTGCTGTTTTTTCGGGGTTTTTTTTTTTGTTTTTTTTTTTTACATTGTAGTTCCTTGATAACTCCTCTATTTCTTCTGCACAAGTGAGTCTATTTAAGCTTTCTATTTTTACAGAGATCAGTTTTGGTAAACTGTCTCTTTCTAAGAAAATATTCATTTTATCTAAGTTTTCAATTTTGTTTGCATAAAGGTGTACAGAGTAGCATCTTGTGATTTAAAAAATTTTTTCTGGCCGGTCACGGTGGCTCACACCTGTAATCCCAGCACTTCGGGAGGCTGAGGCGGGCGGATCACGAGGTCAGTTCAAGACCAGCCTGACCAACATGGTGAAACCCCGTCTCTACTAAAAATACAGGAATTAGCTGCGCCTAATACAGGAGGCTGAAGGAAGAGAATCGCTTGAACCCGGGAGGCGGAGGTTGCAGTGAGCTGAGATCACACCACTGCACTCCAGCCTGGGCAACAGAGGGCGACTTCGTCTCTAAAAAAAAAATTTTTTTTTCTCTGTGTTAATCATCATTTCCACTTGTTGTTTATTATTTCATATTTTTCTCCTTTTTTTCTTGAACAAATTTACTATTAATAGTAATTTGTTTGTTAATTTTTCCAAGGACCCAGAATTTTGGCTTATTGGTTTGATATGCTTTTCAATTCTGTACCTTATTAATTGCTTTTTTTTTTATCATTAGTATTTGCCTCCTTGTGCTTTTTTGGGGTGTCTTTTGTTTTATTTCTAGGTTTTTGAGTTGAAAGCTTTATTTTTACTTTTCACTTTTTATAAGACTTGCTGTGCTTTTTGGCACACAGATATTTGTAACTTACCTCTTCATAATGAATTACAGCTTTTAGTATTAGAAGGTGTCCAATGTCTCATTTAATTTTTATTGCCCAGAATTCTCCTTTATCTGATATAAGAGTCAGAACATCTGCTTTTTTATTATTTCCCTCTGATTGTGTTTTTGTTTTATCTGTTGTGTCTTTGTGCACGCCTTTAGTTTCAGCTTTTTAATGCCATGTTTTGGCCATATTTCTTGTATACAGGCTAATGTTGGCTTTTCCTTCATAAGCCAAATTTAAAATGTTTTTATTTTAATAGACAAGCGAAGCACTTTCATCTTTATTGATATAATGGATGTACTTGGTCTCAACTGGATCATATCATCATACTTTATGTGTGCTATGTATATTATGCTGTGTTTCTCTCTTTGGTGTGTTTATTATTATTTTTTAAATTTTCTGGTAGTAGGAAGGTTTGTATTTTTATTCTGTTGGCTATCTTTATGTGTATACCTTTTGTTATGCTCTTAAGCCCCTTCTTTTCTTACTTAACATTTTACTATCTGGGAAGCCAATTTAAATGGTATCCTTTGACTCCCACCTGCTACCTACACAGCAGTCAAGAGTGGTCTATTTTCCCCTTTCTCTCTGCATTTACTTCCTAGTCTTTTAGTTGCATTTTTTCTACTTCATCAGAACATATAATATCTACACATTATTTTTCCAAACGTGCCCTCACTTTTTGTTTTAATCTTAGCTCTACAATTAAATATAGTAAATGCTCACTAGTTTTCATTTTGTTGATGTTTCCGCAGTTATCTCTAGGCTGGAGGATACATTCATTACCTTCCTCCAGAGGGGCGCATGTGGACAATATTGTCTTAATTTCCCCCTCTTCTTTCCTTCTTCCCCCTTCTGCCATACTTTATGTACTTATCTAATTTCCCCACATGCAATGTTTCTCTAAGTCTGTCACCTTTGGTCACTTCCAAGCTCCTTCCCTATAGTTGGTGTTGTGAATTACTAAGTCCCAGATCTCTGTTGAGTTTTTCATCCTTAGTGTTGGACTTTCTCATTGTAAGGGTGATTTTGTTTATGCCTTATCCGTGTCCTCTGTCTCTCTCTCCTCTTTTACTTTCAGACCCCTAGGTCTGCTTTCCTCACTTCACACATCCATGGGTTTGTAGCAATAATGCAAGCTCTGTTGGAACTTGTTCATTTCTCTAGGTACAGGAAATACAAAGTTCATGGTAGTCTCTGCCTCCTGGTTAACGCCAAAAGTGTGACCCTTGTGAGGTTTTATTTGCACCCATTGATCTTATGTTCTGGGGAGAGGACATGAGAGGAGAGTTGGATTCAGACAGCTATCATTATCTTCCAATCTTTCTCTGTTGTTATTGAGGTAGACTGTTAGATCATTGATTTGTAGTCTTGCTTTTTTTCTAATAATTGTCCTTGTAATCATTGCTCTGTTTCATCCACAAGGTTTGATGTTTGTATATTTATGTATTTATTTTTATTTTTTGAGATGGAGTCTTGCTGTTTTGCCCAGGCTGGAGTGTAGTGGCAAGCTCTCAGTTCACTGCAGCCTCTGCCTCCTGGGTGCAAGTGATTCTGCTGCCTTAGCCTCCTGAGTAGCTGGGATTACAGGCATGTGCCACCACGCCTGGCTAATTTGTGTATTTTTAGTAGAGACAGGATTTCACGATGTTGGTCAGGCTTGTCTCGAACTCCTGACCTCGGTTATCTGCCCGCTTCGGCCTTTTGAAGTGCTGGGATTACAGGCATGAGCCATGGTGCCCGACTGATGTTTATTTTTATTATAATTTAGTTCAACATATTTTCTAATAACCATTATGATTTCATCCCAGATCCATGAATTATTTATAAGTGAACTATTTTTAAATTTCCAGACATATGGTGAGTTTCTAGTTATCTCTATGTGATTGGCTTCCAGCCTAATTCCACAATGACCACAGAATCTTTCTTCTGTTTTTAATCCTTTGAAATTTGTTGAGACGTTATGACCCAGCTTATGGGCAATTTTGGTAAATTTTCTATGCATACTATGGTTGTCAGTATCAGTGTTTTATAATGTCAATTTTTCTAAATTGTTTTGTTCAAATAATCTATAACTTTACTGATTTGTAAACTGTTTGTTCTATCTGGTACTGAGAGAGGCTTATTAAAATATCCCACTCTGATTACAGATTTGTTTTTCCTGTATTTCTTTGTTTTATATATCATGAGATTATGTTATTAAATACATTCAAATTTAGAATATCTGTCTCTTTCTGGTGAACTAAACCTTTTAGTTCACCATTTTTCATTTTGTTGATGTTTCTGCAGTTATCTCTTTTGCTCTGGTCTCTCTATGCTTCAGACTGATAATTTCTTTATTTCTTTTAACCTGTCATTTAGTTTGGTAATTCTCTCTCCAGTGAATCTGCTGTTAATCTCATCGATTTAATTCTGAATTTCAAATAATGATTTTTATAGTTATAGAATTTCGTTTTTATCTTTACTATTTGCAGTCCTCTGCAAGAGTTCTTAAATTGTTCTCTATTTTAATAAATATATTTGTCATGATTTTTTAAAGTCTGTGTCTGGTTACATAGTTACCTGTATAATCTGTGAACTTTTTCTTTTTCTTATTTTTACAGAGTTATAAATTATTAGTAGTGTTTTTCTTATTTTACAGAATTATAAGTTATTAGTAGTGTTTTTTGCCTTTAAGTACATTTGGTCTGGTATGAATATAACTAAACTAACTTTATTTGGATAATATTTGCATGCTATTCCTTTTCCGTGGTTTTACTTTCAATCTTTCTAATATGCTGATATTTTCAGTATCTCTTCTAATCAGTATATCATTAGACTTGGTTTTATTATTCTTTATGACAATATCTGTCCTTTAATTTATATTCAATTATATTAATTACATTACATTTTAAATCTATTATCTTACTTTTTGCTTTCAATTAGTTATATCTAAATAATTATTTTCCTTTTCTTACCCTTCCTGTAGCAATTGTTACTATCCTTTATTCATTGTCGTAGAAGTTATACTAATCTTTTACCTGTGATCTTTAGGGTTATAAAATGCATCTTTGACTCATTGAAGTCTAATATATATATTGATACTTCTATCTCTTCCCAAATAATGTAGAAGCCTTAGAATTCCTTCATTTACTCTTTCTTTCTATTTATTGTGGTTTATTTTAATTCTATATATATATTTAAAGTGTTAAAAGATATAGCGTTTGGTTATATGGTCAATTTTAGCTTATATGTACCTACCTATATCAGTCTTCCAAGAATCTTGCAGGAGTGTCTGATGTTGACAGCTTCTCTGTTTTTCTTTGTCCAAAATATATTTATGTCACCATCCATTTTTGAACTTTATTTTAATTGGGTGTAAAATTTGAACTCAGCAGTTACTTTCTCTCAGAAATTCAAGGAGTCAACTGGCTTTCATTGTTGGTTTTGAGAAAGCAGATGTCAGTTCTGTTGTTGTCCTTTAGAGGTAATATGTCCTTTTCCATTTGGCTGCTTTTAACATTTTTTTCTCTTTTTCATTTTTTTGAGGTTTTATTATTATATCTATATGTGTAGCTTTCTTTTAATTTACTCTGCCAGAGTTTGTAGGGCTTCTTTATGTAGTTTTCTGCTCTTGCTCATATTTAGAAAATTTCCAACCATCAATTTTTCAAATATAACCTAAATTCTTTCTGAGGTTCTATTCACTATATTTCTTATGCTGTTACAGCTTTTTTTTTTTTTTTGTATATTTCATTCTTTGGCCTCTCTGTGCTTCAGACTGATAATTTCTTTATTTCTTTTGACCTATCATTTAGTTCGGTAATTCTCTCTCCAGTGAATCTGTTGTTAATCTCATTGATTTAATTCTGAATTTCAAATAATGATTTTTATAGTTATAGAATTTTGCTTTTATCTTACTATTTGCAGTCCTCTGCAAGAGTTCTTAAACTGTTATATATTTTAATAAATATATTTGTCATGATTGTTTTAAAGTCTGTGTCTGGTTACATGGTTACCTGCATAATCTCTGAACTTTTTCTTTTTCTTATTTTTATTCCCAGTTTCCTACAATTTATTTTACTTTTAATTTTTTTTAAAAATTTCCACAGGTTATTGGGGAAACAGGTGGTGTTACATGAATTGGTTACATGAATAAGTTCTTTAGTGGTGATTACATGAGGTTTTGGTGCACCCATCACCCAAGGGGTGTACACTGCACTCAATATGTAGTCTTCTACCACTCACCCCCTTCCCACCCTTGCCCCCTAAGTCCCAAAGTCCATCGTGTCATTCTTATGCCATTGCATCCTCATAGCTTAGCTCCCACTTATGCATGAGAACATGCAATATTTGGTTTTCCACTCCTGAATTACTTCAGTTAGAATATTAGTCTCCAGTTTGTATCCAGGTTGCTGTGAATGCCATTAATTCATTCTTTTCATGGCTGAGTAGTATTCCATCATATATATATATATATATATATATATATATATATATATATATATATATATATATACCACAGTTTCTTTATCCACTCATTGATCGATGAGCTTTGGGTTGGTTTCACCCTTTTGCAATTGTGAATTGTGGTGCTGTAAACATGCATGTGCAAGTATCTTTTTTGTATAATGACTTCTATTCCTCTGGGTAGATACCCGGTAGTGGTGTTGCTGGATCAAATGGTAGTTCTACTTTTAGTTCTTTAAGACATCTCCACAATGTTTTCCATAATGGTTGCACTAGTTTACATTTCCATCAGCAGTGTAGAAGTGTTCCCTGTTCACTGCATCCACACCAACATCTACTGTTTTTTGATTTTTTGATTATGGCCATTTTTGCAGGAGTAAGGTGGTATCACATGGTGGTTTTGGTTTGCATTTCCCTAATCATTAGTGATGTTGAGCATTTTTCCATATATTTGTTGGACATTTGTATATCTTCTTTTGAGAATTGTCTATTCATGTCCTTAGCCCACTTTTTGATGGAATTGTTTGTTTTTTTTTCTTGCTAATTCGTTTGAGTTCATTGTAGATTCTGGATATTAGTCTTTTGTCAGATGTATAGATTGTGAAGATTTTGTCCCACTCTGTGGGTTGTCTGATTACTGTGTTGACTTTTCCTTTTCCTGTGCAGAAACTCTTTAGTGTAATTAAATCCCAGCAATTTAGATTTGTTTGTATTGCATTTGCTTTTGGGTTCTTGGTCATGAAATCCTTGCCCAAGCCAATGTCTAGAAGGGTTTTTCCAAAGTTATCTTCTAGAATTTTTATAGTTTCAGATTTAAGTTCTTGATATATCTTGAATTGATTTTTGTATAAGGTGAGAGATAAGGATCCAGTTTCATTCTCCTACATGTGGCTTGCCAATTATCCCAGCACCATTTGTTGAAAAGGTCCTTCCCCCACTTTATGTTTTTGTTTGCTTCATCAAAGAGAAGTTGGCTCTACATATCTGGCTTTATTTCTGGGGTTTCTATTCTGTTCCATGGGTCTATGTGCCTATTTTTATACCAGTGCCATGCAGTTTTGGTGACTATGGCCTTATAGTATAGTTTGAAATCAGGTAATGTGATGCCTCCAGATTTCTTCTTTTCGTTTAGTCTTACTTTGGTTATGTGGGCTGTTTTTGGTTCCATATGAATTTTAGGATTTTTTTTTTCTAGTTCTGTGAAGAATGATGTTGGTATTATGATGGTAATTGCATTGAATTTGTAGATTGCTTTTGGGAGTATGGTTATTTTCACAATATTGATTCTACCCATCCATGAGCATGGAATGTGTTTCCACTTGTTTGTGTTATCTATGATTTCTTTCAGCTGTGCTCTGTACTTTTCCTTGTAGAGGTCTTTTGCCTCCTTAGTTATGTATATTTCTAAGTATTTTATTGTTTTTGCAGCTTCTGTAAAAGGGGTTGAGTTCTTGATTTGATTCTCTGCTTCGTTGCTCTTGGTATATAAGAGAGCTACTGATTTGTATACATTAATTTTGTATCCAGAAACTGCTGAATTCTTTTATCAGATCTAGGAGCTTTTTGGTGAAATCTTCAGGGTTTTCTAGGTATACAATCATGTCATCAGCAAACAGCAACGGTTTGACTTCCTCTTTAACAATTTGGATGCCCATTATTTCTTTCTCTTGTCTGATTGCTCTAGCTAGGACTTCCAGTACTAGGGTGACTAAAAGTGGTGAGAGTGGGCATCTTTGTCTTGTTCCAGTTCTCAGACGGAATGCTTTCAACTTTTCCCCATTCAGTATTATGTTGGCTGTGGGTTTGTCATAGATGGCTTTTATTACATCGAGGTATGTCCCTTGTGTTCTGATTTTGCTGAGAATTTTAATCGTAAAGCGGTGCTGGATTTTTTCAAATGCTTTTTCTGCATTTATTGAGATAATCATGTGATTTTTGTTTTTAATTATGTCTGTGTGGTATATCACATTTATTGACTTATATATGATAAATCATCCCTGCATCCTTGGTATGAAACCCACTTGATTATGGTGCATTATCTTTTTGATTTGTTGTTGGACACGGTTAGCTAGTATTTTGTTAAGGATTTTTACATCTATTTTCATCAAGGACATTGGTCTGTAGTTTTGTTTTTTGGCTATCCTTTCCTGGTTTTGGCATTAGGGAGATACTGGCTTCAAAGAATGATTTAGGGAGGAGTCCCTTTCTCTCTCTTTTGGAATAGTGTCAGTAGGATTTGTACCAATTCTTCTTTGAATGTCTGGTAGAATTCTGCTCTGAATCCATCTGGTCCTGGACTTTTTTTTTGTTGGTTATTTTTTATTACCATCTCAATCTCACTGCTTGTTATTGGTCTGTTCAGTGTATCTAATTCTTCCCGATTTAAGCTATGACTGTTGTATCTTTCCAGGAATTTATCCATCTCCTCTAGATTTTCTAGTTTATACGTGCAAAGGTGTTCGCAGTAGCCTTGAATGATCTTTTGTATCTCTGTGGTGTCAGTTGTAATATCTCCTGTTTCATTTCGAATTGAGCGTATTTGGATTTTCTGTCTTTTGTTCTTGGTTAATCTTGGCAATGGTCTATCGATTTTATTTATCTTTTCAAAGAACCAGCTTTTTGTTTCATTTTTCTTTTGTATTTTTTGTTTCAATTTCATTTAGTTGTGCTTTGATCTGGGTTATTTCCTTTCTTCTCCTGGGTTTGGGTTTGGTTTGTCCTTGTTTCTCTACTTCCTTGAGGTGTGACCTTAGATTGTCTGTTTGTGCTCTTTCAGACTTTTTGATGTAGGTGTTTAGGTTTTGATAGGTTGTGTTACTATTGTCATTCAGTTTAAAACATTTTTAAAATTTCTGTCTTGATTTTATTGTTGACCCAATGATCATTCAGGAGCAGGTTATTTAGTTTCCATGTATTTGCATGGTTTTGAAGGTTCCTTTTGGATTTGATTTCCAGTTTTATTCCACTGTGGGCTGAGAGAGTGCTTGATATAATTTCACTTTTCTTAAATTCTTTGAGGCTTGTTTTGTGGCCTATCATATGGTCTAACTTAGAGAAAGTTCCATGAGCTGATGAATAGAATGTATATTCTGTGGTTGTTGGGTAGAATGTTCTGTAAATATCTGTTAAGTCCATTTGTTCCAGGGTATAGTTTAAATCCATTGTTTCTTTGTTGACTTTCTGTTTTGATGACCTGTCTAGTACTGTCAGTGGAGTACTGAAGTCCCCCACTACTATTGTGTTGCCATCTATGTCATTTCTTAGGTCTATTAGTAATTGTTTTATAAATTTGGGAGCTCCAGTGTTAGGTGCATACATATTTAAGACTGTGATATTTTCCTGTTGGACAAGGCCTTTTATCATTATGTAATGTCCTTCTTTGTCTTTTTAATGGCTGTTGCTTTAAAGTTTGTTTTGTCTGATATAAAGATAGCTACTCCTGCTTGCTTTTGGTGTCCATTGCATGGAATGTCTTTTCCACGCCTTTACCTTAAGTTTATGTGAGTCTTTATGGGTTAGTTGAGTCTCTTGAAGGTAGCAAATAGTTAGTTGGTGAATTCTTACCCATTCTGCAATTCTGTATCTTTTAAGTGGAGCATTAAGGCCATTTACATTCAACGTTAGTATTGAGATGCGAGGTACTGTTCCATTCATTGTGCTAATTGTTGCCTGTATACCTTGGCTTTTTGTGTGTGTGTGTATTTGTTTTATAGGCCCTGTGAGATTTACGCTTTAAAGGGGTTCTGTTTTCCTGTGTTTCCAGGATTTGTTTCAAGATTTAGAGTTCCTTTTAGCAGTTCATGTAGTGCTAGCTTGGTAGTGGTGAATTCTCTCAGCGTTTATTTGTCTGAACAAAGATTTGTCCAAAGGAAGATTGTATCTTTCCTTCATTTATGAAGTTTAGTTTTGCTGGATACAAAATTCTTGGCTGATAATTGTTTTTTTAAAGGAGGCAAATATAGGGCCCCAATCACTTCTAGCTTGTAGGGTTTCTGTTGAGAAATCTGCTGTGAATCTGATAGGTTTTCCTTTGTAGGTTACCTGGTGCTTTTGCCTCACATCTCTCAAGATTCTTTTCTTCATCTTAACTTTAGATAACCTGATGACAATGTGCTTAGTCAATGATCTTTTTGTGATGAATTTCCCAGTGTTCTTTGTGTTTCTTGTATTTGGATGTCTAGGTCTCTAGCAAGGCTGGAGAAGTTTTCCTTGATTATTCCCCCAGATAAGTTTTCCAAACTTTTAGATTTCTCTTCTTCCTCAGGGAATGCTGATTATTCTTATGCTTGGTCATTTAACATAATCCCAGGCTTCTTGGAGAGTTTGTTCATTTCTTATTCTTTTTTCTTTGTTTTTGTTGGATTGAGTTAATTATGAAACCTTGTCGTTGAGCGCTGAAGTTCTTTCTTCTGCTTGTTGGATTCTATTGCTGAGATTTTCTGGAGCATTTTGCATTTCTCTAAGTGCATCCATTGTTTCCCGAAGTTTTGATTGTTTTTTGTTGATGTTATCTGTTTCACTGAAGATTTCTCCCCTCATGTCTTGTATCATTTTTTAAATTTCCTTACATTGGGCTTTGCCTTTCTCTGGTGCCTCCTTGATTAGCTTAATAACTGACCTTCTGAATTCTTTTTCAGGTAAGCCAGGGATTTCTTCTTGGTTTTGATCCATTGCTGGTGAGCTGCTGTGATTTTTTTGCGGGTGTTAAAGAACCTCATTTTGTCATATTGCCAGAGTTGATTTTCTAATTCCTTCTCATTTAGGTAAGCTCTGTCAGAGGGAAGGTCTAGCGCTCAAGACTGTCGTTCAGATTCTTTTGTCTCATGGAGTGTTCCCTTGATGTAGTACTCTCCCTGCTTTCCTAGGGATGTGGCTTCCTAAGAGCTGAGCTGTAGTGATTGTTATCTGTCTTCCAGATCTAGCCACCCAGCAGATCTACCAGGCTCCAGGATGGTACTGGGGGTTGTCTGCACAGAGTCCCGTGATGTGAACCATCTGTGGATCTCTCAGCTGTGGATACCAGTACCTGCTACAGTGGAGATTGCAGGGGGGTAAACTAGACTCTGTTAGGGTCCTTAGTTTTGGTTGTTTAATGCTCTATTTTTATGCTGATTGGTCTCCTTCCAGGAGGTGGCACATTCAAGACAGCATCAGCTGTGCTCATATGGGGAGGATCAGGTGATGTGTGGGGCCCTAGAACTCCCGAAAGTGTATGCCCTTTATCTTCAGCTATCAGGGTGGGTAGGGGTGGACCATCAGGTGGTGGCAGGGCTAGGCCTGTCTGAGCTCAGACTCTTCTTGGGTGGGTCTTGCTGCGGCTGCTGGGGGGGATGGGGTTGTGGTTCCCAGGTAAATGGAGTTATGTTCTTAGGAGGATTATGACTGCCTCTACTGTGTCATGCAGGTTGTCAGGGAAGTAGGGGAAAGCGGGCAATCTCAGGTTTCACTCAGCTTCCATGAAACCCAAAAGGCTTCAGAGTCCTTACACAAAAGGGGATTAGGCAGGGGACCAGTCAATAGAGCTCTTGCTCCATTTCCCCCCCTAGTCCCATGAGGTAGCCAGGAGTTCTATTCATTGTTTAACCCTGTAGCCATGTCTTTGGGAATTGGCAGATAACCTGTAAAGAAAATCTTCTCAAAATCTAGAGTTACCAGGCTCACATCACCCAATTTCAACCCCATAATTGTTAACTGCCTTACATACTTTAAAGTACGTACATGGAAGACAAGCTTATAGCAATGGTAGACAGCGTATTTTAGGAAAATCCTCTTTTTGTGAACAACTAGAAAAGCTAGAAAACATATTTTCAAATCTATTTTCTGGTATCTAAGAGCCAATGATGTGCTCCAATCATCACATCTACTAACCTAATTGCATCTTTGCTCATATACTCTGCCTTTCCTCTTGTTACAATGGATGTGCTCTCCTAGCTTCTACAGCAAACCCCTTCACTTGGATTACTGAATTTTATTCCATTTCACCTACTCAAGAACCTAGCTCTGGAAATTATTGCTTCTTATAAAAAATATAATCCCATCTTAAAAATAGACACTTTAAACAAAATGAACAAACATGCCTTCCTCTATCCTATTAACATTTTCTGTCGCCTTTATAGTAAAATGCTTCCAAAGCATTGCCTATTATCATTTTCTCTATTTATTTTCATTCCATTCTTTCTTGAATCCACTCTAACCAGCCTGTTTCTCATTATTCCACCGAACTTTTTATAAATAATATGATAACCTCTCATTTCCAAATCCCAAAGTCTCCAATTTCAAAATCCTGTGATTTCCTTTCTCATTGCTTAATAGTATTTCCTTGTGTATATGGACCACATTTTCTGGTCCATTCATCTGTTATTGAACACCTAGGTTGATTCTGTATCTTGGTTATTGTAACTAGTGCTGCAATAAACATGGGGGTGCAGATGTGTCTTTGATATACTGATTTTCTTTCCTTTGGATGAATGCCCAGTAGTGGAATTGCTGAATCATATAGGTATTCTGTTTGTAGTTTTTTAAGGTACCTTCATATTATATCCATAGTATCCATACTAGTTTACATTCCCACCAAGAGTGTATAAGAGTTTCCTTTTCTCTGCATCCTCATCAGCATCTGTTATTTATCCTGACTGGGGTGATATGATATCTCATTGTGGATGATTTGCATTTCCCTTATGATAAATAATGTTGAACATTTTTTCATAAATTTCTGGCCATTTGTATGTCTTCTTTTGAGAAATCTCTATGCAGATCATTTGTCAATATTTTAATCAACTTTTTTGTTTTGCTGTTTAGATGTATGAATTCCATTTATATTCTGGATATTAATCCCCTGTCAGATGAATAGTTTGCAAATATTTTATTCCATTTTTAAGTTGTTATTTCACTCTGTTTATTGTTTCCTTTGCTGTGCATAAGATTTGATATAATCTCATTTGTTTAATTTTGCTTTTGTTCTCTGTGCATTTGAGGTCTTATTTATAAAATCTTTTTCCCAGACTACTGTCCTGAAATATTTCCCCTATGTTTTCTTCTAGTAGTTTAATTGTTTTGGTTCTTACATTTAGATCTCTGATGCATTTTGAGTTCATTTTTGTGTAATTTGAGAGGTGGGAGTATAGTTTCATTCTTCTGCATATGGATATTTACATTTCCTAGAACCATTTATTGAAGAGACATTCCTTTCCCCAATGAGTGTTCTTGGCGCTTTTCCCCAAAATCAGTGCCTTAGTGGATAAGCAAATTATTTCTGAGATCTCTATTCTGTTCCATTGGTCTATGTCTCTGTTTTTGTGCCAGTATCATGCTTTTTTGGTTACTATAGATTTGTAGTATATTTTGAGTTTGGTAGGGCCTCCAGATTTGTTCTTTTTGCTCAGCATTGTTTTGGTTATTTGGCATCTTTTGCAGTTCCATATGAATTTCAGGATTTTTCCTATTTCTGTGAAAAATGTCATTGGTATTTTGACAGGGATTATACTAAACCTGTAGAATGCTTTGGGTAGTATGGTCGTTTAAATATTACTTCTTCTGATCCATAAGCATAGTATATCTTTCCATTTATTTATATGCTCTTCAATGTTTTATAATTTTCCTTCTAGTGGTCCTTTACCTCCTTAGTTAAATTTGTTCCTAGGTATTTTATATTTATTGTTAATAGCATTGCCTTTTAAATTTCTTTTTCAGCTAGTTCATTGTTCATGTGTAGAAATGCTACTGATTTTGTATGTTGATTTTGTATCCTACAACTTTATGGAATTCACTTATTCATTCTAAGAGTATGTTGGTAGGGTGTTTAGGTTTATATATTTATAAGATCCTGTCATCTGCATATAGGAACAATTTGACTTTCTTTTTTACAATTTGGATGCCATTTATTTCCTTCTCTTGCCTAATTGCTCTGGCTAGGACTTCCCATACTATATTAAATAAGAGTGGTGAGAGTGGGCATTTTTGTCTTGTTCTGGCTCTTAGAGGAAAAACTTCCAGTTTTTTTTTTATTCAGTATGATTTTAGCTGTGGGTTTGTCATATATGGTCTTTATTGTTTTGAGTTACTTTCCTTTTATGCCTAATTTATTGAGATATTTTTTATCATAAAGCGATGTTGAATTTGATCAAATCCCTTTTCTGCATCTATTGAGATAATCATATGGTTTTTATCCTTCATTCTGTTTGATGTGATGCATCACCATTATTGATTTGCATATGTTGAACCATCCTTGCATTCCTGAGCTAAATTCTACTTGATCATAATGTGTTATCCTTTTGATGTGTTGTTGGATTTGGTTTGCTAGCATTTTGTTGAGGATATCTTGTCTATATTTATCAGTAATATTGGCTTGTAGTTTTCTTTTCTGGTTTTGTTATAAGGTTATGCTGGCCTCATAGAATGAATTAGGAAATTATAGTAAGTATCAGGAAAGCAATGATAAGTGTTTGAGACGATGGTATGTTAATTACCCTGGTCTGATCACTATACATTGTATGTATCAAAACATCACTGTGTAACTCATAAATACATATAATTATTATAAGTCAATTAAAAATTTTTGAAGCCTCCAATTCCACCTCAATTCACCCATCAGAATAAACTCTAAAGCTTTATCCTTTTCCTCATTTTTTTGGACTAGTTTAAGAAGAATTTGTATTAATTCTTCTTTAAATATTTGGTAGAATTCAGCAGTGAAGCCATCCAGTTCTGGAGTTTTCCTTATTGGGAGACTTTTTATTACTGATTTAGTATCATTACTTGTTATTGGTCTTCTCAAGTTTTCTTTCTTCTCAGTTCAATCTTGGTAGGTTGTAGGTATCAAGCAATTTATCTATTTCCTCTAAGTTTTTGAACTACATGGATAGAACTGGAGGACATTATTTTAAGTGAAATAAGCCAGGAAAAGAAAGTTAAAAATTGCATGTTCTCATTCATAGGTGGAAGCTACAAAAAATTAAAATAATAGAAGCAAAAAGTGGAACAGAAGATACTAGAGGCTGGGAAGAGGAGGAAAAGGAGGGCATAGGGAGAGATCTGTTGAAGGATACAAAATCACAGCTAGATAGGAGGAATGAGTTCTAGTGTCCTATTTCAGTGTAGGATGATTATAGTTAACAATAATATATTATATAGTTTCATGTAGCTAGAAGATAACATTGAATTTTCCCAACCCAAATAATAAATGTTTGAGATGATGGATATGATAATTACTCTGGTCTGATTACTATACATTATATGTAATTAAAACATCACTATGTACCTCATAAATATGTGCAATTATATTATGTCAATTAAAACAATTTTAAAGTCTCCAATCTCATCTCACTTGACTGACCTGAATAAAATCGAAAGTTTTATCATGGCCTCCATGGTTAGATCTGCTATCTTCCCACCTCCCATTTCCCTTGTCTGCATCTATCATGCTACCCCTTCTAACTCCCCTTCAGCCACACCAAGTTCTTTGCTGAACCTTCACTAGGACGATTACACACCTGCCTCAGAGCCTTTCCACTTGCAGTTTCTGTCAGAAGCATTTTCCCTCAAGATATCTGTATGACTTTCTTCTTTGATTCTTTAAGTTTTGGCTCAAATGACAAGCTATCAAAGAGGACTTCCTAGGTGACCTTATTCAAATTAGCACACACTGCATCATTCATTATCTGATCTCATTGCTTTGCTCTATTTTTTATTGTTGGCATTTATCACCTCTTGACATATATGATTATCTGTTTATTGTCTCCCCCACCTAAATGCACCTCCATTGGAATAATGACATGGTCTGTTTTTGTTCAGAGTTGTATGCCCACAACTTGGAAAAGCACCTGGCACATGATAAACCTCAATAACTATTTACTGAACGCATTTTAAAAACAGGAATAATTTGAGCTAGTCATGAAAACATGGCCAGAAAATTTACTAATTTACATTCATCAAATTTTGTTACACTAAGTAGGTTAAAGCAATGGAGCCCAATTTAATTAATTTTCCACTTCCCCAACAAAATCCTAATAATAAACAAGCTGATGAGGAAAAAAACCTAATAATCACTTACCAGATTTGGGAAAATGGAACAGTGAAAAAGAGACCTACACCTGGTGGACTTGAGTGTGGGAAGAACTCTATAACACATCTGAGCTCCTGAAAAGTGTGGGCTACTGTAATGCTCACCTGCTAATTCAGCTAATGTTGTGAGCTCCAGCTTGAACCCTCATAATTTACCCAGCAAATAAATTACAGAAGACAAGTTGTGGTGATTGGTCCAAGAGAAGGCAGGTCATATTCATCACCAAAAAATATACTAAAAGAGAACCCCTCCATACCAGCCAACAATAAGCATATTTTATTTTGTATGCCAGGGTGTGAAATGAAGGGAATGAGTAATTGATGCAATTTTTGTTTTTCCTTTTACCCCAAATTAAAAGTCTTCATTTAAAAGGAAAATCATTTTAGTTTGCTGTAGTTTTGCAATTATATGGGACTTATTTCTTTGGAGATGATTATAGGAGGACCTAACATACCACACATGAAACTGTTTTCTACTCATACAGATAAATGGAGATTTTGTAAGACAAGAAATACATGTGGGGTTAGATTGCCACCTAGATTTATCTTTCTTAAAATACAGTTTCCTTACTCTAAAATATATAATGCCTGTGTAATGTCTCAGCCTTATTTATCTGACATAAAAGAAGTTCTTTTTTCTTTCTTTTAAGTATCACCTTAAGAAATCTCCTAAACTCTCTCAGTATGAAGTATTAGGTTAATAACACCTAACAAAAGTGTTATGGGACAAAGGGGCACGAGGATTTGTCTAATGATAGAAGAAATTCTTGTCATCTAAATTCATTTTATTTTAATTTCTAAAGGAGATTAGTGTCTCAATACTTCAATAAATGTTTTAAGTGAAGTTGTAGGTGTGCATATAGTTCATTGCAGTGCATATCATCCTATTGCAGGATGTTGAAGATTTTGGTTAAGCTAGAAGTACTCCAAATGCAATAAATATTTACATTTCAGTATCTTTGAGTCAAGTGTTAATACAATATTCCTAATGGAAACAGAAAAGCAATACATAAAATATCAACACAAGAAAGCTCCTAAGTTAAAATATAAAAATATATTCTTAGTGCTAACATTTTCTCTGAGAATTGAGAAAACAATCACAGGTTTTGTTTGTCTGTCTGCATCATGGTGACTATAATAAAAGCGTAACATTTCTCTTAATTATCATCTGTGGAATATTCACATATACCTATAATAATCTAAATAATGGTTTCTGTACATACAGTAGTGTATATTATTCTGAGAACAAACTCTGTCCTATACTCTGTCATTCTTATGTGCTCTTGAAAGAATCCCAAGTGGCTCCTAACCTTTATTGGGAAAAAAAAATCTATAAGAGATCCCCAGAGGGATTCTCAAAACAAAACAGAGAAAAAGAGGGATAAGAGTTGCAAAGATTTCTAAAGCCTGGAGAAAAATAAGTCAGTGTCATAAAATCAATGACCTGACAAGACTAAAACTTTTATTTCTCTCTGTTGAGTCTCAATGCTAGGTTAGCTTTTGTATTGTAATTCTTGAGCTAGGTAGAAAGGATCCTGGAAATGCTAAAATACAAATACAGTAGTCCCCTCTATTCCATGGGGGATACATTCCAAGACCCCCAGTGAATGTCTAAAACCTCAGATAATACCAACCCTATATATACTTTTTTTCTTATACATATATACCTGTGATAAAGTTTAGTTTATCATAATTAAGCAGAGTAAGAGATTAATTAATCATAAAATAGAACAATTATAACAATATATCGTAATAAAAGTTATGTGAATATGGTCTCTTTCTCTCTCTCTCTTCCTCAAAATATATTATTGAACTGTGCCCACCTATTTTCAGACTACATTGAAACCACAGAAAATAAAACCATGTATAAGTGGGGACTACTGTAAGTGTAATTTCTGAATACTTCATAGATTCTCTGAACGTAATTTCTACCTGTAAATTCAAGGTTGACTTTGCTCGTGTCACATGAAAATATGCAACGCTTCCTTGAAATAATTCTGTGTTTGCAATATTCACTTTCAAATAAATTTCATTTCACTGTCTCTGCACTGTTTGTAGCATCCCTATATTATTAGTGCAGTTTGAAGACCAGAGACTTAAAGAGCTTCACATTTTCTGGGACTCCTTTAATGTCAGTGGAGTGAAACCCAATTAGAACTTGGGTATAGGGGGTGGAAAGTGTAAATATAGGTGGCATATTTGTTTCCTCCTGCAATCCCATCAAAACAACAGTAAATATACATATTTAAAGGGATAAACACTCAAAGATTATATAAGTAGGGAAGCGGAAAACACCGAAGATGTCACATTTGTTTCCAGGCATATCCATTTTAAAAGAAAACTCCTAGCCCATGAGAGCATTTTAAGTAAGAAGCTTCAACATATTTTGGGCAGAATGAAGGCAGCTAATGAAGCAGTCATTGACACAGCAGAGGTTGAAGCCCCTTAAAGCGTGGGAAGTGATTGTCCTTTGGAGCCAGGACAGAGAGTGGTGGGAGGACTCCTGCTTTTTTCTTAAGTCTTTCAGCACCACGTACTTTATAGAAATGTATTAACTTCATGAAAGTAAAAACTAATGTACTAAATTAAAATTAAAGGAAATTATTGGAAAGATAATAGCACTTCTCATGGAATATGAAGGATTGAAAAAAATATCTGTGGGTAGGTTACTGTGCTAGTCAGTAGTGCTGTTTGATAAACTATTTCCTGGTTGTTCCCCAGTGTAGCCATATGGTTTGTACTTCATGCCCCTGCCATATGGTTAGGTAGGGCAATTTAACCACTCCTGGTTAATGATTTGTGAACGGAAGTGGTAAGTGGCATTTCTGGACCTGAGTATTTAATTATTGGTGAGAGACCCTTCAGAGCGTGTTCATTTCCCTCTGACATGGGGAGCAACAACATGGAAGAAGGGTCTGCTCCATACACCAGGGTCCCTACATGATTGTGATGATCCAGTCCTCAACTGATCCCTTATAGATATGAAAATGTACAAGAAATAAACCTGTATTATTTAAACCGCTGTGATTTGGAGGTTATTCATTACTGTTAACCATCCTAATAATGTTGACCATCCTAATACAATTAGGAATACAGCTGGACCTACAGGACAGTCAGAATCAGAGACTCTCTGTCTGAGTTCCCATCTCTCTTTTCTGTGAACATGCAGCAGCAAGGTAGTTGTCCAGTAGCTCCCAGGCTTCACATCTCACAGCATCTGTCGGAAGACAGGCACCAACTTTCTTCCTCATTTTTAGGTCAGAAACTGGGGAAACACTTTTATTGCTGTGGCTGCTCTCCTGAGCCAATAAAGGGAGATCAGTGGTTCAGAGTCAGGAAATGACAGATAAGAGCATGTAAGAATCATCTAACCACATGATTCGGAAGAGAGTAGGGCATGTCCCCAAAATGGCAGAGTAATGTTTCCAGGACAAAAGAAGTTGCTGAACCGACAAAATAATGGACATCTACTCCAAGTTACTGTCAATTTAATTTATACTTCCTTAACATTTTGGTGTTTAAATAAAAATATTTAACATCTATTATATAATCTTTGATTACTTTCACAGTTTCATGGTGCATCATTCATTAAACGTATCAGTGACCACTCTAGATGGCTATGTGGAACGATGTGTAGTGTTCCAACAAGCCATGCTCTTTCATGCCTCCGTGTCTTTGGCACAACATGGAATGCCCTTATCTCATTGCCTATGTACCCAAGTCTACTGATTCCTAGAGACTCAACTCAAGTGTTAACTACCTCTGAGAATCTCCCCAGAGACAGTGTGCCTTAGTGTAAAGAGTCCAAGCTTCAGACTCAGAGAGATGCAGGCTGAACAGCCATTGTGCCATTTACTAGCATGTAAACTTGGTCAACTTACTAATCTCTTAGAAGTCTAATTTCAACATCTGTAAAATGATAATAATGACAAATTTACAAGTTTTTATAGATTAGAAATAACAGCATGCATGTATAGTTCCCAGAACATAGTCTGTAACAGCTAGAAAATATGTATTCTATATCTCATATTATATTATAGTACGATTTTCTACATGTATACTTGTCTTTCACAGTAGTCTTCAAGTTTCCTGGATAAGTAATATGCTTTACTCATCTTCAGTGAATATAGCTGTTTCTAGCGCATTAGAACTGGGGAGTTTAAAACAGTTCCGCTTGCTGATTCTTATCCTAGAGACACTGCTTTAATTGATGTGGGATGCAGCCAGGGCATTGGTGTTTTTAAAAACACCAACTTCCCTTGTGGTGTTAATGTGCAGCCAGGGCATTGGTGTTTTTAAAAACACCAACTTCCCTTGTGGTGTTAATGTGCAGCCAGAATTGAGAATCACAGTACTAGGTGCTCAGATATTTGTTGAATGAATGTTGTTCATTCTACAAGGCATTTCTAAGGCTCTACTAAATGTTTCGCTTACATAAAACTTTTACCTTTAACTTTAGGGAAAGCCTATAATCTTAGCAAAGGTGACCATTTAATGAGATATATTACTCTGTTGCACTTTGGAAGAAACAAATGTAATAGACAAGGAGCTCAAGGCTCAACAAGGTTGATTACGGTTGACCATTCCTTTTCTATCTCATGTGGAGACCTTATGCTTCATCTCTAAGCAGCTGCCCCGGGATAACCAGTAGTGTGTGAGTTGCATGGGCTTCAAAATGAGAACTGCCTATCTTAAAAAGTGGGGAGCAAAGGATACTGAAGACATGTTTGTCTTTTCTTTTCTCAAATTTCTGTTTATAAGTTTTAAATTTCTAGCTAGGTTTATGATTGTATATTTCTTCCACTATGAAAATATGCTGAATAATAAATATCTATTCTGTTTGACAGAGCAGATAATATCTTTCCTCCTTCTAGGCATACTCCTGAAATGTGAAATGAATAAATAAATATGTATCTCCACTAAATTGATATATTTGATATATAAATTGATATGAACTGATACAAATTGATATGTATATATATATCTCAGCTGTTTATAGCATTAAATAATAACAAATTGAATTTGCATTTTTTTAAAGATGCATGGGCATTTATGCTGTTTCTTAGTTTTTAATTAAAGTGTACAATTGATGGTGAAGATTTGCAGCAGCTCCAAGTATTGCCCATTAAATAACATTTGTTGTCAAAGGATTATTTATTACCGTGGTTAATAAACAAAATGGATTTTAGAAAAGTCTAAACTCTACAATAGCTTTCCATTCTTTTCTTTCCTTTTTGTCTTTGATGTTCTTTAAGCAAATGTCTAATATACCACAATGTCACCATGACTTATAACGATTTGAAATTACAAAGAAAATCCAAGAATAACTATCTTAATCCCTTCCAGACCTTATGCCTCATCTGTAAGCAGCCACCAGTGGATAACTAGTAGTGTGTAACTAGCATGGTTTGATAAAAAATTAGAATTATTTCAAAAAGGATAGTTTCAAAATGATCAAATCTGGATGCTAACTTACATTATTTGAAATACTCAATTTTTAAACTAATTGCACGTAATTGTTTTGACGACTCAATTTAATGGATTTCCATTTTTTATTTTAAAACATGTAGCTATCCCTGACCATCATTGGGACATAGATTATTATTTCTTTGGACCTCAACTTCCAGGATTGAACAGTGAAGAATTAAAAATAGCTGAATTTCAGATTCCTTAAATTTCACCAGTTCTATGTTTAAAAAAAAACACACTGGTTAAATAAAAGGCAAAATAAAAACAACAACAACAACAAAAACACAACTTAAGAATTATCAACCGATGCTTTTTTATTTTAATTAAATTGTTGGCCAAGTTTTCTTTTTTTTCTATGCAATGCCCATAGGCGACTGTTACAGCTAATGTCCATGTTTGTTTCACTTTTTAGTTAGCTGTTACCGAGAGCAGTTGTTATCGAAGTTCTCCAGAGACCACTGGGCCCCCAAGACCCTTTGAAGAGTACATAAGGTCACAATTATAATAATACTAAGCTGCTTCTTGCCTTGTTTGCTCTTATTATCTCCCAAGTGTACAGTGGAGTTTCCCAGAGGCTGTGTGATGCATGCTATTACAACAGATTAAACGCCGAAGCAGAGACGAGATCCAGTTGCATCTACTAAATCAGAGATTTGTAAAAAAAAGAACAACGCTACTTTTGATACTGAACATTTTTTGTTTGAGAATAAAGTTATATTTCATGAGAAGTATGCTGTTTATAAGAACATAAAATGTATAATGGGTTTAATTATTTTTAAGTTAAAAACATTTTAAAATGTATTGATTTTAATTTTTAATATTTCAATATCAATAGATACAACCTACATAAACAAAAGCTCTATGGGCCCTTAAAATTTTTTTAAGAGTATGAAAGGGTCCTGAGATAAAAGTTTGAAATCTTTTGACTTAAAATATTGGAAATTGGGGTGTGTCATATAATATCTTTATACCTATGCGTAACATTTTCAAAACAGTTACTCATTTTCCAGTCTAAGTGGATTGTCCCTGCCTTCTGCATGCCAAACTGAGGTCATCTAGGCTTGATACCTTTCCTTCTACAAACATTAACTCACATGGGCTAGGTGGAACTCCCTGAGGGCAGGAACCATGGAGTCTGACACTGATAGTTATTGAATGAATAAATAAGTTGATGTCATTCAAAGTACAGCATGCAATACAACAGTTCTGAACTTTTTAAAAAATAGTAACTCTAAAAATAATAAATACATACATAAAATCCCCGATCTTGGTTAAAGCCAACTGCTTCCTGTGACACAACGCCCTACCAGACAGCTGACATGGCTGGAGAAAGGCACACAAGAATGCTGACTAGTCCCATTTGAAATTTATGAGAATTAATTTGAATTGTGTCCTCAAGGGAACCTGGCAATCATATTATATTTCCTTAGATGACTATTAAATACCTTCTCCTGTCTCCTCAAACATGCAACATCTGTTCCCCTATCCCTACTCTCAGCTGATGACTCAGTTTCCTATTTCACCACAACTATTATCTACAAGTCCCTTCTCTTCTCTACTCTGTACCATAGACAGAGTGATTGTACCCCACTAAGGCCAATGCCTCCACTAGAGCCCATTCCTCTTGCTTACTCAAGGACATCCTCCAGAAATTCCTCCTTGATAATTGTCTCCACCAAAAATTCCTATTAGCATAAAAATCAGCTGAGATTCCTCCAATATTAAATTTTCTTTTCTCCTGGTCCCATCCCTGACCAGTTATAACTCCACCTTTCTGTCCCCCTTTATAATGTAACTTCCTTCAAGGTTGTTGATATTTACCACTTCCGATTCGTTTCCTCTCCTTTTCTCTTAACCTCTCTTCAGGCAGGCTTTTCTCCTATTTTTTTTTTTTTTTATCAGTATCACAGTGACATCCACACTGCTAAATCTGATGGTTAATTCTCAGCTCTCCTCTTACTTGACCTTTCGGATATACTTGACACAACTGATAACAATTCATCCAAGAATAAAGAAACTTGTCCTAACTTAAAAACCCTCACAAGTCTGGGATATTTGGGCTTTCCTTCATCTGTATACCTTAGGCGTTTAATTTACATTAGATACATGAATAATAATAAACAGTATCACTAAAATATGTTGAAACATTACTATCAATATTAACAATTGTGCTATAAATTGATATCCTCAAAACCTCTTGGTTCAAAAAGTAAATAGATTTATCTGTGGATATAATGTCCTGAGAGCATTATTTATTTATTGGATTGCACCATATTCACTTTTTAAAAAAACTCCATGAGAAAAGGGCTGAGTGGTCTCAGCATCAAGATTAATTGTGCATCTCCTGAGAAATTACTTTGATTTTGTCGTGTGGTCCCTGTGAATTGTGTACCTAACCAGGTTTACTTTTTTTAAAAAAAAAGTCTCCTTAGAATCAAATTAACAGCTCGATCATTAACTAATAAGTAACTTATTAGGTTAAACATATTGTGATCACTGTAAGCTGCAATCTATGTCTCATATTTTATTTATTCTTTCATTGCCATTATCAACTGCTATAATTTTGGTATATTTTCTATATTCTCACAAACCACCTTTTATTCATTCCAGAATAAGGCAGGGTATAAATAAATAGCCAAGCCACTAAATAAATGCATATGCACATACATATATACGCACAAACATAAACAGAACAGACTAAAAGGGAAAATGTCTGAAGATTAAAGATGGCTCGTCTGTGTTTCAGTGTCAAAGAAAAATCTGAGAGAAGGTTGCGAAAATTGGTATCAGTAGGAAACGAGAATGGCATTTGTTACTTATTTTCCAGGGTCAGTTCAAAAATAAGGAGGATACTTCTTTAAGAGATTTCTGAACACAAATATATTAGATTGCCTGACAAAGGTTCTTGAAATCAAAGAACTGATATATTATTCAAACAACTAAAATATAAGTAATCATAAATATACATGATCTTTCTAGTTATACTATTTTTGCTTTTCTACCAAAGTCTGAGTTAAATCTATGAAGCACAAAAATTATAGCAACTGAATTGGACCAAACTGCAAGACAAAATTTTAGTGTGGACATGACTTATTTCACTTTGTTTCACATGGTTATCCAGCCTTTTTGTCTTTTTTTATAGGAAAAGATCCACTCTGTCATCAGATGAGCCAGAGGGAGTCAGAAAAGGATTAGACATCTGAAAGACAGATAGGGATGAAACGCCTTTCCTATGCAAATTTATTATTTAGTGCTAGTTGTTTTGGTGACTAATTTTGTTCTGTTTTGTTAAATAATTATACTGTATGATTTCCAGTCTGCAAACGAGTTTTCTGAGGCTCTGGGCAAATGAGGTACATTGGAGCACATAGAGAAAGAGAGGAGGGGTGTCAGCTGCCTGCCATAGCTGATGGCAAGAAAACATCATTTATACCAGGAATTGGAACAGAGTTAGTTTCTCTGTATTGAGTTACCCATTTTTCAAGCCATATGTTAGTAAGTGAAGGATTTTCAGCTTTTCAGCCTAAGATCCCAGGTTAGAGAACAATGATTCCCAAGCACAATCGAAAACTACACACAATACTTACCCTTCTCTTAAAATTCAATAGTTTTAGTCCCCACTTTATGTTTCATAATGAAGTGAAACAGAGGCACTATGCATGTCTTAAAATGTATACAAACTGGTATCAACTTTATAAAATATATTCCTGTGTAATAACATTTCATAAATCTTGGGTAAATTTTATCTCTAAAAATGTAAAGTTTGGGACTTACACATGGTGTTTTCCAGTCCTCATCATACATCATACATCTTCATCCTTTAAATGAAAGTTCCATGGAAACAATGGACTGGAGTGGGTTTTGTTTTTCCTCCCAGGAATTACAAAAAGAAAAATACATTATTAGCTTGTAGCTCATTTGACCGCAGGATAAAAAGTGAAACCATTTTCAAGAAGCAGCTGATAAAGGACTAGACTCATTAAAGTGAATTCAGAGGCTCATGGCTAAGTGGTAAAATATTTCAAAGGATCAAATTTAATAAACTAATAAGAAAGCTCAACGACTGCCATCTGTACTGTGCACCAATTTAATTCAATGTTGCACACGTGGTAAACCTCTTAGCCCAACACTTGACAGTATAATTACCTCATTAAAGAAAGCATGTAAGTGTAGTGTAGAAATCTTGGTGGACTCAGGTTTTCCTAAGGAAATAAAAGCTTTATAGAATCTATTTTCCACTTGATAAAAGAACATTTAAGCTTAAAAATGTCACCAGGTTTTTTGGAGGGGAATGCAAAGGAACTCTTTTTTGGGTGGGGGTAATAAAAGCATATATATATATATATATATATATATATATATATGGAATTAGAAAAACATGACTATGTTTAGGTTTGTCTTATTCCCTACTGTTTGTTTTATTCCCTCTGCTACTATAACAGTAGCAGTTTCAAGCTTTGCTTTCCTTATGGAGTAAAACATATATTAACATAAAATAGAATAAAAGGATTCAGTTAACACTGAAATGAAAACATCCTCCAGGTAAGGGAATCTCAACACCTGTTGCACATTAGAATCACTTGGGAACCTTTCAAAATTACTGATGCCTGCATCTCATCCCCAAGATTCTGGTTTTATATGATGTAGGAACCACATTTAGATATCAGTACTTTTAAAAAGATTTCCAGATTACTGTAATATATAACCGGGGGGTGAGAAATCACTGCTCTAAGTCACGATGTCATGTGCTGGAGCACTTTTGAGAGTAAAAGAAGCCCCGCAAATACACCTGGATTAAAGAGTAAACTGCCACTGTCATGGGCAAACTAGGACGTAGGGTCACCTACCTCATTTCCAATGCTAAATATATCTACAGTGTTTCTGATAAGAGATAGTTCAGTCTTCACATTATTAGCTACACAAAAGAAAATTCCATATCTCCCAAGACAACATCTCATATCCTTTGACAGTTAGAATATACTCTCTATCAGTTCTACCCATTATTTCCTGAGTTCACCCGTAAGGGATTAACTCCTCTTCCAGAGACAGGCCCTTAAGATATTTGAAGATGTGTGTTAATGTTCCCTCCTTAGCATTTTCTCTTCTGAAGCCAAAATTTTCACCTCCTGATTAAATACTCTTCAGTTTCTCAGGACTTGTCTCATGTTATAATTTTGAGTATTTTATTTTTATTTTTATTTTTTGAGATGGAGTCTCACTGTGTTGCCCAGGCTGGAGTGCAATGGCGCGATCTCAGCTCACTGCAAGCACCACCTCCCGGGTTCAAGTGATTCTCCTGCCTCAGCCTCCCGAGTAGCTGGGATTACAGGCACCCACCACCGCGCCCAGCTAATTTTTGTATTTTTAGTAGAGACAGCGTTTTGTTATGTTGGCTAGGCTGGTTTCAAACTGCTGACCTCAAGTGATCCACCTGCCTCAGCCTCCAAAGAGTTTTCTTATCTTTATGGTTGCTCCCATATGAAGATTTTCAAGTTTGTTTATTGCATCTTATAAGGCAGAGCCAATGTAAGGATCCTGTAATGATTATTATTTGATATATAATAATATATACACAACATTTAAGTAAAGATTTGTTAGAAGAATAAAGGCTGTATTATTATTTGAGCTGCTCAAACCTCTTCTCCACCAGCCAGCAGAATTGTAGACACCCTAATAAATAGGCCTTATGGCTATGAGGAAGAAAAGGGCTCATTAGTTTGTAACTTGTTTATCCTCAGGGATGCCTAAGGCAATTTTCATGCCAACCAGAGCTCCTTGCAAATACTGACTGATGGAATTTACTAGCAAAAGGATGAATGAGAGACCTGAGGAGTTGCTCTGTAGTAATTTCTTATCTAGGACTGCTTTTAGCTGCATATATCTGGTCTGTCTACATTTTTAAAAATAAATTATTCTATAATTTATGGGCTGCCACTAGACTGAATAATAGATAGTTATTTGATTAAACAGGGCTATGGAGTTGCAAAACATAAAATGTAAGAGATCCCAAAACTCAAAAGACTTCCCTCTACCAGCTTGCCTTCTATGCAGTTAGCATTACTTATCCCCAAACTAAACTGCATCCAAGTGCTGCAAAAGAAGCTCAAAGAACGATGTCTGAAAGAGTCAGGTCTCCTAGATATCTTGTTGCTCGTGTTTGTTTTTTGTTTGTTTGTTTGTTTGTTTGTTTTTGAGACAGAGTTTCGTTCTCGTTGCCCAGGCTGGAGTGCAATGGCGCCATCTCGGCTCACTGCAACCTCGGCCTCCCGGGTTCAAGCGATTCTCCTGCCTCAGCCTCTAGTAAAACTCAGTGCTCTGTCATTTCCTGTATGTCTAACAGTTTTAATCTTTGGGACTTCAGTTTTGCTTCATTCCGAGGGTACCGTTTTAGGCTCTTATTGACCATTCTGAACAGCGTGCTGTCTTTTCTTTGGTTCAAGTTTCTCTGGCTAACCTCTTTAATGTTTCCTTTTAAATGAAAACTTGGCTTTCGTTTCCAACTTTCCCTCTGGGCATGGCTCTTTTTGGAAAAAAAAAAAGCTTTATTGAGATATAGTTCACATACCAAACAATTCACCCATTTAAAGTGTACAATTCAGTGCCTTTTAGTATGTTCAGAGTTGTGTCATCATCACCACAATCTAATTTTAGAACATTATGTCACCCCAGAAAGAAATCCTGTACCCACTCCTCCACCTTCCACCCACCAACTCCACCCGCTGCCCAACATAGCAACAACGAATCTACTTTCTGCTTGTATAGGTTTGCCTATTCTGGATTTTCATATAAATGGAATCACACATTTGTGACTAGTTGATTTCACTTAGCATTATGTTTTCAAGGTTCATTCCAGTTGTAGCCCATATCAGTACTTCATTCCTTTTTATTGCTTAATAACATTTCATAGTATAGACCTACTACATTTTATTTATTTATCCATTAATCAGTGATGAACACTTGGCTTGTTTCTTCTTTTTGGCTCTTCTTTTTGGTTATTAGGAATAATACTGCCGTACACATTCATGTACCAGTTTTTGTGTGGATATACATTTACATTTCTCTTGGGTGTATACCTAGGAGTGAAATTGAGGGACCACATGGTAATTCCATGTTTCACATTTGAGAACTGCCTAGCTGTGCTTTCAAGCATGTGCACCATTTACATTCCCACCAGTTTATGAAGGTTACAATTTCTCACATACTCACCAACACTTTTTTTATTTGTCCTTTATTATTATTGTTGTTGTATCTCAGTGTGATTTTCATTTACATTTCCCTAATGGCTAATAAGGTTGAGCATTATTTCTGGTTCTTACTGGCTCTTTATGTAAGAGCCAATGTCTTGAAAAATGTCTTTTCAGATCCTTTGTTCACTTTTAATTTTGTTGTCTTTTTATTATTGAGATGTAAGAGTTATAAGAATTTATTCATATTGTGGATACATGTAACTTATCAAATATATAATTTGCAAATATTTTGTTTCATTCTGTGGTTGTCTTTTTCCTTTCCTGATAGTGTCCTTGGAAGTATAAAAGTTTTTAATATTATTGCAACTCAATGTTTCAACTTTTTATTTTGTTTTTACACTTTTGGGGTCATATCTCAGAAGGTTTTCTTAATCCAAGGTTATTAAGATTCACTCCTCTCTTTTCTTCAGAGTTTTACAGTTTTAGATCTTACATATAAGTCTACAATTTACATGAAGTTAATTTTTGTGAAGAGTGTAAGGAATGAATCCTTCTTCATCATTTTGCTTGTGGATATCCAGTTGTCCCAGCACCATTCTTTCCTGCATTAAATTGTCCTGGAATCCTTGTTGACAATTTATTAATCTTAAATGTAGGAGTTTATTTATGGACTCTGAATTATATACCATTGATGTGTATGTGTATATTTATGCCAATACCACATTGTCTTGACTATTGTACTTTTCTAGTACATTTTGAAACCAGGGAGTGTGAGTCCTCCAACTTTTTTCTTCTTTCTCAAGATTGTTTGGACTATTCTGGTTTCTTTCATTTCCAGATGAATTTAGGATCAGCTTGCCAATTTCTGCACAGTAAAAGCCAGGGCGACAGCTACAATTTTGATAGGGATTGTGATGAGTCTGGAATCTGTAGATCAATTTGGGGACTACTGCAATCTTAACTATCATGAGATTTTTGATCCATAAATGTGGGATGTGCTCCTTTTACTTAGGCATTCCTTAATTTCTCTCATCAATATTTTTTAGTTTTCAGTGCACAAGTTTTGCACTTTTTTGGTTAAATTTATTCCTAAGTATTTATTAGTTTTAATGCTGTTGTAAATGTTAATGTTGTTAATTTTATTTTAGAATTGTCCATTGCCAGTATAGAGATATGCAACTGATTTTTGTACATTGATCTTATACCTTGCAATCTTGCTGAATTCACTTATTAGTTATAAAAGCTTTTAGTGTATTCTCTAGTATTTTCTATACACTAGGTCATGTCATCTGCAAATAGAAATTGTCTTACTTCTTCTTTCCCAATTGGGATGGCATTATTATTATTATTATTATTGTTGTTATTATTATTATTTTACTTCTTCCTTCCCAATTGGGATGACTTTTTTCTACATAATTGCCCTAATTAGACTATCCAGGTGCAATGTTGGATAGAAGTGGTGAGAGTGGACATTCTTGCCTTGTCTCTGATCTTATCTGGAAAGCATTCAGCTTCACCATTAAGTATAATGTAAGCTGTGGGATTTTTGTAGATGCCTTTTCAGGCTAAGGAAGTTTTCTTCTATTTCTAATCTGATGAATTTTTTTCATAAAAGGCCACTGGATTATGTCAAATGCCTTTTCTGTGTCCCCTTAGATGATTACATGGTTCTTTTTTTATTACATGCATATGGTAGATTACATTAATTGATTTTCAGATGCAAAACCAACCTTACATTCCTTAGACAAATTCCCCTTGATCATGGTACATAGTTCCTTTTAAATATTGCTTTTATTTGCTAATATTTTCTTGTGGATTTTTTTGCCTATATTCTTAAGCGATATTGGTATGTAGTCTTCCTTTTTATGATTTATTTGTCGGTTTTTGGGTATCAGGGTAATTCTAGACTCATAGAATAAGTGAAAATGTGCTCCCTCATATTTTTCAGAAGAGCTGTTGAGTAATTGATACTAATTCTTCTTTAAATTAATAGTTTACTAATTGTTACTAATAATTGACTAATAAATAAATGATTATTAATTTAACAATAATTTACTACATGACTAGTAAATCTGGGCTTGGCTATTTTCTTTAGGAACATTTTTAATGACTAATTAAATATATTTGCTTAGTGAGTATGTATTTAAATTTTCTATTTCTTCTTGTGTAAGTTTCATTAGTTTGTGTCCAAGAGTTTTCCTATTTCATTTCAGTTAGTGAATTTGTTGGCATACATTTGTTTGTAGTATTCCCTTGACATCTTTAATTATTTCTGTAAGGTTGGTAGTAATGTCTCCTTTTTAGTCCTGATTTTAGTGACATGAGACTTCTCTCTTTTTTTCTTGGTCAGTTTAGCTAAAGATTTTTCCATTTTGTTGATCTTTTTGAAGAGCCAACTTTTGGTTTGGTTAATTTTTCTCCATTGTTTTCCTCTTTCTGTTTCATTAATTTCCATTGTAATCTTTACTGTTTTTTGTTTTTCTTTCATCATTGTCTTAGAAGAATTTGTGTTGATTATTTTAAGGTAGATATTTACAGCTAAAAATTTCCCTCTATGACTGCTTTAACTACGTAAGTACTGATATTTAAAAACATTTTATTAATCTCAAAGAATTTTCTAATTTAATTTGTGACTTTTAAAATTCAACCTATTGCTTATGTAAGAGTGTGTTGTTCAATTTCCAAGTATGTTTGAGTTTTCCAAATTTCTTTATTGATTTCTATTTTACTCAATTGTGGTTGGAGAACACTTTTGTTATTCTTTTAAATTTATTGAGGTTTATTTGTTGCTTTATGTCCTAGCACATGGTCTGTACTAGAGAATTTTTCATGTACTCTTGAAAAAAATGTACATTCTGCTTTCTCTGGTAGTGTCTGTAGAGGTAGTCTATATGTAGTGTTTATGGATGTAGACTATAGATAACCCTAATTGTTTTACTGTTTTTCAAGTTTTGTATATTCCTGTTGATTTTCTTCCTAGCTGATATATTCTGTTTTTATTCTTTTCTTTTCTTTTCTTTTTTTTTTTTTTTTTTTTGAGATGGAGTCTCACTCTGTCGCCCAGGCTGGAGTGCAGCGGCATGATCTTGGCTCACTGCAACCTCTGCCTCCTGGGTTCAAATGATTCTCCTGCCTCAGCCTCCCAAGTAGCTGGGATTACAGGTGCCTGCCACCACACCCGGCTAACTTTTTTGTATTTTTAGTAGAGACAGGGTTTCACCATATTAGCCTGGATGGTCTCTATCTCCTGACCTCATGGTCTACCTGCCTCCGCCTCCCAAAGTGGTGGGATTACAGGCATGAGCCACCACACCCACCCTCTAGCTGACATATTCTTTAAAGTGAGATCATTGAAGTCTTCAACTATTATTGTTGAATTGTTTTTTCCCCCCCTCTATTCTGTTAACTTTTGCTTTGTGCATTTAGGGATGTCTTCTTTCAGGTACAAGCTTTTTTATGTGTGATATATTGTCATTCAGCTTTCTTATCATTGCAGTTTATATGTATCTCCTTGTCCATCCTTTTACTTTCAATCTGTTTGGATGGAGTTTTTATGGGGTCTTTTTTGTTGATGTTGTTGTTGTTGCTTTCTGTTTGTTTGTTCTTCTTATAACAGGCAGGTCCCTGTTTTGCAGGTCTGCTGCAGTTTTCTGGGGGGTCTACTCTAGACCATGTTCACCTGGGTATTGAGTTGATTTTTGTATATGGTGGAAGGAAGAGGCCCAGTTTCAATTTTCTGCATATGGCTAGCCAGTAATCCCAGCACCATTTATTGAATAGGGGGGTCCATCCTCCATTGCTCGTTTTTGTCAGCTTGGTCGAAGATCAGATGGTTGTAGGTGTGTGGCTTTATTTCTGGGCTCTCTATTCTGTTCCATTGATCTATATGCCTGTTTTTGTACCAGTACCATGTTGTTTTGGTTACTATAGCCCTGTAGTATAGTTTGAAGTTGGGTAACATGATGCCTCCAGCTTTGGTCTTTTAGCTTAGGATTGCCTTGGCTATTCAGGCTCTTTAAAAATTGCATACGAATTTGAAAATAGTGTTTTTAAATTATGTGAATAATTTCAATGGTAGTTTGATAGGAATAGCATTAGATCTATAAATTGCTTTGGGCAATATGGCCATTTTAATGATGTTGATTTTTCCTTTCCATGAGCATGGAATGTTTTCCCATTTGATTGTGTCATCTCTGATTTCTCTGAGCAGTGTTTTGTAATTATCATTGTAGAGATCTTTCACCTCCCTAGTTAGCTGTATTTCTAGGTATTTTATTCTTCTTGTAGCAGTTGTGAATGGGATTTCATTCCTGATTTGGCGCTCAGGTTGGCTGTTGTTGGTTTATAGGAATGCTAGTTATTTTTGTACATAAATTTTGTATCCTGAGACTTTGCTGTAGTTTTTTTTTTCCCAATACTTCTAGTTCTGGGATGCATGTGCAGAATGTGCAGGTTTGTTACATAGATGTACATGTGCCATTATGGTTTGCTGCATCCATCAACCCGTCATCTACATTAAGTATTTCTCCTAATGCTATCCCTCCCCTAGCCCTCCATCTGCCAATAGGCTCTGGTCTGTGATGTTCCCCTTCCTGTGTCCAAGTGTTCTCATTATTCAACTCCCACTTATGAGTGAGAATATGCAGTGTTTGGTTTTCTGTTATTGTGTTAGTTTGCTGAGGATAATGGTTTCCAGCTTCATCCATGTCCCTGCAAAGGACATGAACTCATCCTTTTTTATGGCTGCATAGTATTCCATGGTGTATATGTGCCACATTTTCTTTATCCAATGTATCATTGCTGTAGTTGTCTAACAGCTTAAGGATTTTTTATTTGCTATGGAATTTTCTAGATATAGAATCACGTAGTCTGCAAACAGCGATAGTTTGACTTCCTATTTTGATGCCTGTCTTCCTATTTTGATGCCATTTACTTCATTCTCTTGTCTGATTTCTCTGGTCAGGACTTCTAATACCATATTGAATAGGAGTGTTGAGAGAGAACATCCTCATCTTGTGTCAGTTTTTGCCCATTAAGTATGTTGTTAGGTGTGGGTTTGTCATAGATGGCTTTTATTATTTTGAGGTATGTTTCTTCAATACCTAGTTTATTAGAGTTTTTAACATAAAGGGATGTTGAATTTTATTAAAAGCTTTTTTGCATCTATTGAGATAATTGTGTAGTTTTTGTATTGAATTCTGTTTTTGTGATGAATCACATTTATTGATTTGTGTATGTTGAACCAACCTTGCATTACCAGGGATAAAGCCCACTTGATCATGTTGGATTAGCTTTTAGATGTGCAGCTGGATTTGGTTTGCTAGTATTTTGTTGAGGATTTTTGCATCAATGCTCATCAAAGATGTTGACCTGAAGTTTTCTTTTTTTGTTGTTTATCTGAAAGGTTTTGGTATTAGGATAATGAAAGCCTCATTGAATGAATTGGGAGAGCATCCCTCCTCTTCAATTTTTTGGAATAGTTTCAGTAGGAGTGGTACCAGCTCTTCTTTGTACATGTGCTAGAATCTGCTAGAATCTGGTCATGGGCTTATTTTGGTTGGTAGGCTATTACTGATTCAAGTTTGGAGCTTGTTATTGTCTGTTCAGGGATTCAGTTTCTTCCTGGTTCAGTCTTGGGAAGGTGTATGTTTCCAGGAGTTTGTCCATTTCTGTTAGATTTTCTAGTTTGTTTGCATAGAAGTGTTTATAGTAGTCTCTGATAGTTATTTATGTATTTTTTGAAGTCAGTGGTAACATCCTCTTTGTCATTTCTAATTGTGTTATTTTTGGATCTTCTCTCTTTTTTATTAGTCTAGCTAGCCTTATATCTTATTAATTTTTTTCAAAAAAAACCAACTCCTGGATTTATTGATCTTTTGAATGGTTGTCTGAGTCTCAATCTCCTTCAGTTCAGCTCTGACTTTGGTTACTTCTTGTCTTCTGCTAGCTTTGGGATTAGTATGCTCATTATTCTCTGGTTCTTTTTGTTGTGATGTTACGTTGCCAATTTGTGATCTTTGTAACTTTCTGATATGGGCACTTAGTGTTACAAATTTCTCTCTTAATTCTGCCTTAGCTGTGTGGCAGAGATTCTGGTATGGTTTATCTTTGTTCTCTTTAGTTTCAAAGAATTTCTTAATTTTTGCCTTAATTTCATTATTTACCCCAAAGTCATTCAGAAGTAGGTTGTAAATTTCTATGCAATTGCATGGTTTTGAGCAATTTTCTTAGTCTTGATTTCTATTTTTATTGTGCTGTTGTCCAGGAGAGTGGTTGGTATGATTTTGGTTCTTTTAGATTTGCTGAAGAATGTTTTATGTCCAATTGGGTGGTCGATTTTATAGTATGTGCCTTGCAGTGATGAGAAGAATGTATATTCTGTTGTTTTTGGGTGCAGAGTTTTGCGGATTTCTATCAGGTCCATTTTGTCCAGTATTGAGGTCAGGTCCTGAATGTGTTTATTAATTTTCTGCCTCAGTGATTTGTGTAATACTGTCAATGGGGTTGTGTGGCAGTCTAAGTCTCTCTGATAGTTTCTAAGAACTTGCTTTATGAATCTGGATGCTCCTGTGTTGAGTGCACATATATTTAGGATAGTCACATCTTCTTGTTAAATTGCAGCCTTTACCACTGTGTAATGCCCTTCTTTGTCTTTTTTGATCTTTTTTGGTTTAATGTCTGCTTTGTGTAAAATTAGGATTGCAACCATTGTTTTTTTTTTTTTCTCTTTTCCATTTGCTTCTTAGAGTTTCCTCCAATGCTTTATTTTGATCCTATAGATATCATTGCAAGTCAGATGGGTCTCTTGAAGACAGCATACCATTGGGTCTTGCTTCTTTATCCAGCTTGCCACGCTGTGCCTTTTAATTGGGGCATTTAGTCCATTTAAATTCAAGGTTAGTATTGATATGTGTGGATTTGATCCTATCATTATGTTGTTTTCTGGTTGTTATGCAGATTTGTTTGTGTGGTTGCTTTACAGTATCACTGGTCTGTGTACTTAAGTGAATTTTTGTAGTGGCTGGTAATAATATTTCCTTTCCATATTTAGTGCTTCTTTCAGGAGCTCTTGTAAGGCAGGTCTGGTGGTAATGAGTTCCCGTAACATTTGCTTGTCTATAAAGAATCTTATGTCTTCTTCACTTATGTTTAGTTTGACTGGATACAAAATTCTGTGTTGGAATTTCTTCTTTAAGAATGTTGAATATAGGACCTTGATATCTTCTCACTTGTGGGGTTTCTGCTGAGAGGTCCACTGTTAGTCTGATGTGCTTCTCTTTGTAGGTGACATGATCTTTCGTTCTAGATGCCATTAACTTTTTTTTTCTGACCTTGGGGAATCTGATGATTATATGTCTTGGGGCTGATCTTCTTGTGAAGTATTTTGCAGGTGTTTTTCACATTTCCTGGTTAAATCTGGCTTCTCTAGCTAGGTTGGGGAGGTTCTCATGGATGATAACCTGAAATATATTGTCTAAATTGCTTCTATTCTCCCTATCTCTTTCAGGGACACCAGTGATTCATAGATTTGGCCTCTTTTTATAATCCCATATTACTCAGAAGTTTTGTTCATTCTTATTCTTCTGCTTCTTTGTACTAAATTAGTGTTTTCTAGATTATATATGTTACAAACCTAATGATATATTGTTATAATTATTACTTTGTACAACTTTATGTCCTTTAAAGAAGCTGAGAAAAGAAAGAAGAGCAATTAAATATTTATGCCTTGTTATATTAACCTTTTTAGTTCTCTTCATTTGTTCCAGTGAATTCCAGGTACTATTGGTATCATTTAATTATTCCAATACTGTTTTGCTCTAATTCACCTTATTTGTGATATTTTCTAATATATCACATTTCTATGTGTTACAGGCCCAATAATACAGTTATATACATATTATTCATATGATTGCTTTTAAGTCAGTTAAGAAATTTGCAAATATAGTTTTTAAAAATAATTACATAAACAAGTACTTTTACTGGCACTCTATTTTATCATGTGGACTTGAACTATGGTCTGAGTTCACTTTCATTTAGAACTTTAATGTTTGTTACAAGGAATATCTGCTTACAACAAATTCTGTCCATTTTTGTTTATTTGAAGATGCTTTTATTTCACTGTCATTTTTTAAAGTTAGTTTTCTTGGATATATGATTATTTCTCGACAGGGTTTTTTTTTCCTTTCAATTTATTACTTTACTTTGAATTTGACTTTCCACTGCCTCTGTCCTCCATTGTTTCTAATGAGAAGTCAGCTGCAAATATTTCAAAGCAAATATTAAATATTAATATTAAATATTACAGTTTACTTGAAGTGATGGGTTGTTTTTCTCTTGCTGTTCTCAGAATTTTCTCTTTGCCATTGTCTTTCAACATTTTGAACATAATTTTCTGGATGTGAATATCTTTTGCATTTATCCTACTTGAAGTTTCCTGAGCTCCTTGGATTTGCAGATTAATATTTGTTTTTTATTAAATGTAGAAAGTTACCAGCCACTATATCTCCATTATGTCTTTAAATATTTTTGTACCCCTTTCTTCCTCTCCTCTCCTTCCTGTAGTCCTACTATATCTATGTTGTTGCACTAAACGTTGTCTGACATTTCTTTGAAACTCTGTTCATTTCTATTCGTTCTGTTTTTTCATATTCTTCATATTTCATATTCTCTAATAATCAGTCTTCAACATCACACATTCTTTTGCCAGTTCAAACATACCATTGAGCCCCTCTATTAAATTATTAACTTCGTTTATTGTAGTTTTCAACTTGAGAATTTTCACTTAGTTTTTAAAAAAGTAATTTATTTCCTTCTTTATTGACATTCTTTACATGATGAAACATTGTCATCATACCTTTTTCTTTTTAAGGCACGGTTTCCTTTAGTTCCTTGAACATATTTTTAATATTTGCTTTGAAATTTGTCTGCTGAGTCTAACGTGTAGATTCTCTCAAAGGCAGGTACTATTGCCTTTTTAAATTTTCTCTACAATTTACAGTTTTTACTTCTATGCACATCTCATAATTTTTTGTTGAAAACTGGCCATTTTATATAATATTGAACTCTGAATACCTATTCTTTCTTTCTTGGGGCTATGGGTTGTTGTTATTTTGTTTGCTTGTTTATTTGTTTAGTTACTTAGTTGGAGTACTTTAGTGAATTTCATTTCCCCCCCAGTGTGCATTCCCTGATGTCAGTTCAGGAGGGGAATCTTGGGCATATACATATACATCTTAGGATGAAAGTTCTTTTAAAAAGGCAATTTTTTACTATCTCTTTCTCTGATATCTCTAGTAAGCTACATATTTCTGTTAGCGTCACACTGAGTGGTTAGCCTCCATTAACTGGTGGCTGATCATGTTATTATTTCCATTAATTCCCTGGACATAAGTTGCTCCATAGTCTGATCCAATTAAATTTGGGCCCCTTTGCCAGGTTAATCTTTGAAGCCAGCCTGTGAGGTTTGTTCCAACCCAACAACTATCTCTTTCCCTGATTCTTTTTATTAATCTTCTGGCTAACTATCATTTAGCTCTCCTGGTACTACCAGCCTCTTCTTAATTGCTTACAGCTCATTAACCATGTCTTTCTGTATTCCGACATTTTCATCTGGGGGCTTTTCTGATCCTGTAGGGAATGCCCATAACCAGGGTTAATCAATTACTAGAGATAGTAAACAACTCATGTGGGAGCACACTTTTCAAATGCAAACCAGCCAATTCATAGCCCATACCCCTAACCACCTCTCTTAGAAGGCTCTCAAACTGACTCTACTATTCATCTGTCCTAATCATCCCAGAGCCAAGTATCAGAAGTCTAGGGACATTTTTTATATCCCAGAGCTCACTGAAATTATTTAAACTAACCAATCTTAAGCCTGTTTACCATCCCTTACTCTTTTCCCCATAGAAAACACAATAAAGGCTCTAGTCACACTTTTCCCTGCTTCCTCAGGTCCTGAACAACTCCAGTGTTTCCCTGTGTGGCCTCCTTGTTTGGTGTACCATGCCTCCCATTTCCAGGAATCTATAAATATAATAAACTTATTATTTCATGACAACCAATTCTGGTGTCTTCCCATCTTACCATGCCTGATTAAAACAAATCCAGGGTACTCTTGGTACTCATCTATTTTTTTCAATAGTGCCCAGAATATTGAACTATACCAAATAAAGTCAGTTCCCTTGAAATAAGCTGTGGAACTCCCTGCTCTTACAGAATGCCCCTCCACCTGGGAAAAATCTCCATAGCCCTGCTCTATAGGACAATTTCCAAAGTATTCAAGAGCTTGGGTGATTTTTCTTCTATAATTTTTATCAGTTATGGTTGTTTAATTAGGGAAAGGATTCACAGAGTTTTTCATGCACCATTCTGGAAGTTACCACTCAGGCAGTCTTTGAGTTTCCTTGGCTTCAGGCTTTAATCTTATGTATTTTGCCATTCTTGCATTGCTATGAAGAAATGCCTGCGACTGGGTAATTTATAAAGAAAAGAGATTTAATTGGCTTATGCTTTTGCAGGTTGTACAAGCATCGGGTTGGCATCTGCTCAGCTTCTGAGGAGGCCTCAGGGAGCTTTTACTCATGGTGGAAGGCAAAAGGGGAACAGGCATGTCACATGGCAAAAGCTGGAATAAGAGAGGTGAGGAGCCTCATACTTTTAAACAACCAGATCACATGAAAACTTACTATTGCGAGTTACAGCACGAAGAGGATGGTGCTAAACCAATCATGAGAAATCTGCCCCAATGATCCAATTACCTCCCACCAGGCCCTGCTTCCAACATTGAGGACTATATTTCAACATGATATTTGGGCAGGGACAAATATCCAAACTATTTCACCTTGCAATCTAGCTTATACCTACTTCTGGCTCTTAGAAATCTATCTAGGTCTAGAAGTCTGTTTTCTACTTGTCCACAAGAACAGTTTGACACTCAGTCCTCCTTAGTCAGCTTGGATTGCTATAACAAAATATGACATATTGGGTGGCTTAAATAGCAGACATTTGCTTCTCACAGTTTTGGGAGCTGGGAAGTCCCGTATCAAGGTGCCAATACATTCAGTTCTTAATGATATGGCTCTTCTTAGTTTGCATATGGCCACCTTCTCACTGTGTCTTCACTTGTGGGGCAGGGGGAGAGAGAGCTCTGGTGTCTCTTCCTCATCTTATAAGGACACTAGTCCTACAAGGCTCCATCCTCATGAGCTCATCTAAACATAATTACCTCCCAAAGGCCCCACCTCCAAATAAAATCACGTTGGAAGTTGGGACCTCAACATGTAAATCAAGGGGGGGATACAAATTAGCAGTCCATGGCATCTTTAATCGAAATATTTACATTAAAGACCCTTTATATTTCTGTGTAACTAAATACAATATTCGGCTCTTTCTTTTGAGGTCTTCACAATCAGTGAGATTTGAGAATACTTCAAACTTATTTTGGTACATACACTTCCAATGTTCACTATGAATTTAAGATTATATTTGAAAATTTCTTACCTGATATTTTAAAAATAAATTGTATTGGTCCTGGCATAAATATGCTTACCTACATAAAAGGCTGGGAGCATCACCACAGATTTATTCTATTAAATGCTAGATTCAGAAAAATAAAGGCAAGGAAACTATTTGGTCCTATATCATTGCATATTGACTTATAATGTGCCTAAGGAAGTTAATATTATCAAAAAATCTTGTCAAATTATAACATATGCCATATAAAATGTACTGTACTTGCAGAATGTCAAGTAAATTAGTAGAATGCATGAAGTAAAATGTGTGATGAGGATAAGGGCAGTAGAGACAGAAATAAATTATGAAAAGAAAGAAGAAAACAAGTGCCTTAAGTATAATTTATTAGTCTTAGTTTATCAAATCCTATTTCAGCTCTTAAAAATTATTATTTAAAAAACCCAACAGTCCACAAAATTGAATGAAAATAAGAAAACTCAAACATGCCCATGCCTTTTTCTCACCATTTCTTCTATTCGTCATTTCTAAATATAACCAGTGAGCAGGTGCTGTTCCTACTAGCCTGAAAAAGTCAATGCAGATTCCAAGAACCAACTTCACACTCACCAATAAATGAATGTCTTCTCATTGCCTAAGGATCCATTTGAATGTATCTAGGACTGATTATTGATTTGCTGAGCTCCAACTATATGTCTGTCATTGTACAGGGCGTGTGGAACATATGGTAAAAGCATGATACAAGGCCTCTAGTCTTAAACATTTTATGTTCTATTTGAGAAGAGAACTTTAATTGAAAAAGGATTTAATCATATAGAATATAACACAAATATATTGTACATAGTAATGAAGATCATTGTATGCTGAGATAGCTAAGAAATCAAATCTTTAATTAGGCTATAAATCAGAAAACATTGTTTTAAATCTGGTTTCCACTACTTCCCAGTGGTATGATTTTAGGGAAATCACCTCATTTCTCTGACTCTTGGTCTCCTCATCTGAAAAGGTCAGTGATAGTACTTATGTCAGAGGTTTCTTTGGAAGATAAAAGATGAGGCACTAGAAATGTAATGCGTGACATAAATAAGCCATGTGATCAGCATTAGTTGAATTAGAAGATGAGAAGGATCTGGACAGGCTAAAATAAAGCAGGCAGATATTTCTAGGAGAAGCAAAACATAAATGTAAAATGTCAAACTTTAGGATATAAATAAATAACTTGTTTTCTCTTTTGTTTTAGACTAACGTATATTGAAAATTTTGGTAGTCCTGTTAATTCGAATCACCAACACATTAATTTCTCAGTTGTATCAGAAATATTTTCTCTGGAAATATTTGCTAAATCTGTGCCAGTTCTGAATATTTTTTGGCAGGAAGGGTGGGGACTATTTGGACCATTGTATCTTTTCAGATCTCTACTTAGAACTCTGTAAAATATTGCATACTCAAAATGGAATTCAAAGCCTGTAATTATGTATCAGCTCATAAGTAATTTTCTGAATTGTCACCTTTTCCTAATTTTGGATTGTGTTTTCTATTTCGAAATGAAATGTTGGCATGCCTACTATTTTTTTCTTCTTCAAATCTGGATGCCCAACTGTCGAACTTCTAAAATTTTACTTCCTACAGCGGAATGAACATGTTCTTAAATACACTTTTAAATTTTTGCTCTGAGTTATTTTGCCAAAGCAAGGGAGTCTTTATGACAGAAGAGAGTTGCTTGCAACAAACAAAGAAGGAAGAAGGAATTTTTCCAAACACAGGCATTTTATAAATTACCTAATACGTGCAAGAGGTTATTGAAGCTGTCTTTTCAAGAGCTTACACGATCTCTTTGGCTTTTTTTATCTTTCACATTTTAAATTTTGCTGCTGTCATGTGTATTTAGAGTCACATTATTTAAATGCAGCCATAAATAAGCAGATTTTGCAAAAGATTCAAATCTGTAGCATTTTTAGCTCACAAACAGTTCCAATAGTGGTGTGTAATTGGAAGACTGAATTCTGGTACTATTTAGACTTAGTTTAAAATACGGGTCTTCCATTCATTAACTTCATGGCTTTGAAGAAGTCACTTCTCATCCCAGAGTCTGTTTCCCAATCTGTGAATTGGGGATAATAATAAATAATGAGCACACAGAGTCTATAAGGGTCATATTTGATAGTAAATGTAAAGGTAAATGGGACAAGATAGTGGAGTAAGACTTTCCAGCACTGTCTCCACACACACAGAAATACCAATTTAAACAATTGTCCACAGATGAAAATACCTTCACTAGAGCTAAGAAAACCAGGTGAGAGATCACAGTTTCTGGTTGTGGCACAATGATGTAAAAAGATGCATTGAATAGGGTAGAAAAGACAATTTTACATTACCCACACTACCTTTTCCCCAGTCCCAGGCAGCACAGTGTGGAGAGAGATAGCATCTGCTTGGGGGAAAGAAAGGGAAGTGAGCACAGGACTTTGTCTTGGACCCACATTGGGCCCACCAGAGTAAAACCGAGCACTGGGCAGACTCCCCAAGGACCCATATACTAGGCCAGTATCACAGACTGAGCCCCTAGACCCACCCTGGCATGAGGTGGAATCACACAGCCCCAGGCTTCAAGCTTGTATGGTGAACTTGACCTATGGCCTGCACCAACACCAGACCAATGTCAGCAGCTTTGGGCTCTGGACAGCTCTAAGTGGCCTCTGGCTATATGCATCTCAGTATTATATTAGCCACAGCTGCCTCAGGCTTATCATCTGCTTTAGCACACATTTGTCATAGCAGGCCACAGGCTTCTGGCAATACTACGACAGCCATATCTGCCTCAGGCTACCAGCCTATACCAGGACTATACCTGCTGCAGGGCTTTCCAAGACAAAGCCAGCCTGTGAAAACTGGAATAACCCAGTTCTGTACCCACTTCTTCAAATGTCCAGGCATCAGTGTACAATAACAAGAATCAAGAACAATCAGGGAAATAAGACATCACCAAGTGGACAAAGTAAGGTGCTAGTGACTGACCCTAAAGAAATGGATATGTATAAGATGACTGACAAATAATTCAAAATAACTGTTTTAATGAAGTTCAGCAAACTTCAATAAAACAGAGAAACAATTTAATGAAATAAAAAAATGTAACCAGAATGATAAATTTAATAAAGATATTAAAATAATTTAAAAAATCAAATAGTAAATGTCAAGTGGAAATTAAAAGGAGCTCTTTAATTATAGCTATTATTATTTTTATTAGAGAAAAAACTGATCATCATTCAAAGCATATGAAAAAAATTGTGGCATGGGGATATTGAGAAAGTGTGGTCAATTTCAGCTTATAGACCCTGAATTATGTAGGTGGTATTGCATAATAACATATAATAGAGAACAAAATGAATAGGACAGGCAACAGGTGTATAGGAGTAATTGTTCATAATCGAAAATCATCAGTGCTTTATTTAGTGAAAATCAGTTATTACCTCATTTTCTCCAGGAAGATTTCATAGAGGCAAATGGTAGCAGAAGGGATTCTTTTGCCAGTGGTCAATGGGAAATCAAATCATTTTTGACATTAAAAAGACAAGCCCAGCTTTAAAAGTCTAAATATTCCTCAGTAAATGTATACTGGAAAAATCCCTTACTACATTTATTTTCTCTCTTAAGAACTTTAAAAAGGCAATTTACATGGCATTCAAAATGGTCAATATGGTAGGCTGAATAATGGTCCTACAAAATATATCTTTTAATCACCAGGATTTGTAAATGGTACATTACATGGCAAATAAAAATACTAAGCAGGTGTAATTAAATTCAAGATCTTACGATGAGAAGATTATCCTGGATTATCCAGGTGGGCCCTAATGCAATCACAGGACTCCTTATAAGGAGAGGCAGAGAGAGACTTGACACAGAATAGAAAGAAATGAGTGAAAGAAGCAGAGGGAAGTAGAGTCAAAAGAAAAGATGTTTTGCAACTGTCTTTGAAGGTGGAGGAAGGGGCCATGGGCTAAAGAATACAAGAAATGCTGTTCTAAACACTGGAAAAGGTCAGGACATAAATTCTCACCTCAGTCCTCTTGAGGGAGCATGAACCTGTTGTCACTTTCATTTCAGCTCAATGATCCTTATTTTAAATTTCTGTCCTCTGGATCTGTGAAAGAATTTTTTTTTTGTTGTTCTAAACTACAAATATTTTCCAGGCATAGGAAATTAACACAGTAGATAAAATATATGTGTCTATATCTTTTTCTCGTAAATCTCCATTAAACATAAGAAATTTTAGTTTTTCAACAATAGCAATTAAAATAGGAGGGATAGCATGGGCAAGAAATGTCAACAGATTTCTGGTAGATGATAAAGTGACATAAATATATGCAGAGGAGGCTGAATTGTGAAAGGGCATGGGTGCCAAGAGGAACATAAGAGAAACTCAAGAATCTGAGAGGGAAGCGGTGGTGATGGATGGAAAGGAGTAATACACAGGACTAACAAGATGAATATTTACTGAAGATTTCTACATTGTTCACTTAGGGTCCTCAAGCCCCTCTTGCTTCTACATTCAGGATGATCTCCAGCCAGACATTCACATCCAGTTTCCAAAAAAGCACAGTTCTTTTTAAAACTAAAACTGAATAAACTGTATAGAGGGAACCAGGCAAATTTATTTGGATGCTGGTATCTGGAAGAAAATCTTGCATTTTGGCATGTTGAGGAACTGTAGCATAACAACTTCCTGACCTTTCAAGCTGAAACAAATCCTGCTGTTGGCCCAGAGGACAGAGTTAGCCATCTATCTTATTTCTTCACATTTAAGTTTAAACAGGCAACAACACATTACTGCCTTTTGAGGAAAGCCTGCAAGAGAAAAATGTGAGATAGAGAAACTGATCCAAGAAAAAAACATTTATCAGGAAAGATAAAAAAAAAAAAAGTTACATTACAATTGTAACTAGATCCACTTTGATTTTGAAGATGTTTTATACATCAAGAAAAGGATGTCACGAATAAGGAACAGAAGACAGAATTTACAATTACAAAAAAGAAATCCAGAATTGAAATATAAAAATTAATAAAACTTCCAGAACCTATTATAAAGACAAAGACAGAAATATGAGAAGGAAGAAAATAAAATGTATAAAACAGGAGTTCTAACATCAAATTAATAGATTTTTAAAAAATAAATGGCAGGAAGGAAATTAGGAAAGTGAAGAAAACCTTCCAGAATTAAAGCAATGAGTCTTCCAATTTAGAGGCTGACCAAATACTGACAAATTAAGTGTACTTAGACATATCATTGCGAAATTTTCTCACATTAAGTATTCTTAAAATTTCCAGAGAGAAACATACTTTATAAAATGTTTTTAAAAAGACGCAGAATTAAATTGGTGTCAGACTTCCCATAAACAGCATGCAATGCTTGAAAACAATGCTCTGAGGGAAATGATTTTTAACCTAGAAAAAATACTTAGTGAAACAACCAATCTACTGGGAGAGAGACAACTTGCATACATTTTCAGCATACAAGGATTTAGAAAATTTACCTCCCACACTCACTTTCCTAGGAAGCTTCTTGAGGGTGTATTCTAAAAAATAAGACAAAATATAAGAAAGAGGAAGTCATGAGATTCAGGAAACAGTGGCTGAACGCCCAGGAGAAGAGTGAATGGAAGTGCCAGGACTGCAACTGCATAGCAGATCTAGGAAGCAACCAGTCAATATTGGAGCAGGAAGATGCAAAACTCTGCAAGAAAAACCTCTGGGAAATAAAGAGGACACCATACAATAATAGTAACTGTGTGAGAGAGACTAGAAATATCAAGAACTGGATAAAAATTTTAAAAAATGCAAGAAGAAAAATAAAGACCTACTCAAATTTCAGGAAACAAAAGTCAACAAGAGTCAAATAGAACAGCATGGGCTACAGGCAATTGAGAGAATAAATATGAATTGGAAAAATATTGTGATTAAGTTTCTATTACCAGTAATAGTGAAAAATAGAAGCAGAAATTAGAGAAAGCCAAATAAAACTCAAGAAATACACTGTCAAAATACAAACTAAATAAAAGTTGTATCATGCTTTTAAGCATAGGCTGGGTATGAAAAGAGATTCATCATTTGAACATGATGCTAAGAGTACTTTACTTTGGATATCTCCAAAATAGTATTTAGTATCTATAATAGAAATATAGATGGAAATGATAATATCTCATTAAATAGCCCTGTAGTAGTTAGATCATCATGATAACTTAAACAAGGTTTTTGCCATTTCAGCTTTTAGAGTCAACCTATATACAGAGCATGAAAGCCTTAATTATGGTCACGATAAATGAAAATATTATAAATTTTCATAAGGTAAGAGTAAAAACAACAGAAGTAGGGAGGTTGTTGGTATCGGGAGACATTAAATAGAAGGAAGGGTAAAGATTCTAATACCATTATCTTAAAGAATTATGGCTTTACTTAAAGGAACAAATAGAGGTTGAAGTGCATTATTTAATGGGGCTTGATATAAAATTTAAAGTGAGTTAGAGTAATATTTATGCAAACGAAAGATGATACAATGATATTGGTAGCGAAAGGATATAACTGAATTAAATTCTAGTCTATCATAGTAAAAAGTCAATATATGTGGTCTTAAGTGTATAAATAAAAAACTATAGTATATTACTTAGCAATATATTAATGCTTTAATAATATACTAATGTTGGATATTGTTGGATATAGAAATGTACTACTGCTGGATACTACCAACAAAAGATTTTTATTTTTTTAATGTTAAAAAATAAATAAAAGCTCTGAAGAAGAAAGGGACCAGATGTTAATACTTACTGAATCTCGATGGTCAATACACAATCCTTTGGATTTCTCTATACTCAAACACACACACACACACACACACACACACACACACACGATTATGGAATAAAAAAGACTCAATCAAACACAAATACCAGAACTAGCTATGTGACTTAGGGCATCTTCAATTCTCTGAACATTAGCATCCTGATCTGAGAGGTAGAGAGTAGTATCTATAATACAGTACTGTTGTAAGAATTAAATTAGTTTAAATTTTCAAAGGACTCAGTGTAGTTTCTGGCACCAGAAATCTAAATAAATGATAGCTTTCTTACAGGAAAGCTATCATTTATTCCCCTGGTGTGCAGTTGATAATAGAGAGCTGGAACCTGAGGTCCATTTATCTATATTAGCTCAAAAACAGAATTTCTGAAGACAATAGAAAAGTACCAAGCTTTATTATCTAAACTTTATAAAACACAGTCCAGAGAAGTGAAGGGTAGATCATCTTAACATAGATTTATGAAATAATTAAAACAATCATTCAAGGAAACTTTAATCAAAAAAGTATTAACAACCACCCCTTGCTCACCAATAATGTCATAATGTATGGTTCTACAACAATCCTGTTTACTATTTTATAAACTCCATGACTGAATACTGTTAGCACCTAATCAAGCAATTAATACATCTCTGTTGAACACTTATTAAATTCTGGGTACTACAAAACAGTATTTTCAGGGATAATTGGAAGGACAGCTGAGAAAGGAATGAGGCCAATAGACCCAAGTTTCAGGCACGCTGATTTATTTTCAGTCCTGCCAGGCTACCTCCTGACAAAAAGAGAGGAGGCAGCCCCGCTTACAGGCGACAGCAGAACTTTATAGGGTGACGAACTGGGTCAGGGTTGGGGAGCTGAGTTGGGTGTGCAGGAGGGCTGAGTCGGGGTCGGGGAGCTGAGCTGGGTGTGAAGGAGGGCTGAGCTGGGGTCGGGGAGCTGAGCTCGGGGTGCAGGTGTCTTGACAGCATCCTGGAGATGTTTTTTGTCAGCTTTGTTATGTGAGGTGAACAGACACGTTTACTGCATCCTGTAACTGTCTGGACAAACAGTTAATGGAGGGGTCTGTGAAGGGGGGGTTTGTCTTTTGCTCTGGGGTAGCTGTGTGGAGAGCGTAAGAGACTGTATTGTAAGGCCTGTGGGAGGGGAAGGGAATGGTCTGGTGGGGGTGACCCTAACAAGTATTCTCCAGGTTCTTATGATATGGTAGGAATATGCACAAAAAGGCACACCAGGCAGTATTTGATAAGCCCTAGACTTGTCCACAGAATTATAATTAAGACCGCCACCACTGCAAATAAAGGAGGATGTTGCAACAGAAATAGCACTAGCATTGATGTCAAGAGACCTGGTTTGGAAGCCAGCTCTTTTGGGTGACTGTGTTAACACTGTCACTTAATCTCTCTGAGCCTCGACTTGTTCACTTGATATACCACCTGGCCTGACTACCTCAAGCACTGTTGTGAATGTTAAAATGAGTTGACACATGAGAAATTGCTCTTGGAGGACATATAAACTCTTGCTGGGGAGTTGCTCCCAGCTGTGTCCAAGAGAGTAGTTAAATGTTCATTGATTTCCCCAGAACAGAGCCTCCAGTTTTCCTGCTTTCATTTCAAAAGCTAATTTCAATCTTCTTTGCTCTTCCTGATACCCCCTCTCCTGCTGCAGCAGTTACAGAAAACAAGATCAAATCAGCAGAATGGCTTTCTTTCCAAGGGGATAAAATTATCTTTACTTACGTGTATAAATTCCTGAGGCCAGGAAAAGGGCAGATCTAGCTTAGTACTGCTGACTCCTAGCCCTTTACTTTTGCAATGTCAAATTGCATATCTGTCTATCCAGTGAAAATTATAGCAGGGAAAATATGGGCACTTACAACTGGAAATTAAACAGTCCACTACCCAGCATTGCCACTGCCTCTACTTACCCGCTAGTTACTTGTCAAGAGGTCCAAATTATAATTCTATTACCTTGACAATGCCAAATATCAAATTTCCCCTATTTTTCCCTTTCCCCTACTCTCCAATGTTTGATGTTATTGTCTGAGTCTATTTTGTGTTGCTATAAAGGAATACCTGAGGCTGGGTAATTTATAAATACAAATAGTTTATTTAGCTCCTGGTTCCGCAGGCCGTACGAGAAGCATGGCACCAGCATGTCCTTCTGGTGAGGGCCTTAGGCTGCTTCTACTCATGGCAGAAGGTAAAAGCCAGTGTGTGCAGATACCACGTTATGAGAGGAAGCAAGACAGAAAGAGGGAGGTGCCAGGTTCTTTTTCACAACCAGCTCTGGTGGGAACTAATAGAGTGAGAACTCATTCACCCCAAGGGACCGCATTTATTTATTCTTGAGGGATCCATCTCCATAACCCAAATACCTCCCATTGGGCCCCACCTCCAACACTGAGGACCAAATTTCAACATGAGGTTTGCAAGGAACAAATATCCAAACCATAGCAGTCATTACGTAAAGTCTGAAAATATTTGTTAAATATCAGTAAATTTAGAGCAGTTGTTATTGAACAATATTGTTATTGGTCTGTTCTGGATACTCTAAATGAAGAATTATTTTCTTTAGCTAATTGGATATGCCGGTAATACCATGAAACAAGCCCAACTTTGCAAACTTTCAGCTATGAAGACCGCAATATTGTCTGAAGCTCCTCAGAATTGATGCTTTCCAAACCCAGAGAGGCAGGCTGAACTTTGCATAGAATATCTTATGAGTACAAACTCTTATAGTTTCATACAACTTCACATTTTTGTTTCTAGGCAACCAGAAACACAGAAATATGGCAGCCTCATATTTGTAATGCAGAATTCTGCTGTTTCAAGATTATTTATTGTAATAATTTCTGCCCTTTATATAAACGTATAGGGTTAAATTAGGCCCTGGCTGATTAAAGAAATGTAAAGGACTATAATTTGCTTTCCATAGGGTTCTAACTATGAGTCAGGCACCATTTAAAGGATAAAACTTATGCAAGATCCCTTCCCTAAAAAATCTTACAATATAACAGGGAGCTCTAACACTCTCATAAATATCTAAATGAAACTGTTACAACAAATGTTATCCATTTTTACTACAGCTATTTTCTTTCTTTATTTATAGTAATTACTGAGTGCCTATTATTTATGCCAAAGACTGTATGAGGAATTAGGACTCAAACATAAGTGACGTATTATTGCTGCCCCCTAAGCTTGCAATCTAGAGAAAGAAGGAAACAATAAGAAACTGATTTTACATCATCAAATAATAAATACTATATAAGATGTTCAGATACAATATATGGCAACACCCGAGGAAGACATTCGGGCCCTGTTTTAAATAATTCCCTCCACTTAAAATGTATTTCTCCACTCCTTACTTTGCATCGATACTCCTTTACCATCCTGGTAACTTACTCACTTTAAAGAACAAAGCTCAATGCTAACCTTTCCTGACACCACCTTTGCTATACACCTCAGGCAAATGTAGCTGCTATATGCCCTCTATGCCCATGTTAGCCAACTCTTGCATTGCTATAAAGAAATACCCGAGGCTGGGTAATGTGAAAAGAAGTTTAATTGGCTCACAGTTCTGCAGGCTGTATAAGCATTGTTCCAGCATCTGCTCATAGTGAGGGCCTCAGTAAGCTTCCAATCATAGCAGAAGGTGAAGGGAGAGCAAGCATGTCACATGGTGAGAGCGAGGGAGCAAGAGAGAGAGGGAGGAGGTGCCAGACTCTTAAACAACTAGATCTCGCAAGAACTTACTCACTATCCCAAGGACAACACCAAGCCATTCATGAGAGATCTGACCCCAGGATGCCAACACCTCCTACCAGGCCCCGTCTTCATTGGGGATTACATTTCAATATGACATTTGTGGGGGACAAACATCCAAACTTTATCAATGCCTGCACCAATGCTTAACACGTAGTTAGGAAATTTGTAGCCTTTTTTTTTCCCCAAAGGAATGACTCTGAAGTGAGAATACTGATATTTTCCTGTATCAAGTTTTCCTAAGACATGTACCTTTCTTCTTGAAGAACCAAAAAATATTGGCTACTAGCCATATATAAACACTGACATTGAGTAGTTATTAAATTTAATTATTCATGATGTCTACACTATATAAATTAAACATGACATAAGTACAACTTTTTCCAGCTTACTAGGGGACCACTCAGTATACAGCAAGTGAATGCATTCTGTTCAATAGCTGGAGCATATTGCCTGGTGAGCACCCACATGAACATCAAGTGCTTATGAGGTTAACGCTAAATTCCAGTTCTGTGCATTTTAAAGAGAGAACCCTATCCACACTATACACATCTGTCTGGCTCACTAACACACAGTGATTTCCCATTTTTTCATAAACCAGATTGTTAACTGCCTTAAAATATGTACTTATTCAGAGGCAACATTAAACAGCTGCCTAAAGAAATACTAGTACTAGAGCAATATCCCCTTCACCAACCATCTTCTTCTTCAATATTTTTCTTAGAGTCTCTTTTTAGTTTTCTTCTCCCCTCTTTTTCTTTTCTGTGTAGATTTTGAAACATCGTTTTGTTTTTCTTTGAGACGGAGTCTCTCTCTGTCACCCAGGCTGGAGTGCAGTGGTGTGATCTCAGCTCACTGCAACCTTCACCTGCTGGGTTCAAGCAATTCTCCTGCCTCAGCCTCCCGAGTAGCTGAGACTACAGGTGCATGCCACCACGCCTGGCTAATTTGCTTTTGTATTTTTAGTAGAGATGGGGTTTCATTGTGTTAGTCATGATGGTCTCAATCTCCTGGCCTCGTGATCCACCAGCTGCGGCCTCCCAAAGTGCTGGGATTACAGGCATGAGCCACCATGCCCGGCCCAAACATTGTATTTTTATGGTGCTCAAGACCACTCCTTTTATTCAATTTATGTATCTTGGTATTTCTTCTTTCAGGCAAAAGAGTTAATTTAAATGTTTGACATGTAAAGACAGATCAACATCTAAACACTACAATTAAAATTCAGAGAGTATCTAAAATGATAAGTTAAAAAATAGATAAATAAAAAAGTAAAGTAAGTGAGTTTCTTACAGGCAACCTATAATTACTCTTTTTCTCTTTAAAAGCCTGGCTTTATTAGCTTTAGATGTTTTTAGCTCATGCAAAGTCTCAAAATAATATTATATTAAACATTTACAGCAGAGTTGTTGTAGATCAAAATTTTACTTAAAATATTCAGAAGCATTTCCCCCTCTCTTAGAAAGCCAATCTAGTTGTTCCTCAAAATCCATTATATAAAAGAGTGAAATACACACACACACACACACACACACACACACAAACACACACACTTCTCCATTAGATTTTCTAATCTAAGCATTGTAGATACAAAACAAGGACAGCAGGATTATCAGTAAATTGATAAAATTATAAGTGCAAAATTTGTTTAGAAGCCATGGAATGTTATAATTAAAAATGAAACCCCCAAACAAGTAACCAATATCTTTGCTTTGGTTGATTGCTGTGTAACAAACCACCCTCAAAATTCAGTGGCTTAGGCTAGCACTTAATTATTCTCTCTCACACTTCGGTGTGTTGATTGGGTCAATATGGTGGCTCTCACTTGGGGTCTCTCATTGAATTCAAATAGCTGCTGGGGCTCCAGCTTGCTAAAGGCTTTACTGGCCTAGACATATACAATAGCATCTACACTCACATGTCTTCTCCTTGGCTGGGTTGACTGAAATAGCTGGAGAATGTCCACGTATCTCCGTTTTCCCCATGTTGCTCCACTGCTTGGCTAGGTTGGGCATTTGCTCACAGCGTGGTGTCTGCTGGCTTTTTCCAGGGTACTCATTCCAAGGGACCTAGGTGAAAATCTGCAAGGAATCTTACAATTTTATCTCAGAAGTCAGGCAGTATCACTTCTACCATGTTCTTCTGGTTAAAAACAAGTTACAGGACCATCTCAGATTCTCAGATTCAAGGAAAGGAGGCTACACAGGAGTGTGAGTACTGAGATGCATGGCTCCAGTGTGAGCTATTTCTGAAGACCTGCCAGTCTAACCTCTAATAGTATTTGCTTAACAATAGTGATAACCTTAATTTAATTCTAAATGTTATGTCCAATGGGTGGTACCAAAAGGGTTGGCAGAGAATAGAAATGGACACATCCCTCTGTGGATTTTATAGGATAATGTCTCATGAAAAGATATATTAGCAAGTGAAAAATGTATTTGATTTTTAAATTTTCTGCATTTGTGAATAGTTCAAATATAAAGATAATTTATAGATAATTCATAGGTCCTCCTTTCTGTCAATATTATCAATCACTATTCTTTAAAAAATACTTCTATAAAGAAGGTAATAAAAATATTTGTTTCATATTTCAATAAAAATGTTGTTTTAAGGAAAAGCATTTGATGCATTGAAGTCTTACCTCATTTGCTTTGGTGCATATACTAACAAGCAGCAGGCAGGCAACAAAAAAAAAAGTATTAAACAATAACATGCCTAAAAGATGGTATAGAAAAATGAGGAGTGCTATTCCTTCCTGTGACTACAAGGGATGTAACTAAATAGCCTAAGGCTTGAGGGAGCCATGTACGTCAAAGGAAACAAGCTCTCTACCACAACATGAAAAGACATTCTTCAACTCTAAACTTTTATATCTCCCTGCTGAAAAGGCCTATGTTGCTTACATTTGAGATCAGTATGACTATGCATACTAATAATATGACTTATTCCAGCAATCACTGTTTGGTTAGAATTTATAACTTGATTTGGACCTGACTAGAGATATGATTCTGTTCACTAATCCACTTTTGTCTTAGAACAAGCAGATTATGTTTGTCAGTTTTTGAATGCTATTAGGTTAATTTGATTTAGAAAAGCTAATTGGTTCAGTGTGTTATTTTTAAGAGGAAAAATGATTCCAAACCTAAGATAGACAATAGATATGTGTGCTACCCCACACTGCTAGGAATGTCTTGAAGTGTTTATAGAGTTAATAAAGCTACTCACAGAGGTGGGTGTTTCACATGGCCCCAGGCATGAATCGGACACCCCCTGAGTGTCTGCAGTTTTGAAAATGTAATGGGAGTAACAGAGTTTGTGGATTGCCTTAGAACAATGATTATATTTTCTTTTTTCTGAGATCATGTTACAAAAGGAAAAACTAGCTTCTTAAGTAACTAGGTAAGATGGCATGCTTCAAGCTGGTCTAGTTCTTGAGGTCTCATTAAACCTAAAGATTATTTATCATGCTGTGAGTTTGAATTGCTCTTTACAAAACTTTTTAAGATGTCAGTTTAAACACGCAAGTATACGGTATTCTAAGAAATGAGAGTTTAATAGCCTGTATTGATTCTTCTGTAAGTTTCAGGCATTCATATGCTGCTTATAGTCTCTAGTGACTCAATGACTAATTTCTGTCTAAGCTGTATGAACATCATTTTCTTTAGCCAATAGCCAAATACTGTGTTCCATTGTTTAGCATTGGCAATAGTGTTTCAACTGAGGAGATAAGCCACAACCCAGATAGTTTGTTGCATTATGGTATATTTTGGTTTGTAAATTGTCAGGGACAATAAATGTATGTTTTATCTTTTTTGACATATCTGTTTTCAAAGTAATTAACAATGGTCAGATACTTCTCTATCTAAAGCAATAATCTCACCTCAACCCATGGATCTTTTTGTTACTGGTTATTTGGAGTGCAAGATGCTGGCTAATACGGATCAGAAAATGAGTACTTTATATTGAAGGAGAGAAATGTATCAGGATTTGTTTGTGGAAATAGAATGCATGAAGCCATTGAATTCCAGTGAATATTTACAAATCTCTATGTCATTCTGGAGGAACGAACAGCTAAGGACAAGAAGATTGCAAAATATTTACTTTCTTGTGACTCTGTTTGAGGTAAGCCAGAAATGGAGTTGAGAATTGACAACGGAGCAGAGAATTCAGCTGACAATAGTAGAGGCCCAGTTCCTGGTTGTCCTGGTAACAGCACCACCTCCTTATAATAAGGGTTTTATTATGTGAAAAGACTTAAGCAAATGAAGCAACTATGGTTTAGAGGTAGAGCAATACATGGTCTGGATCAAGGGTTGGCAAATTACTGACAATGGCCTCTTTTTATGTGGCCCTCAAGTTAAGAATGGTTTCTACATGCAGTAGGTAATCCTAGTAGCTACTAGGTCAGAGGAATTTGCTTAAAAGTTCAATCTGTTGCTAGTTAATGTTATGAGATTAGAAACAAAGTACTCTGACCACTTTAAAACTAAATAAAATATTTTTTATTTTCTGCATTTTCTGTCTCCTTGTTTATAAACACAAAATCTGTACCAGTTATAATTCTTCACAGACATCTCCCTACTATATGAAATGTTAGTAGAAGTTTAATTTTCCCATTTATTTCATTAGTACTTCTAATCACCATGACTCAGATACCACAATTCCTAAAAACAGAAGTGGTCAAGAAATGGCATTGTTTAATAAGAACACATTTTATCTTGGTCAGTACATTCCATGAAATGCTAGGGGTTGGATATTCCACATCTAGTTGAATGTCAGAAGTCAGAGCCTGTTAACGCTTTTGCAAAGACAACTAGAAAAATCTAATAAACTAAAATTCTAGAGGAGAAAAAGTATATCTTAGGTGAGCTTACAATCACCTAGGGGCATTTATCGATTCTGAGAGTGGGCTGAGGATCAGATTTAGCCCAGGCAAAAAGTCTCCATGGGAAGGTGAAGGGAGGAAAGTTGGGGGGTGGGCGGGATGTGGGAATGTGGGTGGCAGAGAGAAGAAAAGCATAAGCACTTGAGAGACCATGTGAAGCTGGAGACATAAATTCCAAACTCGAGGGGCCTCACATGCACTGTCTGTTTTTCCCAAAGAACATTTGCTGAGTTTAGAACCAGTGTCGGAGGCCCAGGAGTTTGGAAGAAAGCTTCTAAATGTCGCAGTAAATCTCCCACAGTCTCACAGTACAGAGGAAATACAAATGTGTTGGCGAGAGGGCCTTCCTCATCTGCATGCCAATCTCCCCTTCAAGACATTTGTCATATTTTGAAGTTGCATGGGGCTGGAGTCCGGAGCTCTGACCTAGGAAAATCAGGGCAGAGCTTAGTCATGTCAAGACATTCCAGAATATAGACATAGACATTTTAATAGCACTTAATCAAGAGCCTGGAAGGTCCCATGAAGAAATAGTTGTAAACTGAACCTTACTAAAACTGTAACCCCTCTTCAGTACAGTTCAGTCCCTGACGGGCTTGAAGTGATCAATCCCTAATGCTAAATGCCTAGCGAAGGAAAGTGAGATAACTCTCTGATGAATATCGAGGTCATCTGAAATATTTGTAACTCACAATGTCTGTGATATATATATATCCAACAATATATATATATATATATATATAGTCCAGATATATATATCCAACAATATCCAGATACATATATATATACATATATATCTCCAACCATGAAAATAAAAATAGACAATAGAAGTCGACTCATTGATAAGCCAAGCAAGAACTTCAGAATAACTAATAATTATGTATTTTTTTAAATAGAGGAACTCCATTTCCAGTTTCTGGTCTGGCATGCAAGAAGCTTGGAAGGCATCACTCCTATTCACACAACAATAAAAAAGCATAACAAACTGAAAGTCAACCATTTCTTTTTACATCCATTAGAGAATTGACAGCATAGGGCAAACCACTGCCTCAAGAATTAGAGAGACAGGCAGATGGAGAAAATCACAACTTCAACAGAAACACAAGAGAAGAAACCACCACTGGAACCGGTACTGGAGTCAGAAAATCTCAATTACAATTGGAAAACTGCTAGAGGGTTTGTGTGTACAAATCTGAGAGTTAAAAACTCCCGTGGGCTCAGTACTTGGAGGCCCCATCCTTTTATGAGTTTTACCTCCAGGAGTTCTCTCAGGATCTCAAAGTGAAAATTGGGGAATAACCTCAACTTGATTTTGGAAGAGGAAAGGGGAAAGCAGCCATCTTGAAATATGACCAGAGAATTCTATTCTTCTTAATAAGACCTGTTCTCAAAGGAAACAATTTCACTAGAGCCTAATTGACTTTAATTTTCCAAGAGGCTATCCAACCTGGGGGAAGGAAAATATCCAGCTGTAGCTGGCTCTAGCCTTTCACTTGGGGGAAGGAGTTTGCCCAGCTCTAGCCTCTCTCCACTTCCCATCCCACTGAAGGAGGGGTGGGAACTGAGAAGCACTTATGAAGGTTATAGCCCAAGGGCAGAGATTCCCTAAAGGCCAGAGACCTAAGTATAGAAACACAGAATACTTTCCATCCTATCCCCACGTCAATAGGGCTCCTGTGTAATAACAGGATAATATAACTAAAAAACTGCATATTAGACCTGATTTAAGAAGTCAGTAGGGAACCTCAAAGACATCAAGGGAGACAACATCATAAACACCAGAGGAAACTTTAGCTTCTGATACCTAAAGCTGCAGCTAATAGTAAACACAACCTAACCCCTAAAAGCCAGATAAAAATAAAACTTTACACGAAGAAACCTATTTACTAGTTACTTTTGCCCAGTACCTTATGCCCAGCTTTCAACAAAATATTACAAGGCATAATAAAAGACAAAGACCACAGTTTTCAGAGATAGAAGAAGTACCAGAACCAGACACATAAATGGAAGATATATTGAAATTATCAGACAGGAAACTTAAAACAACTATAATTAATATGCTAAGGGTTCTTATGGCAAAAGTGGGCGACATTCAAGAACGTGGGTAAGATAAAATCAAAATCACATGTAAGAAATCAAAAACACTCAACTGGGTGTGGTGGCTCACGCCTGTAATCCCAGCACTTTGGGAGGCTGAGGCTGGCGGATCATGAGGTCAAGAGATCGAGACCATCCTGGCCAACGTGGTGAAACCCCGTCTCTACTAAAAATACAAAAATTAGCTGGGCATGGTGGCACACGCCTGTAGTTCCAGCTACTCAGGAGCCTGAGGCAGGAGAATCACTTGAACCTGGGAGGAGGAGGTTGCAGTGAGCTGAGATCGTGCCACTGCACTCCAGCCTGGCGACAGAGTAAGATTTCATCTCAAAAAAATAAAAATAAAAATAAATAAAAAATAAATAAAAACCACTCTAACAGAATTAAAGATTGCCTGTAATGGCTTCCTCAATAGACTGAACATCGCCAAAGAGAAAAATAATTAGCTTAAAGATATGTCAATAAAAACTTCTAAAATGGAAATGTGAAGAGAAAAAAGAATGGAAAAATGGAACAGAATATCCAATAACTATGGGACCATTACAAAAGCTGCAACATATACACACTGGGAATACCAGAAAGAAAAGATAGAGAAGAAGAAATGAAAGAAATATTTGAAGCAATAATGAATGAGAATTTCACAAAACAAATGATAGAAACCAAATCACAGATCCAGGAAGCTCAGTGAACACTAAGAAGAATAAATGCCAAAAACATCTACATCTAGGCATATCATATTCAACAGAAGAAAAAAGAATAAAATACCTAGCAGACAAAGGAAATACATTGAAAGAAGCCAGGAGGTTGAGGGGAAACCTTACCTATAGGAGAGCTAGGGTAAAAATTAGATCAGATTTCTCTTCAGTTACTATACAAGCAAGAAGTAATTGGAGTAAAATATTGGAAATGTTAAAAGAGAAAACTACTAAGTCAGAATTCTGTATTTAGTGAAATTATCCTTCAAAAGTTAAAAGTCACCCGTAGACTTGCCTTGTAAATAATATTAAAACATATCCCCCAAACTCTTATACACTGTTGGTGGGAATGTAAACTAGTACAACCACTATGGAAAACAGTATGAAGGTTTCTCAAAAAACTACAAGTAGTTTTGATGGCCCAAAAATCCCACTTCTGGGAATTATCCAAAGGAAAGGACATCAGTATATCATGGAGATATCTGCACCCCCATGTTTATTGCAGCATTATTCATAATAGCCAAGATATGGAATCAACTTAGGTGTCCAACAGTAGATGAATGGATTAAAAAGGTGACATATATATGTATGTACATATATATATATGTGTATACACACATACATACATACACGCACAAAGTGGAATACTGTTCAGACATAAAAAAGAATAAGATCTTGTCATTTGCTGTAATGTGGATGGAACTGGAGGGATTATATTAAGTGAAATAAGCCAGGAGCAGAAACTTAAACACCGCATGTTTTCACTCATATGTGGAAGCTAAAAAAAAGAGTAAATCTTATAGAAATAACAAGTAGAACATAGGATACTTGATACTGGGAAAGGTATAGAGAAGGGGGGACATGGAAAGATTTGCTGAGGGACACTAAATTATAGCTAGATAGGAATGAGTTCTAGTGTTTTTTTTGTTTGTTTTTGAGACAGAGTCTTGCTCTGTTGCTTAGGCTGGAGTGCAGTGGTGCTATCTTGGCTCACTGCAACCTCCGTCTCCAAGGTTCAGGCAGTTCTCCTGCCTCAGCTTCCTGAGTAGCTGGGAATATAGGTGTATGTATGCCACTAGCTCAGCTAATTTTTGTAATTTTATTAGAGATGGGGTTTCATCATGTTGGCCAGTCTGGTCTCGAATTCCTGACCTCAAGTGATCCACCCACCTTGGCCTCCCAAAGTGCTGGGACTACAGGCATGAGCCACTATGCCCAGCCAGTTCTAGTGTTTTATAACACTGTAGGATGACTATAGTTAACAATGATATATATATATAATATATAATTTCAAATAGATAGAAGGAGGATATTGAGTCTGTGTTCACAGATGCCCACATCGAAAAGTCAGAAAGCTCTTAAATTAATGGCCTAACAATGCAACTAGAGGTACTAGAAAAAAAAGAACAATGCAACTGCAAAGCTAGTAGAAGAAAATAAATAACCAAAATTAGAGAAGAACTGAATGAAATTGAGGCCCCCAAATCCATACAAAAGATCAATAAAACCGAGAGTTTTTTCTTCAAAAGAATAAACAATGTTGATAGACAAGTTAACAAAGAAAAAAAGAAAAGAGATGATCCAAACAAGCACAATCAGAAATGGTAAAGATGACATTACAACCAATCCCACAGAAATACAAAAGATCCTCAGAGACTGTTATGAACACCTCTATGAACAGAAACTAGAAAATCTAGAGGAAAGGATAAATTCTTGGATGCATACACAACCTCTCAAGTTTGAACCAGGAAGAAATTGAAACCTTGAACAGACCAAAAACAAATTTGGAAATTGAACCAGTAATAAAAAACCTACCAACCAAAAGGAGCCTTGGATTAGATAAATTCACAGCTGAATTCTACCAGATTTACAAAGAACTGATACCAATCCTACTGAAACTATTACAAAAATCGAGGAGGATGTACTCCTCCCGAACTCATTCTGTGAAGCCAACATCAGCTTAATACCAAAATTTGGCAGAGACATGATAAAGAAAGAAAACTTCAGGCTAATTATCTCTGATGAATGTAGATGCAAAAATCCTCAACAAAATACTAGCAAGCTGAATCCAGCAGCACATCAAAAAGTTAATTCACCAAGATCAAGTAGAGTTTACTTCTAAAATGCAAGGTTGATTTAACACATGAAAATCAATAAACGGGTTTCACCACATAAACAGAATCAAAAACAAAAATCACAGGATCATCTCAACAGACACAGACAAAGCCTTCTATAAAATCCAACATCTCTTTATGATGACTCTCAGCAGACTAGGCATAGAAGGAGCAGACCTTAGAATATTAAGAGCCATCTATGACAAACCCACAGCCAACATCATACTGAATGGGCAAAAGCTGAAACCATTCCCCTTGAGAACTGGAACAAGACAAGTGTGCCCACTCTCACCATTCCTATTTAAC